>NC_000006.12:137570790-138820790 GCF_000001405.40 Homo sapiens
ACTTAGTCTGGGAAATCATATATGATAAACAATTCTATGTGGTGGCTGCCAGCGTACAGTCCTCTGAGACAGAACATTGGAAATAATCGTAACACCAATTGCAGCCTCTATTTGACTGTCTCTAGTAATTTTTTTAAGTTTTTGTTAGTAGGGATAATGTGATGGAAAGTCTAGAAATGTGGGTTCCCAAGCTCTAAGTTTTGAAAGCATTCTCTTCTTTCTACCTTACAAAAACACATTTTTATTTAAAAATACATAGTCATTGTTTAAAGCATATTGGAAACACAAATAACAAAGACACTTGATGCTTTTCATTCATATATTCTTTTTATTCTTTTTTGAAAGGAAGATTAAAATCCCTTATATTTTGTGAACTTAAAAAAAATAGCTCTCTTTTCTCCTCCTCCTGCTCTACACACACACACACACACACACACACACACACAGCCCATAAGCAGGGGATATTTAGTATTGTTTTTCATAGGTGAATGAAGCTAATGTCTGATAAGAGATGACTTCAGGTTGTTCTCCACTGCAGTTGATTGTTGGCTTCTGTGGAACAAAGGCCCATAAAAAATTAACTCCCCATAGGCAGAGACTAAACTTTAAGCAAGTAAATTTCTTCTGCAAATTTACTGGGTTTAGATCAAGGAGATACTATGCAGTGCTCATGGATTATAAGAGTTTCTTGTAACGCTTTTACTGTAGTCTCCTAAGAGGTTTTCTGAATTCTCTTCTTTCTACTCCATCTGATCCTACAGAAATTTTACCCTGAATGAAGGAATCTGTTACAAGATTTGGACTATATTTATGCAGAAAAGGGAGAGAAACTGGTCTACTTTATCTTTTGTCATCTGACATTTAGGAGGAAAAACCTAAAAGTTATCTGAAAGAATCAGGAAAAAGCGGGATACAGAGAACCCAAAAGACAGTGACATATGCTTAGAGCATCATAATGTCTCCTCTAGTGGAAAAGATAACTAGAGATAAAGGAAGTGTTGATAGATACCAGTTGATTATAGAGGATGGGGCATACATTTTTGTGTAACTGGTCTTTTTTTTCTTATATTATTCTGATAAGATGTTTTAAGTAGAGGTAATATGTAAAAAGGTTAATTAGTATTTTCCAAATATTAATACTGTTCTGCAAATTACCATATTTTTGTTTAAAAATTGAAAATTAGTCTGGATATAATTTTAATCTTCTGAGTTGTTCATGCCTGAACCTACAGATGACCTGAAAAGTTTCCACTGCACCTGCTGGTGGACTCTGGAATTGCAGAAAGAGTGGCTAAGGTGCTGCTACCTCTCCTGGAAGACATGCAAATTCTAATTCACTTCAATAAGCACAATTACTGTAAGTCCATTTCACACTTTGGGCTTCCACAACATATGGGATTTACCAAGCAGTAATTATATTTTTATTAAGGATATGCAACTAGTTGTTTTCAATACTTTTTCACCATGTAACCTGTGCCACAACTAGATGCTAGAGATATAGAGATAAAATCTCTTATTATTAGAGTATTAGATGCCAGGAATGCAGACATAAAGCATATAATGAAAGAACTCATATTCTCTGATGTAGAAGACACAGATGACTATAGCACAATGTGTTCTTTCTTGGGATAGAGGTAAGTCTGAACTGATCCTTTAAATTAATTCAATGAACAAATGCTTGCTAAATGCCCATTGGTGCCTTGCACTGCTCTAGGAGCTGCTGAATGAACAGTGTCCCTTCGTATGTAATAAATACTGGGAAGGGAAACATTGAGAGTTTGCTGGGAGCATTTAAAAATGAATATTTTATCCAGATTTACAGAATCAGGAAATCTGGCTGGCAAAGGTGATGTGTAAGCTAATACTTGAAGATGAACAAAGGTTAGGTCTGGGGATAAGGCACAGAGAGAGGAGCATATGCAAAGATCTTGAAGTATGGATCTCTGGGGAGCTGAGAGAAGTTCTGTGAATGGAGATAGAGCAAAGGTTGGTAAACTTGTTCTGTTGGGTTTGTAGGCTAAGAGTCCTAACCTCTTCAAGCAGCTGTTCTTGCTGAATGGCATATTGTCTTGCTTTTTGTTTGTTTTCATATTTATATTTAAAAAAGTAAAGACTATTCTTAGCTTGCAAGCCATACAAAAATAGTCAGTGGGTTGGATTTGGCCAACAGGCCATAGTTTGCTGACCTTGAGCACAGAGTGAAAGGAACCTTAAGAGTCTGGGCTTAGGGCAGATGTGAGGGAATAAGACAAATGGTCTCTAGATGCTATTAGGCTTTAAACTCAGTCTTGAAGGCAGTGAAGGATCATTAAAAAGGCTTATATGGGAGTGCTGGTATTTTTTATTTTGGCTTTGGAAGATCACTCAGTACACTCAGGCAATGTACTATATGGGCAAAGAATTGAATGAGGTCAGGAGATATGCTATGGGACTATTGCAGGGACCTAGGCACAATAAAAGCTTGATTTAGGGAACTCAAAGTTGATATATGAAATATATTTGAAAGGAAGCACAGTTTGTAAGACTTAGTGATTGATCGAATGTGTGGACTAAAGGAGGAGAAATGATTTATTTCTGGTTTGAATAAATAATATTGAGGGTTTCTTTGAGCTAGGAGACCCAGCGAAAGCAGAAAAGTTAAGGGGAAAGCAGTAAATTCCATTTTTCAGTATACTGAGTTTCAGGCTCTTATGAAGCATCCACAAAAGATTCCCTGTGATAATAATTATTATTGTTATCGTGGTAGAAAACATTGAGTGAACCTTAACAAGTACCAAGTACTGTTCTAAGTACTCATTTGAATTAACTAATTTATTCCTAACAGTAAACCCAAGGATAGGTACTATGTTCAGTCCCATTTTATAGATAAGAAAACTGAGGCACAAGGAAGTTAAGTAACTTGCCCAATTTGGAAAATTATGTGTGTGACTGAGAAGATATTTGCTTGGGAATTATCAGCATATAGACCTCGTATAAAGCTATGCGAGGTAATGAGAACACCCTGGGGCAGCTATAGAGTCAGAAAAGATGAGAGGTCCTGGAACTACATCCAGAGGGACAGCAACACTTCAGGGAAGAAAGAGGAAGGACAACCCCGAAGACTGAACAGCAGGAGAATCAGGAGGCACAGAGGCAGGGCCACAGGAGGAGGAGATTGGGAAGGGGGAGGGTCCAAGAGGAGCAACGCTGCTAAGCAGGTGAGGAAGAGATGGGAATGTTTCCTTTGGAGTTAGCAACATGCAGTTTGTGAATGTCCTTGGCAAAAGGAGTTTCTGTTAAGGTGGTAGGGTTAGAGTGCTACACAATGTTAAGAAGGAAGTTAAGCCAGGAAGGGCTGCTAGGTGGGGAGAAATCAGATAGAATCAGGTGGGGCAGAGGAATACAGGTCCTGATGAAACCATAGCTCAGGAAACAAGTCAGAGAGTGTAACTAGAGGGTGGACTTTCTGAATTATTAATTCAGAGATGCAGACATTCCTGGAAATTACAGGGTCTATTTTGCATCCACGGGAGTGTGACTTTGAAGTCTGCAAATGGAGGGTGCGAGTCATGAGAGCTTAAGAGGACAACATACTGGACTTTAGGGTTTTAGATGAGCCTTCTTCATTAACAGAGTGGTAGAGAAGAAAGCTTTGAACCAAGTGCTAAAGTCTTCAGTGAAAAGGGGAAGAAAGAGTAGATGTTAGCAAAAAGGATGAGTGAGAAAGAGTGGTATAGACAGCTCCTCCAAGCAAGGATTTTCACACCAAAATGGAAGATCCAAGGTCTAGAGGGGCTGTGCTGAGTGAGATAGATGAACAGCCTCTCGTTGCCCTTGCAGCATGTGAAATGGGGAGAAATGAGCAGCTTTTTTGAGAGGTTGCAGCATTATTTCCTGGGGTGAGCCAGGGTTCTTTCAAGGCAAGGGTGCCAGAGTGAGCATTCAGTGACAACCTCGAGGACATATATAAATCTGCTACTTATGGAGCAAGAGTTCCACAGAGCAGAATGGGAAATTTTGGGAAAGAAGAGTGAAAAAGGAAGTCGATTCAGGAGAAAGGAAGGGGATATATTCAAGAGGAGCTTGGATCTTGGGTAGCGATCAAGGAATATAGAGATATATATAAAGTATGGCAAATTTGGCTGCATATAATTTTTTTAAATAATTAGTATTTCAGTCTTCTGATGAAAGTCTTGGAGTCAGAAGTAGAGGACCACCATGCCTCATGGGAGTCAGCCTTGACCTGGTTGGTTACACATCCAAGGAGATCTCATGTCTTGGCTGGGTAGAAGAAGTCGGTCGGTGATGGGTGGATCAAGGCTTTGGCTCAGGCTAAAGTACTGCCAGTGAGTTGCTGGTGAAAGCCTGCAAGGCTGCTTAGCAACAGGTGCCCAAGGCCAGAACAGGGCATCTAACTTGGTCAAGGAGGCAAAAACAAAGGATCTGCATCCTCAAATGCATTTCTTTCTTCTAACAGTGTACGGTTATGACTTAGTATGGTCTGAGAAACAGCACACCGCAATTGGAAGTTACTGGAGAAATTGTGTCCACTAGGTCTTTCAGCCTTTAATCTGCACCTTCCGTCTCTGTCTCAAAGATAACAAGCTGTCAACTTTTCTGCATCATCCAGCCATGGGGGTTTAAAAATTTTGTTGTTGATGGTCTAAGCAGTCCTTTTGCAGAGATTTATTAGCCAGCCTGGCTAACTCTTTAGCCAGAAACCCCTTAGAAGACTTCTTCTGAAAGACCCACCTTCCCCAGCCTCCTTGATCTACAGGTACTTGACCCTGGCAGGGTCCTCAAAGCCGGAAACACAATAGTGGATGCTTTCCTAGTGCATCTCTCAAGCTCTCATTTGTATCCTTCTGGGGGCCCCCTTAAAGGCACACAAACATCTGCATTCTCCACACTATGGAGGCAACACAATGCTTTAAAGCCTCTCAGAAAACCTACAGGACAGTTAATATGATTTAAGCCTATATTTAAATTTTATGAGACTCATTTTCAAGGCTAATAACCCAGTTTACTGTGCACAATATCAAATGCAAATTTTATTACTGACGTGGTAAAAACCAAGACGATCATCATTAGCATATCTCCCTGCATCACCCTTTTTAGCCAAAAGGTGCACCAGGAGTAACAGTGGGGATTTTTATATGTGTTGTAAATTATAGTTACTATCTCATTAGATAAACACATTTAAAATCATGTTATCATTCACTTATATATCAGAAAGTTGTTTGTTCAATTGCAGCTAGTCTCATATTCTAACATATGGTGCATGAAATTCTTAGACTAATAAAATTTCAAGGTACAGGGAGCTGGTGTCTTGGATAAAACTGTTTCTGCTCCACGAATGGCTCGATATAATCTGTAATTGCTTTGAAACAATTATGCAGCAGGCTGTTTTGTACTTAATAGTATTTACATTCTTGGTTTTATTAGCAACAAAATGTGAGTGGAACTTGTGAAAGAGAAATTAATTTTTCCACTAAAAGATGTAAACTTTTAAATAGAGGCTCTAGCAGATTGGAGAAACTACAAACACGGGGGGTGGTCAGGTCCCAATTTCTTCATTTTCTTTTTATTATGTCACTTCCTATTTCTCATTAACACACCAGACCATTTATGCAATTATATATATATATAATTGCATATATATATAGCATATAATTATATATATATATATAGCATATAATTATATATATATATATTTCACAAACTCTAGGCTTCTAGCTTGAACTTATATTTTTAAAGATGTGCTGCCTTCTAAAGCTTGTAGTGTGCTCTTCATATTGTCAGAACTGGATTGGCCCTGGAAGGCTTACTGCAGGAGGATTTTGTATACTTTTATCTAAGAAGAAAAGCACAGGTAATGTCTAAATGTGGATATTCTTCTATGTGAACTCAACTCCCATCTCAAAACAGACAAAAATCCTCACTATTTTTTTAACCTATGGAGCTATTATTATGGACATTATGTAAAGATAATTTCTTCTTGTTAAATCATTGTCATGATGTTTTATGAATCTTAGAACTATCCTGGCAATGCTGGGTGTTAGAAAGCACTATGAACTTCAGCTCATTTATCTGTAAAATAAGGACATGCATACTAACCTCACTGGATTTTTGTGAGAATTCAATTGATTGCAATTAAAAGCAAAGAGCTTTCTAAGTGCTAAAGCAGTACACAAATGGTGGTCATCACAAATGATTCCTGGTAAGTTTTGTTTGAAGTCATGTCCAGGTTTCAAAGCAAGTGCAGGATACTTACAGGTGTTTCTATTTCACCTGGTCTTTCCAGATAGATTTTTATCTTTGTCATGATCCACTTCTAGACATCTACTGATTTGAAACAAGATTGCCTTTTGATTTTCCATTTGTGTTACGTGTTTGTCAAATGATACATTCTCTAACATTCATACTGAAGTAGAAAAAAAAATTGATAGCTTTTATTTTTTTCCTTAAGTATATAGTGTATGTTTGTTATAGAAAACAAAAAGAAAAAATTCAAGAATTTGATGTATTTTCTTTCTTAATTTATATATGTATAAATATATCTGTTGTACATGTGTAAAACATATGTTCCTTTTTATATGATTAAAATCACATTATACTTAATTATAGAGCTTGCCTTTTCACTTAACATTATATAATGAACATTTTGATATGCTGTCTGAAATTATTTGAAAAGATTCGTTTTGGTGACTGTGGACAATGAACAAAGTGCAAAACTTTGTCACAAATGAGAGTATTTTAAAACTGAATTTTAATTGTGAGAGATTTAAACATCCAAAACATAGAAAGTATAATACAATGAACACCAACATACCCACCACTCAGATGGAAGAGTTGACATAATCTGGTAGCTGTGTCTACATAGAGAGAAAGAGAACCACTGTGAGATCGGAACATTTTCCGAGATGCCTGCTCTACTGATAGGACAATCATTTCACATGTTTGTTAAAAGAATAATCCAGTTACATTTGGAAGCTGGACTTCCCTCCATTCCACCCCCACCCAGCCGAGGGCCTTGAGAGCTCTTTTGTAGAGAATGCAGCTCTTCTGTTACTCCTGACCTGACACCAGACCACCTCTACCCAGGAAGGGGTATTTTCAATGGGGCCATACAGTTTTGCGAGGGCCTAATTTGGAGGGTGATGAATAGAGAGGCACACTAACTGAGCCAGTAAATTTAACTAAACCCATCTCTCCTGTCCATGGGATGTATGACAGGTGTGGCTGTAAAGCCACTTGAGCCTCCTTATCATGCTCTGTGTCTTTGGGAAGACTCAAGGCCCCTGGTTTTCATTTCATCACTTTTACACAGCAATTGTTTCACTAGGACTGAATTTTTCAATTTGAAATGACACTGAGGCTATTATTAAGAAACTTGGATAGAACTATTTTATTGCCTAAACACATGCAGTAAAAACCAAAAATGTTTTATCATTTATCTGCATTTCAATGTAAAAGCACAGAATTCTGTTGATCACATGTTGTGCAAAGACACACACCACTTCATTCTTAATTATTAGGAAATCATTTTCATTTTTCTAATTGTAATGTCAGACACTATTTAAAACAGAAAACAATTGCAAAATGGCAAGTAAAATCAATGTTAAGGGACACCAAAGATCCCCAAAGTTAACTGAAGACTAATTTCTAGACATCCATTCCTGTCCTAGGTCTTTTAGAAGGATTTGTGCTTTGAATTTTTAAAAATGATGTCAATTTCCTCCTAGTACAGTTCTTCTCAGTGTCTTTGTTGCTCCTTGCATGTAACTTAAACATCTTTAGAAGTTCTACTGAGTCCTTAATGCCACTAGTCTATCACTTGGTATATTACCACTTATATTCTACCATGAAGCACCTATATGTGTATGTATATGAAAACAACTATCAGTTAATGACCTGTAAAACTTAGAGCAATTCCCAGGGGGGAGAACTTAAATAAAAAACTAATTAATAGAACTCAACTTAGGTTAACCTAGTTTTAAATAGTATCCAGTTAACATTTTTACAAAGATGCCAAATAGTATAAAATCTTTTTGTCAATTCTTCTGTTGTGATATGGTTCACCACAGTAACCCTGCAAATATATTTCACTATTTTTGCGCGGAAAGAACATTTAATATTAACAAAACAGTTCTGTTTATATTATGGCAGTGACATGCCAGTAAATATTTAACAACCATCTCTGGAGGCCCAGAGATTTTTAGTGGGTGCTGATTTCTGCAGTTTAACACTTCCAACCATGGATGATTTCAAAGCAATGAATCTAACTTCACTAAGGCTAAATTGAAAATACATACACACAATCAGCTCTTGCAAAGCATTTCAAGCCAGCTCCAGAACACCCCTGCATTATAAGTTTTACTTAGCCTGCACAAGCCAACAACAAACAAAAATCCCCTCAATTTTGGGTTCATTTACATTAACTCCATTACTTGGACCCAGGATAAACTATTTTTTAATCTAATAATCCCACATCTGTTTTAAAACTTTCATAAAAAGTATTTCATCTGAAAGGCTTTTTTACATCGCCAAAAGCATCCTTAATGATGAGTAAGGTAGAGAGTTTCAGCAGAGTGTGAGCCTATAGCATATGGGATTTCTAGATTTCACCATTTGCAAAATGAGACAGAATCATCCTCCTAATTCAAATACAATGTGAAGATTAATAGAAAAACATGTTGTGTTCTTCTATTGTGTCTGTGATTTAAAAAACAAAGTTCTTCCAGTTGGTTTTCTATTATTAACAAAATGACATTTTGTACAGGACAAGGAAAAAGAGTTTTGGTGGGTGGGAACAAGTGCATGGTCACCAAGGGAAGCAACAACTGCGTTGAATCTGCAGCTCAATCTCCTTTGGGCAGCTCTTCCCTTGAGAAAGGGAAGAGGCTGCAGTTCCTTGTCTGTGTCAGTAATGTGAGCTTTCCAGAGGAGCATGGTCAGTTCCTTGGACAGTGTGATCAGTACCCAGGTACTGCTGTGATCTGTCCTGAGCAATGTCGTAGTGTGGGTATGTGCATGTGTGTTTGTGTGTGTGTCTATTCACATTTTTGGCTAGGAGCCAATATATGTGACTTAGGTATAAACAGATACAATGTTTATATGCATATAATCATATATGCATACATATATACAATTCTATATAATATATAACATTTTCATATGTATACATTTCTACAATTCTCATACACAATTTTAATACAGTTTTGTATAAATTTTTATACAATTTTCATACACAGGCATATATATGTATAATATACATGCATACTTGACAGAAAGACATTTTATTCTCATTTGTTTCCATATTTGAAGAAGAAGAAGAGAAAACTATCTGAACTAGATACTCTGAAATTTAAGCTCATCCATAATGGCTAACCCTTTTTCCAGATGGTCTTTTGGGAGGTTTTCTGTGACCCAGTGATGCTATGCAGCCTGGACCCCTGTGCCCTGCAAACCAGTTCTTTGCCAATTTTCGTGGAGAAGCCTCAGGCCCTGCATCTAGCCTGCCAGTGCCTGCGGGAGGAGGGCTCCATACTGCCTGGCTCCCAGATGAGACAGAGGCCTTTTTCTAGGAAGAGGCTGACAATCCCTTGAGATCTTAGTCTCTTCCCACTTCTTGCCATTCTGTCTTTACTTTTTTTCCTCTTTATAATATTCTTAATATTTACCTTTTGTAATCTCGGTGCTTTTGGTTCTTCTTTTCTTTTAAAAATAGTTTTTTTAATCTTCTTAATTCTTGTAGATTTATAATTTTTATTCCTACACTACCAGTACTTAATTTTTATCTTTAACCTTTAATCTCGTTTACTTTAAATTTTAAAATGTTTATCGTATTTGGGCCTTTTAGCTTAAATCTTTCATCATTTTATACTTTTAACCTTTTATCTCATTGGCTTTTTATATTTGCTTTTACATCTCATCAATTTTACCTTATTTTTAAGGTCAACTTTTATCTTAGAGAGATTTTAACAAAAACTTTATTCTTGTCTATTTTGCAATTTGTATTTATAGAAACAGTAAAGAGGTATAGCTGAGGGCATTTTGGAAATGGAGAGCATCATTCTCTAAATAGTGGAGGCTCAGACCTTCCCTGAGGATGCCCCTGCAACCAGCTACTTAGCCAGGTGAAGCAGACTGGTCAGACTGAGAGACATGTATGGATTAAATATGTTCAAGATTATAATGATTTCTGTAGACAGAACATAACAGATTCATTGGAGTAGTATTGCTTCCTTATATCTTAAACCAGAGGTTTGCAAACTAGGGCCCCTGGGCCAAATCCAGCCCACTATCCACTTTTGTATAGAAAGTTTATTGGAACACAGCCATGTCCATGTCCATGGCCATGACCTCTTCCCTAGGTCAGCCTTCTTGCTTCAATGATTGTTGTTAGCTCAGTGTTGTCTGTGTTAGCCTCCAGAAACAGAAACTTAACAGTTGTGGTCTCTGAATTTGAGGAACTCACTGTCAAGTAGGACATAGGCATGTAAAATAGAGTCTCAAGTGAAAAGAACTATCAGCCTTTGGGTCAGGAAAGGCATTTTTGGAAATGTAGTACCTAGATTGGAAGCTAAAGATAATTAGAGTTTAGTCAGGCAGAAATATGGGGAGTAGGGTGGGAAGAGGTGATGGCTGAGATAGAGCCTTCTAGGCACAGAAAACACGTGTGCGTTGGCCCAGAAACAACAAGAACTGAGATGCTCAGTTCTGCAGCAGCACAAGTGTGGGGAGAGAAGAAAGAGAATAAAGCCAGACAGCAGCACTGGCCTGAATAACAATGACCTTGAAAGCTTCAGGGAGGAATCTAGATTTTATTCTGAGGGTAATGCGGAGCAATTAAAGGTATTTAAACAGGAGTGACACAATCAGATGTTCACTTTTGATATTACTTGAGTTGGGAAGGAATGTTTAGTATATATTAAAATTTGACCCAAGAGAAGGATATTAAGAGAAGGAAGTGCCTTTGCCTATAAAACTACCTTGATAAATGCTTCATGAGAAGGTGTCACTCTGAGCATGGAGTGGTCAGTTGCCAACCTCCAGAGAAGAGATTTTTAAAAATAGTTTGGCATAAGATCAAAGATTCATGTGTTGCTTTGGGTGATGCAGGGATTGTGGGGAGTAGTGAGAGCAGGGAAAGATGAAGGGAGTAGAAGGGCTTGAGGCTGAAGGACTAGATAAGCCTGTCAGAGTAAGACAGTAATCAGGCACTACTTTCTTATTGGAAAGCTGAATTAAAAGGTAAATAAAGAATACTTGTGACCATTACTTCTGTCACTATTATCACCACTAAAAAATGTAAGCATCACTTGGAATGGAGTTCTCCCACCTTTATTAATTTGTTCATTTCATTACTTGTAAGTGAACATATAGTCCTGCAGTTTGTATCTGCAGTGTAGTTTCTCCCATTTTTTTTTTGTTTGTTTTTGTTTTTGTTTTTAGAGATGGAGTCTCGCTCTGTCGCCCAGGCTGGAGTGCAGTGGCGTGATCTCAGCTCACTGGTTCATGTGATTCTCCTGCCTCAGCCTCCCGAGTAGCTAGGATTACAGGTACGTGCCACCACACCCGGCTGATTTTTGTATTTTTAGTAGTGACGGGGGTCTCACCATGTTGCCCAGGCTGGTCTCGAACTCCTGACCTTAGGTGATCCACCCACCTCAGCCTCCCAAAGTGTTGGGATTGCAGGCATGAGCCACTGCCCCTGGCCTAGTTTCTCCCATTTTTAAAGGTAGCTCTTTATTTTAAAACAGGTGCTCTGATATATTCCTAGTGCTAATATGAACTCTAGAAAGCAATTTAACAAAAACAAAAACAAAAAGGCCCTCACCTAGTAATTTACTTTTAGAATTCTTTGGACTCTATCGTAAAGAAATAATCAGAAAAACGGTTATATATTTACATACAAAGATAACCAAAGCATTATAATAGTAGTGATACCTGGAAACAAAAGTAAGTTTTTAAGAGTGGAGAATGGCAAAATAAACTATAGCCTGTGTCTGTGTTGGATTATTTGGTACATATTAAAAATGCTTCCAAAAATAATAATTACTTAGAGAAAGGCATGTAATATGCTTGGTGAAAAAGATGTTAAACATAACCACATAACATATGCACCACATTTTACAGACTCCAAAATGTCATTGAAGGTGAGAACAGACAGGGAAGGACTCTAGGAACTTGGACTTTGAGTCTTAGTCTCCACTCTTGAGAGAATAAAATGGTCACTAGCTCATCCATTTTTTTTGACTCTTAGCTCTGTCCTATTACAGTCTGTCGTTAACTTCTCCAGCAAAGTCTTCTCTATTTTTTGCCTGCTCTCTAGATCTTCTTTTAAACACTTCAGGGACTGCTTGAGCCTTTTGGCTGAACATCTTGTGGCATTCCATGGTAACATAACCGCACCTTCATTAAACAGTGCTTAATGCGCACCATACTCCAGACACTGTTCTAGGCTAAAACTGTAGCTAATACCATGTAGAAGACTGAGTGGTCTCTTCCCTCACCTTAAAAGCTAGGCAAATATAGGGAAAGGAAGTCTTGCTCTCTGATGTTGATCATTTCAATGAGAAGACAAATAAAAAAACAGCTAGGCTACAATGCAATCACAATGTGATTAAGAAACAACAAATGGGCTGGGCGCAGTGGCTCACACCTGTAATCCCAGCACTTTGGGAGGCCGAGGTGGGTGGATCACTTGAGGTCAGGAGTTTGAGACCAGCGTGGCCCACATGGCGAAACCCTGTCTCTATTAAAAGTACAAAAAAATTAGCCAGGCGTGGTGGTGGGTGCCTATAATCCCAGCTACTCAGGAGGCTGAGCCAGGAGAATTGCTTGAACCCGGGAGGCAGAGGTTGCAATGAGCTGAGATCGCACCTCTGCACTCTACCCTGGGTGACAGAGCAAGACTCCATCTCAAAAAAAAAAAAAAAGAAAAAGAAGAAACAACAAATGTACAGTAAACAGAAGTGTCACCGGAGTTCAAATAAAGGGAAAGTTAATATGGATCAAAACCGCCTGAGATGGGGGTCATCAACTTAGTAACATTTAAGTGAATCATAAAGGATACAGAGATGGTCTTATTTAGAGAGAGGAAAAGAAAAGGGCATTCCAGTTTGCCGGGAACAACAAAAAGAAGGACTTAAATCAGAAACTTTGTATGTCGTCACCCTTCAGCTCTGCTCCTTTACGTCTTGCTTTGTCCCTAGTTGGCTGTAACACCTGTGGAATATTACCAACTAAGCCCTTGCTTAGTTGCAAGTGGGATTACAGGTGCACGCCTGTAATCCCAGCTACTAGGGAGGCTGAGGCAGGAGAATTGCTTGAACCCGGGAGGCGGAGGTTGCAGTGAGCCGAGATCTCACCATTGCACTCAAGCCCGGGAGACAGAGTGAGACTGCATCTCTTCAAAAGCAGCATGAATTCCCAACTTTTCAAACAAACTTTTCTCTATACAGTGGAATTCGAGACTCTAGAAAATGGTCTGCATCATCTTTGAGATTTGCTCAAGGATATCTTCCTTCCCCATCCTTAACTGTGCCCCCAGGGAGAAGCTCTGCAGGGAGGCAGAGCAGTGAAATTATCATGTTGCTAATGTGAATTGAGTGTTTTCATTCTCACAACAGCTCTCCCAGGTGGGTTGCTTCACATCTGAGGAAACCGAGATCAGAAAAAGTAAGTTGTTAACCCCTACACGGTGGAGCCGGGTCTCAAACGTGGTCTGGCTAACTGTAGAGCCAGGCTCTTCAAGATTCTGTACATGAGGCAACCACTCTAACTATCCTGGGCCGCTCTTTTCTGCATGATGAATTCTTTTTTGATTTTAACTTTTTTTACATACTTATAAAAATACCTTTTTATATTTATACAGTTAATTTAAACTTTTAATATACATATAGAAAAGTACATTACCATATGTGAACTGATCAATTAATTTTTAGAAATTGAGTACAGATGTAACACAGGGAACCAGCATTCAGATAAAGGAACAGAAAACGGCCAGGCACATTGGCTCACACCTGTAATTCTAACACTTTGGGAGGCTGAGGCAGGTGGATCATTTGAGGTCAGGAGTTCGAGGCCAGCCTGGCCAACATGGTGAAAGCTCGTCTCTACTAAAAATGCAAAAAACAAACAAACAAACAAACAAAAACCTAGCCAGGCATGGTGGTGCACGCCTGTAATCCCAGCTACTAGGGAGGCTGAGGCAGGAGAATTGCTTGAACCTGGGAGGCGGAGGTTGCAGTGAGCCGAGATCTCACCATTGCACTCAAGCCCGGGCGACAGAGTGAGACTGCATCTCTAAAAAAGAAAAAAGAAACAGAAAACAACCAGTACTCCAGAAGCTGTCCTTATGTGTCAATTATGACTGGACTGTCTCTCTCAAAGTTGTATGTTGAAGACCCCATTCTCAGTGTGACTGTATTTGGAGACAGGGCCTTTAAAAAGGTAATTAAGGTTAATGAGCTCATAAGGATGGGATCCTAATCCAATAGCACTGGTGTCCTAATAAGAAGAGAAAGAGACACCAAGGATGTGTGTCAACAGGTCACAGGCCATGTGAAGATGGAGCAAGAAGGCAGACATCTGAAGCAAAGGAGGGAGGCCAGAAATAACCAACCCTACCTGCACCTTGATCTTAGAGTTTCAGCCTCCAGAACCGGGAGAAAATACATGTCTGTTATTTAAGCCACCTAGATTAATATTTTGTTATTGCAGTGCTAGCAGACTAATATAACGTCCTTAAAAGGGCTACACCTGCCCCAGGGGAACCACTATCCTGACTTCCAAGAGCATTTGTTTTTTGTCTGTTTTTGTACTTTACATCTATTGGAATCCCACAATATATCGCCTTGTGTCTGACTTCTTTTGCCCTATAATAGCTATAAATTTCCCTTTAAGCATGGCTTTAGCTGCATTCCACAAATTTTAAGATGCTATCAGCCTTTAATTCAAAATATTTTAAAATTTTCCTTGACCTGTGAGTTATTTAGTAGTATGTCCCTTAATTTGTAAATACTTGGGCTTTTTTCCAACTATCTTTTGGTTATTGATCTTTAATTCTATTGTGGTCAGAAAACATACACTGTAAGATTTAAATCTTTTTAAATTTATTGAGATTTGTTTTATGGGCCAGAATATGGTCTATCTTGGTGAATGTTCCATCTGCAACTGAAAAGAATGTTTCTACAGCAGCCATTGAGGTAGTGTTCTAAAGATGCTAATTAGGGAAAATTGGTTGAGAGTTGTTCAAATCTTTTATATCCTTCCTTACTGGTTTTTTTTGCCTACTTGTTCAAGTAATTACTGAGAAAAATGTAAATTTGCACTGTAACTGAAGATATGTCTGTTTCTTTTTTTTAAGTCTCTTTGGTTTTTGCTTCATATATTTTGAAGCTCTTTTATTAGATGTATACACATTTAGGATTACTGTCTTCTTGATGAACTAGATGTCTTTCATTGTTAAATATCCCTCATTATTGCCACTAATCTTCCTTGCTTTGAAATCTACTATAGCCACTCCAGCTTTTAAATTATTAGTGTTTGCGTGGCATACCTTTTGCTTTTAATCTATCTGTGTCTTTATATTTAAATATCTCCTACAAGCAACATATAATTGGGTCTTGTACTTTAGGCACTGTTAATCAATGCCTACAAATAGTCATTTCATACCTTCTGTCTGTTTTTATAGCTATTTACTATGGGATAAGTACAATGCTCATCATTCCATTACAGATGGAACCAAAGCTATAATTTCTTCTTTTTTGAGTACGTTTTTCTTTTGTGTGTGTGTGTGTGGTGGCTGTATGAGAGAGAGACAGAGAGAGAGAAAGAAAGAGAGAGAGAGAGAATCACCCTTTTTCTCTTAAGTAGCTGGTGAAGGAATGAGAGGGTGTCCTTTTCTTTTACAGGCAGTATGGATTAGAGGACACCTGCATCAGAATCCTTAAGCTCTACTCTGTTCTGCTGAATCAAACTCTCTGGGGGATGGAGCCTAAGAATCTGCATTTTAACAACTCTCCATGTAATTTATGTTCTATAAAACTGGAGAGCCACTGCCTTGTAGAAAAAACTCTTTCTTATCTTCCCTGAGTTTCAGCAGTCAGACTGGTAACTTGGAGGGCCAGGAATATAACGTGGGTGGCGCGCGAGTGGGTAGGGAGGGGGCATAAATGGGAAAGGCCCTGAGAAAGTCCTCACCCACTCTCTGGTGCTTTTGCTTCCATGTGATCCAGCTCAGCTCACCAAGTAGGAAGAGAACAGAGAGAAATTTGGAATCAAAGCCATAGCAAGTACGGGGCTTTTATCCTGGAGTTACAAGTGACGTATATGATAAAATAACTGGTATATTGTGTAGTCATTTAATAATTCTAGCATTTAAGCCGGGCACGGTGGTTCACGCCTGTAATCCCAGCATTTTGGGAGGCTGAGGCAGGTGGATCACCTGAGGTTGAGAGTTCATGACAAGCCTGACCAACATGGAGAAACCCCATCTCTACTAAAAATACAAAATTACCTGGGCATGGAGGTGCACGCTTGTAATCCCAGCTACTCGCGAGGGTGAGGCAGGAGAATCGCTTGAACCCGGGAGGCGGAGGTTGTGGTGAGCCGAGATCGCGCCATTGCCCTCCAGCCTAGGCAACAAGAGCGAACCTCTCTCTCTCAAAAAAAGAGAAGTAATTCTAGTATTAATAATCATATTCTTCACTTTCACCCTGTATTCATAACAAACAATAAATACCACAAACAGCTACATTCTCAGTATAATATGGATAAGTGTCACACTACATATAGGTCTATAAAACTTTTAGCATGCGAATTTTAGAAAATACTGTGCATTTGTTTGTTTGCTTAATTTAAGAGCTAGCATAAATATCATTTACTATGGGGTAAACAGATAACAGGGAATGGTTAAATATTTACATAACATGTACTTAATTACCTCTGTTTCCCCAGTGTCTAGCACAGTGCCTACTCCATAATAGACAATTCAATAATATTTGTTGAACAAACAACTAAATTAAGGTGACATTATGAAATATTCTATAAGTGGGGCTGCTCATATTGCTTGCTTACCCTGGGCACCAGAACTGACTCCCTAGTTATCTTGATTCAATTGTAGAGTCCAGCTGGTATCAATCTGGCTATAACAGCATGTACAAGTATATTTGATCATAGAATTCCATAGAATTATAATAGTATGAACACCAGTAGGAACTCATGTTGTACAATGTGTGCTTAGAGTAGACATTAGAATGTCTCAAAAGTAGATTGTCGTTGGAAATGACAAAAATTGTTCCACATGCCTTTAAAAATGTATAAGAAGAAAGACAAGTAGCATGTTTGAGAAATTAAAGCACTTGTATTTCATCAAAGCAAAATGTGTTTAAAGTATTGAAATTAGAGGGTTAGATACACAACCCAGCAAACACCTGAGATGGTTTGTTGGTAAATGCTAACTATGCATCAATGGAAAAGTGGTAAGCTTTCATGAAGCAGGTTATCTGCTGTGTAACTAAGACAAGGACTGGCCCCTAGATCAGACCCAAAGAAAGGGTGAGTAAAGGAACCCCAGAGCACCATATTCCCATGGTGGACCTTTGAGATCCTAGCTAGAAGACTTCTCATGACCCCCAAGCAGACCTTCAGAATGGTAGGGAGAGCTGTGTGGAGAATACATACAGGCACTGCTTAAACCTGAGTGGATCCCAAAATGCTTCAGTGTGCTGGGCAGCTGCAGCAAAGTGTGACTCTGGGAACCACCTTCCCCCATCCCCAACAAAGCTCTGCATCCTTCCCTAAGCAGCTGCAGTTTCTGCTATCTGCCTGCAGGAGAGAGCAAAGTCCACGCATGCTCATGCACCCAAGACAGGCCCCGCTGCCATGTGTGCATCCGAACCACATGCCCTCATGCCTGCTGGTCCCTCCCAAGACTGCCTGCCTGGCCATTCTTGCAGGGGAAGCCCAATGCATAGCCACCATCGCCCAGCCTGAGTGGTTTCTTGGTAACCTGGGAGTAGTCCACCTCTGTATCACAGCTGGTGCTTGATCCCAAGGGGCCAAAGGATAAATCTGCTGGCCTGGGTCCAGTTCTCCAGGACTGGAGCACACTGCCCAGGGGTAGGGAGATGAGATCTGTGGCCTGACCTTGAGTTGGGGAGGAAACTCAACTGTCAGAACACAGAGAAGAGTGTGAAGTGGGTTAGTGTGATGGTGTGGGGAGCTGGGCGTCCCTCCCTTCATGAGGCCAGACAGGAAAGGGTGGGGTCTCTTAGTGGCAGTTTCTACTCCACGGGTTCTAGCAGACCTGAACGCCAGGAACGGTTTGGCAATCTGGGCACAGATAGCTTGGGACTAGACTAACCAGTCAAGCCTGTTGCCCTAGCCATTTGCTGCAGGGAGAGCAAATCAGTGTGTGAGAGCTGTGCAGGCCTGCAGCCGCCTTCTAGGCTGAAAATCCCTGGCAGCCCCTGGTCCCCTGAGCTGGCTCTGTGGGGGCAGGGTAGGGGCCTGAAAGCTTCCCCTAGACCCCTGCTAAGGTCAGCACTTGTACCTGCCTTAAGAGCCTGGTTCTGGGTTCAGCTGACCCAGGCCCTACCCAGCTTTGCTCCCTATAGCCACTTTGGTAGCAGAACGTGAGATGGGATCCCTGAAAGCCCCATGCCCTGCCCATTACCAGGGACACATACCCCGTTAACAAAGGTCAAGTAAAAATTCCACTGCCGTCACTGTAACTGCCTCTTATCTGCAGTTGCCACCTACTGGCAAGGAGGTCAAACTGCACAGTGTTTCACAACTACTGACATCATTGTATAGCAGTCAGCAGGCTTTTGCCCGCAAGTGCTATCTACTGGCCTGTAGGGTGAACTGCACAACCCAATATACTTCCTGCTAACAGATGTGCACAGTGCTAAGGAAGGAGATAAGCTTCCCCAGACCTCAACTTACTCATCTCTGTAGGTGACAGACAGCCTGACCACATGTACAGTACTCCACTACTACAACCTACAAATAACTACCATTTGAGAAAACCACACTAAGGCTATCTATAACCAAGGAATTCGTAAGGAGCCTTGGGCCCCTAAAAGCATGCAGAAACAAATCCTACCCAACACACACAGCTGTAACACCCTCAAGGAGAGAAGAAAAAATCCCACTCCAAAAGAGTAACTTCAAAAATAAAAAGTGGCAGCTTCCACGGATGAGAAGAACTAGCACAAGAAACCAGCATGAAGAAACAGAATTTTGTGACACCCTCAAAGGACCACACTAGGTCTGTAGCAATGGATCCTAACCAAAATGAAAACTTTGAAATGACAGATAAAGAATTCAAAGTATGAATTGTAAGGAAGCTCAATGAGATCCAAGAGAAAGTTGAAAACCAACACAAAGAAATCGGGAAAACAATTCAGGATAGGAAAGACAAGATAGATGTATTTTAAATACAAAAAAAAAAAAAAAAACAAAAAAAAAAAACAAAGGAGAAAAAACCCTTCAGGAAATAAAAAATTCACTGAAGGAATTTTCAAAACACAATTTAAAGCTTTAACAAGAGACTACATGAAACAAAATAAAGAATTTCAGAGCTTGAAGACTGATCTTCCAAATTAACCCAGTCAGACAAAAACAAAGAATTTTTTTAATGAAAAACACGTTTGAGAAATATGTGGTTCCATATGGTGACCAGACCTGTAATTTATAGGCATTCCTGAGGGAGAAGAAGAAAAAGTAAGAAATTTGGGAAAAGTATTTGAGGGATAATTCAGAAAAATTTCCCTGGAGACATAGACATCCAGATACAAGAAATTTAGAGAACATCAGGAAGATATTCTACAAGATAAACATCACCAAGGCATATCATCATCAGACTATCCAAGGTCAAAGTGTAAGAGCAATCTTAAAAGTAGTTAGAAAGAAGCATCAAATCACCTATAAAGGAAATCCCATGAGACTAACATCAGACTTCTCAGCATAAGCCTTGTGAAAGAAGAGATTGGGGGCCTATTTATTTTTCACCTCATTAAAGAAAAAAAAAAGTCAGCCAAGAATTTTATATCCTGCCAAACTAAGCTTCATAAATTAAAGAGAAATAGTCTTTCCTAGACAAGCAAATGCTAAGGGAGTTTATTACCACTAGACCAGTCCTACAAGAAATGCTCAAAGGAGTTCTAAACATGGAAATGAAAGGACAATACTAGTCATCATAAAAGTACATGTAAGTAGAAAGCTCACAGAACCTATACAGCAATTATACAATTGAGACTCCAAGGCAACTAGCTAACAAAATTCTAACAAGAACAAAACCTCACATGTCAATACTAACCTTGAATGTAAATGGCCTGAATACACCTCTTAAAAGACATAGCTGGCAAAACAAAACCCAACCATCTGGTGCCTACAAGAGACCAACCTAATAGCTAAAGGCACCTGCAGACTCAAAATAAAGGAATGAAAAAAAGACATATGTGAATAGAAAACAAAACCGAGCAGGAGTAGCCATTCTTATATCAGATAAAACAGACTTTAAACCAATGACAGTACAAAAAGACCAAAAAAAGAAAAGCATTATATAATGATAAAGGGTTCAATATAACAAGAAATTTAACTGTCTTAAATATATATGCACCCAACACCAGAGCACCCAGATTCATACTACTAGATCTAAGAAACTGCTAAACCTAAGAAAACAGAGTGACAACAATACAATAATAGTGAGGAACTTTGACACCCCGCTGACAACACTAAGCAGTTCATCAAAGCAGAAGATCAACAAAGAAACTCTGGACTTAGACTAGACTCTAGACCAAAAGAACCTAATAGACATTTACAGATCATTCTTTCCAACAACCACATGATATACATTTTCTCATCTGTGCACAGAACATTCTCCAAAACTGACCATGTGCTTGGCCATAATGCAAATCTTAATAAATTTTTAAAAATTTAAGTCATATCAAGTTTCTTCTCAGAAATAGTGGAATAAAATTAGGAATCAATACCAAGAGAAACTCTCAAAACTACATAAGTACACAAAAACTAAGCAACTTTGAGTAAACAATGAAGTTAAGGCAGACATAAAAAATTTTTGAAATGAATGAAAATTGAGACACAACATATCAAAACTTCTGGGATACAGCAAAAACAGTGCTAAAAGGAAACTTTATAGTGTTAAATGGCTACATCAAAAAAAATCTCCAATTACCAATCTAATGTTATACCTCAAGGAACTAGAAAAGCAAGAACAAACCAAACCCAAAGAAGCAAATAACAAGAAATAACAACATGTTATTTCTTTCTTTTGCTGGCTTTGTGCTTGGTTTATTCTCAGAGCAGAGCTAAATGAGATTGAGACCAAAAAAAATGATGTAAAGGATCAATGAAGTGAAAAGGTGGTTGATGGACAAAATTGATAGACAGCTAGGTAATTAGTCTAACCAAGAAAAAAAGAGAGGAGATTCAAATTAAGTACAATCAAAAATTATAAAGTTGGCATTACAACTGATACCACAGAAATGCATAAGATCATCAGAGATTATTATAAATCTCTCTATATATACAAACTAGAAAACCTAGAGGAAATGAATAAATTCCTGGAAATGTACAACCTCCCAACATTTAATCAAGAAGGAATTGAAATCCTGAACAAACTAATAATGAGCAGTGAAAGTGAATAAGTAATTAAGAAAAAAAAGAAAAAAAAACAACAAACTTTCAACAAAAAAAGCCCAGGACCAGAGATTCACAGACAAATATTATGAGATATACAAGGAAGAGATGTGTATTAGTCTGTTCTCATGCCGCTAATAAAGACATACCTGAGACTGGGTAATTTATAAATGAAAACAGTTTAACTGACTAACAGTTCCACATGGCTGGGGAGGCCTCACAATCATGGCAGAAGGCAAATGAGAAGCAAAGTCATGTCTTACATGGCAGCAGGCAAGAGGAGCATGTACAGGGGAACTGCCCTTTCTAAAACCATCAGATCTCATGGGACTTATTCACTATCCTGAGAACAGCATGGGAAAAACCTGCCCTTATGATTCAATTCCCTCCCACCAGGTCCCTCTCATGACATGTAAGGATTATTACAATTCAAGGTGAGATTTGGGTGAGGACACAGAGCCAAACCATATCATTCTGCTCCTGGCTCTTCCCAAATCTCATGTGCTCACATTTCAAAAACCAATCATGCCTTCCCAACAGTGCCCCAGAGTCTTAACTCATTTCAGCATTAATTCAAAAGTCCACAGTCTAAAGTCTCATCTGAAATAAGGCTGGTTCCTTCCATCTATGAGCCTGTAAAATCAAAAGCAAATTAGTTACTTTCTAGACACGACAGAATTACAGATATTGAGTAAATACACCCATTCCAAATGCGAGAAATTGGCCAAAACAAATGGGCTACAGGCCCCACGCAAGTCTGAAATCCAGCAGGGCAGCCAAATCTTAAAGCTCCGAAATGACCTCTTTTGACTCCATATCTCACATCTAGGTCACACTATTGCAAGAGGTCAGTTCCCATGGCCTTGGGAAGCTCTGTCCCTGTGGCTTTGCAGGGTACAGCTTCCCTCCCAGCTGCTTTCACGAGCTGGTGTTGAGTGTGGCTTTTCTAGGTGCATGGTGCAAGATGTCCATGGAGCTACCATTCTGGGTTCTGGAGGATAGCGGCTCTCTTCTCACAGCTCCACTAGGAAGTGTCCCAGTGGTGACTCAGTGTGGGGGTTCCCAATCCACATTTCCCTTCTGCACTGCCCTAGCAGAGGTTCTCCATGAGGGCTCTGCCTCTGCAGCATACCTCTGCCTGACCATCCAAGTGTTTCCATATATCCTCTGAAATCCCTCTGAAATCCAAGTTCCCAAATCTTGATTCTTGACTTCTGTGCACCCACAGGCCCAACACCATGTGTAAGTTGCCAAGACTTGGGGCTTGCACCCTCTGAAGCAACAGCCTGAGCAGTATGTTGGCCCCTTTTAGCCACAGCTGAAATGGCTGAGACACAGGGCACCAAATCCCTAGGCTGCACACAATAGGGGGGCTCTGGGCCTGGCCCACAAAACATATTTTCCCTTCTAGGCCTCCAGTCCTGTGATGGGAGGGGCTACTGGGAAGGTCTCTGCTATACCCTGGAGACATTTTCCCCACTGGCTTGGCAATTAACATTTGGATCCTCATTACCTATGCAAATTTCTGCAGCCAGCTTTAATTTCTCCTCAGAAAGTGGGGTTTTCTTTTCTATCGCATTATCAGGCTGCAAATTTTCCAAATTTTATGCTCTGCTTCCCTTTTAAATGTAAATTCCAATTCCAAACCATATCTTTGTAAATACATAAAACGGAATGCTTTTAGCAGCACCCAAGTCATGTCTTGAACACTTTGCTGCTTAGAAATTTCTTCTGCCAGATGCCCTAGATTATCTCTCTCAAGTTCAAAGTTCCACAGATTTCTAGGGCAGGGGCAAAATGCTGCTAGTCTCTCTGCTAAAACATAGCAAGAGTCACATTTATTCCAGTTTCCAACAAGTTCCTCATCTCCATCTAAGACCACCTCAGCCTGAACTTTATTGTCCATATCACTATCAGCATTTTGGTTAAAGCCATTCAACAAGTCTCTAAGAAGTTCCAAACTTTTCCACATCTTCCTGTCTTTTGAGCCCTCCAAACTGTTCCACCCTCAGCCTGTTACCCAGTTCCAGAATCACTTCCATATTTTCAGGTATCTTTGCAGTAGCACCCTACTCTACTGGTATTAGTCTATTCTCACACTGCTAATGAAGACATACCTGAGACTGGGTAATTTATAAACGAAAGAGGCTTTCTTGACTCACAGTTCCACATGGCTTGGGAGGCCTCACAATCATGGCAGAAGGCAAATGAGGAGCAAAGTCATGTTTTATATGGTGGCAGGCAAGAGGAACATGTGTAGGGGAACTTCCCTTTATAAAACATCAGATCTTGTGAGACTTATTCACTATCATGAGAACAGCATGGGAAAAACCCATCCCCATGATTCAATTACCCCCACTGGGTCCCTTCCATAACACATGGGGATTATTACAATTGAAGGTGAGATTTGGGTGGGGACACAGAGCCAAACCATATCAATCTGTTACCAATCTTATGGAAACTCTTCCAAAAAATTGAAAAGAAAGAATTCTGCCTAACTCATTCTACATGCAAGTGTCACTGATACCAAAATCATGCAAGGACACAACAAAAAAAAGAAAACTACAGGCTAACATTCCTGAATAACATAGATGCCAAAGTCCTCAACAAAATATTAGCAAACCAAACCACAGCACATCAAAAATAATTCATTATGATTAAGTGAGTTTTATTCCAGAGTTACAAGGATGGTTTGACACTCACAAATCAATAAATGTTATTCACCATCTAAATAGAATTAAAAACAAAAAAAATATGATCATCTCAATAGACGCATACAAAGCATTTGATAAAATCCAACATCCCTTCATGATAAAAATCCTCAACAAACTAGACATTGAAGGAACATACCACAAAATAATAAGAGGCATATATGACAAACCCACAGGCAACATCATACTGAATTGGGAAGAGTTGAAAGCATTTCCACTAAGAACTGGAACAAGACAGGGATGTCCACTCTAACCACTCCTATTCAACGTAGTACAGAAAGTCCTAGCCAGAGCAACCAGACAAGAGAAAGAAATAAAAGGCATTCAAACTGGAAAAGAAGAAGTCAAATTATCTCTGTTTGCTGATGACATGATCCTGGAGACTCCTTCAAAAGACTCCTAAACTTGATAGCTCCAGTGAAATTTCAGGATAAAAAAATCAATGTACAAAAATCAGTAGTATTTCTATACACCAATAATGTTCCAGCTGAGAACCACATAAAGAATTCAGTCTCATTTACAATAGCTACAAAAAATTAAATACCTAGGAATAAATTTAATCAAAGTGGTGAAAGATCTCTACAAGGAGAACTACAAAATGCTAATGAAAGAAGTCATTGACGACACAAATGGAAAAACATCCCATACGCACGGATTGGAAGAATGAATATTATCAAAATGATCATATTGCCCAAAGAAATCTACAGAGTCAATGCAATTCCTGTCAAAGTGCCAATGTCTTATTCACAGAATTAGAAAAAAAAATCCTACAGTTCATATGAAACCAAAAAAAAGCCCAAATAGCCAAAGCAATCTTAAGCAAAACCAAAACAAACCAAAACAAAAAAACAAAATCAAAGCCAGAGGCAACACATAACCTGACCTCAAATTAAATAAAACTATAGTAACTAAAACAGCCTGAGACTAGTAAAAAAATAGACATGTAGATCAATGGAATAGAATAAAGAATCCACAAATTAAGCCACATAGCTACAACCAATTGATCTTTGACAAAGTCGACAAAAATAAATGGGAAAGGATACCCTATTCAATAAATAGTGCTGGAAAAATTGGCTAGCCATATGCAAAATAATAAAACTGGACTGCTATCTCTCACCATATACAAAACTTAACTCAAGATGGTTTAAAGAGCTAAACGTAAAACCTGAAACTATAAAAGTTTTAGAACAAAAACCTAGGAAAAACTCTTCTGGACATTGGCCTAGGCAAAAAATTTATAATGAAGACCCCAAAAGCAAATGCGACAAAAATAAAAATAGACAAATGGGACTTAATTAAACTAAAAAGCTTCTGCACAGCAAAAGAAATAACAGAGTAAACAGATAATCTACAAAATAGGAGAAAATATTTGCAAATTATTCCTCCAACAAGGGACTAATATCTAGAATCTACAACGAACTCAAACAACTCAACAACTTTTTAATGAGTTTTTAAAAAGTGGGCAAAGGACATTAACAAATATTTCTCAAAAGAAGACATACAAGAAGCCAATAAAATATGAAAAGATGCTCAAAATCACTAATCATCAGAGAAATGCAAATTAAAACCACAGCAAGATATCTTACATAGGTCACAATGACTATTATTAATAAGAGAAAAACAAATGTTGGCATGGGAGTGAAGAAAAGAGAATCCTTATATACTGTTGGTGGGAATGTAAATTAGTACAGCCTTTATGGAAAACAGTATGAGATTTCTCCATAAACTGAAAATAGAACTACCATTTGATCCAGCAATCTACTACTTGGCATCTACCCAAAGGAAAAGAAATCATTATATTAAAAAGACACTTGCACTGTATGTTTATTGCAGGATTATTCACAATAGCAAAGTCATGGAATCAACCTAAGTGTCCATCAACAGTTGATTGAATAAAGAAAATGTAGTTCAGCTGGGCGCGGTGGCTCATGTCTGTAATCTCAGCACTTTGAGAGGCCGAGGCGGGTGGATCATGAGGTCAGGAGTTCAAGACAAGCCTGGCTAAGATGGTGAAACCCCATCTCTACTAAACATACAAAAATTAGCTGGGCATGGTGGTGGGCGACTATAATTCCAGCTACTCAGGAGGCTGAGGCAGGAGAATCGCTAGATCCCGGGAGGCAGAGTTGCAGTGAGCCGATATCATGCCACTGCACTCCAGCCTGGGTGACAGAGTGAGACTCCACCAAAAAAAAAAAAAAGAAAGAAAGAAAGAAAGAAAGAAAGAAAGAAAGAAAGAAAGAAAGAAAGAAAGAAAGAAAGAAAGAAAGAAAGAAAGAAAGAAAATGTAGTATATATGCACCATGGAATACTATGCAGCTTTCAAAAAGAATGAAATCATGTCCTGTGCAGCAACGTGGATGGAGTTGGAGGCCATTATTCTAAGTGAAATAACTCAGAAACAGAAAATCAAATACTGCATGCTCTTATATGTAGGACCTTATAAGAAAATTATGTGAATACATGAACATAAAGATGGAAATAACGGACATTGGAAACTCTAAAAGTGGGAAGGGAGGAAGGGGGTTGAAAGTTCAAGGAACTACCTATTTGTTACAATGTTCACTATTTGGCTGATGGATAACTAGAGACCCAACCTTACCATTATGCAATATATCCAAGTAACAAACTTGCACATGTAACCCCTGAATCTGAAATAAAATTTTTAAAAAGAAGATAATAAAAAAAGTTAGAAAGAAATGTTTTCTCATTACCTGGGCTTTTCCACACAGTAATATATCTAGGCCAACAGGATCATAAGTGACACAGCATTATCACTGATACAGTGCTTCTCTGGAATTTTTTTCTAAGTCAACAATATCCACTGATGCTGATTTTTAAAAAAGCAAAATCTTGTCAGAAGTTATCGATAGAAATTTTCCCAACAATAATCAGGTAGTCATTAACAATGGCTCAACTTATGTAGTACCAACCAGGCACATGACTCGATTGAAGTGACAATGATATAAGCATCTATGAACAAACCTGGGCATTGCAGCTAATAACAACCACTTTACTGACACCAACAGCAAATGGGGATGCATTTAATTATAACACAGAGGCTGATATCAGTGATGTTAAAATATATTTTTTAAATGTACACCTGAGATGATTTGGCTCTATGTCCCCACCCAAATCTCATGTTGAATTGTAATTCCCAATGTTGGGGGAGGGGCCTGGTAGGAGGTGATTGAATTATGGGGGCAGATTTTCCCCTTGTTGTTCTCATGATACTGAGTGAGTTCTCACTACATCTGATAGTTTAAAAGTGTGTGGTACTTTCCACTTCGCTCTCTCTTCCTCCTGCTCTGGTCACGTGAAGACGTGTCTTGCTTCCCCTTCGCCCTTCTGCCATGATTGTAAGTTTCCTGAGGCCTTCCAGCTGTGCTTCCTGTACAGCCTGTGGAACTGTGAGTCAATTAAACTGCTTTTCTTCACAAATTACCCAGTATCCAGTGGTTCTTTATAACAGGGTGAGAACGGACTAATACAATACCTTAGAAGCAAAAGAAAGGTATATTGCAAAAAAGACTTTGCAGCCCTATAATACACCCAACAAAATGTTTGTGATGAGTTCCCCGTTAACAGGGCAATTATTTTTTCTATGATGTTAGACTCAGTTTGTCTCTCACTCTAATCTAACTGAGCATTTTGTGTCCTTTTAGGCTCTGCCCCCATCAGCATTCTGCATGCCCTGTGGAGGAAGGCAGAAGTAATGTTCTACGTTTATGCCTTCTGGCATGGAAGGAGAGCACTCTTCAGTTAGAGTCTAAGCTGGAGCATGTTATAGTATGGTTCTCTTCATCAGCTTGGGGTGCAAATGAAGTCACGTTCTTTAGTGTGGTTTTTTTTTCAATTAGTAACCCAAGCAGGAAGTCTTCTGCTTGAGACCGCCCCACTCCTGAATTGTCTGATGGCACCAAGGGTAAATTACTTCATTCAAGTCATTCTGCTTCTAAGTGCCAGTTGGAGGGTTGAATAGGAAAATTTGGAAGCTGGTGGTGGTCCTGCACAATGCTCAAAAACACTTTCCCACTGAAGTGATGCTTACAGGCCAGGATCCCTGAAGGGCTAGTGTTGCCCATCTTTGGGGCTTCCTGCTTCCACTCCTGCAGGCCACACCCACTTGTGAACCAAATCCACTGTGGGAAGTGGTTCCAAAGTCAGCTGCCAGTCCCAATTCCACATGGTGCCTATACACTTGGCCCCTAGTGTTGGGCTGGGTTGACTTCTCCTTCCAATACAGTGAGTTCCACTTCAGGGACTTTGGAGTCCTTTCTGACCCATGGACCTCAGCTGGGACCATCCTAACCTCTCAGTTTGATTCTAATCAAGTTGATTCTGAAAACGAAAGTCACCAGCATCTCAATCCCTTTCATTCCAAAACATTCCTGATTCCTCCACAGCATCATTCTTCTTCTACAATGTGATCACCTGTGCACACCAAATGATGTCTTCATGAAGCAGTCTTCATCAACCACAAATTTTCCATTTTATTCCTTCCTTAGGATACTTGGTACCTCCTCATCCTAGAATATGTAATTTAGAGGCATCTTCCCAGTGATTCCTCAAAGGTCTGCCAAAGTGAATTCTTGGCCCACCTTTTTGAAAAAGAATTGCTGGAAAATGTTCTTACTAAAAATATTAAGTTCTTGGGCTGGGTGCAGTGGCTCATGCCTGCAATCCCAGCACTTTGCGAGGCCGAGGCAGGAAGATCACTTGAGGCCAAGAGTTTGACACCAGTTTGGGCAACATAGCGAGACACTATCTCTGCAAAAAAAAAAAAAAAAAAGAAAGAAATTAACTGGACATGGTGGCACATACCTGTAGTCCTAGCTACTCAGGAGGTTGAGGCAGGATAATAACTTAAGCCCAGGAGTTTGAGGCTGCAGTGAGCCATGATCATGCCACTGCACTCCAGCCTGAGTGACAGAGACTCTGTTTCTAAAAAGTATTTTGAAAGAAACAAAAGTATTACGTTATCTTTCACCAGGGACCCTCTGACACACACACACACACACACAAACATACACACACACACACACACAATGTTTTGTCCCTACCTTTGGCTTACACAGGGGTGACATGACACTTCTTGGTTAACTGCAAACCTCATTAACCATCCTTCCCTGATCATTGCAGCTTTGAGGTTTTCCAATTTTGTTTTTACTTAATGTTTTATATAGCTTATACTTAGTAATTATAATGCATGTGTTAGTAGTTACCCTAAAATTGAGGCAAAATTTTTAAAATAAGCAACTTTAAAAAATTTACCATAAAATTTAAGAATCAAGGCCAGTCGCGGTGGCTCATGCCTGTAATCCCCACACTTTGGGAGGCCAAGGCGGGCAGATCACCCGAGGTCAGGAGTTCCAGACCAGCCTGACCAACATGGTGAAATCCCGTCTCTACTAAAAATGCAAAAAGTTAGCTGGGCATGATGGCATGTGCCTGTAATCCTAGCTACTTGGGAGGCTGAGGCAGGAGAATTGCTTGAACCCGGGAGGTGGAAGTTGCAGTGAGCCGAGATTGCGCCATTGCACTCCAGCCTGGGTGACACAGCAAGACTCTGTCTCAAAAAAAAAAAAAAATCAAATAAATCATACTATATATATATATATATAAATGTATAAAATATACACACACAATTAGCTTTGAAGGATAGATTTTCCTCATTTTGACACTGATAAAACAATTAAATACTATAAAAATTCATCTTAGTATAGCCAACCTGTGAAAAAACTTGGAGGAAACTTAAAGTCATATTGCTAAGTGAAAGAAACTGATCTGAAAAGGTTGCATACTGTCATATGATTCTAACTATATGACATTCCAGAAAAGGCAAAGCTATGGAGATAGTTAAAAAGATCAGTGATTTCCAGAAGGAGGAAAGAACAGGCAGAGCACAGGGTATATTCAGGGCAGTGACAATAGTCTGTATGATACTATAATGGTGAACACATCTCGTTATACATCTGTCTAGACCCATGGAATGCGCAACACCAAGAGTGAACTCTAATGCAAACTAGGGCTTTTTGTTCATCATAATCTATCAGTATTGGTTCCTTATTTGTAACAAGTGTACTACAATACTGCAAGATATTAACAACAGAAGAAACTGTAGGGGAAGGTAAGGGCTAAATGGAAACTCTCTGTACTTTCTGCTCAACTTTTCTGTAAACTTAAAGCTGCTCTAAAGATAACATTTATTAGTTAAAAAATTTTAAAAGATCAGTTGACTATACAAGCACATCTTTAGGGTTCTGAACAAAAACCTATTTCTGAAATACTGAATTTGTACGGGGAAAAAAGCAATATTCAATTAAATATGATTGACTTACTAAAACATTACGTTAGGAACAAAAATGTAACATTTATTCCAAGAATATCTTCTGGGATCAGCTCCATTCTACTTCCACCATGCCTACATTTTCTAATTCTACTCTAGTTATGAATAAACATGAAGCTTGATACTCAGGAGTGAATACGCCCACGGCTTAAGCTGATTCTAGGTTCTAATAGAAACAACTCGTAGCTTGAAAGAGGTGTTGTTCTTTTACAATAAAGCAGAATCTGGTTCAATAATGTAAAAGCAGAGGTAGTCCTGCAGGAATTAGACTGTGTCATTTGATTTTTATGGGAGTTATTGTCTAATGAGAGTTAATGATTAAGCACATTTGGTTGTATTGTCTTTTGGTTGTTAACCTATTCTACAAAGTTTATTACAAAAAAAAAAAAACAAGAAAAGCATTTCACTTTCAACATTTTAAGTGATGCTATGTTGGAGTCTGTTTCTAATTATTTTAAGTTAAAAATTTTACATTTTAACAGATTTTTTTAAAAATCAGCGTTATTTTTTATAAATAGAAATCTATGAACTAATAGTATTGAAAATGTTTTGTACTAAATAAAGGGAGGCAAAAGCAAAAGTAACTCAGAAAACACCAGGAAGCTACTTTCCTTTCACTCCGCTTTGTGAATCAAAGTTGAAAAGAAAACCAATAACATCATTGATAAATTTAAAATGAGAATTTTTTAATTTTATTTTTGTCATGATAGAATCGCTAAATCAACTCTGAGCCTGCTCCTTTAACGTGGAAATGACTGCAACCAGTAGTACAAAATTATGGAAAAAAAATTCACCAAATGGGATTTCATTTTAAAATGCAGATCCCATTTGAAGAGCTTCACAAAGGAACACTGCCTCTGACAAGTGGAGAAAAATCTACCCTTCAAAGCTAATTGTGGTATTAAAGTATGTATGAAAGAAAGAAAAATGGCATATAGCTATTAAAACTAGTTTTGTAATGCAGACACACTTTTTCATGGAAACAGTAACAACAGCCTCCAGGGTATGGGGGGCGGGGAGGGGCGTGTGTGCAGAATGAGCAAGAGGGAGATTCTTCCAGATGAATGAACAAATGAATGAATGCTTAAAAAAAAAATCCAAACCCAAAATTGTTTAAGGTGACTAATTAAGACCCCCTCTTAGAAAAGCTGTTGCTAGGTAAACAAAACTGTTTAAAACATGTTCATCATTAAAGTGTCCCCTGACAGAAGGATGAGGCGGCAGACTTGGTGACAGAAGGGAGAAGAAGAGCGGCATATGGCCCCCAGTTCTGTCCCCTGCTGACAAGCTGCCTCTCTGCAAGCCCCTTTAGCTCTGTATTCCATGCACACAGCAGATTGCTATGCCCCAACTTTCCCATCTGTACCCCAGACTCGTGTCCCCACAACGTGGCTGCCATGCAGTCTTTGGCCCTGGGCTGCAGGGAGGGGGCAGGAAGAAGGGCTTCCACAGGATCTTGGGGGAGGATGGAAAGGGAGATTAACAACCAATCATCACAATGCTATCCATAATGTATTGTCTCTGCAGCATTACATGGTACATTTCCAGTGGGGATTAGCCCATCCATCACGGGTCTTTATTGGCCCCCTTTTCTGTTGTTGCATAAAGCGCAAACACAGTCGTAAAATTCTAAACTGCTTAATTGCTGTGCTGTAAAAATTTGCATATCAGAGATATGTCATTCCATCATTAAATTGCACTAGGTATTTGCTACAAGGTCCCAACAATCACGCCAGCGCACCCCTGAAGAAAGGTCATTTACTGGTATTATGCAAAATTTGTGGCAGAATTCAAATCAGTAGCAATTAGGGGTTTGGATACTGTTGGATTCAGTGTGTTTTGATGTCCTCTGGTTCAAGGCTCAGGGCGTGCTGACCCCCTTCCTACATGATCAAAATAGTTAAGCAACATCTTCTGCCAGCTTGGTTTCTGGGCTATGAGTCCTTACAAACTTCTCACCTTCACCATCTGATAGGCGTTAGGAAAGTAAGCTGACTTTTGCACCTCGATTTTGTCTTTGATCAGATTATTGAAATAGCATTACCTAGGTAGCTTGCAGTGCCATACTCAGGCATTTGTGCACCCAATTTTATCCATGTAAGATGTAAGATAGAGGGAGAACTTGGGCAGGGCTAAGCCAGGGTGTTCAGTAGAAACACCTGTACTCAATGCTAGATAGAGATCCTGTAGCAGAGAGATGCCTTTGCAGTGGTGCCCCACCTCCGCAAGTCCCCCAGGGAAGGATGTGCCTGTGGGTGGAGGCAGCAGGAGGCTCCATGACCCGCTACTACTTCCCAGAACTTTTGATACTAACAGAGCTTGTCCTCTCCGTTGGGATGATTTACAGAGCCCCCTCAGCAGGGCTCCCTTCACTTAAAAGCAGCAACTCTTGATTTACCCATGCCTGCACCCCTCTACCCAGGGTCAGAAGAATAACTAATGGGTAACTAATCCAATTGAAGCTACAACGGAGACCCTGAAACCATCAGGGCTTCAGCTGGAATCCAGCCAGGACCCTCAAACAAATGCTGCATCTACTTGCAGCCTGACAACTTTCTGAAACCCAATGATCACGCTGGCATCTGAATGTCTGAAGTCAGCTGTGCTGACCCACAGAAATGGGGTCAAACTCCAGGCAGAATGGGGAGATGATACTCTTTGCCCACCGTCTCCACAGAGGAAGAAATCAAAGATAAACAAACCATAAATATTCATACAGTGGGTGTATCTTGGTTATACAGGATTTTTACTTTCTTTATACAGTTTTGTTTTTTCCCCAAAATCTGTGCAAGGTGCATGTATTAATTCTATAATCAAGGGGGAAAGTTGTTTTGTAAAAGCAGCGGAGGCACCATACATATGCTTTCCTTATTGTGCCCTGGGGTAGAGTGTTAGTGTGGGCTCTGTGAGAAACAAGGGCAATTGAGCTTCCACAGCAGGCTACTCTAGGGACTCTTCAAGCTAGCAATAAGCACCACTCATTTCAGGGTATGTATGTTTTTTGAAAAAGGCAAAATGCATAAAAAATACAGGCCACTCTGGAACTTCTCATGAACTGTGAAAACTAAGATTTTTACCCAGGATGAGTGGCAGAAGGAAGGAAGGAGGGTTTGAGGAGGCAGTTAAAGAATCAACCTATTGGGGATATCTTGTCAAAGGCAATAATAGTAATAATAATTAAAAACAACAGCTAATACCTTTATATAGTGCCAGACATGGCTCTAAGAAGCTTTCATATATTAAGCCATTTAATACTTGTGACAACCCTATTAAGTAGATACTATTTGTATTCCTATTTTACAGATGAAGAAGCTGATGCGCAGAGAGGCTAATTAACTTTCCTGAGCTCACACAGCTAGTGGGTTGTACATGCCAAATCTAAATCCTTAGTTCAGAACTCCTTTCTAATCCATGTATAAATTGGCTCCCTAAGCAGCTTCACCTGGATATTCCAAGGGTACTTCATATTCAAAATGTTCAAATGGAAATCACCATATATTTCTGTGTCTGCATAACCCCCTTTACGTGCTCGACTTCAGTGAATGCCGTTGTTGACATTGTGTCACCCAGGACACAAACCTCAGGGTCTTTTTTGGATCTTCTTTTGTTTGCATTCACTTGCCTGTCGATGGTACCCTCCTAACACCTCTTTGGTGAGATTCTCTGTCTGTCACTGTCACTGCCATAGATCAAGCCCTCACCGCACCATCGTTCAGAAGATTATCAATTTCTCTTGTCCTGAATGGCCCATCTCTTCAGTCTTGATTCCTTCTAATCCATTTTGCACCCTGCCGAGTTTGTTTTCCAGAACATCAATCTTATCACGTCATATCCTCCCTACATTTTAAATGGCTTCCAAACTTCTTATAATAAAATAAAGTTTCTTATCATTCTCTAGATTCATTCTCACTGTTCTGTGTTGTAGAATCCGTATGCTGCAATGTTTCATACACTTTGCTCTTTACAAGTGTTTTCTCCTGCCAGGAATGCGCTCTGCTCTGCTGGAAGAATTCTGCTTAATCTCTAAGATGTGCTTCCACTGTGAAGCCTCCCCTGACACCACCCCGCCCAGACCAAGGCAAAATTAATACCTGTTCTCTATATTTCTGCTATCCCATGTACATCTAGGTTACACCTGCTATTCCCTGTTCATCCCATGTATATCTAAGTGGCATCTGCTGTCCCTGTACATCCCAAGTACATCTAAGTGACATCTGCTATCCCCTGTATAGCCACATAGATCTAAGTTACAGCTGCTATTCCCTGTTCATCCTAGTTACATCTAGGTGACATCTCTATGCCCTGTATAGCCACATACATCTAAGTTACATCTGCTTTTAACTCTGTGTGCCATGTACATCTAAATTCCTCTCAGGTAGTGTCCAAGGAGACAGAGCTGTATCAAATGTACTAAGGAACTAAGGGGACCAAGAGGAATCAATTCCAAGAGAAAGGAATCTTAATGGAGAAATCTGTGAGCCCTGAAGGGAGAACTGTCACCAGTGTCCAGCAGACTTCCAGGGAGATAGACTTTCCTGGGTGGTAAGTCAAGACACCTTGGTCAGACTTGCAAAAAGAAGACTGTAGAAAGCCGAAGGAAGACAGGAACAGACCAGCAACACCCAGCAGTGCATGGCTGGTCACACCACTGGGGCAGGCAGGGGGTCACGATGGTGGGGTGAGTGGTCCATACTAATTGTAAGTCACATCAGGAGACTGCCGATTGAGCATCCTGCTTGGTGACTATAGAGAGACTGTGAAACTTTAGGTTAACTACTTCTGTCTGTTGCTGAAAATACGTTCATTTGAGCTATCCTATCTTTTCATTCTTTTTGAGATTTACTTGAAATTTAGGAATTTGTATCAGCCTATTTCATTCTGTAGTGCAGATATTAACCTAGGATTCCATCAAGGGCTGGAGCCAAGAAAAGTGTCACCCACTATGAAATCCTCCCCACACCCAGTATCATGGTTGTCCCTGACGCAGCAGTTACAAGTGCGACTTGAGGAACTGGAATGCCTGTGCCTCCCAGCATCTCCCTCATCAGCCTCATATAGTGACTTGAAGTCCTACAAACTTATACTCTACTCTAAAATTAAAAAATAGTCTCCAAAAATCTCTTTTGCTAAAATTAAAATGTTATCTGAGTGTAATAACAGATTGACATTTCAAAATACACTTGCTAAATGAAGTTTAGCCTAAAGCTTCCTCCTTACATATTTTAAGTTTGGCCTAAAGATTTTTCTGTACATCAGGAGCTATAATCTAAATAGAGCTGTAAACAGACTGTAGCCTACTCTTCTACCAGTCATTGAATTTTGGCCAATCAAAGTGGTCAACTGTTCAATCCATGTTCAAATAAGACAGACGCCAAGCTGTAAATAATCTGGCTATTTCTGTACCTCACTTCCATTTTCTGTACATCCTTTTCCTTTTTCTGTTCATAAATCTTCCACCACGTGGCTGCACTGGAGTCCCTCAGCCCAGTCTGGCTGAGGAGGCTGCCCAAATTGCTAATCGTTATTTGCTCAACTAAACTCTGTTAAACTTAATTCAGCTAAGGTTTTTCTTCTAACATACTCAACCTGCTAATTCTTCAGTTCCACTTTAAAAACATTTGGGCTGGGCACGGTGGCTCGCGCCTGTAATCCCAGCACTTTGGGAGGCCGAGGCGGGTGGATCACAAGGTCAGGAGATTGAGAACATCCTGGCTAACGTGGTGAAACCCCATCTGTACTAAAAATTAAAAAAAAAAAAAAGAAAAATTAGCTGGGCTTGGTGGCACACTCCTGTAGTCCCAGCTACTCAGGAGGCTGAGGCAGGAGAATCGCTCGAACCCAGGAGATGAAGGTTGCAGTGAGCTGAGATTGCACCACTGCACTCCAGCCTGGGCAACAGAGCAAGCCTCCATCTGAAAATAAATAAATAAATAAATAAATATTAAAAAAATTAAAAATAATTAAAAATAAATAAAAACATTTATTTCACATCTACCTTGTGCCAGGAACTGTGGTAGGTGCCAAGTATACAAAGACATGTCCCCATTCACTGAACCAAAGTAGCTTAAAACGTAAGAAGATATGCTTAACATATACTGAGTAATAAAATGGAAATTTGCACAAGATACATCAAATAAGTTGATTTCAGCCCAAACTTCTGAAAGACAGCTTGCTAGAGATTTCTCCAGAGCTGAACACTTATAAATTGATCAAACTAATGAGTCAGAAAAAGGAAGTGTAATTGGAAGGGGTCTGGGGAGGTAAGGTGGGCAGCAAGATGTACTTACTGTCTGCAAAGTCTGTGAACAGCCTGGAAACTGAGAAAACCAGTCACCTCTCATAAATAAGTGCTATGTCCCCATATTTGAATAAAAGTCACCCAAAAGAAGGTGGAAAAGATCACTGATACCAATTTTTCTGAATACTTTTAGCTGCTGGCATGACATCTGGTCCCACCAGGGTGGCCCTCTTGGCAGAGGGAATGACCAGTAGTCATCATGGTTCACAATGGGTATTATTGGTGTGAAATAGTGAAAACTCTCAGTTTTGGTTCTAGTATTGTAGGTCTTCTACAAGTGGATACTCACAATTCTTCTTTTTAGTTATTTTCTATCTTGATAAAGCATTTGTCATTTTGCACATAATGCTTCTCTTATCTACATAGCTGATTTTAATTCTGAAACTTTTCCATGAGATCATCAAACTAAGGGAAGTTGGAGGTGGGGAGTGGGCAAAGGCCCTTCCCATATTCCTCACATTATGCTTAGGATCACTGACAGTTGGTGTTTGAATGACCACAGTGTAGAAGTTCTCTATCAGTTAGGCTTATTGGTTGCAAGCAACAGAAACTGACTCTGGCCATGTTGGGGGAAAAGGAATTAACTGGTAGGATATCAGCATACGAAATGATGAGAAGCTGGAGACAAAACATAAGACATGGAAAGTGAATAGGAACTAAGGCATCTCTGGGAAAGAGCAGCTAACATATCTTCTGCCTTTTAGTGGACACAATCAGTCTTGTCAGAACACCAGGAGCTATTCCTGGTTTTGCATAGTGCAGCTGACACCTCTGAACACAACCCAGTATGTCCAAAGGGATCACAATTATTTCTCCCAACTTTGTAGATGTCCCCTGGATTTAGAGTCCTGGATGGTTGAATTTGAGTCACAGGTACATTCACTGATTTCCTGGGGACATGGTAAGGGAGGCTTTCTCCCTTTCTTTCCACCTCAGTCCTGGGGGGCAGAACACTGTATCCCTCCAGTAGAGCACAATATTATGAGGATCCTCCCAACCAATAAGGGGTTGGGATATTGGGAAACCTACCCCCTCCAGTTATTTTTTGTTCACTGGAAATTTTTTTATTGTACTTGCACTAGGCAGGCAATCATTAAAACATGATGTTCTATTTTTTTCTTTCTATTTTAAGAAGTGTAAACTTAAGAAATTGGAGGACTAGGAGAAACCAAACATAAAGCAAATATTATCTATGATGGAAAGTTAAAGAAGTTGTATCTTTTATTCTAGAAAGAGAAGAGATTTAGAACAGGCATTGAAATCACTAACAATGGCTGAACATTGGCAAAAGCCATCTAAAACTTGGAGGATCTTTTCTCCAAAGATCCTTTGGGACACGTCTTCCTTGACATAGTTCCACATCAAATCAAGGACTGAATAAAATCACTTCGAGATACTATAAGTCTTAGAAAACCCACTATTTCTTTCATCAGAATTTCCCACAACATAATAAATTTTCCTAATCAATTAGTGGTAATTATAAAATATTTAGTATGTGCTTACCATTTTCTAAGTATTTTAGAGAGTGTGGGAAGAAAGAAAAGGTCCTCTACTCCCATGGAGCAGAAATGATGAGCGTAGAGGATATTACGGATTGGTTCACAGTAACTCCATCCTTTTCTCCTCTCTGATGTTTTCTTGTACCACAGAAGCTGGAAGGCTAAAAATTACATTTTTTAGACTCCCTTTTTTTTAGAATTAGGATTCTGGGTACGAATTAAATTCTGTCAATTAGAAATATTCACATGAAGTTTGGAAATGAGTCCAAGGTCATCTCTATGCCTTTTGACTATTTTTCAGCTGACAAGAGAGGGTAGGAAGGGTAGAAGTTTCTGCTGCAGTATTCCAGTATTTCTTCTTTAGCCTCCAGGGTGTCCAGAGGCAGCCACAACCATGGCTGCTTCCTAACTGCAGCTTCCTCATCCCCAGATTGAAGCTACAGTGGTACCTTCTTGGACTCAATGGTTCCAGAGTCTGTCTTTCCTGCAAGGTCAGATCTGTAGTGTTGTTGGAGTCATTCCTGGAGATTTGGCCTAAAAGTCCACTTCTTCAGCTTTCCTAACTTATATTGTTGGATAGGAGAAGGGAATTTTTTTAGTACACTGTGAAGGTGGTTACTGAAACTTTCCTAAGCCCTGGTGGCTAGCTCTGCTGAGATACAAGCAACACTACTTTAGAATTCCTCAGCCTAACTTCATATCAGAACCATCCATGAAGCTATTGTTGGGAAAGGCAATCTGCCATGGGTCCTGGGCATCCTTGTACATTCTGATTGGGTTGTGTTCATAGCAAGTGGCCTTGATGAATAAGGTAACATCTCCCTCTGGGACAAAACTTTCCTTACAGACTTGCCTACTGCTTACTACAAAATTAGTGAATTCCTCAAGTTCAATATTCCTTAGCTGTGATGCAAGCCTACTGCATGTGCTCCATTTACCTGAGCCCCTCCACATTGCCCTGCTGGGAGTTGAGGGCAAGGGGAATGGACACTGAACATGATGCTCATGCTACTTGCTGTACTGTGAATAATAGTAGCAGTCTGTTGTCTCTGACCCAGGAGTCTTATGTCTTCTGCCAGAATCTGTGAAACAGTAACTGGCTAGCTTGATAGCTTGCACATAGAGTATAATCCCAGACTTTGACAGCTTCGAAAATCCATAATTCCCTGGTATCCTTTGCCCATCTACTGAATAATAATCTCTAATGATAGGCCCTCAGGAATCTGTATTTTTAGAGGCTCAGCCAGATTTGAGAATCACTGGTGAAAGATAAAGGAGAAAGTGTCAGGATCCCTTGTTTCCACACACACACACATACACAGAGCTATACATCGAATTCACTAAGGACTATAAGTCTTGAAGGTACTACTGACCAATGAACTGTGATGACAGCAGTGAAATGTAGTGCCCCTCAGAGTAGCAAGGAAAGAGCAGAAAAGTAGCAACAGTGCCAGGTGGGAGCAAACCTTTGAAAGGCACAAAAAACCCAATTCCGTTCCAAATTGCTACTGCACAAAATCTGTACCAATCAATGCAGCATTCACTATAAGAAACAGAAACTCACTATAAGAAACAGAAACCACTCTAGTTATTTTAAGCAGAAAGGTATTTAATACAGGGCATTAAATGCTTATATATTACTTTCAACTAATTTGCATCACAGCAAGAAAAACTGAGCTTGGGGAATTCATTACTTTACTAGTAAGTGCTAAGCGAGCCTGCAAGTCCTTTTAAAGTCATCTCATCTATCAAGGCTGCCTCCTATAAACACAACCCTGGGAAGTGTCCTGGATAAAGAAAAATCAGGGCCTTGTATTCTGAACATACCCAGTCAATGTGCAGGGATGCCCAGTACTCATGGTGGATTGCCTCTTCCAACAATAGCTTCATAGGTTGTTCTGATATGAAGTCAGTTTGAAGGACTCTAAAGTACTATCACTGTACCTCGATCAATCCAGGCATCTGGACTCAGGGTAGTTTGAATAACCACCTTCACAGAGTCACTCCTTTCATCCAACGGGAGACCGATTATTAGGTCAAACTCGTAGTCCAGGCTTTTTTCATTAGGAAAATATCTTTGTTAGGAGGCTCATCAGATTCCATCAGAAAAACTCTGGTTAGGTCACCCATCAGCTCACTGGCCATGCCCAAATATGACTGAACAGCTGGAGAGATGCCTGCAGTCTAAGTTCAAGTTGGGATCCTAACATATATCTATTTTATACAATTGAGATCACAATGTCTTTAATTTTTTATTCCTCAATTTTTACTAAACTTTATTTTCTATGGTATGAATGTTTGTGCCTCCCACTAGCTCATATTTTGAAATCCAAACCCCCACGGTGATGGTATTAAGAGGTGGGGATCTTTAGGAGGTGATTAGTTCATAATAATGGCGTTCTCATGCCCTTATACAAGAAGCCTAAGGTAGCTTGTTTGCCTCTTCTGCTACGTGAAGACACAGCAGGAAGTCATCATCTATGAGGAATGGACCTTTCAAACACTGGATCTGCTGGCACCTTGATCTTGAACTTTCCATCCTATAGAACTGTGGGAAATAAACGTTTGCTGTTTAAAAGCCACTCAGCCTATAGTATTTTGTTGTAACATTACAAACAGACTAAGACATTATTAAATTAGATTGCCCCTAGATAATTGAATATTTTTCTAAAACATGTTTTTTTGTTTTTTGTTTGTTTGTTTGTTTTTTCAGAGAGGGAGTCTCATTCTGTCTCCCATGCTGGAGTGCAGTGGCGCAATCTCGGCTCACTGCTAGCTCTGCCTCCCGGGTTCACGCCATTCTCCTGCCTCAGCCTCCCGAGTATCTGGGACTACAGGTGCCCGCTAAAACATGATTTTTAATGGCTACGTGATAAGCATCTCAACATAATAATGCAGGTAAGATAATACAAGCTATTACAATATAACACTGTCTCACTGTCAAAAATACAACACTGAGGCAGCATGGTATTGTGGAAGGAATATGGGTCATGGATTTGAAAAAGCTGAAAACTGAGAACTGGTTCTCATTTATTAGTTATGACTTTAGGTAGGACACATATTTTCCCTAAGTCTCAGTATTCTTGTCTTTAATGTAAGAAAAAAATCTATCTCATAAAGTTGTTGTAAAATAGTAAATGAGATCATGTATGCAAAGTGTTTTGCATGGGCCTGGCACAAAGGTAGTGGCTCCATAACTATGGGTTATTATTAACAACTGCAGTATCAGTACTGGATGGGTATTTTACTTCATTCCTCCTATGTGTGTTCATTAGAGTTTAAAGTGAGCACAGAGGTACTAACAAAATCTCAAGTGACTCTCTGACTCACAGTTTGTATGAAATCATAATTCCCAAATAGGACAATGGATTTGGTGTCAGGAGTTTATACTGCTGTACAAATGCAGCCAAATACTTAGGCCACGCTTTGTCATCAAATTATCAGGGCTCAAATAAATTAGATATTTTTGACATCCTTGTGACAGCAGTTAGAAGTGGCCAAACTCTATTTAACTACAAGACAAATCATTGGCTGTCCAATTTATTTGAGGCATAAATTTTAGCCACAAGGTAGATGATTGTTTGAGGAGCATCATTCATTTGTTCATTAATTCGTTCACCTATTTTTGGCAAAATTCTATATATTAGACTATGGGTTGGCAAACTTTTTCTGTAAAGAGCCAGATAGTGAATATTTTAGGCTTTGTGGGCCAATATGGTCTTTGTTATAATCACTCAGTTGTGCCATTATGGAGCAAAAGCAGCCATAGACAAATGGCATAGTAAATGAACGGACATAGCTGTGTTCCATATGAACTTTATTTACAAAGAAACCCACAACAGGTGGCAGACCAAATTTGACCCATTTGTCAACTTCTGTACTGACACAAGCTCTTGACCTTGTGGAACTTATAGACTGTAGAGGGGACAGCATGGTTATCAACCAGAAGATAATAGATTATGTCAGAAGTATGTATAGTATAGAAGTGGCACCACAGTTGACCACTTTGTAAAATGGGAGGGATGATATTGGCTAAAAGAGAGCTCAGAAACTCACAATTAAGCTTCTTGGAGGGAGGAATTCAGTCACTCACCATCAATCAAAATAACCAGTATTGTTTTACCTTATGGCAGTAGTGTTAAACCTGAAGTATGTTAGACTAAAAAAAATTGCTTTCTTTTAAATACAATAACGCTTGACCATGTTTCTGGAATGTTGGAATCTCTTCAGGAGATTTGTACCACAATCTATATTCATTATGCTGTCATTATCTCAATAATTTCTTTTCATGTGTAAGCATTTTTTTAACCAAAAGGATCTCTTATTAAATTAAGATAAAATGGCAATTAATCTAGAGGATTATCAAAGACAGGAACATGCATTTATCTGGATCTCTCTTTTTAAACATCAATGGCCTGTTAATGTCCTAATATTTAGGAGGGTAACATGATAAAAGGCTTCCTGCCTCTGTCAGCTCATTTTGTATTAACATATTCCTGTCACCAGTTAGGCAATTAACAGAGACTAAAGGAACACTAATTCCTTTTCTGCCAGTGTGCTGGATCAACTTTATTCCTATGAGCTTGCTTCGTGAATGATTCTTTTTGAAAAACAAACATCTTGATATTTCTGTGGAGATGGAGATTAGAGAAAGTTCTTTTTGTATATGACACTGTTGCAAAATAAGTCCTTTAGGGAGATGGAGGGATAGGTAAACTCAAATTTCAGAAAGAGGAATGCTATGAAGGCAAGATGGTTCCTAGGTGGTATCAAATTCTTCATAGATGATTATCATTCTGGAGAAAATAGCTGCAACACAGCTCCCCACTTCATGAATTTATACAGGTCACATGCCAGTCCCCCACATACTACTATGTGGAGTAAAGCTCTTAGAGGTTGATTAAATTCAGTGCTAGTCTTATCCCCTCACATCAGTGTTCAGGAGGGTCTTCTACACTTTCTTTGCCTATTTTGATTTGGTACAATCCTAAAAGTGATTTGGTAAAATCACTTTTACCAAAAGCAAACTGACATTGAACCCATTAGGTAAAACAGGGAAGAATGGAAATGAGAAATTTCCTAAGACCTCAGGAAGGAGAATAGGAAGAACCTAGAGCAAGTCAAATGTCAGGGAGAGTGAGGAGCTGGGATATGATAACAGCACCAAGGTACAGAAAAAAGTTGCACAACTGTCCTATTAACATACCAGATTTGATTTGACTCCATTATATTTCATAAAATAGTTTAGAAAACCCCCAGCATAAAACACCATCATAATTGTAATCATATATTTGGAGATTTAATGTGCACACCATAATGTACCATTAGTTACACAAATAACTAATAATTTGCTAATGACAATATTATGTTAAGTCAGTTTAGGGGCAATTAAAGTGAGTGATATTTACATATGCCTAATGAATCACAGTCGATGGCAGATTAAGAGATTCTAATGAATATTCATCCAGACATTCGCAACCAGCTTCACAGTTTATAAACTGAATTATGGTTGATTTGCCCTTTTAAAAATGAATATGTGAGTATCTTCTGCATGGTGAGAATGAACAATTGGGCCTGACTGTAAAATTTTTTTTAAAGCAATGTACTGGTCAGAACACAAAACATTTTTATGCACTCTCATACCCTCCGCTTCGCTGTTCTTTTTTATATCACAGATCAGTGTTGACGAACTATCTCCATTTTCATTCTAATCTATGACATGAAATATAGAAATTGTTTAGTATAAGATTAAATGGAATACAAGTTTTATGCAGCCCCACTGAGGAAATAATTACAGGTAGTCTTTGCTATTGAAACAGCGAATACACACTCTTTTTTTATGCAACTCAGAAGGCTGTTTTTGTAGCTATACTTTGTCATGATAAAATTGGGGTAGATTTACTATTCTTGCAACTTGGTCATTTAAAACAATAACAAAGCAAACAAAAACACCTTGCTTTGGCCCCGTTAACACAAATTAAGACCAAACAAGGTTATGGTTTGAACATTTACTTTTTCCTCAAAACTATAGCCCTTTCTGCCTTTACTAGCTGTTCCTCATAAATATTGTGAGTTTTATCCCTGTTGCAAAAACAAAGGCCAAACTCTTTTTGTCTCCCTCAAGGCCCCACAATAGGTTTATGACAGACTTGATGCCTATAGCCCCCATTTCTGTTTTACCTTAAATCAGACAATGTTGTTTCTCTGCTATTCAGATTAGAAAGGTATTCATGATTGCCCTTATTATTTCTTTACATGAGGAGATAGAGGCTAGAACCAGAGCATTTGGATGATGGGAGTTACTAAGACAATTGAGTAAGCTTGTGCTTGATGTTTGTTCCATATAAGATGTCAACCTCATATTAACACAATATTAAGTGAAATCTTAAGCATTTTAAAGGCCTACGAGATTAACTTCGAAGCTGACATTTCCATTCAGCATGTTTTCACAATGTACTTTCATAATTTCATTGCATGTTATTAAAACTTTTAAAGGTCAAATAGTATGACACTTGTCAGAATTGATGACTTTTTGCTTTCCAAAAATCATGCCAATTGAGTATATTGCCAGTAGGGTTAAAGAAGGACTTTGTCCACCCAATCTCTCTGTGGCCACCTAAAAGCTCATTGTGATTTCTTTGCGCTGATATTCTATTCATAGAACTTTGAATGTGAATGTCTGATTCCTGGAGATCTGGTGTTCCTGGGTGAGCTTAGTTGGGCAAATTTCTGCCTGCAGCACCTTCAGGGAGGTTTCTAGCAGTGCTTTTGTCATCAGTGAGTCGGCACGCCATTCAGCTCCATAAACCATGCATGCTCTAGGAAGGCAGCACATTCACTGTCTCCATCACACTTTTGCTTTAAAATCTTTTGCTGTTTTTTCTCAGGTGCACGAAATTTGATACATTCAGTCCTCCTCCTCATATCATGCTCTTTTGGACTATGGAAGAATTAGGATTCTTGCTTTCATTCCCAGATGCCCTCACGTGAAATAGATTTTGAAGGCCTTGCTAAGCCCTGAATACAGATGCCCTGATACCAGTTTGTCCTTGTGCTGCTGGAAGCAAGACTAGTCCCATCTCGACTACCCCTCCTCACCCCTGGGTCTTTTGAAGGTTGGGCTGGAAACTACAGATGAGTTTTGAACTATGATCCCTAGGGCTCTGGGACTCTAGTGAATGTCTCACGGGTTTCTGCAGAGAACAGGGTGGTGCCCCACAGGCACTGCCTCAGGCCTCATACTCCAGCTTTCATCTGGGCTTCCTTGGTTCTCTCTGTTTTAATTATTTTACTAGAAAGGAAGTATACTTCTGCTAGAACTTGTTTGGGAAATCACTGATACAGTGAGGAACAAGTGCAGGGATTTTGTAGTCAGGCAGACCACAGTTCAAATCTGTGCTCTACTGTTCGCATGACATTTGGTAAATTACTACTTCGAGCATCCATTTCCTTATCTGTTAAACTGGAATAGGATAACTACCTCTCAGATTTGTGGCAAAGATGAAATGGATTTGCATATTGATTGTACTGCTGGGTACTTTCTAAGTGCTTTAGAAATGTTGGTCTTCTCTTTCTTCTCTTACTGGTTATGCTAGTAATCTAAACTCAAAAAAATTCAATTGAGGTAGAGTGATCATGTGTCCTAGTTTGCCTAGAATAGTTTTGGCTTCTCCCTGTTCTCCCAGCATAATTTTTCAGTGTCTTGCATGTTTAGCAGTGTCCCAGTTTGGATGACAGAGTAAGAGATTACCCCCAATTCTGCTGGCAGTTTATAAATTAACTTGATCTTCTTAGGTACAAGCTTGCTGCTGCCATTTTCAGGCAGTACAGCAATTGCATTTGACATTAAGCCCTGAAACTCATGCCCCCCTTGTCCCCCGCCAGGAACTGTTGAAAATCTGAAGTCAAAAAGGAGAATCTATTCATGACAGTAGCAAATGATGAATGATCACATACCAAGTGCTTGTGTGGATTCAACACAGAACCAGATGCTTTATGAATGAAATTACACTCTCTGAGGAAGATATTAGTGTCCCCATTCTGCGGATAAGGAACTGAGGCTCAAAACAGTTACATAGACAACAAATAGGCAGAGGAGTTTGAATTTAATCCCAATAATCTGCCTTTTTGTATACAGCAAATAGAATACTTCAAAAGTTACCTTATATATTTTTATTATATTTACAGCTCTACAAGTCTCTCTCTCTCTGTATTTGCCAGATGTTCATTTATTTATTTATTTATTGTTGTATTTGTTTATTTTTTTGAGACAGGGTCTCACTCTGTCGCCCAGGCTGGAGTGCAGTGGCACGATCTTGACTCACTGCAACTTCCACCTCCAGGGTTCAAGAGATTCTCATGCCTCAGCCTCCTGAGTAGCTGGGACTACAGGTGCACATCACCACACCTGGCTGGTTTTTGTTTTGGTGGAGACAGGGTTTCACCATGTTAGGCTGGTCCCAAACTCCTGACTTCAAATGATTGACCTGCCTCAGCCTCCCAAAGTACTGGGATTGCAGGCATGAGCCACTGTGCCCCAGATGTTCAGTTTTTTAAAATGCAGGGTTGGCATTTTCAAAATTTGTATAAGTATTTCCTTAGTCTTGTAAGGCTTTTTCTGTAAGTCTTATATAAGTATTTTTCAGGGGAAATCATTAATGTAGCATTTATATCTTTAGACTTTCATATCATGAGGTAGGAATCAGTGTCTTAGAGTCAACCTGGAGTCCCACTGGGTAGAGTGTGAGACACTTGGAAGATGCGATAGGCAGGATCAACCCCTCACTTCTAGGAATACCTTCTTCACTGGCCTCCACTTGGAGAGATAGGTCAGGGCCTAGATGGTGGCCATTTAAGACAGAATAAACATTATATAATCTAAGGGAAATCACACATTGATAAGCTCATATGTTACCATGGGCTAGGATATTGGATTGATTGACCTGGTCTTACCTTTTACCAGTTACAGGGGCAGGCCTTGAAGGATGGCATGGAGCACTGGGAGGTGCATTGGTGGCAATCATGAACCGGGCTTGCTGTTTTGGACCTTGGAGCTCTGCAGGCAAGGACTCTGGTGACTGTGCCAGGTGACTGGGCACCAGAATTATGTTGTTGCCATGTCTTCTCTAGGTGCAGGGTTCCATAGGAGGTTTCATTTTGGAAACAGTGTGTAACTACTTAGAGGGGGTTAAAAAAAAATAAAAGCAAACACCACCACCAACAAAAGTGCACAGAGGTTTGAAAATTCCTAGGGTAAAAGAACACTAAGAAAAGAAAGATATGCATTCAAGGAAAACTTCAAAACTTGTCCTACTTGGAAGAAGTGGTCCAACCATAGGTATGAAGGAAATGTGTACTTCATTCTCCATTACTGTAAGACATCTCTAGTAACCCTCGGAGAACTGGAGCCTCTTCCCAGCTTTGCCTTCATGCTCTCTTTCAGGGAGGGACACAGGGCTTTCATTGTTATTATCAACACCCCCCACCCCCAACACACACACACACAAACACACACACACACACACACACACACACACACACCACACACACACACGTGCTGTAACAACTCTGGAGCAATCTTCCTCATTTTCATACCCTCCTTCTTACTCTTCATTGACCTACTGTGTACTGTGTGGGCTGAGCTTTCAAATCTCATCTCAGCATTCGAGAAGCAGCCTGGTTAAATCTACTTCCTAGACAATTTATACTTTCATATTACTCCATTTTCATACAGCATAGCAAGGCCGTCCTGAGTGAGCACTGCTTTGCTGCTTGTAGTCAGAACTTGCTCAATGGTCTTGTTTTAAAATGGGAAGGATGGTAAAGGGCATGTTAAGGAGTGAGAATGACTCGGTCCACTCAAAATAGGGTTTGTATGAGTAAATCCAGGACATCTTTATGAATTTGTGCAGATTTATGTGCAAAATGACTCGAATTTTAAATAAGCATATGCTTATTTGTATGTATGCTTTTTCTGTCATTGAATTATTTGGCTATTTGATCTTAGTAAAGCCACAGCCTCTGTGTTCTGTGGGATAACCATTTTCTCTGTAGTTTTTAAGGTTAGGATTCATTCACAAATTATTGTACATTTCTTGCATATTAGACTCACTAGACTTATTGTTGTGTTTTGGTATTTTCTGGAAGGACTGAATTTTATAGATGAGGAAAATGAGCCACATGAAACCCGAGTTTTTCCGAGCTTTTCAATGTAGTTTCCAATTTTTGCCTCAAAGACAAGTTAGGGTCCTACTCTTGTTCAGAAATTCACATGAATTCATATAGGATGTTTATTGTTTTAGAATATGGTCACCAAATAACCAGACTGAACTTTTTTACTACACCGTCTCCAAAGATCTTTATCTGGACGCTGTTAAACACCCGATTACCTCTCTTCACCTGACCCAGTTTTACTGTGTGGCCTGGGCTGTTGCATACATAGGCTGGTGGCAACTCCTGTGCCATACTCTGAGCTGCCACACCCAGTGTGGACCTGGACAGAAGAAAAGCTGAGTCTTTCATTCCTAATGGAGCAGAGAACAAAGTGAGTGGTTTGTGGGCTCAGAAGTTCTTTAAGCTGGGAATAGTAGGAAAAGTATAAAAATGGCCTTCAACTATCCTCCCAAAGCAAATGAAGTTCTCAGATATAAAAAGCGATTACATCACTCTTTTTAATGAAAAAACTAGGTGAGAGTAAAGGTATCAATATTTCCCAGATCAATCTGCAGATTTAAAGCAACTCCAGGCAAATTCTTAACAGGATTTTTGAAGATTTAGATAAGCGAACACTAACATTACATGGAAAGAAAGGCAAAGAATCAGAAAAGTTCAAACACTTTTGAAAACAGAATAAAGTTAGAGGAACCACACACACTATGCAATTTTAAGCAATTATCAACACATTGTGGTATTGAAAACAAACAGATATGTAGATTAATAGAACAGAATAGAGAATTTAAAACTAGGTTCCCCATATAAATATGACCAACTGGTTTTTGACAAAGATACAAAGGAAATTTAATGGAGAATAGTATTTCAATAAATAGTGTTAAAATAATTGGACATCCATAGGCCAAAAGAAATTAGCCTTGACTTATTCCTCATTCCTTATACAAAGATTAACTCAAAATGAATAATAGTTCTAAATAGAAAATGAAAAACTATAAGACTATTAGAAGAAAACATGAGTAGAAATCTTCAAGACCTGGGGTTGGGCAAATAATTCTCAGATATGACACCCACAACACGATCCATAAAATGAAAAATTGATAAGTTGAACTCCATCAAAATTTGAAACTTGCTTCAGGAAAGATAAACTACAAACCAGGAGAAAACATTTGCAAATCACTCATCTAACAAATGAATTGTATCCGGAGTATACGCTGAACTCTCAAGACTCATCAGTAAGAAAACAAATTACCTATTATAAAAATAAGCAAAATACTTGAACAGACACTTCACTAAAGAGATTATATGGAAGCAAATGAACATATGAAAAAATGTTCAACCTGATTAGCCCATGGTAAATGCAAATTAAAACCACAATAAGATACAATTATATACTTTTTCATGGCTAAAATAAAAAATAATAGCAATACCAAGTTTTGATGAAAACATAGAGCAACTGGAATTCTCACACATTTTTGGTGGGAATGCAAAGTGGTATAGCCACTCTGAACATGTTTGGCAGTTTCTTACAAAGTTAAATATACACTTACCATACGACCCACAAATCTCACTCCTGGGTATATACCCTAGAGAACATAAACATTTGTATACAGATGTTTACAGTAGCTCTATCTATAATCACCAAAAACTGGAACTAACCCAAACAGCCTAATTAATGGGTGAGTATGATGGAATCCTGCTTGTCCAGGAATAGACGGTTGGTAACAACTTCGAAGACTCTCAAAATCTTTAAGTTGAGTGAAAGAAATCAGCCTCGAAAGGTTCCGTACAGTAGAATTCCATTTACATGACACTCTCAAAAAGACAAGCTACAGTGAGGGAGAACATATCAGTGGTTGCCAGAGGTTAGAGATGGGAGAAAGTTGTGACTACGAAGGGATAGCACAGGGAGGATTTTTGGAGTGATGGAATTGTTATGTATCCATTCGTGGTATTAGATACGAAGAATGCACGTGTTAAAATTCGTAGAACCACACAAACACAAAATGTCAATTTTTTAGCATGTTAATTAAAAACACAAAATAAAAATCATTTAGTAGAATTCTGTTTCCTACCCCATCCAATCTAAGCCCTCCTCTCTTCCTGTGTATGAGACCCTCCATAATCTGCCTCCCCACTTTGTGATGTTCCTAGGTTTAGTCTCTCACTGTTCTGTGAGCAAGTGATGCCCTGACACCATCCATCTGCTATCCTTTTATGAACAAACATTATTGCTCCCCTGTAAAATGCTAGACACAGTGTTAACCTTGGCCTTGGGGGTGCAAGCTTTCTTAAGCTATAGTCTCACTTCTCCTTTTCTTTTTTTTTTTTTTTTGAGACGGAGTCTTGCTGTCTCACCCAGGCTGGAGTGCTGCGGTGTGATCTCCGCTCACTGCAAGCTCCGCCTCCTGGGTTCACGCCATTCTCCTGCCTCAGCCTCCCAAGTAGCTGGGACTACAGTCTCCCACCACCACGCCTGGATAAGTTTTTTGTGTTTTTAGTAGAGACGGGGTTTCACCGTGTTAGCCAGGATGGTCTGGATCTCCCGACCTCCAGATCTGCCTGCCTTGGTCTCTCAAAGTGCTGGGATTACAGGCGGGAGCCAAAGCGCCCGGCCCTCCTTTTCTTTTTATTCTAATCAAGTCCCACCTCCTTCGCCATGCCTGCCCTGCTCATTCCCACAACCGCTGCATATGATCTTCTCCCAACATTGTACATTTCTTGCATATTAGAAAAGAATGACAGAGCATTCATATACTCTGTCATCCACACCACCAAACTAATGCTATACTATTGTACTGTTTGTGTTGCATTTTTCCAACCAGATTTTGGGTTCCTTGAAAACAGAAACTTGGTTTTTTTGTTTTGTTTTTTTCAGTCAGACCTCAAATGATCAAAATAGCTCTTAACAGAGTAAGTGCCCAATAAACACCTCACTATTTAAAACCTGCATGGGCATTGTAATGAATGATGTTCATCCTAGGAAAGTATGAACTTAGTCCTGAATTTGAAGTAGCTCCATTTCCCATATTTCTCATTCCTCTTCCCTTGCTGCTCTTAAAAAGACTATAAACTCATCTTTCTTGATACTTCTCAGCAAGAGCTATGTGGCTTTATTCACACTTCACTTCACTTCACATTCTATCATGTCCCCCTGACCTTTCGTCCTTCAGGAACCAAAACATTTCTTGTTTATTATTCTCTGACTTGCAGAATACTTAGATTCTTAATTTAATTGTACCACCTTTCCAGGACTTTCTCAGTACCAGATGGCTTATACCTCACCTATGCCTCTTCCCTCATGATATTTTTTTTTGCATTTTAAAATCTGCATTTGTCATTTTTACTTCTCACATGTTTACAGTCGGATGGTAAGAACAGTCTCAGGGTATAGAGCATCATTGTCTGTTCACGCCCTTCTTCAGGTCATGTGTGGGTATCCAGCTCTCCTGGATTCCTCCATGCACTGCTGTCCTTCTGATCCTGCCTCTGGTCTTACTCTCTGTGCTCTTCCTCATCACCCTGCTGGGAACTGAAGCTGCTGGAAGCCCACTGCAACCCCAGTGTCCTGAAGGAGAGGAAATGCCCCTTTTTAGAACAGCTTGGAAAGCACCAGGAATTTGGACTTGGGGTTCTCGGTTTTATTTTTAACCTTCATCCTGAACAGCAACCCAGAGGCTCCTCGCCATTTTCATGTATAAAATGGCCTGGATTTAAGCAGCATCTTGTCAGCCACACATGGCCATTTTTGTTTTATGGAAGTGAGGCAGGAGAATAGGGTATGGAGGCAGGGAGCCTAAGGACGATTCATGCTGACTTCCTAGAACTAAATCAAAAGGACAAACCCAACTATCCACACCTAAGTAACAAAACGACCAGAGGCTACCCCCTTTGCAACCCCCACCTTTTTTCTGCGTGGCAGATGGAAAATTGAAAGTACCTCTGATTGGTTGCAGAAAGCAATTTGCATAGGAGTGTAACTCTGTAACTTCACTTCAGCCTCTGATTGGTTGCTTTCTGCAGGAAAACTTGCTTCCTGCAACCATTCAGACTAATTGCAGTCCACTACTTCATTTGCATGGAGTGTATACGAAGTAGCCAATGAGAAACCTCTAGAGGGTATTTAAAATCCAGAAAATTCTGTAACTGGGCTCTTGAGCCCCTATGCTCAGCTCAGTCCCACTCTGTGGGGTGTATTGTCGTTTTCAATAAATCTCTGCTTTTGTTGCTTCATTCTTTCCTTGCTTTGTTTGTGTGTCTTATCTAAGTCTTTGTTCAAGACACCAATAACCTGGATAACCTCCACCGGTAGCAAAAGGGGTTTGACCAAAGGGAAGCACCAGACAGAGGAAAGCAGAGACCAAAAGAATATAGAATCCAGGCCTCCTGCCACCAGGCAAGCACAAAATGTCTGTCTCCTGAGCAGAAACTTATTTATCTGCGTATTCATCACAGTCAGCTGCTTCAGCAACGCCGGCAGCAAAACCAGCAAAAACGTCTCCACATTTCATGCTATCAGAATATGCTCACTTCCTAACATCCACCTCAGAGTAAAAATAATAAAAATACAAAAATACTAGAATACAGCCACGTTTGCATCTCTGGGAGCTGAAAGCCACATCTGATGGCCACATCAACACTGAAAGAGAACATCCCTAATTCACTGCAAGAACAGAACGCTAGTAAGTGAGCCAAGTGGCAAACAAGGAACGCCCCTTTATTAGCATGGGCATATTACAGTGGGAGAGAAAGGAAGGACAGGTACACACCAAATGTTAATGAGTAGCATGGTGGAATGGTTTTTTTCTTTAGTTTGCTTGTGTGTACTGAATACATTTTCTACCACTATTGCATATTATTATTTTCAATAAGAAAAATGTATTATGTTTGACTCGATTGCAGTGCAGGTCTCCATTATATATCCTCTTAGAATTACATATTACTTTTAGAATAAAACAATAATAATTCAAACAGTTCTGAATACATGATATGAAGCAGCACCTGGAGCCAAGACTCTTGTAAGATAAGTTGAGCCATCACTGATTTGGGTTGGGAGGAGCAAGCAGCTGCCTGACCTCTTGGAGTGACATCATCAGAACTGAGTGAGGAAATTAAAAAGCGTCTCAAATAAGGAATGGAATTGGGCCTGCATTCATTTATTCATTTTTTATTCATTCAATAAACATTTTTAAGTGTGTGCTATTAGGAAGGATATAAAGTCAAATAATATATAACACTATTATTAAAGAATTTAAAATCTGGAAGGGAGATTAGATAGGTCTCACAATTCCTGCTTAAGTTGATTGAATGAATACGTGTGGAAATTCACACCCCTTTCTCTTCAAGCAGAGAAGATAATAAGTAAATTTTTTGGCTGGGTGCAGTGAGTCATGCCTGTAATCCCAGCACTTTGGGAGGCCAAGGCAGGAGGATTACTTGAGCCCAGGCATTCAAGATCAGCCTGGACAACATAGGGAGAACTCATCTCTACAAAAAATAACAAAATTAACCAAGCATAGTGGCACACACCTGTATTCCCAGCTACTTGGGAAGCTGAGGCAGGAAGATTGCTTGAGCCTAGGATTTCGAAGTTACAGTGAGCTATGATCGTGCCACTGCACTCCAGTCTGGGCAACAGACTGAGATCCTGTCTCTCTTTTTTTTTTTTTAAAGTAAATTTTTTAAAAATTAAAAATACATAAAAACTCTCAAAAAGAAGAGAACATCTGTATGGTCTAGAAACAGAACCATGAGGGATGGCAGAGGCTCAGCTTTCTGGACTTGAGAATAGAAACCATCTGCGGGTACCAGGAGTTAGTGGGCTCGGTGGAACAGGCCCCGAGGCTTCCAGTGCTGGCCTCAGGGTTGGACTGGCTGTTTGACACAAAGGGCCAGGACAAGGTGCTTTTTTAAGGAACAGGCCCTAGAAAAACTGCAGCTCTAGCCTGGGGCTGTGCCCAATAACCAGCGACTGCCTAGGGTGGCAGGAGAGAGAAGCTGGGGTTCCTCCGTCAGAGCCTGCACCCAGTAGCACACACTGGCCGAGAGGCTGGATCAGCAATTTTCCCAGGTACATGAACCCCAAACTGCCCACACGAAACTTGGTTCTGAATGGTGACCCAGGCTGGATGAGGGCCGCTGCCAGCAAGAGAAGAGGGGCAAAAAACACTAACAAAAGGAAATTTGTGCTCAAAATGATATTGCAATTACAATTGTAAAACACGGAAAAGAAACTTATGTCATACATGCTAGCCAAACTACTCAACACATCAGGGAATTCATTTCTCGAAAGTAGAAATAATACAGCAATCTGAAAAACAAGCTATGTTGTTCATACCCCAATTAGCACAAACCCTGAGATGCTGAAGAAAAAAAAAACTCCAAAGTAATAAAAAAAAAAAAAGGAGGGGATTATGAAACGAAAGCAGGTGGATATGAAAAAGAACCAGGAGAGTAACTGAAAAACAGACTGCCACCCGCAGCCACAAGGGGACCTGTTTCCCTGGACCCTGCTGCAGCACACGTGTTTTTGCGTGGAGTTTATGCCAAGCATCAAGCAGCAACATTTAAATCTCTTGTTCTCTCTTTACTGGCTGAAGGTTATAAATGTTTTATGAGCCGCTGAGCTTGCAGCATTACTATTTTATTAGAAGGTGGAATATCTTTTCCTCACAGCTGTATTCCTAGCGAAATTATTCTTTCTCTTAAAAATGTTAACCTGATGCTCGTTAGGAAGTGGCAACTGGCAGGATGGAAGGAACTGTTCAGAAATGGTCTGGCCCATTGGAAAGCGAGTCTGGATGGCACTTGGATGTCTTTCTTTTGGTTTCTTTTGGATTGAGCTACAAATAATTTAGGGAAGAACAGGAATTTTTTGATAGTCTAGCAACTTGATTTGATACAGTCCTTTTGGAGTCCATCTGGGATTGCTGAGTTGTATATGTTGGTGAAAAGTAAAAACCGCAATTACTTTTGCACCAACCTAATATTATTTTCAAACTCTGGCAACAATCCAAAGAATCAGTTACAAATTTCCAGGGACACACATCAGGCTGAAGCAGGCAAGGCAGGGAATGAAGTTACTAAGGTGATCCTGGATGAGCCACTTAACATCAGTTTCCTCATCTGTCCTGTTTCCCACATTTCTTACTTCACTTTTCTCCAAAACTGAGAACCAAGTAAGCTAAGGAAATTTTAAAAAGCAGGGGAGCGGGGAGAAATTACCCTATCTTGAGAGCTGAAACAAGACTAGCCTTCTGGTCCTCCATGGTGAAAGAATACTGTAACAATGAGAAATCATTTCTTCTCCACTAGCACAGCCAGTTTGTCCCCAGCTTCCCCAAGGGAGCCACGGGGAGCTGTGTTCTTTCACTCTCCCATGTCTATTCGCTCTGCCTCCTCTTGACTATGCTATTCATCTCCCCTTCTCTACCTTAAGAGCTTCTTCTCATCTTCAAACCCAAGTTCAACTGTCATCTCCAATTTGCAGTCTTTCAAGACTAAGCCCTTTCTCCCTCACACATAAATCAAATGAGAATTATTCCCTTATTACTGCTGTCTTTTAAGTCTTAATTCCTCTATCCATGTATCCATTCATCTGACAACCTTCAACCAGCTATCTGCCATGGCATTGGAGATAAAAAGATGAACAAAATACAATCTGCATCCTTAGGGTCACATACTTTTATTTCCACATTATATTTGAGTTTCCTCCTTACTGAAACCATTTTTATATCTCAGTACTTATCATTGTCTAGCACACAGTAGTTATTCAAAAGATATTTCCTAAACTGAATTGAAAGGAAGAAGCTAAGGAGTAAGATCCGCATCATAAAGATGATACCCCATGGGCAATATATTAGAAGGCATCCAAAGATTTGAGTCCTAAACGACAAATAGAGTGAGACCCAGACTCTCCCTCTCTTTTATTTTAAAGCCCTTCATGTGCTAGGGATTCTTTTAGTCTTCAAATCAAATAACATTTCTTTAGCTTATTAACTCAGGAAATATTTATTGAGATTTTGCCCTATGCCAAGTTATGTATTAGAAATCGAGGAAAAGATAACTATATATATATATTTTTTATATATACACATACACAAACACACACACACACATACACATACACACACACATATACACACAGATATGTGTCTATACAGACACATAGAAATATATCTGCATACAAGTTATAGATTTTTCATGCAATAATAATAATACTTGATATTACTATGTAAATACATATACATATGTGCACACATTAGTATACTATACTTGTCATTACTACATATACATATATATTCTTATACATGTATGTAGACATGTATATCCTTATATATGTATACATAGTAATGTTACAGTATATGTAAGAAAATATGTGACTATGTAGTAATGTCAAATATGGTATACTAATGTGTGTATATATGTATCTTTATATATGTATATATAGTTTTATTTGTGTATGTATATATAGTAATGTTAGAGTATATACAAGGATATATATGCATATGTAGTAATGTCAAGTATAGTATACTAATGTATGTATGGATATATATGTATTTATATAGTAATATAGAGTATTATTATTATTATTGCATGAAAAATCCATAGTTTGTCCTGCCCCTAGGCTCTAGAGTTTTGGCAGGAGTCTATTCTGTTACAAGTGAAGAGCTCAATCATCTTCCTCTTCCACTAGACCAAACACTACGAGGGACTGTGCCTTCTTTCATATTGTCACCCCAGCATAATGTTGGGAATAGTAGCTATTCAGTAAGAATCTGAATAAATGCGTTTTACTGCCATTATTTTGAGTTCCTAACTCTAGAAAGATACTTGCTTATGTCTAAAATAAAAAGGACCCAGTTATTTTTCCATGAAATGGCACATGTTAAAGTGGAATTCATTTTGGATTAGGCAGACCTAAAGCTTTAGATTTGTTTTTACATTTTTGAAAATTTCAGGATTTTCTCTAATTAAAAAAATTTTACACTAGGTATGGTCCTAGGATTAAGAGTAAAGAAGGTCAGCCAGGCGCGGTGGCTCATGCCTGTAATCCCAGCACTTTGGGAGGCCGAGGCGCGCGGATCATGAGGTCAGGAGATCGAGACCATCCTGGCTAATACGGTGAAACCCCGTCTCTACTAAAAATACAAAAAAAATTAACCGGGCGTGGTGGCGGGCACCTGTAGTCCCAGCTACTTGGGAGGCTGAGGCAGGAGAATGGTGTGAACCCGGGAGGCGGAGCTTGCAGTGAGCCAAGACTGCGCCACTGTACTCCAGCCTGGGCAATAGAGTGAGACTCCGCCTCAAAAAAAAAAAAAAGTAAAGAAGATCTTTAGAAAGTTTCTCTTGTATAAGGAAAATGTAAATAGGCTCATTGTAGAGAGAACCATAGCTTTGGGCTTGTCCATGTCATGGAGTTTAAATGTCTCTATAAATAAATTACACTGTCACTATATATATATAGTAATGTGTACGTGTGTGTGTACACATTATATACACACACATATACATATATGGTCTGTGGCCTGTCAGTATGTGTGTGTATATATATGTATGTGTATGTGTATATATATATGTATGTGTATGTGTATATATATATATATACACACACACATATATACACACACACACACATATATATATATGGTCTGTGGCCTGTCAGTATGTGTGTATATATATATGTATGTGTATGTGTATATATATATATGTATGTGTATGTGTGTATATATATATATACACACACATATATACACACACACAGGCTTTATATGATAAGGCTTTATATACAAAGCTTCATTATTATTATACATATATACAGGTATCATTATACACGTATGTATGATTGTGTGTGTGTGTGTATATATATATATGTATAAAGCCTCATTATCAAGAGATATAGCAAGAACACTGGATATAATAAGACTGAGCTCACTAAAGCAAAAGGAGTCAACTGCTTAACTAGGCAAATTTTGAAAATTTCCTTCCAAATCAGTAAAAAGAGGCCCAAGACTCCATAACCAGAAATTCTGATGTTGTATTGCTTGCAACAATTAGAATAAGACGAGATCTCAAATGTATGCTACAGAGCAAGGGTCCTCAACCCCCGGGACCATGGATCCATACTGGTCTGTGGCCTGTCAGGAACAGGCCTCACAGCAAGAGGTGAGCCGTGGGTGGGTGAGCATTACCGCCTGTGCTCCACGCCTCCAGTCAGATCAGTGGGGCCATTGGATTCTCATAGGAGCATGAACCCTATTGTGAACGGCGGATCTAGGTTGCCGGCTACTTATAAGAATCTAGTGCCTGGCGATCTGAGGTGGGAACAGTTTCACCCCAAAACCATCCCCTCCCCAAACCCACTTCCACGGAAAAATTGTCTTCCACGATACTACTCCCTGGTGCCAAAAAGGTTGGGAGCCACTGCTATAGAGGGTTCTCCAAAAGACAGAAAATATTTGTATCAAAAAAAATGACTTTGCCCATGCAGGAGTAGAAAGTACTTAAAATATTGCCTCATTTTAATTCTGAAATCATTTGTTTGAGGTAGCACTTCTAGGCCTCATCTTTTTTTGCCAGAACAATGTCCAAAACCATCAGCGAGATTGAGCTAATGGGCCAGGTGCGGTACCTTATGCCTAGCACTTTGGGAGGCTGAGGCGGGCAGATCACTTGGGGTCAGGAGTTTGAGACCAGCCTGGCCAACATGGTGAAACCCTGTCTCTACCAAAATTACAAAAGCAAATGTATCCAGGCACGGCAGTGCACACCTGTAGTCCCAGCTACTCGGGAGGCTAGGCAGGAGAATCACTTGAACCCGGGAGGCAGAGGCTGCAGTGAGCTGAGACCGCACCACTGCACACCAGCCTGGGCAACAGAGCAAGGCTACATCTCAAAAAAAAAAATTGAGCTAATGAGTGTGAAAGTACTTTGCAAATTCCAAATTACTTTGTATAAGTTAGTTAGTCCTATTTCTCTTGTGCTTTGAGATTCTGACATCGTATCCTGTGGTTCATAATAACTAGATAGCTCTAGTAATTCAAAGCTACATAAAACGTGGTTATTAAGTGAAATCATTAGAAATGTGTCCAGAAAAAAATTGCATTTTCTGAAGGACAGAAAATACACGTATATCTCTCTTGGAGAGTTTCAAGTAAGGGCTGCCTTAGGGTCCCCTATTAATGAGGCCATCTCTGACCCCTTAGGTGTGGATGTTCAGTTGTTACAATGTTTCTAACACTACTCTATTAAAAAGGCCAAAAACTAACTGCACAACAGATGGGCAAGTGCCCATTATGGGCCTGCCCTGTCAGTGCACTCTGCTGCAGCTGTGGTTGGACTTGCTCCCTTGGCAATTCCTGGGCTCACAGTGGTCAGTGAAATACTTAGGCAGGACGTGGAAGGTCCTAAGGTGCTGTGACAATGCTCCAGCCTCTACTCTTGTGTCTGGATGTGAGAGGATATGGCATAGACAGCTGAAAGCCTCAGAAGACAGGTGGAGTCCAGGAAATTCCATTTGCAGCTATCTTTATCAGGGTGAGCTGCAATTGTTTGCTGTGATAGTGAGCTGAAAGCAACAGTTCTATCAGATTATTTTTTAGAGATGACTAAAGTACACTATAGAAAGGAAGTGCTCAAGATCTGTTTGCTGATGTATTGCTTGCTTCATAAAGCTACCTATTAAGAAAGACACAAAATAACGAAATAATAGCCTAAACAATGTTAAAATAGGAAGATAGAAATAGGACTTTCTCTTTCTCATTTCTAAAGTGTGTATAGAGTTCTCTTATTCTCTCTATAGCATTCAGATACCCACTGGGAAGAAAACAAAAACAAAACCAGAAACCATCATAGATATTTCACAATGAGAAAGTTTGTTACAGGGAATTGGTTTCACCAATAATGGGAAAGCTGAGAAGCCAAATAAGGAGCAGCGAGAAACAACCCAGTGCTTAGCAATACAATAGCAGCAAGCTGCTACCACCTTAGGGCTGGAAGGAAGCTGGAGTTGCAGGGTCTGATGAGCCAGAGCTGTACAGCAGGAGTTACCATAGTCAGTACTTCTGGCAGCAACTGGAGCCAGAAGTTTAATTTCCTTATATGGTAAAGCAGAGGTTGTATTGTGCGATTACCTTGACTAAGAACTATCCTCTGACAGAGTTTCCAGGTTACCTCTCTCTCTTTCTGGATGTTCTTGATAGAGACAGAATCCAGTTATATTTTCTCCACTTTGCTAGATGATGTTATGGCCATCTATCTTTTACAAATAAATGCTAGTTAATTATTTAAGCTTTAGCAGTAAGCCTGTTCTCAGATCTAATTAAACATAAGTGAAAAATAAAAGACACACAGGCATGTACTCTACAGTTTAAAGCATGAAACTTTCCCTTTTTCTGTTAGGGAAAAAGTCAATTCTCCTTGAAGTGTATGGTGGTCTACTGCAAGTTCACTTTCAGCTCTGCTCCCACTCCTCCCCTAGTCTGCTCTGAATCAGAGGGGACTCTGAAAATAAAACATAAGTATTGTTTCCTCACCCAGATACAGTGCAGGTCTTAATACCATTTCTGAAATGTGCTAACTTTGGCCCTTGCCTAGATTACTCTTAAACTCTGTAATAGAAACCAACTGGGCTGGTTTCATGGAAGACAAATTTCCATGGATGGAGGGTGGCGGGGGATGGTTTCAGGATGAAACTGTTCCACCTCAGATCATCAGGCACTAGATTCTTATAAAGAGTTGGCAACCTAGATCCCTCACATGCAGTTCACTGTAGGGCTCATGCTCCTGTGAGAATCTGATGCCCCTGCTGATCTGACAGAGCAACACAGACCAACACAGCCTAGGCCAGGGATGCCTTAGGAAGTACTTGGTTTCTTCCTGTGTCTTTCTATCTTTTTCCACTAATTCACCGGCCAAGTGAGAAAGAGTCAAGGGAGACTGGGAATTTAGTCCTCCCTGATTCATATCTGCTCCATGGCAGAGCTCTTCCCGCTCCTTCTCCCAGCAGGACACCTGCTCTATTATGTCTTTGGCTTTCCTTTTCGTAGATCAAGTCCTGAGAATTGGATGAAACAAGCTGACCAAACACGTAACCATTCATTGGAAAGTATATTAGTCCATTTTCATACTGCTGATAAAGACATACCCGAGACAGGATAATTTATAAAGAGAAGAGGTAATGGATTCACAGTTCCGTATGGCTGGGGAGGCCTCACAATCATGGTGGAAGGTGAAAGGCATGTCTTACATTGCAGCAGCCAAGAAAGAATGAGAGCCAAGTGAAAGGAGTTTCCCCTTATCAAACCATCAGATCTTGTGAGACTTATTCACTACCATGAGAACAGTATGGGGGAACTGACCCCACAATTCAATTATCTCCCACTGGGTCCCTCCCACAACACATGGGAATTATGGGAGCCACAATTCAAGATGAGATTTGGGTGGGACACAGCCAAACCATATCAGAAAGTAAGTGGCAAGCTATAACATTTCCTCATTTTTGTTATTGCCAAAGACTTATGCCAGCCACAAAATTCTTTCTGACAGTACGACTGATCTAGAGCTCAAAATTGAGTCCAGATCAGCTGCCAAGAGATGTGGAAGAGATGAAAATGAAATAGAAGTATTGTTTCCTTACCTAGATAAGTGCAGGTCTTAAGCACATTCCTGAAATGAGCTATCTTTGGCCCTTGTCTAGATTACTCTTTTTTTGTTTGTTTGTTATTTGAGACGGAGTCTCGCTCTGTCGCCAGGCTAGAGTGGAATGGTGCAATCTCAACTCCTGCAACCTCTGCCTCCTGGGTTCAAGTGATTCCCCTGCCTCAGCCTCCCAAGAAGCTGGAATTACAGGCAAGTACCACCACACCTGGCTAATTTTTGTATTTTTAGTAAAGACTAGTTTTCACCATGTTGGTCAGGCAGGTGTCGAAATCCTGACCTCGTGATCTGCCTGCCTTGGTCTCCCAAAGTGCTGGGATTGCTGGCATGAGCCACCGCGCCCGGCCTAGATTACTCTTATCCTCTGTAATAGTCCATCATCAGATGCCCAGGGACTCCCTGGTACATTTGCTCTGGTCTCCCATCTCAGCAGCCCAAACCATGCTTAAAAACTACCTACCTTCTCTCCCTCCTTTTGAAAAAAAAAAAAAAAAAAACAATGACAACCAAGCCAAAAAGTATACATAATACCCTTTTCTTCATTGTGGTTTATAATAGTAATTAATGATTATTTATTTATTTTTATTTGTACAAATGTATAGAGTGCATGAGAAATTGTGTTATGTGTATATATTGTGTAGTGATGAAGTCAGGGCATTCAGAGAGTCCACCACTTGAGTACAATACTTTCTTGTTAAGTATAGTCACCCTGCTCTGACCAAACATTGAATTGATTCCATCTTACTGTATGTTTGTATCTTTTAACCTATCTCTCTTTATATTCCCCTCTCCCCGCTACTCATCTTTCCCAGTCTCTGTTATCCATTATTCCACTCTCTACTTCCAGGTGATCAAATTTTTAGCTCCCACATATAACTGAGAACACGTGATATTTTTCTTTCTGTGCCTGGTTTATTTCACTTAAGATAATGACCTCCAGTTCCATCCGTGTTGCTGCAAGTGATACAATTTTATTCTTTTTATGGCTGAATGGTATTCCATTGTGTATATACATATACCACATTTACTTTATCCATTTATCCATTGACGAACACTTAGGTTGATTCTATACCTTTACTATAGTGCATAGTGCTGCCATAAACATGCAAGTGCAGGCATCCCTTTGATTTTTTTTTTTTTTTTTGAGACAGTCTCACTTTGTCACCCAGGCTGGAATGCAGTGACTCGATCACTGCAACCTCTGCCTCCGGGGTTCAAGCAATTCTCATATCTCAGCCACCCACGTAGCCGGAATTACAGGTGCGTGCCACCACGCCTGACTAATTTTTTTGTATTTTTAGTACAGACGGGGTTTCACCATGTTGGCCAGGCTGGTCTCAAACTCCAGGCTTCAAATGTCCTGCTTACCTCGGCCTCTCAAAGTGCTGGGATTACAGGTGTGAGCCACTGCACCCGGCCAATATATTATTTTTTATTGAGTGCTTACTATGACCAATTTCTGTTCTAAATACTTTTGAATAAATTCATCCAATCCAGACAGTAATTCCAGGTGATAAATTCTACCATAATATCCATTTTACAGATGGGAAAACTGAGTTAGAGAGGTTAGATGGTTTGCCCAGGGTTACATAGCCACTAAATGATAGAGAAGATTTTAAGAGCCCAACTCTAGTTAATGATCTTAGATACTACACTAGATTCCACGCGGCTTAGGCAAGAGCTAACAGTTAAAGCAACCAGATTTAACCAATTCACACTTACGTGTGAGTGATTGATAGTCATTAACCTTCCCTGAGAAATTTGCGCTTGTAGTTTTTAAATTATTTCTTTTTTCTTTTGACAATTTTGTTTTTTAAATGTTTAACATTTTAAAATTATTCTTTTTGTAGAAATTTAGCACTTTAAAATGATGTCTGTGAACCAGAGGAATCTCAATCAAAGCATTTTTATGAAGCACCTACTATGTACTGGCCTTATGCTAGGTAATGGGCATCCAAAGATGAACCAATCACAAGCCTGATTGCTGCTTTGGTTATAGGCACAGGTCTTTGGTCATAATTGTGTTTGAATCCCAGTCCTGCCACTTATAAGCAACCTATTTTACATGGCCTTTTTCTTCCGCCTGCAAAATGGGATAAAACAATAACTTTTTTGGGTGGATTTGATTAAATAATGTCTGTAACGTATTTAGCCAGCAAGCCAGCACACAGTAAATACTCAATATATGGTAGCTATTATTTTGAACTTTCTTCCTGCAGACATGCAAACAAAAATTACAAAGTAAGATAATGACCTCCTCTATAAATGCTGTAGTGGGAGTGTCCAGTGAAAAGTGGTGGTATGCTAGGGTGCTCTTCAAACTGTGCCTTACAGAGTTTTGAGGCACAGGCAGTCACAGGCATGCCTCTAGGGCCCAGGGTGGGCTCGGGGTGTGGAGAGGGGAAATGACACCCCACCGTTCCTGCCACCTCTGCTTTCCTTTCAACAAAAATAGAGCCAGTTTTGTCCCGTGTGTTTGTTAATATTGGTCTTTCCTGTCATGTCTCATTCAAGAATGGATTCTGCCTAAAATCCCCCTTGAGACTGAGAATCCTAAACTCAACTTTCTAATCATTTCTCTGGAGGTCCTTGCGTAAGTAAGTCTCTTACCTTCCTTCACTTCACTTTCCTCTTATGAAATGAGGTAATATATTTCTTCTGACTGATTATTATTGTTCCTTCCAGGTATAAAATTCTGCAAGTTTTGGGGCATGTCGGGAAAAAAGATATGTGGATATGCTACCCCAAGTTAACGTTGTCCCCTAGAGACACCTCCCCGAGTCAAACACATTTGCTGGTGTGTTGATTTGTTTCTTTATTTGTGCCATCTTTCTCCACATCTGAACTTAGAGACTCTCAGAAGATTCCTGGCTTTCCACAATAGCTTTCGAGGCAGTGGGGCAGCCCAGTAGGGTTCTGGGATGTAGGTTCTGGCAGGCATTCTACACATTGGTCAACTCCAATGCAAGTAATTTTAGCTGGAAAGTAGCTTTCTCCAATCAGAATTACCTCACTAAGGTCCTCTGCAGACCAGCTGCTGAGTTCATTACAACCCCTGAGTTCAAGGTAAGGGGACACTAGAAGTTACCATTGACCCTTGACAACTTCCCTTGCAGTGGAAAATTCATGTATGACTTTTGACTTCCCCCAGAACTTAACTACTAATAGCCTACTATTGTCCAGATGTCCTACCTATAACAGTCAATTGACACATATTTTGTGTTTTATGACTTATATACTGTATTCTTACAATAAAGTAAGCTAGAGAAAAAAAATATTGTTAAGAAAATCATAAGGAAGAGAAAATATATTTACTATGTATTAAGTGCCATGTCGATCATCATAAAGGTCTTCATACTCATCATTTTCATGTTGAGTGGACTGAGGAGGAGGAGAAAGAGGAGGGGTTGTTCTGGTTGCCTCAAAGGTGGCAGAGGTGGAAGAAAATCTGAGTATAAGTGCACCCATGCAGTTTAAATCTGTGTTATTTGAAGGTCAACTGTATTTTTTAAAATTGTGGTAAAAACACATAACATAAAATTTATCATCCTAACCATTTTAAATGTACAATTTAGTAGTGTAAAGTATATTCACATTGTTATACAACAGGTCTCCAGAACCTTTCCATCTTGCAAAACTGAAACTACACTCATTGAACACCAACTGTCCATTTCCCCCTCCCCCAGCCTCTGGCAACCACCATTCTCCTTTCCTAATGTTCATCCATGTTGCAGCATATAACAGAATTTCCTTCTTTTTTAAGGCTGAATAATGTGCTATTGTGTGTATATACCATATTTTTTTTTATCCATTCATCTGTTGATGGACATTTGGGTTGTTTCCACATCTTGACTATTGTGAATAGTGCTGCAATGAACACGGGTGTGCAAATATCTCTTTGAGATCCAGCTTTGCATTCTTTTGAATATATACCTGGGATTGCTGGATCACATGGTAATTCTATTGCATCTATTTTCAGTGCTCTTCTGCCACAGGCTGCCAAGAAAACTTAGGAAAAACTCACAGGTCACATTTGAGAGCTTTCATGCTGCTTAGAGCTTCCTGGTTTGATTCCATCCGAGTCTATGAGGAAATGGCTGCTCTGGGAAGAAGCAGGAGTTAATTCAAGTCTGGAGAATGCCTGCTTTTTTGAAATCCCCAGCATGCTACATGTGATATGGGCTTATAAGAACCACATGCTTTCTCATGCTCCTTTGGCTCAACCTCAGAGGCATTCTAGAGTTGGCCCTTGCAGCTAGAAACCACAAGAATGTCAATGATGCAATTTAAAATATGCCAGTTCCCACTCCACTGGTCTGTAAACTAAATAAATTGCACAAAAACCCCTACAGTCTCACCTCCTTTATCAGAGGAAATTATTGAGAAGGTTTCAGTGATTTAGAAAATATTCAAGCATAGCTTCTTAAACATCAAGTAGCAGCATTATATGGAGTTGGTTTTGTTTAATAGTTTATTCACAACACTCAGTAATTGAACCACTAGGTACCATGGTGACAGAAATGAAGGTAGATGGATGGGAGTTATAGAAAGACAATGGGTCCCCTGTCTTTAATGTTAATTAGTTGGCCCCTGCCATATATTCCATCTGTTCACATACTGTGACCTCAACATACATGCTGCATGAAGAAAAAAAACTCAAAATATATATTAAACAATTATTAAGTTGGAAGTTTTAGAAATTGACCTAGGAGGTTGATATTTATAAAATATTTTTCCTGCCTTTTGAAAATTAAATGAAGATATAAAATTTACCATTAAAGAGAGGATATTTCAATTTCTTTGCTGTTAACTAACTATCATTTGCACTTTACAGGAGAATCAATTATGGACAATTACCAGTCAGTTGTTGGCCAATCAGATATTTTGATCCATGATTTGCTCCAGGCACCATTGTGGATTTAGATGTGAAGACAGTCCTGGGATTTCAATTTCTTCAGATGCTAGTGGTGTTTCTTGTAATTGTCAAAGCAGTGAACCAATCAAAGCACCTGAATTGAGTTAGGTTACTGTATAGGGTATGGGTTTTAAAATTGACCTTTTACCTCTATAAAGTCAAGGTCTTGCAATTAAGGAGACTTTTAAATATAGTTCCAGTTTGGGTAAGTATCTAAGCCCAAAGGAAGAGAGGAGTTAGAAGTTTGTAAGTATCAGCTTCAAAAATTTTTATACCGAAAAACTGGCCAAGAGGGGAAATGAGAAACACAAACATTTATCTCAAGAAAACAAGATAAACAACAGCAAAACACAAAAAATTTTGGAAAGGAAGACAGTTCACAATGAAAATTTTCTCTATTTCTATTTGCAAACCCTAAATAACTATTTTATGCTGATTGTGGAAGAGTTCAGTGAAAATTTGTGACTTCCTTTCATGGAGAAGACAGACTTGAGTGCCTATTGCCCCTCCAATGGGAAAGCAGTGTAAAGCTTGCTGCTTTCCTTGCACTGGAGGTTAGGCCTAATTGAACAAATGTATAACTGAATTGCATGTGTGTGGTGGCAGAGAGAGAAAGAGAGAGTGAGAGCCAGAGAGAGAGATGGAGAGAGAGAGAGAAATCCTTCAACGACTGGAGAGCTGAGAGAATGCCCGAGCCAGAGTCGCAGATCCCCTCAAAACAGAAGATATAAGAATAGTACCATTACTACCTGGGGCCATTGTTTTGAAAAAATAATGTCTGTATATCAGAGGAGCATATAAGTTAGTACACAGGCTCTGCAACAAGACTGCTTGAGTGTAGATCCTGACTCTACCACCGTGGGCTCTGAGACAAGCAACTCATCATCCAGGGCCTCAGTTTCATCTAAAATAGGCAGAATAACATTCCTGTACTCCTTCAGGTTGTTGGGAGGATTAAATGGATTTCTATCTGAAACCCTTCTAGAACAGCAGCAGGCACATGTATGCAGTTGGTGTGAGCTATGTGTGCTAGTGGCCAAGGGGGGACCTCTGCTGAGCAACCTACAGAGTAGATCTGAAACATACATAAAATTTGCCATGAGGTTTTAAGAGCACTAGCTCATGGGCTTCTTGTTTAAAACTTCAATAAGGCTGTTACCTCATTGTGCCACTCTAGCCTGAAGGAGTTGGGTCTTTTCTTGCCAGGGTCTTATAAAGACCAGAAGATAAAAGACAAAAATGGAATTTGACTGCAAATTTTCATTACTAAAAGACTCCCATTTTTGCTTATATTAAGAAACAAGGTTTTCAAAGGTTTCCTCTAACCACACTATCTTGGGTTAGTCAGAATGAACACGTATTTATGGGATCACGGTCTACAGGATTTGCCTGCAATGTTAAATAAAACCACAATTTGTGTTTCTAAAGTCATCATCTGGTTAGAAAATGACCACTGTCCTAAATGTAGAAATGAAAGAGAAAGTATAACACGGGAAAGGAACATTTTAGGGGGACACACCTTAGAGGTATACAGTGGCTCATTATTTCCTAGAAGTCTCAGGCAAGGGTTCTGAACCTAGGCCTACTGAGTTTCAAGGCTGAGAAATTCCTCTGAAAATGAAGGTGACATGATAGACTGCATGTTTTTCTGCAGATAGGTTCTCAGGCTTGGTTAAATCATTATAAGTATCTGTCACTGAAATTACCAAGATCCATTGGACTAATAACATATTCAAAAACTATGGGAGAGGAACAAATGTAGTTTCTTTTTATACATTTTTTCATATTATATGTAACCTTGGATACCTCCAACATTCTATTTCAATTCCCAGACGATTTTCCAGCTAAAATACATTAGCGCCACCAAAGCGTGGGCAAAATTTTTATCTTCTCATGTTTTCCCGACAGCATTTATCTGAGTCCCAAACCAAATAATTCTGCCTATATATCATGTGAATAACACAAGGAAGTTTATTTTTAGGGGAAAAATGTCTTATCATTCATAATAATCTAATATTTCTGAAATGAATATTGATACCGAATACAATACCAGAAGGTTAGAACAGAACATACATATTTCACTGGAAGAAACTGATTTCCACCTAGTGTCTGTGAAACAGCAGAAGCGAAATTAATGTCTTCTTGCATTGGTGCTGCTGTGCATGGCAATCTCGCCAATGCCGCCAACTCCTAATAAAGGGCTCTCTTGGAACAAAGCTGCCTCTTGTCTGCTTGCTCACAGTATCTATGACACTAATATTCTAATTAGCTATCGCCATTCTCATTATCTTTGTCAGAGAGCTACGTGCTCGTGGATGCAGCCACCTAGCCACGAGATCAGATCTGCATAGTCACACACAAAACACATACACATATGCATGCACATAAAACCTAGACATATCTGCTCTGCAATATCCCATCTCCCCTTGGTTTACAGAATGCATTCCCAGTCTTTTGGGGACTTGTTGGAGGATAAACAGTAAGCCCATGAACGTGTAGTCCAAATTCATTAACGCGGCATTCAAGGCTCTCCAGGTGCCACATCCCTCTTCTCTCTATTCCCTTTGTCCCTTCCCCACCGGAACGCCACTCCTTCTCCATTCTCTCCCTATCCCATGCCTTGTCCTCTGGGCATTGGAGATGGATTCTCACTATCACGCCAAACATACCCCACACCTCCACCTCTGTGTTTCCTCTACCTGAAATTCCCCTCATACTTGTCAAATCTCTATCCCACCTTCTGCCGCCATCAAAATCCCATAAGGTCCATCTCGATCACTCCTCAATTCTCCAACACCCTAAGGCAGAAGCAATGTCTTTTTTTGCTGGACATTTTATGTATTCCTTTTATTATATAACTTATACAACTTTGTCACCACCTTTGGACATTTCATCCCACTGCCTCCCCTGCTCCTGTGCCTCCCACAGGCTCTGCCATATTCCCCTGCTCAGCGTAGAGGGTCCTCAGTAGATGCTGGGGACATGAACTAAGTTGAATGGTAGGATTATAGGAATAGAAAATACTGCAGTTAATAATAAGATCATTTTTAATAAAATTTTTCTCTAGATTCATGAGCATATTTTCTTCTAGCCCTTGACAGAACGAACAATGGAAATGTATTGTTCATAGGTATGTACTATATCGGGTATGCATGAACACTGGCATGTTTGCCATTCTCTTTCAACCTGGGGGCTTAAATTTTCCTTTGCACCAGGCCACTGCCATCTAAGCCCTGCAGGATTTGGGGACCAGATGAGTCCTTGTATGACATCTGATAGTAAGTATTTATTTTATTAACAAACGAGGCCACAAAGAATGTGACCAGTTGAAAACAGAGTTTGGTTTCTTCATGTCTCTCCTTCACCATAGGGATTTTGTCTCTTTCATTGTAGCACTTAGCATAGAGTCCATATCCAACAAGTATTTGAAAATATTTTCTTCCTACTCTTTCATGTTATCTTCATTCAATAGTGAGGGTTTATAATTTTTCCTCCCTTCTTTCCTTCCTTCCTTCCTTTGGAGTTTATTGTGTTGACTTTTTTTTTGCTATCGTTGCGAACATTGGAATATGAGATGACACCCAGGCAGTGCCAGGGCCGAGCAGTGTGTTAAGTATGGCTTCTATTTTGTGAGCTCACACTGCCCTCTCCTGGCCTCTGGGTAGATCTTAAAACTTCACTCGGATTGCAGCACAAAACACATTCCAGCAGGCAGAGAAAGAATGATAATAAATGGGACACAAAATCCTTCCAATATTAATAATCTAATCATTTCAAATTTTAAAAACTATTTGGCTCTACTCTCTATGCTTTTGGTAATTCCAAGCACTTGAAAATATCTATAAAATTCAAAATTCTTAACATTGTCTTTCCATTTTATTTATTTATTTATTTTTTGGTGGAAAGCTTGTTATAATATCTTGAATAAAATGTGGTCCTGGGCCGGGCAAGGTGGCTCACATCTGAAATCTCAGCACTTTGGGAGGCCAAGGCAGGAGAATCACGAGGTCAGGAGTTTGAGACCAGCCTGGCCAACATGGTGAAACCCCGTCTCTACTAAAAATACAAAAAATTATCTGGGCATGGTGGTGGGCACCTGTAATCGCAGCTACTCTGGAGGCTGAGGCAGGAGAATCTCTTGAACCCAGGAGGCGGAGGTTGCGGTGAGCCGAGATTGCACCACTGCACTCCAGCCGGGCAGCAATGCGAGACTCCGTCTCAAAAAAAAAAAAAAAAAAAAAAAAGAAGGTGGTCATGATATTTGATATTTTAGTAAGATGTTTTTGTTTTTGCTTACTTTCTAGTTCTACTTAAGGCTTTTGGTGGTGGTGGTTTGTTTTGTTAGCAAGTGATGTGCAGTCATGTCCAGGCTCTGCCACTCACTAATTAGGTGATCAGGATCTAGGACAAGTCATTTCAACCCTCAGCCTTAGTTCCTTCATCCAGATGTGGCTGTAGAAATACCTACCCTATCTTCCTCACTAGAAATGATAGAAAGATCAAATGAAATATTTTATGTGAAGGCATTTGGAAAACTCTAAGATGCCATACTCATATGAACTATGATGATTATTTCTAGATTTTACAAAAAGACAACTTAACAAAAGATACTAGGTGTTATAATGCCAGGTGAAGTGCAATTGTATTAAAAAGACTTCACTTTTAAACATTAAAAAATTTTAAAGATATATGAATCTAGAAAATATTCTTTGTTTCCTTCCCAAAAACTTCTTAGAATAATATAGAAAATGACACTTTCCTGAGGAATTTTTTTGTATATTATTAGCAAAGGGCAGAATATTGGATTAAAAATCCAGAAAGCCCTGTAATTCTATGTTTTTAAAGCATAGGAATAATCTATCTAATGACAGTATATAGTCTTTAAATAGGTCTTATATCTTCAAAATAAAAATAATAAAACCTCCATTAATACAAAAATAACAAAATTATACAAAAATTAACTCAAGATGGATGAAAGACTTAAATGCAAAACCCAAAACTATAAAATTCTAGAAGAAAATCTAGGCAATACCATTCAGGACATAGGCAGGGGCAAAGATTTCATGATGAAAACGCCAAAAGCAATTGCAACAAAAGCAAAAATTGACAAATGAGATCTAAATAAACTAAATAGCTTCAGCACAGCAACAGAAGCTATCATCAGAGTGAACAGACAACGTACAGAAGAGGAGAAAATTTTTGCAATCAATCCATCTGACAAAGGTCTAATATCCAGAGTCTACAAGGAACTTAAACAAATTTACAACCTCATTAAAAAGTGAGCAAAGACCATGAACAGACATTTCTCAAAAGAAGACATTCATGCGGCCAACAAACATGAAAAAAGATCAACATCACTGATCATTAGAGAAATGCAAATCAAAACCACCACAATGAGATACCATCTCACGCCAGTCAGAATGGTGATTATTAAAAATATACAGAAACAACAGATGCCGGTGAGGTTGTGGAGAAAAAGGAACATTTTACATTGTTGGTGGGAGTGTAAATTAGTTCAACCATTGTGGAAGACTGTGTGATGATTTCTCAGACCTGGAACCAGAAGTATCATTTGACCCAGCAATCCCATTACTGGGTATATACCCAAAGGAATATAAATCATTCTATTATAAAGATACATGCATGCGTAGGTTTATTGCAGCACTATTCACAATAGTAAAGACCTGGAATCAACCCAAATGCCCATCAATGATAGACTGGATAAAGAAAATGTGGTACATATATACCACTGAATACTATGCAGCCATAAAAAGGAATGACATCATGTCCTTTGCAGGGACATGGATGGAGGTGGAAGCCATTATCCTCAGCAAACCAACACTGCATGTTCTCACTTATGAGTGGTAGCTGAATGCTGAGAACACATGGACACATGGCGGGGAAAAACAAACACCAGGGTCTGTCAGAGGGCTTTGCAGGGAGGGAGAGCATCAGAAAGAATAGCTAATGGATGCTGGGCTTAATACCTAGGTGATGGGTTGATCTGTGCAACAAACCACCATGGCACACGTTTACCTATGTAACAAACCTGCACATCCTGCACATGTACCCAGGAACTTAAAATAAAAATTGAAGAAAAAAAAGAGAGAGAAAAGATATTATCTCCAAAAATAAAGTAAATGACAGGGAGAAAAAAATAAATTAAAAAAGGGAATGTGTTTAATCAACATTTGTCTATTTTATGCTCCATGGGAAAAAAAAATGTCAAAGGGAAAGTGAAATCTGTAGAGGAGTTAAACAACACTGGACTTTTAAGTAATTATTCTACTTCTCTCTCTTTCATTGTGCTAATATATTCTTGACCAAGAATTGACATAAAAAAATTTGTACAAACGTATAGGGTACATGAGAAATTTTGTTACAGGTGTATAATGTGTAGTGACTGACTCAAGGTATTCAGAGAGTCCATTACCTAAGTACAATACATGTTTGTTAAGCATAGTCACCCTACTCTGCTACTGAACGTGGAATTTGTTCCATCTTACTGTATGCTTGTTTGTTTAAACCCATTTCTCTTCATCTCCCCCCACTCACACTTCCCAGTCCCTGTTAGCTATCTTTCCACTCTCTACGTCCAAGCAATCAAAATTTTAGTTCCCACATCTAAGTGAGAACTTGTGATATTTGCCTTTTTGTGATTGGCTTAGTTCATTTAAGATGATGACCTCCAGTTCCATCCATGTTGACATGATTTCATTCTTTTTTATGGCTGAATAGTATTTCATTGTGTATATCCATATACCACATTTTCTTTGTCCATTTATCCATTGATTAACACTTAGGTTGATTCCATATCTTCGCTATTGTGAATAGTGCTGCAATAAACATGTGAGTGCAGGTATACCTTTGATATATTGATTTTTTTTTTCTTTTGAGTAGATACCCAATACTGGGATTGCTGGATTCAATGGTCATTCTAGTTTTCATTTTTTGAGAAATTGCCATACTGTTTCTCAGTAGGTGTACTAGTTTATTTACATTCCCACCTACACAGTGTACAAGACTTTCTTTTTCTCCACATCCTTACCTGAATTTGTTACTTTTTTTTTTTTTTTTTTTTTTTTTGAGACGGAGTCTCAATCTGTCACCCAGGCTGGAGTGCAGTGGCTTGATCTCGGCTCACTGCAACCTCCGCCTGCTGGGTTCAAGAGATTCTCCTGCCTCAGCATCCTGAGTAGCTGGGACTACAGGCGCTCGCCACCACGCCCAGCTAATTTTTTGTATTTTTAGTAGAGACGGGATTTCACCGTGTTAACCAGGATGGTTTCCATCTCCTGACTTTGTGATCCGCTCGCCTTGGCCTCCCAAAGTGCTGGGATTACAGGCGTGAACCACCGCGCCCGGCCTCTGTTACTTTTTGTCTTTTTAATAACAGCCATTTTGACCGGAGTAAGATAACATCTCATTGTGGCTTTGATGTGCATTTCTCTGACGATTAATGATGTTGAGCATTTCTTCATATGCCTTTTGGCCATTTGAAGCCTGTCTTCAAATTTGAAGCATTTGGCCATTTGAAGCATGTCTTCTTTTGAGAAATGTTCATTGTTTTACTTCGTCCACTTTTTAGTGGAATCATTTGTATTTCCTGTTGAGTTGTTTGGGTTCCTTGTTTATTCTGGACATTAGTGCCCTTTTGGATGAATAGTTTGCAACTATTTTCTCCTATTCAATGAGTTGTCTCTTCAACTGTTTACTGTTTCCTTTGCTGTGAAGAAGCTTTTAGGTTTAATATAGTCCCATTTGTATGTTTTTGTTTTTGTTGCTCATGCTTGAAATTTTAGTCATAAATTCTTTGCGTAGACCAATCCAGGAAAGTTTTCCTAAGGTTTCCATTGATGTGGAGTTGCGCGGACTGTTGGACCCCAGAGCAGGATGCAGTCTACTGGGAGTTGGGCTCCCAAAGCGGCACTGTGCTGCAGCTGCTTAGTGTGGACTCGGGGTGTGTGGGACCCAGCGGGAGCGCCCTCTTTGGAGCAATGCCATCGCACGGATTCCAGGCAGTTCCCTATGTTAGTCTCGGGGTCTCTGTGGGTCCAGGGGCTCTTCCGTGGCTAGGACTGCGGGAGTCCTCAGTGGGAATGTGGACCACTGGGGGTCAGTCACTTACCCTTCCCCTACTCTGGGGAGCCTGCCTGGGTTTTCAGCCAATCCCAGCCAAGTAGGCTACTTTGCTTCCCTCTCGTTTCTTGGCCTAGGTGTTTCCTGTCACTTTTCTGTTGAATTTTAGTGTTCTCTCTGAGGCAATCTATCCGAAGTATGGCTATCTCCTTGCTGTTTTGGTTCTTCTTTGTAAAGCGGGGTGAGTACTGAATGCCTCTAGTCAGCTGTCTTGAAGCTCCCTACATTGATCTTTTTTTTGTGTTGGGAACATTATCATTCTCTTCTAGCTATTTGGAAATATTTAATAAATTATTGCTGACTATAATTTTCTTCCTGTACTATTGAATACTAGAACTTATTTCTTTTATCTAACTGTATTTTTATACCCCTTAACCAACCTCTCTTTATTCCCTCCTCCCCTTCCCAGCCTCTGGTCACCACGATTCTACTTTCTACCTCCAGGAAATCCACTCTTTTAGCTCCTCCTTATGAGTAAGAACATGCAGTATTTGTCTTTCTGTGCCTGGCTTATTTCCATTAACATAATGACTTCCAGTTCCAGCCATGTTGCTACAAATAACAGGGTTTCTTTTTCTTATGTCTGAATAATATTCCATTGTGTGTGTGTGTGTGTGTGTGTGTGTGTGTGTCACACACAACATTTTCTTTATCTATTTATCCATTGATGGACATTTGGGTTGGTTCCATTCTTGGCTATTACAAATAATGCTTCAATAAACATGTGAGTGCAGATATTTCTTTAATGTACTTATATCCTTTCTTTCAGATATATACCCAGAAATAGGATTGCTAGATCATAGGGTAGTCCTATTTTTAGTTTTTTGAGGGACTTCCGTACTATTTTCCACAATGACTCTACTAATTTACATTCTCACAAACAGTGTACAAGCATTCCCCTTTCTCTGCATCTTCACCAGCATCTGTTGTTTTTGTCTTTTTGATAATAGCCATTCTAACAGGGGAAAGATGACTTTTCATCGTGGTTTGATTTGCATTTTCGTGATGATTAGTGATGTTGAGCATTTTTCAAAGACCCATTGCTCATGTCATGTGTATGTCTTCTTTCGGGAAACATCTATTCAGATCTTTTTGACCATTTTTAAATTGCATTATTGTTTTATTGCAATTGAGTTGTTTGAGTTGTAGTGTGTAGTGGTGATGAGTGAGGTCTTTGCAGTCCTGGACTTGGGGCCCGTTAGTCCAGAGGTCTGCCCCTAATTTGGCCACTTAGTTATTTCAGGTCTGGACAAGGAACGAAACCTGCTCCCATTTCCTCACTTGCAAAGTGAGAATAATATTAACGTTTACCTCACAAGGGGCAGTTGTGAGGATCAGATGAGATAATCCCTGCAAAATATATGATATGGTACCTAGGATGTAGCGCTATACCCAGCACATAACAAGTACTTAAAACTGTGGGCTATCATGTCTGAAGTGAAGCAGGAAAATTTGTAAAATCCCTTTTACAACCTCCAGAAAGAATATAAGAAGGAAAAAGAAAGACATTAGGAAGTGGGAAGAAGAGGGAGAGAAAAATGAGGAAGAAAAAATGATGGAATATTGTGTCACATTCCTTAAAAGATTCTGGCAGCAGAAATTTTTCAGGACACACACATTAAAGGAAAATACATCCCATTGAAACCACCCATTCACAGGGCTGAAAAAGAGCAAGTAGAAACCCTTCAAGTTTGACCTTTGAGCCACTGGAGAGAAACTGAGAAGGCTCTGCAGTCTGTATGTGTGCTGTGCTGCGACACGGACAGGACATGCCATCCTTCAAAAGGCAGTAAGGGCAGGACAGTGGGAGGTAAGAGTGAAGACTCCCACCTACTAACTGTGCAACCCAGGGCAGTGCCCTTAACCTTTGTGTGATCCAGTCTCATCCTATGTAAGATGGGATAGTAGCATCACTTTTTTTCCATAAGGTTACTGTGGTGGTCACATGATTTAATACATGCAGAAGGCTTAGAATGTTCCTGACACATAGTAAGTGCTCTACCATCGTGTTACTGTTGTTAAAGTTATTGGCGTGAGTAAAGGGTGACTGTGAGACCTGAAGTGAGTCACAGAGCTGTAGAGAGAGAACTGGAACGATTTGAAAGTCAAAGTATGTCTTTCTCTTTCTAAAAGTGTTTCTCTCTCTACACATGGATACCTGTCTTTCTATCTATAGAAGTGAGCATATATCTCTATCTATCCATCTATGTTGATGTATCTGTTTGTCTGTCTCTCTGTCTACTGAGAGATGTTACTTCTTTAGTGGTAACGTTGCCACCTAAGGACAAACAGGGGAGCACCTACAGGAAGGAGGAAGAAGAGGAGGAGGTAGAGGGGAATAAGAAATTGGATTTATTTTTCTTGCTGCAGTAAGGGAAAATACATGCCAAAGGACCAACGGAGTATCTCTGCAAGAGGGAGTTTGGGAATTCTGAGGAGGGATCCTGGAAGAGGGGGCTCCTCAGAGGTGGTCCAGAAGGTGGTCATTTCAGCTGTCTCCGTGATCTTAGTTCAGCAGTCAGGAGGAACAAAGTGGAGAATCATTGGTTAGAAAGTGGCCAGCACCTGGAAGATAACAGTGATGGTTTTTGCAGCTGTGGTATGGCCTCTGAGAAACACTGTGTACTTGGGTCTTTTCCATGTCCCATTGGAAGTGCTGCTTATGTTCTGTTAGAAACATCACGGAAAGACTGCTGATGGGGCTATTTACTTTCTCATTAAGGGAATTGTGTGTGTGTGTGTGTGTGTGTGTGTGTGTGTGTGTGTGTGTGATTCCACCTAAAAATAGGGGCCACATAAAGTTTTTACACCTGCTAAGCTAAACAATTCATATACTTTAGCTGCCAGGCAATTCTCTCAGCAAGATAAGATTGTTTTCGTTCCACAGATATAAAGTGCAAAGTTCAAGAACACACAGCTAATAAGCAGTTTGCCCTGATTCTAAACCAGAAAGGCCACATTCTCCCCTCTTCACTCTAGTTTGGCCTCTGCCAAGGTGTCTCCTTGGCCCAAGCTCAGTCACCTTTTTTTTTTTTTTTTTTTTTTTTTTTTTTTTTTTTTTTTTTATTGAGACAGGGTCTTACTCTGTCATCCAGGCTGAAGTGCAGTGGTGTGATCTAGGCTTATTGCAACCTTTGCCTCCCAGGCTCAAGCGATCCTCCCATCCCAGCCTCCCAAGCAGCTGAGACTGCCTCTGAGTGCCACCATGCCTGGCAAATTTTTGTATTTTTTGTAGAAATGGGGTTTTGCCATGTTGCCCAGGCTGGTCTTGAATTCCTAGGCTCAAGCAATCCAACCCACCTCGGCCTTCAGTCAATTTCATAGGGCTCCTTTGTGGTTATTAAACTATTCTAATAACTGCTCTCACTCTTGTGCTCTCTCTCTCTGTTCTCCCACCTTTCACATGTTTTAATAATGTGTACTCACTGGGACTGTACTCTAATATTTTTTAAAACTTGAAAAAAATTGCCATTTAAAAGTTATAAACCATTTCTGCCTGAGTTGAATTTACTTCCAGGGCAGACTCTCCCTTACCCCTTTTCATTTCCCCAAGATAGCCTCACAGCATAGATAAGTAAAAGTTCACCCACTGGGTATGAGTATGGGAACTGAAATGATCGCTAACCTGAACACAGGTGCCTTTGGGAAGTTACACTTCCTTACTGATGTCTCTGAGATGCCTGCCTGCCAGCCTCGGTGTTAAGCATTTTACATGTATTATATATTACTATCCTCATAGGTAACCTGTGATGTTGGAATTATTATTAATCTAAATGTACAGATAAGAAAAGGGAGAAAACAGCAGTTGACTGACTTGCTCAAGGTCACTCAGTAACAAAGAATGGAAGGAGGATTCAAACTCAGAGCCTCTTGATGCCTATCTATCTATCTATCTATACATATATATATATACACATATATATATGCACACAAACACATATACATAACTTAGTATATGTTATAATATATAGATATATATTATACCTATTATCTATCTCTCTACCTATGTGTGTTTACATATGCATATATACACGTGTATATATACACATATATAATTTAGTATATGTAATATATAGATTATATATTCTATCTATGTGTGTATACATAGGTATATATACATATATAACTTAGTACATATTCTAGTATAATATATAGATATATATTCTATCTACCTATCTAGGTGTGTATACATAAGTGTATATATACATGTGTATATATACACATATATAACAGTATATATAATTTATAGATTATATATTCTATCTATCTATCTATCTATCTATCTATCTATCTATCTATCTACCTGTCTATCTATCATCTCTGTCTCTCTCTCTCTATCCATCTATCTTTTAGCAGAATTTTGTCTCTGCAAAGTTCAGGATCAGCAATAGAGACCCTTAAGCTAACATGAAATATGTACAAGGCTGATGGCCACTTTACCCTGCAGGATGAGAGAGTGAAAAGGAGCTGGCCTTTTCAAAACGGCAGGAGAATAGCCTGAGGCTGGCTAATTTCGGCAATCAAGCTGGTGGCAGTTTATCTATAAACATGAGGCTATGAGGCCAGCATGCATGGGTTTTTTTTGTTGTTGTTGTTGTCAAAAAGATGCTTAAGGAAGAAAAGGGAGAAGGAGGAGGAGAAAGAAGTGAAAAAACAAACAATATTTACTAAAGCTGAACTTATGCATAGCCTATGACCTAGCAATTCTATTCCTAGGTGCTCACCCAACAGAAATAGGAACATGTGATCACCTAAAAAGAGGAGTATTTATTTATAGCAGTGCTATTTGTAATAGACCTGAACTGGAAGCTTCCCATTGACATTAATAGTGGAAGGAATAAAGTAATCAGAAATATTAATCAAATGGAATATGATCCAGCAATGAGAATAAACAATTTACTACTGTATGCAACAGATGGATAAATCTCACAATCATATTGTTGAAAAAAGAAGCAAGACACAAAAACATGTAAGCTGTCTGAGTCCATTTATACAAAGTTCAAAAGCAGATCAAACAAATCTGTGCTGGGAGAAGTCCAGGTGTGATACCCTACCTTGTTTTAACCTGATTGACTCTCTCTTATCTGAGAGAGCAGGACAGACTCCACTTTGGTTTCTTCGCTTGCAGCCCCTCGTTCCCCCTGCTTAAGGACATAACTGGTGCAAGCTAACTCCAAGTACATCCAGGAATTGCTTACTGATAAGATACTGAGGCAAGCTGTACTACCCACTCCTGGAAACGTGCTTGGTTGATGGTACCCAAAGCCCCTGCGTTTATCACTTTGTGATAGCTTAAGCCCCTGCACCTGGAACTTTTTATTTTCCTGTAACAGTTTCTGTAACCATTTATCTTTTACTTTTTGCCTGTTCTGCTTTTGTAAAAATTGCTTCAGCTAGACTCCCCCTCCCCTATTTAGACCAAGGTATAAAAAGAAATCTAGCCCCTTCTTCGGGGCTGAGAGAATTTTTGAGCTCTAGTCGTCTCTCGGTCCCCGGCAATAAAGGACTCCTGAATTAGTCTCAAAGTGTGGTGTTTCTCTATAACTCGCTCGGTTACAACACAGGTAGTGCTGACCTTTGTTGCGGGGGTGGGGAAGGTTTGAAAGAGCAGGTAGGGAGTTGCCAGGTACAGGTAATTGTCTATTGCTTAATCAGGTGATGGGTCAGTTGATTAAAATTTGTTGAGTGGTATGCAACGAATATGTGCAACTTTCTGCACTTCAATAAAAAAAAATTCTTAAATGAAAAAAAAAGGACACCTCAACTGAAGATGAGAATGTCTTAGCAGGCATTATCCCCTTGTCACTCCCTGAATCCATGGACAGCAGACCAGATTCTGGGGCCCAAAGTAGAAGGACAGGAACCTGAATGAAGCTTACTCCTTCTCTGGGTGATCACATAATGCCTTAGAAAACAAATGAAAAGGGAGACTGTCTGCATGCCACATGCAAAGTCCTGTAGGGGAGAATAGGCCAAGGATGATGTGGCGTGGTGTGGGATGGCAGAGAGATAGGGACAGGAATTCTGTGGGCAATGCTGGCACTGACTGACAGTGTGTTTTACCTAGAAGGGGCTTTGTTCATCATGCCATATGACCCTCTAACCTTATATTTGGAGAGCAGAAGCCACAATCTACTGAAATAATCTGCCTGAAGCTTTATATTTACTATCTCAAGTCTTTGTATTGATTGAAGACCTTTCAGTTATTTGGCCTACAAAGTGACTCACCAAGACAGCCAAGTATAAAGGGGTCCCCGGAGAAATTCCAACTGGCCTGTGCACTGTGAGGAGTGTGCACTGGGGCGGAGCCTCAGGAAGTTTGCGCCATTTGCAGGGGAGGAAGAGCCTGGCTGGCCTCTCCTGATCCAGTGTGATAACCTGGGGACTCAGTCTGTGAGATGGGGAGCCTCTCTCACTTTGCTGAGTTTTTTTCCTTTTCACCCAATAAAACACTACCCTCCTCACCCTTCAAACTGTCTGTGAGATTAATTTTTCTTGGTCATGTGGCAAGGACGCTGTCTTTAGCTCAACTAAGGAAAAAGTCCTACAACAGCTTTGGTGCCCAGAACATAGGGCTTGAGAAGGGGTGAGTGAAATGGGGACTCAAAACCTCTCACATTCGCTTCTGAGCCTTTTGGTCCTATGGCATTCCTCTTCTTTTTTTCAGGACATTAATGACATGAAAACTTTTTTTTTTTTTACAATACTGGAGGTGGTTCACACACACCCCAATGGCCACAGGCATGTGTATGGGACAGTTGGGTGGGGCAGCTCCCTGCTCCCCATTCTCTACTGTCTGGGGTGCATGGCTGAGTCTGCCGCATGTATGCACAGTGTCCAACAGCCATTAACAATGGAATGAGCCAAGGGTGGGAATGAGCCACAGCAGCTGCCTGAGCCCCAAGGGATCCCATGCAGCTGGCGGTATTCCCTGCCAGGCACCCATGGAGTCTCCCCCTCCCCCAGCCAGGGAGTCCAACCCCATCAGACAGCAATTAAGCTTCTCTCTAGGGTGGAGGAACTATTTGCATAAGAATAAGAGGTTTTTCCCCCAGGCATCCCTTTTTCTTCTCCACTCCATCAGCAGTTAACTTTTAAATGAGTTTATTTTTCCTTTTAGAAGACATTTTCTTAGGCTAGGAATGATAAGGATCATTATCATAATTTAGTCCACCTATTTATGTGGACTAATTATGTTTATATTCTCTGTAAAGTTTTAATTGTGAAAAAGGATTTGTGAGGTTGGTCTTAAGCTGTAGCCAATGTGGTATGCTTTGCATGTCTGTGTGGTCAGTAGCAAACTTTGCTGCACACCTCCATCTTGTTTTATGTCCTGAGGGCATATGTCCTGAGGGTGTGGCCTGTAACCACATGGCAAGGCTTTGTTTAGCAATCCTGCCTAGGGAATGAGTCCTTTCTGGTTTGATATCTGCACATTTTCCTAGCCCTGTCTCTTAAAGGGCTCCACCCAGCGACTGGGTTTTCTTCTGCCTGTCTGTGTAGCTATATATGTGTTATGTATATGATGTCTGTAAAAAGAGCTCTAATTAATTTGGCCTAAAGGAAGACAAGCACTTGAATCAAGTATTTTTTTAAGGGAAGATAAAAGCTGTGGTAACTTTCAGTTCAAGCGACTTTAATCTTTGAGAAATAAGGCAGTCGTAAAGGTTATTGGTAAAATGCAGATGTCATCAAAATATAAATAGGTGGACTAAATTATGCAGGTTAGATACTAGAGTTGCTAAATGTTTTAAGGTTATAAACTGCCTTTTTGGTTTTTGAGAATGTTTCAATTTGTCAGCTTCACAATTGGTAATGCCAGGGGACATATGAAACTAACCACACCCTTAATTACGCTGGAAGAAGTCAAACCTTGGCTGCACCTAGCACACAATTAAAACAACTTACCAGGTTTTACATTAAAGTTAAAAACTGCTAGGAGTTACCATTATAACATATAATTGAAACTATTGGAAATAGATTTACATGCAAAGTGTGTGAAAACAGTAAAATGTGTTTTTAGTAAAAGATTATAAAAAGGCACGAAATTGTAAATTTTTGCCTAGGAGTAAAGGATTGTTTTGAATTAGACAAGATAAAGCTAAAGGTTAAAACAAGTGGTGGAAGGATTGTGGACATTAATCTTACAGAATAGTTTCTCTGTGTGAACATATTGACTAAATTCAAAAAAGTTATTCTGTAAATTGAGCATTGAAATAAAAGCACAACAAGGTATTCTTAAGGTGCTAATCTGCTCTTTAGCAAAATTTGTAAAGGTTTATAAAAGGCTTTTGCCTCTTTAAAATTTCTGAGTCATCATTTTGGCAAAATAAATAATTTATGGTGACCTGGAATACTGTTTTATAACATCAAGTGTTTTAAACCTCTAACAAATTTAACAGGCTTCCCAAAAATCAAACTTTGGTTCCGAAATTGTCTTTCCTGACTCCTGGCTTTTCAGATACTTCAGAGGGCCCCTGGAGTGTCCAGAAAAGAGAGGTAAACATGTTTAGGTACATGGGACTGCCAAAATGATGTTCAATATACTTTAGGTAATATTTTTGTGAGTAATGCTAGCATATGCTCAAAATTATATGGGATTTCTACAATTCTAATGTCTGAGTATATGCTATCAATCATAATTAAGGTTGGTATGTTAGGTTATTGTAAATCACAGAGATAACCAAACTTCTTTGTCAATTGTGTTTCTAACTGTAACTACCCTGGACATTTTGTTATTCACAGACAATGGTTGTCTTGTTTTAATGCTTTTCAAAAGATGGTTTATACTGAGCTATAGAACTTTGACAGGTCCTCTCAAATACAGGTTTCTGATAACTTTGGAGATTGTAACATTGGAATAAAGGAAAAATGTACATGACTCATGAAGAGCTGAAGTGTTCATGAATATCAAGCAAAACTAGAACTAATGGACTGAACTCAAAACTGAAACAATCTTTTTAACTTTTGTTGGAATATTGCTGATCCCCGTTTTGTTTTTCAGGGTTAAGAAAACTTATTTTGAAGTATTTACAGCCTTTAATAACTGAGTAAGCTATACTCCTGTGAACAAAATTTGGAGCCTATTTGTCTCTCTCTCTCTCTGCCTGGTTCCTCTAGAATTTGGAAACTATCTGTGAGTATTCTTAACTTATGGCAATATAGTTGTTTGCATCAGTGCAGTAAGAATCCATTTTTCTTTTGCAACAGGATGCAAGTGGAGAAACCAGTTGTTTTACCAAGGGTTTGATTATAAGGGTATGCTTCTCTTTGAGGAGTCAAGCTTGACTTGCAGAGCTGATAAAACCCCGCAGGAAAAACTGTCCTCATACCCTTGTCTACGCAGTCCCTGTACAGGGTTCCTGACCTGTGATCAGTAAAGAATGTCACTTTCTAACTGGCCAAGGATCTCCAAGTTTATCTTGGGACCTTAAGAGGAATGGATCACCCAACTCACAGTTATTTGTGGATATAAAACCATGGTTGGGCTTGGCTTTAAAAGATATCATCTGAGATTCCTTGTGGAACAGAATTCCATCAAAGCCAATCTAAAAGGTCTATGTAGAAATAGTTATTCTTGCTGCAATTTATGCAAATAATCAGGCCATATATAAAACTAAAGTCTATTTTTGCAAACAACTCAGTCCTATCAGACACAGTGCAGGTGAGCATGGCTAATTCCTGCCGATTAAGCCAAGCCTTCCATTTCATGGATAAGGATCATGCTAGTATCCATGGTATAAATGGGGTCTAGTGAATTCCAAGGCTGCTGATGTAGGGGAAAAAGAGACATAGATAAAAGCAGATAATTCCTATTCTCTAGGCCTTCCCTTCTTCATGAGTGTAAGCTGCTTTGGCACCAATGGGCAGCACCTGCCAAGGTTGCTGGGACTTGGGGATGCAAGGATGGAGGAGGGAAAGAGGATGTTCTTCTTTTTCTCCCTCATGTATCCTGGTATTTGCTAGGAAAAGAAGGGAACCAGGGACACCTGTTCTGCTCTTTCTAGGTGGGTAGCCATTCATCTTCAGTCTGTATCCCTTTCAAATGCATCTTGAATCCGTGGGACTCCTTTGGAAAAAAATGCTTTCTTCTTTCCTTTTTCCTCCTCTGTCCTCTCCTCATTGATGGGTAATTGTGTCTCTGTACTATGGGACACTCCCCTCAAATGCATTCTCCAAACTGGGGAAAGTTAATTTCCCAAACCTCAAACTGGTTGGCTTAGGACAGGGCTCAGGTGAAGGGAACCCAGAAGCCCAACATGCTGGCAAAAGGGTAAAGTTTTTTTCACCAGTTGGGCTTTTGGCCTCCCGCTCCCTGTGCAAACTGGTAAAAGGCCTCAGAATTTTTAAGTTGTCCTTAACCCGCCCCCCGGCCCCGGCCTTGTTTTATTTTGATACATATTTTCTAATAATCCAGTTTTTCTCTTCTCCCCTTCAGTCCATCAAACTCCAAATGGTCATGCAACTGGAGCCTTGGACAATGGCCCATTCTGCCAGGCTCCCTTAGATAGGCCTCTGAGGGAGCTCTGATGGCCATTTTCCCCAAAACAATGTCCCTTGTCAGTAGAAAGCAGTTAAGATTGGTCTTTGATCTTATCCTTCTTTTAAAGGCAGTTAGATGTACTTCTTCAGAGGGGGAATGAGACAGCCAAATAGGAGAGGGACCCAGAAAAACTCCAACCGGTCTGCACACTGGGAGGAGTGCGCACTGGCATGGAGCTTCAGGAAGTTCACGCTGTTTGCAAGAGGGGAGCCTGGCCTCTCCTCATCCGGTGTGGCAACCTGGGTATTCAATCTGAGATGGGGCCTGTTAACAGGAACCTCTCTCTCTTTGCTGAGTTTTTTTCCTTTCCACCAAAAAAACCCTGCCCTCCTCAAATTGTCTGCAAGCCTAATTTTTTGTGTTCATGTGACAAGGACCCTGTCTTTAGCTGAACTAAGGAAAAATTCCTACAACAGCGCCATCCCCAAATTCCTGGGTTTGGCTGGTGATAAGAGGACATCAGAAAGGACATCAGAAACATAAGTGATAGCAATATAACTTTCTGGAATAAAACACTTTCCAGTACAATAAGTAGGCTTTCCCAAGTCTTTGTTATACCACAGTGGCCTATAAGGTTTCTTGTTGTTGCCCTCAGCTCCTGGAAGAACAGAATCATTCTTGTCAGCTTTGCTTGTAATTCTTTCTCATTATGTCAGTTAGAAAGACAGGTGCTGTTTTAGTCAGTTGCTGGATGTGGCTGGATGTGGCTGAGAATCAGCTGAGATGGTTGCAAAGAGCCCTCAACTCAAAAATATATGCAGGTGACTCATGACCCTGGTCACTCTCTAGCTTCTGGAAGAATTTGGTGGATCTGTTTCTTTGCATGTAAAACAAAGAAAAATGATACTTGCATACTTCTCTGAACTTTCTCAGAAAGTTCTGAGAAAAGTGACTTCATAGTAAGATATTTTGAATTTGGTATGGAGGTGGTCCACCTGTTCATAAAAGAAGAAAGATTGTACAGATAACACATTTCGTCTTGATGTTGGAATTTCTATCTGACTCATTATTTAGCTTTGTATTCATAGTTTTGGTTCAAATGTTTACTTAGCATGCAATTATGAGCTTAAGGTGTCAGGAAGGCTACCACCCAGAATAAGCTAAGACTTGAAAAGGATACAAAACTCAATATTAGGAAAATGTGAAGGGAAATTACAATGGGGGTTTTAAGTTTTATTTGAGCAAGAAGAACAAGGAAGCAATTTGCCTACTGCCTGGAGCAAGTGAGGTAATGTTGACAGATATCAGACAGAAAGCAGATCATCCCCAGTTCAGTATTTTCTGTAGAGAAGGCTGTTCAGAGAGAGAAAGGTAAGTCAATGGAAATCCAAGATTTGTTGGGAATTTTTGGAAAATATAACACTAATCAAATGGAGCCTATCAAATGTAGTCAGTTCTCTGTGGCTCAGGCACATTAGAGTGAAAACAGAGAGAAGTGGTTTCTTAACTGCCAAAAATGATCTTTTAGTAGCACATAGAGCAAGGGAGATACTCAAAAAAGAAAAAAAGTAGCACATAACATATTGATTTGGACTCTGCAGACTATAGATCAGCAAGACTGATATTGGTATTAGATAAAATTCTAGGGAAATGTATTAAAAGGATGGTCTGTGATGTAATGACATGGTGACCCTGGGGAGACATAATGATTTCTGGGAGGGAGCATCTGGTTCATTAGAGCACGTGCATCTGGACAGTGCTCATTGCCTTGACTGATGGGTTTACTGGAGAAGTAACAGCAGTGAATAGAGATTTAGCATGGCATTGACCTAGAGTCCCATGACATCCTTGCAGACAGTGGGGAAAATATGCCTATGTTGATGGGTATGAGTTGCTTGCACTGATGTAGCTCTAACATGCAGGTTAAAGGATCCTGGTTGGAGGTCTCTCATGGTCAGACTCAGCACTGAGACTCCCTCCTGTTCCACATTTTCACAGCTAACTGAAGGGGATTTATATGGTACAGAGATCACATCTGTGGGTGCTGATGAAAAGCTGACATTTGCGGTAGGAAGGAGGCTATACATATAGAAAAAATTTTACACCAGTGTGACAGAATTAGAATCCTCAAAGGGCTTTTACAGACTAGCGTGACGGACCCAATCTAATCTGTTGTCTAGGTCTCAGTTTTCTCAGCTGTGAAATGGGGGATCGTGAGATTATCATTCCCATAGGATTGCTGTGGAGATTCAATAAAATAATGGATTAAATGACAATGCATTTAGCCCCACACATAGGCCATGTTTAGCGCTCAGCTATTATTTTCTTTGATACAACTACTAATATAGTTACAGGCAATAAGTAAAACCAAACAAAAGGAAAAACCAAAAAACTCCAGACTTAGAGTCAAAGATCAGCTTCACATATACAAAACCAGGAAGGTGTAACTTAATGGAAATTCATGGGACAAATATCTAAGTGTTTGGACTGACCTTAAGCTCCATGTGAGCCAGAGTGTATCTAACTGTCACTAACATTGCATGTGTGACTTGGATTGCCTACCAGAATTTGTGTCTAGAACAAGAAAAGTAGCAATTTCATTTGCCTATTTGAAGCTCTTTCCAAGGGACCTCTCACCAGAGGGTCCAAGTCCAGAGCTGGGCCACTAACCTTCAGGGAGTCTCATCCCTGGCTGCAAATTAGAATCACCTGGGGAGCTTAGATGACTACCAATGTCTCTGAGCCCTAACCCAAAACAACTAAATCAGAACCCTAGCCACTGCTTTAAATTAAATATTGACCATTAGGAGCTTTTCCTTTAGAAATGTATCCAGGACAGTGATGGGATTTGAAACTCAGCTATCTAAAAAGTGATTATGCAAATATCCAGGATTTATTTAAGAAAGGTGGATGTGTGCCATTAAACAACTGAAGGGCTGAGATGTAGAAGCTAAGATTTACTTTTCCTGTTTTGAAAGGGCAGAACTTGGACACTGCATGAATTAAAGGAAAATAGATAGGTATTAATTTAAAAATAATATTCCAAACTACTAAATTTGCTAGAAAATTAAACGAGTTGTTTTGAGAAATAATTAAATTCCTATGATTGCTGGTGTTCAATGTTTTCCTGACTACTTTCCAGGTATGTTATAGAAGGAAATTGTATGCATAAAAGGAGGCCTTTATGTTTCAATCAGTTAATACCTTTATGATTTTATTAAAAATTCTTATTCTTTTAGCTGATGAAATTGACCACATTCACCAAGCTGTCGAGGGGCAGGCATTGGTAGTTTTTAAAGGCTCGTCAGGTGCCTTGCCACCTCCCAGCAATGTTCTGGTTCCTGACTCCACCTGATTCCCAGAACCCTAGTGATAAGAATGCTGTATGATTAACCAGGGGGTTGTGGAAAACAATCCTCTATGCTCCATTCACACTGTACCTGGGAAAGACTTTAAACAGTTAAGGTAACAAAACCTAGAGATCTAGACAACAGTGTGTGACACAGAATCCTGGAATCCTTGGGAATTTTCTTTGTTTTGACTATTCCAATCTCTAACAGGCCGATTGAATTCTGTTAAAAAAAAAAAACTTTGTGGTAAAAGTCTTCAACATATCACAAAAGATTTTTGATCCTCAGTCAATTACCCATTTATTTGAAAACAGTCAATACAATTGAATTCCAGTGAAATAAAAGGAGTTGGATAGTCCCTTGGAGGTTGTGACAATAGAGGGTTAAATTTTTACTCTGGGGCTCAAAGTCCAGAATACCATCTGCTTAGTCCACCTCTTTCTGTTCCTATTTTTAATGCATTGTTCTTTCTGAACATGAATAACATTTCTGTGCTAATAAATCTGCATTGCTGCAGGTAAATGATTATTAGTTCATCAAAAGGGAGAAAAAGCACCTTAGCAAAGAAGAGAGTTTTATTTCATCCAGGTTATTCATTATTGATCAGAAAACAAGAGCTATCCCATTAATTCTGTGAAATTCCAACTGATCTCTTTGTTTCACCGCCAAAGACTGAGAGGGAGAAGGGCCTTTCCTTTCAACCTTAATCTCAGTCTCAAGTCAATTTGTTTTTAAATTTTAGGAAAAGCCTTTTCAGTCATTAATTGATCTAGTGAATTGGCGGGGGGTGGGGTGGGGCTCTGTTTCCACCTCATTACTCAACATCTTTGTTTTTCTATGTGTTTTCTTTCATTAAACATAACTGTGAAAAGAATTGACTGGTTTTGACCAATGTGGTATGCTATAAAGAATATTAAAATATACCTTCATTATTTGGTTTAGGTTAGATCATTTTGAATCAAAATGGATCCAGAGAAGAGTTTTTAGACCTATAACATTTTGGGTGTTTAACAAATATTTGTTGGGTTAGTGAATAATTCCCATAACATTAAACACAATATAAAAAATTACTGGAGGCAGGGTCTCACTCTGTTGCCCAGGCTGGAGTGCACAAGCACAATCATAGCTCACTACAGACTTGAACTCCTGGGCTCGAGTGATCCTCCCACCTCAGCCTCCCAAGTAGCTAGAACTACAGGCTCACACCACCATGCCCGGCTAACTTTTATTGTTTTGTGGAGATGGTGTCTTGATATGTTGCCCAAGCTGTTCTCAAACCCCTGGCCTCCCAAAGGACTGGGCAAAAAATTATCGTTATTATTATTATTATTATTATTTTGAGGCAGAGTCTCGCTCTGTCGCCAGGCTGAAGTGCAGTGGCACGATCTTGGCTCACTGCAACCTCTGCCTCCCAGGTTCCAGCGATTCTCCTGCCTCAGCCTCATGAGCAGCTGGGACAACAGGCCCGCACCACCACGCCCAGCTAATTTTTGTGTTTTTAGTAGAGGCGGGGTTTCACCATTTTGGCCAGGATGATCTCGATCTCTTGACCTTGTGATCAACCCACCTTGGCCTCCCAAAATGCTGGGATTACAGGAGTGAGCCACCTCGCCTGGCCAAAAAATTATTTTTATATCCACATTTGTCTATGTGATTCACTTTATCCAAGATGAGTTCTACGATTTTGTGGTCTATGCTGTTAGTTGCCTTCCCTTGATCCCTTCTCTCATTTCTCAGGTGCTAACAAAACCCCAATTTTGTTAGGGCAGGGATGTCCCCAGGAAAACATGCTAGCCACTAGGTGGAGCCGGGAGATACAGGTCTAGCCAATGAGAAGAAACCTTAACCTGCTGAAAGCTTCAGAGAAAGCTTTCGGATTTCTTATTAAAGGGGAATTGATAAGGCGCCACCTGTCCCATTTTTCCTGTCTTGAACCCACAACTCAAGCATTCATGTTGTGAAGATGGGGAAAGGGTAAGCAAACTGCAGAGACATTGGCCCTGCCGTGGAAGATCTGCTATTTAGAAAAAAAGTCACAACCCATGATACATGCAGCAGATATGTAGTCTCTAGTAGGCTTGAGGTACTGTTTTGTCCAGAGGCAGGTAACCAAGAAGCTGATGCTTAAATTGTGTTTTCAGTCAAATGAAAGAAGAACATCTTGAATTTATACAATGACTGGGAGAAGGCTTAATGTGTTCTTAGAATTGTAACTCCTATTTGGAGAGATTGCAAAAAGGAGCACCAGGGACAGAACCCTTGGAAGGGCCACAGGTAAGGGGAAGCTAATAATGAAATGAAAACCAAATGCATGCCCCCGTTCTATGCAACTACTGACTTTCTTCCTACAAATGTTAGTTCAAGCCTAAAAGAAATGTGATTAAACTCGAGAAAAAGAAATAACAAAAATTAAATATTTTACTTCTTTATCCTTTTTTCAATTAATAATGTATGAAATGGCCAAGTGCGGTGGCTCACACCTGCAATCCCAGCACTTTGTAAGGCCAAGGTGGGCAGATCACCTGAGGTCAGGAGCTCAAGACCAGCCTGGCCAACATGGTGAAACCCCATCTCTACTAAAAATACAAAGATTAGCCAGGCGTGGTGGTGTGCACCTGTAATCCCAGCTACTTGGGAGGCTGAGGCAGGAGAATCACTTGAACCCAGGAGGTGGAAGTTGCAGTGAGCCAAGATCATACACCACTGCACTCCAACCTGGGTGATAAAGTGAGACTCCATCTCAAGTACTACTACTAATAATATTAATAATGATAATAATAACGTATGAAGCAATATTCAACTGGCAGTAAAGATTGTAGCTGGGTTCTCATCTGGTTGACTCAATGCTTCTATTTCTCTTGATTTCCTTTTCTGATCATTCTATAATCTTTTAGTAGGGAGATGAAATAAGTTCTTTGTTATTGATGATTCATTTAAAGAATCACATTTAATTTCTCTAAAGCAGCAGTGAGCAAACTTTTTCTGCAAAGGATAAATATTTTAGGCTTTGTGGGACACAAGCTCTCGTTGCAACTATTCCACTTTACCGATGTACTGGGAAAGCAGCTCTAGACAATGTATAAATGACTAGGTGTGGTTGTTTTAATAAAATTTTATTTACCAAAACAGGCAAAGAACTAAACATGACCCATGAGTCCAGTTTGTTAACCGCTACTCTAAAGTAACATTAATGTGAAGTTCCAACTATCTGTGTTGGATTAAGCTACTTAGTCCACACTTAAGACATGAGAATCAGTAATTATAGACTCTTAAATTTTTCAAGTTGGAGGGAAACTGACTCAGTAAGAATAAGAAACACACCCTCATTGACAGCAGAGCCAGGCGTGGAATCTGGGGATTTGGGAATCCCAACTGAGTTGCCTCTTCACAGCCATCATTCATTCTACTATTAAAAAAAAATTGTAATGTATAGAAAAATGAGCATGTGATGCCTAATTTCAAAATTCCTTAGGGCTTTTTAAGGAAATATCTTTGTTATATTAAATAGTAAATATTTATGCATGATATTAATGTTAGAAGTTTTTATTGTGATCTTTGTTTTTGTGTTCTAAGAGATTTTATAGGTTAAACACACACAATGTTGTTTAATTGATGCCATCTTTCATTAGGCAGAGCTTACTACCATTTGCAAATTTAATGCTTCTTTCATGACTGAACTGAAGCCTAAAGTTGTAAATAGTGATGTGCAAGGGCCAGCACAGTTCCCATCCTGTCTTCCAGAGAACCTTACATGCATCCCAAAGCCCGGGAGAGAGCAGTCACATCGAGGGTGCATTGCTCATCAGAGTCTTGGGGCCTTCTGGGCAGCGGTTAACCTGGATCTCAAAGAGAAAACTCCTATTTCCAGTATAAAAAGAAGGCAGTATAGGTGGGTGGCTAAGCTGATGAGTGAAAAGCAAGAAAAGAGTGGTATTGAACCTCTGGGTACTGAACAAAACAATGTGGCTATTTGGTTCTAGGCAAAAAGAAAGAGCCAAATGACATTTATGCTCATTTCCTGCTTCCAAACTTACCATGCCCATCCTCAGTACTCAGTCCTTCAGGGCGACATCCCTTCCAAGCTAACAGTTTTACCACTGCCGTCTGTTGGATAGAAACTAAATTTCATCATGATATCTTCTTACAGGACAATTTAAGTAAATCAGAAAGGTTGGAACTAAGCTCTAGTCCCAGTGGGCTCCCAACCACCCATTCAAAGCCAAAGTTCTTGAGAATGACATTTTTTCCCCACATGGGCAATTGGGAACATTGATGGTTACTGTGATTCTAAAATCAGTGTGTCCTGCTTATGTAATAGATGATATAAAAACAGTGCTACGTCAGTGATTTCCAAACTTTCTTTTTTGGTAGCGAGTCATATTCAAACAAAATCTTGAATACGCTGTTCAGTTTGAAGTCAGGACCCATTTCAGCCCCACAGCAGTTCCTGCAGCCTCTCCACAGAAACAAAGCACCGAACAAAGGCCAGTGTGGAAAAACGTACTCAATGGAATTTCTGTGTTTAGAGAAACCCTAGAGAGGATACTTTGTGAATTTCTTTTTCTGTTTAAAAACTTTTTTTTATAAATTGATCTCCAAATCATGAAGCACTTTTCTCCCTCCAAATTTTCGTGTCAATTTTATCATTTCCACAGACAAAAGTTCTGCCAAATTTCTGCAGCTCAGTGAGCCACAATATTATCAGTATTTAGTGTTCCTATCATTCTGGAAGGTGTAGAAGTTAGAGGAATATATACTTGTCCACACAAGGTGGTCTCTGGGGCTGTCTTCTAAAGCCTACCAAGTGCTCATTCATTACTTATTTAAAGATATAGTGTTTTGACACCTGATGGGCTTAAAATTAAATGATTTTCTTGTTTCCCAATAGGGTGTCTATCTCTTGGGGGCAGACCTACTATAAGCAAGAATCAACATTTTTTAAAAGTTAAAAGAATTAACTTATAATGAGAAACATGACAATCACACAGAGCATTCTCTACTATGGTAGATCTACAAGATGTCCTAGCCCATCAGCCTAGAACCAAAAGGAACAGACCTGAAGTCTGAAAAATTAAGTTTATAGAACCATTTCCAAACAAGGAAAAAGCTGAGTTATTATAGAATTTGAAGGAAGGGTGGAATTAAGGTGAACATTAAATGAAGCAGTGCTTTGATAGGCTCAAAACAAAACAAGACTTTGAGTAGAGGATCAATATCAAGTCTGGACCATGACATGGACTTCAGGCCCTGTTTCCTTAAAAACTACTAAGTTAAGATTGATGTTGAATATTGTGTCTAGACACCCCTTATCTGAAGCTCTATAACTGGCTTGGAAATGGAGGCTGCTTCACTGGGTCAAGGTGACTGAGATCCTCCGGGCAAGAATGGAATATTTCATCCTTAATGATACTATTTCAAATGTGACATTTTGATAGTCTATGATGTTAGATAAACTTGTTTCTTCATGAGTAAGAAGGCAGTAATCCTTCAAAGAAGAAGGAAGGTTGCGTGACACTTTATAGCTGTGGTCCTTAGGAGAAACATTGTTTCCCATAAATATTGTTGCTGGCTTTATAATCATGTCTGTTATTCTAAACTGATGGATGACTGGAGGAATGTTTACTTTCTCAGGGGATGGCAAATGGCTCTCTCAGTTAGCTGGCTGAGCATGTGAGCAGTCCGTACGACCAAGATCATTGTTGTCTCCAGCAGTGGAGAGCACCAGGTGAGGATGGCAGCCACACTCACCTCCCATTGACCTTGACCCTTCCGTCTCTCCTGTGCCTCCCTTATTCCTTAAACCCTTCCCTATTTTCCCTGGTGGTGAGATGGGGAAGACGGAGGTGGCAAAAACTTTCTTTTGATACATCCCTCCTTTACATGTGCTAATATTTTCAGTCAAACTTTTCATCTTTTTGTCTTGGTCCCTTTTGCATTATCTTCATAGCTTAATTCTGAGAGGGTAATGGACATCACATCACATTTCTAAATTATTAGGGGACATATCTCATCATTTCCCCTAAAAATTATTTTTAAAAACTGTATATTAGTTCAATACAAGGAAACATAGACCAAATTATCCTTAGTAAATAATTATAGTTTTGGTTGAAGTCACAATTTGGTTGAATTGTAATTTTAGAAAGCAGTAAGATAATCTCATCCAACACATTTGTTTTAGAAATGACATAATGGAAGCCCAGAGAAGCATAATAATGTGTCAAATTTTGAGGGGGCCGCAGAGCCTGGCCAGATATAGAACAGATGTGTTGATTTCTTTATTGTTAGGGTGAAGGTTGCTAGCCAAATATCTAGCTTCCCCTTCAGCTGAATTAAAATAAAATATTGAAAACAACTTCTAAGTAAAACTGACTATCTTATGTTTACTTGGTAACATGGTAGTTTGTTTATTGTGGGTTAACTCTTTGCCTGACTAAATGAAAGTGAAAATGATATTTTCAGCCCTCCAGCACTTTTTTTTAAAAAAGGAGATGCTTCTACATACACACTTTCCTTTTTAAAAATGTATAGAAAAGTTAATAAATGAGTTCACTTTCAAATCAAAGGTTTCTTGATGTGACTTCTACATAATTTTCTGAATTTTCCAAATGAGGTAGATCTGAAATCCCCAGGGCAATTTCTGTTCATGGATAAGCCGGATAAGCCTGGACTTCCCAAGTGATGTCACAGTGAGACTTGAGCTTCGATAACCAAGAACTTCAAGACCAAACCATCATTTCAAGAGATTATCGAGAAAATGAATGTGAGAAGAGCTTGGTGAGATGTTCAACTGAAATAATATAGTCCTGTTTTCCTTAAGTACTTATAATTACATGTTGAAAATGAACTCTAAAAATTTATTGCTATCCAGTGTCTGAATAACCTGAAGAGAACATTGTAAAAACTGTCTAGCAAGATGTTTACAGCAAAATATTTTTAAGTGATGAAAACAATTTGCAAGACAATCTAGATACTACAATTCAAGTTTGGGTAAAAAACAAAAAAAAGAAAAAGAAAAGAAAAGGAAAGAATGGAAAAAAAAATTACCTGTTGGTAGTTGTGAGTATGTGGAAAAAAATATTTTCAAGGCATCAAAACTATCTGGATGGAAACTCCCCGAACTGTTAGATGTAGTTGCCTCTTGGACTATATGACTGAGAAGGCAGGAGATTTTTATTTTTCACTTTATGATCTTTTGTGTTTATATTGGTTGTACTTAGCATTGCCATATTTATAATTTAAAAATTCAATTAGGAAAAGGTTATTCAAGTTTGAAAACATCACGTCTCACTTGATTTATGACTTATTTAGGTTTGAATATAATTAATATTTAGCAAGAATGTGAATGTGAATTGCTTTTAATTTCAGTATCAATGGCTTAGTAAAGCTCTTTCTGATGCATTAAGATGTAAAGAAATTATACTGAACTCTCTAATATTATTATGTAATATATAATATTATATATGATGTTAATATGTGATATGAGTATTAGAAGCTCTGAATTTGTCAGAAATTTTGTCTATTTGTGAACTCATTGATTCATTTAATAAATGTTTAAGTACTTTCTATGCAGAAGGCTCTGTCTGAGTTAGATATTAGAAACGAACATGAAAAGTTATAGTCCTTACCCCTAAAGGGCTTGTGCTCTGTTGGAATAGACCAGCACACAGAAAATAATTGATACACCGTGAGAAGTGGTATAATAGATAAGTCTCAATGGGATGTGGGGATTCATAGCATTTTCTTTGGAAAATGCTCCCAGGCACACTGAGTTGGTTCCCTGGTAACTGTGCTTATATTGGGTGACACTATTCCTATTGGAATTAAATTAGAACATTAAATTAGAACAGATATATCCTTTTACAACAATATTTTAAATATATAAGTGCATGAAGCTATAATTTTTATGTAATTGAGTGTTGGCTAAATATGAAAGACAATGTAATTGAATTTTTTTTTTTTTTTTGAGACGGAGTCTTGCTATGGCGCCAGGCCAGAGTGCAGTGACATGATCTCAGCTCACTGCAACCTCTGCCTCCCGGGTTCAAGTGATTCTCCTGTCTCAGCCTCCTGAGTAGCTGGGATTACAGGCACATGCCACCATGCCCAGCTAATTTTTGTATTTTTAGTAGAGGCGGGGTTTCACCATGTTGGCCAGGCTGGTCTCCATCTCCTGACTTTGTGATCCGCCTGCCTCGGCTTCCCTGGAATTGAATTCTTATTATGCATGTCAAAGCTTCCAGTTGATAGGCCAGCAGTATTTGAATGAATAATAAAATAATGACATGTACATTCGTAAACTATCATCTATTTATTTAATGAAATATATTTTTATTTCTTTCTATTAATATTTTAGTTGAATTAATATTTATGTCATTATGATTCAGATTTTCACCAAATTTGTATTCTATCAACAGTAAGGCCAATTAAGCCATGTTTTTTGAATCATTATACCTCTCAGTTCTTGTTCCTTTCAGTTTGGGTCAACTTTACTCTCCTGAGGCAGCAGTGGAAATTGTCAATAAAATTCTTAAAGCAATACTGATATTCACAATGAACAACGAAATTTACATACAATGTTTAATCATTGTCATGGAGCTACCTATAATAAATTGTCATGATCATAGAATCTATTATAAGCTATTTTAATTGCATATGTCACTATCACAAAACTTTCATGGTCTCTTAGCAATATCCATAGAATACTTCTTAAGTTTTTCTTCTTTCAAAAATTCAATGTTGTAATATTATAAAAATGAAAAAGCAATAAAATATTGCTCAATGTATTGAAATTTCTCTTTATTTAAGACTATATCTGGACCTATAATATGTTCAGAAAATAAACTCTATAGAAATTCCTTTAGAGATTATGGGTACATGACTCCTCTCCTTCACAGATATGCAGACATTCTTATTTCCCCTTTCTTTATTGGAATGCACTTTTGTTATTTCACCTGCTGTTTCTTTCAATTTAGAAAAAAAACCTCATTTCTAACATTTTATTACACTTTCAGTTTTTTAAAAGTTAACCGAAAGTAATTTGAGTTTGTTTTAAGCTTTTGCTAACATAACTAGTAACAGGTATCAGTTTACACCAAATAACTAAATTCAAGATTAATTCATTTTCTGTCAAATAATGAATTTTCTCTTACTTTGGGATTTTCTACTACTTTGCTTTCTTCTAGTTGTTTCATATATTTTACTTAAATAAAATTTAATTGCTATAGCAGCATTTAGTTGCCATTCTCATTGTGTGTCTGAGTATAGTGGTAAAGTTATATTTGATGAGCATATTCAGAAAACATCTAATATAATAATGAATTGCTCCACAAAATGTCATTGCTGTTGAACTATTGACACAGTGGAGGGTTTGTCTCATGTGACAAATCCAAACCATGCACTATGTGGTACAAAGAATGCTTTTTAAATTTTAGCCCAAATTCTGTCTTGTACATTTGTTTTTAAAGCAACTGTGTTGATGCCATTATCATAGCTCCGCCTAGATAACCTTTCAAATTAATGCCTACCACTGAAAATTGTGTTTTTTAAATGTCTTCATTTTAATCAAAACCCAAGCTTTTACCAACATGTATAAAACAAACTAAACACTCTTAAATTTTCATTTTTGGGGGTTGGTTCAAACATTTGAATAATAAAAGTTATTTTCAACATGAATTTTGTTTCTGGTACAATATAGTTGAACTTAGTATTTTTAGATTTTTATTTTGTGGATGATTTATTTTCTCACTTTATTACACATAAAATTTTCAAATCTTGTTTTGGGTTATTTTTACATAGTAATAACTAGTTTCTTTCTTTTTAAAATTAAGTTAAATTTAATTTTAAGTTCTGGGCTACATGTGCAGAACGTTTGCTACATACATTTGTGCAGGTTTGTTATATGGGTAAACATGTGCCATGGTGGTTTGCTGCACCTATCAACCCATCACCTCGGTGTTAAGCCCCACATGCATTAGCTATTTATCCTGATGCTCTACCTCCCACAGCTCCCCCAACAGACCCCAATGTGTGTTGTTCCCTTCCCTGTGTCCATGTGTTCTCATTGTTCAGCTCCCACTTATAAGTGAGAACATGCAGTGTTTGGTTTTCTGTTCCCATGTTAGTTTGCTGAGGATAATGCCTTCCAGATCCATCCATATCCCTGCAAAGGACATGATCTTGTTCCTTTTATTGCTGCATAGTATTCCACGGTGTATATGTACCACATTTTCTTTATCCAGTCTATCACTGATGGGCATTTGGGTTGATTCCATGTCTTTGCTATTGTGAATAATGCTGCAATGAAAATACGCATGCATGCATGCATCTTTATAATAAAATGATTTATATTCCTTTGGGTATATACTCAGTAATGGGATTGCCGAGTCAAATGTTATTTTTGGTTCTGTAGGTCTTTGAGGAATCACCACACTGTCTTCCACAGTGGTTGAACTAATTTACATTCCCTTTAACAGTATAAAAGCATTCCTATTTCTCCACAGCCTCACCAGCACCTGTTGTTCCTTGACTTTTTAATAATCGCCATTCTGACTGGCTTGAGATAGTATCTCATTGTGGTGGTTTTGATTTGCATTCTCTAATGATCAGTGATGTTGAGCTTTTTGCATATGTTTCTTGGCCACATAAATGCCTTCTTTTGAGCAGGGGCTGTTCATGTCTTTTGCCCAATTTTTAATGGGGTTGCTTGTTTTTTTCTTGTAAATTTGTTTAAGTTCCTTGTAGATTCTGGCTATTAGACCTTTGTCAGATGGATAGATTGCAAAAATTTTCTTCCATTCTGTAGGATCTCTGTTCACTCTGATGATAGTTTCTGTTGCTGCACAGAAGCTCTTTAGTTTAATTGGGTCCCATTTGTCAATTTTTGCTTTTGTTGCAATTGCTTTTGGTGATTTTGTTGTGAAATCTTTGACTGTGCCTATGTGCGGAATGGTATTGCCTAGATTTTCTTCTAGGATTTTTACAGTTTTGGATTTTACATTTAAGTCTTCAGTCCATCTTGAGTTGAGTTTTGTATGAGGTGTAAGGAAGGGGTCCAGATTCAATTTTCTGCATGTGGCTAGCCAGTGTTCCCAACACCGTTTATTAAATAGGGAATCCTTTCAATGGAATAGAATAGAGATCTTAGAAATAAGACCACAAATCTACAACTTTCTGATCTTTGACATTTGTTTATTTTTATTCAGCTTACATGTTCAAACATCATAGCATAACTTTTCTCAATAATTTCTATTTAAACTAAAAATTTTCCAGTGTTTTCTGAAAATGTTTGTTGTTTGTGTTATGAAAAGCTTGGGATAAATATGAAATACATAACATTTTAAAAAAATATATCATGCTAATATCCTATGTCTTTCTTTACAGAGTACTGTCAATTTTTGCTATTTAAATTTTTAAAAAGTTCTAGTAATTGCACATTTTGTTTTGTGTGTTTATGTATATATGCACAACTGATATATTTGTGTTCTTTTAATTGAGATCCTAAGTGTTGTTAGCAACAAATACCTTCATTTTGAAGATTAGTTGTGAAGCATTTGACAGTAGTAACACAGTATTTTGTTTTTGACATTAAAACGTAAGTCAGTTTTAACATTTTTCTCTCCATTTGAGAGAATTTTGATATAAAATGGAGTATAACATTTTCTGCAATGTTCAGGCAATGAAAAATCAAAATCGTTTATTTGCTGCAGAGTGTATTTTGCAAGAAACATTCTCACACTGTCAGAAAGTTCACATGGACTGTTTTCTAGGATCATCATCTAATAAACAGTAAAGTTCCAGAGGTTCTGTCTTTCTCATTCAACTTATAATGCATGAATGTCATTTTTTTTGCATCTTTTAAAGGGAAATGCAGAGATGCATTTGATGTTTTTGGGTTGTGATTTTGATATGAATATCTTTTCAAATCTTCTTTGTTTTGATAAGTAATTAAATCTTCATTTGATAAGAAATATTCATATTTTAAAATGTGAATTATTGAATTTTCTTAGTTGCAGGAATTTCATCAGGGGCATACAAGTCGTGGATTTGACTGGGACAATTTCTTGTACATTTCCATTGTTTTTAACAGTAAGTAAAACCTCAGTGTATATAGAATTTGTAATATCTTATTCATAAATCTTATGTAGATTATGCTTAACATACATTTGTTCAATTTAGTTGTGAGTTTAAACAATTTAAGAAAACATCCTCTTTGAAGATTATTTCTTCTTTCTATTTTGGGGTTACTTTTACATTTTCTACTTCTTTTGTGATTTTGACTGTAGTCATTCCTAAGGATCTAAAAGATTAAAAAATTAAATGTAATTTTACCACGTGTTCATTCAAAATTGCAACTTAGAATATATATACAATTTTAAAAATTAAATGTAGTTTTCCAAAGGAAGTGTTTTCTTCTAAAATATTTAAAATCATTTCTTACAATTAAGCAGTAAAACACAAATTGTAATTGATGGATTGTATAATTTTATTCAAAATTAGTTAAATCAAGCTGAATTTTAAAATTTTTATAATTTTAATAAAATTTTGTTGTTTCATAAAAACAATACTGTTTGTAATTTTACCATTTAATGTCCAACTAGTTGACAATGAAAAGAATTAACACTATGTTTAAGTGATATTATAGACCTATATATATACAAATTTCAAAGCAATCTGAATTGCTTAACATTCCAAAATGTTTCTCAGCTGCTACATGTTAACTATTATGAATGCCACCCTAAAATCATAAGTGCCTCTGGAGCTGCAAATGGTAACAAGAAGAGAAATAAATGAATAGATGTTCAGCGCTATTGGGAAACAGACTTTCATTATAAGGGAATCTATTCCATTTATGGTATCTGATAACATGGATTTTACAAGTTAATTTATTTGCCTTTATTCTTTTCTATGTGCAAGAGCTACTCAAATCTCCCCTGCACTCTAAAGCACTGTTTGCCTCAAGCATCCACAGCAGCACAATCCAGAAAGTCTCATGGAATCCAAATGTGGTTGCCTTGTACTTAAGAGCCTAAGACAAGATACATAGAGAAATGTTTCCCTGAGGATTTAGAATTACCGCTTGTGTTGCACCAAGAACTACATGCAGAATCCCAGTGATAAAGAGACCCATCTGTTTTTTAATACCTTTTTTTTCATAGTTTTGTCATACCCAGGGCCCTCTGAAGTGTGGAGCCCAGGGCCCTCTGAAGTGTGGAGCCCAGGGCCCTCTGAAGTGTGGAGCCCAGGGCAGGGACCAGCCTTGCCTGAGTCTGAAAGAAAATATTGGCTGGGTCATTTGGATTTTTCTTCTTATGATTTTGGAATTTAGAACTAAGGTTGCTGGGAGCTGAGCCATGTTCATGGCAGAGGAACGGAACTTCCCTTTGTGGAAGTTCCTGGATCTTCCAGAGCCTGGGGAGTTTTCCTCTTCCTTGGATTCCAGGAGATATGTTAATATTCTTTTAATAAATGCCTTTTTTGTGTAGAAATGCTTGTTTGGTTTCTGATAGTTGTAACCTAAAAAATCTTTAGTAAGCCATTGGTCTGCTGTGGGGAGCGTCGAGATGAAACTGGAACGTTGTTTGAACCTAGATCATAAAGTGACTCCAACATCTTCATACCAGGGGTAGGAAACATGCTTGGGAAACATACTGTCTCTTTAGCTTGTCAAATTACCTTAGAATAATTGTATAAAGGTCTCTATTCAGCACTTTCCATTGTTTCACATATGATTATATGATGTCATTGGATGAGGAGGATTTTCCTTTCAATAGGCGGCTTTGGGTGTGGGCTGTGTGTCAGGGAAATAGGAGCTGTAATTGTCTCCTCTTATCGTTCTATCAGACTCTCTCAGCTTCTAGCAGGTAGGGGAGGACTGAGATTTTAGATACTAATTTATCTCAATCTTGTTCGAATCAAGTCTTTCTTGTTTCAGAGAGGAGGAAGCTGTGCTGTGAAGGATCCTTTTTCATCATGATTATTGCATCCACAGAAGCAGTGATAAATTCTAACAGATAATGCAACTCAGTCTACTTGGATGTTCACACCTGAGACTGGAGAAGACCTGCTGCCTTCTGCAGAGCCAAACATTCCTCACATGCTCCTCCACAATGCTGTGAGCCATATTTATTCATTTAAAAGCTAGTACCTCGCTATTTCTTGTACATTAATTCTTTTAAAACGTTTACAAAACAAACTAAATTTAAAGAGGAAATTATTTACTGATAGAACTAATAGCCTGAAAATAGTTGCCCAACATAGCATCGCACATAGCAACAGGAAGTAGTTTATATACTAGGAAGTCTCTTTAAAATGTGCTTGGATATTGCCAAAATTCTCTGCCTTATAAACTAAGGAGTTCTTTTTTTTATTTTTTAGAGTTAATGCAGCAAGAATAGTCTTATATAGACTATAAACTCCTGGTACACTGTGTCTACATTGCTCACTGCAGTATCCCAACATCTAAGACCATGGTCTTAGATGTCTGGTACAGGACTGGTGCTCAGTATGCATTGAATGAATAAATGAATGAATATAGCAAAGCATTCCATGATGTTCTCTTGAATTCATTTATTCTTTGGAATTTGGTTATTTTTTTTTGTTTTTTTGGTGCAGTGGTTATGTACTACTAGGGGTATGATATGGGTTCTTCAATAAATCTCTTCAAATTATAATAAAGATTTAGCGCTAACCTTCTGCTCACTATCTCCCTCTAAGTACTACAGATGGATGTGATTAGCATGCAATTTATCATCTTGATGGAATTCATGTCTTACAGGCCTATGGCTTTCAAAATTGAAGTATCTAGATTTATGTTATTTTGTCAAATAGGAAATGGTTTTACTCTATTGAGATTCCTACACTTAAAAATTTATATAGACCTTAAAAAAATCCTAAAGAAGAGTTTGAAAAGTATGGTTAGGCATTCTTCTAGCCATATAGACTATAGAGGAGAATAAGTTTAAGGAAATCATCAAGTAAAGTCAAGAACATAGTAAAAATGGTAACATACCACCTTCATGTAAGATAAAACCAGATAAGATTTTAAAAAGAAGCATTTATGCTATGCTTAGGAAGCCAATCCTGTTGAAAAAACTGATATTGCAGCCATATCTGTCTGTGAGTAGTTGTAACAATGCTGTAGGTAACATTTCTGAGAGCATGATACAGTGTAGGGGGAATCGATCTGTGGTCTTGGGGTCCTTGGGGAAAAGGGTATATGAAGAGTTCTTCCAAAGTGGCCTCTAAATCCACCTGTGTAGTAAACAGTGTCTGACAACTAAATAAATAATTTCCATGTGTACTTACGGCTGTGTTTTAAATGGATGCAAGGGCTGGAGTGATAACTACAGTTCAATTTGTGAAAAGATTTATAGATTTTGTAGCACTTGCAGATTTTATGGACTTTCTCTGCAATTAAATATTTATAGTTCAGTGCTATGGTTTGAGTGTGTTTTCCAAAAGTTCATGTGTTAGAACCTTGGTCCTCAGGATGGCAGTGTCGGCAGGTGGGCCTAGTTGACGGTGTTTGGTCATGGGGGCTCTGCCCTTATGAAGAGATTAACGCAGTTCTCATGGAACTTGGTTAGTTCTTAAAGAGTGGGTTGTAAAGCAGGTTGGCACACTGTCTCCCCTCTCCTGCTTCTCCACAATGCTATGAAGCAGCACAAGGCCCTCACCAGATGCAACCCCACAATCTTGGACTTCCCAGACTCCAGAATCATGAGCTAAATCAACTACTTTCCTTTCAAGTTATCCAGTTTCAGGTGTTCTATTATAGCAATAAAAAACAAACTAAGACATTCAGCTAGCACAGAAGGGTCAGCCTGCTGAAATGCATTGGGAGCAAGTGCAATGAAACTGAAAGATGGTCAGGGAAGTCCGCCTCCCTCTGGCTCCATCAACTCAGAATAAGCAAGAATGTTTGATACCACTAGGATAATATTTTTTGGGCATGTGTAGCGTATACTATTAAGAGGCTCATAATTTTGAACCTTTGAGAGAATTTTGGCAAGATCTGGGCTGAAGCTTATCTTTGCCCTCTTTATGATGTTTTGAAAATTAAAAATGTGTTACCATTGAAGTAGATAAATTTAAGAAAAATAATGACTACATTACAGCATACGATTAATAACTAATTATAGGTCATTTTATTGAAACAATACATTCTATTAGGAGGTATTTTGTTTTACTAGATCAAGTTATCATATGCACTAAGTAAAAGATATATTGCAAAAATACTTTGTAAACTCTGAAGTACTAAAAATGCTGAGGTTACATACTTACAAGCAATAAAATTAGTTATATTTTAAAATACTTTAATAATTGCAAAAATAAAAAATCAATAGCTTTCATATACACAAAAATAACCAGTTAGAAAATATAAAGCAAAAAAACCCATTTATAATAGCAATAGGAAAAATAAAATATTTAGGAATAAGCTTAAAAAGTGTTCAAAGCCTAAATGAAGAAAATTATAAACATTCCTGAAAGACACAAAGGTAGAGGTGACCTAACAGAAATACATCTTGAGGTCTTGGTTAGGATGTCTCAATGGTATTTGGATGTCAGTTTTCTCAAAGGTAATTCATAAATTTGATAAAATTCCAATAAAACAGAAATCCCTTTTCTTTCTGTAGCTAGCCAAATTAATACTAAAGTTCATATGGAGAAATAAACATGGTAGGGAAATACTGAAAAGGAATAAATATAGCGTGTCGATGGGGGGGTGAGGTGAAGTAACAGAGACCAGCCATACTCACATTAAAACATACTATAAAGTCTCTGCTTTAAGAACAGTGTGGTACTGGCACATGAACAGATAGAACAGAATAGAAAGTCCAGAAACAGACCCAACAACATATGGAAATCTAGACTATGACAGAGGTGGTATTATCTCAAATCTTAGGGAACAAATGGGCTTTTAAACAAAGATGGTGGGGCAACTGGACAGACAGTTGAGGAAAAGATAAAATTATGTCCACTTCTCACACACATAAGAATACGTGCTAAATGGATTCAAGGTCTGAATGTAACTATACAAGTGCCAGAATGAAACCGAAATGAATCTCTCTAAAATTTGATTGTAGGTAGATTTCTGACTATACCTCAAAAGCCACAGGAAAGAGAAGAAATGCTTAACAGATCTGACTACAAAAAAAGCAAGTGGCAAAAACAATAAACAAAGTTAAAAGACAAATAACAAATTGGAAGAAAATATTTTAAGTATTTAATCACAGATACAGAGTTAATATCCCTATTATGTAAGAATTTGTAAAATTGAGGAAACACTGACAGTACTATCTTAAAGTGGGCACAAGACATGAAAATTTCCCAAAAAGAGATATAAACATGGCCCTTAAACATAGAAAAACATGTACAATTTCACTCGTGAAATTAAAATTGAAACTACACAGAGACTCTTCTCATTCACCAGATTAGCAACTATTCAAAAGCTTGATAATACATTCCATTGAAGAGACTCTAGGGAAATACACACTCTCAAACACTGATCATGGAAATGCAAAATGGTATAGCCTCATGAAGGGGGATTTGTCAATATCTAACAAAACCACACAGACATTTACTCTTCAATTAAGGAGTCCTAATTCCAGGAATATATCATGAAGATACATCTTCAAAATACCAAAATATGGGTCAGTTGTAGTGGCTCATGCCTGTAACCCCAGCAATTTGGTAGACTGAGGCAGGCAGTTACAGACCAGCCCGGCCAACATGGCAAAGACCCATCTCTACTAAGAATACAAAAAAATTTAGCCAGGCGTGGTAGCATGTTCCTGTAATCCCAGCTACGCAGGAGGCTGAGGCACGAGAATTGTTTGAACCTGGGAGGTGGAAGTTACAGTGAGCCAAGATTGCGCCACTGCACTTCAGCCTGGAAGATAGAGCCAGACTCTGTCAAAAAAAAAAAAAAAAAAAAAAAAAAAAGGAAGTACATACATACAAGGTTCTTAACTGCAGCATTATTTGTAATAGCAAAATATTGGGAACTATCTGAATACCTTGGAGTACTTCACACAACAGAGTACTACACAATTTCACTAAAAAGTATTTCTATGAACTTCAGGAGATAAGTTTTTTTTTAAAGCCAATTGTAGAAGAGCATCTACAATATGCTACCTTTTGTGTAAGCAAGGAGAAATAAGAAAATACACAAGTCTGCTCTTTTTTGGAAAAAGAAACACAGGAAAAATAAACCAGAAGACAATGAAATCACTTACCTACAAAAGGTGAGGGAAAATCAGACAGAAGTGATAGAGAAGGCAGTGATACTTCTCTGCATAAACCTCTACGAAATGGATAACATTACTACATTGAAGTGGGGGTTGCAGGGGCAAAGAACTAATTCAGGTAACTTTAAAGACAACACTTTGATAATATACTTTTACTCTAGGGAAAAAAATAAAGAACTTCAAATGCATCTTAATTTCTTTTTACTTGATTTGATTTGATATGCATGGTGATTTGGGTATAGCAATTCTGAAACGATTTTATGTGTGTTTTAGAACTGGGAAAATGAGTCAGTGTTCTGATGCTGTTGAAAGGCAGAATTCTCATTGTGGAAGAAGGGAGATTCAAAGATGGAGTGGGTGGGGGGAAGGCAAAAAAGAAACTCGTGGAGTGGGATTGATATTGAAAGTATCAGTATAACTGCAGAATTTCTATGACATGTATAGACAAGCCTTTGTGTGTGTGTATGTGTGTATGCATCTCTGTGTGTGTAGCTTTCTTAGCTCTATCCTCAAAAAGGGCCTGGAGGCAGACCCCCTCAGTAACAATGAAAACATCTAGTGCTAAGATTTTGGTTTCTAAATACCATTCCCCATGATAAGTAAAGAGAGGTCCTTTGAGAAATGGCTGATTCCTGCGCTGGAACAGGGATGCTACTTGATGGGTCTGAAATATCTTGTTGAACCAGAAAGCAAGAAAGTGTTGTTTTAAACAAAAATTATGGGAGCATATCAAAAGGGAGCCAGCTTAAAGGGGATCCAACTTTCCAAGTCTGTGACAATCTGAGCATTAAAAGTATTAATAACAAAGGCCGAGTATGGTGGCTCATGCCTGTAATCCCAGCACTTTGGGAGGCTGAGGTGGGCAGATCACAAGGTCAGGAGTTCGAGACCAGCCTGGCCAAAGTGGTGAAACCCCGTCTCTACTAAAAAATACAAAAATTAGCTGGGTATGGTGGTAAGCGCCTGTAATCCCAGCTATTCAGGAGGCTGAGGCAGGAAAATCACTTGAAACCAGAAGGTGGAGGTTGAAGTGAGCCAAGATTGTGCCAGTGCACTGTAGCCTGGGGGAAAAAATGAAACTCCTTCTCAAAAAAAAAAAGCATTAATAAGAAAAATGAAGTATAACCCATGGATAAAATTGGAATCTATATATTCATACTAATAATAGGGAAGAAGGGAGAGAGGAAGAGAGGCAAAGAGGAGAGAAGTGAGAGAGGGGAGAGAAGAAAGAGGAAAGGGAGAGAGAGAGAGAGGAAAGGGGAGGGAGAGAGACATTTCTTATAGAACAAAAGAACACCTACCAATAAATGTGGAGAGAGTGGGTAAACATGTAATATCAACAGTTTACAGCCATTATAGCAAACTTGAATTAGAGCAAGAATCAAGTTTAGGAAGAAAAGTGTGATGAGGAGTAGAATATTTGCATGGGCTTAAAGTGTCTTTCAACATATTGCTTACTAGTTGCAAGGGAGAAAATAGAAATTCTATAGTGAAGAAAATGAACAAGAGTTTGATCAGGTGATCAAAATTAATATAATGAATGAATGAGGAGCAGATGGATATTTTATGCCTGGGATACCTGAGGAGGACACAGAATTGTTTATGTAGTTTTGTGGCCAGGGAGGAAACATCAGCAAACCCAAATGGAGAAACATTCCATAAAACTACTGGCTTTTGCCATGAAAGGCAAAGGAAAGACTAAGGAACTGATCTAGGTTAAAAGAGACTAAAGAAACAGACAACTAAATGTAATCCATGGTCCTGTACTGGCTTCTGGACTGGAAAGGGTAAAAAAGTTATAGAGGACATTACTGAGATAATTGGAAAAAATATACATAAAACTATTGCATCAAAGTGTCCTGAATTTGATAACTGTACTATGGTTATGTAAGAGAATGCCAGGCTGGGCACAGTGGCTCACGCCTGTAATCCCAGCACTTTGTGAGGCCGAGGTGGGTGGATCATGAGGTCAAGAGTTCAAGACCAGCCTGACCAACATGGTGAAACCCCATCTCTACTAAAAATACAAAAATTATCTGGGCGTGGTGGCACACACCTGTAATCCCAGCTACTCAGGAGGCTGAGGCAGGAGAATTGCTTGAACCTGGGAGACTGAGGTTGCAATGAGCCAAGATCACAGCACTGTACTCCAGCCTAGGTGACAGAGTGAAATTCTGTCTCAAAAATAAATAAATAAATAAAGAATAAAGAATGTCCTTAGTCTTAGGCAATAATTAGAAAATATTAAGAGGTAAAAGAAAGTGTAAAAGGCTTACCCCTCAAATGATTCAAAAAATATAAAAGAGTACAGACATGGGCAAACAGAAAAACAATGATTTTTAAATTGTGGTTAAAATGTTAAAAATTTTAGAAATCTGGGTAAAGGATATATGAATATTTTATGTATTGTATAAAAAATTTTGTAAGTTTGAAATTATTGCAAGAAGTTTTTCTAAACATATGATTAAAAGATTTAAAAAATTCTGACTGCTCTTCACCCAAATAGATTGAAATTAGTAAGAAATGGCTCTAATTTGTAGTACCCTGGGAGCCTGTGAAAATTTCTATAATGATACCCACCTAGTCTCTATGAGTGAATCACACGCCAGAAACATCTGCCCTGTGATTCTATGGAGATTTCTGACATCTATAAATTTGAAGGAGTATGTTTGAGAAGAAAAGCAGAAGTTTCCTGCTACTTAAGTCTAGAATGAAACAGGATTCATAATCTCTATATTTCGGAGCTAATCAAGTGGCAATGTCAATGGGGGAAATCCAGGTCAACTTTAATTCCCATCATGACTAAGTGGCAGAAAGACTCAGAATACAATGACCTAGAACTGACCTCAGGGAGAAATCACAGTCAAATCAAGATCGCTAATTTCCAGGATTCTTGGTAAGGATGACTCAGCAATTCATAAATCTCAACATTTACAATAAACACAAACCTACGTCACATGTCTTTTACTCTCAAATAGGTAGTACAGTACCAAGCTGCTTCTCAGGACTACATATAGTGTTTATATATTCTTTAAAAAGATAAGTTCAGATAGAGACATAGTTTACCAAGTATAAAGGAAATGTATATAACCGTCTTAAATGTATTAGACATTAAAAATCTAGTATGCTCATTACCCACCTTGAATTTCTTAGCTCTGGAAGATAGCATATTCTTCAAAAGCTATCAGTTTCATTACCTAAGAAATAGAGACAATATTGATTTTCTTCAAATGTGTTCAACCCTTTTGTTCAAAAAGTAGTCATGTTTTCATTTGAAAGAGAAATCCTAGAAACTGTGTGGTCTGATTGCTTATCCGTTGGTGTATTCTCATAGCATCTCTGGCTTCCCTGTTGATTTATAATACAGCATCATTCAAGGTAAAAAAGAAATTGCTACACTGTGAGTCAATTCATTGCAAATAAGGAATACAAGTTTCAGCTCTGATGTTGATTGTATGATTTAGAGCAAATAATTTATCTCTTTTGGCCTTAGGTTTGTTTGGTTGGTTGGTTGTTTTTGTTTGTTAGTTCTTTGAGACAGGGTCTCACCCAGTCACCCAATTTGGAGTGCAGTGGCGCAATCACGGCTCACTGCAGCCTTGACCTCCTGGCCCAAGTGATCTGCCACCTCAGCCTCCCAAGTAGCTGGGAGTACAGATGCATGCCAACGTGCCTGGCTATTTTTTTTTTATAGAGACAGTGTTTTGCCATCTTGCCCATGCTGGTCTCAAACTGCTGGGGTCAAGTGATCCACCCACCTTGGACTCTCAAAGTCCTAGGATTACAGGTGTGAGCCATAATGCCCAGCCCAGGCCTTAGTGTTTTGTTTTTGTTTTTGTTTTTTATAAAGTAAAGCTTCACAAGAAGGGCAAGCAAAACAGTGAGGGTTCTAGAAACCATATGACTTAGAGAATGGTTACCAGAACTGGAGAGATGTCAAGTTTAGACTTGAGGGTTGGATTTGGCTTATGACAGCTGCCTTTCCATGGTGATGAAGGAGAAGAGTGAGACTTGGTATATGGCTCAATGAGCAGGATGAAGCTGTGAGGTGGAAGCGCCAGCAAAGTGGATGGTAGAAAAAAGTTTAAAATGCTAGAGAATTTCCTAACAATTGAGCTGTGCTACAAGGAGGGAACTGTTTCAGGGGTCACTAGTGGAGCCAAAGGAGACCTTAGATAATTTGGAATAGCAAAAGTTCAGCATCATGCAAGATACTGAACTTCTAGATAACCAAAACACCCAATTCTTTTTATTTATTTATTTATTTGTTATACTTTAAGTTCTAGGATACATGTGCACAATGTGCAGGTTTGTTACATATGTATACATGTGCCATGTCGGTTTGCTGCACCCATTATCTTGTCATTTACATTAGGTATTTCTCCTAATGCTATCCCTTCCCCCTCCCCCGACCCCATGACAGGCCCCTGTGTGTGATGTTCCCCGCCCTGTTTCCAAGTGTTCTCATTGTTCAATTCCCACCTATGAGTGAGAACATGCGGTATTTAGTTTTCTGTCCTTGTGATAGTTTGCTCAGAGTAATGGTTTCCAGCTTCATCCATGTCCCTACAAAGGACACGAACTCATCCTTTTTTATGGCTGCATAGTATTCCATGGTGTATATGTGCCACATTTTCTTAATCCAGTCTATCATTGATGGAAATTTGGGTTGGTTCCAAGTTTTTGCTTTTGTGAATAGTGCCACAATAAACATATGTGTGCATGTGTCTTTATATTAAAATGATTTATAATCCTTTGGGTATATACCCAGTAATGGGATCGCTGGGTCAAATGGTATTTCTAGTTCTAGATCCTTGAGGAATTGCCACACTGTCTTCCACAATGGTTGAACTAGTTTACAGTCCTACTAACAGTGTAAAAGTGTTCCTATTTCTCCACATCCTCTCCAGCACCTGTTGTTTCCTGCCTTTTTAATGATCGCCATTCTAACTGGTGTGAGATGGTATCTCATTGTGGTTTTGATTCGCATTTCTCTGATGGCCAGTGATGATGAGCATTTTTTCATGTGTCTGTTGGCTGCATAAACGTCTTCTTTTGAAAAGTGTCCGTTCCTATCCTTTGTCCACTTTTTGAGGGGGTTGTTTGATTTTTTCTTGTAAATTTGTTTAAGTTCTTTGTAGATTCTGGATATTAGCCCTTAGTCAGATGGGTAGATTGCAACAATTTTCTCCCATTCTGTAGGTTGCCTGTTCACTCTGATGGTAGTTTCTTTTGCTGTGCAGAAGCTCTTTAGTTTAATTAGATCTTATTTGTGTATTTTGGCTTTTGTTGCCATTGCTTTTGGTGTTTCAGTCATGAAGTCCTTGCCCATGCCTATGTCCTGAATGGTATTACCTAGGTTTTCTTTTAGGGTTTTTATGATTTTAGGTCTAACATGTTAAGTCTTTAATCCATCTTGAATTAATTTTTGTATAAGGTGTAAGGAAGGGATCCAGTTTCAGCTTTCTACATATGACTAGCCAGTTTTCCCAGCACCATTTACTAAATAGGGAATCCTTTCCCCATTTCTTTTTTTTGTCCTGTTTGTCAAAGATCAGATGGTTGTAGATGTGTGGTGTTATTTCTGAGGCTTCTGTTCTGTTCCATTGGTCTATATCTCTGTTTTGGTACCAGTAGCAGGCTGCCCAAACACCCAATTCTAAGTTAAGGTGATTCTTCATCTAATTTGGCCTAAGATTGAATTAGCGTGTTTAAGAAATTAAAGCAAGTTCTTGACTCATATTCAGCTTGGGATCGGTTAAAGCCCCTAGATCTTTTTCACGAGAATGCCTGCATAGTCAGACTTCCCAAACCTGTACTTGAACAGCAAGTTCTTTATTTTTATGGGTGATGTAAACGTGGAAAGTCTCAGCATAGATAATTGTCAGCACATGAAATTTCAGCAACTGAATAGACAAATTAGATACCATGCACCAGTGAGTCAACAACTAATTATATTTGTTAAGCTGGTAAAACATTCTGACTTCTTGAGGTGTCTAATCTAGGCTTGCCTACTCTTTTAGGGGATCTTTTAAAACTGTTTCTATGCTGGTATATAATCTCATATTCCTCCTACTGTTATTTTATTAAGTACCTCATTTTATTTTTATTTTCTACATGGTTCAGCCTAGTTGTTTCTATTAAAGCCAAGATAACTTCAATTGCTCAACAACAAGGTGAACTTGAACTGCTGAGCATGATCAATCTCATCAAATTGGCAAATGCTTATTGAGGGTCTATCTATCACATGCTGTGCTTGATGCAGTGAGAAATATGAAAGTATGGAATTGTGGCTTTAAATAATGTGTAATCTACTTGAGGGCTCTGGGAGTATAACTCACAATGCAATCAGTCTGTGATGAGTTAAGTGAGTGGAGGGGATAATAAGCACTTACAGGAATTGAAAAGATACCATCTCTTGGAGTGATGTGATCAGGGAAGTTTTTATAGAAATAGTAAAATTTGAAGGATGTTCAGAAAATGACAAGGTCTTTTTGTTTTGTTTTGTTTGTTTTGTTTTGTTTTGTTTTGTTTTACTTTCTCTTTCCATTATCAACCAAGGGAGATTAATTCAAGAAATAGAGGTGTGTCTTAAGAATTCCAAGAGGAGAAAGACAGCCAGACCTCAGGAAGCAATCATAATAAGGCTCGGAAAACCCCAAGCCTTTTCTTTCAGTATCTCCCTCTGCCTCCCTTGAGCCACCTGCTTTAGTCTGTCTCTTCCTGTACATAGATTTTTTTTCTACTTCTTTGGTTCATGGGGATAGAATTTTCATGTCATAATTTCAGCTACCTGCAGAGAGTGAACTTCATTTAAAATTTCTTTGTGAGGACAGTTGAAACTGTTAGCTCAGGCTAATCTAAAAGACGCAATTTAGAAACGACTGTCAAAAGAAAAATAACTTAAGATTTTCAGTTCATCACTCAATGTTCATCCTGAAGATTTCTCAAAGACTGCTACCTACCTCCCTGTTTTTCTTCGACTTTTTTTGTAGCAAGGTTTTGAGACATTGCTACGGCAGCGTAACATAGTAGGTGAAGTACCCATTGATAAATTATATTTTATCTGCTTCCATCTGTTAGCAGGTAACTTCTCCACTAAAAGGATATGGTTCTGTAGAACAATGGCATATGCAGACAGTGATCTGTTATTCCACTATTCTCTTAAGCTATCAATCAGATTGATGAGGCAAATTTATGCTTCTAGTCTGTATCTGTGGTTATAACCACGTAACATTTGCTTTAGATTGTTTGTAGGGAAAGTCAAAGTAGGATGGTTTGTTGGAGGTAAAATGGCCTAAGAAATAAATCAAAGCATTTCAATTATGATGTATAAGAAAATTTAGAGTTGGTTTGTACAAACCCATATCCAATCAAGGTCCAAGCATTATATTTAATGGTTAAGCCTTTTAAATCTCTTTGATTACAGAGCAGCTCATCACTCTCCTTCCTCCCATCCCACCCTTATTATACCATGGGTTTATTGAAGATACTAAGTCACTAAAGGTCTTATGGATGGTAGTGACTTGATAAAATAAGTGTTTAATAAGGAATATTGTGGCCAAAGTGATGAGTGCATTGGAAGAAACATAAAACTAAAGATTGGGAGAGTACATGTAGGAAATAATTGCTGTATTCTGGGCAAGCAATGATGGTAATCTGAATTAGGTAATTAGAGCAGGAAATGGAGGGAGGAACTCATCTTAGGTTCAATCCAAGAGATAGTTCCAAACTCCAAAGTGCATTACAGAAGCATTATCTAAGATCCATAGTTATCTAACAAGTGAGAGTAATATTAAATAAGCTTTACTCAAATGTTTGAGCAATATAATTAGGTAGTGATCTCTCCAACCCAAGAAGTGTTGAAGAAAAAAACTGGATGACCAGCCATGGGCAATTATGTAACCTCAAGGCAAGAATCTCTTGTTTCCTCTTCTTCTTCAACAAGTGATTGTCCAACATGTCATTGAAGAGTGAGAGGAAACACAGCTTTGCAAAGCAGTCTATTTTTTGACTGAGCATCTATAATTATAAAAACTATAAGTAGCTCAAAACCTATCTAGTTGGTCCTGGTCTTCTTTCTAAGACTATATAGAAAGAGCTCCATTTCTTGCCATTTTCTCTTCTCCAGGCCAAACGCTTTAAGTTCCTGCAACTGTTTCTAATTTCCCATCCTCGTTCCTTTTTTCTGGCCATGCTCCCAACTGTCACTGTCCTTTTTGGAGTGTGCACCCAGAACTGAACACCCTTTGTGAGGTACAGTCTAACCTGAGTGCAATAGAGAGGCTGTTAACTCTGCTGTTCCAGACCTTTCATTAATGCAGCCAAAAGTTACAGTTAAGGTTTTAGCAGTTCCTTCATGCTCTTGACTCATTTTGAGTAAAAAAAATTCCCAAAGTTATTCTCTTTATATGCTACTGTTTTGACATGTATACATGTGAAGCTCACCTTGAAATCTAACCAGAAAACTTCATGTTAACCATAATACATGTTTCTTTGTTGGATTCAGGTTATTGTTCAAGTTCCTTTTGAACCCTACATCAGACATCCAGCATTGCAGCCACTGTTCTGTTAGTCTTATATTTTCTGGAGCATTGACTAGAAAGCCAGCTCAGTCTATATTCATTAAAACAGAAAGTTTAAATAGGGTCAGACTATGATGGAAAACTCATGCAGATCCCTCTGCTGGATGACATGGCTTCATGAGCAGCACTTCCTTAGATATGGTCCCTTACCAGTTACAAATGAACTTAGTAGATTTATTACATTCTATCCCCAAATATTCTTCTCATGCCCAAGGATACAAAAGACTTAATCTTGTCTGCCTGCAGCCTTACACTGGTCTACCTAAAGAAAACCTCTACAGACAAAGGAGATGAGCCCAGCATGGCTTGTTTACAGTGAATCTAAGCAGATTCCTCATCTGTTCTGGGATACGTGCGTCGAGATTGCCAGACTGTGGTTTGTAGACTTTATCTTCCTCCCCTTTTGAAAATCAAGGTAGTGTATGCCAAATTCTACCTTTTGGAGCCTGTGCCATTCTTCACTGTCACACATTAATGCAGCCTTGTGACCTTTCTGACAAATTCCCAGGAAGCTCATTAGTTTAGACCAAGAGATTTAAACTCAAGGGAGTTGAGTTTTAAGAATTTTTAACAGAGTTGGATCAAACATGGCAGGTCTAAAGATTACTTTCATTGATGAAGGCAATGGAAGCAAACTAGGAATAGAAGAGTATAGTTTTCTCCCTGTCTCCCATTGATGTTACACCACCAGCCCTTGGAGGAGGTCTTTGCCTTCTTCATTCTTTCTTTTTTATAATGGAGTGTTAAATAGCTCAGACGATTTATTCACTACTGTACTGAAAGTGAAAAACAGAGTGGCTGTATGGGTACTCCAAGTATGGTTTCTATTGAATGCATATTGCTGTTGCACCACAGCAAAGTAAAAGAAAAATCACATCAAACCACACTCAGGGACCATCTGTATAACCTTAGCTATTCATGGTATTCTTGGGAATATATTTTTTAAAGTTTTATTTTAGGTTTAGGGGTAAAAGCGCAGGTTTGTTATATAGATAAACTTTTGTCATGGGGGTTTGTTGTACAGATTATTTCATCACCCAGCTATTAAGTGTAGTACACTTTAGTTCTACTTCCTGCTTTGAACATACTCCAAATCCCCTCACTTTTCACTTCAGCACTTTTCACAAGCCTTTGTTCCTACAACTTTAGCATTCCAGGTCCTGGATGTAACCTCACATGCATATTACTCCTTAATTATGAGCTTTTCTACCTTTCCTGTGTGCGTTTCTAAAATCTGAGCTGAATTCCTTGAGAGCCATATGAGCACCTTTGCCGGCCACTTCAGCTTTACTCAGGCTGGGTTATTTGGAGAGATCATTAGTTACCCAAACATTTCAAATGCTCTCTATTTTATAGTTGAAATCATGGACTTACATCTAGCTTTAACTGAACTCTTTCTGAAATGTCTCCCCAGGTCTAGTTTAAATGTCTGACACTCTTCAGAAGACATAGTCTTTTTTACTCAAGATTCTCAAGGAAGCAATGTGGTGATGGAAGAGGCCTGGACTCTTGAGTCAGGGCTTTGCTCTAAACCTGCACCTGCTAAAACTAGCTGAGTGACCTAAGGCCAGTTACTTAATGTCTCTGAGGCTAGGTGGAAATACTGATGCATTCCCTCACACAGTCATTGAGATGAATAAATACAGTGGTATGTTTTAACTGCTGTGGGTGACATCTGATATGTGGTAGGGGCTCAGGAAGTGTTTGTACCCTTCCTCTTTGACTTTCCCTCTTTTCCCTTCAGTTCACCAACCTGCTTTCACTTGTTTTTCATAATTTATACAGGATAAAATCTCCCCTCATGAGTTTTTGCTTCTTTTGGGAGTGTCAGCATCTAGCCAGGTAAGTTAAAAACTTATCAGTCTTTCAGTGTGAATGAATTAAACTCTGTCAGCATATGAAAAATCCCCCATCACTGCCACATCATGCCTCTCTGCTGCTTTTGCAATCTAGGTCAAGACTTCAGTCATATCCTCCATCTGGTCAGATGTTGATCACTATTAACTCTAAAAATTATTTAGAAAATACTTAGAACATTTTCAGCCTTTTACAATTATCTGTTCTTATGTTTAGCTTCTTATTCCAAAACACAGTAATCTTTTACATCCCAAGATGATTTTTCTCATCTTGGAGAGATGAGAAAATATGGAGAGTCCAAAACAGTGTTTTAGCCTCTCCATGATACTTTTCTATTCAGATTCCCTACAGTTGTATGTACTTCTGCAGCTATGTTACCATTCCAAGAAAGTACAATGTAGACTCCAATTTGATGATGGATTCAGAAATAAGTTTTCAAACTCTCAAATCTAAATATGATGGATGTATACATTCTCTGATTCCAAAATAACACTATTTGGTCTGTTTTCACAATTTGAATTCTATTCCTGTTGGAACGCCTGGCTCAAAAGCCAGAGTGCCTTCTCCATCTTGATTCTCTCTTCATTCTCTCCTCTTTGAGTCAATTTGCAGTTTTATTCCAGAATGAACCTCCTGGGTTGTCTGGGAGTATCAACAAAGGCATATTATAACACAATACATTCCTAGTTTTATTTGGCAGCACCAGCCCTGAGACAGGCCTTCATTTGTGATGGTCAGAATGCCTACGAAACAAGGAAATATTTATATGTGCAAAATTTGGAAGGTACAGGGAGGCAAGTTGCATCAGTGGGAGATCAAAGGTCAATGCTGGATGGGATGTTTTGTTCCCAGCCTCCATCGGTTGAACTTAGGTGGGAACAGATCAAAGGCTCATGGGAAATGGGCATGGAACTCCCCACCGTCCGATGCCAAGTGGTGACCAGAACAGATGGGAGCAGAATGATAAGCACAGCATCCCACATCAATGGATACTTATTTGGAAGTAACTGAAGTGGAAAGGTCAGGATAAAATGTCAGCATCTCTGTGTGGGTGAAAATATGTCTGAGAAACTAACTTCGCTCCAAGAAATATGAAGGCAAAGGGGAATGCCTTGGAATCAAAGAGAAGACACTTTCAGTGCCTTTATCCCAGCTGAATGTACTCTTAGACTCCCTAAACCTGATTAAAGTTTTCTCTTACCCTTAGTATGCAATCCTTGCTTTACCCTTGTTGCTATTTGGTCAAAAAGTTGGAGAAGTTGCTGCTAGTGAAATGTTTATGGAAGAAAATGTTTTGGTAATGAAAATAACAGGAAACAATTTTCCCCTCTTGATATTTTTAGGATACTTAGAAAAACTTCAGGAAAGTCATTTTGAGCTGATCACTAGATGTTCATTATTTCCTCCTCATTTAGTTTGATGTTACTTATGAATTCACTAACATTTATTGAGCATTTGCATTGAGTCAGGTTCAAGAGAGGTTTATGGTCAGTCATATACACCTCAGGGGCACTTAACTGGGAAGGTTAGTGATTTATGGAAGCAATGACTCAGGAAAGCAAAGTCTAAGATAAATTGATAGTATTAACACAAATATTAATATCAACACAGGAGTGCCCTAAAGAGCAGAAGGGAGTGGGAGGTTGGATGAAGACTAGAAAGCTGCACAGCTTCACAGCTCTAGGCCTTATTCTCCATTGTATAGGAACCCTTATAGTTTCTGTTTGCTATGCTGTGCCCTTTGAAAGAAAACTGCAAACTTCCCTAATCATGATATGGTGCACCCACGTTTTCCAACATTAGCAATGGAGTAAGAATCCTGTGTCCAGAGGGGCAGATGGATCTTGCGCCTCTGACTTGCTCCACTTTCTTAGGAATTGTATTTTTTTTTTTCTCACTGTTGCCACCATGATGCCTCAGGCAGCACTGCTCCTTTACATCTTTGTCTACATGGAAAACAGGACCTAATGCCTTAATGCCCTCTTAGAACAGTGCTTACAGAAGTAATGAAAGCTAGAAATGGCATAAATATAAATAATGTGATTTACAAGATGCATTTACCATCTAGGACTCCAGGCCTCTTCCCATCTCATCTTGTGGTTTTTTTCCCATGAGCCTGACATTATCTCACCTCCCAGATCCCATGTTTCCTACACTTATACCCAAGGGATCATACCCCAGGAAGAAATACAAGTTCAACTTTTCCGCACAAGGTCATCAAGGGTGTGGTTACTTTTATGTGTCAACTTGACTGGGGATGCCCAGATAGCTAGTAAAACATTATTTTGGGGTGTGTCTGTGAGGGTGTTTTCAGAAGAGATCAGCATTTTAATCAGTAGACTAAATAAAGAAGATCCATCCTCACCAGTGTAGGCATTCATTATCCAATCCATTAGGAGCCCAAGTAAAACAAAAAAAGTGGAGGAAGGGAGAATATGTTCTCTGTTTCCCCTGAGCCATCATCTTCTCCTGCTCTTGGACATTGAAGCTGCTGGTTCTCAGGCCTTCAGACTTGAACTAAATAATACCACTGGCTTTCCTGATTCTCTAGTTTGCAGACAGCAGATTGTGGGACTTCTCAGCTTCCTTAATGTTGTGATCCAATTCTCATAATAAATCCTATTGGTTCTGTTTCTCTACAGAACCCTAAGTCCCTCAATCGATTCCCAGGCTTGAGCCAGTTTAAAGATCCAGAATGCTTGAGTGAAGGCGAGGTAGGGTCCCCTCAAGGAAGAACCCCAGTACACTACCAAAAATGTATAGTATTAATCATCCTCCCAGTCTTCCCCAAAGAGACCTATGGTTTTTTGTTGTTGTTGGTTTTTGTTTTGTTTTTGTTTTTTGAGATGGAGTCTCACTCTGTCGCCAGGCTGGAGTGCAGTGGTGTGATCTCGGCTCATGGCAACCTCTGCCTCCTGAGTTCAAGCTATTCTCCCGCCTCAGCCTCCCAAGTAGCTGGGACTACAGGTGTGTGCCACCACACCTAGCTAATTTTTGTATTTTTAGTAGAGATGAGGAAGACCTATGGATTTTTACCAGTATAAATGTGCACCAGAGAAAGGAAAATAATCAGACATTTTAGGGACTACAGAACACTGGGAGCAAGGTCCTGCCATCATCCACAGATAACTACTCTCCTTTTAAGAGACAGCTTTTGGCCTGCTCCTGGGCCTTGTGCAAATGGAATGCAGAACTACAGCCTCTCTCTATGGTATCCCTAAAAGACAGTGGTGAAGGGAAATCCTCCCAGTGGGCAGAACTTCAGGCAGTACACCTGGTTGTGACTTTGCAGGAGAAGAAGAAATGGCCATATGTGAGATTACATACTAATTCATGGGCCGTAACAGATGGTTTGGTTGGAGGATCAGGGACTTAGAAGAAACATGATTGGAAAATTGGTGACAAATGAAATTTGGAGATGTATATACATAGATTACTTTGAATGTGCAAAAAATATAAAAATATTTGTGTCCCATACAAATGCTCACCAAAGGGTGACCTCAGCTGGGGAGGATTTTAATAATTACATAGCTAGGATGACTGTTCTGTGGATATCAGTCAGCCCTATTGCCAGCCACCTCATGCTTGCCCAATGGGCGCATGAATAAAGTGGCCCCGGTGGCAGGGATGGAGATTATGCATGGGTTCAGCAACATCAGCTTCCACTCACCAAGGCAAACCAGGCTACGGCCACTGCTGAGAGCCCAATATACCAGCAACAGAGATTGACACTGATCCCCTGCTATGGCACCATTCCCTGGGGAGATCAGCCAGCTACCTGGTTGCAGGTTGACTAGATTGGACAGCTCCTATCGTGGAAGGGACAATGTTTTGACCTTACTTATTCTGGATATGAATTTGCCTTCCTTACATGCAATGCTTCTGCCAAAACTACCATTCATGGACTCACAGAATGCTTTATCCTCTGTCATAGTATTCCACACAGCATTGCTTCTCACCAATAACTCACTTCACAGCTAAAGAAGTGCAGCAATGGGCCCATGCTCATGGAATTCACTAATCCTACCATATCCTTCATCATCCTGAACAGCAGCCTCGACAGGAAGATAAAATGACTTTTTAAATTCTCAGTTACAGCACCAGCTAGGTGGCAATACCTTGCAGGCTGGGGCACAGTTCTCTAGAAGGCTGTATATGCTCTAAATCAGCATCCAATATATGGTACTGTTTCTTCCATAGCCAGGATTCACAGGTCCAGGATTAAAGGGGTGGAAATGGGAGTGGCACTACTTACCATTACCCCCAGTGACACACTAGTAAAATTTGTGCTTCCTGTTCCCATGACTTCATGCTCTGCTGGCCAAGAGGTCTTAGTTCCAGTGGGAGGAATATTACCACCAGTAGACATAACAATGACTCTATTGAACTGGAAGTTAAGACTGCCACTAGGCCACTTTGGGCTCCTTATGCCTGGGTCAACAGGCCAAGGAGGGAGTTATAGTGTTGGCTGCATGGCTGATCTGACTACTAAGGGGAAATTGGACTACTGCTCAACAATGGAGGTAAGAAATAGTATGTTCGAAATACAAGAGATCCCTTAGAGTGTCTCTTAGTATTACCATGTCCTGTGATTAAAGTCAATGGAAAACTACAGCAACTTAATCCAGGCAGAACTACTATTAGCTCAGATGCTTAAGGTATAAAGGTTTGGGTCACTCTGCCAGGTAAAAAACCATAACCAGTTGAGGTGCTTGCTGAAGGCAAAGGGCATACAGAATAGGTAGTAGAAGAAAGTAGTTATCAATACCACCTACAATTGTGTGACCAGTTATAGAAACAAGAACAGTAATTTTTATGAGTTTTTATCCTTATATTGTTATAAATGCTTTGTGTGTCTATGAACATACACTTAGGAAATATCTAAGTTTTCTTTTCTCTCTTACTTCCTTATGATGTAACATAAAGTGTATTGACTTTATACCAGGATTTAAGTATTATTAATATTAAATCAGTATTTAAGTTATAGAAAATCAGGAGAGTAAACTTTACTCAAGAGCTTTGCCTCTTCTTTTAGGGAAGGGATTTTTGGTTGTATACAGCATAGTTGTATCATGTTAGGTGGAATTATGACTCTGCTGTCTTTATTTATAGATTAAGTATGATGTAAAAAGATGTGTGTGGGTGCCAGATTAGCAAGGGGTGGACTTGTGATGGTGAATTTTTCAATTTGACTTGGCTAAGGGATGCTCAGATAGCTGGTAAAACATTTCTTCTGAATTTGTCTGGAGGGTGTTTTCAGATAAGATTAGTGCTTTAAATAGTAAACTGCATGACGAATATCTGCCCTCACCAATGTTGGCAGGCAACAGCCAATCTATTGAGGGCCTGAATAGAACAGAGGAAGAGAGAATCCATTCTTTCTGTATGAGCTGGGACATCCATCCTTTCCTGCCATTAGACATTGGAGTTTCTGATTCTCCAACATTGGGACTTGAACTGAATTATAGCACTGGCTTTCCTGGTTCTTCAGCTTACAGACAGCGGTTCTTGGTAACATCTTGTTCTCCATAATCACATGAGCTAATTCCCATAATTAATCTCCTGTTACATACATATATATCTTATTGGTTCTCTTTTTTTTTTAGATACCTGCTTAATACAAAGGGTTAGTGATTACATTGGGCTTTGAAATTCAATAGGCTGGATTTGAACTCTTGCTGGCTCCATCACTCACTAGCTGATTCCCATAGTTTTTTCAGCTATAAAATGGGGCTAATAATTGGCTGGTTGTGAGGATTAAATGAGCTAACACAAGGAGAGCCTTTGGAGTAGGCCTGGCACATTTAACTGCTCAATACATCTTAGTTTCAAACTACACAACAATCATCATGTCAATGAATCCAATGAACCCCTTGAGTTGCCCATGAGGCAACATCTAGGTCATTTTCTCACAGTTTGTTTTGTAGGAAAGGTCGTGACCTGTAAAATCTTTTGTAGCAAGGTTCTGCTTAGTCAGAACCTTCCTTAAGCATTGAATGGGCATTTATCCTCTGTTAAAATAAACATGCTATGAACCTAAAACTGCTATAGAAAATAAAATTTATTTAAAAAAGAAAAATAACACTGATGAATGATGAAAGCAGAAATATCCTTTCTTTTTCCTAAATTGCTCAGATAATTCTCTCAATCTTTGTATCGCATCAATGATTGGGTCCTGGCTAATCAATATATCAAGTTTAAAATAAGAAAGTAATAAGATGGAATGAAAAATAATTAATCTGGAAGTGAGCCTGGCCTCCTCCCTTTCTCCTGACTCCAAGGCAAAGCACTGATTGCTAGAACCACTTTCCCTCCTGGAGAAGACGGGGTGTCTCTGCCTGGGAGAGTGGGTGGATGGAGATGCATGGGAGAGTGTGGAATAGGCAGGTTGGGGGGCTGGGAGAGAAGAGCCACCTGAGGGTGGAAAGATTTGGTGCACTGAGAAGAGAGGCACGCAGAGCATGTGAGAGGGGCATTTCAAAGGAAAGGGAATTGCTGTAAGAGTAGCTGTGGGTATGTATTTTGATCCCTTTCACAGTTTTATTGTTTTGTTTTTTAAAAAACCCCACTGAAATAAAGGATTAATGTAACTTTCAAAAATTTATTTTGGTCATTGGTCTGTGATTCTGCAACTCTGTCAGCATCTCAGAAAAGTATAAGGCCAACTCAATTTGGCAAAGGATTCAGAAATATCCTTTTGAACTTGAAAATCCAAATGTGATAGTCTACAGATTCCCCAGTCCCAAAATATCAGAGTCTATTGTGTTTTAAAATGTGCATTCCATTCCTTTTGGAATGCCTCACTCACAGGCCAGAGCGCCTGCCCCATTTCCAGTCCCTTTCCAGCATCTCCCCAAAGTTCAGCTTCTGCCCTAGCATGAGCTCCTTTACTAAGACACAAATCTGATTGCATTATTCACCTGCCTTTGTTCACCACTGGCTTCCTCTCTCTAGCAGCATCCAGTTCATGCTTCTTAAATGATCCTGGCCCTCTACAGCCCCTCCTCCTAAATAAAACTCTCTACCCCACGGGAGCCCAGAACACTACAGCAGACCCCCAAACAAGCTCGCTGCTGTGCACACCCAAGCCTTCACAAAGGCTGCTGCTTTGAAACGTGCCGCCCACCCTTCCTGCCTACAGAATTTCTACGAGGACTCCCTTGAAAACCTCCTGGCTGCCTACCTGGCTGTCCCACCTCTGTCCAAAGAGAGGAAAGCTTTTCCTTTATGGCTTTCTCTGCCATGTGTAAATCCTGAATTTTGCTGTCAGCATTAATGTTTCTCCAGCAGGTCTGCAGTTCAAAGGACGTGAACTTGTCCTTTGTTCATGCTAGACACTCAGTGGTGGAGGGTAGATTAAATGAATGAATGTGCTCATCATCTCTGGGTTGTTTCATTGTGTTTGTTTGCTTGCTTTTTAAGGACACCTGGAGCATCTAATGACCATATTCCCATTGGTTTTAACCCAAAGAAGTTCAAAAGTAGCCCACAGGAACTTATTTTATTTTTCCTGTGATTTTTTTTTCCACTTTGAAAATCTATGTCTCTCATTAGCTGTTAAGTCTTTAGAGACATCTGAACACTTTCAATCTCATAATTGAAGACCATTTAATGCTATGAAGCCATATACCCACTGGGAGACCCTCTGGATTCATCTGAGCCATTCTAGAAGCCACAAAAATATTTTTCTATTTTCACGGGAACTTATGGGTGCCTTGTACATGGTAGACATTGACAAATATGGAACTGAACCAACGTCTTGAAGACAATATAATGTGGCAGAGAAAGGAAAGCACCTGCCCAGGAAGAAACCTCAAACCTTGCGGAATGTAATGATCTACCCTCTCCGCTGATGTTCTTGGGCTACTGAGCACAGCTGGAGGAAAGCCTCCTAGTGAATTGGTTGTTCCTCCTATGATCTCTTGGGCTTGGGCATCATCAGGCCCTCCCCACTCCTGAATTTCTCTAAGGAGCTGTTTTTCGATTTTCCACTTTCTTCAAACCATCCATCCTCTACTTTCCTAAGAGAAAACAGAAGCCATTTGATGAAAATTCTAGTAAATCCGCCACTAAAACTTTGAATATTTTTAAAGAATGCTTTCTATTACATACATTAGAAAACCTAACTCAGCTGACTGAATTAGTAAGCTAATTTTATCAGCTCACATCTCAACAAGTGTTGTAGCAGGGCCTGTGAGTTTGGTTTTTCAGCAGCTCAGTGATGTTGTCAAGGGCCCAGGGTTTTTTTCCATCTCTCTTCTGTACTATGTCAGCTTGTCGACAGGCACTACATCCCCATGCAGCAACCTTTAGTGGAAGAAAAATTGTTCCCAGAAACATTACCAAGCCCCATAGCAAATTTCCCTTCATACCTACTTGACCAGAACTAGATCGTACGCCCACCCCTAAATCAACCCCTGGCAAGAGGAATATTTCCATGTTTAGCTTCTTCTAGATTAAACCAAGCATCAAGTTCTCTTTCTTAAGAGGCTGAAAACTGAAAATTGGAGGATGGACTTACCCCCAAATCCATCCCTCCTTTCCTAACAGTTTCACTCACTGCTCTTTCCCTGCACATGGTGCAGAGCATGATTAATATGTGTTGAGTTGATAAGTGAAGCTTGGCTCCTTGTCTTGGCCCTGCCACTAACCAGCCATGTTAAAATACTGAATGAACTTCTTGGACCTCTGTTTCCTGTTCTGCAAAAGGAGGGATTTAGTATAGCTTAAGGCCAACTATCACTGGCTCCATCTCCACGACTTCCTAGTGAAGTGAACAAAAGGTTCCCATACCTTAGGAGTGCCCAGCCTGCCCAGAGAGTGGCTGTGACTCCTTGTGGAAATTGTCAGCAATGACAGCTGTTGATGACAAGAGGTGTAGTAGTCACCTTTGTCAAAGCCCAGTCATGGTTCAGCAGGCAGAAGTCTGCATGCCTTCAAACCAGCTTTAGTTTCAGCTCAAGGCAGCAAACAAGGCAATTTCTTCCTAGGAATGCTGCCTGGCCCTGTCCATCCTGCCCAGGGAAACTTTGCAGGCCTTGCCACTTCTCAGGGTGAGGCAGTTGAGAGTTTATCACCATAAGCCATTGTTTTCACAGCAGTGAGAGCTCTGGACTTTCCCAGGAATTCCACTGGAATGTAAACAGTCTTCAGATCCCAGGCAGAAACCAGCGGATATCCTGAGCTGTCCAAAGTCCCATGTTGGATCCCAAAGATTTGATTTCTTTTTTTTTTTAAATCTTAAAATGTATTTTTGCTCATTAGATACATTTCTTTTTCTATCTCTAAATATTTAACACCCCTGATATCAGTTAATATTAATGATCTGGAATGAAAGAATAAATCAACTGAATAATAATTCTGTAATGAAAGTGTCATGCAAACAAATCTCCATGTTTCTGAACTCTATAAACTGTTAGAAACACAAGCTCATCAAATGTCCACCTTTTCATTGTCTCAGCCTGGCATGGTGGCTCACGCCTGCAATCCCAGCACTTTGGGAGGCTGAGGCGGTGGATCACCTGAGATCGGGAGTTTGAGAGCAGCCTGACCAACATGGAGAAACCCGGTCTCTACTAAAAATACAAAATTAGCTGGACGTGGTGGCACATGCCTGTAATCTCAGCTACTCGGGAGGCTGAGGCAGGAGAATCACTTGAACCTGGGAGGCGGAGGTTGCAGTGAGCTGAGATCGCGCCATTGCACTCCAGCCTGGGCAACAAGAGCAAAACTGTCACAAAAAAAAAAAAAAAAAGAGAATTACAATTCTGAATTGTTGTTGTTGTTGTTGTTTAATGAAATACAAATTCCTCTCCTTCCTATGCCAAAGTGCTCGGCCATCCAGCACGGCCTTCAAGCAGGGGACTTCAGAAAGATAGTCCACAGGAAGCCTGGGACTAAAAACTTGATGTTATTCAACTTGTGTGTTGATGATGACTGTAGGGCTAATGTTTTTCTGATTCTGTCTCTTAGATTCTCTCTGGACTATTTCATGGCTCAGGAACCACATCCTCCTTCCCCACTTCCTGAGTGTATGGGATGGCCACATATACTGAAGCTCAATCTTATGAAAAGAGCATTTCAGAGGCAGGAGGATCTGGATTTGAATTCCGGCTTGATCCTGGGCTGAACAGGACCAGTTCTGCTTTCTGCCCTGGGGCAAGTTACCCAACATCGCTGAGCATCTGTTTCCTTCACTATAAAATGAGGATGATGATACCACGTGGGATTGTTGAGAAGATAAAAAGAGAAAGCACTTGAAAAGCTTCTAAACATGACCTCTCACAAAGCTGTTCAATAACTGTTAGCTCCCTTTTCTCCTCCTTGCAGCTGCTGTTTCCTGGAGTTGCAAACGTTTCTAGGTGAGCTCATGTGAGACCATCTGAAACATTCCAAGAAGTAGTCCAGATGTAAAGACAGCTTTATCTTTGGCCAGGTGCAGTCTTACTAGAATGGCCCATCCTGGTAGAGAATCATGTGGCCCCTTAGACAACTATGACACCAGGAATTGGATGAAACAAAGTTTCAGCTACAGGATGAGGATATATAGATAAATGTTGATGACATATTTCTTTCCTTTTTTGGTTTCCTTTTCCCTTGAAAATGCTTTCAGATCTCTGAGACATCCCGTTGTCATCTTCCTCTTTTAAAACCCTTCGTGTGCTCTTTTCTATGAAGGGCTGGTTGGCAGCTGATGAGGCCCCAGGCTGGAAGGAACTCACCGGCTCATGGCTCACCAACCCCTAACTACAGCTGGGCAGGCAAGGAGGGAGGCTGCAATTTCATTCACTTCTTTAGATTGATGTTTTGACATCTTTAGAAGCCTCTGTTAAAATGGAAATGTGGAATCTGAGTAGTGTGGTCAAACTGGTATACGAGGACATTTTGGTGGTGACTCAAGTCTGATGAAGCTTTTCTAGTAATTTGTGCCTTCCATTTCCTAGGAACAAGAGTGAGTGAGGACTAAGGACACAAAACAGCAGCAGTTTCAGCCCCACTCCTATAATATTCTAAAAGCTTGTCCTTAGATCTTGATATTCTTCTCTCAGGCAGAGAGCTTAAGAATATTAGAGAAATATCCTGATACTTTTGCATTTTAAGGTAAGCCACAGCCAGAAAGAACAATGGGAGGCCCAGAAGCCCACCTCCAACCACTCCAACCAGATACACCAAGGACTCTGGCTCAGACCAGATACAGCCACCTTGGTGATCCAGAGAGGCCTCCTGCTGGGTGCAGTGGCTCAAGCCTGTAATCCCACCACTTTGAGAAGCTGAGGTGGGAGGATTGCTTGAAGCCAGGAGTTCAAGACCAGCCTGGGCAACATAGCAAGACCCCATCTCTACAAAAGAAAAAAAGAGAGAGAGAGTGAGAGAGGCCTCCTATCAGGAATCATGCTCAAGTTCCAATTCAATTTCAATGAGAGATAAGGGAGTAAACAGCAGGAAGGAGGGAGATTCCAGAAGACCCCAAGACTGCATTGTTGGGCTGTCATTGTTCATGGGAATTACTCACCCATGGGTCTCCATCGGGTTTCACCCACAGGTCTGTGCACCATGTCTTGCTCTCTAGGAACCAGAACATCTCTATGGTTCTTTGGATAGAAGTACTCTATTTCAGTGACTCTTAGATTTTTGTTTATTTTTAAAAAGGGATAGTTGTGGTGAATTGCATTAGGATTACTAAAATAAAAGCATTAAGAAACTCCCCAAAACTCCAAATACATCTGGAGTCATTCTTTCCTAATAGGGACAATATTTTATTACCAAAAATGGTAGAAGGGTTAGAAGGGCCTAAGTCTCAGGATAAAGGATAGTTCATTGCATTTAACTAATTCACATTCAGAAAAATGTTTTTCAAATTGATCTTATTTTTCTTATTTTGCCATGGATTGATAAAACTTTATCACAAATTAGAACAGAGAATTAGGAGGTCTATGTTTAAATCCAGACCCTGATGCTATTTACATCCCCTAGGCAAAGGAATTATTCTCTCTGACTTTTATTTTGTTATTTCCTAAAGGAAAGAATTGTATTAGTTGATTTCTTAAGCAGCTCTCACTTTCTTTGAGCTCCTATTTCTCTGATTGTAATGTGGAAAACTGAGCTCTATTTCATACATAACCACACCCTTCATCTAACATTTTATAACAAATATTGTTTCCCTGATTTCTCCATTTGCAGCCCAGATAACAACTCTCTTCCTAGGATTAGTGAAAGCTTGTAGTATCATACAAAACCCAGTAATTTTCCCACTAATCGGGGAGTTTCCCAGAATTATCTGCCAAAGGTTATTTTGGCACCTAACAACGTTTTTTACTTTTCCGTCATCAGTATTATCATCAACAAAAAATATTTCTTAAGTTAACAAGGAAAATACTGAATACAGAGAATAAAGACATAATCATAGAATGGGTAAAAGTTCAGGCAGTCTGTTAGAGAGCAGTACTTTTCTCATATCTTAACCACATCAAGGACCTGGGACAGGGATGATGGTGATTGGAGCGGCAGCTTTGAGGGTCACATACTGATGTCGTCAGTGGAAAGAGAAGCCAGCACCCCCCTTCTCATCAGTCCAAAACCATCATAGAAAAAAAAAAACAGGATTACGTAAGAAGTTGGACTATGGGGAGGGCAGGAGAAGTGAGACTTTATGGGGCCAGATGTCAAGGACATTTCACAAAAGAGAGCCATACCTTAGATCAATGCTGCGACTGGCTCCCAGAGACATTTAGTCATGTCTGGAAACATCTTTGATTATCACATCTGTGAAGGAGTGCTATTGACATCTAGAGAGTAGAAGCCAGAGGTGCTGCTAAACATCCCAGAGAACACAGTCACCCTATAAACACAGGGCAGCCCCCACAATGAAGAATTATCCAGCCCAAAATGTCAATGGTGTTGAAGTTGAAAAATCCTGCATTGGAGTAAACTTGAGAGTGATCATGAGACTAAGAGCAAGAGAACATTTGACGTCGGTGTGATAAACAAGGAAAGGGATATCTTTGAGGCAGAGAAGAGGAAAGTGAGGAGGTACATTCCTTACCAAAATCTGGACACCTCCCATCCTTTACTGAGGTTCTAGAATCAGTCCTAAGAAGTACAGAAGATCTAGCATCCAGGCCGGGCCTGTTGTCCTGAGAGCAGAAGCAGGGAGTTGGGATGAAAAGCAGAGGGACTACTGCTCTCCCTCATCAGTGCATTTACCATGGAAAACTGCTGGTGTGAAGATGGCTAAGACCACACTGAATGAGAAGGAATGAGAGCAAGTGACGTGAGGGCCAAGTCGTCAGACCCAGAGCAAAGCATGGTGAGCAAAGTGGATCTGCTCCCTCAAGAGGTGCAAACCTAACTCCTGGACTTTCCCCAGCTCAGAGCAGCTGCCCTGTTAGAACAGGGCCACACCATTGCTGGGGTTTGGCACACAAAAATCCCTGACCTTAAGTGCTCTGAGTTACTAAATAATCCCAGGGTAATTAGGTAGTCCCAAGGGAATCCCATAGTTTAAAATTATGGGCTCCTGAAGGTCCTGTTTGGTCCCTAAAGTCTTACTAAGATTCATTATTTCCTTAATCAATAGTTATTGAATACCTATTACTTGCCAGGTCTGTCCAGCAGGTGAGAAAACAATTGGAAGCAGAAACAGACATAGTCCTCTCATGCCTAGCACTTAGAGTCTTTCAGGAGAAATAGTAAGTAAGCAAATCATCACGCAAGTATCATAGCTGAAATGCATGCTCTGAAGGCATGAGGGAGTATCATGGGGCGTCTGTTAGTCATGGGGGAACGGGGCAGCCTTTCCGTGAAAATGGGGCCAGGAAGGCCTTTTAACTAAGGGGGATTTACTGGCAAAAAGACTGTGAATTTACATTCTTGATAGTGTGTCCAAGTGAGGTTGTAGGTTCAGGTGCATTGACCCTCTGACAGGACTGAGAGAAGTTGCTAAGTCCCCCCGAAACAACCTCATATTCTGTCTTTTCAATCTCAGTGGAGGCCAACTAAATTTTCCAGTACTCAGGCCAAAAGTCTTGGGTCACCCTTTACTCTGCTCTTTCTCACGTCTCACAATGAATGAATCTCTACTTAAATTTTGCTAGTTCTATGTTAAGATTGTATGCAGAATCTGGCCATTTCTCATCAACTCCACTATACCCTCAGTGCAAGCCACCAGCACCCCTCCTCTGGCTGCCTTCAGCAGCCTCCTAACTGATCTCCTGACTCCTGTCCTTGCTCCCTAGTCTATTCTGAAAATAGCAGCTAGCATAATTCTTGCTCCCTACAGTCTATTCTTGCTCCCTACAGTCTATTCTGAAAATAGCAGCTAGCATAATTCTTTTAAAATGAATGTCAGATCACATTGCTTGTTTGTTCAAAACCTTCTAATGATTCCCCATTGCACTCAAGAGTAAAAGCCAAAGTCCTCCCTAAAACCCACAAGGCAATTCACAATCCACCTTCCCTGAATCATGTTCTAGGCCCCACCTACCTCCTTGCCTCCAGCACACTGGACTCCTTTATTATTCCAGACACTCTCCTTCCTCAGGCTCTTTGCATGGGCTGCTTGCTCCCCTCGCCTGGAGTGCTCCTCCTCCCCATGGCCACATGGCTCCCTGCTTCATGAACTACAAGTCTCTGCTCAGATGCCATCTTCTCCATGAAGTGTGCCCTGACTATCCAACTCAAAATTACAACCTACCCCTCTGCACACATTCCCCACTGCCATTCCCTGCAGTCTGTTTTTCCATAGCACTTATTACTATTTCCCATCCTCTCTATATAACAGACTTATTTAGTTTATTCATTGTTTATCTTCCCCCATTAGAATTGTATGCTCTTAGAGGCAGAGATTTTAGTCTGCTTTGTTCACTGATATATTTGAGCATCCAGTAGAGTGCTTGGCATATACATGTACACAGCATAGATAGATAGATAGATAGATAGATAGATAGATAGATAGATGATAGATAGATAATAGGTAGATGATAGATAGATGATAGATAATAGATAGATGATGATAGATGATGATAGATAGATAGATAGACAGATAGATAATAGGTAGATGATAGATAGATGATAGATAATAGATAGATGATGATAGATGATGATAGATAGATAGATAGACAGATAGATAATAGGTAGATGATAGATAGATGATAGATAATAGATAGATGATGATAGATAGATAGATAATAGATAGATATGAAAAAACCATGGCTATTCATTCCATTGCTATGTAGATTTATAAATTAATATTTTAAATAAATCTTACAATTGTACAATAGTGAACACAGTTAGATTGCATTGCAGTTCATAAAAATAATCATTTTTTTCAATATAAGCTTTTTTTTCTTTTTTTTTGAACGAACGTCTTGCTCTACTGCCCAGGCTGGAGTGTAGTGGTGCGATCACAGTTCACTGCAGCCTTGACCTCCTGGGCTATAGCCATCCTCCTGCTTCAATCTCCTGAGTAGCTGGGACTAAAAGTGTGCACCACCACACCCAGCTATGTTTTTGATTTTTTGTAGAGGGGAGGTTTTATCTTGTTGCACATATCTCAAACTCCTGGGCTCAAGCAATTCTCCCACCTTGGCCTCCCAAAGTGTTGGGATTACAGGCTTGAGCCACTTTGCCCAGCCTAGACATTTTAAATATAGAATTTCATTAATTTGATTGAAGTATGTCTTCATTTTTGTTTTTATTTTTATTTTTTCATGTCAAAGATGTCATAGCATTTTATTTCCGTTACAAAAGTCAACCAATGATATTTTCATTGAAATATCTGCACTGAATGATGATTCAACATATGAGGCAAAGAGGGAGGTTTTTGGAAAAGGCATTTAAGGTAGAACATTAGCAAATCTTACCGGTTGGCTAAAACAAAAATGAGCTCGTTCAACCTGGCTGGAGGCCTGTTAGGGCTGTTCCTTCTCACTGTGGCCTGACTAAAAAACCAGTGACATTAAGAAAGCATCACATTTCCCAAGTCTGGGGGTGCCCCAGTGGGGTGGTGCTGCTCTCAAAAGCCCTGTGTTCCTAAAAACATCCATCCTCACAAGATCAGTTTCCCCAAGTGCTGGTTCCAAAAATAAGCTCAGGGCTGGCAGAAATTGTTCAGGAAGCTTCTTGAAGTCCCCTCCTTTATTTCTCAGTCTGACTTTCAGCTTGTCCCAGCTACTGTAAGCAGCTTCGGCTTCCCAAGGTCACTGGCAACTCCTACTTTTGCTAATATCCTTGGTTTTCCATGGCACGGGTTGTGACTGTTTTTTAGACTAGTGGTCCCCCAATTAACTGCACCTCCACTTCATACCCTTTTCTTGAATCTGAGCCGGGCTTGTAACTTGTGTAGTAAGTAGAGGGCATACTCCAGCTCTCTTCTGATTAGAAAAAATCCTCATCGTTATCATAATCAACAGAGGGCAGTAAAAGGGATGCTGCGACAATTCTGGACTTAAGTCTTCAGGAGGCCTGGCCACTTCTGCTTTCAAGCTCTTGGTATGTGAGAGGTCTAGCTACCCTGCCAGCCAGCCACTGAAAGAGACAACACAGTGGTCTTTAAATGGTTTCAAATTTTGCTTATCAAAATGTAGTCAACAAAAATGCAAGCCTTCCAAATCCAAATTCTGTCTTCACATAAACTTTCTTGTGTCTGTTCTTCATCTTTCTAGGGAGAGGGTGAAAGTCCACATCTGTGGACTTTCTGTGCTGAAGTTTTCCAGGTTTTCTCATGTGAAACTTTTCTGTTGTATCAGGTCCACGTTTTCACAGACTCCAGCATTGTCTTCTCTCATTTCTGCACAGGGTGGCGCTGCAGTGCAAGGCGGGAGGGGGCTCTGGGCTCCACTTGTCTGGTCTGCTAGAGAATACTTAATATTTTTATATTCGTGCCCTTTCCTCTTGCTTTTCTGCTCTTCTTCAATCTTGTGCTGTAGTGTTTCAATATAATGCTGGACTGCCATATAGATAAATCGGTACTGTGCTTCTGTCTGGGCCATCCCTGACCTCTGAGACTGCACTGTGTGGATGGTTTTGAGAAGGTCAATGTTGCAGTTAATACCTTTCTCTCTGATGATGTCAATAAGACTATTAATCACAATGAACCTCCCTGTATGGCCAATTCCAGCACTGCAGTGGACCACGACCAGCCCTGCATCCATGATGCTCTCCTGCTTATGGTGCACCTCCTCCAGGAAGTCCAGCATGCCCCCGGGGTCACTGGGCACTCCGTGGTCTGGTCAGGTCCGAAAGTGGTATTGCCAGACCGTTCTCGCCATATTCCCCTGGAGTACAGCTTGTCCAACCTTTGAAAACTTAAGTTCTCTTAGCATATAGTCATGAACAGCACTTCCTTTGATGTTCCTAACACACATGACCCCATATTCTTGTAGAGCATCCTCTTCAGACCAGTATTTGACACATTTACTCTTTCCTCTCTCCATTTCTTTCATTGTCATGACAATCACTTGGGAGTTTTCTTGGAACACCATCCAGCAAAAGTCATTCACCATGTTTTGCAGGCAGCCTTGTGTGGCAATGCAACTCTTTTTGGGTTTTGAATTGTTGCACTTGGTTTCAAATTCAGGCATGATGGTGTTTGCACTGATGTAATCTGAAATAGGCTCATTGGGATCATCATCGTGTAGGACAACCCTGGTATGATCAAAGGGCAGGATGTTTTTATATCTATTTTTGTTTTTGTTTTCTTGCCTTTGACCCTCTTTTCGGCTGTAGAGAAGTTTGCACTCCTGTGGTTGTAGTGTCTCAAATTCTTCCCAAAAGCCTTGTTGGACTTTGTCTGTGGTCTCAGCTAATTTGCTTAGTTCTCAAACTCTGCTTTCTATTTCAGCAGCATTTATACGAGTCATGTTAAGGGGCTGCTTGAGTCGTAGTACTGTACCCAATGTTTCCAGCATAGGATTCTTCTTGTAATGTTCCACGAGATCCGTCAAAGAATCAAACCGTTTTCCTCCACCAACGTCGTATTTCAGTTCCTGACAGCGAATCATGACATGGGTCACTTTACACTTGCTGTCATTGCTCTCTTTTTTGTCATCACTGGTGCGCACAGAGAGAACAAAATCTCCAGGGTGGCTCTGGCTCTCTCGTATAAGAAAGCTACCATGTTTTCCTTTTTCAGTTAATTTCTCTGCTTCTTTCCCAAAGAGGTGTCCGTGAAACCATCTTTCAGAGGCAGGATCCGCACAGTTCAGAGGATATTTAAGCTCAACAACATCTCCATTCTTCTCTTTTAATTGCCTGTGATGTTCCATGTAATACTGGACCAACTCAGCCGAAGTGGCAAACTTTTCCCCCCAAACGGGTCCTAGTAATCACCAGTGTTCTGAATCTTGATGTGGGTGACAGCTCTATTTCTTCTAATGGAACATGTGAAGTCTCCAGGGGTACTTTTACTAGGCCTTGCCAAAAAACTGCCATCAACTCCTCTTGTCGACAATAGGTTTTTCTGCCTCCACACCACTGATATTTGGGTGAAACCATTGTCTCCAAGCCTCAGTTTCCTCCTTTCTTTTCTTTCTATAAGATAAAGATAGTAGGCTGGGTGCAGTGGCTCACGCCTGTAATCCCAACACTTTGGGAGGCTGCGGCAGGAGGATCGCTTGAGTCCAGGAGTTCGAGGCCAGCCTGGGCAAAAAAGCGAGACTTTGTTTCTACAAAAAATACAAAAAACTAACCGGGAGTGGAGGCTGAGGCGGGAGGATCACTTGAACCCAGGAAGTCAAGGCTGCAATGAGTCATGATCACCCCGCTGCACTCCAGGCTACTTTATTTTTATTTTTAATGAACAGGGATCTTTTTAAAATGGAAGTGGTTGGTCCTTGATGTCTGGCTTCCCTTGCTAATAAATAAACCCAGAGAACTATTTGCAATGGTGTAGCATTTAGAATCAACAGGCTTCAAAACAGAGAGGGTCTATTCTGTTTTGTTTTGAAGTCACCCTTTGCAAAAAACATATGGTAATCTCGGGCAGCCCATGAAGCAATCGGCAAGATCTGAAGGATGAGAACAGTGTGTTCTTTGAAATCCCTCTGACAAGCAGACAGTCCCTCCTTCCCTCAAACCATCCTCAAAGGGAAGTGTGTCGGCTTGGGCAGTAATGAGACGGTGTGGGAATTCCCCTGTCCCCTTGGTTCACTTTACAGACAAAGTTCATTAGGGTTAAAGATGGGTCATTCCCATCCACAGATTCCTTCACTTGAAATCAAGACTTCTTGGGAAATATAAATTTGGAGAACAGGTAACAGTGAACTATAGTTCCCCCCAAAACAAATTTTTTAAAAATCAGGTGGTATTAAAAATTGCTGTTTCATGACATTACCAATAGATGGCAGCACGGGATTCATCTTCGCCCATAAGCAGCTTCACCCCTGCTTTTCCTGGCGAATGTTCACTGACAACTCGGCCTCAGGACTTTGACGCTCTTGGTGTCATCAGAGAGCAATTTGAGGTGTGCAATAAAATCTTTGGGTTCCCCGCCCCGCCTTCTGTAGGTGACCTCAAACCACAATCACCAATCGACTGCGGTGCTGTGACCTGGAAAAACAGCAAGGAAACTAAAAACAAAACAAAACAAAACAAAACAAAAACCCATCCTGTGAGCTCTGCAAAGGAGAACAAGATCATGGCACACAGGCAATTAGCAAACTAAATTGAAGATGAGTTCTGTTAGAAGAGTCAAAAAACAAAGAGAACAATTTTTGTGAATTGCGTTTTTAAGATCACTGCATCCAAACACTGGAGCTTCAACATAAAGACTCCTGAGCCATGTATTCTGACTTGACCCCTGCAGTTCCTTCCAGTTCCAAAAATCTCTGATCTGTGAATAGAAAAGTTCCAGCAGATACGTTTCTAAGAGCATGAAATTATTTCTAGATACTAGTCTAGTACCTACATGTATTAAAACACAAAAATAAACAAACAAAAAGACCTTCATGCTAATCAAAATATTTTTTAACAGAAAGGAAACCAAAACCTATTGGACCCAGCCCACAAGAACTGTGTTTTTTCCAATGCACATAGCAATAGAGTCATGTTTTGAAAACCAATTATGTAGGCTATAACACCCATTGTAGAAAGAATAGAATAGAATAGAACAGATCAGAATGCATCACAGTCTGCAGGGTTGTAAAGTAAAATTTCTTGCTTTACATCATGGGCCAAAGAAAACTTGCAAAGCTCTATCATGGAGAACAGCATCTGTCTTCAACCTTTGTATCTTCCACAGCCCAACACCAACAAGCTCCTCACCATCAAAACATCTAAATGGGCAAATAGAACTTTTGGTGGGTTTGAGTGGCACCAAGCATCAAGCTACATTAATACTCTTCTCAATCACTGTCATACAAATATGGAGAATTCGGTTATTTATCATCATTTTCTGCATATCCATACTATTCCAAGACAATCCCAATTTCTGGCTTTTTGTTCTACTCTTCCATAAGCATATTCATAGTGATAATGTTGTATGTCCTGAGTTTCAGTTTGGAAAATATAGTCCCTGGTTAAATCAATGGGCATCGGATAAAAACTTTAATGTCTAAAGGGGCTGGGTAGGTAGAATCAATGAGTGAAGCAAGCCAGGAATAACAAAGGATTAAAATGTGGATTTTACAGGAGATGTATACATTTTTTAAAAGTTAATAATAACATTAAAAAAGGAAAGTGACATTGTGCGGGAAGAAGAAATTAGGTCTTCTATGGACTGAATTTTATCCCTTCAAAATTCATATATTGAAGTCCTAGCTCCCAATGTGACTATATTTGGAGACAGGTCTTTAGGAGGTAGTTAAGGTTAAACGAGGGCATAAGGGTGGGGCCCTAATCCTGTATGACTGGTGGCCTTATGACCTTATTATGGAAGGAAGAGGTCTCTCTCTCTCTCCCTCTCTTTCTCTCTCTCTCTGTGTGAACGTGCACCAAAGAAAGGCATGTGACCATGTTGCAAGACGACAAATGTGTGCAAGCCAGAAAGACAGCCTTCACCAGGGAACCGAATTAGCCAGCACCTTGATTTTTGACTTCCCAGCCTCCAGAACTGTGAGAAATAGATTTCTGTTGTTTAAGCCACCCAGGCTACGATCTTTTGTTACAGCAGCCTGAGCAGACTAACGCGAAGGCTTAGGCCTGGATGTGCTCAGGGCCCTCCAGGGGGCAACTTCAGGTTGAATGAAGCCCTGCAGATTGAAGGAAGCACAAACTCATTGGGGTTAATATCTGATGTCATTTAAGTATCAGTCCTCATCAGGGCTCTGAAGTCCTGGGGCAACCTGTAACAGGATATTCATTCATTAAACAAATGTTTCAGGAGTACAAGATTGAAACTAGTTTGACTGTGAGTCAAGTGGGCCAAAGAACAGCTACTTGGAGAGCATAGAAAGAAAAGTGAGCAATTCCAGAAGAATGGGTGATCTCCAGAATTTCAGAATGAGCATCTAAGCACTCCCACACCCATGGGCCTGGGAAGAGATTGACATCAGCAGGGCAGGGACCATAGCATGGGCTTTCAATTTCACCTTCTCATCCTGCTCCAAGTCATTTTCTCTCCTGTTCTAGTACAATTCAAATATTATTTGATTTAAGCCTCATGGTTTTCAGAATTTCTTTCATTTTTTTCAATAATTATTTTTTAAGTACACATCTAGGTACATTGGTGAAGAAAACAAATGAAAATTCTTGTGTTCATGGCACTTTAGTTAGGTAGATAATAAAGTAAGTAGAAAATGTGAGATGGCAGAAGGCCATAATATGCATTGGTAGTATTGTTTGAGAATATTCAATTCTGCTAAAGAAGAAATCAACTGAAATAAGTGAAACTCATGTTTAAGTATAGGAAGATCAGTTAGCAGCATGAGAGACAGGTTAGAAAGATCAAGTGGGTCATACGTATACACACAGGAAGAGGAAGGAAGGGCAGCGCCAGGATACCTGAGATTCATAACACTGTAATATATGTGAGACACTCGATATTCATGAGTTCTTTATTTGGCTACTCATTTGTGAAATTTATTCTGACCTTGAGTGACCTTTGCCCCCAAAAACCAAATAGAATCTTGCTGCTCAGCAGGTTAATTGGCAAGCACCAGCCACGCCCATGTGCTGGAGCCTCATACCGTTTCCACCTGCTGAGACTCCATGCTGAAAAGTTCAATGCTAGGCCGGGCACCGTGGCTCACGCCTGTAATCCCAGCACTTTGGGAGGCCGAGGTGGGCAGATCACCTGAGGTCAGGAGCTCGAGACCAGCCTGGCCAACATGGTGAAACCCTGTCTCTACTAAAAATACAAAAATAAGCTGGGCATGGTGGTGGGTGCCTGTAATCCCAGCTACTTGGGAGGCTGAGGCAGGAGAATTGCTTGAACCCGGGAGGAAGAATTTGCAGTGAGCTGAGATCGCACCACTGCTCTCTAGCCTGGGGGACAGTGTGAGACTCCGTCTCAAAAAAAAAAAAAAAAGAACTTCAGTGCTGGTCCTAGTGACTGCCAGGAAAGGCTGGTGTGGTAGAGAAAGAAACAGACATCTGAACATTGTCCTGGTTAGGGTTTTTACCCATTTGTGTGCCGTGTGGGGCATGTTAACTCACCCCCACTTCTCCAGCAGGAATTTGAGTCAATTTAATAAACCATGTGATTCCATCACCTTCATTTGATCTGTGATCCCTTCTGGAAGAGTTTGCCTAGTTGTGGACTCAGAGGCTGCCATTGATTGCAATGAAAATAATTTTCCACTTGACAGTGATAAAAAAAAAAAAGTATTACAGCCTCCAAAATAAAGCATGGAAGAGAGATAAGGAGTTTGGGAGATGGGTTTCCATTTTAAATACGATGCTCAGGGAAGGTCTGATTGAGAAGGTTCCATTTGAGCAAACACTTGAAGGAGGTGCGGAAGAAAGATATGTAGCTATCTTGAGGAAGATCATTCCAGACATAGGGAACCACAAATGCAGAGGTTCTCAGCCATGAGTTTGCCTGGCCAGCTCCAGCAACAGGAAGGAGGCCAGTATGACCACGTGGAGTGAGCAGGGTGGCAGGAACTAAAGTTCGAAGTCACACGGGACCTGTCTTTCCAGGCTCTATAGGTCATTGGAATAACTTTGGGCTTTTACTCTAAGATGGTTTTCCACTGGACAGGAAAGTGGTCAAATTTATATTTTTATGTGATCAGTCTGGCTGCTGTATACCAGAAGGGAATAGAGAAAGATTGTGGAGGTCAATTATGAGACTACTGCAATGAGCCAGGCAAAGGTGACCATGACTCAGATCAAAATGGTAGCAGTAAAGGTGGTAAGTAGTGATGAGACTCTGGTTATGTTCTGAAAGTGAAGCCACTGGGATTTGCTATTGGATTGGATGTGGGGGAGAAACAAAGGGAGGAGTCAATGATGCATCCAAGGATTTGGGCTTTAGCAGCTGGAAAGATGGAGATGCCACAAATGCAGGAGGGAGAAATTTGGGAGAAGTTAGTATCATTTTACAGAAGAAGGAACTGAAACTTAAATAACTTATCCAAACTCACATAGGAAATGAGTTATTCAAGTCAAGAATCAAGCCAAGCCAGGCCATTTCCAAGCTCATGCATGTGTTTTCTGTCTCTCAAGTCCGTGAGAAGAGTATCCAGGGAATAATGGGAGCTGAGTAGATGGAGCAGCTAATTCTGTCTGCCATGGGGTTCAAAGGTTTCACAGAAGAAAATGTGCAGCTTGGCCTTGAGGGGTCTGGACCAGGTCTGGGAGAAGGGCAGGTATTCCAGATAGAAAGGAACATGGATAGGACTGAACAATCAATAGTGTAGGGAAAATTCAGAGGTTTGAAATGTCACTTTATAATTCTGTAAAGCTGTCTTATTCATGTGAACATAGGGTCATACTGCAGCAATATTTCAATATGTATTCAGTGAGTAGCTAACTCTATTATTGCTAGATGTGGGAATACAATGTTTTCACTGTGCATTTATTATTATGCATATAAGCATGCGCAAAGATGGGGTCTGCATTGCCCCTCTGTTGAGAAGGAGGCACTGCCAGGTGCTGCGGACATTGCACCAGAGTGATGCAATGAGGCTGGTACAGGGACAGTAGAAAGAAGCTGGAAGATGGAATGGGCAAAGGCTTCTGCCTGGTGAAGAGCCGCTGGCACTGCCACGCACAAGAAGCAAATAGAGAGGATGAAATCCCTTCTCCCTCCTTCTGCCTTCCAGTCTCTCCTCACGGTCCTTTGGGGCAGAACCCAACTGGGAGCTGACATGGAGATAATAGGGATATCAGAGTCCAGCCCAGCATCAGAAAATTGAGTATTAACAGCTTAGTCTGGAGCTGACAGACACTAGGGTATCAACCACTAAAGCAGTAAAATAGGCATAATAATACCTGCCTTAAAGCCAGATTAGATTTTATGTGTAAAAATACAAAGCGCTTTGTATTGAAAACAACATTATTGACAAAGGCTATGGAAGGTTTATTGGGCTGGTTGTAGAGGATCAAACTGATGTATAGGATGTGGACAGTCTGCTTTTTAGCCACTAACTTGTACATACGTAAGCAAATAAGATAAAATTGACTTTAACCTTGAACTTCCATTTTGGAAAAGTGTCAAACTGCTTTGTTATAGATGCTTGTAAACAGGGTGAAAGATGTCCAATGTCCTGATTCTGATGACTATGCTTGTGAGAGCCCCTCCCCCCGACATGTAGGGCAATTTTCTGATTCTGGAAAAATCTCATGTCCTGGCTCTGGGAAAGGAGCTATCTCAGACTTGCTTCTGCTCAACAGGGAGCCTGAAAGAAGCTGGATTATTGGATGAGGTTGCACATGTATTGCTGGAACACGCCTATTGGGAAAAACCACTTTGTGTGGTGTTTGTTGTTTATGGTAGACACTGATATTTATATTTGACTTTTTTTCCGAGTAATTTTGCCACATAGCTTCTCAAACACATTATATTTCCATTTCTATTGGTTCGGGTCACAGAAACAAATCCTGTATTAACATGTAGTTGATCCCCAAAACTTTGCCTCTGAATTATGACATTTATCTTTAAGAATTGTTACTTTTGTTTTCCAAAGGGACCTTCACTTTGTATTTCATGAGATTCCATGTGTTACAGATTATATTGATTTACTAATTCTACAAATAATAATTGAGGGCTTACCATGTGCCTGATCCAACGCTAAGGGATCAACCAGAAAGTGATTGTCCTTGCCTTCATGGAGGTTATAATCTATTGAGAAAGAGATTATATATAAACACAAGAGATAGATATATAAACACACAAACACAAAGGCTCTCTATGAGGAAGGACTCTGTGAACTGGGATGAAGAGCATAGGAACTGAATTTAGCATATAAGTTTAGAGAGATCTCCTAAAAAAAAAATATTGGAATTGCAACCTATAGGACATGTCAAGCCCTTGATGGGTAAGTGGGTGTCTTGGCAGAATTGAAGGTAGAGGAGAAGACTACAAAGTGGTCAGTCAGTATGGCTGAGATGCAGTGAAAGGCCTCGGTGAGGCTAGAGAACAGCCAGACCCTCCCTGCATGCATTTTATTCTAAGGTCAACAGGAAGCCTTGGGGGACTTAAAAAATGGAGGGACATATTCCACTTTGACTTTTGTGTGGAGAATGGATGATGGTGCAGAAGTGGATGGAGGAGTTTAAGAGGATGCTGCAGTGGTCCAAACAGTGTCACCCTGTGTCTGTCTCCAGGGGTGGACATTCACATAGAGAGAGAAATTATCATGGCTTAGACTGGGGGAAGAGTGGTAAAGATACATTGAATTAGATTTGACCTCTATTTTGGAAATCTGATCTGCAAGACTTGGTTATTGATTGCATTCAAAGGAGGATATTCCTGGGTTCCTTGCTTGAGCAATTGGATGGATGGATAAAAGAGTTTCTGGATGAAAGGACTTGTGACAAGAGAAAAATGAAGGAAAAAGAGCCAAAAAGGATGTCAGGAATGAACGGCTTTCTACAACCAATCAATATATGTGCACACAATTAAAAGAAATGCACTCCTATATAAAAAGGACTCATACACAATAATTGTTGGTAACAGACCGACTCGTGGAAGACAGTATATATCCTTTTATTAAAAACTGAAATTTCTGTAGCAACAACTTAAAGTAGGGCCACTAGTTTTTCTCTACAAACTTATCTTGGTGAATTCACTACCATTTAAAATAGTTAATGCCTCTTGGCTTTAGAAATGGGAAAAAATCTCTAGGAACAATTATTTAATACATAATTTCAAGGCATATAAAAGGTAATCCTTTGGTGTCAATTTGCTCAACACAAAGTCATAGTTATTTACATCTTGGAGAATAAAGAGCCTTTGTTAGAGATGATCTGTGATTTTTGAAGATCATATTGATTCAGAAAATGGCAGAGTCAATATTGGAATCCAGGGGAAAATAAGAGTTGAAATTCTTGAATGAATCAGGACAGATGATCAGAATTACCTGGAGACAAAACTATCCACTTTCAGTTTTCAATAATCCCACCTGGCTGTCTATGCTCCCCAGAGTCATTGAAATACTGTTCCATGCTTTAATTTAATTGTTTGGATATGGTCATAAGCTTTGTAATAAACTCTCTAATTTAAATAGATCAATAAGATCATAATTACAGGTACTCCTTTAACAGTCTTTACTGTAGACCATGAAATGACAGAGAAAAACTTTCTATGATAACTAACTGCCAAAACAAAACTAAAACCTTCTAATTTGATTTCAAAGATATTTCCCAGTGTTAATCATGATAGACCAAACCATTAACTCATAATGGGATAAGGCTTTAAACATAGAAACTGTCACTCACTGAACCTGACCATAGAATAAGTGGCTTCTAACATTTTATTTTTAACATATCTCGGCTTAACATAGGTTATTTGTCACATGAAAATCCCAGCTGATGATGCCTGCAGATGAAAATAGGGTGATGAGAGTTTGGCCTTTGACATAGCAAAGCTCTGTTTATGGAGACACTGCTTAATGGTTCAGAGCGCAGACTCAGGGCTTAACTATCTGGATTTGAATTCCAACTGTCCCCTCTTACCACCACCAAATTTCTACCAGTATGATCTTCACTAAGTTGACATCAACAGTCTGCACTTTGGTTTCTTCATCAGTGAAGATAATAATCTACCCAACCCTAGGGTTTTGTATGGTTTAAGTGAGACAATGTGTCTAGAGGGTTTATGACGTGCTCTCTCCATGTAAGTACTAACACTCTGGGTGACTGTGTAAGAGGTGGTGTTTGTTTGGGTTTTAGCTCTTCATAAACCAACCACAGGAAGATGTGGTGACTTGATACGAGCAAATGCTTGTGCGGAATACTTTTTCAAACCATTCCTTGGGTGTATTAGAACCTAACCATAAACAATATGAAAAGCCCCACCTTTCAAAAAATTTGATGTTATTTGGATCCTTTTGACTGTACTATTTTTAACTTAGCTGATGAATGATATTCACATTCGAGATGCTTATCCCATTTAGGTATTATTTGAAGAGCTTGGAAAAGCAGTAAATGATGGCTTATATTTTAAGAATTAATTTTGTATTTATCATGACAGTCATATGCAGAGCCCTTGGCAAGCCTTATGGAAGAGATGCAAAAATCTTAAAATATGATTGCTTAGGCCAAAGTAGCTTATAGTCTTATCGGAGAGGTGAACATATATTCAGAAGATAAATTGAACCAAGCTGGGGGATGGCAGTGTTAAGTATAACTAAAATTAAAGTTCTCCAGTCTCAAATGCCAAATTACAATGCTGGAGTTACAGCCTTCCAATTACTTTTAAGCCCCATGGATATGCCAGAAACAGAGACTCCTCCTGGGGCCTGAGGCAGTAGGTATGGACAGGAGAGCAGGTCTTATAGAAGAGGCGAGGCTGCTTTTGAATTCCATCCAATGGTGTGGCAGTGGTGGGGTCTACCTATTTGGCTGGCCTTGGAAAGTAGGATAAATATCAGGGATATTTCTTTAGTACATTCTGATTTTTAGGAGCTTATTATTTCATCAAAGAGATGAGTTGTATGCCTCCCAAAACTGATCATTTCATTCCCCACGTAAAGCCCTTTAATGTCTTTCAGGACAAAACCACAGTCCTTAGCAAAGCATATAAGATCTTGAAGACTTGTTCCTGCCAGCAATGGTTAGGGGTGCTTTCATCTGCAAGTAATAAGACATTCAATCAACAGTGGCTCCAATCAGTGCTTCTTAAGCTCTAGTAAACCTTCCAATCACCAGGGCTTCTTATTAAAATGCACATTCTGATTTAGGAGGTTGGAGTGGGGGCCTGAGATTCTGCATTTCTAACAAGCTCCCAGGTGATGCTGATTCTGCTGGTCTAAGGCAAACTTGTGAATAGCAAGAGCTTAAAAAGACCTTTAAAAGATGGAGTTTTCTGCCTCTCACATAACAAGAAATCCGAAAGTTGTTCTACACTTGATTCAGAAGATCAACAATGTCATTGCTCTGGGATTGGCAGATCAGGGAGTAGCAAATTATGCCCCAAAGGCCAAATCTAGTCCAACAATTGCTTTTGTAAATAAAGTTTTATTGGAACACAGCTCTGCTCCCTTGTTTATGTATTGCCTATGGCTACTTTCGCACTAAAATGTTGGAGCTGTGACAGAGACCATATCACCCACAAAGCCCAAAATGTTTACCTTCACCTGGCCCTTTATGAAAATAGTTTGCTGACCCCCAGCTTAGACATCATTATTTGCCTCTGATCTGGGCACCTCTCCTCTCTAAACTCAGTGAGGACTCTGTTAACAAGGAAGAGAGGGAGGAGGGAGCCATGTCTGCAACGTGACTCCTCTCACTCACATCCTGCCATCCTTTGGTGTAGACTCACCTTGCAGCCATGGCAACCACGGGCAGTTCCCCAAAGGCATCATGCTTCACTGTGGCTTCAGAAAATGCCATGTGGGTTTTGAGGACAATGAGATCAGAATGTTTGCCTTAAACAATATAAAGGCTGAGACGCTGGGCAGGTAACTATGGGGACGAAACAGAGGGTGGCCTCAGGTTCCAAGCTAAAGCATTTGGACTTAAAAGTCATGGGGGTGGGCAGTGGCAGCCTTGGGGATTTGAAAAGCATAGGGTCAGTTTAGTGTTTTATGCATGTAATTCTGAGAATACTGGGCAGATAGCCTATTTATTAGTCTGTTATGACTGACATGAAATACCACAGACCAGGTGGCTACAACCACAGAAATTTAATTTATCATAGTTCTGGAGGCTAGAAGTTCAGATCAAGATGCTGGAAAATTCATCCTAGCAAGGCCCTCTTGCTGACTTGTAGATGGCCGCCTTTTCTCTGTGTATGAGCAGAGAGAAAGAGTAGTGTCTCATCCTCTTCCTATAAGGACACCAGTCCTATCAAATTAGGGCCCCATCCTTATAATCTCATGGAACCACAATTACCTCCAAAAATGCTCGGTCTCCTAACACAGTCACATGGGGTTAGGGCTTAAACATCTGAATCTGGGGTGTGTGGGGACATAATTCAGTTCATAACAGCTGCTGGAGGGAAAAATGTATGCAAGGAGACAAGTTGGACCTACACATGAAGTATTAGAGACTGAGAATACAAGCCCTGATCTAGAAAATTGGGCTCTAAGAATGGAAAGGAAGGAATGGGTGACAAGACAGAGACTGTTAAAAAAAAAATCAGTAGGTCTTGGTAACTAAATGAATTCAAACAAAGAGTGATTGTGTCTGACAGCTGTGTTTAAAGCCTAGTGAGTAGGGAATGGAGTCACAATTAACAGAAAAATGAAGACGTGGGAAACAAGAAAGTCTTTGGGCAAATGTAGTGGTTTGGGATCTATTTAGTCTGAGGTGAGGTTATCCAGGTGTATTTGGAGGACTATAAATTCTTCCCTGAAGTAAATACTACCTAACACACCTTTTATCAGGAAGTTATGAATATTGAATTTTTTTCAAAAGTCATTGCACCCTTCCCTTGAGACCCATGTAATTACATGTAAGAATGAATGTCAGGTTCTTCATTACCTATCCCCATCCCTACATACTAGGATTTTAGCCAACTTCTCTTATTCTGATGAGTGGGGATGAATTTATCACCATGACATGTTACACATAGGATACTCTAAAGAAATAGTTAGTGGAGATTCATTCACACATGCATTCAAGCAATAAATATATAGTAAATATATAGTTCTGGGCACTAGGGATTTTTTTTTTTTTTTGCAATTGCAAGATTTAATAGAGTAAAAACAGAGCTCCCATACAAAGGGAGGGGACCCAAAGGGGACAGCCATTGCCGGCTCCGATGCCTGGGTTTATATCCCGATCATTGTCCCTCCCCCTGTGCTCTCAGGCAATAGATGATTGGCTATTTCTTTACTTCCTGTTTTTGCCTAGTTAGCATTTTAGTGAGCTCTCTTTACTACCTGATTGGTTGTGTGTAAGCTAAGTTGCAAGCCTCGTGTTTAAAGGTGGATGTGGTCAACTTCCCAGCTAGGCTTAGGGATTCTTAGTTGGCCTAGGAAATCCAGCTAGTCCTGTCTCTTAGTAGCCCCTCTCAACAGGAAAACCCAAGTGCTCTTGCGGAGGTTGGCTGACGACAGCTCTAACTGCTTCCTGCTGAATTGGGGCATAGTAAGGGTCGTGCAGTTGAAATTTCCTTGGGAGGGGTGCCTTCGATGTCATCAACTTCGGAGCATGGGCTAGCAGGCCGGTCCAGGGGTCCATGGTAGATCTTAGTCATGGACTGCATCTGGGGCTCCATTTGAAGAATGATTTGTAGTTTTACAGCTTTGATTCTGGAAGAGACAAACTTAACAAAGGGGTTAAAGACACAGGGATTGAAATGTATGGCCTGCAGTGCAGGGGATTATTTCTTTGGCAGTTTTGAAAAATTATTTCTTTGGCAGATTATTTCTTTTCTTGACAGTTTTGAAAAGGCCTGGTCCAGTAAATAATAATTTGGCCATCTGATGGGTGCTATCAATGCCTAAGTGAAAGGTTTGGTGAAGGGTTTTAAGTAATTTCCATTGGTTAGCTGCAAGTAAAATATTTTTCCTTCTTCAGTGGTTAGCCATCCTGAGGAGAGGAAACTATGTCCTCGTGAGGTTCCGCATTCTATTTCTTTTTCTGAGTACTGGGGCTTGGTTTCCCAGGGGGGATTACTCCATACTAGGGGTCATTCTATAAGCATTTCTAATGGAGGGTCCTGCCTTGTGGCTCTTTTGGTTTCAATATCCACTTGGCGGTTCACTTCTATTTCCCTTTCCTTTCCTTTCTGATGCCCCCAGCAGTGTAAGACTGCCACCTCTTTAGGTTTCTGTACAGCCAATAATAATCTCCTAATGGCTTCCTGATGTTTGATAGGTGTTCTCTTGGAAGTTAGGAATTTCCTTTCTCTCCATATTGCTGCGTGGGCATGGAGGACTAGGTAAGCATACTTAGAGTCTATATATATATTTACCCTTTTTCCTTCTCCTAATTCTAGTGCCCGAGTGAGGGCTATTAGTTCTGCCAGCTGAGCACTAGCTCCTGGAGTGAGGGGATTACTTTCAAGTACTCCATTATCACTGAGCACTGCATACCCCGCTTTTTGAAGTCCTTTTTCTACAAAGGAACTTCCATCAGTATACAAGTTGAGGTCAGAATCAGTCAAGGGAACCTCTAGAAGGTCATTTTGAGAAGTGTAGGTTTGAGCAATCACCTATTGACAGTTATGTTCTATCTTTTCTTCATTGTCTGGAAGAAATGTGGCTGGGTTAAGAGTTGCACAAGTGTGCAGTCACAGCACTGGCCCTTCAATTAATAGAGCCTGATATTTAAGCGAACGGTTGTCTGACAGCCACAAGTCTCCTTTAGCAGTGAGTATGCCGTTCACATCATGAGATGTCCACACAGTAAGATCTCTTCCCTGTATCGTTTTAACTACTTCAGAAACTAAGACTGCTACTGCTGCCACTACCCGTAAACAATGAGGCCAACATTTTGCCACTACATCAATTTCCTTACTCAGGTATGCCACGGGTTGCAAGCTGGTCCCTTGGACCTGTGTAAGGACTCTTAGAGCTATTCCTGTTTTTTCTGTGACATATAAAGAAAAGTCTTGCCCCGTTGGCAAACTTAACACTGGGGCTTGGGTTAGGGCCTTTGTCAGGGCCTGGAAAGCTGCTTTTGCTTCAGGTATCCATCTTACTAAATGGGTATTGGCTTTCTGAGTTTCCTTAATTAGTGTATATAATGGCCTGGCTATTTTGCCGTACCTGGGAATCCATATTTGGCAGAAGCCTGTTATGCCAAGGAACCCTCGTAATTGCTTTTAGGGTTTTGGAATGAGGATAAGCCAGTATAGTCTGGATACATTCCTCACTGAGGGCCCTGGTGCCTTTGGATAATTTTAGCCATAAGTATTTAACCTGCTGTAAGCAGAGCTGAGCCTTTGGTTTGGAAACCTTATAGCCACAAGTGGCAAGGAAGTTTAAAAGCGCTTGGGTGGCTTGATGGCACAAGATTTCTGAACGGGCAGCTAGAAGTAAATTATCCACGTACTGAAGGACAAGAGTGTCCAGGTATGAGAATTGGCTCAAGTCTTGGGCTAATGCCTGGCCAAATAGATGGGGGCTATCCTTGAACCCTTGGGGTAAAACAGTCCAGGTGAGTTGAGACATTGGATTTGAAGGATCTTCAAAGGCAAACAAGAACTGAGAGTCAGGATGCACAGCGATGCAGAAAAAGGCAGCCTTAAAGTCCAGGACTGTAAACCACTCTATTTCCTCTGGTATTTGGGAAAGCAGAGTATAAGGGTTAGGTACAGCTGGGTATGGAGTGACAACGGCCTCACTGATAATCCTGAGATCTTGCACTAACCTCCACTGTCTGATGGGTTTCTGTACTCCTAAATTTGGAGTATTGCAGGGGCTATTGCATGCTTTTACTAGGCCTTGGGCTTTTAGGTCCTTAAAAATCTTTTGGAGTCATTGTTGGGGCTCGGGTCTAAGGGGGTACTGCTTTTGTTAGGGAAAGGAGGCGGAATCCTTTAGTTTAACTTGAACAGGATGGGCATTCTTTGCTCGTCCATATTGTCCTTCTGTTGCCCAGACTTCAGGATTAATTCCTTCCTCAAGCAGGGGACAGCAAATGTGTGTTCCTTCTCCTATGTTCAGGGGTATAATGGCCCCTGCTTTTGCTAGAATGTCTCTCCCTAACAAGGGAGTGGGGCTTTCAGGCATAATTAGAAAAGCATGTGAAAAGAGTAAAGTTCCCCAGTCACAACTTAGTGGCTGGGAGAAGTATCTAGTGACTGCCTGTCCTAGGACCCCTCAGATAGTGACAGATCTGGAGGACAGTTGTCTGGGATAGGAGAGTAAGACTGAGAAGGCTGTGCCAGCGTCCAGGAGACAGTTAACCTCCTGGCCCTCAATGGTCAAGCATATCTGGGACACTGTGAGGGTGATGGGCTGGCGTTTGCCCCGGGGAACCCTCAGTCCTGCTGCTGGATCATCTGGTTAGTGGCTTCTGACTCAGAAGACCTTTGTCCCCTGGGGCAGTGGGCCTTCCAGTGATTCCCTTGACATAAAGGGCATGGAAGAGGGGGCGGCTTATTTCTATCTGGACAACCTTTTTTTTTTTCTTTTTTTTTTTTTTTTTTTGAGACGGAGTCTCGCTCTGTCGCCCAGGCTGGAGTGCAGTGGCGGGATCTCGGCTCACTGTAAGCTCCGCCTCCCGGGTTCACGCCATTCTCCTGCCTCAGCCTCCCAAGTAGCTGGGACTACAGGCGCCCGCCACTACGCCCGGCTAATTTTTTGTATTTTTAGTACAGACGGGGTTTCACCGTTTTAGCCGAGATGGTCTCGATCTCCTGACCTCGTGATCCGCCCGCCTCGGCCTCCCAAAGTGCTGGGATTACAGGCGTGAGCCACCACGCCCGGCCTGGACAACCTTTTTTAAAGTGTCCTTGTAGACCGCACTGGAAGCAAGCCCTATTAGGCATTTGATTTGTCTGGGCACTAGGGATTTAAAGGTGTCTAAAAAGGGCGAACTTTAGCAACATTGAAAGTGAGCTTAATAGTTCTGTTTTAAAAGTGCTTACTCATTTTCTCATGTAAGCTTTCACTTTCTTAAGTTTTCTTTAACTGTCAGGAAATAAATGAGACAGCATTCTGAGAAGGATCTAGAGGTGCCACCACGAACATTCTGAAGGAGGCTGATAGAGCGGACAACCCACCAAGTCTGGGAGTTGACTTGACAGCCCTGCCCACGAGAAGCTGGCTAAGACAGCACAGTAGAAATGTGGCCTGAAGATTGGGGCACAAACACAGCACAAATCTATCATAACCGAGTCTTAAATTTGCTTTACATGTGAAAACCATATACTCACACACCAACAAGAACTCACCCCAGCTGGCCTAAGCTAAGGAATCTACAGTCCTTGGAAAAAGAACAAGTCAGAAGAAAGAACTTCAGGATCCTTCCAGCTGTTTCCCATGATTTATCATTCTTACAGTGTAGCCGCTTCAAAATACTTTTTTAACTTCATGCTATGAATTCCAAACACATTTAAGGTTAACCTCTGTCTTTGGTGTGATATAAGACCACTTATGCCACTCTGCTTTTTCTTGGTTGGCTTTTACATTTCCTTTCATGCATGCCCTGTTTTCCAGTAAAGTAACCCTATCCCAGGGCCTTTGACTAGCTCTACTTTTGAATCAACTAATATTTGCTGTTTCCACGTGGCAGGTGTGACCTTAGGCCAGGTGCTATGAGTTAAACAAAGATGAATGAGACTTGGACCCTGCCCTTAAATATTCAAACCAGCTAAGGGTTGGTGGTTAAACTCTGGACTCAGACAGACCTGGGGTGGAATTCCGGCTTCTCTACCTACCAGCTTGGGCAAGTTATTTACATTCTTCTAAATTCCCCCCTTTTTTTCCCCCACAACTGGGCATGATATTATCTACCTCATAGGCTTGCCATGAGGATTAATTAAATAATAAAGTGCAGTGCCACATAGTAAGCAAATAATTTAGCCTTCTCATTATTCCTATTATCATTATTTCCATGGGGAAGAGGATGTTTGGACTTTTCCTTCTGAACCCTCCCTCCCTTTTTTCATTCAACCTCTTAACTGCACAGAACTCTTCTGTTTTCTTTTAAGAGAAGAGGGAAAGCCATTCTGATGAAGATCTGAGATGTGAATATAACCTTGACTGCAGATGGACGGAGACAATAGGAAATTATGTCATACCTCTATTTAATCCACGTTGGTCCTGGTTTCATCTTCTCATTTCTGACCTTTGAGAAACATTTGTTGTAGAAAAGGACAAATAACATGATTACGTCGCTGATGATTAGTCTCTAGGCATTCACTCAATAAATATTTATTCTGTAGTTTCTGGGTGCCAGGCCCTGATTCAGTGCTAGAAACAGAGTGGTGGACATGGCAGCCACAGCCTCTAACCTCATGGAACACATAGCCCAGCAGATGGCAAGCACGTGCCCAAGGGAAAGAGGAAAGTCCTGGAGGTGAATGTGGGGGAGCTTTGCCTAATCCATCAGGCACACCATGACCTTCTATCATAGTGGAAGTCCCATGTGCATGGTGAGTCACCTGTGCATGGTGGCAACTCTTTATTTGCCCAAACTGGAAACTCAGGGTGAAATAAACAGCTGAAAGATTGCAGATCTATACAAGGGATTAAATAGTAGAATATTGAAGTCCATTGATATCATCGATTTTAAATTGAAAAAGAATTACAAAAGAATGTGGGTTAAGAGATGGTTTAAACCTCTCCAAGCTATTTTACCGCTAGAAATGTTAACACAAAAAAATATAATAATCTGATAATGGAGGATAATCGCTGATATTTCCTGTGCCTTCCTCCAATCCTCAGGATGACACTGGAAAGTAAACTATGAATTTGGATTCAAAATAATGTGGTATGGTTGGAGAGCATCAACTTCATCAACTGGATACAATGGCTGGAGATGCTCTGAATTTTCAGTTAGCAGGGCTCAGCTGGTCTCCATGAAAATGGTAGTTCCATTGGTCACAGTGTCTACAGTGATTTCATGTAAAAATTGCATCCCATTGCCTAGCCATCTGGCAAGGATCTGATTGCTGTCCCTTGAGATTCAGGAAGTTATGATGGTAAACTCACAGCTGAACATGGCTGGAGTAGAGATGGGGGACTGAGGCCTGGTATTACACCCATCTTCCAAATGGAATGAGTCCGGTGCTGGGTCAGGTCCCAGTTGACACTCAGAGAGCATGGCAGGCTGGTCAGCGATGCGACAGCTCACGAGAGTGAAACCGCACCACACAGAAGTAACAGGGACTCTTTGAGCTCATTTCCCTTCCTTCCATTGTGCAAGGAACTTGGCAGGCACCGCTGTGTGGGCCACAGTGGACACTCAGCAAAACAGCACGCGTTTGGCTTCTAAAACTCACTCTGCCAGCTCCTGACTTATGAGGGTGGTGGCAAAAGACCTGCTCTCTCTCAGCTTCTGTATCCATATCCCTAAAATGAGGGGGTTGTGTTGTACGATGCTGAGGAATGTTAGGATCAGATAAGATGATGAGAAACTCTGTTCCTCCTCTGTGTTCCCAGACACCTTAACCAGAAACCAGGCAGTCATGGGAGATGCCTCACTCCTTGTTTCTCCCCTCCTATTATTTCTACCTCCTAAACCCATCCCTTCCTCTTCTTCCCAATTGTCCCCCCTTATGTCAGGCTGTCCTGTTGTCTCACCTGGATAAACAGATTCCCAGTGTCTCACTTCACCCTCCTTTCCTGCGTCTGCCCCATTCACTCGCACTGTCTCCTCACGCCACCATGAAATAGTGAGAATGCATTCTGTCTTTTCTCTCTGCATCACCAGTGTCAAGCACAGTCATATGGAATAAGCTCCCCTCAAAATGTTTGATGGATGAATAACTAGGTAGAGGGATGAATTAATTAAACCTTCTGTGCAAGTACCATTTTTATAAGATAGTGTCTGAATGTGAGCTGCTATTCTCTGCAGTTCAATAAGCATAAATATTTGTTATAGATTTGGCACTGTGCTAGGTACTGGAGATGTGAAGATGAGTTAGATACAGTTCCTGACATTCGATTACCACCCAGTGAGCAAGACGGGCTGTATTAGTTAGGGTTCTCTAGAGAAACAGAGCCAACAGGATAGACAGATTGATAGGTAGATAGGGATTTATTTTAAGGAATTTTCTTGTGCAATTTTGGGGGAAGGCAAGTCAAAATTTGCGGAGATCAGCAGGCTAGAGACTCAGAGAAGAACTGATGTTGCAGTTCTAGTCTGAAGACAGACCGGAGGCAGAGGTCCCCCCTCCTTAGGGGACCTCAGATTTTTTTCTTTTTTTCTTTTTAAGGCCTTCAACTGATTAGCTGAAACCCACCATCATTATGGAGACTAATCTGCTTTGCTTAGTCTGCTGATTGAACTATTAGTCATATCTAAAAAATACCTTCACAGCCATTTCTAGACTGCTATTGGCCTAACATCTGAGCACCATAGCCTAGCCAAGTTGACACACAAAAACTGTCACACAGATGATGATAACACAATGCCTGCTATTGCATTTCTGCAAAGTAAACTAGATCTTTCTTTTATGAGAAGTTCTCTATACACTTTGGCATTCCAAAGCTAACATTTGTGAACTGCTTTCTCTGTAAATGCCATGCACTCTACAGGGTGCATTCATAAGCATGGCTTCCATCCCTACAACAATCTGTGATGTGGGTATTGTTCTTGCCTTTTACAAGTGAAAGAGGTCCAAGTAACATGCATGAGGTTCCACTGCTGATAGTGTAGTGGAGCTGAGATTTGAGTCCAAGCCTCTGCACTACTCCAAGTTCAATAATCTTTGCTGTACATCATGATACTTTAAACAAACATATTTAGCTTGAAGCTTAGCTTTTCCTAAAAGAAGCACTTCTTTAGCCAGGAATACTGTAGTATCACTAGATTTTGTAACAGGAATCATTTTCCCCCCCACCAAGCCCCACCACACACATACACACAAGGATGTGAATCAGTGCTCCCAGCTCATTTCCTATTGGCTATGAAGCTGGGAGAGGACCATGATTGGCCACAATCTTATTGGGTCATATTGATTCAATAAGATGAAAAGGGAGCTTCCCAAATATCACTATTATGACTGAGTTTTTGTCACACACACTAAAAAATCTTCTCCTTAACTCCAAGCCAGACACAGACCACATAGCCGCTAGTCTTTCTCAATAGACAAGACAGAATTGTTGGCACTAGGTTTACCTGTTAACTATCTGCTCAATATATAAAGAATATTCTTCTTTAAACTTGCCAAAATTAAATAGGAAATGAACTGCAAATGAAAAATACATTGTCTCGGGAGCTCTAACTTTTAACAGGAAAGCAAAGACACATGATATGAATACATGAATACAGTAATTATTTATTAATAGCCTACTAGGCGCCAAACAATGCTGCCCTTCCAAGGAAACAAAATGAGTAGAAATAATCTCATACCTCAAGGATGCACGGAATGGGGAAAAAGAGAAGAAGTGATATTTATTGAGTGGCTTTCATATGGCGGTTATTTTATCTCATTTAATCCTAACAATCCCATGAGATAGATAGCATCATCCCTTTATACAGATGGGGAAATTTAGTCTTTGCGAAATGGAGTGACTTGCCTGAGATCACACAACTGGTAAATACTGATAACTTAAACCAGATCTCTCTCTAAATCCAGAGCTCATGAACCTTCCACTGATCACACTGCAGAGAAGATAAAACAAATATATAAACCACTATAGCTAGCATGGACATATAACACCAAGAAGGGGTCAAGTAAAGTTTGAGGAATCTGGAGATGCTATTGGAAATGGTCTTTAGAAAGAACAGATGGTATTTTTCAGGCAGAGATGAGAAAGAGCATTTCAAAGGAGAGGAAAGAGCTGGAGCGAGACTTGGAGGGAGAAGTAGAAGGGGTTTGGAGGATAAGAGTTGGAAAAGCTTTATTGGCATTTTAAAAGCAGGATGATCCTCCTAGAAGGGGTAACTAATATAGATTAGAGTAGAGCAGATTGGAAGATAAGGAGACTGGGTGGGAGATCCTTGCAAGTGTCTTAGAGAGCACCTGCAGGAATGGAAGGAAAGACAGATTTGAGAGAGATCACAGAAGAGGATTGTAGGTGATCCTGAACTGAATGATGGACCAATGAGTTCAGACTGATGCAGAAGAATGAAACCAAATGCATTGGCGGAGTAGGTGACCAGATAAAAGTCATGCAGTAGAGGTCTCAGTTAAGATGAAATGCAAAGCAGAAAGAGGGAAGGAGGGAGCCAGAAAAGGAAGGGATTTCCGAATGTGCCGTCCTGAAAGTGGAGTCGATCTGAGTTGTGACCAAGCATAAGGTGTGGCCTCCTGGGGAGTGGCTGAGACAGAGCTCATCCAAATGGAAGACACCAGAAGATTACGAATCTGGAAGTCACCAGGAAATCTGGCGGTGAATTATATGGAAAGGATGTCAGGGCCGCAGAGACTGAAACCATGAAAGAATGTGAGAAAAAAGTCTTCAGAATTAGAAGTAACTGGGCAGAGAAGGGCAGAAAGTCAAAAGTTTACATCAAATCAGAAAAAATAAGTTGTCTACAAAATGGATGATGCATTATCCTGCAATCATAGTGAGGATTTCCATTGGAAAAATTAATAATAATAGTTAGAGTCTCACTTCTCCCTTCTTAGGGGAAAATGACATATTAGGCATATTCATATAGGGTATTGCATTTTTCATATTTGCTAGCAAGGAATGTCAAGAGAGGCAACTGGTGCTATCAGATAACATTGAAATGCCTCACCCTCACATTTCCTCACCTGTCCTGTGACCCACCTAGCCTGCATAAACCCAGTGAAGAGAGAAGGATCAAAGTTGAGCAAATTCTCTTCCATTTTTGTTGAGTCAATCACTTAACTATCACAGGAACAGGCAGGCATGTTTAAGGACACCCTGCCCATCTGTATCTCTTGTGCTGTCAAGATGAACGGGCAAAGTGTTAGTTCATGTAATGTGCAAGAAGACATGCAGCCCGGGTGAATAACTTCTGATCAGCATGTAGTATAAGAGAAAAGTCTGTCCAGCATGGCACTGAGCTGCATTCCAGCCCCATGACATGGCATCAGATTTGGCAACTGGGTCAGCAATTGTGCTCCAGTTGTTGCTTCTATTATCTACAGGGTTTTGCAAGCCTGGAACTTCCACCCACCGAAAGCAGACTGCTGGAGCTTATCTGGCGTTTGTTAGTGCAGAGCTCATTGTGTTGTCATGCATTGTCTAGTTTAGGCTTGATTCCACTGTCACATAATCCAAGGGAAAATGAAGAGCTCTGTGGACTGATCTCCATTTAATTTCAATTTTTCTATTGTTAGTGCTCTGCCTGCTAGGGAATTCCAGAAAGTGTTGCTTCATAATTACAAGGTAGGTCATAGCAAAGAAATGAATGGTGTAGCTGTCAGTCATAAGGGAAGTCTGGGGAAAACAGCCCTGGTTGCTGGCAACTGACTAGATGCGTTTGCTTTGTGCTGACATTAAAATCTCATTTGGAAGCAACGTGGGAGGTCAGTGAGTCTAACTGCTCCTGCTCTCTCAGAGCAGCAGCACTGGAATATGGTCTTTTTTTTTTTTTCTTGCTCTGTCACCCAGGCTAGAGTGCAGTGGCAAAATCTCAGCTTACTGCAACCTTCACCTCCCAGGTTCCAGTAATTATCATGCCTCAGCCTCCTGAGTAGCTGGGACCACAGGTGTGTGCCACCATACCCAGCTAATTTTTGCATTTTTAGTAAAGATGGGGGTTTTGCCATTTTGGCCAGGCTAGTCTCGAACTCCTGGCCTGAAGTCATCCACCCAGCTCAGCCTCCCAAAGTGCTGGGATTACAGGCGTGAGCCACCATGCCTGGCCCTGGAATATGGTCTTTTGGGCTGAGAGACCTGGCTACCTCATAATACATACAGTTGTATTACCAAGATGGCCTTGCATTTTCTCCCCATTGGGTTTAGTTTTCATAACTATATTAAGAGCTAATATTTAGTGAGTGCCCACTATGTGCCGTGCACTGTGCTAGTTCTTTAAATACATTATCTCAAATAGTCCTCACAATAAACCAGTAAGGTAGGCACTTTTATTTCCATTTTTCCAGATGGGATAGAGTCAAGCCCCATGGAGTCAGGATTTGAACACACATCTGCAGGTCTGGAGGATGATAGAACCTATCTTGTCTTTACTCACATTCCATGCTGGTCCCCAGGGCCCCAGTGCTGTACATTCCACAATGCAATCAAGATTCATTTGGAATTCTCTGAAGTGCTCCAGCAGGCCTTGTGCAACTCGAAGGTTCTGTCAACTCCTGTCTGGGGCTGACATAAATCTACAGCTTCTTTCACAATAATACTAGTAATAACAACAGTGACAGGTTTTTCAGTAATTTGCATATGTATTCTTTTATTTTATCCTTACAAAAGTCTTATAAAATGGGTAGAACAAATAGTTTACAGTTCAGTTTGCAAATAAGAAACCAAGACTCAGGTAAGTAATTTAAATTCTCTAACTCACAGCTAGTAAACTGTGGAATCCAGGAATCAAACCCACATCTTCTAAGCTCAAAGCCAGCGGGTCTCAGAGTGTGGCAACTGAACCAGTAGCATCCAGGAATTTGTTTTAAATAAACATTCTCAGGGCCCAGTGCAGACCTAATAAATCTGAAATTCTGGGGGTGAGTCCAGCCATCCGTGTTGGAACAAGCCCTCCAGGTGACAGTGGTGCACGCTCAAGCTTGGTCTAGGCCAGTGCTTCTTCCATTGCCTGGTGCGGCGTTCACTCCACCACCTCTAGTTCTGACCCTCTGCAATGAATGAAAAGAGAAAAAAGTGAACTGGTCTAACAGAATCTTTTGTATCTGAAGTGCAATTTCATCAGTGACTTCTTAAGATTATGCCTGAGGTTTTTGGTGTTGAGAAAAAAAAGACATCTCAGCCCTAATAGAGGAGGTTAATAAAGCCCATTGAACTTCATTTATTTTCTCACAGGGAACGCAAGGGTGACAATTCTCCAAAATAGGGATTGCATTTTTTCCTACTTATAAAAAAATTTATCTCAACAACATCTCTTCTATGAAATACAACACCATCATAATCACAAATGGCTTTTTAAAGAGTTTTTTGTTTGGTTTTGTTTTGTTTTGAGACAGGATCTCGCTCTGACACACAGGTTGGAGTGCAATGGTGTGGTCAGGGCTCATTGCAACCTCAACCTCCTGGGCTTAAGCACTCCTCCTGCCTCAGCCTCTCAAGTAGCTGGGACTACAGGTGTGTGCAACCAAACCTGGCTAATTTTTTATTTTTTTGTAGAGACAGAGTCTCGCTATGTTTCCCAGGCTGGTCTTGAACTCTTGCAGTCAAGCACTCCTCCCGCTTTGGCCTCCCAAAATGCTGGGATTACGGGCATGGGCCACCGTACCTGGCTAGGAGTTTTATTTTTGATAGGATTTCGCCTGTAACATTAAATAAAGAAAATATTTTCCAATGAACTGTTTATTAAAAATTAGCAATATTTATCTAAATATTAATCTCAGATAAGCATTTAATGACTAATGGAAACTGGGGGTGGGGGACCCAAGCAAATAGCCATCAAAATCAGTAGAAATAACACTTATTTAAAATAAATATTCATTAGGGAGAAAGTGCTGCACAGAACATAGGAACGTTGTCTTTAAAGTCAAATGGCCCTGGGATCCAGCACGGCTCTGCCATTTACTTGCTACCTGTGGGACTCAGAGCAAGTCATCTATCTACCCTCATCTGGACTTTATGCATCTGAAAAATGGAATCATAACTGAACCCACTCAAAGAGTTGTCCTGAGAATTAAATGAGCTCACATATGAAAAATACTTAAAACACAGTGACCTCTGCATAGTAAGGACTCAAAGACTGTTAGCAATTATTTTTGTGTTTTAAGTGACAAATATGTGCCATGTGCATAGTAGATCAGATGCCAGGGACAGAACAATGAATAGCATGTGAAACTTGCCCTCTGATCCTTCAAGGCTCACTCTTTCACTCTATTTTACAAAGTCTGTTTCTGTTTTGGTTTATTTTTAATGTAGCACTTGGAACATATCCCGAATTTACATATAACCTGGCAGGGCTGCGCTGGCTACCAGTAAGATTTCTTTTATGAGTACTTAAGATACCATCAATGATAAGACACATTATTTCAGGTACTGTTCAAAAAGAAAAAAAAAACACTGCTAATCATAATTATAAGATGTCATTGATTGTGAAATACTCCCTAATTTCAATTCAAGAAGCAGTAGAAAAAAATTTTTGTTTTAGAATTCATGCAATGTAGTATTTTCATTTCCCATCACTGCCTAGAACCCACAAAGAAACACTCTGCCTGGGCCATGTGTATATCTGTGTTAAGGGATGGAATGGGAAGTGGCTCACAAAAAGGATATTTCATAATAGATCGGAACTGGCTTTGAAGAAACTTTCTGAGTCAGAAAACAAATAAAACATCAATGGCAGATATCCTGCATCAAGAGGACAGTATGCTTCTGGAGCTGCCGGTACACTCTATAAAAATGACTGCAGTCAGGTCCAGTAAAAGTCCACTTATTTGGCTTCTACTCTTTGCCATTCATTGTTAGGTGGAGGGCTACCAGCAAAATCACATCTATTCTCTCTAGATATTCACATACTGGTAGGAGAGGTAGACAAACAGAATGCAGAGGACGGTTTCAATGTAGAAATATGCAAAGTCTAGAAATAGTACAAGAAAAATGAGGCATTAGGGGAGGAGAGGGAGTAAGAAGTGTGGCTAAAGAAGGCTCCTTGAGAAGGCAACGCCTGAGCAGTTTTGAAAGATAACTAAGAGCTGAACAAGCATTTGGGGAAAGCAACAACACTAAAAAAAATTGTAGGTGTTATGTCTATTTCAGCTAATGTTGTTTTTCCACAACTGTAGATTGGATGCCCTACCTCGGCTAATCAGGAGAGAGCTTGTGAAACAGCTGTACAAATATCTTTCTGCCAGAACCAGTGAATCTGGAAGCTCATATGAAGTCACTCATTATTATGACACACACACACACACACATACACACACACACACAGACACAAAACAAAATGAAAAAGAACCTGGCACAGACTTGGTACTTTTTGTTTTCATAGCTTTAAACAAACAAACAAACAAACAAAAAACAGGGCATTAGGATTGAGACTTAATGAAAAGTTGAGATATCACATTTCTTTTCAATTCTTCATATTGGACTCCGCAAGAGAAATAAAGGGGCGGGGAACACATTGTAATAAGAAATAACATGCATCATGAAATTGTTAAACAAGGCTGGGCACGGTGGTTCACACCTGTAATCCCAGCACTTTGGGAGGCCAAGGCCGGCAGATCACCTGAGGTCAGGAGTTCGAGACCAGCCTGGCCAAGATGGTGAAACCCTGTCTCTACTAAAACTACAAAAATTAGCCAGGCTTGGTGTTACGTGCCTGTAGTCCCAGCTACTCTGGAGGCTGAGGCAAGAGAATTGCTTGAACCCAGGAAGCGGAAGTTGCAGTGAGCTGAGATCACACCACTGCACTCCAGCCTGGGCGACAGAGTGAGTGAGACCCAGTCAAAAAAAAAAAAAAAAAAAAAAAGAAAAGAAAAGAAAGAAAAAGAAGAAAAAGAAGGGAAGAAAGCAAGCAAGCAAGCAAATGAGCGAGCAAGAAAGGAAGAAAGAAAGAGAAATTGTTAAGACAATACAAATAAATCAAATCAGGGGGATGGAGGAGCATGTGTGATTCTTCTCAAAGGAGGGGTTTTGCAAGGAATGGTCTATATTAGCTTGTAAAGTATGTACAAAATCCATTTTTCTCTGGGCACTTGTCCAATTCTGTCTCTTTTCCACTTTCAGTCAATGCTGATGGTGTGGTAAAGCTTTTTTTATTCAGAAAGAACTCTAGTCAACCTTGACACTTTTTTTTTTTTTTTTGAGATGGAGTCTTGCTCTGTCACCGAGGCTGGAGTGCAGTGGCACGATCTCGGCTCACTGGAAACTCTGCCTCCCAGGATCACGCCATTCTCCTGCCTCAGCCTCCCGAGTAGCTGGGACTACAGGCGCCCATCACCTCGCCCGGCTAATTTTTTGTATTTTTAGTAGAGACGGGGTTTCACCGTGTTAGCCAGGATGGTCTCGATCTCCTGACCTCATGATCCGCCCGCCTTGGCCTCCCAAAGTGCTTGGATTACAGGCATGAGCCACTGTGCCCGGCCGACACTTCTAAACTTAGCAATCCATTTCCTTGACCCTATCAGTTTGTTGTCACTTCCAACCTAGGGCCCCTCAAATGGCAGAAGTAAGTTGAACACAAATTTAGTGATGTTCCTTCCTTGTTTCATTTTATAGCTGCCATTCATCAAATTGCCTTCTTCCTACATCTGCTACCTACTATACAACCTCATTGACACTCTAAACAACACACCAGATAAAACCAGTTTGTTCACAGATCATATGCCAAGGCAACCATATACCAGGCAATTCAATTTTGGACTTTCTGGAATTTCAGGGAGAATTTATCCACAAAGAGCATATGCAGAACCCAGGTTCCCTCTGAAAAAAATTCTGAATTAGTTGCAAAATTCCCATGACACATCATAATTAGGGAGAGATGGACAAGAAGATAAGAGTATGGCTCCAATCAAGGAGACTTCATCGCATATAAATATTTGCATGGCAATCATGAGATCATGCATGCAAACAGCTAGCCCAGGGCCTGCTATATAAAACCATCAAAAGCTTAGTTTACCCCGTGTGGGGCTATCTCAAAGGCATCCCACCCTAATCTGAGGTAACAAGTATTCTGGAAGAATCCAAAGCTGTGGAAGAGGAGAAACACAGAGGAAAGAGAAAGTTGTTTGATTTGTGTTGGTTTGTTTTTTATCCGAACCTGTTTCAGCATTCTTACAGGGAAAAGCCAAGCCTTACCATCTTCCTCATTATTAAACAAGCTTAGAAAGCCTGCAAAATCTTATTTTTTAGCAGACGTTGGTAGCATATACTGTGTATCAATGGAACTGAATGCTCAAGTTAGAGCATAAATAATTTTTGTACATAATTTATATGTTTCTGTAAAGCAAAAGGAATTATGTTTGCATCAGAAGCTTTTCTCACGTTATTGCCAAACTCCCTCTTTTTTCTGTCTGATGTAAGGTCACGCTGTTGCACAATTGGGAACACTGGGGTAATAACGGGAGACAGAAAGGACAGGGAACTGTGCATTTCAGTTTGTTCAAATACATTGGTAACTCATCTCTGTCTCCTCCACACTTCCTCCTGGCTCTATGGGTCATGGTAGAGGAACAATTACGTGGAAGAAATCAAATATGAATGACTGCTTTCCCCCTCCAGCTCTCTTCCCTACTTCCTCCTTGTGATGGGTTTATCACTTTTCCCTCCAGGGTTGTAAATAAAGGCTTCTGGGGTTCTCACGGCTGGAGAGAGAAGTAGTCCCCTCCTATCAGCCCTTACAAACTGTTTTTCAGCAAATCGTGATGAGAACATCATTGTGATATACAGTATCTAATTAATTTCTAACTAATATTAATATTTTGGCCCGGCGCAGTGGCTTGCACCTGTAATCTCAGCACTTTGAAAGGCCGAGGCACCACTTCACCTATTCTATTTGTTTTCTATAACAAAAATTAAGCCCAGAGCACTTAAATGCTTCATTCAAAAACCACCCACAAGATAGTGGTGGAGGTACATATTGAGGTAAGAATCTTTCTACCACATCATGATACTCCTGAGTCAACCCCACGGATATGCTATATTGAGTCATGAAAATGTGACAATATATTTGGGAAAATAGTCTGAGGATCTTATCCAATATAAATACAATTTGCCAACATTTTCACTTATATTCTAAAGCAACATGCTCACAACTAACAATTATGTCTTCATTTTATGCTTTTGTAATAAGGTAGTCTGTCTAGTCTACCTTACTACTAACTCTGGTGTTACCCTTTGTTGTCTAAAAAAGTACCTAGGTTTGACTCATGGCAATGTCTCTTCTCTGGATCTGTTCCTCTGGCTATGCCTCAGTTAATACAATGTCTTCCTAATGCAGTTTCAATGGCCAACAAAAGAGATGCTTGAGCACTAAGAAGAATCCTTTCCAGTCCAATGAGAAACAAAAGTTCCCGTGAATTCCCTTTGATAGTTACACGTTCAATATTCACTCATTCATTCACTTACGAATTTCTTCTGAAGTCCCAGGCGCTGGATTAAGTGCTGCAGAGGCCAATGCCTAATAAGATACTGTCCCTGGACTCATGGAGTCCATAATCTCATGAGGACAAAATGTGTAAACCCTGCACTGTGGATATGGCCAGAGAAAGCAGTAAATAATCGAGGTGCTTTGGGGCGTGGAGAGGAAGGAGCCATGCCTGGGGAGGATGGGAAACAGCCTTATCTAAATATGCCAAATCCAAGCAGTCAAGACACCTAGGTTCTAAAATCTTTATAAGAACAATCTCATTTCCTTTGATGCAGAAGACACAGCCCAGCTGTGATCTAGTATCTGGGCATTCTGATCAAGGAGCAAAAGGTCAGGAGTCATTGCCTGATCACCAAACAGAACAGAAGGGTGGATCTCAGGACCTGGAGAGTGGGGATAGATGGTCAGAATTAGAGAGAATGGACCACAGAAAATCTATTTGAAAAGCAAGCCAGCCATCTGTAAGCCTCTTGAGAGAGAGTCAAACCACACAGTTTTGAAAACAAATTCTCAGCTGCTTGAGCAGGCAGGTGGATCAGCCTGGGCTAACTCTGGGAGATCTAATCAGTTGCAGGTGCATTTTGGGTGTTTTAAGAGCATGTTAGTCATAGGGGTAAACTGTCACTTTGCACAGTTGAGGTTGAGGCATAGAACTAGTACTTTCTCTTTACTGGAGTTGCTGCCGCCCCTGAGCCAGTGTGAGCTCCCAGCCACGCATGGGCCTGGGAGATGTCCAAATCGAATCGCTGTTTTGCCTAAATCTCAGAGCTCTCCAACAACACTAGTTACCTCTCAGGGCTAGGACAAGGATGAGGCAAGAGAGGCAGCGAGACTAAGATATAACTCAGTTTCCCACTCTGCACCGCCTTGAGCAAGACCAAGTTCTTCTTTAGATCCTGACTCTTTCTCCAGAATGGCTTTCCAATTCTAGGAGGAGGAAGGGCTTCAACGATTCTATGGCAGGCAGCACTTACTATTAAAGAGAAATGTGGAACAGGGAGGAGCCTGGTCGATTTCCCAAGGACCTCTGACCAAAAATTCCTGTTGAATTTTTACAAAGAGATGTTGGTCAGAGGATACAAAATTTCAGTTAGATAGGAGAAATGTTCAAGAGACCTATTGTGCAACTGATGACTATAGTCAATAACAATAGGTTGTGTTATTGAAAATTAGGAGAGTAGATTCTAAGTGTTCTCTCCACACACACACGTGAGGTAATGCATGTGTTAATTAGCTCGATTTAGTCATTCCACAATGTATGCATATTTCAAAACATGTTGCACATGATAAATATATATAATTTTTGTCACTTAAAAAACTAGTTTAGAAAAATTTCTATTGGCAGAGTCTCAAAAGCAATGGTACTCATAGTGCCCAATCTCAGATTACTAATGGGGTTTTTTTTGTGATTTATTTTTTTAAAGAAAATAATCTCCTGTCTCCTTCCATGTGTCTCCTTCACTTCTCCCAGTCAAAAATGCATTTCTCAGTATCTCCCTTCTCTGCTCATTGAAAACAGATTCAAAATATAAGCCCCTGAGAAAAAATTTCTTATGTAAGGCATATTTTTAATTCTGTTGTGGCTTAACCTTTGGTTATAACACCAGAGCCCTGCTAAGAACTATCAGATCTAATGTTTAAACACTATTTTAAGACTAATACATATTTATTACAATGTCCCCTGGGTTTCTCTTCTGAATGAGAGTTTAAGCCAACAATCATTTTTACAAACAGAGCAATAACCACAAAATACTCAACAAATTAAATACATGGCTTAACTATCTAATCTGGAGAGAACACATAAACATTACTATTTAGATAATATATCTTATTTTTTTATTATCCAATTTGCCTCAACTTCATTGTTTTCCTTTTTAAAAAATAAGGCTAGTATTATCATAAACTGGTATCCATGGTTTCCTTTTCATTAAGTTCTCTTTTTCTCATTGTCTTCACTCATCTTAAAAAAAAATCCGATTTGGGAAAGAGGAAGAAAATAAGGGGAAAAATGATTTACAAGGCAGGAGCGAGACATTTCCTCTACATGACACCATGGCTCCAAAAGCATTGGGCAGATTTTCTACAAAGGATAAGGAAAGAACTAAACATGTTCTATTTCAAAATATTACAGACTGATTATTGGATGCAAGATGGATTGCACCTCAGAAAGAGCACATCCTTTCGTCAACGCATACTGGCCATAGAGTCTCATAAAACATTTTCAAATAGCTGAGGGCAAGCCCGGAGATGAGAAGTCCCTTCATGCTGGGTTTCCAGGCAGAGGTCACTTTGCCAGTGAGCTTGTATGCTGCTCAGCTGACGCAGGAGTTAAGTAAAAGCCTCCAGCAGCACAGAAATGTGGGTCTTTCCCTCAGTGATTCATCACTATCAGCAATCAGACAAACTGTCTCATAAGGTCTGAGCATAAATTACTTCATCTCCACCAATTTAGGTTTAAAGATCATTAAACTCTGAATGCACTTGGAAAACACCTTGTTCATTTGTTACTTACTATTAACTCTAGAATATTTTATATGGTTGACCACAAGAAGACAGTGATGATAAAATACTGCAATTACCCAACCATAACTTTAAGAGAAATCCTCTCATGTTCAGAACTCGGTATAATTCATTAATAATATCCATCAATATCTATGAATATAAGAAAACAGAGGCACTTACCCAAATGAGTAATTTTTTTAAAAGCCACCATCTACAATATCGTATTTCATTGAATCCTCACAAAAATTTTGTGATATATGGCTGAGACTTTAAACCCATTTTGGGATAAGAAACTGAGATCCAGAAGGGTTAGGGCACTTGCTTAACGGTACACCACTTGTTAGTAGCAGAGCTGGGATTTGCACCAGGGTTGTTCCAAATTCTAGTCCAGTTTCTTCCTAATATACTAGGCTGTTTAACTCAGATGATGGCCAGGCTTACTAAGACCATTATGCTCAAAAATTTTAAATAAATATAAGAATCTAGGTAACAGACAAGTTCTTCCTGTGCAGTTGGAAAAGTAACTTCGTCTTAGAAGCACTTATCCTTTTGAAAAGATGACCTTGTGAATTACGTCAATGTTGCGTCAATTGTGTAGGACTCATGGTCAGTAGGAGAGAAAACTGATATGTGAACAAACCTAGTCATGCTGGGCCTTCTCTATTTGTTTCCAGCTCTCCTTTCCATCCTTCCCACCTGCTCTGTGCTCTAGGAGGCTGACCTCTATTAAATGAATTCCTTCCTCACTCTCTGGGGTTTGCTTCAGCCATGGAATGTCTTTGCAGGGGCCAGCGAGTGGGAGAGGAGGTTGGGTTGGACTGTGTGCTTCCCCTCCCTGTTGCCTGCTGGTCCAAGAGTTGGCAGTCACTGCATTCTTCCCCAGAGACAGCAATTTGTCTTCACCTTCAGCTTGCTCCTGCTCTGTCCCCTGCCTCTCCCCCTCCCTTTTGCCCCAGTAGCTCCACACTCCCTTTACCCCTTCTGCCAAAGAAGAGCCTGAGACAAAGGCTTGGGTGCAGGTGATCTATTTGGGAACTCAGCTTAGAGAAGAGGAATGAGGGGCAAGAAGAGTGAACAACAGGGAGGTTCAAAGCCGACAAGGATGAATTACTGAGTTGGCCATTGCTGTTGTCAATGGGTGCTTCATTCCTCAGAATCTTCCGTGGAATCTTATGAAATACACCTCAGACAGTCTGCTAGGGAGGAAGACAAGGAATGTGCACCAGTTGCCTTCCGCCCCTCATTCTTTAAGAGAAGCGCAACCCCACTGATTCACCCACATTTCCAGGTTGCACATGCCAGAAGGCCAGGCAGGGTCCCATAGGCATAGGCATCCCAGCATCAGGGAGGGCCTAGGGCAGGACCTGAAGGCACCATGGAGCAGGCCATTGGCAGCAGCCCTGACGGTACAGCTCTGACAAGGGGAAGGGCAGCAGGATTGGGGAAAATGGAGCCCTGCCACTGTTACTGGGGAAGGCTTCACTGCCCCTAGTTTGCTTGACTTTTTACTTAACTCTGACACTCATGGAAACAGTTCCTTCTTTAAACTCTCCTCGAGTTCCCCATTCGATGGGATATCTATTTTGTGTTAAATCCTGCCTGCTTTACTAGCATTCTGTATCTTTTCAACTATTCCTTCAAGACTCTTCCTCTCTTTTCCTCATTATTCTCTATCCCCAAACAATAACACCTCATGGTTTTATGCTTCCCTCTTTACCGGGTTGGGGAATGTCCCCGAGAATTCATGTTCTTTCCAGGATCTCAGAATGTTATCTTATTTGAAAATAGAGTTATTGCAGATGCAACTAGTTAAGATGAGGTCATCTTGGAGTAGGATGAGCCTTTAATAAAATACAACCAGTGTCCTTATAAGAAGAGAAGACACACAGAGACAGAGACACACATGGAAAACAGCTGGTGAAGACAAAGGCAGAGACTGGAGAGCGGCCTCTACAATCCAAGGAAAACCAAAGATTGCCAGCAATTCCCAGAAGCAACTCCCAGAGGCTAGAACAAAGGCATAGAACAGACTCTTTCAAAATGTCCAGAAGGAACCAACCCTCCTACATCTTGATTTCAGACTTCTGGCCTCTAGAACTATGAAAGAATAAATGTCTGTTGTTTTAAGCCACCCAGTTTGCGGTCATTTGTTATGACAGCTCTGGGAACCACGTACACCTCCCCATCAAGGCCCTCCTTCCAAGTCTCACGGGAGCCTGACAAAGACCCATGTTTCATTTTCTCTCAGTCCATCAAAACTTATCTGTCGTGGGTTTATCCTTCAGAGTCACAGCCTTTGCCAGGTGACAGTGGGTGAATAGACTGTCCTTGCTAATGCTTTAAGCAGCTAACTTGATGACTAGCAACACAATATACCTCTTTTCCTTCCAAAAACTGAACTCTAAGAAAACAACAATGACAATGTATCTCTTCCAGTTAAACTCTGCTTAAGGAGGCTCTTTAAGAACGCTTAATGCCCAGGTAATGGAGAGTGATTTGGGCAGCTCCTCAGAGCACACCCTGCAGGCCACCTGCTGTCCTTACATTCTTAGCTTGAATGAGGGGCTCAGCCAGGGTGGAGTCGTGCTGGAAATCTAAATGCCTGTCCACCTGTTAGATATCCCAGCAGGAACTACACGGGAACCAGGACTGCTGCAATGCAACCCATGGAGAGATGAAATCCCAGATCAGCTAGCCCGGTGGGGAAACAGAAACCACACTGGACGGGAACTGTTTTCCCGTAAGTGCAATCACCTCTTGCTAGGCACTTGTTGATCATTCCCCACCTTTGTTTCTCCCTCACCTTCCTTTGAACCGCTTTTTGCCACAGATTCACTCTACCCAAGGAAAAAAAGTCAAGAGCAAAAATATGCAGCTTGTTTCTTTGGGGTTTTTTCCTTTAATATGGTTCTCTAGATGATGTACTTTATCAGGCTAACATGAGGCTTTACATGCTATGGGTGTTTTGTTTGTTTCTTATTATCGTCTGCAAATGGCAGAGAGTGGAGCTGACCTTTAGCACCTCCCTGCTAGACTGCTCTGCCACCACCAAGCATGGACTTTGGAGATGAGCATGCCCAGGCTGACTCTAGCTCTCCTACTAACTGATGACCCAGAGCAAGTGAATGAGCGTCTCAAAGCCTGTCTTCTCACCCAAGAACTGGGAATAAGAATGCCTCATCATAGTTGAGTGTGAGGCTTAAACACATGACTGTACTTACGGCCCCATGCAGAGTGGCAGGTATATAGTAAAAGTTAAGATCCCTTCTCAGAATGACTTCTTACTTAAGTTCTATTTTAAATCTCACTTTGCCTGGTCATCTTAACTCCAAGGTGTCTCAGCCTGTTTGGGCACTAATTGTGCATCAACCATTTATATACTTTTTAAATTGATTTTCTGTTTTGTCTCCCAAATTTAAGCTGGGACCACAGGTATACACCACCATGCCTGGCTATTTTTTTGCTTTTTTTTTTTTTTTTGGAGAGATGTTGTTTCACCATGTTGCCCAGACTGGTCTCAAACTCCTGGGCTCAAGCAATCCACCTGGCCTCTCTATGTGCTGGGATTACAGATGTGAGCCACTGTGCCCAGACTGAAAAATATTAATAGTAACATTCATGAGCCCATTCTGTGTGTCAGACACCATGCTAAGCACTTCACTTACCTAACCCTGACAACAACAAACTGAGTTAGGATATTAACCTCATTTTAGGAACCTAAAGGGTAAACCTTACTTTAGACAACTAGTGAGTGGCAGAACCAGAATTCACAAGAATGTCTGTCTCAATTCTAGCATCAGCTCTCTTAAACAGATGATGTCAGGCACATAGTAGGAACTCTAAAGTAATCAAAAAAAAAAAAAAAAGGCTGGACACAGTGGCTCACGCCTGTAATCCCAACACTTTGGGATTACGAGGCAGGCAGATCACCTGAGGTCAGGAGTTCGAGACCAGCCAGGCCAACATGGTGAAACCCCATCTCTACTAAAAATACAAAAAAAAAAAAAATTTGCTGGGTGTGGTGGTTCGCACCTATAATCCCAGCTACTTGGGAGGCTGAAGCAGGAAAATTGCTTGAACCCAGGAGGTGGAGGTTGCAGTGAGCCAAGATAGCGCAACTGCACTCATGCCTGGGTCTCAAAAAAAAAAAAAAAGAAAAAGAGGGTGAGGGGGTGTCTCGCTATGTTGCCCAGGCTGGTCTTGAACTCCTGGTCTCAAGTGATTCTCCTGCCTCGGCCTCCCAAAATGCTGGGAGTATAGGCATGAGCCACCATGCCTGGCCAGAACTTTATAGTAATCTTTAAAAATTATAAACAGATCCTGATCTATCAGATACCAAAGAAGACATAAATATGCACTTAATGACAAAGCTTATTTGAAAAAGACATGTATCAAAATCAAACGTATTCCATGATTATTTTTTAAATGTATTATTCTTTTTCTTTTTTCTATTAAATTCTCTCCAGTTAGGCTTATCCCTGCCCTTCCACTGAAATCGAACTTATTAAAATTATTCAAGACCACCATAGTACTAATTCAGTGGTCACTTCGCAGTGAGTCCTCTTCTTTTTCTTGGTCTCTCTGCAGAGCCAGATGTGGGCATTCAAGCCTTCTTTGAACTTTCTTCACTTTACTTCCAGAACACCATGGTCTCCTGGGTTTCCTCCTATCTCACCAGACAGCTCCTTTGCTGGCTCCTCTTCTCCTAGGCCTGTTATAGTTGATGTGTCCCTGGATGCAACCCTTGGCCTCTTCTGTATCTACACTCACCCACTGAATGATCTCATCCAGTCTGTTCTGCTCTCATATAACATAGTGTTTGTAAAAAAAAAAAAAAAAAAAAAAAAAACTCTGTGCCATGCAAAATACACACGGTAACAACCAAAGGTCTTATGCAAAAAATGTGATTGGGGCACAACACTTAAAAATGTCAGCAACTGGCCGGGCATGGTGGCTCCCACCTGTAATCCCAGCACTTTGGGAAGCCGGGGCAGGCAAATCACTTGAGCTCAGAAGTTCAAGACCAGCCTGGGCAACATGGTGAAATCCTGAATCTATTAAAAAAAAAATGCAGAAAATTAGCCGGGTGTGGTGGCATGCCCCTGGAGTCCCAACTACTCAGGAGGCTGAGGTGGCAGAATCACCTGAGCCTGGGATGTCGAAGCTACAGTGAGCTGTGACTGAGTCACTGCACTCCAGCCTGGGTGAAGGAGAGAGATCTTATCTCAAAATTAAAAAAAAGAAAGAAAGAAAGGAGATAACCTGATAAAAAGAATGGCACAGTTTCATACATATTAAATGGTTAAAAAATGAATAAATACTACAGTAAATCTCATAGTCTACCTTGACAAAGACCGGAAATTTGCTTGGGAAGGATTGCAGCTTATGAGTTAGTGTAAAGTGGTGGAAGGAAGGTTTTCTGAAATCAGTGGGGAAGTTACACCAACAGACATGAATAGGTGTAGCTCGTAACAGGGTGAACCGAGGTTAGCTGGTGGATGTTTTGAGGTGTGCTTGTGTGAATAATTTGAGTTTTTCTATACAGTTTGGTTCACCTGAGTGCAGTTTTTAATGCGTTCACTTAGTATTTCTTCCAGAATCAATAGCACATATGCAAATGCAAAATTTGCATTACGTTTAAATTGTTATTGAATATATTTATCTGTATTAGGTCTTCAAAGACTGTTTCTGAATAAAGTCACATTCACAGGTAACTGGACTTAAGATTTTAACTACGTTTTTGGGAGACATTTCAATCCATAACACAAAATATGTCCCCACATTTCTAGAAGTCCCACCTAATGTCTCACAAGGATCATTTTTTACCTTTTTATTGACAGCTACCCACAGTAAGAAAGATTCTCTGCCTCATCTCCCAGTGCACACACACACACACACACACACAACTGAAATGTTTCACAAAACTTACTTTGTGTGTTGCGATCAGATATTTTGTATTCTACTTGATCTACCATAGAAAAGAAAAAATGCTAGTCATGACCCACTCATTGATTTTATGACCCACTGATTATTTGTGACCTGCATTTTGAAAAACACCACTCTAGAATAAGGAAAAAAGTTCCTATCTTTAAGATTAGGTTAGGTTTTAAAAGATTGTTCCCGAGTATTTATTTGTAAGTAAAAAGCATGTGATTATTGTTGATTACATTGCACAGGATGCGATTTGATTTGCTGTGTGATAGACTTTTAGTCTTCAAAATACTTTTCACTGTTTTAAGGTTCATTCCATTTGCATTTCCAGCAGGCTTTCTCTCTCTCTGTCTCTCCCACTTTATTATATTATCTCACATTTGGGTCATTTTGTAATCGTTAACCTCTTCTTACCCACTGCTCTATCACTTACCAGACTTGACCGGGTTAATAGTGCTTATTAGTGTGTCCATGTCATCATGAATGTAGGAATGGGCAGGAAGCTAAGGGCCAATGGCTAAATGAACACTTGACTTTCACCATCTGTCATCCTGCAGATTTGAAAGTGGAGGTGCTTCTGCACTTTCAGCCGCTGCATGGTCTTTGTGGCCTTGGTGGTTTTTACCCTCCCTCCTCTTGCAGCCCCTTTGCATAGAGGGCTGTTATTAAGGAGTATAAACCTTGTCAGTGGGTAGCAGGTGCCAGCTCCTGCCTCCAGTGTTGCTTCTCACTCTGCCCCCGAGGTTGCATTGTGCCAGCCAAGGCCCTGAGGCCACTCTGCTAAAATGGGAAAAGTACCCCCAGCCTAGCCCTGCTCCCAACTCACTGGATAATTCCAAAGAAATACAACTCTGTGCTCCCAACTGCTCAGATATGTCATGGGAGATCAACCCTCCTTCAATGCTAATTTTGGAAAAGAGCATATTGCAAGTTTAGAGAATGTGCCCCTGTCATATCACATATTCATTGCAAAGTTAGAACCTAAACTCATGCTCCTGATGTTCCTGGGAGCTTTTCCATAAGCTATAATGACTCTTCACCTATTTCACAATATTGCTAAAGGCAGGTCCCGTTCATCTTCAAATAAACTGGGATGAGTAAAACTATTCATGAAATACTTACAATTTGCTAAAGATACTCAAGTCCTCAATCTGGTATAAATCTTAGCCAAGTTGTGATCTTTCTTTTCTCACAATTCTCTTGGCATTTTTTCCCAGCAACTTCTCCCCAACTACAGCCCCCCACCTCCACTATAGCTCACATTTCTCACATTTGAAATGAGAAATCTGAGCTTCGATCTCTCTGGTAGAACAATAAGAACAACCATTTTCCCTCTAGACTAAAATTCTCACCTCTCACAGTTCTAATCTTTCTAAAATTCAGCTCTGTGAGAATTGATGTATCCATTTAATGTGGTTTGCTTTTTCATCCTTAAAACACTGTTTACATTGATAGTGCTTTGCAAAATCTTTGTAAATCTGGATAGTGCTTTGTAGAATTCATATATATCTTTAAAATATTAAATATATATATGAATATCTCTTATGTGCTCATATAATAAATGGGGCTGAAATACATGAAATTACAAAATTTTTCATGTGTTTCCTAGTATTACAGGAATTACATTGGGAATAGTTTTTGTAATTTAATGAACATGTTTTAGACAGGATTATAGACTTTCTCTGATGATCAAAGCTTTTGTCAAGATTGGCTGACAACTGGACCTCTCTCTCTCTTACGTTCTCTTTTCTTTTCCTGGTTCTCACTTAAGCATCTCAAATTCTTCATAATTCTACATGTATGCTGTTAACTACTCAGCCTTCTGACTTATTGTAAATGTTTTTAGAAGTCAGAAGGTGTGCATATTCCTCTATTGAGTCTGCAGTCAATGCTTTCTGGAAGCTGGCTGCTGTTTGGGGGAACAGTAGAAGTTAAGGGGTTTCCCTATAATTTGCGCCGCTGACTGCACCATTCAATTCTTTTGGAAAGCCCCTCTCAGGGAAGCATTTTATACTTTAAAAACAAAGGTTTTTGTTTCTGCAGTGATACAGAACCTTGACATTTCAAAACTGAAAGGAACAAAAGTCAATGACCCAAGGAAAAACAATGATGAGAGAATAAGTAAACCAAGTCTAGTGTAAACAAAGGCAGAAAAATATATTTTATTATAGAAATAAGGTTTTTAAGGACAAGTAGGGGTTGGGTTAAACATAAAAAGGGGAGATTTTTTCCTTTTTAAATACTTGGCAACGTTTCCTAGACCAGCCTGCATTAGCCAACAATTTATTTCTGGTTCTTTGAAGTTACTGCTTTGACTCAAGTAGAGGTTTTTCCATTAATATCTAAAAATTATCTATTAGTCTAAAAAGTATTAAATAATAGAATCAAGTCATTATCTATTAAAATATTATCAGTATTTATTCCCGCTATTGTCAGACCTACACGTCGTCTCTTTGGGATGAAGCACTTATAATTACGTAAGGTAATTTTTTTAAATGCTATATTTATTCAGCTGCAAGTAACAGAGAAGCTAAATACAAGAGTTAGAATAGATATAAGTTTGCTTATTCTCTCACAACAGGAAGTTTCTTGGGTAGTTGCTGGAGTTGGTTCAGTTACTCAGTAATGGCAGGGCCAATGTCTCTGTAATTCCCTGGGCTTGGCCTTTCTCTCATTATTACCAGATAGCTGCTGAAGCTCCAATGATCAGGCTTGTGTCCACAAAAGGGAAGATGTATGTCTTCTTTAATGATGAAAGCAAGGCCGGGCACGGTGGCTCACGCCTGTAATCCCAGCACTTCGGGAGGCCGAGGTGAGTGGATCATGAGGTCAGGAGATCGAGACCACCCTGGCTAACACGGTGAAACCCCGTCTGTACTAAAAATACAAGAAAAAATTAGCCAGGCGTGGTGGCGGGCGCCTGTAGTCCCAGCTACTCAGGAGGCTGACGCAGGAGAATGGTGTGAACCTGGGAGGCGGAGCTTGCAATGAGTGGAGATCATGCCACTGCACTCCAGCCTGGGCGACAGAGCAAGACTCCATCTCAAAAAAAAAAAAAAAAATGATGAAAGCAAAGTTTTCAAAAACTCTCCAACAGATTTTTACTTCCATCTCATTGGTAAGAGCTGTCAATTAGCCACTCCAAGGAAGGATGGACTTTTAAGTAGAGGAAATGGAGAAGAAGGTTAAAATTAGTTGCTGAATCAGCCAACTCATAATGTCTGTCAGAGTTTTTTTGTGGACATTTCTGACACATGATATTATATAAATAATTCCTGGGAATAATTAATTGATGATTCTGAGTCACCTAACTTCAAAATATCAGTGTTACCCAGTCTTTAGATTTTACTGAAGATGAGAAATAAAATTAAATTTTAAAATTGGCGGTGGCAGACGGAATAAAGGACCCCCAATTATGTCCACATCCTAATCCCTAAAACCCATGATCTTGTTATGAAGAGATGGGGAGATGATCCTGGATGATGTAAGTAGACCCAATAGCATTGCAAGTTTTCTTAGAAGAGGGAAGCAGGAGTATCAAAGTCACAGAGGGAAATGTCATGACAAAAGCTGAGGCCAAAGAGAGAGAAAAAGATTTGAAGACACTACACTGCTGGCTTTGAAGATGGAGAAAGGAGCCAGGAACCAAGGACTGCTGCAGCCTCTAGAAGCTAGAACATGTAAGGAGGTGGAGTCTTCCCCAGAACCTCCAAATGGAAAGTAGCCCTGTCTACTACCTTGATTTCAGGACTTCTGACCTCCAGAACTGTAAGATAATAAATGTGTGCTATTTCAATCTACTATGTTTAAGGTACGTTTTACTGTACCAGTAGGAAACTAATACAGTAGCCCAGATCAGATTAGAATGAAAGCTTTAAATTGCTCTTGAAAAGTAAAAATTAAGGCTTTATGAGACTGTGGCTACAAGCCCCACAAATTACTTCCTGTGGTCATGCAAAACAGCAATGATAATTGCTAACATGTATTGAAAATTTACTATGTTCCTGGAAAATACCATTGCATTGTGGGCATTTAATTCCATCCTTACAATAACCCTATGAGGTACATACTAATAGTATCACCCATTTTTCTCAGCACAGATGAATAGACTACAAGGAGACAGGGACATGAGGACTGGGGGGTGGGGGTGGGCGTGGCACATGGACAGCCGCACATCCATGGGCAGCAGGGCTGGCATGGGTTGGCAGATGGTTGGTAAGGAGTATCTGTGATTGGTGGCACAGGCTCACCTGGCTTCTTGGATGCAGCTGGCTACTACACCAGTGACCTGGGAACCCAAGAGATTGTGTGAGACACAAAGAGTCACTTAGAGCACTCTCCTTACTGTGTTTGAGGACACTGGAAAGAACCTGACTAAGGGCTGGAATTGCATCTGAACCACCTAATGGAGTAATGAACTGTGCAGAGAGTTCTTTGTGTTTGTCCTGCACTTGGAGTAGATCAAGGCTGATATTCACAGAGGCAATGTAAGTCTGATAAAGACAACCCAAATAGCTTCTCAATTGTAGAGGAAAGTGCCAATGCAATCAGAAGACAAAGTTATTCCAGTCTCCCAAAAGTGATGTTTGAATCCTGATAAGTTAATACAAACAGAAAAGCATACAGCAGCCCTTGCTTTGCACACTTCTGATACAAATGAGTTTCAGTTAACACAGCACTGTGCAAAGCAAAGGCTGCCTGTATTCAATTCTCAAAGGAGCAAAAGTAATGCAGAAAATTACTCTGCAAGGATTCAAATGTCAAAAATACATTACATGCTACTGTCTTGAATACTGTATTTATCAAAGATAAGTACTTTAATTGTACACTGAAAATATATACAATAAAGTAAAAGCAACTCTTTAAAACTTAATGTTATTTATAAGCAAGCTTCAAAACTTCCAACTTACTATAATTTTACTTGGTATTTGGTTAAAAAGTGTTCCAAAACTTACGGGAAAATGTAAGTTTAAAAATAGTGGTTGTTGCAATTACGGATAAGAATAGCTAAAGAACACCAATAACTTCATTTTATTACTTGTGCAAACATAAGCATCAAGGTGAAAGTAAATGAATCAGGCTGCTTTATATTATCAGAAGGAACATGATCTCAAAGGGACATTTAAGTTAATTGTTTAGCCTGCCTTACTGTATTTGGTTTGTGTAAAAAAGGAAAAAAGCAAACCAAACAAAAAATATCTCCCCTCAAAGTCCTCCCTTTCTCTGCGTTTAAGTAGGATTAAGAACCATTCCAAAATTTTGTTGTTGAGCCATGTCAAAAAAAAAAAGGTCCTAAAATAACCACTGTTGTGTCCCTTGAGGGAAGAACTCTAATGTCATCAAGCTGATATTTGGATCCTGATGGCGGAAAAAGAAAGTGTGTCTCGTTCCCGGGAAAAAAAGGAGATACACAAGCAAGGAAATTGCATGATGAGCTGTTGAGGTTCAAAAAATAAATCAGATGAGGTGTCATGCAGGCTGTCTCCATGACTTAGGGAGGATTTTTTGAGATCTTCGTATTTCAGACTTTTCTTACATCATTCTCCTTTGTCCTAAAAGATGACAGTCCTGGCTGTTACTTCCTGTAGACGTAAGGGTAGCTGAAAGGAATGAGGCATAACCGCCTCCACCTCCCTGTTTCCTCCCGTTTCCATTATATATTCAGGCAGTGACCATTGCTTCCAGGACCCGCTGCTATTTCTGGTGGTGCCACAGATCTGGCACAATGGGTAGATCAGAATTAAAAGCTTTTCCACTTGACAGGTTTCTTTGTCATTTCCAACTCTTGTCATCTCCGTTGTGTGGCTTCCAATTGTGCTGAGGATGCACTGGAAACATCTCTCCTTCCTGCCCATTTTCAGAATATCGCAGTGGTAGCCCTTTCTGGTTGATGTTAAATTTAGCACAAGAATTTTAGGCACATATTTGAAAGAATTAATAGGCTCTAAACAAAACCATACACATCAGAAGTGATTACCACGCAACCACCAACACTGCCTAACAGTGTCTCTGTGTGCCCATTAAAACTGTTCCTATCTCATTCCTTTTGTCAGCCTTCAACATAGAGTCACTGTTTGTGAGGATAACTGTGTACTGCCCCGACTGTGGCCTCTGATAGAGTCACAAGTCACGGTTTTTGCATATTCCAGTGAACAGCATTTAAAACTTTTGAATGTATCATTTTAATATCCAACGATGATCCTTATCTCTTACAGCCAGTTAACCTGCTCCACCAATTAACCATCATTTAATGAGTTTATTTCAGTGTTCTCAGTAATAAACATTACAAAAATAGTTTTAGCCGGGCGTGGTGGTGCACACACACCTTTAATCCCAGTTATTCAGGAGGTTTCTGTGGAGGATCCCTTGAGCCCAGGACTTTGAGGGTGCAGTGAGCTGGGATTGTGCCACTGTACTCCAGCCTGGGCGAGAGAGTGAGATACTGTCTTTAAAAAATGGAATTAAATAAATAAATAAATAAATGGATTTTGCCACCAATAAATTTGGAAAATTGATTACAATTTGGAAGCACACCTGTGAAGGAGTCTCAGCACACCTTTTGCTCCCACCTCTTGGGAGTTACATAATGGTACTGAATTTCCATGTGCTTTTCCCAGCCTACTTCTATCTTCCATTAAGCCTAAATGTGAGGCAGAGGGAGATATAGCTCAAAGCAAGCCCTTTGCACGTATGGTGTCCCTTTTCACGAATATTCATTAGAGTCTCCTTGTGTACAATTCAGAGGGAAATTCTTCGTTCTATTCCCTTGCTTCACATTAGTTGAAAGGGAAACAATCCAATGCTAGCTCAGAATTTGGCAGGAAGGCTGAAATACCTTTCTTTTGTTTTTTATTTTTGCAGTGATGGGGGTCTCACTATGTTGCCCTGACTGGTCTCAAACTCCTGGCCTTAAATAATTAAATAATTCTCCTGTCTCAGCCAGGAGTTTATTGTGTATATTCAAGGTTTACAACATGATCTTATGGGATACATAGAGATAGTAAGATGGTTATGATAGTGAAGCAAACTAATGTATCCCAGTGAGAGAAAACAGTGCAGATGCGTTCCGCCTTGCCTGTCTTTGTCCATCCCTACAGTGGTGGGACTCCAAGGCAAAATTAGCTTGAATTCACCAGTGATAGTAGTGCTTAGAGAGAAATCTTCTCGTGAAAATAAAGCTAAATTGTATTAAATATGTATGTGCCAGACAATGATCTAAGCTGTCTATACAAGTTAATTCATGGCATCCTTACTACTCTCTCCTCATAGAAGACTATTATTATCTCCATGTTAAAGACCCAGCAGCTGGGACACAGAGAGAAGAGATCATTTGCCAACAGAGTAAAGAATAAGCAGCAGCAGAAGGGATTATTACCAGGAGCCAGTCCTGACCATTACTGGCATGGGGCAGGTATTTAAAGAACAGATACAGTTGCAGGCACTGAAGAGATCATTTTTCAGACTAAGGACAATATTTGAAGAGGAAAGGCCAAAAATATTGAGCCTAGCAAACAGGAATTGACGGCAGTGATGGAAAGTCTGTGAGGAAGTGATCCTCCAGGTCTGTGCAGGCAGGGGACAACCTGTGGATGTTGGCAGGGGGTCTCTTCAGCAGAGAGTAGGATCCAGCTGCGGGGTCATGGTCAGTTTCTGGGCATGGAATGTGAAAGCCCAACATGGACTTTAGTACTGAAATTAGCCTGGGTCATCTGTGTAGCTACCGGAAGTGAAATTTGAAAACTGTAACCAAAAGAAACCAAGCCATCAAAAAGTGTAATATCCAATGGGGACTGATCTAAGGAAGTGAGAGGCCAGTAATCCAAAAGGAAAAGGAGGCCAAGAGCGAAGAACAGCCCAGGAGGCATGCCGAACCTCATCTCCAGCATGGTCCTGGCCACTGCGAGACTAGCTGGGTTTCCACCTTTCCTGGCCCAGTTGTGGTCAGGTGGCCCAGCTTCAGGCCAGGAGGGGAAGAAACAGCAGCCAAGGCTGACAGGAAACCTGAAACCTAAAAACTCCCCATGCCTTCCACATGACAAACACGACAGGACTCAAGTGTCCAACACTAGCATTTCAACTCCGTCTCAACTTGATACCAATCCTTGCACTTTCAGGCCAGGAGAAAATAGATTTTGAGCTCAAATAATGTTAATGCTCCATTTTTTTTTAATGTGGGAAAATAAGAAACAACCAAAATCTGATGGGATGTCATCAAGAAAATCATGAAACAGCATTTGATCACGTAATCTGCCATCATCACAAATCACGTTTTCAAGGAATATTCACTGTCTAAGGAAATGCACGTCACGTAAGGGTATGAAGAAAAGCAGGCTGACATGCCAGAATGTGCTCTAGATTTGCTGAGAGAAATTGTGTTTTGGTACAATAAAGAAGTTGTACTGACAGAATATAGCCCTGTTTTATATAATTAATAAATTGCCTTCATTCACAGAATATTGATGGTACTGTTATACCATAAGAATAGTCAAGATATGTGAAATATCAAAGTGTCCTTACTTGCATAAAATTTAATCCCTAAAAACCTGTCACCTGATATATCTAGATACTTGAAAACTTAATCATGGTAATTTTTACCTTTTTTTTGGTTAGCCTTTTAGCAACTTGGTTTAGTTTTCCCCTTTTGGAACTAAATAAACATTGTAAAATTTAAAATTACTACATAGAGACTAAAATTGTTCATGTAAAATTTCCACATAGCAGATTAATACATATTGACCTTTACCTTTAACAGATATGGACAAAAGTAGTTAAATGTTTTTGTTGAGTGTTTATTTAACTGCCTGTGGGAAAAAAAGAAAAACTTTTCTGAGCGTAATTTAATTGTTTGGAAGTTTTGGATAGTGCAGACTTTCTATTCTTATAGATTGAGAATCAATCAAGTATAGGTAAATTTTAAGGGGTTGAGATTTCTTTGAAACCATAAAGAAGAGGCAGGGAACTGCTCATACTTCTGTTTTGTTTTGCATGGTAGCCATTGCAAGTACCTTATGCATGAAATTAAATTGCTTGGGCTACAAACACTAAAGAGTCACATTAGCAATCCTCAAGCATTTGGTGGGAGAAGGGGGTGTTGTTGATGGTAGAGAACTACTTTCTGATTTTCTTCAAGTCTAATGGAGGGGATAGGAGTGGTGTGGCTTAAATAGAAGAGTGGAGTGGTGTGGCTTAAATAGAAGAGCGGACTTCCCGTGAGAGAGTGCAGATAAGCCAATTGATCCCCTTTCCCACACTGCTGGCATGAGGCAGGGCCAGAGATGCCAGGCCCCAGAGCCACAGGAAACCTGGAAGAGGCAGGACAGGCTGAGGGGTGAACAGGGTGGAGAGGGCACAGGAAGTGCACAGGATCCTCAGGGCGACCAAGGAAAGGAATGTGTGAGCTGGTGCCAAGAAGCTGAGGATAAAAAAGGATGAAGAAAGGAGAAGGGACTGGGTCAGCTGTAGGATAAGGAAGCTGGAGGAGGGGGCTCCTGGGCAGCCCTTGGTATGCCATCTTAGTTTCATTCCACACCTTGATAGGTAAGTCTTAGTTCTTCCATGGTCCCTCTCTTCTGAATTCTCAGGTGACCTCTCCCATAAGAGATACAACAGCTAATTCAGGCACCATCAGACAGCCCGGAGCCTGGGCTTCTGGGCATCATCCACACACCCCATGCAGGGATGGGGAGGTTAGGAAGATGCTGGGGAGTTTGTGGGTGTCTGAGATCAAGGTATGGGGAGGGAGGAGGTCTGTTGGTGGAGTCTACACTATTCCCCACTGCTCCAGGGTAATTCTCACCAGTATTCAGATTTGCCCCATCAAGTAGAGATATAAAAATACAGCTAGTACGTGAGGCCCTAGTCAGGAATACCTGCCCTCAATCCAGTCAACCCCATGTTCTCCCCATCTTCTCCCGATTCACCACAAGCTCTCCCCTCACTCCCATGATTGTCTTTAAGATGTTCAGGAGGTTATCACTCATGGCTACAGCAGTTCCAAATACAAAATTCATTTCTGGCTTATACTTCCAACCACCCCCCCACATTACCCACACCCACTTTCAAAAAGGATCTGAGGTCTATAAGTTGATATTCTATATAAATTGAAATAGAAAACGAAAAACTATTTGGAGAAAAGAGGAAGGAAATATACCAGCGGGTATAATTACTGTCACAGAGTAAGTCACAAAGAAATTGACTGAGGAAGTTGAAACTACTAAATACTCTTGTCTGTCTATATGTACTAACATCTCAGAGAAAATTCATTTCAATAGCACTAATTAATATCAATTTTATTGTATTCAATTAAAATGCTGTAGTTATAAAGCAAAATAATCTTAAAGATTATAAAATAGGTTTATGTTGATAGCAGAAGACACCTGATACCAGTAGCTGTATGAAAGCCATCACTTGGCAAAAGTCAAATGTGAAAGACAAACACAAGGATGCTTAACCACACATGTGGAGCCTGAAAATCAAGCAAATTGAAGCAGGTTGAATCACAGAAAAAAGCATGGATTTTAAAATCAGGCAAACCTTCTGAATTCAACTCAGCTTCCTATTCACTAGCTATGTCTCATGACCTCTCTGTGCTTCAACTTATTCATACCCAAAGCTTAGAAAGTTTGTAGTGAGAAATAGCCATAGGCATCTAATGAATCTACTACAGTGCCTGCCACACAGGAGGCACTCAATAAATAGTATTTATTAATCAAGCCCCTATAATAATTCAGGCAGTATTCTAGGTGCCAAAATTAGACTAATGAATGAAAGAAATCTTTGTTTTAATGAGGTTTATGCTGTGATGGGAGCAAATAGCCAGCAAGTAAGCAGAGAAAGAAGAAAGGGTGGGAGGAGGAAAGAAGGAAAGGAGGGAGAGGAGAGAGATCTGAAAGTGATATTCTATTGAAAAAATACAATAGTAATAAGGTAGAGAGTATCTTGGGGCAAGGGCTAGCTCCTCTAGCTAAGCAGTTGGACTTCTCCAACTGCCTCCTCAGAAGGCCTCTCTTAGGAGATGACATTTTGTCTGAGTGCTGATTGATGGAAAGGAAGTCAGAGTGGGTTAAGATCTTGTGAACAAGGACTCCAGCCAGAGGGAGTGGCAAACAGCAAAGGCCTTGGGACCAGAACAAATTTAACGTTTCCAGAGACAAAGAAAAGCCAATGAGGGACACGAAAGAAGTGTTATAAGTGGCATGTTATGAGTGGCAGAGGAGGGTATAGGCTAGGTCCTAGGTATTGGTGGAGTCAATTCAAGTAAGCCCTTGAAGGCCCAAATTGAGCTTAGATTTTATTTTAATTACAATGGGAAATGATGGGAGGGTTTTAAGCAGGAGAGTCATATGATGAAATGTAATTTTCAGAAAGACTATTCTGTGTGCTGTATGAAGAATGAAGGTGAGTTCTCACGGGTGGAGAAAGGCTGGAAGCAGGCAGACCAGGTAGGACACTGTGGGAGTCATTCAGGTGAAAGGTTGCTCAGGTGATCCTCAGCGATGGAGCAGGTGAGATGTGGTTGGATTGGGGATATATTTTGGAGGCAGAGAGGACAGGACTTCCCAAAGAATTAGATATGAGGGAAGAAAGAGATCAGAGATGATTCCCAGATGTTAGACCTGAGCCATAGGCTGATAGGTAAGGCAATGTCATTTGCTAAGATAAGGAAGAGCAGTGGAGAGATGGTTTGGGATTGATGGGGTAAAGATGGTCAGACATCTAAGTGGACATTCCAAGTAGACAGTTAGACATACAGACTGGAAATCAGGACCACACCTGGGAGATAATGCCTTCAATCCCAGAACTTTGGGAAACTGAGGTGGGCAGATCATGAAGTCAGGAGATCGAGACCATCTTGACCAACAAGGTGAAACCCCGTCTTTACTAAAATACAAAAAATTAGCCAGGCGTGGTGGTGTGCGCTTGTAGTCCCAGCTACTCAGGAGACTGAGGCGGGCGAATCGCTTGAACCCGGGAGGCAGAGGTTGCAGTGAGCTGAGATTGCACCACTGTACTCCAGCCTGGCGACAGAGCAAGACTCTGTCTCCAAAACGAAAAAAAAAAAGAAAAGAAAAAAAAAAAGAAAATTGTATTTATATAAAGTGTAATGTAAACTTACATTATACAAAATATCCAATTCAGTTTTACCAAATCGAAAAGAAAAAGCTTGACACTATTAGAAAGTGATATTCACTATTTTTTATGGAATTAAGTATTCTCAAAAACTTTTATTTAAATAACTCTTAAGTTACCTCTATCAACACACAAAAGTTGATTCAGTTAAAGAAAAAACAAAAAAAACTTAATTTCTCTGTGGGCATCAAAATCTGATAGAAGCAAGAAATGATTCAGTTGCAGTATCAGAAACATAGTTTTTATATCAACAAAATTCCTTCTTTGTTTCTTTGTTGGGTTTTTTTTTTTTTTTTTTTTTTTTTTTGACTAAGTCTTGCTCTGTCACACAGGCTGGAGTGCCGTGGCTCCATCGTACCTCACTGCAACCTCAACCTCCTGGGCTCAAGCGATCCTCTTGACTCAGCCTCCCAGATAGCTGGAACTATAGGCATGCACCACCACACCCAGCTAAAACAAAATTCTTATAAAACACAATCATTGATGCTAGATAAAATTCTGTGTCACTGATTCATAGCTTCTGATGGGTATAGTTAAAATCCTTCCTTTGGGGTGGAAAAAAGGGAGAAAGGTGCCCTCAGAGCAGTATTTTTCTTAATATTCTAGTGATGTCCAAGATGGCCTGCATTAATTATAATAAACTGATTTTGGTTGGATTCCTCTATTCTGCTCTGGTAGGGTGCTCAGGCTAACCTGTTCTGAAGATCTCAGAGATGTGGTATCAGGTGAGAAGTCCAAATGCCACATACCGAAGCTTCCATTGAAATGAGCATGGAGAAATGACTAGAGAGATTACCTGCTTCTACTCTTAATACCCAATTAGACCTATCTTGAGAAATCGACTATTGTTGAGTGTCAATTACGGTGATATTTACTATTCATTAAATATCTCCTGTAGGCCAGGCTTATGCATGATCTCATTTTAACCACCAAAACAAATTCAGGTGTTTTTTTTTGTTTTAGAGGTAAGAAAACTAAAGATCAACTAGATTATTATTTGCTCAGAGGTAGAACATGGGTTTATTCACAGTTGTGTCTAAATCTAAATGTAATTCTCTGCCTAGTTTATTATATTGTGCCCATCAGTAAAAATAAACATCACTGAAAATTAACATTGATAACAGAGATAGCTGAAGATGTAGGGGTGAGTTGTTACAAAGACTGTAACTTACTTTCACATGGTTCTGCAAACACATACAGCTGATCCTTATTATCTGCAGTAGTCACATTCTATACAGTCTCTATGAACACTACATTAGCAAATACTGAGCCATTGCTCCCAGGAGAAATACAGGGTTAGGTTCTTGCGAGCCTCTGGTCACAACATTTCTGTCAATGAACATATATATATATAAAAAATCTTGTTTCATGTGTGTTTCTATTTAAAGTCACCTTATTTAATATATATTTTTCACTCATTAATATTGAACTCATGGCAAACTATACTATAACTCATGCCTGAACTAAGCTTCTCTAACACAGATATTTTCTGTTAGGCACATCACAGCCTTTTTGAGCTTAGGATCACTAGGCAGTACTTCAGCACTATGCTCAGGGTCCATTTTAAATAGTGAAATCATCCACAGGAAAAAAAATGCAAAAAAAATGTGACACTGAATAAACTGTGGAAAGGACACTTGCTGAGTTTTGGGGGATTGAGGAGAGATGCAGGATGCATGAGCCCTGCCATCATGGAGCTTTTAATCTATTACTAGAGGCAAAATTAACACAGTGAAATATTCACAAGACAATATAATTGAGCAGGTGAATGGGGTGAGGACAGTGTTTTATATTACACTATCTGTTCTTGGTGGCTTTTATCTTTCCTTTTTCCAGGTTTTTCAGGCACCAGTGGTACTTTCTATATGAGCTTCTTTTAGGGTAAGGCAGATCAGCCTAAAACAAAGAAGTCCATTAAAAATGTGACTGGATTTCTTAAATGCAGAGTAGAAACTATAATCTGAAAGCCAAAGGGTTGTTTATTTGTGAGAACCAGCCTTTGTTCTGTGAACTAAATTGATTCCATGGAATTCTAAAAGCTGAGATTAATAAGATTGTATTATATGATTTATAATTCAAGTTTTGTGGATTGGACACTGAGCAGTAACCTCTACAGAACAGTGAAGAGTGCCAGTTGATATATTTGCCTTCTTACCCACAATGGAAAGGATTTCCCAGTGAGCAAGAAGAGGAAATTTAGAGAGAATAAAATAGAGTGCTTAATAAGAATAAGATAGCTAGTGACAAAATCTGTTCCCTCCTGTGGTCAAACCTTAGGTGGAGTGTGGTAAAGACACTCAGAAATCCTTACTTAATAGTACTTTCCATGGCAGACCCCAAGAAGACAGCCAGTGTTTTAACCTCAGGTGCTATAATGAAATACCATGACTGATGGCTTCAACAACAAACATGTATTTCCCATAGTTCTGGAGGCTGGGAAGACCACAATCGAGGTGCCAGCAGATTTGGTGTCTAGTAAAGGCCCACTTCCTGGCTCATAGGCGATGCCTTCTCATGGTGTCCTCGCATGGTGGGGAGAAGAAGCAAGCTATCTTAAGATTATTCTAAGAACATTAATCCCATTAATAAGGGCTCCATTCTCATGACCTCATCTAATCCTACTTACCTCCCAAAGACCCCACCTCCTAATACTATCACATTACAAGGTAGGGTTTCAACATACAAGTTTTGGGAGACACAAGCATTCAGTTTCTAACAGAGTTTCATGGAAAAACATCTATTTTGAATGGCATTTGAACAACACGGCTCTTCGAAAATGAATGAGCAATGACTGAGAGAGGTGGTGAGGCAGACCAGGCCTTCGCACAGCCTTGCAGAGCCATGTACATCACAGAATACTAAAGATAGGCAACAGAGAGTTTTCAGTCCTCAAGGAGAGGAATAGAAGAGGTGTAGGAGTGGGTGGGTCACAGGGGGTCTGGGAGAAGAGCAGGAGGACACAGATATGTGGACTTCACTGTTGATCAGAGCAAGGCAGGGACTAGGGTCAGCAGCAGCAGCTACCAGCCCACCATGTGAAAGATCAGGCAGGATGGAGACCCCTTTTGGGTGCCAGCCACAATTCCCCAAGGACCAGAGCATGACAACACAGTGGCCATCAACGGGAGAAGGCTATATGAGAACCCAGGTTACTTCTAAGCTCCCTGGATCATAAGGTCACTCTTGGGAAGAAGGAAGTGAGAACTCTGAATTTCACAGAATCCTTACTAAAAAAGGCAACATTTTAAACCAGAAGTAGAGTTATCTGCTTTTTTGTTTTGTGTTGTTGTTGTTGTTGTTGTTGTTGTTGTTGTTTTGAACCAGGCAGGCTCCCTCTGTCACACAGGCTGGAGTGCAGTGGTGTGATCTCAGCTCACTGCAACCTCTGCATCCTGGGTTCAAGTGATCCTCCTGCCTCAGCCTCCCAAGTAGCTGAGACAACAGGCATGAGCCACCAGGCCCAACTAATTTTTGTATTTTTTGTAGAGACGGGGTCTCTCCATGTTGCCCAGGCTGGTCTCAAACTCCTGAGCTCAAGCCATCCTCCTGCCTTCACCTCCCAAAGTGCTGGGAGTATAGGCATGAGCCACCGTGCCCAGCCCAGAAGTAGAGTTGTCTTAAAACAGAAAAATTAAAAGCTTTAGACTATCAGTAAAAATGGATTCTACAACTGGAGCTGAGCTGATTTCAATTACAGAAAAATTTAAAATGTTACTTTTTTTCACATCGGACTGTGACTATAAATTTTGAACTTGCTCCATGTGCTACACTGTGGTGCACCACTCAAAAGCCCCAGAGCATTGCAAAGTTGAGGGAAATGAGTGAAGCCAGGAATGGACAGGGATGGTTGGGTTGGGCCCAACCAGAAGAGAGGAGGGCAAGGCCCTGGATCAGGGCAATGGTTGAGTTGCATAAGCAGAAACTTACTGGGAGAGGCAGACAGCTGGGATCCTCAGGGTGCAGCTGTGAAGTATGAAATTACCTGCCTTGGGAATTGTAAGCACTGTAGCAGAAAAGTTAGCAGATTTGCCTACTCCAAAAATCCTTGATTAGAAGGCAATGGCCATGAGGTCTGAGCCCACCGCCTTCCAACAACATCCTCAGTTGAATGGACTGAGGGTGTTCTACACACTGGACCCAAGCAGGCCAATCAGCAGCCCTTTCCAGGGAATTTGGAATTGGGACACAGGGGCTCTGGTTCATCAACTCTCAAAGCTTAGCATACCTAAGACCCTTGTGAGTTTTTATGCTCCACCACTGTATCTTCAGAATTGGAGCTGAAAGATCTTTGGTCTTCAAAATCTTTGCTTTTCAAAATGTGTCTGGTGTAGCAGGTTTAGAGCTCAGGAATCAGTATTTCGACTCATATCCCTGGTGAATCTGAAACAGGAAGGCCATGGATCACCATCTGGGAAATAGGCTTCTGGACTAGGGGTTCCATAGAGCTAAGGTGGACATTTTTGGTCCTATAACTGTGACGCAGAAGAAAGAAGCCTGGAGAGAGGGAAGTATACAGCAGACATACAGAGAAAAGTCATGAGGTCCCAGGAGCTGGGCTCACCAGTCACACTTTCCCAGCCCTTCTCCTTTGCCTCCCCCACTCTAGTGGAGATTAGAAATTCTAAGCATTTTTCAGTCTCTTTTGAAGCCAAGAGGTCACGTGATGTATTTTTGGCCTATGAGAGGTATGTGGAAGTTGGCTTAGTTGAGAGAGGGCATTTTGGGAAAGCATTTGCTTCCTGATTGAAGGGTAGATATACAGGCAGCTGCCCATTTCTACCCTTCTACCTGCATGAAGCTTGGAGCTGCAACATTTTTAATCCATGAAGCAATAAATGCAAAGAGCCAACACACTAAAGCTGCAGAGTGAGAAGAAAGGCCTCAAGCAACAGACTCAATGCCCCCACTCTTGCTTGTGGCACATGCATAGACTATGCTTACATTTTCAGTGGCTTATAGGAAGAGAGCTTACATACATTTAAAAAATCTGTGTAATCAGGAACATGAGAACAGAATTGTGGTGAGTACATTCTAGCGGGATGATTAGGTAGAAAGAACTGAGCGCAAAGGGACCTGTACAATAACCACTACAAAAGCAGTCCCAGCAGGGCCATTTTGAGAAAATTAATTAGAGAGCTAATTGCCCAGCCAAGAAACTGAATCCTCTAGATTTTTCTACAAATTATAAGGAAGTCCCAGCAGCTACAATTATGCTACAGAATGTGTCACTGTGGTATAGTTATAGACCAAACCAACTTAAAGACACCTAATCTGAAAAAACATAAAGTCAATAGGAAAGGCAGTTAAAAATCCTATGAGAAAACCAGAGAAGATGATTACAGAAGGACCTTAGCCTATGATCAGCAGCTCATGTTTGCATCACCTTAGCGTGGGCAACCAGACCTCAGGGCCCAACTGAGTTAACTGGTCAACAAATGCAGAATGTGCAAACTTACGTCCTGATTGGAAAGTATTTTATACATGGGATGGTACAATTACTAAAATCTTAGGAAGGAGATTTATTAAAACCCAGGAAAATAGAAAATATGATTAAGAAACAGGCCAAGCACAGTGGCTCACACCTGTAATCCCAGCACTTTGGGAGACCCAGGCAGGTAGATTGCTTGAACCCAGGAGTTTGAGACCAGCCTGGGAAACATGGTGAGACCCTGTCTGCAGAAAAAAATAACAAGTTAGCCAGGTGTGGTGGCACATGTCTGTGGTCCTAGCTACTCAAGAGGCTGAGGTGGGAGCATCTCTTGAGCTTGGGAGGTCTAGGCTGCACTGAGCCATGATCATGCCACTGCACTCCAGCCTAAAGAAGAAGATTAAGAGACAAAGTCAAATCCAACACATTTAAAAAAATTTTTTTTTGTAGAGATGGGGTCTCACTATGTTGCTCAGGCTAGTCTTGAAGTCCTGGGCTCCAGTGATCCTCCTGCCTCAGCCTCCCAAAGTGCTGGGATTACAGGCTTGAGCCACCATGCCTGGCCCATCACACTTTTTAAACCAGAAATGGTGTGAAGACATTTAAACAGTTTTGTAACCATAGTGACATTTTATGTTGTTTTGGTTGCTGCTTAAGGTATTAGAGAGTTTATTAGTTTCCTGTGTCTGCTGTAACAATTACCACAAACTTGGTAGCTTAAGACAACAGAAATTTATTCTCTCATAGTTCTGGAGAAGAAAAGAGTCTGAAATCAAGGTTGTGCTGCCTCCAAAAGCTCTAGGAAAGAATTCATCCCTTTCTAGTGACAATGGCATTCCTTGACTTGTGGCCTCATCCCTCTGAACTCTGCCCCTGTGGTCACGTGGCCTCCTCATCTTCTGTGTGTCCATCTAATCTCCCTCTGTCTCCTCCTATAAGGACACTTGTAATTGGAATTAAGGTCCACTCAGATAATCCAGGGTAATCCCCCAAGTCCAGATCCTTAATCACATCAGCAAAGACCCTTTTTCCTCATTAGGTAAAATTTACAGATCCTAGGGATTAGGATCTGGTATCTTTCAGTGGCCACACATCAGCTTCCTACAGAGAATGCCTAAGAAACTCTGATATACTTGATTTGTGATTTAATTTTCTATTTAAATGTTTTTACATTTATAATTGATGTATGCACATTTAGGGAATTATGTTTTTGATGTATTATTTAGACAAGAAGTATGTGAATTTTTAAAGGAAGGTTGTTTTTAAAACGATTTTTAAATAAATTCATAAGATTACTAAATTAGACTTTTAAACAAAGTACAAGTGGTAGCAAATATTCTTTTCCACACAAAATCTCTTGGAAACATAATGAATCTATAACATACTTTACTTGAAGTCTTCCTTCACTTGCTCTGTGTGTGTGTGTGTGCTCCAGTGATCCCCAGTAGAATAGAGAATATTTCTCATTTCTACTCTAAAAGATGAGGACAAAATTGGACCCTTGCAAAAGGCAAACTTAGATGAGTGCACTCACCTACTTATTCCATTACTGATGAGATGTAGGATGAGAGGTTGAGCAATGAACAGGCACACAACACCCTGGGTCATCCACAGCCCATGGCAACTGCGCACACACAGCCTCTGGAGGACTTCAGAGCTCACAGGTTAACTGCTGTTTGCCTCATAATGACTCCTGTGTCTTGTGCTGGTGGATTTGGGTTCCTTTAGCAATGGGTCATAAGGCTGCTATAGAATGCTTTATTTTGTTTCTTTTCCCTGAGTAGGCTAAATATGTCCTAGGTTTTAAAGCCACTTTTTGAAGAGAGACGTTTGCTGAGCTGCATTTTTACAATACACTCTATTCCATGAGGCACATGATGGAGTTCAAGGATTGCTCATCATTATCCAGTTGGACACTAGGACAAGAAACTTCTGGAAAACAGTTTTACTCCAGGGCATCTGCTCCTCCCATCAACATATTACCTTCTTAAGGTAATTCCTTTCCTGGCCACTGTACTTCTTTTCTTCCAAAAATCTCTCACCCTTCTCCTGAAAGATTTCTGCATGTCTGAGCAGATAGATGACTCCACTTCACAGGATTTGCATAAATTACACCATGTGGGGCTCTCCAAGAAAGTGGTCATTGATCAAGTCTCAGAGACCTTTAAAATGTCTCTCATGTCCCCAGCATGCCATACTTTTGGCTATCTTTTGTCTGCGGAAACTACTTCCACCACTGAAGGAGATGTTTCCTCTGGTCCTCTTTAACTTTGCTCTGTGGTCAAAATGTTGGACCAAGGCTGTATTTTATGCTGCTCCTTTTTCCTTTCTGAGATCTAGTCTACTGAATATAATGCCCAGGCCATTGATTCATTCATGGCCATTCATTCTATAGGTTCTGGCAAGCACTACGAAGTATTACTAATTATGCTATGTATATGTAGTTTTGATCTTCAGGATATGTTATAAATAAGAACTCAGTCACTTTCCTTATCAGGTAATCAGTTCCTCATACCTAGCCCTGTGCCTTTTGCAACTTAGGAAATTAGAGGGAGAGAGCTTAAGTAACTTATCTTGGATCACAAAGAGGCATCATGTGTCAGAGAAGAAGTATGTTATTTCATGATGAGTAGATCAAGTATAAATCATTTCAAACTTGAAACACTTGAATAAAGCTAAACTAGTATGGTTTTTGAGTCACTAACATAGCATTTCCTCAATGCTTTGGGAGTTTCTTTGGATGCCTTCCACTAGACTATCAATGAGCCCCAATCCCATTAAGCCTTTGAGAAGAAGTGAAGTTACTAGAGGATTACATGGCTCCTGGAATTTTTGTGTTTTTTCAGTGATGTGTTGATGGATATGAGTCAAAAAGTAGATAGGAGCATTCCATAATTGAGGGAAATGAGAAAGGAGATTGGTTAATGATCCAAACAATTCTAACTGGGAAGGCTGTAAAATTTGCTTTTCTTAATAAGACTGATGCTTTTTAATGTTGTCTTCCAGCTCCTTAAGGAAAATGACTATAGAAAATTGGAGGGGGTGTCCAGAAAAAGCACAGAGATTTGGAAGTCTACACAGAATTTCAAGTTCCTGTTCAAAGATTACACTTAAACACACCTTGATGGGCTTAGTCACTCAAGTGAGTTGGTATTGCAGGTGTTTGTCTTCCGTCCAACCGTGGGCTTCCTCTGTGGGAATTTCTTTTTGTGCAGCTGAGATGGTGTATAAGAAATCTCCAAAGTCAAAGCAAAGGGTAGTGACTAACTTGAAATTCCTTAATGGGGAAATTTCACAAAGGTCCCACCAAGGGCAGAAAATAAATGAGTCTTAAAGTTTTGGGAACTGATCATATAAGCACATAAAATAAAGAAACAGGGTGGGAAAATTCACTTCCCAGAGAGCCCTGGTAGCAAGAAGGCCAAGTCTTCCCAAAGCTGTGTCACCAATAAATCCCCACAGATTGGACCCATTTTTCCCCCAGAAAACATGACAAAGCTCACATGGAAATCCACACTGTGTCCAAAGTGCATTTTAAAATAATATTTTTCGATGAAAATAAGATTTAAAATATTTATATAGTTGAACACACATGCATACATCTATATAGATATCCGCACAGAATATAGTATAAAGAACATAAAATTAAGAATCAAGACACTTGGGTTGAGAACAATCTATACCTCTCTCCCTTTGGAAATTCCCTAAACTTCAGTTTTCTATTTGTAAAATAATAATAGGATAGGGCTGGGCACGGTGGCCCATGCCTATAATCCCAGCACTTTGGGAGGCCAAGACAGGCAGATCACCTGAGGTAAGGAATTCGAGACCAGCCGGGCCTACATGGCAAAACCCCACCTCTACTAAAAGTGCAAAAATTAGCTGGGCATGGTGGCATGCACCTATAGTCCCAGCTACTTGGGAGGCTGAGACAGGAGAATTGCTTGAACCCAGGAGGTGGAGGTTGCAGTGAGCCGATATTGTGCCATTGCACTCCAGCCTGGGTGACAGAGCAAGACTCTGTCTCAAAATAATAACAATAATAATAGTAATAATAATAGGATAATTATATTTTCCTTACCTAAGTTGTTGTGAAGCTCAAATGAGGAAATAAATGTGAAAGTACTTTTAAAATTGTAAACAATTATTCAAATGTAACTTATTATTATGTCCATTATTATAAGCAAACTCAATATAATGGAAAAACCACCTATATTCCCTGATGCTCTGGCCACACCTATGAGATACAGTACATGAAAATCAAGTCCAAGTTTGGAGCTAACAATAAGAGGATGGGGATAAAGGACTCAACTGTGAGATACCTCCTCATTTTACTCTCTTTGCTGGATACCGTAGAGTAAGGCAGAAGTCATAGCTAATTGTCTAATTTTCCTCAACTTATTCCACCAGAAACTTCTCTAGACTAATAATGTTGGTTCTAAAATGAAGGTACAGTCTTGGATAATTGAGGTGATTAAAACTGTAGGTACCAGAGCCCAGAGCCAGACCACCTGGGTTCAAATTCTAGATGTGTCACTTACTGACTGTGCATCCTTTAGAAAATTTTTTCTAAAGGAGTGATAACTGTACCTACATAAACAATGCTCCATAACTGTGCTGTAGTTGGAATGACTTTAACCTACTAAGAAGAATGGCAGTGGATGAAAAATTTTCTGTTCTTTTTATTTCTTGAATGAGTCGGTATACCTCCCTCTGATCCCCTCAGAGTAAAACACTTGCTAGTCGGTACAGGGCCCTCATACACACTAGGAAAATATGTACATTGCTCAAGACACTTTATCACATTCAGTGGGAGAAAAAAAGTCTCTAATGACAACAGTGCAACTGATCTCCCCTAGAATTGGGCAGTAGACAATCTGCTCAACCTTACATGATAGTCTTGTCTCTGAAACTCAGTCTCCTTTTGTGGAGGGAGAGAGGAGTGGTTAGGTTAGATCTCCCTAAATCCTCTGATAATTCCAAAAGATTCTGTGATTTTTTTTTTCTTTTAGGTGTTTAGACTGTCTTTAGGATGCAACACTTCATTCCAATTCTAGGGCTAAGGAGGGCTAGCAGACCAAGCACAGTTTGATCTCAGGGTTCTGTGGACTAGGGCAGATAACAGAGCATTTCAAGCAGATAACAGAGCATTTCAAGCAGATAGCTGGCGAGGCTTGCATTTTCTGGCTAGATTAGCATCCTTCTCACCACCTTTTTACACATAGAACCCAAAACTAGGAAGACATAGCATGAGTCCACCCTGTGCCCTGCGTCATCCTGTATAGTCCAGGGAAGATACCGAGACTTGAATTGAAGCAAGGGTGCCTTTGCTTATGAAGAAGACTTTTTTTTTTAAAGGAGGCCATACATTTTCCCTTGCAAAGGAAACAGAAATTTCCATTTGTAAAGGTGTCCTCCTCTGCTGTACCAGGAAAAGGAGAATGACTCTTAATGACCAGAGAGACAACTCTTGTCACTGGAGGTGTACCAACTCGAGTCTGCATAACAAGCCTTATAAAATTGTTCTTATCTACCGTTAGTTTCCCCCAAATATTTACCTTCCCATCAGAAGCTCAAATTCCTTTTCCTTTGTCTAGTCATTTTTCTAGGATTTATCATCCTTTGTTAAAATGGGATATAAGCCTCTAGGCCTAACCATTTTTTTAGGTTTTTCACTTATTTTCTGTAAAGCTCCTGTGTATATATGAAATATTCTTCTATTAATCTGTCTTTTGTCAGTTTAATTTGCAGGCCTCAGTCACTGAACCTAGAGGGTAGAGGAAAAGTTGTCCCCATATTTGCCTCTCACCTCATTGGCTATTGCAAACAAAACAACTATTCTTTTTACATCACTGAAAACATGAAATCTAAAGGAAGAAAAATCAGTGAGAGGGAAGTCCTTACTAATGGGAATTAGGAGTGGGAAGATCAGGACCCGAGCAGCTGACCTTGCTTCTCAACCACTTAATGCTCTTGGGGCCCCAGATTGGAAAGAACTGAGTCACCACCAAAATTCCTTTCTTCTTCCATCAATGTTCCCCTTGCTGTCTTTCTTGCTTCCTGCCATTTCTCCAGCCCTCTTTGGTATATCTTGGCCCTTTCTTCTCATGACTTCCTTTGCTGTTGCAAAGGAACTGCTATTCTACTCAGAAATCACTAAACTACAATGGATTCATTTGCCTTTGCACATAAGCTTCTGGGGTGACCCTTTGGTTAGCCCCAACGTGCATCTCTGGGAATGATTTAGCAATCTAAGACTTAGTCTCAGCAAGAAGAGGAACCAAGATGTTCCTTTCTCACAGAACCTGTAATTTGACCTCCCTCTCAGAACAAAGATAAAGGGATGTGGTTTTTACTTACTGGCTGTAAGACACATTATACATTCATTTTATAGATGCTGAAAAAATGGAAGCCCCGGAAAGAGAACATTTTATAAGGAGAATCTCCAGGCATGTCTTAAAACACAGAGACAAGTAAACGACACCTGAGTGTCAGGACTGCCAGGACTTTCCCGAGACATATCAAAGAAACCATAAACATAAATCACCCCAGGAAGACCAAGTGTGCAGATGAAGATAATACTTTAGACAAGCAGTGTGCTTTGGTTCACAAAGGACTTTCATTTTCACAATCTTTTTTGATCTACAAAACCTAAGCAGTAGTCAGGCCATATATTATTATAATTCCTACTTTACAGGTCACAAAATGACCACCTAGGGAGGCAAAGTGACTTCTAAACTCACACAGCTAATACGTGGTGAATAGGATAGGCTTTCCCTTCTTGGCTTCTTATCCTGTGATTTTTCTTCAAAAGAACTAGGATTGGAGTGTGCTGGGGGAAACAGAGGGCAGAAGAATGCAGCCAACAGCTCTGCCCTAGTAACCTGCTTTGCCAGCATCATCTTGGGGAACCTCAAGCACCTATTAGACCCCTTCTGTTTGCACAAGCACACTAGCCCTACATTCCAATAGTGAGACTTTCTGTTCTTCTCCAGAACTATTCTCTATTGTAGGGAAGGATCACAGATGCCCCCAGGGGCTACAGTTTTGCCTAGAAGTCTCATCTTAGTCTCTCCTCTATTGCATCATGACCACTGTTGATGCAAAGCTACCTGGGGGGATAACACATAATCCATTGTGTAATAACTTCTTAGGTCACCAATCATGTACCAGCGCAAGCTCTGTGCCAGGCCCTGTTAGGTGCCCACAGCATGAGACTTAATAAGCCAAGAGCTACAAGGAAGAATGGAAAGGCAAAAACAAGTGAATACAGGGTTGTGTAGAGAGAACAGTGGAGGGAGTGTCAAAGGAGAGCATCTGATCCCAAACACGTTATCAACTTTCTAAGCAGGGAATAGGAAGGCAATAGTTTTATGATCAGGATGACCAACACTTCCAAGTTCCTAAGACATCTCAGAATGAGGAACAGAGCCATTGTGTTGTGCTAATGAGAAGGAAGCAGGTTCTGGAGTCTGGTATACCTGTGTTCAAACTCTGCAATGTATCCCTCGACCCACACTGAGGCTAGTGACAGTCCCTTATTTTACTCACATTTCCCACCATGTAGAAATGGGGCTGTGGTAGTGCCTATAGCATTGTACTGCTGTGTGCATTATATAATTGGGCTTCACTTAATGAAGGGATGTGGGATGGTGATTAAGAGCACACACTGTTGGCATTCTAATATTGGCACTACCTCTAACTCTGCACCTTGGACAAGTAAATTTATTTGTACCTCAATGGTCTCATATGTAAAAATGATGATAATAGTACCTCCCCCAGAAGGTTGTTATGAGGATTAGATGGTTTAATGCATGTAAAGTCCTCAGCACAGAGCCTGGCATATGGTAAACACCCAATAAATGCTAGCTGATATTATGACGAACTGGCTTACTATCTACTAGGCCATAAGGCTCCCCATCATAGCACCAAAAATCTTCAAGGAAACCTCTTTAGTCCCTTTTCAAATTGTAATTCGTGCTCCTTATATGCAAATTGGGGCATGACAGAGCCTATGTTCACCTTTTTCTGGGTTGACTAGTCAACTAAAACAACGCTAGTTCTGAACTATGGTCAGGAACTACATAGTTCCTACATCTCATGGTCAGTAACGCATATCGAGATCCAGGGTTTACCTCACCTCTTCATTTCTACCCCCTTGTGGATTCAACATGAGGCTGCCTGAGTAGGCACATTGAACCACAGTGGGCACTGGTCTCATGAGAGATTGCTGAGAGCCCCGCTGTCTTAGACAGTTACAGCTGCTATAACAGAATACTGTAGACTGGGCAGCTTAAACAACAACAATTATCTGGCATCTTGATTTTGGACTTCCCAGCCTCCAGAATTGTTCTGGGAAGTCCAAGCTCAAGATGCTAATTTGGTCCCTGGAGAAGGCTCTCTTGCTCTTGCAGATTGCTGCCTTCTTGCTGTATCCTCACCTGACTGAGAGAAAGTTTTTCTTTAGTCTCTTCTTATAAAGTCACAAATCCCATTCATGTGGTCATGAGGGCTCCACCCTCATGGGCTAATTACTTCCTAAAGGCCAAACCACCACATTGGTGATTAGGGCTTCAATATATTAATTAGGGCAAGGGGATGAGACACAAATATTTAGTCCTTGGCACAAGCTCACCAACAGCCAAATGATGTATCACTGTCACCATCCCCAACACTATTGTCCCTGTAATCACCATAGATCCATGGTGTGATGAAGATAAACTTTAAGCGAACAATGTTCTTGAAAATAAGGACAGCAATTTTTAGCATTCTCATATGAGTTCAAATTTAGTGTTTCTTGAATTTTAAATTTTGATTTATAAACAAATTGCTTTACAAGGAGCCAACAACTAGAGGTAGCCATCTCTGTCACACATGGCAGTGAGCTATAAAGACTGAGACTTCAACATAATTTAGTATGTGTCTCAAAAAGAAAGCAATTTATCATGAGCACAAAACATTGACAACCCCACCATAGCTTCCAAAAAGCAGGCATGTATGAGACCCCCCAGGGCTGAGACTGTTTTGCGCTTGGTGTAGTAGAGACCTGGGGTCAAGGAACTGACATATGCAATGATCTGAATTCCAGTAGAGTAAGCCATTATCTAACCTGAGTGCATTCTCCTGGAATACAGAGACTCCCTCTTTACCTTCTTTATATTCCTAGTGTTTGGCTCAGAATGAATCCTCATACATATTAGAGGATAACAGATATTCCATGACTTCAAACAAGAAAGATTTTAGAATTAATGTTTTCATATGGAGAAATCTGAACTGGTGTTGGTGCAGCATAAGCCGGGGAGGAACTAGTATTCATGTCTCTTTCTTTGCCACTAAAGGTAAGACTCATTAGCCAATGACTTCCTTTGAGAATGAGTCCAACACATACATTCTACATGAAGAACATGCCAAACATTTATTTCCAGGACAACTAAGTACGTGTGTGTGTGTGTGTGTGTGTGTGTGTGTGTAAATGTTTAGTTTATAATGTCATATACCTGACAGGAAATCATGTGTGGGTTAATACTGATCATGCTACATTGAAGAGGCATTTATTGTTTCAATTATACAATGCCATTTTCATCACTAGTTTTTACCAGGAAATTCTATAAACAGCTGCTTAACCTGTACCTGTTATCAGAATTGTCTAACATTGTTATATTAGAATTAGAATTGTCTAAGTATTGTTATAGTTACTGCCTAGAGCCAATAGCTCCTATCAGGGAGACACGATGCCTATCTCCTTTGAGAGAAAAAGGAAAAGACTGTTTCCAGATACTCAAGAGCCTTCCAGCACATTCATACTTCATCTGAAGACTCTGAACTTTATGAAAATAGAGTTATTTATTCATACATTTTTAGAATATTATTTGTCTTTGGAGCATCCAGGTAATCATTCATTTTCTGGTACTTGGAGCAACAGAAAAAGTTCACGAAGACTGAAATGGTAAAATGTTCCTTTTTTATGAGGACAAGTAGAAATTGCATTCCACCGAATACTGACCTAATATTTGTTTTTGACAAATTTCTTAAACTTACTAGTAAGCATGTGGTTTGGGAGTAAATTTGTTAAAATGCATTTATCCCTAGGGGCCAATATGGGTTTTTAGAAGTATAAAATGCCCGAATAAATAGACTTTCTTGATGATCGTTGAAAATGATTGTCTTTAATGCAAAAGATGCATTCATAAAGATTTTGCACCATTCAAACTCACAAGGAGTGTCCCAGGAATTGTCTTAGCTGTCCTTGTTTAAACAGCCTTCTCCACTATTTTCTGGTTTCCACAATTTCTCTCTCTTTCACTGGCTCTGACTCTCTGTGAGGATTTCTACTTTCAAGACCTCCAATACTCTATATAATAGTGAAAATGTCTTGAAGCCATTACATCAATGGGCTTTCCATGTCCTTTCTCCATATATGGTGTTCCCCAAGATCCATTGTGCCATTATAATCCAAAGGGAAAGAAGAGAGAGAGTGCGTGACACTTCAGAAGGGCACCATGTATGCTGTAGAAGAAGGATCCCTAAGATTGGAAGTGAAAGTGCCAATCTGGTCTTGGTGGATGATGGGAAGGGAAAAAAAAGAAAAAGATTGGGCAGAAGGTTCAGACTTATAAGCTATCACTTTAATGGCAGAAATGTCCATATGGGTATAGGAAAGATCAAGAGCATTCCGGGCCTAACAGCACCTCTGGGATGCAGCCACGTCAGCGTGGAGAAGGAGCCACAGACCCGCATTGGGGGAGGGCAGTGGCTAAATAGCTGCACGTGAGGGAGCATTCCAGGTTTCCCATGGTCTACACAGACCATGCACTGTAACTAGTGGTTTGCATGTACCATATTGAGCGGCACCAAGACTTGGGGTGAAAAAGAAGACATAGTATACTCCCCAGGCCCACAGTCTCCTGTCAGGCAGTAGTTCTAGAGTGATGACCAAATGACCACACAGGCACCATGTGATTCTCAGGTCTTGTCTCCTCCACCACAGCAAGTCACATGAACCTCTTCCCCCTCACATCAAGATGCCCCCTTGGAAAGTTGCAGTGGGAGGTGCAGCAGGAAACAAAAAAAGAGCAAGTCATTATTTGAAATAGATGAAGCCTGATGAAATGGTGAGGTCACATATCGTCAGGCTTAAAGTTAGTTTTCTCTTGTGTTGAAGGATGTATTTTTAAGGGTCAAAACTATGACTCTCATCTGTTAAAGATTTTATTTCAAGTTATAAGGAAGCCAGTAAGACGTTAAAACCAGTTCAAAGGAGGATTCACACACACACACATACAGGCCATCCAGAAGATTGAAATTAATTTTGAGAATTGGCCAATATCCACAAGGCAATTATTAACTCATCTCCACCAGACACACTGGCAAGATCCATCTGCATTACTCTCAGTATTCTACAACTTACAGAGTTTTAAAATAGCTCAAAGGCAATAAGGGGAGAGTTAACCAAGAAGGGTGTACTAGATGGGATAGTAACATTTTTGCTCAAAATCTCTCACAATTTTTTCCTGATAGTTGCTACCAAAAAATGAGGATTCTTGCAAAAGTCCAAATCAGTTATAGAAATTGACATTAAAGCTGGGCCTGGTGGCACATGCCTGTAATCCCAGCTACTCGGGAGGCTGAGGCAGGAGGATTGCTAGAGTCCAGGAGTTTGAGACCAGTTTGGCAACATAGTGAGATCTCATTTCAAAAAAAAACAAAAAAGTGAAGTTAAATTTTCTTTGCATATTTTAGAAGTAACACATAGGTGGGTGGATCATGAGGTCAAGAGATTGAGACCATCCTGGCCAACATGGTGAAACCCCCTTCTCTACTAAAAATACAAAAATTAGCCGGGCGTGATGGCGCAAACCTGTAGTCCCAGCTACTTGGGAGGCTGAGGCAGAAGAATTGCTTGAATCTGGGAGGCGGAGGCTGCAGTGAGCTGAGATTGCACCACTGCACTCCAGCCTGGCGACAGAGCGACACTCTGTCTCAAAAAAAAAAAGAAAAAAAAACAAGAAGTAACATGTACATTTTGCAATTCTCTATGAAGTCAGCTTCCAAGATATTACTACCATCTGCCATTAATGTTCATCTGAGTTATTCCTCATCAGTGCTCTGCAGAACTGAAGGTGACTCACTGAGCCAAAGGCTCTGAGAACCTGAAGCATTTGCATGCAGGGCCCTCAAAGCCAGTGCTGCCAGAGTCTGGACTTTGATGAAGTGAAGAGAATACCTCTCTCCCTGCTGAGTGCCAACACCATTTATATGAGGAGACCCAGTGCCATGCTCTCATCTTAGAGAACTGTCCTTTAGATTCTGTTTGGAGCCCCTCTCCCTAGGACCCAAACTTAAGTTCTTGTGGGCCAGGCCCAAGGGCGATCCGAGTGACAGGTAATGATGATTAGATCCATACTTTCATTCTTTGACTATTGAAGGCCTCCTTGTTTGTGATTCTATTCCATCCATCCATCCTTTCATCCATCCATCTATCTATCCAATCTTCCAATTAGTCATAACAGGTCATGCAATTGGGCTAATATTATTAAAAATTAGCAGAAAGTTCCTAAGTCCCATCAACTGACACCCTTTCAGAGAGCTCTGTCTTTTTTTAAAATTATTTTTATTTTGAGACGGAGTCTTGTTCTGTCACCCAGGCTGGAGTGCAGTGGCATGATCTCAGCTCACTGCAACCTCTGCCTCCCAAGTTTAAGCTTTTCTCCTGTCCTAGCCTCCTGAGTAGCTGGGACTACAGGCACAAGACACCACGCCCAACTAATTTTTTGTATTTTTAGTGGAGACAGGGTTTCACTATGTTGGCTAGGCTGGTGTTGAACTCCTGGCCTCAGGTGATCTACCTGCCTTGGCCTCCCAAAGTGCTGGTATTACAGGCATAAGCCACCCTGGCTGGCCCAGAAAGCTCTGTCTTCCAATCCAGGGAAATAGTGTGTCATCTTGGGGAAGCAGCAAAGTGCTAGAGTCAAAGAAATTCAAACTTATTGGCTTGCTCACTCTCTGTAGGCAAATTATTAACATCTGTGAAATATGGGGATGTTAATTTCCACCACCTCATAAAGTTGATGCAATAATTAGGGATTCATTTGACAAATAATGATCAATTATTAGGTGCGAATTCCTGTAGTCCACCACATCTACCATGTAGCTAGGTCTCAGGTTCAGCCCAATTGCCAATAACACTCTTTTCCTCCCACTTAATATTTATATCTTATTTCCTCATTAGTCATTTATGTAAACTTTACTATTTTTATTCTTTCTGATTGGTTTACTGGCATATTATTATTCTCTATCTTACTATAAAACTAATATTCGAGTCATAATGCTGTTAACTTGTTTGTAATCTCATTAACATAACTGCTTTGGGCTATAATGACCTCATTTTTCTCTTCTTAAAGTGTGCACTCATCATGAATGATTTCATTTATTCTTAGTTCTTACCACTTCCTTCTTGACTTCAGATTGCCTACTGGAATTTTCTAGTTTGTGATTTGTAACTGGGATTACTTACGTGTTCAAACCCAAAGTTGCCAGCCTCCCCTAGGATCTGTTCCTATTATTCTTTTTTTTTTTTTCTTTTTGAGACAGAGTCTCACTCTGTCACCCAGGCTGGAGTGCAATGCCGTGATCTCGGCTCACTGCAACCTCCACCTTCCTGGATGGAAGCAATTGATTCTCCTGCCTCAGCCTCCGGAGTAGCTGAGGTTACAGGCACACACCACCACGTCAAGCTAATTTTGGTATTTTTCATAGAGACTGGGTGTCGCCATGTTGGCCAGGCTGGTCTCAAACTCCTGACCTCAGGTGATCTGCCGCCTCGGCCTCCCAAAGTGCTGAGATTACAGGCATGAGCCACTTGTGCCCGGCCCCTATTATTCTTTTTGTTCTAAGCATCATGTTTCTGACCAGTACAGCATGTCAACTTCCCAGTTTGTGCATAACCTGGACCCTTTCCAGCTTTCCATTGTTCTACAAAGATGGCTCTCTTCCAGGCCAATGGTAAGGGCTGGAGAGAGAAAGGGGCTAGAAAGCCCTCCAGAAGTTCAAAGCCAGTGGATAGAAATTAAAAAGAGACAGATATTTAATTCAACATGTGAAATAACTTTCTTAACATTTTTGTTTCAAAAGTTGAATAGGGTATTCCAGGAGATGCTGAGGTCCTTTTACTGTACTGTTCGAGCTGAGACTAAAAGACCATCCTATTGAGTGGGAGAGGACGAATAAAACAGTCTCGGAGCTTCTATGTTTCCGGTTACCTCTTGGGACAATGAAGAACCAGCTCCAACGACAGCGAGGAGACCAACCCTTTCTTGTTGCCTCTTTCTTTCTCTCCATCCTAAGGAGAGGCTCTTCGGGGACAAGAAGTAGAGAAGAGAAGATCACTGGAGAAGGGTGTTAAAAGGAGGCTTCCGGCCAGGCACTGTGGCTCATGCCTATAACCCCAGCACTTTGGGAGGCCGAGGTGGGCTCATTGCTTGAGCCCGGGAGTTCAAGACCAGCCTGGGCAACATGACTAAACCTCGTCTCTACAAAAAACACAAAAATTAGTCAGGCATGTGCCTGTAGTCCCAGGTATTCAGAGGTGAGGTGAGAGGATCACTTGAGCCCAGGAGGTCGAGGCTGCAGAGAGCTGAGATGGCACCACTGCACTCCAGCATGGGTGACAGATCGAGACCCTGTCTTTAAAAAAAAAAAAGAAACTTTCTTCATTCTTATTTTTACCTTATGATTTCCACAGGACTAAAAAACTTTCATTAAGTAATTTCTATAGGACTAAAAGAGCCCCAGTGAAATTTCTATTTGGGAGCCGAAGATTTACATTCATATCCGTCATCATTAAACAAATATTTATGCAATGCTGGCAATGTGAAATGTCTCATGGAGACTAAATGAGGGATTAACTGCAAAGGACATAGCCCAGAACAGCATATAAACAACAAACGGGAGTTCCCTTTGGCCACCAGGGCCGTGCTGGTACGTCACTCTGGAAACGTTCTGTTGTTTCATTTGAGGATTAGCAAAACCCCTGTCTCCGTTCTGCTTCTTTGTATTAAAATGAAAAGCTCCTCTGTTCTTTAACGTATTATGTTCATAGCATAATAAATATCTGCAACTCAATTCATGGGTGTTCTGTATCCGCATTCTGCGGCCCCCCTCTGAACAGTGAGGAAGCATTTGTGTGTGTTCTTCCATGTGTTCTAGATATAAGATTACTTGCCCCAGGACAAAGATTATCTTTGGATTTGCTTTAAGTCTAGCACAGAGCCAAATATATGAAATGTTTATAAAGATGTTCATAAAAATGTCAAAGAGGGGACTTTCCTTCATGCAATGCTTGTCATTTTTCAGCCTTATTTTAGTTATAGGTGAAGAACAAAGTGTTCAATCAATTTGCATTCCCGTTTGTACTGAAGAAAAAAAACTGCATGTAAGGACATAAATGTTTGACTAGTTGTACGTGAAGAACTCTTATCTGGAAAGGAAGATGACAATGCTAATGATGAATTCACGGAGGAAATGCATTAGATAAAGCAGATTGTCATCTTTTGTTTCAAATCATGAAAGGGATAGGGGACATGCCTAACCATAGTGTGTCAACCAGGAGGGTATTTTACACGTTCTTAGATATGATATTAGTGATTGAGACTGTTTCCCAGCAAGGCGTAACCACTGATTATTACCAAAAAAAAGTTCAGCTTTATGATAAATGTACTGTATGAACTCTAGCATCTCTGCTGCAATTGTTTCTTTGTGTGCAGCACAGCTATGATTAACCTTATTGCCTGGCTACCTCCTGGAATATTATGAAAGTCAGTGATGTGATATTAGCAAAAGACATCCAACTCTTAGTCTTCAGCTTCAAAGAAAAGCCTGAGCCATCAGTGACAAGAAACAGATGGTCTTACTGAAGGGCAGAGAAGGAGGCTGCAAAATCTGTGGTGAGAATGTCAAGCGAGAGGTTCCCAAAGCCCCCTCATTCTGACATCTCAGAAGCCTGTCTCTCATTAAGAGACACATGAACCCTTAGTTGGTGCTCACCCTGAGGCTTCTCTGCTGTCTCTGTCCTCCTGGCCATCCTGCAAGCTTCCTGGCTTTGACCACAGGGTCTTTTTTTTTTTTTTTTTTTTTTTTTGAGACAGGGTCTCTCTCTGTCACCCAGGCTGGAGTGCAGTGGTGCGATCTCTGCTCACTGCAACCTCTGCCTCCCAGGTTCAAGGGATTTTCCTGCCTCAGCCTCCCAAGCAGCTGGGATTACAAGCATGCACCACAATTACTAGCTAATTTTTTGTGTTTTTTAGTAGAGATGGGGTTTCGCCATGTTGGCCAGGCTGGTCTTGAACTCCTGATCTCAAGTGATCTTCCTGGCTCGGCCTCCAAAAGTACTGGGATTACAGGCATGAGCCACCATGCTCTGCTGACCACAGGATCTTATGCAAAACCATGAAGATGGAATAACTTTTCTTGTGCCTCTTTCCGTTTTCTCTCTTTGCATCCTTATCTTCAGTTTTAGAGCCCAGTGCAAAATGATAATGTGGAATCCCATGTTAGAAAATTAAGAATTTCAAGATGGTGACTGACAGCAGAGTGTTAAACTGAGCATGAGGTCCTGTTAAGTGTGGGGCCATATGTGAATGATCTGGTGGCATGCCCATGAAGGGGGTTTGCTCCCACCCCTTTACCAACAGGCCTTCAGCCTCCATGAGAAGTCTCTTCTTGGCTGGTCCAAGGGAAGTGCCTACCCCATAGTGCCCCAGACAGTCCCATTCTTAATTTTTCTTCCTTGGAACCCTGCTCTCTGCCCCCACTCAGCTGAGTTTGTATGTGATAAGATGCTGATGTTGGTATTCCGTAACGATGGAATAATAAGGTACAAGGAGCTGGCATTTTAACTCACTCTAGAGTCTCTGGTAGAAGGATTTCTAGGACAAAATTCTATAGGAAAGTATTTGAACATTTTCATTTACAGATAATTCAACCTCTTGCTTTTTCCTACCTGTGATTTGACCACGAGTGTTGGGATGTTTTTATCTATATATCCATCTGACATTTATTGAAGACTTTCTATCTCCCAGGCCTGGTGCTAGGTCCTGGGAATGCAAAGGGTAATAAAATTTGTTCCCAATCTTTGAAGAGCTTCCTTCTACTATGATTAGCAGATACAAAGGAGAAAAAGCATATAAATTGTATAAATCGTACTAGCGCTGACCTCCCATGAGACACATAAAGCAGTTTTGTGATACTGGAGAATGAAGTGTAGGTGGTGAGAAGGATGGAGCGTGGAAAGCATTTTGTTTGTTTGTTTTTAACTACTCTCGTAGGTAAAAGCTGAGTAGTTACAAGACAGATGTGCAGAAACATAACTAATTTTATTTCTAAAATTGACTTGGTGTTGCTACGAATCCCACAGTCTGCTTAAAGGAGAGCTCTTGTTCTATACCACTCAGTGTACTCAATCCCATGCAGTGATTTTTCAGCCAAATTCATGTATTTTATCTCAGGATTTTCCAGCTCAGACACAGTTCTTTCTGGGGGGTAAATGCCTGATTATGTAGGGATTCTTCCCCATCTCCCTCTGAGAAAGATTCTCCTTTCACCAAATGTGAGTCAGGCTTCTCTGAGGCCTCTTTCTGATGAGGTCCTAACCTTGGGCTTCTCTATCTGCCCTTGTAGAATCCAGTTTGACCAAGAATCCTGCTAAGTCAGTTTAGCAAAAATCCCCCTTCTTTGGAATCTGTCTTTATCCCCCCACCCTCGTTCTGTTATCGCCCTGGCCTGCCTTCAGCAAGAATTCTATTTTGTCCATCTAAGAAGAAATCCCCTTCTTCCTGATGTTTCCTCTTAGTAATTTTCCACTGAGAAATTCCTGGCCTTGGCTATCAATCCCCCCTTGCCCTCATTGGAGTCAGAGGTGAGCCCAGCCTCTCTCCCCTACTGCAAGGGCCCAGTACAGTGGTCTCTATACCTATAGCGATAGTTCCCAAGTGACAAGTGTTGTGAATGATTTTCTCTTTAACACTTCTTCGCCTGCTCTTTTCTAAGTTCCTAGGGCACAGAAGTTACCATGTGTTGTTTTGTATTAGGGAGGGTGACCCTCCAGTCCTCTACTCACTGCTGACTCACCCATGTCCTTTTCAGACATGGGCCTCCCTCCGTGTGGCCTCTGCTGTGGTGGACCTGCCTGGTCACAGGACATCCAGGGCCAGAAGCTCTGAAGGTAGTGCAGCCTCATCTCCACAATAACATCACAATCCTGCTGCTGTCACTGCCATTGGCCTTCACTCTCCTACTTTGGGACCTGGGTACTAAGTTATGGCCTCAGAGTACAGGCCTTGGTGAGGCTATGTGGGGGCCACCTTCCTCAGCCCATTCCCCAGCCACAAAGATCACGCAGGTGGAACACAGGCTCAACCCCATACTTCTCCGGAAGGCCGGCAAATCTCCCAGCTACCCCCAGGAGAACAGAGTTCCAGAACATTCTCATGTTCCCTTGAAACTGTATGTACCGCACCCCACCTCAGATTCTGGGCCCGATGCAAGAGCCAGAGGATCTTCCTGCCTCCTCCCTGCCCTCTCCACTCCCAACTCCCTTGGGCTTTTCTACTGAGAGAAGGGAACTGCCTCTTATCCTGCATTCTTCCTAGATCTGTGATCCGCTCTACAGTTAGCCCTCTAAGTTTAGTTTCTTGACATGTGGAATGTAAACTGAGAGTTCTCAGAAAACTCCTGTCTCTTGAAAGCCTGATTTCTGAGTCTGCTGTCTCCTTACGGACTTTAACATGTAAACCCAAGCCTGAGCAACGGCTTTTTTCTTCCACTTGTCTCTGTCTTCCTCTTTCCTGGGGCCAGGTCTGCATAGTTACATAGGTCTGAGCAAAAAGTCAGAACTACTGGGAAGGGAAAAGAAAACTGTTTCAGATGCTCCACTAGGTCCAGGAGTGGGAACTTTATCCCATAAATATGAAGTGCCACTGAAGACTTTTTTTAGAAAAGCGGTACCACTGAGCAGAGGCAGAGCTTACATACAGGCTGTGTCTGGTCCAAGCAGTTGCAAGCATTTAAAAACCAAGAGATTTCACATACAAGTCTGGTTTTCTAGCTTCTCTTATACGAAGATCTGGCAAAAGTGGATTCCCATTCCAGGAAAACAACAAATGGCTGTGGCTGAGGAGTGCTCACCTTTTTTGGATGGACACAATCTTCCTATTTTATCATAGTCCCAGTCAGCCCACTTCATTAATTTCTGGTACCTTCCTGGGCCCTGCACCTTCCTCACTTATTCCCGTTACCTATTTCACAGGGATTTGTGAAAGACAGATTTGAGGGGCACCAAAAATAGTACCAAAGAAACCAGTCAGGATGCTGTCAGGGAGGTCAGTGAGAGCTCCTGGGGGTTTAATTTAGAGCACTTTGAGTAAGGAGGGAGAAGAGAGTCAGATTAAATGTGGGCCGGGGGCGCTGGCTCATGCCTGTAATCCCAGCACTTTGGGAGGCCGAGGTGGGCAGATCGTGTGAGGTCAGGCGTTCAAGACCAGCCTGGTCAACATGGTGAAACCACGGCTCTACAAAAACACAAAAGTTAGCTGGGCATGATAGCCGGTGCCTGTAATCTGAGATACTCGTGAGGCTGAGGCAGGAGAGTTGCTTGAACCCAGGAGGTAGAGGTTGGAGTGAGCCAAGATGGAAATTGTGCCACCACTGCACTCCAGCCTGGGAGACAAGAGTGAGACGCTGTCAAAAAAAAAAAAAAAAAAAAAAAGATTAAAGAGTGTGGGGAGGTGACCTGGGCAATGAGAAGTGAGAGAGAGGAAGAGGACAAGAACGACACCCAGGTTTCAGGCCTGAGTAACCAGTGAACTGTTAGCTAAAGAGTGAGGATGCTAGAAAGCCAAGTTTGAGAATAGTGAGTTTGAGGGACCCGAGAGACAATTAACTGAAGATGTTCACCAACTGGAAGCACACTGGCATGATCTAATATAAAGATATAATTTTGATATTAACAGTATATAAGCATAAGTTAGAACCATGAGAGTTTTGTCAGGGAAGGAATAAAAATCTTCCTCAAACCCCAGAAGTCCTTTTTTTTTTCTTTGAGAGAAGGTTTCATTCTGCCTCCCAGGCTTGAGTGCAGGGGCACAATCATGGTTCATTGCAACCTCCACCTCCTAAGCTCAAGTGATCTTCCCACCAACTCCCAAGTAGCTGAGACCCCAGGCACACACCACCACGCCAGGCTAATTTTTTGTGTTTTTTTGGTAGAGATGGGGTTTCACCATGTTGCCCAGGCTAGTCTCAAACTCCTGGACTCGAGCAATCCGCCAGCCTCAGACTCCCAAAGTGTTGAGATTACAGATGTGAGCCACTGCGCTGCGCCTCCTGTGAGTTCTTAGTTGGGACAGACTCCTGTAACAAAAGACAGATGAACAAGAGGAAAACAAACACGTTTATTGACACATGCAGTGCACATCACACTGGAGAAACCTCAGTAAGAATGATCTCAAAGCAGTGGCCTAGAACTCTGGCTTCTAAAGCATCTTCGACAAAGAACAATCAATATGTAGATAAATGACAGGATGAAGGGCAGTAGTCTTAGGCTTCCAAAGAGAGGAAACTGTGGGAAGGTAAATATGGGAGAAAGCTGACAGAATAATGTTTATTTGCAGATTCCTCTGGTGCTGTATCTGGGCTGATGAGGGTATAAAGCTCTCCAGCAGAGGAGAATTTACATCCCATCTTCAGGAAGGAAAAAAGGAGGATAGGGAGAGTTTCCCCTTTTTCTGCTGCTTCTTAATTGTCTTTAGCTCAAAAATAATTTTTGTCAACGAGGCATATTTTGGGTTGACATATTCTGGTTTCCTATAGTTTCTTCTCCCGTTTCTCTCTTCTCCACCCCTTCCCCACACCACGCATAAACACAGACAACACAGACACTTGCTCTCAACTTTGATATCAGGCCCAGTGAGTGCCTCTTACTCCACTCAAATAAAGCAACTCCTAATGACATCCCAGCTGGCCATTGTCACAGCCAACAAACGCCAAAGACTATGGGAACATTCTCCTTCATTCACTTCACCCATGAAAATTGTATAAAGCCAAAATTTCATTTGTATTTAGTTGAATATTCCCTAGAACCCTCCTGCCTTTACTCTTTTCTTGGCTGACGTTTGCTTGTTCCTTAAGTTTCCATGTAACGCTTCTTCCTCAAAGTACCCTACAGTGCACCAAATTCTAAGTCACTTAGTAATCATCTTCCATTTCACCTTTCACCTTACATTCTCAGTATTTATCAGAAATTATAATTAAACACTTGTATGATTATTTGCTTCGTGTCCACTGCCCCACTAGATGTAAGGACAAGGAGAACAGGGAATGTTGTTTGCTTTTGTTTTCACTGGTATCCGCAATAGACTTGACTCACAGTGGGAATTCATGACTATTTATTAAATTGATTAAAAATAGTTCAGATCAAGCTTTTTAAAAAATAGTTTTTTAAACAAATACACAACATTCTTCCTCACCTGCCCATGAGGGAAGAATTGTTATGGGAATTGTGCTTTTCTATAAACAACTAGGAATATAGACAAAATATGTGAAACAATGTTTTTCGAATATTTAGACAGCAGGCACAGCTGGATTGTGATCCTCTGGGAGAAGAGAAACAAACCAGGTGACTCTGATTGTTACAGCTTTCTGTGTGGAGACAATTTCCAGACCACAGGAAGGGGAAAGAAAGCCTGGTGATCTCTTTAAATAGAGGAGACAGATAAAGAAGATAGCAGAGACTGAGATTTCTGCTATGTGTATGGCAGAGTGCCAGAGAGGAAGAAATTACACAAGGAAAGGGATCCAACGATCCCCTTAGGCCCAAATACTAATACTCCTTGGCTGAATACTAATCTGTGCATGGTAGGCTAAATTTCCATGAGGCTGAGGAAAGAATAACTGCCACAGTAATATAAGCTGAACAACTTCCTGAACTCAAACACATCTGGGAGAAATTTGGATCCCTACCAGCCAGAATGGACAGGCCTCATTGAATACCCAGTGCATTCAGTAGAGACTCCAGAAGGGTTATGTCTTAGTAATAAGTCTAAACTAGCTCTAGAATAAAAACTATTTTACAATGATCCTAAGAAAGCTTAAAAACAAGTATCTAAAATCAAAAAGATGACAAGTTATCTCATTGCTTGCTTCATAATATTCAGCATTTTTAAACGAAAGATAACAAAATCGAAACACTCACCAGCATAGAATTCATAATGTCTACCATTCAATGAAAAATTACTAGATATGCAAAAGAAAAGCCACAAAATGTGATCCATAATCAGGGAGATAATTAGTCAATAGGAACAACCAGGGCTGGTCTGAAGGTAATGAGTTATTTCAATTTACTGTTCACAGTCAGTTACAGATCAAATTTTGTGTTCTATTCTTTCACCCCTCCTCACTATTGCACTTGACTAGTCCTGAAAAGAGATCGAGAGAGAGAGAGAGGAGAAACAGCCAACACAAATGATGAAATTAGCATATAAGGATATTTTAGAGTTTAAAAGCAGGCTGGCCCAATTGCTCAAGCCTGTGATCTCAGCATTTTGAGGGGCTAAGGCTGGAGGATCACTTGAGCCTACGAATTTGAGGCCAGCTTGGGCAACATAAGGACACCCTCCAATCTTTACAAAAAGTAAATATAAAAAAATTAGCATGGAAGCACACACCTGTGGTCCCAACTACTCACTACTCAGGAGACTGAAGAGGGAGGATTGCTTGAGTACAGGAGGTCAAGGCTGCAGTGAGCCATGTTCATACCACTGCACCCTAGCCAGGACAACAGAGCAAAACCCTGTCAGAACAACAACAAAAGAAAACAGTTATTACAATTACAATCATGTTATTTAAAGAAAAATATAAACAAAATAAGGAAAAAATGGGAGCTATAGAGAGAACAACATGGATATTACAGGGCTGAAAAATACAATACATAAAATGTAAAATGTATTAGACCAAACTTATGGCAGATTAGGCTCTACAGAAGAACAGATCAGTGAACTTGAAAATAATAGCCATATAAACTATTCAAGCTGAATCACAGCGAAAAAAAATATCAAAAAGTTAATAGAGTTCAGTGACCTGTCAGACAATACTGAGCAGTCTAATGGAGTCTCAGAAAGCAAGGAAAAAGACATATAAATATACATATATATGTATATTTATTTATTTAAGAATATTGGCCAGAAAATTCCAAATTTTGTGAAAATTATATATCCCCAGATCCAGGAATCTCAACAAATGTGAGGATATATAAATATATATGTGTGTTTATAATTGTCTATACACACACACACATATATCTCTTTCCTGATATTTTCTTCTGTAGATCCTAATCTTCCATATGTTCTGTCTAATAAATTTTTCATTTTATGTATTGTATTTTTCAGCCCTGTAATATCCAGTTGTTCTCTTTATACACAATACACACACACACTCAAACTACACCAACAGACATCATAAATTTCTAGAAACCTCTGATAAAGAGAAATTTTTAAAACAGCTAGAGGAAATAGAGAACAGTGATACAAAATACCACATATTCATAATTGTGTGGTATTATGCGGCTGTTTTTTAGCTGGAAGATTAAAAAATGATATCTTTAAAGTGATAAAACAAGATCCCGATGACTTAAAATTATATGGAAATATTAGTAATAATATCTTTCTAACAAAAACTGAGAAAAATGTCATCAGTAGTGGTAGTATAGCTCCAAAATTCTTCAGGCACAATGAAAACAACAGATGGAAACTGACTCTTATGCTAGAAAAACAAATATGTAAGTGTATGACTTTTTTCCTCACACAAAATTCTCTCAAAAATAATTGTTAAAAATAAAAAGTAACGCCAATCTATTTTGTGGGGTTTCTAACATATGTGAAAGCATAAGGAATGACGAAAAATAGCATAAAGCATAGGAAGGAAGAAATGGAAGTATACCATGGTAAGGATTTTACATTAAATATGAAAGCCTATAATATTACTTGAAGATAGATTGTGATAAGTTAAAAATTTATGTTCATAACATAAAGTCCAGACAAAATAAAGAGGTACAGTGAATAAACCAGTTATAGAGATAAAGTACTCAATCCCAAAGATAGCAAGGCAAGAGAAAGGGAAAAGAACAAAGAATAGATAAAACAAATAGAATTTATCTATCAAGATGGTAGACTTAAATTTAACTATATTAATAATTACATTAAATGTAAATAGCCACTATTTTCCATTTGGATTTCACATTTTTACATTTACATACACCCCAATTCAAAGGCAGAGATTGCCAGACTGTATGAGAAGCAAGACCCACTATAAGTTGCTACAGGAAATAGACTTAAATATAAAGACATGTATAAGTTAAAAGTAAAAGAATGAAATAATTATACTATGTCAATACTAATCATGAGAAATCTAGAGTGACTATGTTAATGTCAGACAAATAGACTTCAGGAAAAAGAATATTATCAGGGATCAATAAGATCATGTCATATTAACAGAATCAATTCAATAAGAGGGCATAATAATCCTAAAAATATGTACTTAACAACAAAGTTTCAAAATATATAAAACAAAAGCTGATGGATTGATTGACAGGAGAAATATTCAAATCCACAATTATAGCGATTTCAATACTTCTTTCTCAGTACTTGATAGAAAAAGTCAACAGAAAATCAGTAAAGATCAGCCGGGCGCGGTGGCTCACTCCTGTAATCCCAGCACTTTGGGAGCCTGAGTTGGGTGGATCACAAGGTCAGGAGTTTGACACCAGCCTGGCCAATATGGTGACATCCCGTCTTCACTAAAAATACAACAATTAACTAGGCATGGTGGCGGGCGCCTGTAGTCCCAGCTACTCAGAAGGCTGAGGCAGGAGAATCGCTTGAACCCGGAAGACAGAGGTTGCAGTGAGCTGAGATCACACCACTGCACTCCAGCCTGGGCAATAAAGCAAGACTCCATCTCAAAAAAAAAAAAAAAAAAAAAAGGAAAAAAAAAAACAGAAAGAAAGAAAGAAAATCAGTAAAGATCTGGAGATCTTAACAACACCATCAGTCCACTTGGCCTAATAGAATGTTATACCCAAATAGCCTACTTGGCCTAGTAGAATGCTACACGGCTGGTGCTGCTACGCCCAGCAGGACACACATTCTTTTCAAATGCACATGGAACATTCACTAATATAGACCATATGCTGGACCATAAAACACATTGCAATACATTTACAAGTACTTTATTCACACAGAGAATGTCCTCTGGCCAAAATGAAATTAAACTAAAAGGTTTAAAATGATACTTGAAAAATCTCCAAATATTTCAAAATTAAACCATACAGTTCTGAATAGCTCATAGATCAAAAGAAATTAGAAGGAAAGAAAACACAGTACAAGTTATCCTTGCTTTGCACAGGTCCTAATATGCACAGATGTCAATTACCAAAAAATAACACCAGTCCCCCAACAACATGGTTCAAATTTCAGCTACCACATTTCTGTTACTACCATATATTAACTGCAAGCAATTCCATAAAATATAAACTTCATTGTTAGCACATCAGTCCATGAATAATTATATAAGTAACATCATGTGTATCATGATCTGTGACCAATCACATCCCTTCTTCTAAAGGCTGTTGGTGATTGGTTGCTGTGCATTTCATACTCAGTTCACACACATATAGTAAAGCTGTTTCCTCTTGGTCTCCCATTGATAAACTCACATGGCATTTTACAAAAATCGATGACCAAAAGAAGAAATTGGCCAACAAAGATGAAAGTGCAGCAAGCAAACAAAAAGTTATAATGTTGGAAGTGAAATATTTATATTGAATGTAGATGGAATTACAAAAATAGCTGATATTGAAATGTTAACATTGTCACTTTTTGAGAGACTAGGTATGCAAAGGACTTGATGAAAGTAACAAATGAAGAGAGAATTTATGATGAAAAGGATAAAGATGTGTCCCAAAAGAAGTGATGCCAGCAAAAATTTTACATGAAAGGAGCTCTCAGATATTTCACACCATTGAAAATGCAAAGAATAAGATGTTGGAAGTTGACCTGAACTTACAAAGGAGTCTGACAATTCACAGAGGCATGGAAAAGAAGATCACTTTATATCATAAATTACACAATGAGAAGGCATCAAGCATTGTCCAAACTACTCCTGATAACATCTTTTAAATTGTGTAACATATACATTATATAAAATTTACCATTTTAACTATTTTTAAATATACAGTTCAGTGGTATTGCATACATTCATATTGCTGTGTAACTATCACCACCATCCATCTCCAGAATTTTTTCATTTTCCCAAACTGAAACTCTACATTCACTCTCTCATAAGTTGTTGGTGGGTTTTTTTTCCCCACAGAGCTTATTGGGTTTATAACTGGAGGAAGTCACATGTGTACAAAATGAAGCTCACACTATCCCAAAGCACAGTAGGAACTGAGAGCTGACTGATAAGTTTTTACAAAGACACAAAGTACTTTAGTTCTTAATGTTTCTAATATTTTAAATTATGGTATTAAAAAATTTCACCATTTTTTTCATTTTCCGATACATTTATAAAAGATAATAAGAGTTTTTAATGTCATGATAAAAAACGTAAAGGTCACAGAACAGTTGTAATTTTTTTCTATTTATTATTAAGATCACTTTGCATGATTTCAGCTAGCATCATCGTTTTCATGGTTCTTTCCTACTAGGTAAAACAAGGATTGCCTTGCGAGGTATATATAAAAATTCGTGAGGTGCATCAAAGTTCTTTAATGGAAAAATCAAAGTCCTGCACACTTACTTTAGAAAAGAAAATCCCTCCCAGCACTTTGGGAGGCTGAGGCGGGCGGATCACGAGGTCAGGAGATCAAGACCATCCTGGCTAACACGGTGAAACCCCGTCTCTACTAAAAATACAAAAAAAAAATAGCCGGGAGGGGTGGCAGGCACCTGTAGTCCCAGCTACTTGGGAGGTTGAGGCAGGAGAATGGCAGGAACCCAGGAGGCAGAGCTTGCAGTGAGCTGAGATCGCACCACTGCACTCCAGCCTAGGCAACAGAGCGAGACTCCATCTCAAAAAAAAAGGAACATTTTGAAGTCAATCATCCAAGGTTTCACCTTAAAGCTACAAAAAGAAGAGCAAACTGAACCTGAAGAAAGGAAATCATAAAGAGCAGAAATTAATGTATAGAATAATGCATAAACAACAGAGAAAAATAAATGAAATCAAATGACACAGCAATAGTATTCCTAAGATGTATGTAAAAGAAATGAAAACATATTCCCATGCAAAGATTGGTACCTATTCATTATAACCCAAGCTAAAAACAAGACAAATAGTCATCAAGGGGTAAATGGAAAAATAAATTGTGGTATATCCATTCAATGGCAAGCCACTACTCTGCAGTAAAAAAGAATAAACTGGCAGGGCGTGGTGACTCATGCCTGAATCCCAGCACTTTGGGAGGCCGAGGTGGGTGGATCACGAGGTCAGGAGGCCGAGACCACCCTGGCTAACATGGTGAAACCCCATCTCTACTAAAAATACAAAAAATTAGCTGGGCATGGTGGCGGGCACCTGTAGTCCCAGCTACCCGGGAGGCTGAGGCAGGAGAAGAACCTGGGAGGTGGAGCTTGCAGTGAGCCGAGGTTGCACCACTGCACTTCAGCCTGGGCAACAGAGCGAGACTCCAGCTCAAAAAAAAAAAAAAAAAGGAATAAACTACAAGTTTATGCAACAACATAAATCTTAACATTTTGAAAACATTATGCTGTGTAAAGAAAAGCCAGACACCAAAAGGTGTCTGTGATAACCTGCATAATTCTATTTCTGTGAAAATCTGGAATGGGAAAATCTAATCTGTATTGATTGAAAGTGGATTAGTGGCTGCCTGGTACCTGGGGGGAGCTGAGAGGATTGACTATCAAAGGGCATGAGGAAACATTTTAGGGTGATGGAAATGTTCTATATTTTGTTTGTTATGGTGGTTACTTGGTGCCTGTATTTGTTAAAACTTGCTGAATTGTACATTTAACATGGGTGCATTTAATTGAAAATAAAATAAAACATGAGGAATCCCAAAATGTGAATTTGAAGAATATGTTTATGTAACCTTGGATTCTTGTGAACCAAGAGTGTGGATGGTGGTATGGGGGTAGGGGGAGGTGGCGTGCACTTGTTTACAGTGATGCCTGTTTGTGTTCAGGTGTGTGTGTGTGTGTGTGTGTGTGGTGATGGTGGTAGTGAGAGAGCCTTCATTGTATATTTATTTTCAACAACAAAATTCGGTCAACAATAAGAAAATCTGTAGCCTTCTGCATCGTCTACCTTAAATGCATTGGCACTGAGAACTGAAGGCATGTTCTCTGCCAATGAGTAATTTACAACCTAATGCTCCACAACAAAGTGAGTTTATCTCTCTCCAAGTTCCCTAACAACAGGCCACCTACTTCCTCGGGGTTTTTTCCAGGAACTAGGTCTTTCAGGCAAATGATGGGTAATAGTCGCCTCCTCCCCACCCCACCCCTCATACACACACACACACACACACACACACACACACACACACACACACACACACAGGCTGTACTTCCTGGGGGAATTCAGACCCAATCTGAACTAGTTTTTGGAAGCCTGACAGTTCCTCTACAGCTGGCGGCCTGAGAGGATGTGGGGCTGCTGCAAGCAATGTGAAACAGAATGGAAGGTGGAGGGGCCCCACAAACTATCCCAGAAGGTGCTTGGTTTCCTACTTTGAAAGATGGCACAGCTTTCTTTAAGCCTTGGCCCCAGGGCAAAGGATAACAGACTTTATTGCGTTTCATTGGTCATCTCTTCTGGGACCAAACCTCTTGCTCAGCAAACCAATGCTAAGCCTAGTGGGCCAGGCAATCTGCCCAGAATCATCCCTTCCAGAAGACATGGCCTGAGCTTGGCTTCTTCCAGGACTGGACGTCTGTGTTTTCTGCCGCTATAGGCACGTGCAGGCTGTGGAAATTGCTGGGGCTCTGCTTCACCAATGTCTGTTCAGTGTTGCTTCTGTTCATTTTTCCATATAGCACTGTTTGTAAAGCCCAGAAGCTGCCTAACTTCTCCTGTTAAGCACCTTCTTCACAAGTTACTTCTTTTAAGTAGTTGCCCATGATATTCCAAAGTTGCATTCACATACCATCCTTTTTCGCTGGATGTTACAAATGATTGAGCTTGGCAGAAGTCAGAGTACTTCTTGTTTTCTCAACCTGCAGCTTACGGGAGGTTATGTACTATACTAGAATACACCACATCCAGCCCTTTGATCCATACACTTTAGTACTCAAGTTGATGATGTCAAATATTAAACATTCAATAATAGTGCCCCAAACCAAAAAAGCTATGCATTGTTTTTTCCAATCTTCAAGGGTTAGGATGTGACTGTGTCATATGAGAAACATTAGCCTCCTTGCCTGAGGATGAATCTAGAGTAGACAATGCCCACCCCATAGACAGACAAGCAATGCAGAGATATCTACTGAGAGGTGTCTCCTCCTTGCCCATCTACAGCTTCCTGTTGGGGATTTGAACTTGACTTCCAAGGTCTCTGACTCACCGATCCAACCAAATCCACTTTAATCATTTCCGATTCCCTCTCACATGTCCTTGGGACTGGATAGAGACAGGCAGACAAACAACTTACACGTTAGGTCTAAAAACTCAAGACTCTAATGTTAATCTAAAACATAAATGCATTTTCTTTCACTGCAGCAGAGTTTCTTTTGCTCCCACAAATGCTAGCCAAGAAAATCCAAGTGAAATCTCTGGGGAGAATAGATGAATGTCACAACCAGAGTCACATTATCAAGAATGAGGCTGACTTGAGTTATATAACAGATGAAGAACCTTATAGGATTGATGCCTGTTATCAGGTCAGAATCACATTGCAAGCCAAATCCTATTTAAGATGTGTGTGGTTAACACTCGCTGCTAGAGTGCTCTTATGCACTGTTCAGGAATAAAAACTGGCTGTGCTCGGCTCAAGTGTCCTCATGGCACCAGGGCAAAATACACAAGCATGGCACTGGTACTTGTCCAGAAATGAAGAAAAGTTGCTAGAAAATGGCCAAGCCAATCAACCATGATTTTGGACATATTTTAAAATTTGTTTTCAAGTTTAATTTGAAGGTAGACATAGTAGTTTCTGCCAACTGTCAAAGTGAAACAACTTAACGTACTCTTTGACCTATTGCCACCTCTTGATACACGGCAAGATGGAAAAACTTAGAATATAAATCCCACATTTATAGTGTGTGTACCCCCTCTCTGATCTAGATAGAGAAACTGGGTGGGAGGGTTGGGACGGGGGATAGAAGTTCCTCTTAAGCTCAAACTCCCCAGAAACTTTTTTCCTACAGTTGTAAAAGTATTGGTAATTTTTAAAATAAGTTTACTCTGTATTTTACAAACATTACTCTTGAGAGCTTCATCTCACCAGAAGCAGAAGTATCCAGTATTGTGGGATAACAAGGCCCCCAGGGTATTTCCAACCAGACTGGCAATGAGAAGCAGTAGAACCACCTAACAAAGGAAACATCATTCTCTTGCATTACCTAAAAATTGCTGAGCCCCGACATGGTCAGTCAAAATAAAGAAGTGTTAGAGAATAATGTGAAGACTCACTGACCCCCAGACAGACCCCGCAAACTGGCAATTACCTTGGTGAACTTGTTGCTCTCCAAAATCTGGTCCATAATTTTGTAGGTGCAGAAATGATGTTGTAAGTGCACCAGGATTGGCTAGACTGGAAATGCTGACTCACTCAAAGCCCACAAGATAATGATGTATAAAGCTAGAATGCAAATTGAGAATTTTACACTCACGGTGGTCTGAGTAGCCCATTCTCTTATTTTAAACAAGCTACATTAACATAAGGTTGGTTGTTAATTTATTTAATTTTATTTTTGTTTAATTTTATTTATTTATTTATTGGGACAAAGTCTCACTCCATCACCCAGGCTGGAGTGCAGTGGCATGATGTAGGCTCACTGCAACCTTCGCCTCCCGGGTTCAAGTGATTCTCATTCCTCAGCCTTTCAAGTAGCTGGGACTCAGGCGTGCACCACCACACCCAGCTAATTTTTGTATTTTCAGTAGAGACGAGATTTTGCCATGTTGGCCAGGCTGGTCTCAAACTCCTGGCCTCAAGTGATCCACCTGCCTTAGCCTCCCAAAGTGCTGGGATTATAGATGTGAGCCACCACGCCCAGCTAGATTGGTTGTTAGGCATGGAGTGCCAAGAAAGGTAATGAGGGCACAATGGCATTAGACCCTGATGGCCTGTTATGTCCATTTCTTTCTTTCTTTCTTTCTTTCTTTCTTTCTTTCTTTCTTTCTTTCTTTCTTTCTTTCTTTTTTTTTGAGATGGAGTCTTGCTCTGTCCCCCAGACTGGAATGTAGTGGCCCAATCTTGGCTCACTGCAACCTCTGCCTCCCGGGTTCAAGTGATTCTCCTGCCTCCGCCTCCTGAGTAGCTGGGACTACAGGTGCACACCACCATGTCCGGCTAGTTTTTGTATTTTTAGTAAAGACGGGGTTTCACCATGTTGTTCAGGCTGGTCTTGAACTCCTGACCTCATGATCCACCTGCCTCGGCCTCCCAAAGTGCTGGGATTATAGGTGTGAGCCACTGCGCCCAGCCCATTTCTAAATTATAGATAGACTTGCCAGACAAACCAAATACATAGTCACTGACAGAGTATCTTCTTTTCAGCCACATGCTTTTATGGGTCTTTTTGTCATCTGTGTCTGCTGCTGATTAATTCCCTATCTGGTTGACATTTCTTTTTTCTCTGTGTTCCTATGTTCTGTTAAGTTTACCAGTAGTCATTCAATAGAGTTACTCTCTATGGCTGTGCTAGTCTGGCAAGCTCCTTTCTGAATTTCACTCATCAAATGCAGTCTCATTGCAAGTTGTTAGAGAGCATTTCCCCAAGTGCCACCTACATTCCAAAAGGATATGAAGATATTTGATGAAAACCTGCAAACCGTGTGGTTTGGTGATAGTCGGTGTCTCTTGGGAGGGGCAGAGCTTCAGAATAGGAGAGAGAAGGCGTCAGTCACCATGATGATTGTGTATTTGTGGGGGTTTTTTACGTAAAGGAATATTTGGCTGCAGGATCACTAAGGTGTGACGATGGAGGAAGAAGGAAAGAAAAAAGATACTAATCAACACCTGTAGGTTGGAGGTGTGGCAACCACGTAGTAGTTCTTGATAGCTTCCGACTGAGTGCAGTCTTTCACTGAGCCCCTATCACGTTCAGGGTACAGAGCTCTGCTCTATGAGGCTTTCAGGGACAATGAGGACTACTTGTTACAAATGATTAATGAACTTTGCTCTTCTTGCTTGGCCAGTACATCAATTTCCCCTCATTGGCCTGGAATATCTAGAAGTAAGGAGGGATACAGGGGAGATTAAGGGGATTGTTAGAGAAGGAATCCAGTGAACTAGAAGATAATAATCACATTCCGGCATTCCATAATAGGACTTTGCAGCATGACATTAGCTTCATAAACTTGCCGAATACCTTGACAAAAGATTGTTTCTGTGTCTTTATCTGCTCTTTAGCTTACAGACAAGTTTGCCTGACCAACCAGATCACAGAGTTCTGATAAGGTAATTCAAGAACAGGAAGTGGGTTAGTGAAGGCCAGTGTGTGAGGTGGCGAAAGGGGACTGTTTCTTTTGGACCCCAGAGAAGTGGGAAGAAAAGGAGGAAGGTGGGGGAGGCAGGAGAGCCACATGAATGTCCCATTTGTCCTTTCCTGACTTTTGGCCTAGAGTAGGAGTATATCCAGCAAATTTTTGTTATTTTCCATAGTTATACTCATCACGGTCACTGCTGTAGGAAACCAGAACACATCATCCCCAAATATGAAGAATTGTTGAGCTGAAACAGTTAAGAAGTGGATACAGGAAAGCTCTCTACCCTCTCTCTGTTGACCTAAAAGCAGGACATAGTTTTTCAAAGATAAAAGGCATCTTCCTTCCTCCCTGCCCCCACTGGGGAGAACAAAGGTAAACACTGAACACAACTTTGGACCCTTATTGGCCTGAAAATGGTATCAGAGGAATCTACATTAAGGGCTTTACTAACTGGCCTTCATCTGCCATTAATTTGCCTTCCCCCAAACTGCCACCCCTAGAGACTCAAAATCCTTTTCCTTTGTCCTGTCACTTTTCTAAAAATTTAGTGTTCTTTGATGAAAATGCTATGTGAGCTGGAATTAAAAACCACCCCTTTGAGAACTACTCATTACCTGGGTGTCACCCATGTACATATGAAATTTATCTGTTAATAAACTTTTGTTTGTTTTTCTCTTGCTAATCTGTCTTTTGTTATGGGGCCAGAACCTATGGGGATTAAAGAAAAAAATTATTCTTTCCCTCCACCACAAACACTGAATTAACAAATACTAAACTATTGTTCTCAAGAGAAATACACAGTTGTGTTCCTGTGAGCCTCTGTTCACAGCATTTTTTTTCTTTTTAAATAGACTATTTTTTAGAGCAATTTTAGATTCACAGCAAAGTAAAGCAGGAAATACAGAGAACTACCATTTACCACCTGCCCCTGCCCCTTTCCCTGCACTGCCTCCCCAACTATCAACATCCCTCACAGAGTGGTATGTTTGTTGCAATTGATGAGCCCGCATAATCACCCAACATCCGTGGTTTACGTTAGGGTTCATTCTTGGTGTTTTACATTCTATGAGTTGTGGCAAGTGCATAATGACATACATCCACCATTATAATATTGTATTATACAGAGTATTTTCATTGCCCTAAAAATTCTCTGTGCTTTGCCTATTCATCCCTCACTTCTCCCTAACCCCGGCAACGACTGATCTTTTTACTGTCTCCATAGTTTACTTTTTACCTTTTCCAGAATGTCATATAATCAGAACCATACAGCATGGAGCTTTTCATATTGGTTTCTTTCTCTTAGTACTATGCATTTAAGATTCCACCATGTCTTTTCATGGCTTCACAGCTGCTTTCTTTTTAATGTTGACAAATTTTCTAATGTCTGGGTGTGCCACAGGGTTTTAGATCAAATTGTGTCCTCCCAGAATTCATATGTTCAAGCCCTAACCCTCAATGGGACTATATTTGGTGATAAGGCCCTTTAAGGGAGTAATTAAGGTTAAATGAGGTCTTATGATAGGGATTTCATTGGATGGGACTGGTGTTCTTTTTTTTTTTTTTTTGAGATGGAGTCTCACTCTGTTACCCAGGCTGGAGTGCAGTGGCATGATCTCAGCTCACTGCATCCTCCGTCAAGTGGGTTCAAGCCATTCTCCTGCCTCAGCCTCCAGAGTAGATGGGATTACAGGCACCCGCCACTGTGCCCAGCTAATTTTTTGTATTTTTTTTTGTAGAGATGTGGTTTCACCATGTTGGCCAGGCTGGTCACGAACTCCTGACCTCAGGTGATACACCCACCTTGGCCTTTCAGAGTGCTGGGATTACAGGCATGAGCCACCACACCCAGCTGGGACTGGTGTTCTTATAAGAAGAGATACCACAGAGCTTGCTCTCTCAAGAAAAGGCCATGTGAGGACTTAACAAGAAGGCAGCCATCTGCAATCCAGGAAGAGAGCCCTCACCAGAACTGAAATCGTCTGAGGCCTTGATCTTGGACTTCTGACTGCCAGAACTGTTAGAAAATAAATTTTTGTTGTTTAAGCCACTCAGTCTGTTTTATTTTGTTATATTGGCCTGAGCAAATACACACGATTTATCTATTCACTTACTGAAGGATAGCTTGAGTGCTTCTAAGTTATGGCAATTATGAATAATGCTGTTATAAACATTCACGTGCAGGATTTTTGTGTGGACATAAGTTTTCAACTCATGTGGGTAAGTACCAAGAAGTGAGACTGCTAGATCATATGGTAAGAGTGTTTAGTTTTGTAAAAAAAAAAACTGCCAAACTGGCTGTACCATTTTGCATTCCCACCAGCAATGAATGAGAGTTCCTGTTGCCCTACATCCTTACAAGCATTTGATGTTTTCAGTGTTCCAGACTTTGGCCATTCTAATAGGCATGTAGCGGTATCACACTGTTTTTTTGTTTTGTTTTGTTTTGTTTTTTGTTTGAGATGGAATTTTGCTCTTTTTGCCTAGGCTGGAGTGCAGTAGCACAATCCCTCTAAGTATGATCCCTTTAAAAGAATTCTTATACATGTGTGGGTAGAGGCTGGAGGTATGTATACATGCATGTACATAGACAGAGGGAAAGATGCCTGCATGCCTGTTTTCGTTTTGAGACAGAGTCTTGCTCTGTCACCCAGGCTGGAGTGCAATGGCATGATCTCGGCTCACTGTAACCTCCGCCTCCTGGGTTCAAGCAAATCTCCTGCCTCAGTCTCCCAAGTAGCTGGGATTACAGGCATGCACCACCACACCCGGCTAATTGTGTATTTTTAGTAGAGATAGGGTTTCACCATGTTGACCAGACTGGTCTCAAACTCCTGACCCCAGGTGATCCACCTGCCTCAGCCTCCCAAAGTGCTAGAATTATAAGCATGAGCCACCGCACCCGGCCTGCATTGTTGTTTTAAATTGCAATTCCCTGATGACATATGATGTGGAGCATTTTTTTATACGTTGATTTGCTATTCGTATATCTTCTTTTATGAGGTCTATATTCATGTCTTTTGCCCTTCTTTTTCAGCAGGTTATTTGTTTTCTTATTGAATTTTAAGAGCTCTTTATACATGTATTAGTTCATTCTCACACTGCTATAAAGAAATACCTCAGATTGGGTAATTTATAAAGCAAAGAGGTTTAACTGGCCCATGGTTCTGCAGGCTGTATAGGCTTCTGCTTCTGGGAAGGCCTCAGGAAACTTACAATCATGGCAGAAGGCAAAGAGGAAGCTGGCACATCTTATAGAGCTAGAGCAGGGGGAAGAGAGACAAGGGGGAGGTGCCACACATTTTTAAACAACCAGATCTCCTGAGAACTCTGTCATGAGACAGCACCAGGCGGATGGTGCCAAACCATTAGAATCCACTCCCATGGTCCAATCACCTCTCACCAGGACCCACTTCCAACATTGGGGATTACAATTCAACATGAGACCTGAGTGGAGACACAGATGCAAACCATGTCAGTATATTTTGAATAACAGTTCTTTACCAGATATATCTTCTTGCAAATATTTCCTCCCGGTCTGCAACTTTTTCCTTCTCTTAACAGGGAGTAAGTATTTTTAATTCATTAATCGATCAGTATATAATCTTGTTTTATGTGTGTGTCTATTTTTAAACACCTTACTTAATAGATATTATTGACTCAGTAGCACTGAACTCATGGCCAGTAACACTATAACTCATGTGTGATTGTAGCTTATCTAAGACATGTTGTCTCAATCTGCCCGGGCTGAGCTAATAAAATTCCACAGACTCTGTGGCTTAAAGAGCAGAAATCTATTTTCTCAAACTTCTGGTGGCTAGAAACTCCAAGATCAAGGTGCCCACAGGTTTGGTTTCTGGCAAAGGCTCTCTTCCTGGCTTTCAGACAGTTGCCTTGTCCACATATGGCTTTTCCTCTGAAGGGGGGAGATGGGCAGGGTGGGCAGAAGAGAGAGAAAGCTCTTTTTATAAAGACACTAATTTTATCAGATCAGGGCCCAATTTATGACCCCCCCCCCAATAACCTGATAAGGCCCATTCTTTTAACCTTAAAACCTCTTTAAAGACCCCATTTCCATATACAGCCAAACTTGGGCTGGACCTTCAACATATGAATTTGCAGGGACACAAACCTTCAGTCCATAACACGTCTTTTCTCTGTAAGGTCATCACAGCATTCTTCAGCTTAGGAACACCAAACATCACTTCTGCACTATGGCGGGGAGCCATTTGAAACAGTAAAGTCACAAAGAAAAAACCACAAAAATGAAAACATGGGCAACTAAGGAGGCAGAAGGACTTTTGTTTACAGGATGAGAGCTGAAACAAAAAGGCAGAGCCTCACCTGGTGCGACCTCAACTGGAAAAGTGCATGAGTGACTCAAATTTTTTACCACATCATGCATGTCTATGAATGATACAAAAGCACAAGTTTTGATTTGGGGGTTAGAAATAAATTTTAGCAAATAGGCAAATCTACAAATAATGAGGATCAACTGTATATTTTTTGGATACATTGAGAGGATCACCCAGGAGACGGGCTGCCATAAATGCCCATTTGGATGGTAGGGAGAGGATTACAGTGAAGACAGGCCCACACCCACATGTGATCATCAGGTGCTTAAGAGGGTGGAAGGACATGAGCAGACAGAAAGAGCTAGCTGGCAAGCTAGCTGGCAATCTGGAGCTTCCCTTCATTCTCTTGCCCCACTGGATGCTGAGATGAAAGCCAGAGGACTTGCCACAGGGTCTGGATGCTGAGATGAAAGCCAGAGGACTTGCCACAGGGTCTGCTGAGACAAAGCAAGGTGACCCCACAGCACAGGATGGACAGCCAAGCCAAGGGATGGAGGCAGCAGAAACCCAAAGGGCTAGAGCTCATTTGAGTTGAAGAGAAGCAGAGATCAGGAAATGAGTGTCGAGTTCTTTTTAAGAACATTGCTGGAGCTGGAGACCACCAGCTGCAGGTTTCAGCCCTGAAGAGCAACAGGGCAGCAGCTCTGGACAAGGGGCTGGCTGCTACAGATACACGGATTCCTGTCAGCGCAACCTGTGAACTGTCATGAGCCCAGGGCCTATCCATATCCCGTCAGCACAACATGGAACCAGCAAGTCACGTTCTTTTCCATGCTTTCACCTAGACCTCACTATCTCAACTAGGTTGAACTGGTGGAAGCTTGGGAGGGCCAATTTAGTTAAACAAAAGATAAAGAAATCCCCTTTTCTCTACATCTCAGCTGTACTATGAACTGACATATGTGATCCAGTTACATAATGTTTTTAATTGGCTATCCTCTTAATGGTGGTCATAATCTAGGGAGGAAATTAGATGCTTCCTGATTCATCATAATAAGACAATTTATGATGAGAGCTTCAAGTGTTCATTAAGTTGGTTTGTTTTATCCAGGGGGCAGCAGTGAGCTTTGGCAATGCTATCAGCAAAGAAAGACACTGAATTGGTGCTCAGGACAGTGAGTGCTACTCAGAATGTCTTGGGAAGGCTGTTACAGTACTTTCAGGTGTATTTCTTATGGTTTTCAGGGCTGACTGAAAAAGGCTAATCTGTCAGGTTCGCAGCACCACAGCCCTGCCCTGCCATCTTCCTTTCTCCTTCCCCAACACTTTATACCTCCACATCCCCTCCTGATTCCAAGACGCCTGGCCTTGGCCGTCTCCTATAACTGATGCTCTCAGCAGTAGTGGTAGTAGAGATGACTTCCCTTTTGGTCTACTCACTCCCTTAATTGTCCAGCAATTCTTCATGTTGGTGATGTTGTTCTTAAGATTTGAAATATGCTGATGATTTTCCATTGCCACCCCTGCCTGCCCTTCTCTGCCCTGTTTAGTGCCCAGAGAAACTGCCCCTTGGAATTGCTCATTCAGGCTCCCTTGTTGGCTGGCTTCCATTTGGGTTCTACCACTGTAGGTGCCTGGCCTGTTTGACCCTCCCTGTTTTTATGCACCCTCCCTGTCTCTGGCACCTGCTGCATCCCTTTTTGGCTACAGCCCTTGTTGGGGGCCTGTCCTCATCAGCCCCATTGCTTAATGGAATTTAGTGACACTATTACATTCCCCTTGTTCCTTCAGCCCTATGGACGGTGATGATTTCCAGCTATTGCCAGTCTCTGAATGCTTTAACAACCCCTATTGTTTCCTTTAAACCTACCCACATGCTCATAATTTCTTCACTGAAATTCTTTATTCAGTCACAGGAGTTGGAGTCTGCTTCCTGCTGCAACCCTTCCTGATCCTTTAAGTTAATCTCTAACTTGCTATTGGTGATGCTTCCTTTAAGCCTTGAGTTTTTCATAGTTCAGCCCACAAACATCTTGCTTTCAGAATTGTCGTAGGTGCTTGCTAAAAATGCAATTTCCTGGGACCCATCTTTCTAATCAGAATCTCTAAGAGAGCCCAGTGGTGATGAGTGCATCTCCATCTTAACACGCTCCTGAAGCTGAAGGACCTGATATGAGGCTCACCACTGCTGGGAGTCAGCTAGTGCCTGAGAGCGTGTTCTTGGGAATGTCAGTAGCCTTCCAGAGCCCTCTGATCTCTGATAAAGCCCGTCTTTATTCATTAAGATTAATTACATGCATTTCAAGTGATTTAAACTTCTAAGAGAAAAAGGTATCTGTAAATAAGATATTTTTGAGCCAAACCCACCAAGTGTTTGGAGCCCTGCTGAACACGAATCTCAGTCTGCCTTCTTGGGAACACCAAAAGCGTGAATATCAAAGGGGAGGTGAAAGTTCAGGCCAGTGTACTCAGGTTTGAAATGGTCTCTTTTAGAAAGCCACTCCTGTTCCTCCAGCACTCACTCTTTGGGATCCTTACAGAATTCAGAACTGCAGGAAACAACCGCCTAGTTATTCTCGACTTCCATTTATTAACTTTACAGAAGGGAAACTGAGCAAAAGGCTGCCCAGAGGCTCACTCTGAGGTTTCTGGAGGTCAAAGTCTAGGCCCAGATGTGCTGGAGCTTCTGCTCAGGGTCTCATACAACTGAAATAAAGGTGTCAGCCAGGCTGCATTCCTTTCTGGAGATCAGCAGAATTCAGTTCCTTGTGATTGCAAAACTGAGGCTCCAGTTCTTTCACTGACCATGCACCTGGGGTGCTCCCAAGTCTTAGAGGCTGTCCGGCAGTTCCTGGGCATGTGGCCTCCTCCATGAGCCCTGTCTCACTCAGGCTTAATGGATAATCTCCCTTTTATGAACTCAAAGTCAACTGATGAGTAACCTCATCATAAAGTAATATGCCTTCATCTTCACAGCTTCTGCCCACACAAGATGGGAGGGAATTATACAAGACATATATACCAGGGACAGGAATCATGGGGACATCTTAAAACCCTGGCTATCACCAGGGCTTGCCTTAAAGCAGCATATTAATAGCAAACATTTATTGAGTGCCAAACACTGGTCTAAGCCCTATACACATGTTAACTCATATAATCTTTAATCTTTACAACAGCTCTAAGAAATAGGGACCATTATTATCACCCCGTTTTTGTTGTTGTTGTTGTTGTTGTTCTTTTTTTGTTTTGTTTTTATTTTTTTTGTTTTGTTTTGAGAAGGAGTTTCGCTCTTGTTGCCCAGGCTGGAGTGCAGTGGCACAATCTCGGCTCACTGCAGCCTCTGCCTCCCGGGTTCAAGCGATACACCTGCCTCAGGCTCCCAAGCAGCTGGGATTACAGGCGCCCACCACCAACACTGGCTAATATTTTTTGTATTTTTAGTAGGGATGGGGTTTCGCCATGTTGGCCAGGCTGGTCTTGAACTCCTGACCTCAGGTGATCCGCCTGCCTTGGCCTCCCAAACTGCTGGATTACAGGCGTGAGCCACCGCACCCAGCCAACACCCTGTTTTTATAGGCAAATCACTTGAGGGATCTGAGGATAAATGCAAATTAGAAATAAGGCTTAATTCTCCCTGTTGAAAATAAGGGAAGGAGCATCCCACCCTTTCCTTTTCTTCAGAGTTTCTTTCTCTGTCCTTGTCAAATGTATGTAAACCTTTTTAATGGCTAACTAAACCTCTGGCCAGTGTCAATACTCAGGAATGTTTCCTGAAGTATCTGAGAGGCTTCTCTTTGAACTATAATCAAGGAAGATAACAGCCAGTCTCCCTGTGTCCTGGGAAGAGATAGGCCTACCTGTCACCTGACTCAAATGGCAAAACCTACCCAAGGTAATGGGTTGGATCCACTTGGCTATATAAAAGAATGAAATTGCTTTCTTTATAACCCCTTCAGCAGGTTGCCTGTCTGTGATACACATCACATTCTCGTTTTTTGTTTTTACCTTTCTGGGTTTTCTTTGAGACAGGGTCTTACTCTGTAACCTAGGCTGGAGTGCAGTGGCACCATCTCAGCTTATTGCAAGCTTTGCCTCTTGGGGTCAAGCGATTCTCCTGTTGCAGCCTCCCGAGTAGCTGGGATTACAGGTGCCCACCACAATGCCTGGCTAATTTTTGCATTTTTAGTAGAAACAAGGTTTCACAATGTTGGCCAGGCTGGTCTCGAACTCCTGACCTCAGGAGTTCGCCTTGGCCTCCCAAAGTGCCAGGATTACAGGCGTGAGCCACCACCCCTGGCCGCATTCTGGTTTAATGCTGAGTCAGTAGTGAAGTTGTTTCCTACTTTTCCACCTTTGTAAAGAGGTTTTCTGGATTTGGAGGTGATATGGTTTGGCTCTGTGTCCCCACCCAAATCTCATCTTGTAGCTCCAATAATTCCCATGTGTTGTGGGCGGGACGTGGTAGGAGATGATCGAATCATGGGTGCGGGTCTCTCCCATGCTGTTCTCGTGATAGTGAATGGGTCTCACAAGATCTGATGGTTTTAAAAATGGGAGTGTATCTGCATAAGCTCTCTTTGCATGCCGCCATTCACATAACATGTGACTTGCTCCTCCTTCCCTTCCACCATGATTGTGAGGCCTCCCCATCCACTTGAAGCTGTGAGTTCTCCATTAAACCTCTTTTCTTTGTAAATTTCCCAGTCTCAGGTATGTCTTTAACAACAGCACGAAAACAGACTAATACAGGAGATTCTGTTTTTAATTATATTTCCCTAATAGGTGCAGAAAAGTTAAGTAACTTGTCAGTGACACCTTGCTACTGAGTGGCAGAGTTTACACTGTGAACCCAGGTCTCTGGCTCTAGCTCTAAAGTCCATGTACCTATCCACCTCGTAAATCTTACAGTTTTACCAGAAATAGTTTGGAGTATCCACCTATTCTTTACCTGAAGCTTCCCCATACACCTATTAATGACCAGTGAGGCCTCCATATCTAAACCTTCAGATCAGGGTTTGGAGCCATGTAATGTGTTGTGGTGTGGGCTACCTTGTGCATTTATAGGATGTTTAGCAGCATCCTTGGCCTTTACCCATGAGAAACCAGTAAGGTACCAGGATGTGACAATCAAACATGTCTCCAAACATTGTCATACATTTTGAGGGAAAAGGGACAAAATCACCACAAGCTGAGAACCAGTCCTTTAGTGGACACACACACACACACACACCACTTGCTTGGCAGGGAGACAGGGAAAAAGAGAAGAGGACCTATAGTTGGGAGAAAGGCTTTGACTTTCACACAGTGACTAGAAGCCAATGGCCTGGTAGCTGAGGCTGCAGCCTCCTAAATCTTGCTTTTTCAGAAACAAGAAGAAAAGGGTTGGGTTAGCAGTGGTCTCATGAATCTTTCTTCCCATTCTTTCTTTCTGGTTGGATTGGAAAAGTTAAGTGTCTGAGAAGAGTTAATCACAATAAAAATAATTTCTCTTTAACAAAGATTTGGGCTCCTCTACCTTGTACTGTATTTCCCTTTATTCTTTAGTGAAATTTGAAGTTTTGTTAAATCCTCTAAAGGATCATTGGCAGGAAAAATAATGAGTTTGGTCAAAGACTCTAACTTCAGACTTTCTACAGCTGCAGACCACAGCAAGAAGGTGACTTCACCTTGGAAAATTCTCAACTGAAAGCCTGGGAACAATCAAATGAAACGTTTTTTTCCAAAAGATTATATGCTGCCCATAGTCAAGCATTTGTCTTTCTTAAACTAACCAAAACGTACAGAATTATCTTTTGGAACTAGATGATTTATGAATTGAAAACAAACCTAATGTACTTTCACTCCCTTGCCTGAACATCCTGTACTTTAAATATGTCAGAACCTTACTGTTTTTGTTCTGGGCTCTTTCCTTCCAAGCTGTATAAAGGACTATTCCTTTCACACAGTCAGCAAATAATAAGCACATATCAAAGATGTGCTATCTTACAAACACTTTAGGAAAACAAAGAATGGTAAGATCCAGTCTCTCTTCTCTCAAGTTAGGTCACTGCTGTGAGAGACCAGCTTTATATTTGAAGTGAAAAAGCATTTGCAAAATTTTCTAATCTAGGAGCTTTTCTACTCAGAAACAGGTTTGGTTTTCAAAGTTTATTCATCAATCCTTTTGTTTATAAGTAAAAGGAGACCAAAAGTGTTTAATATTGTATTACTTCTTGATGTATTCCTACCAAACAGAAGAAGGAATGATTTCTTTCATGCTTTGAAAGTTGGCATACATTTTCTCTTTACTTGGATATGTTGCAGTTGCCTCAGGCATCTCCTTTCTGAAATCAAGCAATTTCAATTACAATAAAGACCTGTTGAGGAAAACCACCTCTTATTGATGGTTTTTCCAATGTTCTATGAAGTCCCTGAGCAAGTATATTTTGATGTTATGTAAATCCCAACAGGCATTACATTTATGAAACCCTAGTCACATTTTTCCATGCTTAACTTTGGACTTTTAAACCTGCACTCTAGACTTCTCCTAAATTAACTGTAGGCTACCTGCCTTGGCTGGGAGACCCGGTGGACCCTATTTGATTTTTGCTACCACAAGCCAAACGCAAAGCCTTGACACTGATCCCTCCAATACTTTCCACCACTACGTGGCTGCCAAGGTCAAAAGCTGCCTTCAAGGTCTCCAAGACAGGGATCATAGGAAGCTTGTAACCTTGGAAAAATCCCCAGTGAATTGTTGCTGACGTCACTGAATAATGTGAGGATAGGCTGATCTGACCTCTCGGCTTCTCAAAAGCCCAGTTCCTGGCGGGCGTTCTTTGGCCTTCAGGAATCTCCTGCTTTCCTTTCCTTTGGCAGAAGGCCAGTCTAGCAAGGGTCTGGATGGTTATCATGATATGGCCCTCCAGGAAGTCGCTGTGAAATCTTTCACTTCTTGCCTGATTTGCTATATCTTAGTGGGGGAAATGGCCTGGACCTCAGGCATGTACTCAAGAGTATGGCTGACACTCACATTTGCTACGATTGACCCAACTCTCTCTATATATATATATTTGATATATAGAGATACACACACACACACACACACACACACACACACACACACATACACACACATGCATATATAAGACATATGATATATTTTTCCCCATTTCATCAGATTTTTATTCCTTCTATTACTGATTGTTGAGCAGTATATGTATGTGTTGCTTTTCACTGGTTGCATAATTCATTCTTTGTGCTTTAGAATATTTCCCACTGTCCAACAATGTATCTAGTTTGCCCTGCAACATTTGCCATTTTCTCATAATTTTCATTGTGTTATCTGTACCTACATTTTTGTCACAATGACACACTTCTTCTAAAAGAATGATCCTAAAGCATCTTTGTAACTAAACCTCATCTTAGAGAAAAAACTCAATGGCATAAACTGACTGCGCAAAACTATTGATACCATCATTTGGTGCAAGCACAGTTGAAGTGCCTTTCTGGAATAATTTTAGTCTATTTAGGTTTAAAAATTATTTAGTGGAAATAACTTATCTGGTGTTAATTTGGAGGCAGTTAACTCATCATTCATCATTTATCTTCTCCTCAACTCTTAGAAGATACTGCAGTGTAAGTGCAAGAGGAATGGACTAGGAATCAAGGTACCTGTGCAAAAACAACAAAAAAGATCCTGAACCATTCCTCTCCTCTAGCTGTACTTTTGCACAAATATCTGCACTAGTATCATTCAATAGAATTTTCCACAATGATGTAAATTCTCTATACCCCTACTGCCCAATACTGTGTGCCCAACATAATAAAGTGTCACTGGCCCCATGTGATTATTGAGCACTTAAAATGTGACTAGAGTGACTGAAGAACTAAATTTTTCACTTAATTTAATTTTAATTAATTTAAATTTAAATAGCCATACAAAGTGAGTGGCTACTGGATTGGACAAGGCAGGTCATATGGTTTGGATCTGTGTCCCTGCCCAAATCTCACGTCAAATTGTAATCCCCAGTGTTGGAGGTGGGGCCTCGTAGGAGGTGATTGGATCACAGGGTTGGATTCTTCATAAATGGTTTAGCAACATCCCCTCAGTGTTATTCTTGTGGTCATGTGTTATCATGAGATCTGGTTGTTTAAAAGTGTATAACAACTGCCCCTCTCTCTCTTCCTTCTGCTCTGGCCATGTGAGATGTCTCACTCCCCCTTTGCCTTCCACCATGATTGGAAGCTTCCTGAGGACTACCCAGAAGCAGAGGCTGCTATGTTTCCTGTACAACCTGCAGATCTGTGAGCCAACTAAATCTCTTTTCCTTATAAGTTACCCAGTCTCAGATATTTCTTTATAGCAATGCGAGAACAGACTATTGTAACTAACAGGCCTATGATTAATTTCTTGCAATTAAGTGACGAAGACTTTCAAACCACAAACTTTACAAATATCTTCCCCCATATTAGGTCTATTGTGAGTGAAACAACTGAAGTTTAGCACCTGGTTCACATCACCAGAATGAAATTATTAGTCCTGTTTACTAACAGAGTGCTGGTAGAAAGTCAGTTAGTATTTCCCAATGGGCTGGTGAAGCATTGCTGTATCTAAGCAAGAAAAGGTATAGACTTCATGTCACATGTGCATGGTTTTTGTTAGAACTGCTTGCGATGGGTTATCCAAGTGGAAAGGATAACCGTGTCCAAAGACATTGAATCCCAGCTCTAACTTTCTCAGGCTTTCTAAGTCTCCATTCAAATCTCCCTGAATATTCACCAGTTCTAGAAAACAAAGGAAGTAAAAAATAAAAGCAAGGGGCAGGGCGAGAAGCAAAACAGTGAGAGTCCAAGAAGTCAGCAGAAAAACATACTTTTGTAAATTGGACCGGTTAGCAACAAAATCATCTGATTCAATGTAGGTAAGGTTGGCACTGCATCAAGGTATGGGAGTTCCCTCCTTGCCCTGGTTTGACCCTTCCTTCCAGGATGGACCTCTGGGACTCGCTCTTTCCATCCAGTTGCTCCTCCAGAGCCTCTTGGGTTCAGCTTTGGTCCCTGCAGGTGAAAAGCCCTTTTTCTTTTGTTTCTAGACTGTTCACTTCTTGCTTCAAACTGTGGTGCACTGCTCTTACAAGGTTCTACTTCGCTTTCTTCTCAGGCTATTGCACTGTTTGGGGCTCCTAAAAGTCCACCTGTATCCCTGTCCCATTAATCTTTATACAGGGTAGTTTACCTGAAGCATGTTTAACAACATGTAGTAACATGCAAGGATATTGAAACATGGTTTTATTTCTCCCATGTTTGGAATGAAATAGCTGCTGAATAAATATTTTGTGAGTGACTCATAACCTGGGAACATGGAAGTTGTAGAATGAATGATCAAGCCCCTCCCAATCAAAGAATTGATGTCACCATCACCCACTTCACAAATGTGTCACAGCTACCAAAATGCTTTAAACATTTGTAACAGGAATAACATTTTTGAGGCATTAAGTAAATATTTATTTGTTTCTGGTGATTCCTTTTCCCTAATTGTCTTATATGTCATTACCTATTGAACTAATGGGCAGAATCCAGTGAGAATGAGAGCCATTACTGTTCTTCGTGTAAAAATGGGTCTTAGAAAATTACAGGTAGACTAAAGCCTGCAAGCATACACCACTGTTCTGCAGAGGCCATGCTTTACTCAGAAAAAAAAAAAAAAAAGATTTAAAAAGACACTTGTGTGGTCTGAGGAGCTGAATGCTGGGGGCCGATCAAGGGGTAGGTATGGACAGCACTGGCCACAGAAGGGTTCCCCCACGACAGCCCCACGGCAGCCTTCCTGGGCTGTGGAAAGGAGCCGAATGAGAGGGAGGAAGATGGGGAAGGGCCATCATAGGGCAGTCAGAGAGGTCTGGGGGTAATCTGTGAGCACAGTGTAAGCCAGGAAAACAGCCAGTCTTTCACAGACTTCCAGTCATCTAGAACTGGAGAACCAGCCTGGGGCAACTCCCACGGTCTCACGTGCTGCAATATAGAAATAAGACAGCAACAGGAGGATGGGGTGGGGGCAGGAGGGAGGATGTAGGTGCAAGTAGGACCGTCCGAGTAGATGGGGACAGGGTGCAGAGTCCAGGCCTACACGTACAGTGTAAGCAGGCCCCTGACATCAGCCAGGAACTCCAGCTCAGCACCTGAGGTGCATGGGGCTAATCACTCCTCTGCGTACAGCAGAGCTCAGAGAGCAGGCTCCTCAGGAGAAGCCATGAGTCTGCAGAGGGCAACACAAGGTCAGAGCCCCTCCTCTCTCTGCCAGCCCACAATTCTCTCACCTAGGAATAGAAGGAGGAAGAGAGGAACTCTTGGGAGGGGAGAAACTGCCCTGGAAGAGGGTTTCAACTTTCAATGGACTGAATATTTACCCCCAAAGAACTATTTTAGCCCAGAAAGACTGGAAATTGTCAAGAAAATTGTCAAGAATGGAAATTGTCAAGACACTGCTGTCAATGAAAACAGGGGCTCCGGGCAAGATGAGCTCAGTGAAGGAAAATAAAGATGCACTTCTTTATTTTTTATTTATGCACATGTGATTCATATGTGTGAATTTTGACCCCACTACAAATACATCAATTAGTTTCCTATCAATATGTTAAGAGAAAAAAATGCTTCCCACTCCCCAAATTAAAAGCAATGATTACCAGATTGTGTCTTAAATCTAGAAAACGTCCCCATTCAATATATGTGCTCTTTATTATGGGCTCCCCATTCAATACTAGGCTCTTACTGTATACCATGCAATGTGCAAGCTCCGTAAGTTCAGATTAAACATGTAATGTTCATATAGGACACTGAGAGCAAACAATCTTCACAGCCAGAGAAAACAAAAAGATCCTTAGAAAGATTATACCTGCAGCCTGGCCAACATGGTGAAACCCTGTCTCTACTAAAGATGCAAAAAAATTAGCTGGGCTTGGTGGCGCGTGCCTGTAATCCCAGCTACTCAGGAGGCTGAGGCAGGAGAATCTCTTGAACCCAGGAGGCAGAGGTTGCAGTGAGCTGAGATCGCGCCATTGTGCTCCAGCCTGGGAGACAGGTGAGACTCCAAAAAAAAAAAAGAAAGAAAGAAGGAAAGAGAGAAAGAGGGAGAGAGAGAGAGAAAGGGAGGGAGGAAGGAAGGAAGGAAGGAGAGAAAGAAGAAAGAAAGACAGAAAGAAAGAAAAGAAAGAAAGAAAGAAAAGAAAGAAAGAAAGAAAAGAAAGAAAGAAAAGAAAAGAAAGAAAGAAAGAAAGAAAGGAAGAAAGAAAGAGAAAAGAAAGGAAAATACCTTTATTAGTTAGAATATTTTAAAAACAAATGTCCTCATCCTGCTTCTAGCAAGACCCCAGAGCAAGCTGATGCAAGTGCTCATTGGTCACCTGCATGTTGCAATTTGATATTTACAGTTAGCACCCCTACCTCGAACTCTTCCTCATAACCTATATATGGCTGTTTAAATTACCATTTTAGTCCTTAAAGTCAAGCAGTATCTGTATACGCAAAATTATATTCCTAAAATCATCGTACGTACGTTACCATTAACAATAGCTTAAGGTTATTACGTGAGTTATAGTTTACACTGAGATTCACAGAATTATTTAACCTGGATGGCAGGTTGGACGTATTTTGCACCCATTTTGCAGATGAGGAAATAGAGGCACCTTTGTTCAACAGTCTTTCTCAACAAAGATTAACCCAGATCTTTAGACTTGTGGACCTGCACCACCAGCCCATTCAAATATCTGCTTGCCTGCTGCCATTCCTAGGATAACTGATTTGGACTTTGCTACTTATCTATAGATTCTTTCTGCTTTAAAAGTGTAGCATAGCTCTAGATCCACTGTTTGCCCAAAAACTTCCCTTATCTACCTTGCCCACACTAAACTCCCCTTTCTCTGAATGCCCACAACACATCCTCTTGACATTGCTATTTTGTAATCCATCATGTTCTTCCTTGAAACAACTCTTAAACTCTTACTTACCTTTCCAAATGCTTACATCTTGTTGCCCCCAACTAGATAGAGCTCCTCAAGGATCTTTTCCTGTCCATTTGCCCCATACTCCCTTGCAGACTTGGCACACAAGTTCTCATATATTTCTGGTTTTATTGATTAACTAAAACACTTCAATTTCTCTCCCTAAACCTCTGGGAAAAGGGAAGAACTCCCCAAAGCGGACAACCACACTGACAAAGCCAATGTTCTGCTTCACAATTCGGCATGTGACCGTCCCTGCCAAGACCCCAGAAATTAATTTATTATTTAACCAAAGCCAGTGATTATTGCATAATTTCATCCTTCCAATCAAGAATGCTGCTCTTTATTTAATGACTGAGACCTACTTACTTAGCTTCCAAATATGGTAGTAATTACTTGATATACAGATTAATGCATTCCCAGGCTAGTGCCTTGCACAGAACTATCAAATATAATTGGGGTTTCTAACCTTGTGACACAGCCCTACAAATTGCCTTCTTTATTTCCTTTTCTTAAAAAGTACGTTCAGTCTACTCTGGACTTTCCCATCTGTCGTCAGGTGACTTCCTGCTCTGTTAGCTGACCGTGAGTCACGTCGTTGCTGCACAGCACGTTCAGTGAGGCTGCCTCTGCGTGTGAGGCGACCAGGAGAGGAAAGGACAGACTTGAGCTATCAGACCTCTCTCCTGGTGGGATATTGTTTGTTTCCCCTACCCTGTTCATTTAAAACCTCTCAGTTATAAGCTTTGCTCCTCAGTTTATGCCTCTGTGATGATGCTTCAAGAGACAGGGAAACCAGTTTCCTACATTCCAAAATAAAAATGACATTTTAAAAAGTCTATCCTTTTAGGCAATGAATCATTTATCCGGGCAACCCCTTTCGTCAAGGGTCTTCTTCCTTTCAGCCACATTTCGGGGATGTCTTCTGTAAGGCAAACGGTTGTGACCAAGTGCGTACTCTGGAATCCAAATGATGCAAGTAGAGTTGAAAAGGAATTTCAAAATTACAGGAAAGGAGCTATGAGGGTAGAGAGGATGGGTTTAAAATACAAATAAGGAAACTTTGTGGATTGGGGAAGTCATTGGAGCAAAATAATGGGGAAGTTGGAGGCTCAAGAATAAACAACGTCTAGAAAGTTAGAGGAGTCTGGAGGGCACTTTTGCCTTCTGCAAATATCTTGTATATTATTTTGCTACGTGGGGGCTTAAATTCATTCTCATTAAAAGAAGATAAAGGAACAGTAACACTAGCCTGTCTCATCTGATGTTTTTAGGTTTGTTTGTTTTTATTATTATTATTTCTTTTTAGAGACAGGGTCTTGCTCTGTTGCCCAGGCTGGCATGCAGTGGCATGATCATAGCTCACTGCAGCCTTGAAATTCTGGACTCAAGCAATCCTCCCACCTCAGCCTCCCAAAGTGCTGGGATAATAGGCATGAGCCGCCATGCCTAGCCTGTTTTTAGTTATTATTTATTTTTTCTTTTTTGGGACAGGGTTTCACTATTTGGCCCAAGCAGGCTTAACACACTTCCACTTAATATGCTAATAAAGTAATCAGTATTTGGATAAAAAGTTGGCTAAACATAGAAATAATAATCTAAACTCAATGTAATAATTTACAGATCATTTGGGGATTCTAAACAGGACACAGACATCTATTAGCTGAATAATAACTAGCATGTGTATAGCCAACTTCTTTATGCCAATCTTTCTGGATTGGTGATATTATGGATTTGTGTTGGAGAAATAAATGTATCCATTAACATTTTAGATCAGCACTTTTAAGCCCCAAATAAAAAAGGATATGCATTGATTAGGGTTGTATCTTTACAACATTCAATGAAGTTATTCTTGGCATCCTGTTTTGGAGAAATTGGATCTGCACTTGTAGGTATGTTTACATGTCTTCTTTAAATAGAAGATTTCAGGTTTTTTTTTTCTTCTCATAAGGCCTAGTGATATATGGGTGCTCTTCAAATGTTCATTTTATAACAGTTTAAAAATCTCAGTAATGTAGAGTGGGAATCTAGTACTATTGAATTAAATTGGAAAGCTCTGCATTTTTATTAAGGAAAAGCTTCACCAATTATTTAGAATGAATTGCTCCAAGATTCTCCATTGGCTTTCATTTAGGAAGACCCTGTCATAGGGTTTGGACATCGTAGTTGTTTCTGGATTACTATGGAAATATGATGGTCATTCTCTAAGGCTGAACCTATTATTCCTAGAAAGGAGGTGAGTAATAACATCTTCAACTAAAATCAATGTGGAATCATAAGGAAAAATCTTGTGAATCTTTCAATTAAGAAGAAATCACCTTTTAAGGTAACATATTCTGTAGACAATTTTTCTGCCTTCTTCAATATGACCTTAGAGGGCTAGTTCCAGTGACTAAACCCCCAACCAGGCAAAGCTAAAATTCTGTCTTGACTCAAAAGCAGAATTCCACTACCTGAGTCACCTACAAAACTTCAACAGCACCCTGGATTTTCCTGAAAGCATCCCCAGCCAAGGATTGAGCAGGTTTAGGCATGTTCTCTTATGAAACCAGCTGATGACACAGTTACAGGGACTATGGCTCAAAAGTTATGGGCTGGGTTAGTGCCAACCCTGGTATAGTGCCCTCCATTAAGTACTGAGAATGCTCATCTCTAAATATCAAGACACTGTTTGAGATGAAATATCTATGTGGACTGCTCATGGCAAACACACCACTTTTAGATCTATCCTTTCACGATATGAAGTGTATTTCATCCACGTTGGCTTAATTCCATCCAATTCCCATGAAGTACATGTTCATTTTCAGCTGCATTTGCTCATTTGCTTTTAATACTTCTTCTCTCTGGCTCGCTTCTAGGTAGAGAATCATTTCTTTTTTTATATACTTTAAGATTTAGGGTACATGTGCACCACGTGCAGGTTAGTTGCATATGTATACATGTGCCATGTTGGTGTGCTGCACCCATTAACTCATCATTTAACATTAGGTATATGTCCAAATGCTATCCTTCCCCCCTCCCCCAACCCCACAACAGGCCCTGGTGTGTGATGTTCCCCTTCTTGTGTCCATGTGTTCTCATTGTTCAATTCCCACCTATGAGTGAGAACATGCAGTGTTTGGTTTTTTGTCCTTGCGATAGTTTGCTAAGAATGATGGTTTCCAGCTTCATCCAAGTCCCTACAAAGGACACGAACTCATCCTTTTTTATGGCTGCATAGTATTCCATGGTGTACATGTGCCACATTTTCTTAATCCAGTCTATCATTGTTGGACATTTGGGTTGGTTCCAAGTCTTTGCTATTGTGAATAGTGCCGCAATAAACATATGTGTGCATGTGTCTTTATAGCAGCATGATTTATAATCCTTTGGGTATATACCCAGTAATGGGATGGCTGGGTCAAATGGTATTTCTAGTTCTAGATCCCTGAGGAATCGCCACACTGACTTCCACAATGATTGAACTAGTTTACAGTCCCACCAACAGTGTAAAATTATTCCTATTTCTCCACATCCTCTCCAGCACCTGTTGTTTCCTGCCTTTTTAATGATCACCATTCTAACTGGTGTGAGATGGTATCTCATTGTGGTTTTGATTTGCATTTCTCTGATGGCCACTGATGATGAGCATTTTTTCATGTGCCTTTTGGCTGCATAAATGTCTTCTTTTGAGAAGTGTCTGTTCATATCCTTCACCCACTTTTTGATGGGGTTGTTTGTTTTTTTCTTGTAAATTTATTGGAGTTCATTGTAGATTCTGGATATTAGCCCTTTGTCAGATGAGTAGATTGCAAAAATTTTCTCCCATTCTGTAAGTTGCCTGTTCACTCTGATGGTAGTTTCTTTTGCTTGCAGAAGCTCTTTAGTTTAATTAGATCCCATTTGTCAATTTTGGCTTTTGTTGCCATTGCTTTTGGTGTTTTAGACATGAAGTCCTTGCCCATGCCTATGTCCTGAATGGTGATGCCTAGGTTTTCTTCTAGGGTTTTTATGGTTTTAGGTCTAACATTTAAGTCTTTAATCCATCTTGAATTAATTTTTGTATAAGGTGTAAGGAAGGGATCCAGTTTCAGCTTTCTACATATGGCTAGCCAGTTTTCTCAGCACCATTTATTAAATAGGGAATCATTTCCCCATTTCTTGTTTTTGTCAGGTTTGTCAAAGATCAGATGGTTGTAGATATGCGGCATTATTTCTGAGGGCTCTGTTCTGTTCCATTGATCTATATCTCTGTTTTGGTACCAGTACCATGCTGTTTTGGTTACTGGTAGAGAATCATTTCTAAAACCCAGTATAAAAATCAGCCTCAAGCAGCCATCACCTAGAGGAGGCTGGAAATCTCAAAACTAATTAGAGCGGGCCGGGGGCGGTGGCTCACGCCCATAATCCCAGCACTTTGGGAGGCCGAGGCGGGCAGATCACGAGGTCAGGAGATCGAGGCCATCCTGGCTAACACAGTGAAACCTGTCTCTACTAAAAATACAAAAAATTAGCCGGGCATGGGGGCGAGCGCCTGTAGTCCCAGCTACTCGGGAGGCTGAGGCAGGAGAATGGCGTGAACCCGGGAGGCGGAGCTTGCAGTGAGCCGAGATCGCGCCACTGCACTCCAGCCTGGGCGACAAAGCGAGACTCCGTCTCAAAAAAAAAAAAAAAGAAAGAAAATGATTCATTTTCCCCACCAATACTCCCTGCAGCCTGTTAAGGTCAAAGCCTCTGGTGGAGGCTGCACAGGTAGTGATATGGGAGTATTGATAACTGTTCTTTCTTCCCCAGTGACTGGTATGGGCCTTCACTGGAATATTTCTCTCTGTCAACTCTGTGCACGGGGTTGAGTCCTGGCCATGATAGTATGAATACTGTCATTCAAGTTTCCCCTGGCCTTACCAGACTGTACAGATAACAGGAACCACCCCAACTCAAATTTCCCTGGTTTTTTCCATAGCCTGGGGATGGTGGACCTTTAATACCCTGTAAGGTATCTTTCAAATATTTCTTGAGGTCCCTACAAGGTGTCTCCCAGGTACTGCTGCATAACATCCCTCCTCTAAGCTGGCCCATGGCTTCTCCTGGCCACTGGCTGGCCAGCAGTGTCTCCTGTTTGCCCCTTCCATGTACTTCCACAGCTGAGGCTCAGGAAAGCTGCAGATGTCCAAGTGACACGGCATTCTCTTTTAAGTAGGAGGAGCGCTTCCTTCCCCTACCCCCTCATGCCAACCACAATGAGGACACCCAGCACTGATGCCCAGCAATGTGGCTTCTGCTCCAGTATATTACAGAGTTCGAATTCAGAATTTCAGTTTCCCTTTGTAGGCTGCTGACTGCTCAGAGGAGGTAGGCTTTCATTCTTAAATATGTACTGATTGCCTGCTCTGTGTAGATGCCTACAACGTGCACAGGGATGAGTGAAACCGCCAAGGACTCTGACCATGAAATTTTCAGCCTAGTCATGGAGAAAGATGATGACCAAGAAATAAAAGCAAATAAATACACAACCACAAATTGAGATAAGTGCTATGAAGGAAACAGGCAGAGAGGTGTGAGAGAAAATAACAAAGGAGCTACTTTCGATCAGAGGGTCAGAAAAGGTCTCCAAGCTCATGACAGTTTATAATAATAACTATTAATAGGACATATTAGAAATCCAGACTTGGAAAAAGGGAGGGGAGGGGTTTTTAGAAGAAATTTATTGGGGAGGATGGGGGTGGTACAAAGAGGAGGAGGAGTTAATATTTTGAGACATTACTATGACCCAGTAACATTCTAAGAACTTTACACATGTTATATTCTTTAATCCTAACACAACCCTATGTAGGAACTACTGTTAACCCTGCTTAACAGAGGTATAAGATGAAGCACAGAAGGGTTAAGTAACTTGCCCTTGTCACACAGCTACTAAGTGGTGAAGGCAGAATTTGAATCCGAGCAGTTTCAGACCCTAAGGAAGAAAAGACTTTGGATTATTTTAGCAACTTAAAGACCAGTGTGACTGAAATGGAAAGGAAAACGGGGAGGGAAATGGGAGAGAAATGGAGTTGGCAAAGCAGGCAGGGCCTAGAGCATGCATGGAAAGGTGGTCATATTTCATCCTCAGAGAGTGTCATGGCTGATTAATTAATGCTGCTCCAAAGGAACAATACTGTTCTGAGGAGCCAGCTGTGGTCATGAAAATAATGATCACCTCTATTACTTTCTTAGGCTGAGGTATTAGAAAATGAGAGTGCTTCCTTTATGCTGAGAAGAAGAAAGGAGCCTAAGATCTTGGGGATGGAATTACCCTCTCTGGCAGATAGGCCAACTTCATGCATAACCCAGGAAACTGCACCACTTCCCAGGACCTACCGGTAGCAACCCATTCCCTGCATTATAGAATGACGGATGGCCAAATTAAACAGTATTCCACCAGGGGGTGAGCACTGGGTTAGTAATACAGGGATGGGGAAGGGCATGGAGAGGAACCAGTTATCAGAGTGGGCCTCTCTAGGGGACAATCTCCACTTTGGCAGGAGCCGCCTGGGGAAACGCCTGTGTTCCTGGCCACGGGCTGCAACTCACAGCCTCTCTACGTGGCTGCCTAACTGGGACAATAAATCCCTGGAGATGAAGAAGAAGCAGTGTCTGGTGTACCCACCAAGTAAACTCTGGTAAGTTATATCCACAGGAAAAGTGAAGAGGCAACAATCTCTTGATTCTTAAGGTCAGCATCTTGTTTGGTTGCTCTCTCCTGAATTCTCTTAGGAGATTCCTCCCACGCTTAGGAAATCTCAAATTTGTCCCACAAAGAATATTAACTCAGTCTAGCCTCCTAAACTGAGTCTAACCTCATCTCTAGTGACATAAACTAGGTAGAATTGGGAGGGGATTTTCCAAATTCTGTTTGCTTGCTTGTAATGGTAAACTTTTCCTTTCTTTTTTTTTTTTTTTTTTTTTTTTTGAGAAGGAGTTTTGCTCTTTTTGCCCAGGCTGGTGTGTAATTGTGCGATATTGGCTCACTGCAACCTCTGCCTCCCAGGTTCAAGTGATTCTCCTACCTCAGCCTCCCAAGTATCTGGGATTACAGGCACCCACCACCATGCTCAGCTAATATTTTTATTTTTAGTACAGATGGGATTTCACCATGTTGGTCAGCTGGTCTCGAACTCCAGACCTCAGGTGATCCACCTGCCTCAGCCTCCCAAAGTGCTGGGATTACAGGCGTGAGCCACTGCGCCTGGCCTGTAATGGTAAACTTTTAACCGATTAACCTGTTCTTGCTTGTCGAGTAATGTGGACATCCATTCTCCATGTTTCCCTCTCCAGCAGCCCCTCAATTTCTGTTTGGGGATACGTATGATACCTGAGAGTCTAATTCCATCTGAGTGGCAAGAAGGGAACACGTGGCCTGGGCTAAGCCATCAGCACGTTCTATCAACCCCGGCCACAGTGACTGTGACCTAAGCCCATTTGTTCAGTGTGAGTCTCAGGATCTCTGCTTTGGAATACAAGACGAAGTTCCTCTCTCCCTCTTGGTGTATTTGAATAAGAAGCAAGAGTCATCTAGGAATCACAGAAGGAGGCTGACTTAGGATAGAGCCAACATCAAAAAAAAAAAATAGAGTTATAAAGAGCTATGTCCTGCATGACATCATTAAGCAGAATGACTCCCCACCTCATCAAAACCCTGCTCTTTCCAGGGATGAGAGTTGATTAAATTGAGCTCAACAAATATTGACAGAGTGCCTTGTCATGTGCCAGACATGGTATTGGACACTCACAATACGTTAGCGCATAAAACAGGTAAGAATCCCTGTCCTCAGGGAGAAGGAGACAGAAAATAGACAATAAGCAGAATAAGTGAAATAATAGCATGTTAGAGGAGGGTAAGTATGGTGGGGAAAAGGAAAAGAAGAGCAGGTAAGGGAGATGGGACTGGGTGAGTAGAGCTGGAGATGAGGCTCTGTATTCTTTAAGGTGGGGGTCTCTCTGCTACTTGTTATCTATTACTTGCTAATAAACCTACAACACCTTAGGACATTCTAAATACCTGTAACGTAACCCCTTTCCCCTAACACACACCCAGAGGTAAACATTTCTATAGATTTTTTAAAAAAAGAATTTTAGGCTGGGCTTGGTGGCTCACACCTGTAATCCCAGCACTTTGGGAGGCCAAGGCGGGCAGATCACGAGGTCAGGAGATCGAGACCATCCGGGTTAACACGGTGAAACCCCGTCTCTACTAAAAACTACAAAAAAATTAGCCAGGCATGGTGGCGGGGGCCTGTAGTCCCAGCTACTCAGGAGGCTGAGGCAGGAGAATGGTGTGAACCCGGGAGGCAGAGCTTGCAGTGAGACGAGATCACACCACTGCACTCCAGCCTGGGCGACAGAGGGAGACTCCATCTAAAAAAAATAAATGTATAAATAAAAATTTAAAAAATAAAAAAGAATATTAATTACATTTGTCTAAGATTTGGCTTGGGGAGGGACGTTATATTTGAGTTCTAGATAAAGGTTGAATTCATCAGTTTTGGAAAATACATATCCACATTTTGGGGGCAGGGCACGGGAATTAAAATGTTTCCATTTCAATCCTGTAGCACTCTGACATAAATTATGCTGCTTTCCTGAAGCAGCAAGGTTCTTTTACTCCCATTGTTTTCTGCTTCTTGAAATATACAAATAATCACCTGTTTCTGTTTCCAATATTGATTTATGGAAAATGCATCAAATTAGTATTGACAATGCTTTACAACTTGAGAAGTTATATTCTGTGACTCTGATTTTCTCAGAGACCAACTTGCAAGAACTATAATATTGTAACTGAGTCAAAAGCTGGTGAGCAAGAAGGTGAACAAGAAAGCAAGCAAGAGCAAATTAACTTAATATAAAGATGTCTCTTCCCCCAACTGTTCTGAGTACGTGGCTAGTGGCTTCCTGTGAAGGAAACACTTGGTTGGCTCTTGTCTTAGTTAAGACTGGCATTCCCCCTTTTGTACAACTCTGCGATGCTGTGTAAAGGAAGAAACTATCACCATAGAGACTTGGGTCTCCTGCACATTCAAATGATTATCTAGGAACACTAGATAATCTGTCTCTTGCCATAGCACTTACTTTTTAGCAGTCATCTCTTCATAGGCTATACATTTTTTAAAAAGGTCCAATGCCAGACAAACTAAAGCTGTGCTCTGATAGTGCCAGAAAGACACACTTACAAACATGGCCAAATTAGCCTGGTGGGCTTTCATGCAAATGCCCTGTGCCTTTACTGTTTCAGATCTCAAGCTTTCCTTAGATGCTCAGAGTTCAACTTCAGTGAAGTTGCTGCTGAACAGAGGCACACAGAGCCAGGGGAGTGAGTGGGGAGAAGCATGGAAGCAGAAGAAGGTACTGTGCCTTCTCAAAGTCTGTGAAAAGAGACACCTGAGATCATTGGGAAACAAAAAATCTACAAATCATGGTAAGACAATTGGTCAGTACCTTTAGCAAAAGAAAACCCTCCCCTCCTGCCAAATGACAAATTAAATTATCAGTGGATGAGACTCAAGTACATGTGCACATAAATGCACATACACAAGTACACGCACATGCACACACACACACCACACGTGCACACACACACACATAGGCAAAGAAATAAAACTGTATACATGCCAAAAATAGCTGAATATTTATTTAATCACTGCTGTTGAAGAGCACTGTGAGTTTGTCATGTAAGAAATCCCATGGGAAATGATAACAGACCTGACCACAGAAAAATGGTAAACTTCTGAACATTAAGAAGGGCACAGACTAAAATACAAACATCTACATAGAAAGATCTACAGTAAAAAATAAGAGATAATCATCTAATATCTTCTGAAACATAGAGCTTATAAAAATTGATTCGAAAAACATGAAGATTTCAGAATAGAAATGGACAAAGGACACAAGACAACTCACAATACAGCAAATATAAATAAATAAAAAACAGATGGAAAATGTTCATCTTGTTACTTAACAAAGGCAAAATTGAAACAGTAGTAGAGTAATTTTTCTTACTATCAAGTTAGCAAAAATAATTTCTTTGCCTAATCATGTTGATAAGAGCACAATGAAACAGGAAATCTCATAAACTGCTTGCAGGAGTATAAAACTTTCTGGAAAGCAATGTGCTGTTTCCCAAGAGGACTCTAAGGGTTTGTATCCTTTGACCTAGTAATTCTGCTTCCAAGAACTTATCATCAGAAAGTAATTTAAAAATTCCAAAATATGGACATCATGCATAAAAGATGTTCATTTCATCATTGCTTATTAAAAAAAAAACGGAACACCCTAAATGCCTACTATTCATTTCAATATTTTTTGAGCACCTAATATGTGTCAAACAATGAGCTAGAACAGACACCAAACACAAACCAGTTATGATTCTTATCCTTCCAATACTGGGAGGAACTGCAGGTTGGGAGGAGATATACATTGAATTAAGTAATTATTACACTTGTTACAGGAATGCATAGCAGAGGCACCTAACCAGAGGGGGGTGACATTTAAACTAACTCCTGAAAACTATGTGAAAGTAAGCAGAAGGGGATGGCAGATGAAATATTCTGATTAATACTTCAAGAAGCAGAAACAATGGGAATAAAAGAATCTTGCCGTTTCAAGGAAGTATCATAATGTGTTCCAGAAAAAGGAAACAACATATTGCAAGTCCAGGAGGAAAAAAATTTGACCTAAATTAAGAGTGTCCTCATATTTCAAAGTGGCGATGAAGAGAGTCCAAGCATCTGTTGGGAAGATGAGACCTAGCAGGAAACACAGTGGAGTTGCTTTCCTCCTCTTCTTCTGATTAATTTCACAGGTTTTTCACATTTTTAGTTTAAATGTCACCTACGCTGGTTAAGTCCCCTCTGCTATGAACTCTTGTAGCAAATGTCATAATTACTTGATTAAATGCTTATCTCCTCCAAGACTGTAAGTTCTGCAAGGGTAAGAATTATATCTGCCTTGCAGATGGGTGTGGTGGCTCACACCTGTAATCCCAGCACTTTGGGAGGCCGAGGATCACCCTAGGCCAGGAGTTCGAGACCAGCCTGGCCAATGTGGTGAAATCCCATCTCTACCAAAAGTACAAAAATTTAGTTGGACATGGTGGTGCACATCTGTGGTCCCAGCTACTTGGGAGGCTGATGTGAGAGGATTTCTTGAGCCTGGCAGGCGGAGGTTGTAGTAGTGAGCCAAGATTGCACCACTGCACTCCAGCCTGGGTGACAGAGCGAGACTCTCTCTCAAAAAAAAAAAAAAAAGAATTTTATTTGTCTTGTGTTTGGTTTCTGTTCTAGATCAGTGTTTGACACATATTAGGTGCTCATAATGGTGTTAGGGAGTGACCCACCACCAGGAAGCACATGGGAGGATGGCTATGTGGCAGTGTTGAGGGACACTGAATCCGAAGTGCTGGGTCTTGAATTCATCAGTAAAAACATGAAGACCTGGCCCATCAGGAGGACCCACAAGGGAATGAGGAAAGGTCATCGTGTTGGACACACATCTATGGTCTGGGCCTGTCAGGCTCCAAGGGTTGTGGTGTGTGTGCACTTGTATCTCCAAGAGAACGGGAGTGACATCCCCAAACACAAATGAGGTTAACTTTTCTAAGGAACATTGGTTAGTGGCCAGGCGTGGTGGTTCACACCTATAATCCCAGCACTCTGGGAGGCCGTGGAGGGTGGATCACTTGAGGTCAGGAGTTTGAGACCAGCCTGATCAACATGGTGAAACCCCATCTCTACTAAAAATACAAAAATTAGCCAGGCATGGTGACACATGCCTGTAATCCCAGCTACTTGCGAGGCTGAGGCAGAAGAATCGCTTCAACCCAGGAGGCGGAGGTTGCAGTGAGCCGAGGTCACACCACTGCACTCCAGCCTGGGAGACAGAGTGAGACTCTGTCTCAAAACAAAACAAAACAAAACAAAAACCAAAAACATTGGTTAGTGTAGCCAAGAAAGATTTTTGACTTAAAAAATAAATCTGTTATCCATGCAGTGTGTTGATGAAAAAAAGAAGATAGTATGTGTTACAAATAAGATAAATATTACATAACCATTTGTAAGATTATTTATGAAGAGTTTGTAATGATGTGGGAAAGAGGTTATGATATAAAGTTAAGCAAAAGAAAAAGTAAATGCCAATTATAAAAATAGTATATTGTTAGCTTTGCTTAAACATATATACGCACACACTATCCGCAAAAAGCAGGAATATACTTCACTCTGTAAGTGGTGGTTATCTCTGAGTGACATTTTACAGGATGTTCCCCTGCTTTTTTTTTACTGTAATGTACATTCCAAATTATTAGATTAGTATATTTACTTTTACAAATGGTGATTATACATTTTAATAGTTTCAGAATGTTAAGATCTTAAGAGACTAAGCTTAGTTCTATAGCTAGCACATAGTAGCATTGCATAAATATTATTCAATCAATTAATGAAGTCATCACTTCATCGCAAGAGTGTACACAAAGTATTAGAACTATTAAAATGTTTGTGTGTGCACCAGCCCCATCAATTCTGAACAACGCCCTATGCCCTATCTGTCATAATTATATATTCTTATTTTTGGGGTCCTCACTCCTTAAAGCAACATTGTTGTTTCCTTCATTGCTTCTCCCCAAGCACAGAAGCAAAAAAAAAAAAAGAGATCATTTATTGTTTTAAAACCTTCATTTATTTTGGGATGTCACTACCAATTTTTCAGGCCTTAGACATGTAAGCATGCATTTCTACTTTTTTAGATTTTGAATCATGTAGAAATCTAGCCAAATTAATTGAGAATACTCTATTGAATAAATCAACAACTTTACTTCCAGGGTCCTGTTAACCTAAGCTAAAGATAAAAAAGCAGCAACAAAGTGCCACTGTTATCTGGTTAAAACTGACAACTGTAAGATGTATGGATGATTTTCTACAAGTTTAGAAACAGGAAACAGTGCTTGCTGCACTTGCCACAGGGCATATAAACTGAGAAAGTTATGTAGAAATTCAAGATCAGAGGATGAGCGCAAGGATGATCTTTGAGAACAAAACAGTGAACAGAGCCCTTTGTGGTGGCAAGCAGTGACGTGAGGTTGTGTTTATGTGAATACAAACCCTCTCCTCCCAAGTCTGGTGACTACAGTGTTTTCTTCCCACCTCGTTGTTAATTGTGGAAATCTGGCTGTCACTATTAACATATCAAACAGAGGTCTTGATATTATCTGCAGCTGATCATTTGTTTAGGTTTTACCCGCAGGAAAAGTCTGGTGGCAGCCAGTCCCAGGACAGCCACGCATGACGCACAGAAGAGTCCTTATAGTTCCCCTGGAGGGGGTGATGATGCAGGCAAATGCCACGCCTGATCCCTTTGGGTCTCCGTGGCAACAAGGCTGCTTGTCAGACTAGATGATAATGAGCCATGATCTGGAAGAGGCTTATTCCATAACAGGAGGGAGGTTTCAAAGGTAACACGTCAACAGCAATGCCTCGGCAACAGCTGTTTGTTATTGTAGTCGTCAAGGACAGAAAAAGGACAAGGCTGCCAGAAGATGTTGCATATGGAACAGAAGATTCTTGCCCTGGAAGAAGGAATAGAGGAGATGTAAATATCCCTTCTTTCTTGGGGGAAGGAAATAGATGAACTGTATGCTAAGTTAGAGCCTCTCTTTATCTATAAATGATCTGTTGGTTAAACAGGATACCTCCCTTCTGAACATCTCAGCACCCCATCAAGAGAACTTCAGGTCTCTGCCATTTAGACGTGTCATTTGTAAGTAAAATAAATCAGGGAAGTAATAGGAGGAAAGCTAAGAATGAAAGGAATTCATCACCACTGCAAATTTGTCCCTGAAGCAAGGTGAGTCCCTGCCCATCTGGCTACACCAGCTCTTTTTTTTTTTTTTTTTTTTTTTTTTTTTTGGCCCTTACTAGACCCCACTTGGGATTTTGTTGGCATATTTGCTTGGATGTCTATCTCCTCTGTAGTTCCTGAGGTCAAGATTACAGTCTCTTTTTTTTTTTTTTTAGTTTTTGTATCTATGGTGCCTGGCAAAGAAAAGAAGCTCCATCAATATTTACCAGTTGCTGGTGGCAATGGTAATGGTAGTTGTGTAGAAGGTGGGAAGGATAGAAGTATAGCTAAGTGACGGGACATTCTATTTCTACACCTTGTTTAGCTATGGAGGTCTCTGGAACTAGCCAGGCTAGCCAAGACTGGGACTTCTTGTGTCTTCTCCAAGAGAGGCAGAATGAGCCTAATGGTTTAGAACGTGGGCTCTGGAGCCAGACAAGCCAGATTAGAATCCTGACTCTACTCCAAGCAGTGTGAGCTTTGGCAAGTTACATACCCCATCTGTGCCTCTGTGAGGATGAAACGAGTTCCTTAGAATGATGCCTGGTACCCCAGAGGAGCTATTCAGGTTCAATTGACTCTGTTTCTAGTATTACTGCTCAACTTAGGAAGAAAAGAAGTGCAGAAGAGGAGAGGCTTTTGCTTCAAATTTTGAGTTTCACATTTAACCTTGCAGTTTTATCCCTGGGGAGCTTCTGCCTGGATGGAGGATGAATCTGGTATCTAAGCTCCTCCTTAGGGCTGTCATTTAGACCAGTGCCAATCCCTAGGAGTGCTTCTGATTTCCTGCTTATCTCCTACAAATGTACAGTTAAGTCAATTCAAAAGAAAAGATAAATGGTCCAAACAAATCCATTGTAGCATACTGTAATTCACTGTCCATGGGGCAATTCATTTGCCCTTGAATTATTATTATCTTCCTTACCTGATGTGCTTGACACTTATGATCTTGAACCATGCTGGGCACCATGGCAAATTTTGATATTTGATATCAAATATCAAAATATTTGATATTTTTTCCTTGATGCTTTTGAAGACACCTCCTCCATAACCACGATCAGCGACCAACACTCAAAAGGCTGAGGGGAACTGAAGCCAAGTTAGGGAAACAATGTAAATGCCTGGCTGGTTAACACGTGGATATCCAAAGAGTTGTTGGGTCTTCTCACCTCTACCCTCATCTGCCGTGAGCACACAGTGCTCCACGGATATATTCAAACTTGAATCAGGCCAGGCACGGTGGCTCATGCCTGTAATCCCAGCACTTTGGGAGCCCAAGGCGGGCGGATCACAAGGACAGGAGATTGAGACCATCCTGGCTAACATGGTGAAACCCGGTCTCTACTAAAAATACAAAAAATTAGCCCCGCATGGTGGCAGGTGCCTGTAGTCCCAGCTACTCGGGAGGCTGAGGCAGGAGAATGGCGTGAACCCGGGAGGCGGAGCTTGCAGTGAGCCGAGATTGTGCCACTGCACCCCAGCCTGGGCGACAGAGCAAGACTTCGTCTCAAAAACAAAACAAAACAAAACAAAACAAAACAAAAAAACCTGAATCAATAAGTGAGGAATTTTATGAAATGCACTCTTGAAGCCAATGAAATAAGGTCATCCATAACTATAAACCAGCAGCTAAATATTACGTAAGCATGGGACTTGGACTCTATTTCATTTAGACCACCTGAAGCAGGTTCTCTTGGAACTGCAAAACAAAAGAAGAGAGAGAAAGAAAGACCACCATTGTGATGGTTTCCAGATAGGCCTAATCAAAAGGTTGAAAATTTCTACCAAGAATATTAAGTCATTACAGCAGGTACCTTTTCTAATTAAAATTGTATTCCCACTGCATGGCTGCATCCTAATAAACTGAGAGGCATCAGCTAGCTACCTTATCTTTCATACCAGCTGTAAGTATGCTGATATACATATGTATATTATATTTGTATTATGTATAATATCTATATGCTATATGTATATATAAAGTATAGCCCTTAAAAATTATTTCAAAGTCACACAATCATCTGAGTCACACAAGCACATAGAAAAAGAGATAAAGGTATGTTATGTAACTCACCTCCTGTATCCAGATAAGTCTTCAGTCAAACAAATACAATTATTTGATATTTTTTCCTTGATGCTTTTGAAGACACCTCCTCCATAACCACAATCAGGAACGGTCTGTATTTCAGCAGTCAGGAAGTTCTTTTTTTTTTTTTTTTTTTTTTTTTTTTTTCAAATAAACTGCTTATCTTAGAATGGTTTTAAAATTACAGAATTAATGTAATTAGTGCAGTAATGTAATTAGTGCAGTAATGGTACAGAGCGCTCCCTACCTAATACTGAGTTTCCCCTATTGTTAACATATTACATTAATATGGTACCTTTGTCATGACCAATGAATCAGTATTGATACATTATTTCCTCAGCTTTTCCCTAATGTCTTTTTTCCTTTTTCTTTTTTGAGATGGAGTCTCACTCTGTTGCCCAGGCTGGAGTGCAGTGGCACGATCTCGGCTCACTGCAGCCTCCACCTCCTGGGTTTAAGTGATTCTTCTGCCTCAGCCTCCCAAGTAGCTGGGATCACAGGCGCCCGCCAATACACCCAGCTAATTTTCGTATTTTTAGCAGAGATGGGGTTTCACCATCTTGGCCAGGCTGGTTTCAAACTCCTTACCTCAAGTGATCTGCTTGCCTCAGCCTCCTAAAGTGCTGGGATTACAGGTGTGAGTCACCGTGCCCTGCCCCTAATGTGCTTTTTCTATTCCAGGATTCCATGCAGGATACCACATTGTATTTAGTAGTCATGTCTCCTTAGGCTCCTCTTAGCTGTGGCAGTTTCTTAGACTTTCCTTGGCTTTGCTGACCTTGATAGTTTTGAGGATTACTGGTCAGGTATGTTGTAGAATGTCCTTCCATTGGGTTTTGTCTGATGTTTTACTCATGATTAGACTGAGTTAATGCATTTAATGGGAGGGAGACCACAGAGGCAAAGTGCCATTCTCATTATATCATATCATCAAGGGTGCACACTATCAATCGCTTGCCAATGTTAGGGAGTTGTTTTTAAGGTCAAAAGTAAATTCCTATTGTTAAAGCAGTGGTTCTCAAAGTGTGGTCCCCCAGATCAGCAGTGTCAGCATCACCTGGAACTTGTTAAAAATGCAAATTCTTGGCTTTATCACAGGCCTACTAAATCAGAAACTCTGGGGGTGGAGCCCAGTGATCTGTCTGAACAAGCCTAGGTGATTCTGATGCAGCTGAAGTTTAAGAACTGCCGTGTTCGTGGTTGTCTAACATGTTTGGCCTCAATGTATAAAAAGAGTTCTCCTCAGTGCCCATCTATTAAGCCAGTGGTTCTCAACTCTGCTGCATTTCATGAATACCCACGCCCAGGCACCATCCCCAGAGACTGATATCACTGCTTTGGGAGGGTGTCTTACTGAAAAGTTCCCAGGTGGTTCCAAGCCTAGACAGGGTTAAGGGCTCCTGCCCTGGCCCTCAGCTAAGAGAAGTCTCCCCTCTTCTACTCATGCTTTCCACCCTTGTAAGCTCTCCTTCCTTTCCCCCTTGGCCTTTGGAAGAATGGATCAATCAGTAGCCTGGTTTCTTAGAAAACATCAAAGAAGATTTAATGCTACAGAACTTCAGATTGGTAATAGCCATAAAGGTCAACTAGTTATGTGGTTTTAAAAGTTTTTTTGAGCAGACTCTTTCTTCAAAGGAAATCTTTATGGGGAAACCCAAACCAATACAGAAAAAGAGAGAAAACTGAGCTGCCCTGAGTGAAGGGGAAGGGACTTGAGGTTGCTTCTGGTCCTCCTGACACTATCTAGCCATCACTGGGCTAGTTCAGCCTTCCCAGTCAATGGTTGTCCACCTTCTCCTTGATCATTTCCAGCATCAGGGGCTCCTCCACTTACCACGCCACTTCCATTTCAGTACCAAGCATCAAAGCTTTCTTTCTTTTGAGCCCCCATTGGCTTCCCCATCACTTCCTATCACTAATACAGCTCCTTTCCTGGTGTTAAAGAAGAGAGATAGAGAGCCTTTCCCATAAAAAGCCTCTTTTTATTTCATGATTCAGGCACCCTGCTCCCTCAACAGTGGTTCTCAACTGGATTGTGCATTAGAATCAACCAATGCACTTTCAAAAGTCTCACTGCCCAGGATACACCCCAAATCAATCTGGTAGTGTCTTTTCAGGTGGACCCAGGTAGACAAGAACCACATGCAGCCTGGCTGGGGACTGAGCACCTTTGTCAGAGCCTCTCCCCTCACCCCCAGGCCAACAGGGCCACCCTCTTTCCTGATGATTGACACTACTCTGAACCTCCTCATCATTCCATCTGCTCCCTTTAGAGAATGCTCCATTATCCGTATCAAAAAGTAAGTCATAGTGGCACAATTTTCACAAACAGTTTTTATACAATGAAGGTAAAAAGTTTAAGTGCTGGGTTGATATAATACCAAATTCTTTCTTTCTCAAGTTAATTAGAATAAAAAGACACCTATTTGCTTCGTGACTCAACAATCCAACTTCTACTCCCATGTCCCCCTTCCCCTATACTGGAAAGATTGTACAAATGCTCCTACCTTTCCCGGAGCAGAAGTGTCTCACAGCTAGTATCCCTGCTCTGCCCTTGTTAAATGAGAGGTAAATGATGTGATCATTTTTTTGTGACTGCCTTAAGCAACTCCACCCAGATGGCCTGGCTGTTTGTTTGGTGAAGATTTCTCTCTCCTCTTCTGCCCCCTCTTTCTGACCCATTAGTCAGAAAATAACTGGGCTTTGCAAATGTAGGTTGTGTAAGTTGTCAGGTTCACCAGCCTCCAAATGGCCTGTCCCAAATCCTCTTAACCAGTATTTCCGGAATGAAGTTAAGATCATGCAGGCCATTAGCCAAGGAGTTTAGCTAGAGAGGGTGGGGTGAAGCACAACCCATGCTTTGAAGTATCTGAAACACTCACCAGCCAATGACAATTACTTGTCTCCACTAGGCTGAAGAACATATTTCAGTTGTTCCTATCTCCACTGAAAAACTTGCCTCCTATATATGACATGACTCATAGTCATTAAGTCCAACGTGGAACGCAAAGAGGTTACTGTTTTCCTAACCATTGTATTCGAAGTCTCAGTCAGCTCAACCAACTGCTCCAAGTTGCAGAACATGGCTGAGGTAAACATGGAATTGTGCTGAGAGTTTTGTCTTAAACTCATGCCATCCATCTTCAGTTGGACCCTCGATTCTCTCTTATAATCATTTTTCTTTTCCTTACTAAACTTGATACTCTATGCCCCACAATAGTGTTTCAGAACTTCCTTCCAAAGTTTCAGTTTTCACATCTTTAAAATAAAGATAATCATAGCATCTACTTAGTAAGGCTGTTCTCAGTATTAAATCAAAGGATAGGCGTAAAGTTCAAAACATATGACATAAGTACCTAATACATGCTGTTACTATTATTATATATGTTATTATCTATGCTAATATTATATGACATGAATAATGAAATAACAAAATAATATTTTCTACTCATCTCAAAGTTACGAAACTTTTTTAGTGTCAGCTATATGCTAGTTATCCTGTTAACATGACACTTTGATATACAGCCCCTAAGATCCCAACTCCCTTCCACTCTCTTTCCCTCATCTTATTGGCCTTCTTTCTTACTAAGATCAAGGCAAGTCCATGGAAGCCCCTCAATATTCCCCTGCATCTCAGAATTTCTCCATGTCATCAAAGTTCCTGTTTTTCTTTCCTCTTCTCTCTGAAGGCCATCTCTGCTCCACTCCACAACCCTGGCCCTTCTCACACTAAGTATGGTGCCCCAGGGAGGATTTCCCCTTCAGCCCCACCTAAGAGATCTCAGCATGCAGCCCACAAGGTTTAAAATTGAGTCTTTACTCTTGAAAAGATTAAAACAGAGTTGAGGTGCCAAAAAAAAAAAAAAGAAAAGAAAACCTACAAGATAGCTCATAACAAGTGCCAACTGAGTCATTCAGAAAAAAAAAAAAAAAGAGAAATGCCACTACCTTCAGCAAAAGGGAACCATTGAACTATCATTGAAAAAATACTGTTCCCCAGAGGGAAAAAATTAACTCCAAAAACTTTGTCATCATATTATTAATATTTTAATATCTCATCATTTTTATAAGGCAGTTTCACAAAGTTATTTCCTTTAAGCCACTTAGAGAGGTAGATTAAGGAATATTCTGCCCATTTTACAAATGAAGAAACTGAGATGCAGAGAAGGTTTAGGAGAATTCCCAACCTGGGCAGCTAGTAAGTGCTAGAGCCAGGACTTCAATGTGGGTCTTGGGAGCCCCTTCCCCCTGCCCTTTCTTGTAGGCCATATTGACTTTCTACTGGAGGACATTACCATTTGTTCATTTACCATGATGCTGGAAACTTAGCATTATGTTTTCACATCTGCCCATTACAACTCTAGGTGGTCAGTCTAATTACCTGCATTTTAGATGTAAGGATGACTTTGTGAGGAGGGGGAGCAGAGGGAGGGAGTCTGTTAAGTAAGTAGCCCAAATCCCACTGCTAAAAAGCTCTAAAGTTGGCATATAAATTCAGGGCTCATGAACCTGAATTTTATTTTTTATTTGCAAGAAATTGTATTTCCTACAAATTAAGCATTTTTTTGCCTGTGAGAGCAAAAGATAACACCAAAAAAAAAAAAAAATGAAAGCAAAGTCTAAAACAGGTGGTAGTGACAGCAGAAAAAAAAAATATATATATACACTCATGGTTAGGCAACTTGTCAGCCAAGCCTGGGCCATAAAACACGATAAAAAAAGGTTTGGTTAATAGCCAGAATTACTCAGTTATTCTCATAAATGCTAATTATTAAGTTATTTATGAAAGGAAAAGGATTTTCATTTGATTGTCCCCTGGCTTTTATTGCTCTCTGTGATAACATAAATTCCCCTTCCAGGACCCCTTCAATGATTAAGGTGCATAGCTGTGATCTATAAGCATATTCAGACCTATCACCCATATAGATCAGCTCTGACAAAACGATTTGATGGCTTATGTTTTTTTCAGATAAATTCTATTCTTTGTATTTCATTAGAATGTAGATACCTATAAAAAGTACCTTAAGTAATATGAATCTTGAGATGTTAGAAACATTTCTTCAGAAAAAAAAATACCCACCAAGGAAGTTATAAACCAACTTAAAGAATAGGTGTTCAACAAAATAAATAAACCCAAAAATACTTAATATAATGCAGGAAAGTTTATGGTAGGGACTTGATATGGCAATCTCTTTGGAATTTTAAGTATAAAATGTTTCAGTGGGTTGATTCTCAAAATTCTAAAGCATGACAATAATTTTTTACCAGGTACAATGTGCTTTTAGGAGGATTTCTTCCTTTTCTCCCCCGTTTTTATGTTCAGTCTGACCTGGTTGATGACTGTGACTCAGATGATAGACGGACTACTTGTGGTTTGAAGGGTGTTGCTTCAGAATTCTAATCTCTTTTGTCATGGACCATCCCTGGGGATTCCAAAGTATTACTAGCTGTAAAGGAACTCCCCCTCCTCAATAAACCACAGCTCCCAACAAGAAATGAGCAACTTCTGATAGTGAAAATGGGACATTTTAAAAGAATTAACTAATAGTAAAACCAAGTCAAGAAAACGCTCTCTGAAATGCATTATTTACTATATTAGGAAAAGATGCATGGAGAGAGACAAAAGTTTTACAAGAGGTAAACTGGATTAATTCTATGAAAAACTTGCTAACCAAAGACTTGTTATTATTGCTTTTCACCAATGTATTGGAAGGGCGGAAAGAGAGAATAAATTATAACTCACCTAAGGACCAATTACCTCAATTTTTGGCTCATACCCAGAGAAAACAATTATTCCTAGGAATCTCTTAATCAAATTGAAGTCCAACAAACATTTATGTGTACCTACTATGGGCCACCCTCTGTTGACAAGTATTGGGGAGTGAGTAAGGCCAGGTCTTTCCCTTGAAGAAGCTTACTATTCAGTGGAGGAGTTCATACTAAATTCACAAACCTTTGAATACTAATCAGAGTTGTTAAGTATTACTACCTGCTAGTGCTTAGCTCTGTCCTCAGAATAAATAAATGAGGGAGGATCCAGGGGCACATGAAGACCTCACACAATTCAAGTTCAATAGACTTCCTTACTACAGGCTTCCATTTGTAGTGTTGTATTTATTTTCTCTTAATCTATTGCAAGGAGAGGCATGTATTCATTTATTAATGATGCTACAAGTACAATGTGAACATCCTGGAAAATACAAATTACTTATTTGCAACCCAGAAACTTAAATTTCAAAAAGTAAGAGACTGATTGGATCAAAAAAGGGCTGAAAAATGAAAAGGCTGCTGGTCAGAATATCGGCAGAGGCTAAAGTTATAGCTAATTCAAGCAAAAGATTTCCAAGATGCTCCCTTAGCACACTGAATGCACAGAGTGAAAATAGTGTTGGAGTTTGCAGAAACAGTTTTTTTAGAAAAGGCATGATCATATATAAAATACTCAAACTTTCCAGATTCAAAATTCCCAAGTGGAAAAGAATTGGGGACTTTTTAAAGAGATTTAATGATTCAGCTTGATTATCCAACATTATTCAATTGCTATTTGACTTAGTATGTTTTGTGTTACTATAAAGGCATATCTAAGACTGGGTAATTTATTTTTTAAAAGAGATTTATTTAGCTCATGTTCTGCAGGCTGTACAAGAAGCAAGGTGCCGGCATCTGCTTAGCTTCTGGTGAGGGCTTGTGTGCTGCATCAAAATATGGTGGAAAAGACTAAAGGGCAAGTAGACACGTGCAAAGAGGGTCAAAACCCAAGGGGTGTCCTGGCTTTATAACAACCCTGCCCTCAGGAACTAATCCATTCCCCGCAGAACCAATCCAGTCTCAGGAGAGCAAGAGTTCACTCAATTCCTTGAAAACAGAACTGATATGGTTTGACTGTGTCCCTATCCAAATTTCATCTTGCATTGTAGCTCCCATAATTCTCACGTCATAGAAGGGACCGGTGGGGGGCAACTGAATCATGGGGGTGGGTCTTCCCCGTGCTGTTCTCGTGATAGTGAATAAGTCTCATGAGATCTGATAGTTTTATAAAGAGAAGTTCCTCTGCACATGCCCTCTTGCCTGCCACCATGTAAGACCTGACTTTGTTCCTCATTTACCTTCTGCCGGGATTCTGAGGCCTCTCCAGCCATGTGGAACTGTGAGCCAATTAAACTTCTTCCCTTTAGAAATTACCCAGTCTCAGGTATGTCTTTTTTTTTTTTTTTTTTTTTTTTTTTTTTTTTTTTTTTGAGATGGAGTCTCACTCTTGTTGTCCAGGCTGGAGTGCAATGGCACGATCTCTGTTCACCTCAACCCCCACCTCCCAGGTTCAAGCAATTCTCCTGCCTTGGCCTCCAGAGTAGCTAGGATTACAGGCATGTGCCACCATACTTGGCTAATTTTTTGTATTTTTAGTAGAGATTGGGTTTCTCCATGTTGGTCAAGCTGGTCTCAAACTCCCGACCTCAGGTGATCCGCCCGCCTTGGCATTCCAAACTGTTGGGATTACAGGCATGAGCCACTGCACCCGGCCTTGGGTATATCTTTATTAGCAGCATAAGAAGAGACTAATACAAGAACCAAGCCATTCACAATGGGTCTACCCCATGACATAAGCTCCTCCCACCAGGCCCCACATCTCAACACTACCACTTTGGGAATCAAATTTCGACATGAGATTTGATAGGGACAAACAAACCATATCCAAACTACAGCAGGGTTTAAAAAGCAAGCAAACAAAACAACACACACACACACACACACACACACACACATACACCATACCTGATTATGCAGTTAGGTAAAACACTCAAATCAGCAATAAAAGTCTGCAAATTTGTAAACTGCATCAAGTAGTAGCCTGTAGAGTTTGGGATTGCATTTTGTAGTTCCTTTAACTCCCTCCACAATGATGAGCAATCTTATTCGCATCACAGACATTCACATTTAGTGAATATGCCGGAAGAGAGGGAGGGAGGGAGGGAGGGAGGGAAGGAAGGGAGGCAGGAGGGAGGGAAGGAAGGAAGGAAGGAAGGAAGGAAGGAAGGAAGGAAGGAAGGAAGGAAGGCAGGCTCTATAGGCACAGATGTAGATGTAGGTATATGGGTGTGAGGATTTGCGGACTTTACCTTCTAAATTGGACATCAAGAAATTAAAATGAATGAATTTAAATTTTCTAAACTTGCTTGCTTATACGAATCACCAGAAACTATGTGTTAAATGTACTGATTTCCAGGCCTCTGTGCTGACAATTCTGATCTGAAAGAAGAGTGGAAATCTGTATTGTTAACAAGTAATCACCTCCTGGTGATCCTTGTTATCAAGCAGGTTTAGGAAATACTGAACTAACTGATTCACGTTGCTCTGTTCATAATATTTCATTTGCTTAATTAAGATCTTTTTACCATGGACATTTTCAGTGGTCCTTTCTTCAGTCCCAAACCCTATTACCCTACATTTTTTCCCTCTAGGAGTCTTATCTCTTCCCTTATAGGATGGTGATGCAGCCATATCTGCCTGAATCTCTAGACCATTTCCACCCAAGTCGTCATCATTGATAACTCTTCCATCAGAGTCCTCATGGTTCGGGTAATACATGTTCAGGTCAAAACCTTTAAAACCTTGGAGAAAGGAAATAGTTTTATCAGGAAAAGCTGAAAAAGAAAAAAAGAACAAAAACAAAAACTTGAGGAAGTGAAAACATCTGAGGCCTAAAGTCAGGGAATATACCAAAGGAACAAAACCCCAAATCTCTTGTTCACACTTCCTCCAGATGTACTTAGAAATTATTTGCACATTTCTACTTCAAAAAACGTTATTTTCTGCTTTGATCAAAGTTTTCAAGTTTTGTAGATGATATTCATGTATTTGTATCCTAACCGGCTGAGTATATGAATGTGTTACTTCCACTATACCACATGAAGAAATATACCTACTCATTCATTTTTCATTCATTCAACAATTTGCTAAATACCTACCGCATGCCGCTGTGTAATTGAACTAGTATAGTGTACAGACACTAACAAGAGATAATCCCCGTCCGTAAATAAATTACAGTTAATTGGAAAAATAGACACATAAGCAAATAACTATACATTATGCTCCAAAGTAACTATTATATTAAGATTTGTATATAAGATGTTATGAGAACATAGAAAAGCATATCCTGATTATGGAGAAGGGCGACCTTTAGGGAGGAGATGAAGGAGATGACAATTTTTTCACAGTTATCTCTTGCTAAGGTAATTTTTAATTGCATAAATTAATATAATAACATTATTAAGGGAACATTTTTTCACCACTTTGCACATTGACAGTTTTCCTTTTTCCATGTTTCCATTCAAACTTTGTCCATAAGTATGTGTATATATACATGTGTGTTAGAAAGTTTAAATCATAATATCTGTAATTATGTTTCAAAAGCTTGCATACATTTGGCTATTTGAAAACCAAAATATAGCTTCCTATAAAAATAAAATTATTAAAGGTTGTTAGGTTTCCCCAAACCTAAGCCTATTTAATACACAACACTCTATTGCTATACTATTGTAGTTGTACAGTGAGAGAGTAATTGTATTGTAATCAGAAAAATATATTGGGTTTCTAATGAATTTCTCTAATAAGAAGGAAAACAATAAAATGATTTGAAAAGATTTTTTTTTGTATTCCAGATGTTCTTCCTTGAGGTACGAATTAGTAGATAGCCATGGCTAGGTAAAGGAAGGATGTCAACCAGATGCTAGTGGATGGGCAGTTCTGTTTCCCTTTGATAGAATTCTAGTTAGGGGATGTGGGCCTCTGAACTTCAGAGCTAGTGGCAGAGAGTAGCATGCACAGCTCATTTTCTAATTTGGAGAGGAAGATTGTCTCTGGAATGGGGGAAAGATGAGCACATATGGATCTAGGTCGTCCTCTGGCTGACTGGGAAATCAGCATCCTGAAAATGTACAGCATGTATACAGCAGAGTGGGAAGAGAAAAAGAAAAGCAAGTGATCAGGTTCACACTGCAGATGGTTGCCTGCTCTGTTTGCATGGGAATTCAACACCCAGAACAGGAAAAAGTAAGGTGACTGACTGCCAGAAGTCCTCCATACGTTGGACCTGGGCCCTGGACCCTGGAATCTATGGATGTTGGGAAACAGGAACCCTAATAGCAAATTGGCTAGACACAAATCATCATTGCTGTGGTTGTTTCCAGACATCTGAAGAACAGCTTACATCGAGGCCTCATTTCAGTGAGTTAAGTCTATCTTAAGAAACTCAAGTCGTGCTATGGAATAGTTGTAAATTAATGTTTCCAATTCAGGGTACATCTATAGATATGTATTTTGAGCTCAATTTTTTTAAAAACCAGAAGCAGATGACCTCTGGTACACTTTATTTTTTATTATCTTATTTTATTTTCCCATAAGTTATTGGGGTACAGTGGATATTTGGTTACATGAGTAAGTTCTTTAGTGTGATTTGTGAGATTTTGGTGCACCCATTACCCAAGCAGTAAACACTGCACCATATTTTATCCCTCGCCTGTCTCCCACTGTTCCCCTCAAGTCCCCAAAGTCCATTGTATCATTCTTATGTCTTTGCATCTTCATAGCTTAGCTCCCACATATCAGTGAGAACATACAATGTTTGGTTTTCCATTCTTGAGTTACTTTACTTGGAATAATAGTCTCTAATCTCACCCAGGTCACTGCAAATGCTGTTAATTCATTCCTTTTTATGGCTGAGTAGTATTCCATTGTATATATATATACCACAGTTTCTTTATCCACTCATTGACTGATGGGCGTTTGGGTTGGTTCCACAATTTTGCAACTGTGAATTGTGCGGCCATAAACATGTGTGTGCAAGTATCTTTTTTGAATAATGACTTATTTTCCTCTGGGTAGAGACCCAGTAGTGGGATTGCTGGATCAAATGGTAGTTCTACTTTTACTTCTTAAGTTTTATTTACGAACTTAAATTTATTCATAAGGAATTTCCACACTGTTTTCCATAATGGCTATACTAGTTTACATTCCCACCAGCAGTGTAGAAGTGTTCCTTGATCACTGCATCCACGCCAACACCTACTGTTTTTTGATTTTTTGATTATGGCCATTCTTGCAGGAGTAAGGTGATATCACGTTGTGGTTTTGATTTGCATTTCCCTGATCATTAGTGATGTTGAGCATGTTTTCATATGTTTCTGGGCCATTTGTATATCTTCTTTTGAGAATTGTCTGTTCATGTCCTTAGCCCACTTTTTGATAGGCTTGTTTGGTTTTCTCTTGCAGATTTGTTTGACTTTGTTGTGGTTTCTGGATATTAGTCCTTTGTCAGAGGTATAGATTGTGAAGATTTTCTCCCACTCTGCGGGTTGTCTGTTTATTCTGCTGATTGTTCCTTTTGTAGTGCAAAGGCTCTTTACTTTAATTAGGTCCCAGCTATTTATCTTTGTTTTTATTGTATTTGCTTTTGGGTTCTTGGTCATGAAACCCGTGCCTAAGCCAATGTCTAGAAGGGTTTTTCTAATGTTATCTTCTAGAATTTTTATAGTTTCAGGTCTTAGGTTTAAGTTCTTAATCCATCTCAAGTTGATTTTTGTGTAAGTTGAGAAATGAGGATCCAGTTTCATTCTCCTACATGTGGCCACATAGCCAATTATCCCAGCACTATTTGTTGCAAAGGGTGTCCTTTCCCCACTTTATGTTTTTGTTTGCTTCGTCAAAGATCAGTTGGTTGTAAGTATTTGGGTTTACTTCTGGGTTCTCTATTCCATTCCATTGGTCTATGTGCCTATTTTTATACCGGTACCACACTGTTTTGGTGACTGTGGCCTTATAGTATAGTTTGAAATCAGGTAGTGTGATGCCTTCAGGTTTGTTCTTTTTGCTTAGTCTTGTTTGGCTATGCAGGCTTTTTTTTGGTTCCATACGAATTTTAGAACTCTTTTTTCTAACTGTGAAGAATGATGGTGGTATTTTGATGGGGATTGCATTGAATTTGTAGAATGATTTTGGCGGTATGGTCATTTTCCCAATATTGATTCTACACATCCGTGAGCATGGGATGTGTTTCCATTTGTTGATGTCGTCTATGATTTCTTTCAGCAGTGTTTTGTAGTTTTCCTTGTAGAGGTCTTTCGACTCCTTTGTTAGATATATTCACGAGTAATTTTTTTAGGCAGTTATTGTAAAAGGGGTTTTTTATTTGATTCTCCACTTGGTAGCTGTTGGTGTATAGAAGAGCTACTGATATGTGTACATTAATCTTGTATCCGGAAACTTTGGTGAATTATTTTATCAGTTCTAGGAGCTTTCTGGAGGAGTCCTTAGGGTTTTCAAGGCAAACAATCATATCATCAGCAAACAGAGAGAGTTTGACTTCCTCTTTACCATTTGGATTCCCTTTATTTCTTTCTCTTGCCTGATTGTTCTGGCTAGGATTTCCAGTACTATTTTGAAGAGGAGTAGTGAGAGTGAGCATCCTTGTCTTGTTCCAGATCTCACGGGGGATGTTTTCAACTTTTCCCCATTCAATATTATGTTGGCTGTGGGTTTGTCATAGATGGCTTTTATTATATTAAGATATGTCCCGTGTATGCCGATTTTGTTGAGGGTTTTAATCATAAAGGGAGGCTGGATTTTGTTGAATGCTTTCTCTGCACCTACTGAGATGATCATGTGATTTTTGTTTTTAATTCTGTTTATGTGGTGTATCACATTTATTGACCTGTGTATGTTAAACCATCCCTGCATCCTTGGTATGAAACCCCCTTGATCATGGTGGATTATCTTTTTGATATGTTGTTGGATTCTGTTAGCTGGTATTTTGTTAAGGATTTTAGCATTTATTTCTATTTTAGCATCTATTTTAACATCTGTTAGCATCTATGTTCATCAAGGATATCAGTCTGTATTTTTCTTTTTTGTTTGTGTCCTTTCCTGGTTTTGGTATTAGGGTGACACAAGTTCATAGAATTAACTGGGAAGAGTTCCTTCTTTATCTTGTGGAATCGTTTCAAAAGGATTGGTACCAATTCTTTGAATGTTTGGTAGAATTCTGCTATGAATCTGTCTGGTCATGGACTTTTTATTGTTGGTGATTTTTTAATTACCATTTCAATCTGGCTGCTTATTATTGGTCTGTTCAGGATATCTAATGCTTCCTGACTTAAGCTAAGGGATTGTATTTTCCCAGGAATTTATCCATCTCTTCTAGGTTTTCTAGCTTACGTGCATAAAGGTGTTCCTAGTAGCCTTGAATGATCTTTTGTATTTCAGTGGTGTCAGTTGTAGTATCTCCTGTTTCATTTCTTAGTGAGGTTATTTGGATTGTCTCTCTTCTTTTCTTTGTTAATCTTGCTAATGGTCTATCAATATTATGTATCTTTTCAAAGAGACAGCTTTTTGTTTCAGTTATCTTTTATATATTTTTGTTTGCTTGTTTCTATTTCATTTAGTTTTGCTCTGATCTTGATTACTTCCTTTTTTCTACTGGGTTTGGATGTGGTTTGTTCTTGTTTCTGTAGTTCCTTGAGGTGTGATCTTAGGTTGTCTGTTTGTGCTCTTTCAGACTCTTTGATGTAGGTGTTTATGGCTATGAACATTCCTCTTAACACCGCCTTAGCTGTATCCCAGAGGTTTTGATAGGTTTTGTCATTATTGTCATTCAGATCAAGGAATTTTTTAATTTCCATCTTGATTTCATTTTTGACCCAATGTTCATTCAGGAGCAGGTTATTTAATTTCAATGTATTTGCATGGTTTTGAAGGTTCCTTTTGGAGTTGACTTCTAGTCTTATTCCACTGTGGTCTGAGAGAGTGTTTGATATAATTTGAATTTTCTTAAATTTATTGAGCTCCTTTTATGGCCTGTCATATGGTCTGTCTTGGAGAAAATTCCATGCACTGCTGAATACAATGTGTATTCTGTGGTTGTTGGATGAAGTGTTCTGTATACATCTGCTAAGTCCATTTGTTCCAAGGTATAGTTTAAATCCACTGTTTCTTTGTTGACTTTCTGTCTTAATGAGCTGTCTAGTGCTGTCAGTAGAGTATTGAAGTTCCCAGTGTTATTGTGTTGCTGTCTATCTCATTTCTTAGGTCTATTAGTAATTGTTTTATAAATTTGGGATCTCCAGTGTTAGGTGCATATATGTTTAGGATTGTGATGTTTTCCTGTTGGACAATGCCTTTTACCATTTTATAATGCCCCTCTTTGTCTCTTTTAAACATTGTCACTTTAAAGTTTTTTTTTGTCTAAGAATAGCTACCCCTGCTCGCTTTTGCATGAAATGCCTTTTCCTACCCCTTTACTTTAAGTTTATGTGAGTACTTATGTGTTAGGTGAGTCTCCTGAAGGCAGCAGATAGTTGGTTGGTGAGTTCTCATCCATTCTGCAGTTCTGTATCTTTTAAGTGGAGCATTTAGGCCACTTACATTCAATATTAGTATTGAAATGTGAGGTACCATTGCATTCATCATGCTCTTTGTTGCCTGTGTACTTTGCTGTTTTTTGGTTTTGCTTTTTAACTTGTATTTTTGTTGTATAGGTTCCATGTGATTTATACTTTAAAGTGGTTCTGTTTTGATGTGTTTCCAGGATTTGTTTCCATATTTAGAGCTCCTTTTAGCAGTTCTTGTAGTGGTGGCTTGGTAATAGTGAATTCTCTAAGAATTTGTTTGTCTGAAAAAGACTGTATCTTTCCTTCATATATAATGCTTAGTTTCACTGGATACAAAATTCTTGGCTGATAATTGTTTTGTTTGAGGAGGCTGAAGATAGGGTCCCAATCCCTTCTAGCTTGTAGAGTTTCGCTGAGAAATCTGCTATTAATCTGGTAGGTTTTCTTGTATAGGTTACCTAGTGCTTCTGTCTCATAGCTCCTAAGATTCTTTCCTTCGTCTTAACTTTGGATAACCTGATGACAATGTGCCTAGGTGAAGATCTTTTTGTGATGGATTTCTCAGGTGTTCTTTGTGCTTCCTGTATTTGCAGGTCTAGATCTCCAGCAAGGCTGGGGAAGTTTTCCTCAATTATTCCCCCAAATATGTTTTCCAAGCTTTTAGCATTGTCTTCTTCCTCAGGAACACTGATTATTCTTAGATTTGGTCGTTTAACATAATGCCAGACCTCTTAGAGGCTTTGTTCATATTTTCTTATTCTTTTTTCTTTCTCTTTGTTGGGTTGGGTTAATTTGAAAACCTTGTCTTCAAGCTTTGAAATTCTGTTTTCCACTTGTTCAATTCTATTACTGAGACTTTCCAGAGCATTTTGCATTTCTAAAAGTGTGTCCAAAGTTTCCTGAAGTTTTGATTGTTTTTTATTTAAGCTATCTGTTTCCTTGAATATCTCTCCCTTCAACTTCTTGTACCATTTTTTGGATTTCCTTGCACTGGGCTTTGCCTTTCTCTGGTCTCTTCCTGACTCGCTTAATAACTAACCTCCTGGGTTCTTTTTCAGGTAAATCAGGGATTTCTTCTTGGTTTGGATCCATTGCTGGTGAACTAGTGTGATTTATGGGGGGTGTTGACAAGCCTTGTTTTGTCATATTACCAGGGTTGGTTTTCTGGTTCCTTCTCATTTGGGTACGCTCTGTCAGAGGGAAGGTCTAGGGCTGAAGGCTGTTGTTCAGATTTTTTTGTCCCATGGGGTGTTCCCTTGATGTAGCACTCTCCCCTTTTTCTGTGGATGTGGCTTCCTGTGAACTGAATTGCAGTGATTGTTGTCTCTCTTCTGGGTCTAACCACCCAGCAAGTCTACCCAGCTCCAGGCTGGTACTGAGGATTGTCTGCACAGAGTCCTGTGATGTGAACTGTATGTGGGTCTCTCAGTCATATCCATGCCTGTTCTGGTGGAGGTGGTGGAGGGTGAAATGGACTCTGTGAGGTTCCTTATGAGCTCAATTTTCTGAGCTACATATGTGCAAATAAACTTCACTGAAGACCAAAGCTTTACGATAACTACATTAAAAGACAATTTTTTATTCTACCTATTTCCTCCTATACTAGTTTAACCATGAATCAAAAAAAAAAAAAAGTGAGCATATATAATGAATAATGCATTTGGCTAGAGCATGGAGTAAGTGAAAAATAATGGTGGAAAGTTAGGTTGGGATCATCATATTGTGGATGGAAAAATGGTTCAGTGGAGAAGTTTATAAATTTGGCAGGCAATAAAAGGTATTTTCAAATTAGACTTTTATAAAATTATAATACTAAGTCACGATTATGGTACAAAATTCAAATTGTGCATTCTTATTAATTCTTCGAAAAGTTTTCTGTGCAATCACAGTTTTTTGAACAGAGGCTTGGGGTGTTCAGAATTGGTATCTCAAGAAGGTTGCTTTAGAGATTATATGAAGGCTGAATTCCAATGGAAAAGAAAGGATGGAGATTAAAGTCAGAGGTCTTGCAGTACAATCATTGACAGGACTTGGTGACTGATGAGTGGGAAGTGCCAGAGAGATGATCAGAGCCAGGATGTAAGTCTATGTAAGTGGGAGGAGGGATGCTGTCATTGGCTGAAATATGGAACCCAGGAAGAGGGAAGTTTGTAGATTTGTTTTGGAGTTGTGGTGAGTTTGGGGTTACTGGCAGGATCCTCATTTGGAAATATACACTAGGCCAACATGGAGCTCAGAAAGAGGCTGATGGTAGAGGTGTGGGTTTGCAGTTCATTCACTTGGAGATCACAGTTGAAATATCTGGGATGGGTGAGATAAGTGGGTTGCATAGTGTTAGAATAGACTAGCTCCCAGAAAACAATTAAGAAATTGAGTGGAAGAAGAGGAGTCAGTGAAAGTGACCGAGGAATGGCCAGAAGTGTGAGAGAAGAACCATGTCACTGTATTGTCTCAGAAACCAGTAACAGAGAAAATTTCAAGGAAGGTTTATCAAACACCACAGAAATGGCAAGGCCACTGGGTTTGGTAACAAAGGAGTCACTGGGAAACATTGAAAGAACAATTTCAGTGGAGCAGTGAGCTAGAAGCCAGAATGGGTTGGAAAGAGCATTGGAAGTGCAGATTTCAAGGGAGTTTGAAGAGAAGATAGATAGACTTATTTATTCATTCACTTATTCACTCATGCATTTATTTATCCAACAGGTAAATTAAATAAATAACATCTCTGCACAAGGCAATTTGCTAGACATTGGGGATAGGTGCCAGCCCTCATGGAACTTACATTCTAGTGGGGACAAAAAATGAGTTAACAGAAAATTAAGCAATTGTTTTGTGATAACTATAATTAAGAAAGTAATTACGTAAATGAGCAAGCAGGCACAGGGATAAAGGTGGAGGGGGAAACTTCTGTAGACAGGATGATCAAGGAAAAGTTAGGAAACGAGATTTCTTTTATCTTAATAGGAAAGAAAGAACCTATTTGTAGGCAAGAAAGTAGAAGAAGAAACAAAAAGTGGAAGACAGGAGCAATACTTATGGAGCAAAGCACAGGAGAAATGGGAGCCTGTTGGATCCTGGCCACGGGGGCTGTAGTGGACCTTGGAGAGGTTCAGGGACACTTCTTCCTTGAAATGAGATTGAAGAAAGAGGAGGAGTGTGGGGAAAAGCAAGAGAGATCAGATTGTTACTGTGTCTGTGTAGAAAGAAGTAGACATAGGAGACTCCATTTTGTTCTGTACTAAGACAAATTCTTCTGCCTTGGGATGCTGTTAATCTATGACCTTACCCCCAACTCCGTGCTCTCTGAAACATGTGCTGTGTCAAACTCAGGGTTAAATGGATTAAGGGTTGTGCAAGATGTCCTTTGTTAAACAGATGCTTGAAGACAGCATGCTCCTTAAGAGTCATCACCACTCCCTAATCTCAAGTACCCAGGGACACAAACACTGCGGAAGGCCACAGGGACCTCTGCCTAGGAAAGCCAGTTATTGTCCAAGGTTTCACCCCATGTGATAGTCTGAAATATGGCCTCGTGGGAAGGGAAAGACCTGACCGTCCCCCAGCCCGACACCCGTAAAGGGTCTGTGCTGAGGAGGATTAGTAGAAGAGGAAAGAATCCCTCTTTGCAGTTGAGACAAAACTGCCTTAGGCCTGGAGGTGGGACATGCGGGCAGCAATACCGCTTTGTAAAGCATTGAGATGTTTATGTGTATGCATACCTAAAAGCACAGCACTTGATTCTTTACCTTGTCTATGATGCAAAGACCTTTGTTCACATGTTTGTCTGCTGACCCTCTCCCCACTATTGTCTTGTGACCCTGACACATCCCCCCCTCGGAGAAACACCCATGAATGATCAATAAATACTAAGGGAACTCAGAGGCTGGCGGGATCCTCCATATGCTGAACGCTGGTTCCCTGGGTCCCCTTATTTCTTTATCTATACTTTGTGTCTTTTTCTTTTCCAAGTCTCTCGTTCCACCTAACGAGAAACACCCACAGGTGTGGAGGGGCAACCCACCCCTTCAGAGGAGTTCATCTCAGTAAGGTAGACCATGAGATCATTCACCAAGCCAGAGATTGTCCTTTGGTCTGGTGACATCTTCGAGTGGCTGCTGCAGGCCAGGAGCTGTGCTGGGCACCAAGCGTGCAAAGTCGAATAACACAGAAACCCGTTTTCAAGGAGTGCATAATGGCTTTAAAGGAGAGAGATTTGAAAACAAATTATTACAACTAAGTATAATAAGTGCTCTAATAGAAATATCCACTGGGTGGAGTGGAGCACAGAGGAAGGAGTGATCAGGACAACCTATGGAGGAGGGAGGGAAGGCGGTTCAGAGGAGGCTTCTTGTAACTTGTGTACTGAATCGCAAATATTTCAAGTATGTAAAGAGTAACCTGGGTGGGAACACTCTGGCCAGAGGGAGCACCATGTCCAGAGGCAGCCAGTAGCATAGTGGGTTAGAGGGAGGGCAAGTTTGAACCGCTAGTGTGTAAGGTTCAAGGGGAGAATTGGGGTAGGAGAAGGAGGTGGCATGCCTGGGCAAAAAAATTGGAGAGGTGAGTGACGGCCAGGCTACAGAGGTCCTGTTTTCTGTATAAGGAGGCTGGACTTTCCTCCTACAGGAATGGAAGTCATTGATGAGTTTAAATCAAAGATTTCACATCTGAGGCCATGTGGAGGAAGAATTGGAAGAATTCCTGATGAGAAGCAAGAAAAGCAATGACAGTTTGAGTTTGGGAAACAACTATTGGATAGAGAAAAGGAAACTGAAAAGAGAGGGGCTTAATTGATACAATTAATGAGATTTGGCTTCCGTCTGAATGTAAGGGTGAGGAAGGAGGAGTCCAGAAGACTCCCGGGTTCGTGGCATGGGGAAATCAAGGATGGAGTGCCCATCCCTAAGATAGAAAACAAATGTAGAGGGGGAACCTAGTTGGGAGTTAGGATGATAAAGTTTGAAATGTAAAAGTGGTTAAGAGGAATGAAATAAACAATCAATCATAAGTGGTTATCAAATGGTACGAGGGTCAAGTTGAAGTTAGCCGCATGAATCAGTAGTAACATCACCAGGAGGTGACCTAAGCTTCCCAGCAGAGCTTAGGAGTGAAGCAGAGAAAACAGGTTCATCTTTCCTCTAGAGCAAAGTGCGGGAATGTGAGAGTGGTAGAAGGTCAAGCAGAAAGAGAACTATCAGGCACCAGTGACGGTGCAGCTCAATGTCACTGAGCTTGAGCTCTGTGCCAGGATAGATGAGGAGCCAGAGGAAAGCCTAGTAAAGAGTTCCGGGACAGTGAAGGGAACAGAAGGTGTTTCTGAGGTCAAACAGAAGTTCAGTGGGAGACGTAGGGATAAGTGGCTATGGTCAGGATAGAGAATCGCAACATGTAGGATGCCAGAGGTAGAGTGCTTTCAGTTGACCTTGAGTTCTAAGATGTGGCTGTGCTCCAAGGGGGCTACTTGCACTAATGTGGCTCGGGTAGTGTCTGAAGTTAGATTTGAGAATTTGATCAGAGAGGACAGTAAGCATGGATGAGGAAGTCACTGTGACTCATGGCAGGGGAGGGTGGAGGGCACCCTCTGAGGAAGATGGAGATATATCCTGAAAGCCCTTCCTGCGGTCTATGAGGCCGGGTGCCATCTGCCTCCCGCCAGCCTCTCTTCCTGCGGCCCTGGTCCAGCCTCCCCACTCCAGCCCAGTGGGCCTTCTTTCAGTTCCTTGAATGCCCTGGACTTTGTTTCACCCCAGGGCCCTCACAAGTGCAATTTCCTCTTCTCAGAATTTCTAACACCCTTCAGCTTCTGCTCTACCTTCTTCCACTCCAATCAGATCTCATTTTGAATATCACTTCCCCAAGAAGACTTTCCCCAAATCGTCGGGCCTTAAGTCTGTGTTAGAACCCTCTGTCAAACTTCCCCCTATTACCTAGTACTTCTTAGCATTTACCACAATTGTAACTCAGTATGGTGTAATGATTTGCTTATGGCCAATCTCAGTGGATAAGCTTTTTGAGGGCAGACACCCTACCTGCCTTGTCTATTAATACAACTCAGTCCCTAATAGAGGACCCACTGATGCATTTTTACCTACCCTTGGTCTGTGAGGATTGGAAGTGGCACAATGCAATGTATGCGGTATTTTGATATAAAATATTGAACTAATATTCCAGAAATACATTTAAAATGTTAGATTAAATGTGTAAGTGAATGTGAAGGTAAATGGTTCACTGGATGGTGAAACAGCTAATCTCTCAAATTAAGACTCTACAGCATATAAATATATAGGCTGCTGCTACCCAAAGGACAATCTCTCAGTCTCTCCCGGAGTACCTCGCTGCCAGATCAATCTTCTTTAAACACCATTTTTATCACAGGACTCATGCTTAAAATTTTCAGAGACTCCATTTCCCTTCCCTGCTGCAACTGAAGTCCCCCCACAGACTTGCAGTGGCCTTTAGAATGTGTCTGGGCCCCGGCTCACTTCTGCTCATGGAAGGCTAGTTCTTTCATGCTTCCATTAACCTATCGGGCTCATTTTCCCACCTCCATGACTTGGCCCACAGTGCCTCCCTTTCTTGGAAGGCCCTCACCTTTCTCCAGAACACACTGGGCATTGTCCCTGTCACTTAAGACCGACCTCAACTCTCAGTTCCTCCCTGGAGCTTCAGCCTCTGGCCGTTTCTTGCCTAGTTGTTTTAGGCTCCTTTGAATTCCTATAGCCCCAGAGAACCACAACATAGTTCTCAATGTATACTGTCCTGGATTGTTCAGTATAGATTCTTGGGAGTTATACACGTCTCATAATAGATAATAAATTCCTCATCAAACCAAGGGGAACCTAAAATAATGTAGATCACCCTTGTCTTCCCCCAGACTATGATGCTGGTCAGGTTATCTGTTTACTGAATGTCCAAACACCTTGAGAAATCATTTTACCTTAAGAATTTCTTTTCAAATTCAATATATTTTGTTTCTATTTATTTATTTTATTTTAATTAATTTTTTTTTTGAGACAGAGTCTCACTCTGTCTCCCAGGCTGGAGTGCAGTGGCGCGATCTCAGCTCACTGCAACCTCCACCTCCTGGGTTCAAGCAATTCTCCTGCTTCAGCCTCCCCAGTAGCTGGGATTACAGGCACCCACCACCGTGCCTGGCTAATTTTTATATTTTTTAGTAGAGATGGGGTTTTGCCATGAGTCAGGAATTCGAGACAGGATGGTCTGAAACTCCTGACCTCATGTGATCCACCGCCTTGGCCTCCCCAAATGCTGGGATTACAGACGTAAGCCACCAGGCCCGGCTGAAATTTAACATATTTTGGAAAATATATTTTAGCATTGCTTTTCTTGTTTTTTCCCCTAGTCTCCTGCGAGTATATAGTTAATGGGATATGTTTGGGATGAATTATAAACAATCCCTTTCTAGAATACATTTACTGCCATAAGGATCTCTCCCAAGTCAGTTATTTGAGGTCATATGATATTTACAAGTGAGGCTGGACTAGGGATAGGAATTCCTGGTATTCTGTGTATTTTTCTAACTGACTGCAGTGACTCTCATAACATATGAAGACATTATTACAAAGTATGTTTAAGGCAATTCAGGACTTTTTTGTGTGTGACTCTTATTTAAACAACTATTTCCAGTGATTTTCTTGGCTGTATATCCCATAGAAATTAGGCAAGCTCTGTCTTTGAATCGCTGAAGGCATATTTCTTATAAAACGAAAACAGTTTTCATTTAAAAAAAAAAAAACCTCTATGTATTAAATCCATAAAAAAGAAAACAGAAAGGAAATCTACGTAACAAATGACAGTTAGTTACGTGTGTGTGGTTAAGGGCTCACTATCATTATATTCATAAAAATATTAATTATGTGCAGGGCTAGAATCCAAGACATATCTATAACTCCTTAGGAAATAATGTACAGGCTCATAGTCACTAATCAGCTGAAAAAAAGTCCTTGGAAAATTTAGAGAATGTGAGATTATTTTGCTTAACCAAGAGAAATAACACTGGATGGTGGTCAAAGCTTATGAACACAGTTTGTATACAAAGATAGGCAGTTCATATATCATTCTTTATCCTTTGAGAAAAGGTAACATAACATTTCAAGGTTCCGTGTCCCTTTTGCAAGTAAAAAAAAAAACAAAATAAAAAAAAAAACGTGGTGGAGGCAATTCTGGAATATCCAGGAAATCTGATCTCACAAATGAGGAAGCTCCCAAATATGGGCATAGAGTGAGACCAATTTTCCAGTGCAAATCCTCTGAGGTATATGCAGTTGGGAATACCCTTATTAAAAATTCCTTTCCCAAATCCAGTTTTAGAAGATCTGTTTAATTGCTAGATAAAACAGAAAAAAAAAGTCTAAAACTCTTTTTAGATTACTGATGGGAAAAAACAACAGTCATGATGTGGGGAATCACCCAAAGTTTTCTATAGACTCATAGGATCCAAGTAATCAGAGGCACTAATTTCAGGAGCCCTGGTTCAAGTGGCATTTCCTTCTGATCCATAACGGGCACCTTTCTGTTTCATATTGTCTGTGCACAGTCCACATATGAGGCCAGGGTCATCACCCACACAGAAAAGAGACAAAAATATGTGTGCCACCCCTACCCGCTTCTGAAAATGAATCTACATCAAAATGCAGGATACAGTCTGAACTTGTACAGTATGCTGTGTGACTAGACCAGGACTCTGGCTAGAGAGGTTAGTAAATGTGAAATACAAAGGCAAAAACTGTTATTTCCATTTGCACATGAATCATATTTGCTACCCGTCATAACCTAGTGACATAAAAGTATTGCAAATCCCCAGAGCCCCATTTGCTCCCTGGAAGGAAATCCCTGATCCCACCGTCCCCAAGTCTGGCCAAGCTAATTTTATCCGAGGACCTAGAGAGCCTGGGGTAAAGACTGTCAGCCTGGAGACTAAGAACAAGGATGCAGCAGCCAGATTGTGCTGCCACTTAAAGAAAGCATGGCTTTGGGCATATTATTTACCCTCTCAGTCTCAGTTGCCTTATCTATTAAATGGGTTTAATAATAGTGCTTACTTTACAAAGTGATCATGGGGGTAAACTAAACCTACATATTTTCTGCTTAGAAAACACTAGACCATTGCCAAGCAGAGGATATTAATAAATGCTATATAACTGTCAGCTATATTCATTGCTCTGATTACTTTAATACCAACCGTGTCCTTGTGCCTTGCCAACAGTTCTCCTGAGGGTTTCTGCTGCCTGCCCTATAAAGGCATCTTCATAAGAACTCTGCACTGACCTTACCTGCCCTTTATAGAACTGAACTTCATTCTGAATTCCTCAAAGAATTGTCCTCAAAATTGTATGACTGTTGACAACTGCAGTGTAGCGATCAGCAAATTCTCTCTCAGGTCATCTTTGAGTGGGTTGGCTCTGAGGTCCAGTCAGGTTCTGAGGGACTCTTGTCCTCACAGCCTGCTTCAGTCAGTGATGCTAAGATTGTAAGTCTAACCTTGTAATTCATCTCTGTCAGGTATCACAAACGCTTTCCCTGCATTAACTAATTTCTTTTTCTTGTCACAATCACCCTGTTTTTAGCCTCACTTTGGACATGAGGAAATTAAGGTACTAAGACATTAAAAACTTTGTTGTGTCACCCTGCTGGAAGTGACAAAGGCTGTCACAGGCAAATCTGGCCCCACGCTCTAGATGAGGTGCTCCCTCATGTTAGTCACCTGCCTGCCACCTGTTTTGGTTGGTGGTGGTTTCACAAAATCTCAGAACCTGGGCTATCCTCTTTGGGATGCTCTTCAACACTTTGGGATCAAGGCCACTGAATTTTCTAGACTGGGGGTCAGGGAACTATGGCCCATTAACTAATTTTTTTACATATTCAATGGTTGAAAAAAATTAAAAAATACTTTGTGCCATATGAAAATTATATGAAACTCAATTTTCAGTGTCCATAAATAAAGTTCTCTTGGAACACAGCCACACTCATTTATCCATGTATTATCTATGGCTGCCTTCGAACTTCAGTGGCAGAGATGAAGAGATGTGACAGAGACCATATGGCCCACAAAGCTGGAAATATTTACTATCTGGCCAACCCTGCTGTAGATTCTTGCTTCTCCACATGTGGTGCAGATACCACCAGCAGCAGCAGCAGCTGGGACTTTATAAGCAAAGTAGTACCTCTAAGGATTACGGGGAGGAATAGAGATATTGACTATACTGAACTCATCACAGTACCAGCCACATAGCAAGCAAATAAATGGAAACTAAATGGTAGCTCATAAGATTGTGAATCCTGGGCATTTGGGACATGTGACTTCCTTAGTAAGAAGTTCCATGGAAAGTCAGGAAACATTTTCATTATATTTGATCAAAAGTGAAGATCAATAATGTGTAAAGCTGTCATAGAATGAGTAAGGAGCTTCCTGCCTACTCCTCATCCTCCTAATTTCTCCCACATATGCCCTGCACCCAGACACTGCACATGCCACCTGCAGCTTCAGCCCCACCCGAGGCTCTGCAATAACCATGTCCTTAGTCATTGCTCAGGTGAGTCGGCATCAAGTCAACCCCACTCAGAGACCTGCTTTCACCACGTGCCCTACATTCTGAAACTGGGTGTCTGCCTTATGCCTCATTTATTCACTCAACAAACACTTAATTACCTCCCATGTGCCAAGCAGAGGGCCTCCTCTTGGAAACAATATAGCAATAAGCAAAACAGACATATAGTTTCTAGAAACAAGCCTTCCCCTTACACCCCAGTGAGTCAGTTTTTTTGTCCAAGTATCTGCCTTCCTAAAACCCTAAATATTCCACTTCCTCCAAGAATAAGTCCCAGATTTGCTCTCCCAGTTCTTGTAGGAATGAGGTCCTCTGACATCTAGTCCAGCCAACATCTCCTGCCAGCTCTGTAACTATGCGTGTCTCCACATACTTCTGCTCCCGGACTCCAGGCCTTTTCCCCAATTGGACCATCAATGTGATGCTGATCTTCCAAATACCTTTCCCACCCACCCAGTGCTGCTTCCCAGGCCCTAGGCCCTCCATGCCTACTTGGAGCCTCTTCTCTGACAGAGCATCCCTTTGGGTACTTTAGTGACAAACCCTCATTCTTTACACGACAGGCCTCACCAGCCTGTGTGGGAACAATCCCATGCTGATTGCATCGATGGAAACTCTAAAAGGAATCCTGGCTTTGTTCATTCACCTTTTTTGATCATGGGGTAGTCCTTATGTTTGGTGACTCATATTGAAACGCCTTGAGTGTTCCCTTCCCTGGGCAATCAGTTTCCCCTGATTCATTGGCCACATGCTTTTCCCTTGGGGAATAAGTAATTTGCTAGGCCATTTTTCCTACTTGCTGATGTATTTCTCAGAGGTTGAATAGGTTACCTGGGAAAGGCCAAATGGAAGTGTGACATAAATAAGTTTTCTGCCAAATGAAGGCATTAAAAAATTAAGACAATTTAACAGAGTACTCCTTGGATATTGATGTGATAGCATTTTCTGTCACATAAAAATGAAAACCTTATCCTCCTGCAAATGCAGCTGAAAAGATAGTTAGATTTCCTAGGATATTATTCAGACTGATTTTCAAGATAGACCAGGAACTACAGCCCTCAGTCAAGGTGCAATTTTACTAGCGAAAACAAGGTATACACTAATAATACCTAGCATGACAATGCTTCTGTTCCAGATGAAGGAGCATGCTCTGACATGCAGTCAAATCATATTTCAATTTATTTTACAGTTGGTTTTATTTAGCTTCTTTAAAATCAGCTAAATTAAGCACTGTGTTAATAGCACAGACTTTGAAGACAAGCAAATTTCCAGATGCAGTTTTACCAGTTTCTAGAGCTGTGACATTAACACTCAGTTATTCTGTCTGTAACATGGGATAATGATACTTACTTCAGAAAATTAAATATGATAAAGCGAATAAAACAGTTAGCTCATACTTAGTATACAGTGAGCGTGCCATAAGGTGTATTACATATATGGATATGGGGTGCTGAGTGTCGGGAGACAATAAATCCAGACTCTACATGTGATCGACATCTGAGCAATCTTATCAACCCCCCTGTTATCCTATGGAGGGAGATCCTCTACCTTCAAAACAAAAATAAAGTAGCTTTGAAAGCTGTAATGTATTTTTAATATTTTCTTCCTCCTGTCCAGAGTTGTCAAGAGAGATGTGAAATGTGACTTTTATGCAATCACCTCTTTCTGGGTCCTGATACTTCCCTTGATCGGCACGGCAGCCATACCCTGAATATCTCCTGTCCAAAGATGGCCACAGATACCCCTAGTGGGACTTCTGGTTGTCTCAATTCACTTTTCACAGAGGTGAGCAGGACATAGTGAGTGCGACATAAGTAGAAAAAGAGTTCCTATTTCAAGGGTAGAGCCAAGTGTGAGTCACAACCATGGAAATTTGAGATTATTGAAAGACCGATTTATCTTATTAGATTAGTCACACATAGTCCAGGATATGGCGATAAGTGTGCATTTGTCATGCTTTAATTTTTTAAGTGTGTGTTATGACCAGGCACTGACTATTATCTTCATTTAATCTTTACAATAACTCTTTGCAGGAAGTACCATTATTATACCCTCTTCACATTTAAACACTCTATGACATCTATACTTAGAAACTTCAAAATACTACTGAGGAGCACAAAAAGTTAAATAGGCATATCATAATCTTCAGTAAAAAGGTCCAATATCATAAATATGTTAAGTCATCCTAAATTAATTCATAAGTTTAATGCACTACCCCTCACAAAATAGTAATTAATTTTGTTGGGAGTCGGGGGAAGACTAGATTAATGGATACTGAAGTTCATATGAAAAAATAAACAAGTAACATTAGCGAGGAAAATCATAGAAAAAAGTTAGAAGATACTCTATTAGACAGTAAAGCATGTTACAAAATTCCGATTTAAACAATGCTTTCTTTGCCTAAGAACAGACAAGAAATTAATGGAACAGACTAGAAAGTCCAATACATCAAAATACACACAGAAGGGTTGGGCGCAGTGGCTCACGCCTGTAATCCCAACACTTTGGGAGGCTGAGGCAGGAGGATCACTTGAGGTCAGGAGTCCAAGATCAACCTGGCAACAAGGCAAAACCCTGTCTCTACTAAAAATACAAAAATTAGCCAGGTGTGGTGGCAGGCACCTGTAGTACCAGTACTTGGGAGGCCGAGGCAAGAGAATCGCTTGAACTTGAGAGGCAGAGGTTGCAGTCAGCCCAGATCGCACCACTGCACACCAGCCTGGGTGACAGAGCGAGACTCTGTCTCAAAAACAAACAAACAAACAAAACACACATGAAAATTTAGTACATGCTAAATTCAGTTGGTATGCTAAATTCAGTGGCAATTGATGTATTATTTAGTAAATGGTATTGTAACAACTGGGTGGCCATATGGAGAAATACAATAAAATGAGGTCTCTACTTTACAGCTTAAAATAAAATAAATTCCAGATGGAATAAATATTTAAATATGAAAAACAAAGTCACAAATTTTTTTTAATTGGGAGATTTTATTTATTTATTTTTTTAATTTCAGAGTGGGAAAGATCTTTCTAAATATGACTTAAAAAACCCAGAAGCCATAAAACAACTTTTAAAAAAACTCTGCTTGGTACTTTGGAAAGACATGCAAGATGAAAAATAAAATAAAATAAAACTGTGTTTGGAAAACTATCCCATATACAAAGATAAAAGACAAACTTTGCATATACAAATAAAAATACATGTATATTTGCAATTCATACAACAGACTAAGGGTTAATCCCTATATATAAACAGTTCTTAAACTTTGATAAGAAGGCCAATACCCAAGGAAAAATGCACAAAAGATGAGCGGTTACAGAAAGGGAAATAAAAATAGTTATTTAGGGCTGGGCACAGTGGTGCATTCCTGTAATCCCAGCACTCTGGGAGGCCCAGGTGGGAGGATTTCTTGAGGCCAGAAGTTCAAGACCAGCCTGGTCAATATAGCAAGACCCCATCTCTACAAAAAATTTAAAAACTTAGTCAGGCATGGTGGCACACACCTGTACTCCCAGTTGCTCTGGAGGCTGAGACAGGAGGATTGTTTGAGTCCAGGAGTTCGAGGCTGCAGTGAGCTGTGATCATACCACTACACTCCAGCCTGGAAGAAATAGTGAGACCACATTTGAAAAAAAGAAAAAGTTATGACCCACCACATTGCAGCATTGGCTCCTGCAGAAAGAGACTGGAAACTGCCTAAATGTTCATCGATAGTTAAGTAATGGTACAGCCATATCATGGAATGCTGTGCAGCCATTAAAAAAACTAATAATGTAGATTGCTTGTGCTGATATGGACGACTCCAAGATCTTTTCGGGTAAAAAGTATGTAAGCCTGAGAAAAGAACCTTCCAGAAGCTGAGAAACTTGCCTAAAATAACACTGCTATAAGGAGGGTAGTTGCTACTAGAACTCAGCTCTGTCTCAGTGTAGAGCCCTGCTTGTATTGGGCTCTGGGCACTGCTGTCGTTATACTGTGGGAAAGTCACATTGCTGGTAAGATGGGGAGGGTCACTGGATGCCCTGTTTTTGTGACTCCGTGGATCCATTGTTTCTTTGGGCAGTTTTTCAAAGAGTAGGGGACAGAGCATGGGATGAGGTATTGACTATAAGACTGACCTATTGAACAATTGTTTCTTGAGCACTTTATTAATGCTTTTCCCTTAACATGTGTCAGAGACATCCAGGACAAGCAGGGAGGTAGGGCTTCCTTGATCCTCTTAGGATCACTGGAGCCACCTTGAAGCTGAGGGATCTAGTATTGGTGCTATGGTTTGGCTCTGTCCCCACCCAAATCTCATCTTGAATTGTAGCTCCCATAATTCCCACATTTTGTGGGAGGGACCCGGTGGGAGATAACTGAATCATGGGGGCAGTTCACCCATACCGTTGTCATGGTAGTGAATAAGTCTCATGAGATCTGATGATTTTATAAGGTGTTTTCTCCTTCCCTTGGCTTTCATTCTCTTTTTGCTGGCCATGGAAGACATCCCTTTGCTCTTCCTTCATCTTCCACCATGATTGTGAGGCCTCCCCAGCCATGTGGAACTGTGAGTCAGTAAAACCTTTTTCCTTTATAAATTACACAGTCTTGGGTATGTCTTTATTAGCAGCATGAGAACAGACTAATACAATTGGGAAACATGAAAGTTTGTTCCCTCTGTCCTCTGCTCCTTGGAAAGCATTTTGTACCTTGAAGAAAGCTAGATATTTATGCCAAAACCTTTTCCATTCTGAAGGGGAAAGCACTCAGCAAACTAGAGCATTGACAGTAGTTGAAGGGCATGTGGCAACATCCCAAGTCAGTTCACAAAAGGAAATGAAGGCAGAGCTCTTATCTAGTTAAAACAGCTTGGGGAAAGAAAATGGGCAAGGGGTTATTACCTACCTTGGCATTTGGCCCAGAAAAGAAAGGTTGGTATTTCTTTTCTTAAAAAAAACTGTCAGGAAACCTCAAATTATAATCCTTGCTTTAGAGCTATAGAGAATTTTTCTTTCCTGAATCCCAGGGTACTTGACATATATGAATTATTTGGCCTTTGGAATGCTTCCTTAAAAAGCAATTACTGCATTAATTTTTGTATAGGTGGGGAAGTTAAATAAGATTAAGGTTTGACGAATTTACAAAACAATGTAAAGGCCCAACCTCTGGCATCTTTTCTGGAACTCCTAACTTTAAGTGATCTGTCCATTTGGCCTCCCAAAGTGCTGGGATTACAGGCATGAGCCCGGCACCCCGCCAAATCTCTGGCATCTTTTCTTCTTCTTCTTCTTTTTTTTTTTTTTTTGAGATGGAATTTCAATCTTCTTGCCCGGGCTGGAGTGCAATGGCACCATCTCGGCTCACTGCAACCTCCACCTCTCCAGTTCAAGCGATTCTCCTGCCTCAGCCTCCCTAGTAGCTGGGATTACAGGTGCACGCCACCACACCCAGCTAATTTTTGTATTTTTAGTAGAGACAGGGTTTCACTATGTTGGCCAGGCTGGTCTCAAACTCCTGACCTCAGGCAACCCACCAGCCTCAGCCTCCCAAAGTGCTGGGATTACAGGCATGAGCCCCACGCACGGCCAAATCTCTGGTTATCTTTTCTAACCTCTAAATTCACATTCCCTTGGTTTAGTGTTTACTGCTCTTATGAAGTGAGAGAAACCCCACTTGGCAAAAGCACGTTGGTATTTCCTAGAGAGGCTCTGGGTTTTGCTTTTGTTTTTGTTTTTGTTTTTTTAAGTTGTTGTTTGTTTGTTTTTACTTTCATCTGTTTTAAAGTTTCCATGGTAGCATGGTAGATTGTGGTCTATTGAGCAGTCAGAAAGCCTGGGTTTGATTTCTGGTCTGCACTAACCTGCTATGTGCTCCTGTGCATTCCGATTTACCTCACTGAGGCCGTTTCTTCATGAGGAGAAACTCAATGAGGAAATTTGTGTTAAATCAGATTATCAAGAGTTGCAGTATTATATAAAGCCAACGGAAGCAAGGCTGTTTTGGTTGGATTTGAAGAGGAACCATGGACGCACATCCTTTCTTGCCCATCTGCATGGCCTGAGAATAACCTTCATATCCTCTCCAAGGAACTCTAGGATTCCTATGTAGAAAGTAGCCAGAAAATGATCAGTCCTGATGGTTTCGAAGATCTCAAACTGTACCATTCAATAGTTCTATACCTGTAAAAATAAGTAAATGTGTAAAGGAATTCTTGAACTCCCTTGCAAAATACCCTTTACCCCAAGATATGGAAAACAACCATAAAATACCTTGTTGTAGCTTTTAGTTTTGTTAATTCCAAGCAAACCTTACAATAAAAAGACTTCTCCTGTCAGTAAAGTGAGCAAATAACAACTAACATTTATTGAGTGCTTACTATATGCCACTCACTGTTCTAAGCATATTGCATGTATTAACTTATTTAATCCTCCTAATAACCCTAAGTCCTATTATTATCTCCAATTTTTCAAATTCAAAACCAAAGCAGAGAAGCAAGTAACTTGCCCAAGGTTGTTTAGTAAGTGGCAGAACAAGCTTTGAACCCAGCAGTATGATTCAGACCCTATACTCAGATTCCCATATAAAATGTTATCCACTGTAATATCAAATCATATACAATTTTCTTGATGGAATCATAGAAAGATAAAATAGTGGAGTTGGAATGACTTAGGGATCAATGCATCCAGATCCTTCATTTTATAAATGAACAAAATGAGGCCAATTTAAGAAGGGAAAAAAATAATCTCTTAATCTCTTGGTTCAGCTGAAAGTTCCACTGTTTTTTCTAAAGTTTCTCAAAATGATTTATATAAGAATTTGTACCTTAAAGACATTTAAAAAAAAAAATAGGTATTGGCCAGGCACATTGACTCACACCTATAATTCCAGCACTTCAGGAGGCCGAGGAAAGAGGATTACTTGAGGCCAGGAGCTCAAGACCAGCTTGGGCAACAAAGCAAGACCCCAACTCTATAATAAATTATAAATTAGCTGAGTGTGGTGGCGCAAGCCTGTAGTCCCAGCTACTCAGGAGGCTGAAGCAGAAGGGTCGGTGAAGGCCACAGTGTGCCATGATCACACCACCATACTCCAGCCTGGGTGACAGAGTGAGACCTTGTCTCTAAAAAAATAATAAAACTTTTAAGAATTTGAAAATTAAAAAAAACAGGTATCAGCTCAGACAAACAGAAGCTTTAAGGCTTAGAGTAAATGATCATTAGTTTAGAAGGTTATTAATGTTCTGTTGTGAATTTTTTATTTAAATTATCCAATTTAGCACTAGAAAGACACTTTGAAAATAGCAGCATCCAGAGTTCCGCATTGTTCGTTCAGTTATCACAAAGTAAACAGCTGTAGCAAGGGAATAAGACATAGCAGGCTGTGCAGTTCTGAACAATTATTGCTAAAATGCCTAAGGCCAAGAATTTTTCAGCCACCCAAGAAGTATAATAATTTTCTCGAAGTTCAAAGCCAGAGATGTATATATGAATTAAGTTCTTACATAAAAAATCTTTTGCAAAAATCTCAAATCCCATACTTGCTCAAGTTAGGATGTTTGACACCATTGAGAACCAACCAAACAATGACTGTTTGGTTCAACCAGAGAACCTAAGAACCAACCATGAAAGCCTCAAGAATCAAGGCATTTCTTACAGGTTTATTTCACACCTGAATTGTAACAAGTTGAGTGTTCCCAGAGGTACTTCTTAAGGTATCATAAAAGTAACTTATTTCAAGAGAAAATTACATTTCATTGTAGAGATGAAGTATAATGCTTCTCTAGTTGTTTTCTGCAGAGAGCTGAACATGTCTCAAGATAGATTTGGTAGATTTATTTCAAATATGAAAAATTCAGGAACCCCTCCCCAACCCTCTCCTACTCCCTGGAAAGCATATACTAAAAATATGGCAATTCCAACTTTTTCTCCTGAATGCCTAAATGCTCTCTAATAAAAACTAGAAATCAACAAGGCTAAATTCTAGGGATTTTATGAGAACAGAACCAGTTAAGAAAAATTAAAACATTTTTCCCATTAATATAAAACAAAAGATGAACACTTTTGCATGTAAGTTCATTTACAAATAAATTTTTAAAAATTAAAGTGCATGAAAAAACATTTTAAAACTTCCAGACATTAATATGGGAAAACAGCCAACTTGCTGTAAACAAAAGAATAATAAATATTCTAAACAAAAATAAAATTCTAAGCCCCCGAACCACTGAATGGACCCCCAACTCTCAGCCGAGGGGATTTCAAAGAAACCTAAAATACTAGTTCAGGCCATGATGGGAAGGGAGGGTCGGACATGCTTCATTATACTCTCCTCTCTTTGGAATTCAGGCACAACTGACCAGCATTAACATTAAAACAGAGATCTTAAGACTGACAAAACAGACTTTTTGTAGCAATAAGATAGCAATGTGACAGGAGGCCCTGAAAGAAATCCAAGTATTTTACTTCAAAATATATTTATTTGATACATTTTGAAATGACCTGGCAAAGCTGTCTGTTGTGAGGAAACTCTCCATTCCGTAGATAATTCTCTCTCCTTTCCAGGTCTTTTCCTGATCCAGGAGATATTCAACTGAGTCTGGCACCGTTTAAGGTCTGATAGGAGATATTTACCACCTATTACTCTTTCTGAAGGCTGCTACCAGAAGGCTTCATCTTCATAACAAGAACCTTGGCCTCCACAACCCTCCTTATCTTAACCCTAAGCATTTCTGTCTTAACTCCTTAGAAAGAAACTTAACTGTTTCAACCAACTGCCAATCAGAACACCTTTGAATTCAACTATCAGCTGTAAGCCCAACACCCTCCTTGAAGTTGTCCTACCTTTCTGGACCAAATGAACATATACGTTACATACACTGATTGATGTCTGCCTATAAATTCTGTCCCCCTAAACTGTGTAAAATCAAGCTGTAACCCAACCACTGTGTTTGGATACATGTTCTCAGGACCTCCTGAGGCTATGTCATGGGTCATGGTCCTCACATTTGGCTCAGAATAAATGTCTTTAAATATTTTACAGAGATTGGCTTTTTTTTCTTTTTTCTTTTTTTTTTTTTTTTTGTTTGTCAACAGCATAGAAACATCCATACTAAACATACCTGGCAGAAGGTCAGTGCATCTCTCCCTTGCTGATGGTTATTCATTCAAACATGAAAGGAGAAAATAACTGGTTTAGTCTTTCTCAGGAACACACACTCTTTTTTTAGAGTCAGACTATTTTCTTCTTCAATGAGTTAAGTTTTACTAGAGACACTTAGTAGTATATTTGGAAACTTAAAATGTAATAGTAGTACCTCTTCTTTTCTGATCTTCTGTTTATTCCCTTACCTACCTAAAAAGATCAATCACTTACTAGGATTAACCCAACACTTAGGCTCAATCAACTGCATGAACGTGTTTGGACTCTCAAAATACTATATTTCCTCAATTTTACAACATACTTTTTTTAAACATTTAAAAATTTCTAATATAATCATTAGTTTAAATTTTTACGTAAAAAGCCTCAAATGCCAGGGAGTGAAGAGAGGTGGTTCTCATTGCCTGTGCATTTGCAAGCTTAGAAATGTCTAAAGGAAAGGTATCTTTTCATTCTTCCTCCCAATCCTTTCATTCATCTAACAAACTGTTGTTCACTGAGTGCCTGTTTTGTATCACGTACATTTCTGGGCACAGGGAGTACAGAGTACAATGATAGGCAAGCATCAATGATAGACTCTCAAAGAGTCTCATTCTAGTAGGGAAAGGTAGATGATAAACAATTGAACTGATAAATAAAGAATTTTCAATTGTGATAAATGTTACAAAGAAAGCAAGACAGAAAGATCAGGAAGTGGGGTAAGTCAGGGAGGTTTCTCTGATTAAATAACATGTAAGCAGAAAGCTGAGTGCTGAGCAGTTGCAAGGGCAGTCCCTGTAGAGAAAACAGTAAGTGCAGGGGCCCTGGGGCAAGCTGGCCTGAGCTCAGCAGAATAAGGGAACATGGAGACACCCTGTTGACTCATTTACATGGCTAGCTGAACAAGAAGTTCCATTTAACTTAAATTTGGATTTCTATCTCTTAAACAAAATATCTTTCAAAAGATACATTATGATGCTAGACTAAAGCTAACAGAGAAAAACGCAGAACTAAAGTCCATTGTTTCTGGTAAAGCAATGGCCCGTTTGGTCCCCATATAGAGATAAAGCTGTTTAAATGCATCATGGAAAAATAGGCCCACTCTCATGATGAAAGGCTTATAGGGAGCCAAATTCCTTTCCAAAGCTGTTATTAAACAGAGCATCTTTTTTTTTTTCTTTTTAATGGTTGCAGCACACCAACATGGCACAGGTATACATATGTAACAAACCTGCACGTTGTGCACATTTACCCTAGAACTTAAAGTATGATAAAAAAAAAAAATGAAAAGAGCATCTTAAAGGACTATCTCTATTTCCAGCAGACCTTCAAGAGAAGTTTAAAGGAATATGTAATGTTATAGTCAATTCTAAATTACTAAAAAGGCCAGAAGAGGCAGATTACTGCAAACAGCCTATCTGAGCACTGCAGTACACAATTGTCAAGGATCAAAATCAGCTCAGAGGAATCATAAAACTCCAAGAAGCCTTCGAATCAAACATGAATGGTGACAGTGAAGAAGAAAGAGAAATGTCATCACATCAATAAACATAGGCTAAGTGAGTAAAGGAAGAAACGTGTGTACATTTCCTACAATAAGGTTGTTCCCCTCCCAATCTTGTTATTAAATCCATAGTGTGTCTTACAAACATGGACTCTCAGAATCATAGAAATACCACAGCTCTTTCTCCAGCCTGCTAAAGTGCTTGGAATTTCCACCATTAAGCTCTAGGAAGTTCTGTAAGAACATTTTATCAAGAAATATAACACAGTAACACATCACAATCTGTTTGAAAAATGAGCATGATTTATCTTACCAGCCAGTCCCGGGAAACAGGTCTCTGAAAGAATGGAAGCCTTTCAAATTCTTTTTTTATGGAGATGGCTGGCAGCCAAAGGAGCAGGATTATAGAGACCCCAAACTAGACTGAAGGGATTGAGGGACAAATGAGAAAGGGGAATGTCAAGGCAAATTTTCACAATGGCTTGCACTATTCCAAGTAACAGGAACTAATTTATCTCAGAAACACCGGGCTTACTGCTAAAACCAACACTGCTTTCTAGCTCGTTCCTAATAACACCCATTTCTGGGCTTTCTAACATCCTATTTGGTCATTAATAGCAGCCTTCACAGAAACATAAATGAAACTAAGAATTGAATATTTATATTTATGATGTAAAATAAAATTACTTTCCCAAGTGTTTCAGCCAAGTGTTGACAGGAAATAAAACAGAATTCACAGGGATAGTGGATTTTCTGACAAGTTTGAGATGTCAGCATCGCACGCTTTCAGGCAAAGTGCAACAGAAGGAACTGTACTTGTCATTACACCAACTGCCTCCTTCCCAGTGGAGGGTCTTTGATCCTGGTACTATGACTCACTGGGTCACTAAGGACTTCAGTTGTCCCTCCACCATGGTGGGTCTTGGGTTTCTCCATTCAGTCCAGATAACACATGTAAAGGATCTGAGGTCCCTAGATAAGAAGCAACATTCAGTAGAATTTGGCATTCATAGGATGATGAAATTTATGACATCATTATCCCAGTTCTCACGGTTATAATCCACAGAAAGCTTCTCTTTATTCTCAGAACTAGCCCTTGTAGTGGCCTTGAATGTGCAAACGTTACCCTTTAGTAATGTTTGAGGCAGAATTTGAAAATCTGAAACATGATTCAAAGCTACCCTACAATAACTAAGCTGCCATAGTTACCTAAGGCTGCTTCCCAATATGTTTTCTATGAATCTGCCTTTCCAATAGAGCACAGTGCAGGGAAAAGGGGAGGGGGCAATTGTACAAAAGACACAAAAGGTCCAGTTTTAGTTTGGCCCATGACTGCCATGCCCTGGAATTCTGTACAGTCTCAGAAAGAGAGTGTCACTGATTATTAAAAATACATAATTTCTTCTTTTTTATTTTTTTAATTTTTAGAAACATGGGTCTTACTATGTTGCCCAGGATAGACTCAAACTCCCGGACTCAAAGGACCCTTCCCTCTCAGCCTCCCGAGTAGCTGGGACTGCAGACGCATGCTAATTAACAATCAACAACCAGGGGCCAGGCGCGGTGGCTCACGCCTGTAATCCCAGCACTTTGGGAGGCCAAGGCGGGTGGATCACGAGGTCAGGAGAATCGAGACCATCCTGGCTAACACGGCGAAACCCCGTCTCTACTAAAAATACAAAAAATTAGCCGGGCGTAGTGGCGGGCGCCTGTAGTCCCAGCTACTCGGGAGGCTGAGGCAGGAGAATGGCGTGAACCCGGGAGGCGGAGCTTGCAGTGAGCTGAGATCGCGCCACTGCACTCCAGCCTGGGCGACAGAGCAAGACGACGTCTCAAAAAAAAAAAAAAGAATCAACAACCAATCAACTGTTGCTGATTCTTGATTAAGAAAGGCTCATGAAATATGTTTGAGCTCAGCAGGGTCTCCTCTCACTTGTCACACGTGGTGCTCTCTTTCATCAGGTTCTTCCTGCTCCCCCCATCTGGGCAAGCACATCTTTTTTACTGCATGGTACAGGGATACAGGCTGCAAGCACAGTCTCACGGGAACCGTTTAATTCCAAGAGGTCATGTGTGCTCATTTTACATAGTTCATGACCCATAAACCCCAGCATTGGTGTCAAAATGGCACGTAACTTAGGAACTCTCCAAAAATATTTCACATAATCAGAATTCCTTTTTCATCTAATAAGGAGACATATTTTTTCTCCTAAGTGTCTACTAAATGTTAATAAATATTCTCTTCTTTAAAGAGTTCTGTCCATCTTGACAAGGCCTATAGCTCAAATTAAATCTCCTTCAAGGCTTTTCAGCATTCTATATCTCTTTGGTTTCAACTTATTCAACAAATCTCCCCAAATTGTATTTCTCCTTTTTTTCATAAGAAGGCATTCCATCTATACTCTCTCCTTCTCTTCTTTTCTTTCCTTCTGATTCACCAAGAAAATTGTCATTGGTCTTGTCCATGTGTTACATAATAGAAGGGGAAAAGGCAAGGGTACAGCCCAACACAGCGCTGATTTAGAAGGTGGAAAGGACAGTAAAGACCGCCTGGTGGTGGGAGTGGCAATTCACAAGCCCAGCAGTAGAATCATGGAAAGTGGAGTTCGAACATAATCCAGGGCTATAGACCACTCCTGCATCTGACTGCTATTACCTTGTCACAAATCCTGGCAGGCAAGATGACAAAGCAGTTACATCAGGACAGTTGGCAGTGGCAGGTATGAACGTGGCCCCTCAGGCTTGTCACTCCTCTTTACTGCACTCCCAGTTCATGACACCAGACAGCAAGACATGAGCCAGATAGGGGCAGTGGAAGCTGCAGGAGGATTGAAGTCATGGAGCCAGAGATGAGAGGAAACAGGCCAACTCTGTTTACAAAGGAGCACCAGCAGGAGAGTGGTGTGAGGATTAACATTCCATGCAGGGTCTTTCAGATACATGATCTTCTTCTGCCAGCTCAACTGAAACCCAGGAGGTTTCCTGAAGGTGAAACCAAGACCCTTCTACCTCTGAAGCCGCATTCTGTCTAAGGTCCGTGTTTGGCTGTTTTGAGAGGCTGGGAGACAGGACACCAAAAGAGTACCTGTCTCACAGGATCTTTCCTGAGAGGAATGGTCTAGTAAGACTGGTCATTATGGGCTTTGGAGTAACACAGGCTTAATGCCACTGGCGACTCTGCCCCTTTTGGTTGTGGAAACTGGGCAAATGCCTCAAGCTTCTTAACCTTCATATAAAAAGCATATATAAGCATATAGCAAGTACTTGATAAATGTCATTTTAGACCCTGTCATTTCTGCTAGCCCTGGACTCCAGCAAGGTCCATTTACAATGGATAGCTGACTATCCATTGTTTGAATGTTGATAGCACATTTGTGAACAAGAAGAGAGGACAAATAACAAGAGGTTTGGAACTGGAAGAAATTCCAGCCATCGGTTTTAAAAGACGAGGACCAGTCTTCAGAGAGGCCACTAGTGACACTCTGCTCCAAACTTCTTTTTGCCAAAAAAGTGCCACCCTCCATCCAGCCCCCACCCCCATCTCTGCAAGTCCTTACTGGCGAGAGGAGGATACTTTTCTAATTAAAAACCTGTGATATATGGCCTGACAAGTATTCTTAAATGTAATTAAGGGGACCATAGTACAGAATATTTCCATCCGGTTCTAGTTTAGCCAATCTAGTAAATGATCCAAAGGGTCCCGTGCTTAGAGGGCAGTAAGACAGTAAAAACGCCCTAAGACTCCTCCCTGCACAGCACCTGCACCCCCACTGCCCAGGGGGCTGCATCCATCTCCACATGACTCACCCTCCCTGTGCAACGCATGGGGGTAGGGAGGGAAGCGCCAGTATTATCAGCCATCAGCACCCTGGGGTGAACTGATTATCAGGACAACTAAAAACACACCTAATAAAGCCTTGGAGACACATGGCAAGCACCGTGATGGACTAGAAGCGATTTCTAAGCTGAAATGCTGCTTTGAATGCAATGTCAGCTGGATGCTTGGTGAGCAGAAATAGACAAGGGGAAATGGAGCAAGCGCGGCATAGGGGTGAGTGTTGTTCTGATTCCTAAGTTTACCTAAGACTGGGGCCACGGGGTCGGGTGTCCCCTGGGACCTACGTCTCATGCAGCCTGGGGTCCAGAGCTGGCAGGAACAATGGAGATGGGGACCAAAGGCTGTCACCGCTGCTTTTTCTCGAAATGCCCGCCCGGGTCCTGTCTGGGGCTCCCGCCTACGCGCTCATCACGTGCACAGCCCAAACTTTTCAGAGCCGGCCCGAGGCCTGCGGGCCCGGGCGCCAGGGTGGTTTTTAGGGTTTTCTTTCTTTCTTATTTCCCTTCTTCTTCTCCACAGTTGATGATTTTCTGCAGAAAAACAACTGCGAAAAAGAACCTATTTCATTTCCAGTTCCCATCACCGCGATTTCCACATGGATGTGACGTGACCCCAGCTTCCGAAATGCCCAGGTGACTCACGCGGGGACACCCCGGGGCGGGGCGAGGGAGTTTCTCCGGGCGCCTGCAGGGACCGGGCGGGGCGGGGCAGCGGGGCGGGGCAGGGAAAGGGGGCGGGGCGGGGCCCGCAGGCCCGGTCGGGCGGAGGCCGCGCGCGCCCCTCGCCCCCTGCGCCCTCTGGCGGCCGGCTGGACGCACTTCGCAGCCCGACCCAGAGAGTCACGTGACTTTGGAAAGTCCCGTGGAAATCCCCGGGCCTACAACCCGCATACAACTGAAACGGGGCAAAGCAGACTGCGCAGTCTGCAGTCTTCGTGGCGGGCCAAGCGAGCTTGGAGCCCGCGGGGGCGGAGCGGTGAGAGCGGCCGCCAAGAGAGATCACACCCCCAGCCGACCCTGCCAGCGAGCGAGCCCGACCCCAGGCGTCCATGGAGCGTCGCCTCCGCCCGGTCCCTGCCCCGACCCCCGCCTGCGGCGCGCTCCTGCCTTGACCAGGACTTGGGACTTTGCGAAAGGATCGCGGGGCCCGGAGAGGTAACCGCCGCGCCTCCCGGAGAGGTAACCGCCGCGCCTCCCGGAGAGGTAACCGCCGCGCCTCCCCGTGCCGTCTGCCTCGGGCTCACCGCAGTCAAGGGCTGCGGGTGCATGTTGGGCAGCGACCCCCGGGCTGGCACCGTCTACCTGGCGTTGGTTTTGCAGCGCTCCTGGACTGGGAGTTTGTTGGACGTTTCTGTCTGGGTTTTGAAGTGCTGGGAGTTGAGGTCACTGCTGCAGAGGTTGGAGTGACAGCCCTGGATACCTCCAGCCAGCTGTTCCTTTCAGATAATGCACGGAACTTAAGCTGCAGCTGACTGGTGAAGAGGCGCCCCTCGGGCCCTCCGATCGGGTGGTCGTTGGCGCTTTGCTCCTTTCGTGTCTTTTTTGGAGCCAAGCGTTGCATGCTCATGGCCACGTAGACCTTGCAGAAGCGCTGCGGCTTTTTCCCAAATTGTGCAGGACCAGCCCGACGGGGCGTAGGGTACCGCAGTGGCCGCCAGCCCGGCGGAGGTGGGGGGCTTCAGTCCCAGAGACAGCTTCCCAGACGCTCACGGGTCCTTGCAGGGGGCTGGGGTCCTGGCGCGGGGTTCAGCTTTTCCAGTAGCAGCAGTGTAAGAGAAGTATGCATGTAGACGTGGGTCGCTGGCCCCTGCTCCAGCCCCTACCCCACGGTTAGACTGTCTTTGTCAGCTGGAGTCGTCCCACATCCTGCCACCTGGCCTCTCAGAAAAGCAGTGGCATTAAGTAAGGAAGGAGCTTAACTCTTTTTGAGCCCGCTTTGTTTTCGGTTCTCCTCGCCTCAGATCTTCTTGCCTTGGAAAGCCAGTCTGGTCAAGTGTCTCAGGGTAGCATTTTGGCAGAACCATTGTTAATTAAAGGGACTTCTGGACCGCAACCTTAATGTACCAGATTATTGAGCAGCCAATGAATGCTTCATTCTCATTGTTTAAGGTGCTGCTTTGATTTTTTTTTCAATTCTTTGTACTATTTTTGATTTTTTGGAGAGGCACATCCCCAAATTTGGATGAGGTATTTGTTGATAAATAATTCATCAATTTCCACAATGCAGACAAAAATGTCTGCCCAGAGTGGAAAAATAAAACAAGGGGGAGAAGAGTTTGAGTAACGGAGAAGTTCTGTGGAATCCTAGTGACAAAAGTTGAGAAACTACCTTTAAATAAGACAGTGAGGTAACAAATGTTAAAAAAAAAAAAGTTAAGGGTAATATTGCATTGTTTGCCACTTATAACGTATCTGAAACATTTGTTCTTTAATCTTAAGCGTAGAGTGGTCCAAGACCTGGAAATCTGGGCAGTGGGTTTTGATTTCTAAGGAGGCAGTTTTACAGGCTGTGCAAGGCTAACCCTACCAATGAGATCACACTGGCGTATCCGATATTGACATTTGCATGTCTTGCCTATGGTTTACAGCTCTCACTATTTTAGATCTTTGGTGAAAAATCTTTAGATTCAGAAGAGAAAAATAAAAGAGTCAGGCAAGCAAAAAGAGATAACACCTCATTTGTTTAAAATCTTCCTACTGCCCATCTCTTTCCATCTGATTGTGGCAGGCACTGTAGCCACAGGTTTGGTGTTGTGGGATTGCAAGGGGCAGGTATTGAAAGACCTGGCTCCTAGGCAAAACTTTGCCCCTGAATGGCTGTGGGATCTGAGCAGTACCTGTAACTCCATTGCCTTAGCTGCAGACTAAGGTGGTAGTGTAATTTCAGGGAAGGGAATAAGGTCATCTTTGACTTTTAGTCCCATCATCAAGCATGGTGATTGGCCTTCAGTAGGTGGTCAGGTAGTGCTTGTTGGGTGGATGGGTGGATGGATGGATAGATGGATGGATGGATGGATGGATGGATGGATGGATGGATGGACGGACGGACGGACGGACGGATAGATGATATTGTGAAAGAGACTTTTGCTGTGCCACAAAGGAAAGGTATATGTGTTATTTTTATCCTGCTATGATTTTGCCCAATTCCACCTGTAGAGGACGTCTGACATCAAAAGAGAGCACCATCTGATCCAGAGAATGACTCCCACTATGCCTTTCCCAGCAATCAGATTAAGAATCCCAATCTAAAACTATCACCAGAAAACTCCTCAGGAGAAACCATGGGTCATCTAGTCCAACCTCTCTCCTTTGAGTGGGCCACAAGAATTATCTCAACACCTTATCAATGGTGTTGAGAGTCTAGACCCACACAGAAGTAGCTACCCTAAAATCTAGGTTTCTTCTCCTCCCTCTTCCATAGGTTTAACATTTTTATTAACTGGAAAGTTGCCCTGGCAAATAAGATGTTGCAGGAATGGAATTAACAATCACTGTGAAATTTCCTAGGGAATGTCTTTGTGCTCTGAAAACTTCTTCATCTTCTTGGAAATTAGGAAGTGTGGCCAGACACCCTACTAAGGGCTAGTAAATCACAGCTGGCTTTTTACAGTGTTCCACACTGGAGAGATCCTACATCATGTTAATTTGCATCATCCTGCGCTGTTGGCATGGGTTGTAGATGCTGGTCTTTGCCACCTTTCCTCCTTCATTTGCCAGAGTGGCCTCCTGGTGGAAACTTCTTTCCTTGTCTACTTCTAGATTTTCATTCCTTCTACTAGTTGATTATGCTTAAAGATTTCAGGGTGAAAAGCCAGGCAGACTTGCCTCTGTGTTGGTACCTGGAGGGTGATGATAAAATTTCATTGGCAGTTGAGTTAAAATGATTGAGCTCCAATATCTGTTCTTAGAAGTATAGAATTTATTGTTCTATTATTATTTTGCGGTTTTTCATTTTTTGTTTTCGTAGAGACCTAGGTCTCACCGTGTTGCCCAGGCTAGTCTCAAACTCCTGAGCTTAAGTGATCCTCCTCCCTCGACCTCCCAAAGTGCCAGGATTAAAGGCATGAGCCACCATGCCTAGCCTATTGTTAGTCTGTTTCTTATTCTGATATGAAGTCCGGTGCGGAGGTTCTGAAGGAATGCTGACTGCTCTTAAAATTGCAAAGCATCTTGCTGGAAATGGACTTTTTTATTGATTAGAAAACATTCGGTTTTAACTCTTTATAAACATCAGAATAAACTTCATGATTAAACACTTTATAAATACTTCTCTTTGGGGCTAAAGAGGAAACACCAACCAGCAGCCTAAGTGACAGCATAAAATTGCAAGATTTTTCATAAAGTATTTTACTGTCCTTCCAGCATAGGGAGGGAGTGATAACTCAAGAGTTTGCCCAAGAGCAGGAGTGCTTGGTGGTGGTCTGAGGGGAGGAGCTACAGACTTGTCAGGGCTACTTTGAGCCCTTAACTGGCATCCAGTACTCCCCAAATCCAGTGCTGTTCAGGGTGGCCTCAGAATGAAACGGGAGCTTAAGTTGGTTTTGAGGAGCAGTACCTGTTGCTGACAGACAGGGTTGGCTCCCTGACAAACATTACTGAAAACACGGGTTATTCCCCTCCTCCTCAGTACCCACTCTCTGCCTTCCTTCTCTTGTTTAGGCTAATCTTTTAAAGTGATGTAACTTAAAACAGTCCAGTGTGAGTTAATCTCTGGGGCCAGCTAGTATCCCGGGAGTAGAGGTGCTAAGATCTTTTGCCTACAGATCAGGGTAATGACAAGATCAAACACTGGGGTTTCCTGCAGGCAGCTATAGAGGAGTCGTATTAAAGTCAGGCTAATAGAATGGCTTTTTTTTTTTCCTTTCCTTTTCAGGTGTTGGAGAGCACAATGGCTGAACAAGTCCTTCCTCAGGCTTTGTATTTGAGCAATATGCGGAAAGCTGTGAAGATACGGGAGAGAACTCCAGAAGACATTTTTAAACCTACTAATGGGATCATTCATCATTTTAAAACCATGCACCGATACACACTGGAAATGTTCAGAACTTGCCAGTTTTGTCCTCAGTTTCGGGAGATCATCCACAAAGCCCTCATCGACAGAAACATCCAGGCCACCCTGGAAAGCCAGAAGAAACTCAACTGGTGTCGAGAAGTCCGGAAGCTTGTGGCGCTGAAAACGAACGGTAAGACTTGTTCTGTTGTGTTTCTTTTGCCTGGGTGATAGCTCCCGCCTGCTGGATCCCCATTCATGAAGCTTTAATAGGACAAGCCCAAACTCAAATCAATCTTGAGATTTAGTATTGAGACCTTTATATAGAATCTCTATTCGGGGTATGTGATAATAGCAGACTTGTTTTGTGAATCTATTTATTAAGGATATTTTCTGATTGTGTATATTGCAGAGCACATTGAGGCTTGGAGAATGCATTTGTAAACACCATACCTCCATTAGGTGATTTCTTTCTAATTCTTGCAAATGTCTAATCATCTGTAAAATACCCTTCTCTGGCCCGTAATGGAAATGTTAAAAGCCTTTAAGTTCAAAAGGAAAGAATGGTGTGAAAACTGGTAGTACATTTGTTTCCCACTGTCATTAGAAAATGCTTGTGATGTTCTTACACTTCTTGAATTGGTAGCATTTTATGGGTTAACCAGTGAATGGCTGTTGAAGACATGAAGAACTTCTTTTGTCTCCTCCTCCTCTCTGACCTAGGTTCTATTGCCTATGCCCTGCAAGGTGAAATAGACAGATAGCTGAGATTTTTAGCATGAATTTTAGACTTCACCTTCATTATTTTTAGGGGTTCTTAGTCACTGAATTCCTTCCTGTCTGTGCTGTTCTGCCAATGGCCTTTACCACTAGTAGCTATTTCCTATTCCAAGCTTTACTGTTTTGTTTTTTAATCATTTCCCTTGGGTAAGAATATGTGCATCAACAGGAATGTCAGAGCATACTGTTTCATGCAGGCACAAAATTCTGCTCTATGGATGTGCATAATTATGACAATAAGGAAGTTGACTGTACAAGCTCAATTAAATGCTCATAGTCTACATAAGAGCAGGAATCTCAGGTCCTTATATCTGTGACAGTCCCAAACCATCCTAATAGAAATAATATGTCCAAGGGCAGAAAATCCTTGTTGACAAGGATTACGATAAGAACACTAACTTAATTAACTTCATTCAAAAGCCAAGTACATTAACTTTGGCTTTTTTTGACTTGGGTAACTTAGAGTGATTGGTGGACATGGGTTTTTAAATTTTGATTCTGGGGGCTCTTGTACATTACCCCAACGTCTTGCCTAGATTTATGAAACACTGATTCTTAGAAACATAGATAGAAAGAAAACTGGGGATAGCTACTATCTGCATTGTTCTTGGCATTAAATTAAGTGATACTTAGAGGTAGGTAATTATGTGAAGTCATCATCACGGGGTTTATGTGCCTGACAATTTGTGGTTTTAATCATCTCCCATTTGTTACCAAAAAGAGATGGAGTCAACTTTGGGGGAGTTGGAAACAAAGATTCTGCTGAATTAAAAATGTGGTAGAAAGAGGAACACCTTATTAAGAGAATTAACTGACTTTTAGCTTTATTTCCTTAAGAAAGGAAATGCTCTATTTCCACTAGAAAAAAAAAAGGAATATAAATAGGAAACACTTATTTTGTAAACATGTCATTTAAATCAACAAGGAGCCACACTACAAATAAAACTACAAAAGCAGGTGCATTTTGGTAACATTTTCTGGGAAATCATTTTTAGACTCAGAGTCCTTTTGTTTCTTCACTTTCAAGAAAACTCCTTAAGATTCTAAAAAAGGAAGAAAAGATATTTAGGGAGGGAGGAAAACAAATGACTTTTTCTTTGATTTTAATTAGCACCTTTTAAAAAAAAATTAATCCTTCCCCTGATAGGAGGGTTCTTCAAAGGCAATATCTGTTTGGGGAGGGGGTGATTCACAAGTTTGCATTTGAGGATATGAGACTGCGGTGAATGAGGAAGGGAGTAGGTGGCATAAAATTGAAACTTCATGTGAAAAATTCCAGCGTCTATTGGCTGCAGCGATTTCACTTGTATAATGAGTAGCCCTATTCCAGCTCACCCTGACCACACCCACTTGGAAAGTCCAGGGTGCACTTCGCAGTTTAAATGTCTACACACCAGAACAAAAAGTACAATAGCTGTTGCTCAATTGCTAGTCAAATAACTTAGCACTGGGGAATTCCAGATGTTACTTAGGGAATTTTATACTGGTGCATCTCAATAAAGAACTGAAAGTAAGCACAAGAAGAAAAAAAGCCTTATCTTTGCTCTAGATTTTGCAAAGGGGAAATTTCAACAGAACGCAATCATTGCTACACGTCTGCCAAGACACAAGGCTTGGGCGATCTTTTTTGTTCATTTGTTTGAATACTTAGCTAGTTTTTCTAAATGTATACATTGAAGGAATACTGGCTGTGGAAGTATATTTGAGGGTTTTTTGGTTTCTTTACAGTTTGACTGTAATTACAATTTGATAAAATTTCAAATAGCTCTATTGCCCTACTTATAGAGTAATGTAAGAAACAATGTAACTTTTCATTATAAAAATTATTTTGCACTTGCCAAAGGAGATTAAGGAGTTAACTTTTTTTGTTTTAAACATTCCCCCAAAATATTTATCGTTTGGGGGTTGAAAAAAATGCAGCCCATTGAATTGTGAGTTTTAAACTGGAAAGGTCACAGATTAATGGCATACAATTAAACCTGTTTTTTTGTTTGTTTTTCTTCTCAAAATGTTAGCCCTAAACACTGAATTATTTTCAAATTTAGACACCCAGGTGCTTTTTAACTTTTGTACTTTACAGTTACTAACAAGCAGGTTTGCATAAGGCATTTTTGAGAGCCGGACTAGCAGGCCATAGGTAATTCCGTGTTGTCAATACGACTTTCCACACCAGGAGAGGAAACTCCCAGGGCCCAAAGGCTAAAGTGGAATGGTCAAGTCATTTGCCATTGAGTCATAGCCAGACCATCCCTATCTAGCAAGCCATGCCTGCTTCCTGGTTTGTGCATGTTGCCCTGTGTGCTCCTCCTTAGAACTAGAGAGCAGCAATGCCAGTGCCTTCACCAGCAAATCAAGGGATGGTAGGAAGGGATAGGGCTTTAGAGATCATCACTTACTGCCCTCATTTCACAAGAGGAAAAATGCCCAGTGAACTTAAGGAATTTCCTCCAGGTCACCTAAACTAGTTAGGAGCAGACTTAAGCTAGAACCAAGGTCCCCTGGCTCCTTTGCAGTTGGTGTCATTCATTAAAAAGAAGAATAAAAAGAACTCTTTTTTTCTTAAAGCTGTCATCATCTTGTGAAATATCAGTTTGCCCTTGACTAGGAAATTACATCAAATTAAACCATTCAGTCCCCTAGAATAGCAGTAGGGCTGGTTTATTCTGAAAACCTTTGCTGGGTCTTACATGCAGATAACTTGACTTTCCTTCTCTTCTCCTCCTTTCTGTCCTCAGGTGACGGCAATTGCCTCATGCATGCCACTTCTCAGTACATGTGGGGCGTTCAGGACACAGACTTGGTACTGAGGAAGGCGCTGTTCAGCACGCTCAAGGAAACAGACACACGCAACTTTAAATTCCGCTGGCAACTGGAGTCTCTCAAATCTCAGGAATTTGTTGAAACGGGGCTTTGCTATGATACTCGGGTAGGTTTTTCCCCCTAATTATCTACTAACAGAGCTCCATGGTGGGCATAGGGTACCCCTGGGCGAGTCCCTGCCCTCTGGTAGCATCTGATGGACTAGGTCACATGAATTTGGCTAAGCGAAGCATACTCAATGGAAAACACCAGAAACCTCCAGTGGGACTCACCCAAGGCTTTTGCCCTGCTTTTGGTTAGCAGATTCCCAGCTGTGGATCCGTTCCTGTAGCAGCGAGTCTTTTGATCATGGCCTTTTCCACTGGTGTTTTGTTGTTTTTCAGTTTGATTGCCCTTAGCTTTGCTGAGCCAGCCAGTAAGATTAAGACACGTGCCTCACCATCCTCAGTCACAAGTTTGGAATTTTTGTGAACATTTGGATAAGGGGCTGCAATATGATACCTCATCAGGGATTTTTTTTTAAAGCAGGTGCTGTCCCCGTCCTCCCCAACTTTTGAGTTTGCCTTGTAGTGGAAAAAAGTAAAGGAAGAAAACCGAAATGGGGAAAAAAGGGTGATCATTTGAATGATGGTTTCATGAAAGGGGAAAAAATAAGCTGAGTTATATAAATGAATAATTGTAGAGTGATGTCAGAATGACTTTTTAGTACAGGGAGTACAGGATACATTCAAGCTTTTTTTTCACCCCGCTCCCCTTAGAACTGGAATGATGAATGGGACAATCTTATCAAAATGGCTTCCACAGACACACCCATGGCCCGAAGTGGACTTCAGTACAACTCACTGGAAGAAATACACATATTTGTCCTTTGCAACATCCTCAGAAGGCCAATCATTGTCATTTCAGGTGAGATGCCTGCAGATCACGGATCTGTACTTAAATGCTTTCAGCCTTATGCCTTGGCTCCTGGAGAAAACCACACTGCCAAAGTTCAGGTAACAGAGTTCAATGGAATTTGATGAAAGTCACCTAAGGGCCTCATTTTCCTTTCTCTTTCTTTGAACAGACAAAATGCTAAGAAGTTTGGAATCAGGTTCCAATTTCGCCCCTTTGAAAGTGGGTGGAATTTACTTGCCTCTCCACTGGCCTGCCCAGGAATGCTACAGATACCCCATTGTTCTCGGCTATGACAGCCATCATTTTGTACCCTTGGTGACCCTGAAGGACAGTGGGCCTGGTGAGAAAACTGCATTAATTCACATCTATAACTAGACACTGAAACATCAGGGTTTTCCTTTTTGCTTCTTATTAAAACAGTCTTATTTAAGTATATTATTTTTATTTAAATATATTGTTCTGTGACTTGCTTGGTTAGTAAGAGTAATGCAGTAGCAGTAATCATAATACCCTCATATCTTTTTGAATATGACTTGGAAAGTACTTTCATACATGATAAATTAAGGCGCACAGTGCTCTTAATACAGTGCCTGGTATGGAGCAAGTAAACGCCTGTCAGGTTAGTTTTTTTCTTTTTGAGACAGGGTTTCCCTCCATTGTCCAGGCTGGAGTGCAGTGGCACAATCATGGCTCATTGCAGCCTCCACCCCCTGGGCTCAAGCAGTCTCTCGCTTTGGCCTCTCAAATTTACAGGCACGAGCCACCATGCCTGGCCTGTTAGCTGTTATTTTAATAGCCTCATGTGGAATAAGCACTGTGCTTTGGAAATATTATTTTACTGCATTTTTATCCTTTTAGCACTCTTGTGAGATGTAGGCCTTGGTAGCCTTATTTTACATATTAGACAGTTAAAGCTCAGAGAGGTCAACTAACCTGCCTAATGCCACACAGCTTGATAGTGACAAAGCCAGGATTCAAACTCAGGTCAGTCTGATTCTAAAGCCTGGGACTTTAACCAATAAGATCCACCACCTCCAGGCTGGTTAATGTTATGTGAGTTTCCTGGAAACAGTGCATTTTTATATTAGATTGTAGCACATTTTGTTTTCCCATTTGGGTTTAACTGTGGCTAAGAATACTTTTCTATTCTGTAAGTTATATCTTTTATACATTTTCAAAATGAGATCTACTTACCTATGGCCTTGTTTAGTAGAATACTGTTTTACTTATGTATTATTTTTTTCCTTAGAAATCCGAGCTGTTCCACTTGTTAACAGAGACCGGGGAAGATTTGAAGACTTAAAAGTTCACTTTTTGACAGATCCTGAAAATGAGATGAAGGAGAAGCTCTTAAAAGAGTACTTAATGGTGATAGAAATCCCCGTCCAAGGCTGGGACCATGGCACAACTCATCTCATCAATGCCGCAAAGTAAGCAGTTTATGTTCAGCTCTCTCCTGTGTCATCTGTAACTGTCTTTAACCTCAGCCACCTGAGTTGCTGCCACCCTGAAGCTCAACAGTAGAGTGATTTGCGGCCAGTTTCTGCCAATGGGAAACAAATTCAGAGTCTTGTGCATGGTTAGAGAGGATTATGTAAGGCAGTACTAACTTGGGTTTCAAATCAAAACATGTCATTTATCCATAATGATTTTCCTGGATATCTGGATCCCAAAAGTCAGAATTGCAGAATTATGGGTTTTCAAAGTGCATTTACATCAAGGATAGTTGTTGTTTCTTGTTTTTGTATTTTAATTACTCTGGTACATATTAAAAAGACTAGTGAAAACACTTGGAAACAAAAGCCTTTCTCTCTTGGCTTCTTGGTAAGAACAGGCACATCAGACATAGATGGAGCTGTAGAATTGTTTATGTTGCAGCTCATGATTCTGCCACATGGAAATGGGAGGAAAGCCCCAGAATACCCATTGTGCAGGTATCCGGTCTTTAAACATTGGCTTTATGTTAAAGAGATGCCTGTTTCTGAGCACTTGAAACGCACAACAGATGACAAGGAAGCCGTAAGAGAATCTGTCTCTCAATGTGGAGATTAGCAAATTACAGAGTCAACAGTAAATAGACAAGCGCCTTTGAGTGTGTCTGCGTCTTAGTTACTCATGGCTGCTAATGCTGGTGGAGACTAGACACAAGTTTAAAGTTAGTAACAGCAAAATACCCAACCTGAGGTTCCAAAGTAGTTTGTACTATAAAGTAGACTAGTCCCAAACCAATGGCCTCAGTAATATTTTACTCAGAATTTGATCTCTGAGAAATTGGAAAGTCAACTGATTTTTCTTAGCCCTTGTTTTAGAACTATCTATAATTTTTGGATGGACCAAGATTGATTAAATGAAACTGTGATTTTAAAAATAAGGAAGTCTTAGCAAACTAACTGACATCATTCTTGACTCGAACATGTTGGGAAATGTGTCAGATCATGTTGCGTGAAAAGTGTGAGCTCTTCATCACAGGCCTGCATTTCAGTGAATGGTTCTACAATTCTTGCCATAATCCACATTCTAAAACTTTGTTCTATGAGCTAATGATGTAAAATCTTGTGTGTGATTTTGTGTATTCTCATACATATTTTTTCCTTTTGGTCTTCAGGTTGGATGAAGCTAACTTACCAAAAGAAATCAATCTGGTAGATGATTACTTTGAACTTGTTCAGCATGAGTACAAGAAATGGCAGGAAAACAGCGAGCAGGGGAGGAGAGAGGGGCACGCCCAGAATCCCATGGAACCTTCCGTGCCCCAGCTTTCTCTCATGGATGTAAAATGTGAAACGCCCAACTGCCCCTTCTTCATGTCTGTGAACACCCAGCCTTTATGCCATGAGTGCTCAGAGAGGCGGCAAAAGAATCAAAACAAACTCCCAAAGCTGAACTCCAAGCCGGGCCCTGAGGGGCTCCCTGGCATGGCGCTCGGGGCCTCTCGGGGAGAAGCCTATGAGCCCTTGGCGTGGAACCCTGAGGAGTCCACTGGGGGGCCTCATTCGGCCCCACCGACAGCACCCAGCCCTTTTCTGTTCAGTGAGACCACTGCCATGAAGTGCAGGAGCCCCGGCTGCCCCTTCACACTGAATGTGCAGCACAACGGATTTTGTGAACGTTGCCACAACGCCCGGCAACTTCACGCCAGCCACGCCCCAGACCACACAAGGCACTTGGATCCCGGGAAGTGCCAAGCCTGCCTCCAGGATGTTACCAGGACATTTAATGGGATCTGCAGTACTTGCTTCAAAAGGACTACAGCAGAGGCCTCCTCCAGCCTCAGCACCAGCCTCCCTCCTTCCTGTCACCAGCGTTCCAAGTCAGATCCCTCGCGGCTCGTCCGGAGCCCCTCCCCGCATTCTTGCCACAGAGCTGGAAACGACGCCCCTGCTGGCTGCCTGTCTCAAGCTGCACGGACTCCTGGGGACAGGACGGGGACGAGCAAGTGCAGAAAAGCCGGCTGCGTGTATTTTGGGACTCCAGAAAACAAGGGCTTTTGCACACTGTGTTTCATCGAGTACAGAGAAAACAAACGTGAGTGAAGTGGTTGACTTCCTAACACAGCGGCTGCTGTCCAGAAGGGGTTTTGTTCCTGACCTTTAAGAAAAAAAGCCCATGTAGGCAGTCAGGCAGAACTGTCAGGACCTACCGTGCTTTTCTACCAGCTTGTGCAGGGGACAGTCACGGTGGCCCTGCCAGCCGCCCATGGAGGCAAAAGGCACTGCGTGATTACAGCAGCTCCTAATATCACATTCCAAAAACCAGAGTGCCCTGTAGACAGAGCTCATGGGATGTGCTTTTACTAGACCATTCAGGTCTGGCATATCTAAGAGAGTCTAAGTTTAAACTAGACTTATTTTGCAACTTAGATATAACAGAACAATCTTAAAATCTGAAGAGTAGTAACTGGAGAGAAGGAAGTCTCTGTTGACACTGTAAGGAAACAGATGTGGTTTGGAAATCTCTCATTGGAAAGAAGGGTGATCAGGTAATGCCTGCTCCTTGCCTGTTCCTGTGAGCAATCAGTGCTTCAAGTTCAAAATGAGAGATTGGTAAAGCCAAAGATGTTTCCATAATAGGGATGTTATTTCTTTTGCTGAATTTATAGACTTAAACATATACATATATATATTTCTATACATTTAAGGCTGGCCTAATCTGTATTTGGAACCCATTTATTTCTCTACTGTCAGCATCTCTGTATCGGTGGGGTGACCCCTATGTGGTACTAACTAGCATCCATTCTCATGTAGATTTTGCTGCTGCCTCAGGGAAAGTCAGTCCCACAGCGTCCAGGTTCCAGAACACCATTCCGTGCCTGGGGAGGGAATGCGGCACCCTTGGAAGCACCATGTTTGAAGGATACTGCCAGAAGTGTTTCATTGAAGCTCAGAATCAGAGATTTCATGAGGCCAAAAGGACAGAAGAGCAACTGGTGAGACACTTGGAGGAGCTTTCCCTCCCTCCCGTGTGTTCGATGCTTTTTGCTGGAGCGTTTTCTACCGACAGTGACAAGCAGGCTTTCCTCTCTGCCAGGTTCTGTCTCCTCATGATAAAGGATTAATTCAGAACCTGAAGGGGAATGTCCATGTCACTGTGGCTCCCCAGGTCCGAAATGCTACCTCCAATTTTCATGCTCCAAGTATGCTTTCAAATTTATTTTAAAAACAAAGAAACACAGCCATTGCATAAAACTTCTTCAAGCCTCCAAAAAGCCAGATGGTGATCAGAGGCTTCTTTGATTTGTAAGAGAAGCACAGACATCTAAAAAGCAGCCCTTCTTAAATAATCCTTTATCATAAGGAGCGAACAGACAGAGCTTCCCAGGGGCCTGCCTCCACCTAATGGCGCGTCAGAAAAGCCAGCTTTGACAGATAGGTGTGTCGCCTGTTGCTCACAGAATGGTAGGGAAGCTATGTAAGAACAGTGGTTTTTGGTCCCAACAGAAGAGAGCCAGGGAAAGTTTGCAGGCCAACTTAGGCTTGGCGGTTTTCCTCAGCCTCCCTGGGGGCCAAGTCAGCTTTCCTTGAGACTGGAAAGAAACATCCTTCGAGAGCTCTGGCTCATAGACTGCAATGCTCTCCTGTTCCCTTGCTCAGGCAGGTAAAGCTCTTTGTAGACTCCACACTCTCCAATGAGATTTCATTGTGCTCTCCCTAAGAAATGTGAGCAATAGTTTCCTGACTTTTTAATGATCTGCCTGTTCTTTCCACTCAGAGATCGAGCCAGCGCAGAGATGTGCCTCGAACCACACAAAGCACCTCAAGGCCCAAGTGCGCCCGGGCCTCCTGCAAGAACATCCTGGCCTGCCGCAGCGAGGAGCTCTGCATGGAGTGTCAGCATCCCAACCAGAGGATGGGCCCTGGGGCCCACCGGGGTGAGCCTGCCCCCGAAGACCCCCCCAAGCAGCGTTGCCGGGCCCCCGCCTGTGATCATTTTGGCAATGCCAAGTGCAACGGCTACTGCAACGAATGCTTTCAGTTCAAGCAGATGTATGGCTAACCGGAAACAGGTGGGTCACCTCCTGCAAGAAGTGGGGCCTCGAGCTGTCAGTCATCATGGTGCTATCCTCTGAACCCCTCAGCTGCCACTGCAACAGTGGGCTTAAGGGTGTCTGAGCAGGAGAGGAAAGATAAGCTCTTCGTGGTGCCCACGATGCTCAGGTTTGGTAACCCGGGAGTGTTCCCAGGTGGCCTTAGAAAGCAAAGCTTGTAACTGGCAAGGGATGATGTCAGATTCAGCCCAAGGTTCCTCCTCTCCTACCAAGCAGGAGGCCAGGAACTTCTTTGGACTTGGAAGGTGTGCGGGGACTGGCCGAGGCCCCTGCACCCTGCGCATCAGGACTGCTTCATCGTCTTGGCTGAGAAAGGGAAAAGACACACAAGTCGCGTGGGTTGGAGAAGCCAGAGCCATTCCACCTCCCCTCCCCCAGCATCTCTCAGAGATGTGAAGCCAGATCCTCATGGCAGCGAGGCCCTCTGCAAGAAGCTCAAGGAAGCTCAGGGAAAATGGACGTATTCAGAGAGTGTTTGTAGTTCATGGTTTTTCCCTACCTGCCCGGTTCCTTTCCTGAGGACCCGGCAGAAATGCAGAACCATCCATGGACTGTGATTCTGAGGCTGCTGAGACTGAACATGTTCACATTGACAGAAAAACAAGCTGCTCTTTATAATATGCACCTTTTAAAAAATTAGAATATTTTACTGGGAAGACGTGTAACTCTTTGGGTTATTACTGTCTTTACTTCTAAAGAAGTTAGCTTGAACTGAGGAGTAAAAGTGTGTACATATATAATATACCCTTACATTATGTATGAGGGATTTTTTTAAATTATATTGAAATGCTGCCCTAGAAGTACAATAGGAAGGCTAAATAATAATAACCTGTTTTCTGGTTGTTGTTGGGGCATGAGCTTGTGTATACACTGCTTGCATAAACTCAACCAGCTGCCTTTTTAAAGGGAGCTCTAGTCCTTTTTGTGTAATTCACTTTATTTATTTTATTACAAACTTCAAGATTATTTAAGTGAAGATATTTCTTCAGCTCTGGGGAAAATGCCACAGTGTTCTCCTGAGAGAACATCCTTGCTTTGAGTCAGGCTGTGGGCAAGTTCCTGACCACAGGGAGTAAATTGGCCTCTTTGATACACTTTTGCTTGCCTCCCCAGGAAAGAAGGAATTGCATCCAAGGTATACATACATATTCATCGATGTTTCGTGCTTCTCCTTATGAAACTCCAGCTATGTAATAAAAAACTATACTCTGTGTTCTGTTAATGCCTCTGAGTGTCCTACCTCCTTGGAGATGAGATAGGGAAGGAGCAGGGATGAGACTGGCAATGGTCACAGGGAAAGATGTGGCCTTTTGTGATGGTTTTATTTTCTGTTAACACTGTGTCCTGGGGGGGCTGGGAAGTCCCCTGCATCCCATGGTACCCTGGTATTGGGACAGCAAAAGCCAGTAACCATGAGTATGAGGAAATCTCTTTCTGTTGCTGGCTTACAGTTTCTCTGTGTGCTTTGTGGTTGCTGTCATATTTGCTCTAGAAGAAAAAAAAAAAAGGAGGGGAAATGCATTTTCCCCAGAGATAAAGGCTGCCATTTTGGGGGTCTGTACTTATGGCCTGAAAATATTTGTGATCCATAACTCTACACAGCCTTTACTCATACTATTAGGCACACTTTCCCCTTAGAGCCCCCTAAGTTTTTCCCAGACGAATCTTTATAATTTCTTTCCAAAGATACCAAATAAACTTCAGTGTTTTCATCTAATTCTCTTAAAGTTGATATCTTAATATTTTGTGTTGATCATTATTTCCATTCTTAATGTGAAAAAAAGTAATTATTTATACTTATTATAAAAAGTATTTGAAATTTGCACATTTAATTGTCCCTAATAGAAAGCCACCTATTCTTTGTTGGATTTCTTCAAGTTTTTCTAAATAAATGTAACTTTTCACAAGAGTCAACATTAAAAAATAAATTATTTAAGAACAGATTGTGATGTTTTCAATTGATGAATGCTGAAAGAAAAAGAAAGGCTTGGATATTAAGACTGTGCTTCCTAAGCAGCTTTATTTTGAGGTGCACCTGAGCAATGCACACATCTCTCATCCATGGTAGCAAGGCAGCTTTTCATAAATAATAACTGTATGAGGTCCAGGCCCAGTCCTCAAGCACAAGCCCCCGCTTGACAATGAAGACACTCTTCCTCTGATGGGAAGAGGAAAGGGATGCTAGGACCCTGTGGCCCTTTTAAGCTTCCTGCCCTAAACTTTTATAAAGTGAAGAAAGAGAAAACAAGAGGGAGGAGGAGGGAAAGACAGGAAAGAGAGAAGTAGGCAGGCAGGAAGGAAGACTGATGTAAGATCTCCTGGGTCAGACAAAGCAGAGGAGGCAGCGTGGCTGTGCTGGCTGCCAGAACCAGGAAATTAAAAAATAACACATTCCTCCATGCGCAAGCCTTCATCCCCACCTCCCATCCAGTACAAATGGACTCACAGACGACTGATTCAGCAGGACTGCGCAGCTCCCAGAATCTACTTTTTTAAGCTCCTCGGGTGATCTGGATGATCAGCCAGATTTTAGAATCACACTTTAAAAAATATATTTATAATTTTTTTTTAACTTTTTAAAAGTAGAAAACTTTAATAAGAAAGTGACAAGTACTATAAAGAGCCACTCTATAGCCATCCTCCAGTTTCAATAATTACCAACGTTCTGCCCAATTTGTTTCATCTATCACATCCTCTTTTTTGTTTTTCCTGGACTACTTGAAAGCAAATCCCAGATATTGTGTCTTCATACCCATAAATATTTCAGTGTGCACCTCTAATTGAATAGAATATGTCCTTTTAACATAACCACCATTATCAGAGCCAGCTAAATTATTTTATTCTTTAATATCCAAATTCCAAGTATGTATTCTAATTTCTCAGTTTATCCACCATACAAGACAAAGTCTTATTGCTTTCGTTTAGTAAGGATCTTTTCTTTTTTTTTTAATGTTTAGCAATATTTATTAGGACGTATACCTACCTTATGATCCAAAAATTCCAATCCTAGGTATACACTCAATGGTATACACTCTACTCCTAGCTATACACCCATAAAACAGAAATGCATGCATATGTTCACCAAAATATGGTACTAAAATGTTCATCTCAGCAGTATTCATAATAGCTCCAAACTACAAACGATCCAAATGTTCATTAACAGGAGAAAAGAGAAATATATTGTGGTATATTCATATAATGGATTATCATATAGCAGTAAGAGTGAATAGGCACCTGTAGTTCCAGCTACTCAGGAGGCTGAGGTGGGAGAACTGCTTAAGGCTACAGTGAGTTATAAGGCTCTATTTATTTATTTATTTATTTTTGAGACAGAGTCTTTTTTAAATTTTTTTTTATTATACTTTAAGTTCTGGGATACATGTGTAGAACGTTCAGGTTTGTTACATAGGTATACATGTGCCATAGTGGTTTGCTGCACCCATCAACCCATCATCTACATTAGGTATTTCTACTAATGCTGTGCCTCTCCTAGCCCCCCTACCCCGTGACAGGCCCCAGTGTGTGATGTTCCCTTCCCTGTGTCCATGTGTTCTCATTGTTCAACTCCCACTTATAAGTGAGAACATGCAGTGTCTGGTTTTCTGTTCCTGTGTTAGTTTGCTGAGAATGATGGTTTCCAGCTTCATCCATGGCTTTGCAAAGGACATGAACTCATCCTTTTTTATGGCTGCATAGTATTCCATGGTGTATATGTGCCACATTTTCTTTATCCAGTCTATCATTGATGGGCATTTGGTTGGTTCCAAGTCTTTGCTATTGTGAATAGTGCCCCAATAAACATACATCATACATGTGCATGTGTCTTTATAGTAGCATGATTTATAATCCTTTGGGTATATACCCAGTAATGGGATTACTGGGTCAAGTCGTATTTCTGGTTCTAGATCCTTGAGGAATTGCCACACTGTCTTCTACAATGATTGAACTAATTTACACTCTCACCAACAGTGTAAAAGCATTCCTATTTCTCCACATGCTCTCCAGCTTGTGATGTTTCCTTTTTTTTTTTTTTTTTTTAGATGGAGTCTCACTCTGCTGTCACCCAGGCTGGAGTGCAGTGGTGTGATCTCAGCTCACTGCAACCTCCATCTCCCGGGGTCCAAGCGATTCTCCTGCTTCAGCCTCCTGAGTAGCTGGCACTACAGGCACCCGCCACCATGCCTAGCTAATTTTTATATTTTTAGTAGAGACGGGGTTTCACCATATTGGCCAGGCTGCTTTCGAACTCCTGACTTTATGATCCACCTGCCTGGACCTCCCAAAGTGCTGGGATTACAGGCATGAACCACCATGCCCGGCATTTCCTGACTTTTTAATGATCGCCATTGTAACTGGCATGAGATGGTATCTCATTGTGGTTTTGATTTGCGTTTCTCTAGTGACCAGTGATGATGAACTTTTTCTCATATGTTTTTTGGCCGCATAAATGTCTTCTTTTGAGAAATGTCTGTTCATATCCTTCACCCACTTTTTGATGTTTTTTTTTTTTCTTGTAAATTAGTTTAAGTTCTTCGTAGATTCTGGATATTAGCCCATTGTCAGATGAGTAGATTGCAAAAATTTTCTCCCATTCTGTAGGTTGCCTGTTCACTCTGATGATAGTTTCTTTTGCTGTGCAGAAGCTCTTTAGTTTAATTAGATTCCATATGTCAATTTTGGCTTTTGTTGCCATTGCTTTTGGTGTTTTAATCATGAAGTCTTTGCCCATGCCTATGTCCTCAATGGTATTGCCTACGTTTTCTTCTAGGGTTTTTATGGTTTTAGGTCTTACAGTTAAGTCTTTAATCCATCTTGAGTTAATTTTTGTATAAGGTGTAAGGAAGGGGTTCACTTTCAGTTTTCTGCATATGGCTAGCCAGTTTTCCCAGCACCATTTATTAAATAGGGAATCCTTTCCCCATTTCTTGTTTTTGTCAGGTTTGTCAAAGATCACATGGTTGTAGATGTGTGGTGTTATTTCTGAGGCCTCTATTCTGTTCCGTTGGTCTATATATCTGTTTTGGTACCAGTGCCATGCTGTTTTGGTTACTGTAGCCTTGTAGTATAGTTTGAAGTCAGGTAGCATGATGCCTCCAGCTTTGCTCTTTTTGCTTAGGATTATCTTGGCTATATGCGTTCTTTTTTGGTTCCATATGAAATTTAAAGTAGAACCACCATGCTCAGAATTTCCTGACTTTTTAATGATCGCCATTGTAACTGCCATAAGATGGTATCTCATTGTGGTTTTGATTTGCATTTCTCTAGTGACCAATGATGATGAGTTTTTTCTCATATGTTTGTTGACTGCATAAATGTCTTCCTTTGAGAAATGTCTGTTCATATCCTTCACCCAATTTTTGATGGGGTTTTTTTTTCTTGTAAATTTGTTTAAGTTCTTTGTAGATTCTGGATATTAGCCCGTTGTCAGATGAGTAGATTGCAAAAATTTTCTCCCATTCTGTAGGTTACCTGTTCACTCTGATGATAGTTTCTTTTGCTGTGCAGAAGCTCAGAATTTTTCTAATTCTGTGAAGTAAGTCAATGGTAGCTTAATAGGGACAGCATTGAATCTATAAATTACTTTGGGCAGTATGGCCATTTTCACAATATTGATTCTTCTTATCCATGAGCATGAAATGTTTTTCCATTTGTTTGTGTCCTCTCTGATTTCCTTGAGCAGTGGTTTGTAGTTCTCCTTGAAGAGGTCCTTCACATCCCTTGTAAGTTGTATTCCTAGGTATTTTATTCTTTTTGTAGCAATTGTGAATAGGAGTTCACTTATGATTTGGCTCTCTGTTTGTCTATTATTGGTGTATAGGAATGTTTGTGATTTTTGCACATTGATTTTGTATCCTGAGACTTTGCTGAAGTTGCTTATCAGCTTAAGGAGATTTTGGGCTGAGACGATGGGGTTTTCTAAATATACAATCATGTCATCTGCAAACAGAGACAATTTGACTTCTTCTCTTCCTATTCGAATACTCTTTATTTCTTTCTCTTGCTTGATTGCCCTGGCCAGAACTTCCAACACCATGTTGAATAGGAGTGGTGAGAGAAGGCATCCGTGTCTTGTGCTCATTTTCAAAGGAAATGCTTCCAGCTTTTGCCCATTCAGTATATTAGCTATGGATTTGTTATAAATAGCTCTTATTATTTTGAGATATGTTCCATCAATACCTAGTTTGTTGAGAGTTTTTAGCATGAAGGGGTGTTGAATTTTGTTGAAGGCCTTTTCTGCATCTGTTGAGATAATCATGTGGTTTTTGTCATTGGTTCTGTTTATGTGATGGATTACATTTATTGATTTGCATATGTTGAACCAGCCTTGCATCCTAGGGATGAAGCCAACTTGATCGTGGTGGGTAAGCTTTTTGATGTGCTGCTGGATTCAGTTTGCCAGTATTTTATTGAGGGTTTTTGCATTGTTGTTCATCAGGGATATTGGCCTGAAATTTTCTTTTTTGGTTATGTCTCTGCCAGCTTTTGGTATCAGGATGATGCTGGCCTTAAAATAAGTTAGGGAGGAGTCCCCTTTTTCTATTGTTTGGAATAGTTTCAGAAGGAATGGTACCAGCTCCTCTTTGTACCTCTGGTAGAATTCGGTGGTGAATCCTCCTGGTCCTGGGCTTTTTTTTGGTTGATAGGCTATTAATTACTCCCTCAATTTTAGAACTTGTTATTGGTCTATTCAGGGATTCCACTTCTTCCTGGTTTAGTCTGGGGTGGGTGTATGTGTCCAAGAATTTATCCATTTCTTCTAGATTTCCTAGTTTATTTGCATAGAGGTGTTTATAGTATTCTCTGATGGTAGTTTGTATTTCTGTGGGACCAGTGGTGATATCCCCTTTATCCTGTTTTATTGTGTCTATTTGATTCTTCTCTCTTTTTTTCTTTATTAGTCTGGCTAGCAGTCTATCTATTTTGTTAATATTTAAAAAAAAAATAAGCTCCTGGATTTATTGATTTTTTGAAGGGTTTTTCATGTCTCTATCTCCTTCAGTTCTGCTCTGATCTTAGTTATTTCTTGTCTTCTGCTAGCTTTTGAATTTGTTTGTTCTTGCTTCTCTAGCTCTTTTAATTGTGATGTTAGGGTGTTGATTTTAGATCTTTCCTGCTTTCTCCTGTGAGCATTTAGTGCTATAAATTTCCCTCTAAACACTGCTTTAGCTGTGTCCCAGAGATTCTGGTACATTGTGTCTTTGTTCTCACTGGTTTCAAATAACTTATTTATTTCTACCTTAATTTTGTTATTTATCCAGTGGTTATTCAGGTGCAAGTTGTTCCGTTTCCATGTAGTTGTGTGGTTTTGAGTGAGTTTCTTAATCTTGAGTTCTAATTTGATTGCATTGTTGTCTGAGAGACTGTTTGCTATGATTTCTGTTCTTCTGCATTTGCTGAGGAGTGTTTTACTTCCAATTATGTGGTCAATTTTAGAATAACTACAATGTGGTGCTGAGAAGAATGTATAGTCTGTTGATTTGGGGTGGAGAGTTCTGTAGATGTCTGCTAGGTCCACTTGGTCCAGAGCTGAGTTCAGGTTTTGAATATACTTGTTAATTTTCTGTCTCATTGTTCTGTCTAATATTGACAGTGGGGTGTTAAAGTCTCCCACTATTATTGTGTAGGAGTCTAAGTCTCTTTGTAGGTCTCTAAGAACTTGCTTTATGAATCTGGGTGCTCCTGTATTGGGTACATATATATTTAGGGTAGTAAACTCTTGTTGCATTAATCCCTTTACCATTATGTAATGCCCTTCTTTGTCTTTTATGATCGTTGTTGGTTTAAAGTCTGTTTTATCAGAGACTAGGATTGCAACCCTTGGTTTTTTTTTTGTTTTGTTTTGTTTTTTGTTTTTTTGCTTTCCATTTGCTTGGTAAATCTTCCTCCATCCCTTTATTTTGAGCCTATGTGTGCCTTTGCACATGCAATGGGCCTCCTGAATACAGCACACTGATGGGTCTTGACTCTTTATCCAATTTGCCGGTTTTTAATTGGAACATTTAGCCTGTTTACATTTAAGGTTAATATCGTTATGTGTGAATTTGATTCTGTCATTATGATGCCAGCTGGTTATTTTGCCTGTTAGTTGATAGAGTTTCTTCGTAGTGTCGATGGTCTTCACAATTTGGTATGTTTTTGCAGTGGCTGGTCCTGGTTTTTCCTTTCCATATTTAGTGCTTCCTTCAGGAGCTCTTGTAAGGCAGGCTTGGTGGTGACAAAATCTCTCAGTATTTGCCTGTCTGTAAAGGATTTTATTTCTCCTTTGCTTAAGAAGCTTAGTTTGGCTGGATATGAAATTCGGGGTTGAAAATTTTTTTCTTTAAGAATGTGGAATATTGGCCCCTACTGTCTTCTGGCTTATAGGGTTTCTTCAGAGAGATCCACTGTTAGTCTGATGGGCTTCCTTTTGTGGGCTACCTGACCTTTCTCTCTGGCTTCCCTTAACATTTTTTCCTTCATTTCAACCTTGGTGAATCTAATGATTATGTGTCTTGGGGTTGCTCTTCTCAAGGAGTATCTTTGTGGTGTTCTCTGAATTTCCTAAATTTGAATGTTGGCCTGTCTTGCTAGGTTGGGGAAATTCTCCTGGATAATATCCTGAAGAGTGTTTTCCAACTTGGTTCCATTCTCCCCGTCACTTTCAGGTACACCAATCAAACGTTGGTTTAGTCTATTCACATAGTCCCATATTTCTTGGAGGCTTTGTTCATTCCTTTTCATTCTTTTTTCTCTAATATTGTCTTCATGCTTTATTTCATTAAGTTAATCTTCAATCTCTGATATCCTTTCTTCTGCTTGATCGATTTGGCTATTGACACTTGTGTATGCTTCACAAAGTTCTCATGCTGTGTTTTTCAGCTCCATCAGATCATTTATGTTCTTCTCTAAATTGGTTATTCTAGTTAGCAACTCCTCTAACCTTGTTTCAAGGTTCTTAGCTTCCTTGCATTAGGTTAGAACATGCTCCTTTAGCTTGGAGGAGTTTTTTACCCACCTTCTGAAGCCTACTTATGTTAATTTGTCAAACTCATTCTCCATCCAGTTTTGTTCTCTTGCTAACAAGGAGTTGTGATCCTTTGGAGGAGAAGAGGTGTTCTGGTTTCTGGAATTTTCAGCCTTTTTGTGCTGGTTTTTCCTCATCTTCATGAATTTATCTACCTTCCCTCTTTGATGTTGGTGACCTTTGGATGGGGTTTTGGTGTGGATGTGCTTTTTGTTGATATTGATGCTATTCCTTTCGGTTTGTTAGTTTTCCTTCTAACAGTCAGGCCTCTCTGCTGCAGGTCTGCTGGAGTTTGCTGGAGGTCCACTCCCAAACCTGTTTGCTTTATGGGTATCGCCAGCAAAGGCTGCAGAACAGCAAAGATTGCTGCCTGTTCCTTCCTCTGGAAGCTTTGCCCCAGAGGGTCACCCGCCAGATGCCAGCCAGAGTTCTCCTGTATGGGGTGTCTGTTGACCCCTGCTGGGAGGTGTCTCCCAGTAGGAGGCATGGGAATCAGGGATCCACTTGAGGAGGCAGTCTGTCCCTTAGCAGAGCTCGAGTGCTGTGCTGGGAGATCTACTGCTCTCTTCAGAGCCTGCAGGCAGGAACGTTTAAGTCTGCTGAAGTTGTGCCCATAGCTGCCCCTTCCCCCAGGTGTTCTGTCCCAGGGAAATGGGAGTTTTATCTATAAGCTCCTGTCTGGGGTTGCTGCCTTTCTTTCAGAGATGTCTTGCCCAGAGAGGAGGAATCTGGAGAGGCAGTCTGGCTATAGTGGCTTTGCTGAGCTGTGGTAGGATCCATCCAGTTTGAACTTCCTGGCGGCTTTGTTTACACTGTGAGGGGAAATCTGCCTACTCAAGCCTCAGTAATGGCAGACACCCCTCCCCACCACCAAGCTCGAGCATCCTAGGTTGACTTCAGACTGCTGGGCTGGAAGTGAGAAATTCAAGCTGGTGGATCTTAGCTTACTGGGCTCCATGGTGTTGGAATCTGCTGAGCTAGACCACTTGGCTCCTTGGCTTCATCCCCCTATTCCAGGGGAGTGAATGGTTCTGTCTCACTGGCATTCCAGGCACCACTGGGGTATAAAAAACAAACAAACAAACAAACAAACAAAAACTCCTGCAGCTAGCTCAGTGTCTGCCTAAATGGCCACCTAGTTTTGTGCCCAGGGCCCTGGTGGTATAGGCACTCAAGGGAATCTCCTGGTCTGTGGGTTGCAAAGACCATGGAAAGTGTAGTATCTGGGCCAGAGTGCACCCTTCCTCACAGCACAGTCCTTCACGGCTTCCCTTGGCTAGGGGAGGGAGTTCTCCAACCCCTTGAGCTTCCCGGGTGAGGTGATGCCCCACCCTGCTTTGGCCCATCATCCATGGGCTGCACCCACTGTCTAACCAGTCCCAGTGAGATGAGCTGGTTACCTCAGTTGGAAATGCAGAAATCACCCACCTTCTGTGCTGATCTCACTGAGAGCTGCAGACCAGAGCTGTTCCTATTCGGCTTCTTGCCAGCCACCAAGACAGAGTCTTGCTCCACCACCCAGGCTGGAGTGCAGTAGCATAATCTTGGCTCTCTGAGTTCTTCACCACCTGGGTTCAAGCAATTCTTGTGCCTCAACCTCCCAAGTAGCTGGGACTACAGGCATGTGCCCACACGCCTGGCTAATTTTTGTATTTTTAGTAGAAATGGGGTTTCACCATGTTGGCCAGGCTGGTCTCAAATTTCTGACCTCAGGCAATCTGCCTGCCTCAACCTCCCAAAGTGCTGGGATTACAGGCATGAGCCACACGCCCAGCCAAGGCTCTTTTTTTTTTCTGGAATATTCTTTTTTAATTTTTCATGCCATTCATTTGTTAGAGCAATGAGGTCATCTGTTAGATAGAGTATCCCACATTCTGGATTGGCTGGTTGCTTTCTTGTGGTGTCATTTAACTTGTTCTTTTGTACTTCTTACTAGATTCTGGTTCAGTGAGGCAAGAATCATTCACAGATGGTGCTGTGTGTTTCCCACTGCATTCCATCCTGGTTGAGCCATATGAATGCTGGCCCAGAGGAATCAAAGTCTCAGAGTGAACCTCCTCTTGTCTCCATTTTCTCCGCCATCTCACACCCGGCATTAGAAATTACAATTCATCAATCAGCGTGATGAACATTAGCATTTGACCATAAGTCATGAGGATTTCTAAAATTGGAAGTGACTTATAATTAGCAAATTATCTCTGACTCAGAAGATTGGCACATAGTGAAACAGAGCAGGTTTTGAGGTCACTGAAAGAGCCTGTTAGAGTAGGGCTCCCATCTGGACTTGGACAGATCTCTGGGGCTGAGTGTCCTATAAAGTACAGGTAGAAATTTATGCTGTGGTGTGTACATGCACTTTCTTCTGAACCAGAGCCCATGGTTTTCTTCAGAGTCTCAAAGAAATAAATAACTTTCCAAAAAGACAAAGAGCCTAAGGATTAGAAGGCTGAAAAATAAAGCTTGGAAGGAACTGGCTTTGCTTCAGCTTGCCCAGATATTCACTCCCAACACTGCAGGAAGCCTCCCATATACCACACGGTGGGAGCGAAGGGGACCTCACATCATCCGAAACTGAACTCATCACATTTCATGCCCCACCCTCTTCTTCCCATGCTCAGGGAGGAAAGGGCATTATCATTTTCCCAGGCTGGGGTGCAATGGCACCATCTCAGCTGACTACAACTTCTGCCTCCCAGGTTCAAACAATTCTCCTGCCTCAGCCTCCCAAGTAGCTGGGATTACAGGCGTGCGCCACCACGTCCAGCTAATTTTGTATTTTTAATAGAGAAAGGGTTTCACCATGTTGGTCAGGCTAGTCTCGAACTCCTGACCTCAAGTGATCCACCCTCCTCGGCCTCCCAAAGTGCTGGAATTACAGGCATGAGCCACCGTGCCTGGCCTTACATCCAAACTTTTAAGTGTATCTCCACAATGTCTCTCAAATCCACCCCTCCCCCTCCCCTTCTGCTGCTCTAGCTTGAGCTGGAACCTCCTTCATCCCTTTTTCCAGCCCACTTTTTGCTGTATCTTTATTAGTGACCTATGCCTGTGAATAATGGGCCTGGACATGCTTTCCCTCTAATTAAGACTTCCTGGGGGCTTTGTGTTGCTCCCAAAGCCCAAAGCAGGGTGCATGCCACCAGGAGATGCAGGAACAAAATAGAAGACCTCTGAGTTTATTTTTTCATCTTAAAAATTATGATATAAACCACATGTTGCTAGTATTTGATATATGAGTTGACAGTGTCTATGGGTCACTGTCACTGTATGCTTTACTTAGCTCAGAGGGGGGTCCCAGAGGCACCTTCACTCATTCATTCATTCAGGAATGATGCAGATGTGCCACCTACAAACTCGATTATCCGCACACTTAAACTTGAAAACTAAATTTTCTAGTCAGCTTAAAAATTACCCAAATGAAGGGTTTCAAGAGATTTTGAACCCATTTGTTGAGAATTTCAACTTATCTTTATAACTTCCCAACTAATTGACATCAAAGAAGATAGGAATTTACTAGCTGAGTTTCAACAAAAACTTCATACTTCATAACTGACAATGAAATGTGATTCACCATGAATTAGCAGGCACACCCAGTGATTTTTTTCTACATATCTTCTATTTTTTTTTTCCATTTTCTTGAGGTGTCTTTTTCAGCCCTGATAGTCATTATCATCAAAGATTACAATAAAATGAACTTAGAATCATTTTGGAGTGGCTTTCTCACAAAGTGATAGACATGTTTTTTTTTTCAATAAAGCATATTAACTAATTTTTTACCACTTCTTATTGAGGTCAAAATATACTTTTACTATTAATAAAAATGATTTTTTAAAAATATTACCTACTTCATCTGTATCTCATTTTAAAATTCCTCTATTTTGTGATTTTTAATGTTTTAAATAATAGTGCATTATAGTTGATTTAAAATAACTCATATTTTGTAAATTTATGCTCAAAAAATGTTTTTAAAGATGGTATGAAAGCAAAAGGATTTGGGGCTGGGCGTGGTGGTTCACAGGAGGCTGAGGTGCGCAGATCACTTAAGGCCAAGAGTCAAAAACGAACCTGGCCACCATGACAAAACCCTGTCTCTACTAAAAATACAAAAATTAGCCAGGTTTGGTGGTGGTGAGCGCCTGTAATTCCAGCTACTCAGGAGGCTGAGGCAGGAGAATCACTTCAACCTGAGAGGCAGAGGCTGCAGTGAGCCAAGATGGCGCCACTGCACTCAAGCCTGGGTGACAGAGACTCCGCCTCAAAAAAACAAACAAAAAAAGGATTTGGAGTCCAATTTCCAACATGACATGCAATGCTTTTTAGAATAAACCGAGTTGAGTATTCATTCTTGCCTTCTGTCACTACATGTATACATATACATATTACGGCTTCCTAGTCTCTCTAGAAAAGGACACCTTTCTGGTCTTAGGACTCCTTTACAGCCTTAACAATTATTCAAGACCCCAGAGAGCTTTTGTTTATATGTGTTTTTATTTGTTTATATTTACCATTTTAGAAATTAAAACTGAGAAAAATGTCACAGCCAGAATTCACAAGTAAACACACCATTAGCTTCCAGAATGCTGACGTCATGACATGTCATGGAGCCTCCGGAAAACTCCATTGTATACTCCCTATGCCCTTTTTGCCATCCTCTCTTCTCTCCCTTCATCAGAACATGGTAGAGCTTGTGCCTTCTGCCGTGCATTCTCCCAGACATCATGGAAAGAACATGACATTTTGTAAAAGAAATATTTAGGTTCAAATGCCAGCTCCATTACCCATGAGTTATTCAGCCTTCAGCAAGTTGCCTCATATCTCTGAGTCGCAGTTTGCTCATCTGTAAAATGCTCATTAAATGCTTTCAAAAATATATCAGGGAACTTTTCCCCTCACACTATCAGATAATGCTCTTTTTATGGATAACCCAGCTAAGGGTTCTCAACCCTGGGGACATAGTAGAATCACCCAGAGGTCTTTTAAGTGATGCCAATGCACAGAGATTCCTAGCTGTAATTGGCTTGTGATGGCTGTCTCGGGTATTTTATTTTTTTAAGTACCAGTGAATCTAATATGCAGCCAGAGTTTGGAATTGCTAGTAGCCAAAAGAGTGCTGCTTTCAAAGAGCAATTGAGGGAAAGCGAATAAAATTACAATGTATACCTGGGGCATTACAAGAGGGCAGGCACCTTCTTCTGCAGGTGACCAGCTTGTCATGTGAACATGCACTAGGTGGTATTTATTACCATTGTGAATCCATTTTAGTATAGAAGTGCCATAAAAACTCAGTGTCCCAGAGACAATATCAGATCAGATCAGATATTGATCAGAGATATGCTGCTACCGGTATTGATTATTTTCATAACATCCGCTAATTACCAAAAAGGTACAAACACTGTACTCTCCAGTCAGTGACACCCCTCCTTAGAGGCACACTCCATAGCAATGCTTATTATCAGGGTGCTTGATAAGCCTGGAGTCAGATTGAGGGGAGCTAGTGACTGTCTGTGTGATTGAAGCATCCTTCTTCATATTTGGATATATCCGTCTCCATGTCCCAATGGAGTGAGTCTTCTCTCCTTACGTCTCTCCTTACTCAGCAATAGTCCTTCAGGATACTGTCTCCGCATACATGGCTTGATGAGTCCCACCAATGGCTCTGCCTTTGAAACCCTGCCCGTTCTTTGTGTCACCACCCCCACCTTCTGATTGGCCTACTTTCCTCTAATCCTGGTCAACACTTTCAATTTTAAGCCATAGTCTGTCTCTTCTGGCGACTTCATACATATCTGAACTGGTTTATTACTTAACTCCCAGAGGAAAATCTATTTCCAAGGTATTACCTCCAGTTACTATCTAAAACCTTGAGTTAGAACTCAGGAATCTGGGAAATCCTTAGAGTTTGTTGGAGTAAGATTTGACATGTAGAGTTTCAATTATTATTGGAATACTTTATTATAGTAAGAAGGACATCCAGCTGCTGTCAGACTACACAGGAATCAAAACAAGAGGAGATATGATTTACAGCCTGAAGAAGCACAGCAAACAAGCAGGAATTTTCTAATATTAAGAAATTTGATGGCTGGGCGCGGTGGCTCATTCCTGTAATCCCAGCACCAAGGCCAAGGCGGGCGGATCATTTGCGATCAGGAGTTCGAGACCAGCCTGGCCAACATGGTGAAACCCCAACTCTACTAAAAATACAAAAATAAGCTGGGCATGGTGGCAGACGCCTATAATCCCAGCTACTAGGGAGGCTGAGGCAGGCAAAAAGCTTGAACCCAGGAGGCAGAGGTTGCAGTGAGTCATGATCACGCCCCTGCACTCCAGCCTGGGCAACAAGAATGAGACCCTGTCTCAAAAAAAAAAAAAAAAAAAAAAAAAAAGCTTGGATTCCTAATATGAAATGACTAAGGAAAGAAGTAGAATAAATCTCTCTTGCACTGTCCTATCCACTCATCCCCTGCCTTTAAAACAGCACTTATGAGTGCTCTATCATCTTCCTAGTCCTGTGATTCAGTAAACTTCTGCTCTGGTTTTGGGGACCTGGACTTCATTCAAAGACTTGCTGGTGAAATCCTCCAGGTCCTGGCTGTTCCATGCCCCTTCACACCAACAGTTTCATGAAGGTGAAATTAATTAACGTATTGGTTGAATACTGAACTAGTTTACCGAATATGCTTCTCTGTGAATTCCAGTTTTATAGATTTTCCAGTAGAATAATGAGTCAGAATATAGGAAGTAGTTAGTACTCAACACTTTTCATGATCATCTTTAGAAAACATAACTTTTTAAATGACTTAAATTTAAGTTTAGAAAACTGAAAAGTCTGGTGGTAGTTTTATCCATTCTTGAGGGTTTAAAGACATCAACAAGTTTGTGGCTCTTAAAGTAGATACTTTAAAGTAAGAACAGTTATCACAGGTATTAAAAAGGAGCAGTCTTTTTTTTTTTTGAGGCGGAGTTTCACTCTTGTTACCCAGGCTGGAATGCAGTGGCGCGATCTCGGCTCACTGCAACCTCCGCCTCCTGGGTTCAAGCAATTCTCCTGCCTCAGCCTCCTGAGTAGCTGGGATTACAGGCATGTGCCACCACGCCCGGCTAATTTTTGTATTTTCAGTAGAGACGGGGTTTCTCCATGTTGGTCAGGCTGGTCTCGAACTCCCGACCTCAGGTGATCCGCCCACCTCGGCCTCCCAAAGTGCTGGGATTACAGGCGTGAGCCACCAGGCCTGGCCCATTTTATTTATTTATTTGTTTATTTATTTATTTTGGCAGTGAAAAAAAAAAAACTAAACAGGAGTAGTTTCAAAGAGTTGAGGGGAAATTGTTGACACAGAGGCCTCTGGCTCCACAAGAGGCTCAATCCCGTTGGCCCAGCACAAGCTACACACGTCCTCAGAGGCAGCAAAATCATTTGTGGGTCTGTGAAAAATGTACTGTAATTATTTAACCACTGAGTTTAGAGACATATTGCTTAAACCAACTTTATGCTTCTTTTGTTATCTATGTAGGATTTTGTATTTTTAAGAAAAGAACAGCTTGATATTTCATGTCTGAACAAAACACACGAATGTCTCTTCCAATCTAAAAGTAAATGAAAGATAATACCTGATTGTCAGAAAATTTGTTAATGATGTTATAATAATATAGCATGCATATATTCCAAGCCATCAGTAAAAGTTAGAAGATTATTCATTATTTAATATAAATGAAAATGAAATGAAATGTGCAGAAAAAAATTTTAATGAAAAAATTTTAATTAACCAAAAAAAGAGAAGAAGGTTAGAGAGTGTTCATTTGGAACCTCTTAAATCTGTCTAGTACACCATTGCCCATGCATCAGATTACTCCTCACCTGGTCCACCCCAAAAGCTCCATAACTAGTACTCTTACTTTCAGTCATAAGCCCTCCAAACCACTTGCCAAAGTGCAGCCAGTGGGATCTTTCTAAATATCCATGTAATTACGTTCTCCTCCTGGGGTCCATGGAACACCCTAGATCTGAAGGATTTCAGGGACAAAGACTTGAATGAAGTCCAGGTCTCTAAACTCTGAGCAGAATTCCACTGACCATAGGACTTGTTTTTAATGGCCCTCAATAGATTTCCAAAGTCCAGGTTCCTTAATGTGGCTCACAAGGCCCTTTGGTGATATGTGGCCCATGGCTCTCTGCCTCCATTCATACCCACAGAGAATCCAGGAATGCCCTGAGTCCTCAATCCAGAGCCTGCTTCTGCCATTCCCACCACCTGCACCACCTTTATTCCCTAGCCAAGCCCTATGCATCCTTCATGACTCAACTCTAGAGTCCTTTAATTCAAGAGGCACGTGGTCTCCCACTCTCCAATACAATTTAGCTGCTTTTCCTAGGTACTTCCTTGAAACCTGTGTACTTTCTGTCACGATTTTATAATTATTGATTAATGTTTATCATACATGTGAATTTCTCAAAGTAGAGGAACTTGATTTTTCTGTGTCTCAAATGCTTAACCCTACATCTGACACAGTATGGATTTTCTCTAAAAGTAAATGTTGAGATGATGTTTGAGATGTAAGATTTTTTTAGGGATCAGAATTTGTGTTTTGCCCAGTGTCTGCCCTCTATACCTCCAACCATGGGCTGAAAAAATGTTTAAATATGAGTAGTTTCTCTTGTGATGATCACCACTAATATACCTCAATTAGAAGGCATGTCACCATTGAATCAAATATTAATGAAGCATGTCAATCTGAATTTGCATGATGTACAAATATTTTTGTGATTTTTTTAGAAGTCCAGCTTTGTTATAAAGAGGAGGTTTTTGCATAGGATTTCTTCATCAAGGTAGTGCCTTAAACGCTAATAGCTAGTTGACCCATACAAAACAACTCTAGAATTAAAGAGTGACATTTTGAAGATTTCCTTTTTTCCCTTGCTCAGGATATTCGGTTCTTCGTTTGCTCCAAAATATCTCACCCTCCTCCCACCCAAATTTATTTTTTATGTTCCCTTTTAACAACATTTATTGAGTGCCTCATATATTGCAAGCATTGGAGATGCAAAAGTAAATAGGACACATCCATCCCTTGAAGAGCTCCCATTCAGAGAAACAAAAGTAAATGTAGCTGGGCAGGGGGTTCACGCCTGTAATATTAGCACTTTGGGAGGCCAAGGTGGGAGGATCACGTGAAATTAGGAGTTCGAGACCAGCCTGACGAACATGGTAAAACCCAGTCTCTACTAAAAATACAAAACTTAGCCAGGTGTGGTGGTGCAGGCCTGTAATTCCAGCTACTCAGGAGGCTGAGGCACCAGAATCTCTTGAACCGAAGAGGCGGAGGCTGCAGTGAACTGAGATTGTGCCACTGCACTCCACCCTCGGTGACACAGGCAGACTCTGTCTCAAAAAAAAAATAATAATAAAGTAAATGTAAAAAAGGTAAAATCATGGGGAAAATATGATCATCAGTTGAAACTGGACTGGTGGAAAACAATACCATGTTAGAAATTCTAAGCAGGAAAGGATTTTTTATAGGAAATGTGATGCTAAGATAACTTCTCTTGCTGGGCAAGAGAAGCTCAGGATAAATTGCTGATGATTTTCAAAAGTATGAAAATTCAGGAATTACATTTGATGACATTTTCTTCCTGCCTACATCCACTACCTACAGCTGTCATGAGAAGATAATGGTTTCTCCTTCTCCTTTGCTTTCCAGATCTCTGGTGATTTTTTCTTGGAGGTGAGCCCTAAACAAGAACTCTGCTAGAAACACAGGTCAGGCAATGTTGTTTCCAGGCTTTCAGCCTCAACAGAGAAAGGGAAGCTGGGAAGGGCTCTTGAAGGTGGTGGCAACTAACACTGCCATGTACTATGTATATTGGGGTGGGTGACTTCTCTACCCTGAAGTAGCCAAGCCGACTTTCAGTCTGCAGAAAGGCTATAGGATGTGTATTCCAAAAAACTAGAAGAGATTTGAAATGTTCCTAGCACAAAGAAATGATAACTATGTGAGGTCACAGATATCTTAATTATTCTGACTGGATCACTACACATCGTACGCATGTATCAAAATATCACACGTATCACATATAGGCATACAATTATGTTTCAATATAACAATTAAATTCTTTTAAAAAAGAGATCCTATACAGAGCTTTCCCTTTGATAGGTCTATGCCTAGCTAAGAAACATATTCTCACATTGCTCAAAGGTCCTTTACATCTACTGATTTTTTTTTTTTTTTTTTGAGACAAAGTCCCACTCTGTCGCCCAGGCTGGAGTGTGGTGGTATGATCTCAGCTCACTGTAACCTCTGCCTCCTGGGTTCAAGCAATTCTCCTGTCTCAGCCTCCCAAGTAGCTGGGATTACAGGCATATGCCACCACGGCTAGCTAATTTTTTGTATTTTGGGTACAGAGTGGTCTCAAACTCCTGACCTCAAGTAATCTGTCTGCCTTGGCCTCCCAAAGTGCTGGGATTATAGGCATGAGCCACCATGCTTGGCCTTACATCTACTGACTTTTATCCTTCTAACTACATAGGATGTAATATTTATGTGTTTTGAGTAATTATTTGGGGGTTAAAGTGTCGTCCTAGGAGGTCTAACACATCAATCCTTCATACCAAAGAGTTGACTGCTTCCTGAAATGAATTATAAGGTCTGTTCAAAGTGAAGGTTAGCCACCCCACCCCCCAGGGTAAAGAACATTAAAATGAGAGATAAGGTCTGAGTTCACATCCTAAAAAGGCCATTTATTAAACATAAATACGTCATTAGTCTTCTTAAAGACAGTTTCCTCTTTAGTGAAACAGAGATTTAATAAGCCTCCCCTCCTATCTCAAAGAGTTATTTTAAGATTCAAAACTAGAATGGGAAAATATATATAAAGATATTTTTGTAAATCATAAATGTTATAAAGGTCAGAACCCAAGAAGGCTTACCTGGAAAGTTTGCAGGATCTTGGCAAGGGAGACATGAGGACAGGAAAAGAAGCCAGAATTACTGGGGACTAACCTTTCTGTAGAACTGGGACCTGAGATGGATAGCTAGATTTTCAAGTTATAGTGTCAAAAGGGATATAGTAAGCTTGACACGGTATCAGTATCTAAGAGGTCCAATCTGGGGCAAAACAGACTGTCCAGCCAATGGTGAATTTTGGAATCAGGCATTCGGCAGGGTTGACTGAGATCTAGTTGTTTGGATTGATATCTCAACAGCAGATCAAAGTCCAGACAGTAATATCCCCCACATAGTAGCTTGGCATGGAGTAGGCAATCAATATATTTTTATTGACTTGACCTACTGATAAACAGAATAAAGGAACACATATCTGGCAATAAGATATCATGTTGTCAAGACCCCAGAGAACCTGAGTGCAGTTCATGAGCTGGCTCCAGGCCCAGATAGGGATTTCAGTGTTAACCAGGGCAAGCTGCCTAGTGACATGGACAGAGCAAGCTCAGTGAAGGCCAGGAGGAAGAGAAAGGATACAGCTCAAGGGGCTCAAAGACGTTGAAGCTCACCCCAGACGCAATGGCCTTGGATCCAGCACAAATTCAAAATTGTACCTATGAGTAGGGTTACAGCATCTGATGTACTTCAAGGCTTGGTCAGGCTAGCTGCGTCAGGACCAGGATGGAGCTAAGAATGAAGGTGGCGGGTGCCCAAAGCTTAACAGAAAGTGAAAATACATATTAATATATTATTCACTGAGTTTTTAAATATTAACTATTCACCTAAAAAATTAATATTTTTATTTGGGAGGCAAAGGGAGTTTAATTTGGATTTGTTTTAATAATCAGCTTAATAGGTACTAAAATTTCTGTTTTTAAAGAATATTTAATGGCATGGGAAATTCTAATGAAGTAATCAAAGAGTTGGTAAATAGTATATGCTACTATGGTCAGAATTCTTTGTGTGCATATTACTTGTATACAGATATAGATAAAGAGAAAATTGGACATATCTTGCAGAGACTGATAAAAAGTTGTAGAAGGAAATATACCAAAATATATTTAACAATAATTTCTGGATGGTAATGCCTATAAATTACTTCTGTTTTGTTCTTTGTAATATCGGGTGTTTTTACAATTCCTGACAATAAGTTTACATTACTTTTATAATCTTTTTTAAAAGATTTTCTGCAAACCTATCTCTTATAGTATCTCTACAATTCACAGAGAAAGAAGGAATACTCCACAGCTCATTCTATGAATTCAATATGACCTCGCTATCAAAATTAGACAAGAATGGAATAAGAAAGGAAAATTACAAGCCAAACTAGGCCATCGATGTATATATACAGGCCCAAATCAACCATCAAGTTTTTTTTTTTCAACATAAAAGAAACAAACTCTTGGAAAACCAAGTCTAACTGTGTTTAGAAAGATAATACACTAAGAGCTAGCTGTCTTCATCCTACAAGAACAATTTATCATAAATAATAGTTTCGTACTGGCATAAGAACAGACAAATTTTCAGTGGAATAGAATGGAGAGGCCAGTTAACAGGGTGTAGATGACATCTCAACAGTCTTGACTTGGATTTCCTTGCTCACCAGTGAGACTATCACTTCATATGACACATTTATACATGGAAATTTGTCACATGATGGGGGTGACATAGTTGAGCAGTAGAGAAAGGAAGGAATCTTTAAAAAGTACAGTTGGAAAACTGATTATAAATATAGATAAAATTGAATTTGGATTCCTAGCTCCTAGTCTGCTTAAAAATCAATTACAGACAGAGTAAGGAATTTATATGTCAAAAACAAAACTTTATGAGAGGAATATATATGGGTAAATAGTTTTCTGACTTGAGAATAGAAAAGAATTCCTTAAACAAGACCAAATATGATATCCTAAAAGAACATATTGACAAATGCGTTGAACAACTACACTACACTCCAGGTCCTCCCTCCAAAATCCTAAACCCAAATCTCATCACGTTTTTCAGTGAAATAAAAATACCTTCTGTTTCCAGCAAGCATCCTCCATAAAAGGCTTTGAAGTTATTAATATAATTAGCAAAAAATTCAGTACAGTATCTATTTTTAAACAGCGGTATTAAATTATAAGAACTATTTGTCCATTTACCCTAGTTCCTTGGAAGGCCGTGCGGAAGAATCAAATGCGCAAAGGTTAAAGCCCACAATTTTCTTCTTGAAGTAAATGGTAGCATTGTTAAGAAACGACCGAGGCCAATTTTCCTTTTTAACAGTGAGAACAACTTGTAACTAGAAGTCAGAATCTCTATTCAAGTATTTTACACAGTTCTTCTGTGAATTGCATATAGTGGATAGGATCATATTGATCTGTGATGTCAAAATCCAGTGCAGAGGCTTCACAGAGGAAGTAAAAGGAGATAAGATGACTACTCACCACTGCTCTGGGCACCAAGGCCCAACCTCTCCTCCTCAGAGGAGGGCAGTTGTCCAGGTACCTTTTAGCCCCAGCTCACATCTGAGGCTCATTATTCCTGGGTGAGAAAGCAGCTTTGGGGCACTTTCTAGAATGCTCTATCATGTGCTAGAGAATGATAATGGTGAATTCCACAGAGAGTTGTGCTTGGAGGATTCCTTCATTCTCAGCTGGGAGAGACAACCACCCCCGGTAGTTGGCTTTAAAATTTTTTTTTATCTATCTATCTATCATCTATCTATCTATCGATATTTTCACCATGTAGCCCAGGCTGGTCTTGAACTCCTGAGTTCAAGAAATTGGCCCGCCTCGGCCTCCCAAATTGTTGGCATGAGCCACCGCACCTGGCCCCAGGTAGTATTTTTACACTTGTATTGTCCAAGTTTTAGCATGAAGTGTTGCTTTTTCTCTGGTGGTCTGGAAGAGTTCACCCTGCCTGTTAGTGTGAATTTTACCTGCTAGAAGTGTGTCTCCAACAGACATCATCCTGAGAATGTCAGTGGGGGACTCAAAAACGAGGGGGCATCTCCTTGCCAATGGGGCATCTCATAGTCGTCAATGCCACTAGCGGTTAACAGGAGTACCTCTGGATGTGCATGCTGTTTTAGGTAGGCCTTTTCGGGTTTTGAAAACTCACAAAGCAAGTGAGGGGACTGGAAATTGAATTTATTCTTAGATCCTTGTCTCAGAAATGTAAGCACAGGGCAAGAAAGTCAGCACAGTGCCCTGGAGTCCTATCTGATCTCCGGGTTTTGGGGGCACCTTCCAGAAGGTACAGGTGCCACAAATACCCCTGCAAGACTCAGTGGAAAAACTCTCACCACTATTCTTATGCCCAAGGGGCCACGCTGTGAGTGTCTGCATCTCCTCAACCACACAGGTCTTCTCATTGCATGCCTAGATAAGGCAGTTACATTGAAACTATTGCATCACCTTGCTGCAGTCATGTATGATTAACTAGATATGCTGGAAAGAGAGAGGAAGGAGGCTGGTTACCGAGTTTAAGGAGTGTCATTTATGGTAAAACACATTTTTCCTATAATAAAATCAATCATAGGTGGTGGCAATTGCTACAACATGCTTTAGTATTGGTTTGATTTCTCCATTTCTAGATAGTGTTTCCCATTAGGTTGTTTTTTTTTTTTTTTTTTAATCAGCCTCAAAGAAACCTTAAAATAAAGTTGTGACTGAGGGCGGGTGAAGGGGACATGGAGTATGATAGTCACTTTTGTTCCAGTGTTAATTTTCAAAAACTCCGGATGTCTAATATTGAAAGCCAGTCCAGAGCGCTCAGTGTTAAAGAACTCGCTCCCTACCCGCCCCCCCGCCACCCCAACTGCGGGGCTGAATCACACGAGGAAGGAAAGTCTGGCTCACTGCTTTATTAATTCACTACTGTGATTTCTTTCTCTGTTACTAAAGGGGACTGGGCGGGGGGTGGTAAATTGAGTGGGCAGCCAGGAAATGTGATATTTTTCTTGGTTCCTTGTGATTGGAGGAAATTCTGTCTTCTCCTTTTGGTTCAAAAGTTTTAGCAACATAACCTTTGGTTTTGTTTTGTTTTTCTGTGAAGTAATTTGACTTTTCAGTGGAAGCTACCCCAAGCCCACCTCTCTGGGGTTGTAAAACCCGCTCGCTTTGATACAATTTCATTAAATGAAGTCATCCAGATGGTGAGCCCATATAAAACCCTGACCTTCAAAGGTCTCTGCCTGTCTCTAGGTCCTTGGGTAATTTGAAGTGTCACTTCTTGGCCATGTCTGCTCAGACCTGTCACCTTAAATCTCCTCTTTGAACTTTATCTTACTTTTCTCCTTAATCTTCTTTTGATGGGAGGTGAACATTAATAGGAATGATCTTCAATGCCGGTTCTCTGAAGACCCGTAGTAATTGTTAGTAATCAAGCCTGATGTGATGGACAAAATACACATTATGTGTAAATGTCCCATGCAAAATGTGAGAAAGTTTAGATGATGTACAGCAGTTATTTTTAGTCCTTCGAATAAAACATACTCCTCACATACATACTCCTCACATTCGAGAGCAATATTATAAATAATGCAGCATTCATTTAATATAACCTCAGTATGTTTCATTTCAAAAGACCAACTGTAATTTCTATTTCTGTTTATTTTTAAAGAACTCTTCACTACTGTAATATTATATTTTAATAATAATAACAATGACCTGTATATATTACATACTTAATATATGACAGTCCATAAGCTAGGGTTTATAAAAATATATATGATCAAATTTCATCCTAACAATACATTATGTGTTAAGTATTATCCCCATTTGACAAACAAGAAAACTGGGTCTCAGAAATGTGCACAGTCATGTTTAAAAATCCTAACTCTCTATCTCAAAAACCCATCCTATGGTGTCTCTAAGAGAAATGTGTAGACTGCTCAAACTGGTTCTAATAAAGTTTTCCCTCATTTTGAATGTTTCTGTTCAGTAACGAAAAACTGTAAATAAATAATACAAAAAGCATATTTATAACCTAAGTATAAGGCCTAAGAATAATAATAAAATGGATACTTGCATACCCACCACTGAGCTTAAGAAATCAGACATTAGCAACACCTTTGAAGCCTTGTGTACCTTTCTCCCAATCTATTCATCTTCCCCAATCCAGAGACATGGTTTAGTGCATGTGAGTGAGCCACCTCCCCAGTTAGAAAGTAGGCTTCTTGAGAAAAAAACTGGGTTTATTATTTCTTCATTTTTCTTTTTAGTTTTACCACATAGGCATTTATCCCTAAACACTGTACTATTTGATTTTGCTTGGCTTTGAACTTTATATAATTATTCTTTTGTAACTTGCTCTTTTAATTCAGTACCACCTACGTTGATGACTATAGTGTATAGTTCTTAATCTTCACTGCTATACAGTAGTCAACTGTATGACTATACCACACTTATTTACCTATTATCTCATTTGCCTGGATCTGTGTCGCTTCAGGTTTTTGCTGTTACAAATCAAATAGATATTCTTGTCCAAGTCTCCTGGTACACACATGCTAAAATTTCTTTTGGGTATATATCCAGGAATAAAATGCAGATTGAAGGGTGTGTGAAGTTCAGTCTTACATAACCGTGTCAATTACTTTTTTTATATTTTGAAAAAAAATTTTCCCATCGTTTTTCTACTGTTCTGTTTGCTGCTCATTTTCTTACTAATTTGTGGGCTGCCTTTATATATTTTTATTACTCTTTTTGTTGGCATACATGTTGCAAATATCTTCTCCAAATTTTCAGCTGACTTCTCAGAGAAAGTCTTAAGTTTAAACATTGTCAAATTTTAATTTTTTTCCTTTATGAGTAAAAACCTTATTTAAGAAATCTTTTTATTTCCAGAGGTGTTATTCATCTGAAATGTTTTGTTTTGGTTTACATATTTAAATGTTTAATGTCTCTGAAATTGATTTAGGGATATGGTAAGAATAGGCAGGAATCTGATTTTATTTTTTCCATGAATTCAGGGGAGCCACAGTCTGAAACCAGACCACGTGGGCTCTATAGTTAAAATATTACAATCTTCTCCATAACATTCTTGCTCCTCTCTTGAAAAAGGTTTTTCTATGTATCTTATGTTTTTAACTGCTTTTGTGACTATTGTCTTTTTTTTTTCAATTTGGTTTCCTTTTCTAACTTGTTTGCTTTTGTGACTGCTGCCTTTAAAAAATATATTTTTTGGTTTCTTTTTCTTTCCTTTTTTTTTTTAAAGAGATAGGGTCTCGCCATATTGATCAGGTCAAACCTCTGAACTCAAGCCATCCTTCTGCCTCAGCCTCCCAAGTAGCTGAGATTATAGGCTGGTTTCTTTTTTTAACTTGTTTGCTGTTATATAAAAATGCAATTGACTTTTATATAAATATTTGTGTTTTAATATCTATGGATTCTTTTGGGTTCTTCATAAACACAATTATATCATCTGATGGGTGACTGTCAAGATGTGTGTGTGTGTGTGTGTGTGTGTGTTGAAAGATACATTAAAGACCCAAACAGTGTTCATTATTGTTATTTTACCACTTAAAAATCAATTTTATTTTATATATTTATTTCATTTCTCTGTCAATATATATAAATTTTGATCTGTTTTCTCATTTAAGTAATATTTATTTGTTCAGAAAACTTAGAGAATAGACATAAGAAAATCAAAATGCCCATAATCCCATCACACAATTAATTAGAATTCAATAACATAGTTTTAAATTACTTACCATGTGATCTAAATGCACTACTTATTTCCTATTTTCAAAGATTTTGCTTTCTGGTGAATAACTACTGTAAATGTTTTGATATTATACTCATTTAGGCTTTTTAAAATAATAAATACATATTTTTAACACAAACAGGTCATATTGTACATGCAGTTATGCAACCTAATATTTTTCACAAACGATATATGTAACCATTTCTTTGACATTACTGAAAATTCTTCTGCCACATTATTTTTGATGAATGCATTGTATATTTCATTGTATGTATTATAATTAATTAGTTTTATTGCATATGTGCTGCATTCAATATTTTGCTATTATAAATAGTTATGACTTTCTATCATCCTATGATGATTCCCTCAGAATAAGTTTCTGGAATTAGAATGCAAAATTTTACATTTTTTAAATAGCATTGCCAAATTATCTTCCAGAGATTTTGTTCCAATATATACTCCCACCAAGTGTGTATCTGATCCATTCTGTAATCATTTTCTCTCTTTCTCTCTGTCTCTCTCTCTCTCTCTCACACACACACACACACACACACACACACACACACCCCAGCACTCTAAACTTGAATCATTAAATGGAACCAAAAACTTCCTAAAAGTTTCACTAAAACTACCTAGGAAAACTTTGCAAAATTACCCACCCTAGAAATTGCAGTGCTAGCTCCTCCTGAGTTTGTTTTGTTTTGTTTTTTTAAGTTTATTTATTTTCTGGGTACTTCTCAACAAGATGACTAGTGCATAATGCTTTATTTTCCTTTCTTTATAGGGTGGAGATAAGCTATTTCTTTTAATTTTACTATGTCTGATAGAATTCCTTCATGTATGTATTGCTTTGTTTCTAAATATAAGCATGACAGGCTCAGAGCTGTCCGTGGTCACGTAGGGGTTTTTGGAAATAATTTTAGCTTCGGGCATACCCCTGAACGTGGGCAGCGCCTACACATTGTCATCTCAGCCCCCTCTTACCCTTTTGGGAAGTCCTGATACCCTCATGGAGGTTTTTTTTCTGCTTCATTCTCAAATCAACGTGGGGTTTCCTTATACCCTTGGCCCAACTTTAACTTACACAATTGTAACAGGCAGCATTATATTGAGAATGCATGTTGTAGAATATTGGTTCTCACCTCTGGCCACAAATTTATTCACTTAGGGAATTTAAAAAAAAATCCATGTCTGAGCCTTGTCCCTGAGATTCAGATTTAATTTGCCTAAGACATCACCTCTGATCGTGGATGGGTGTCTTAATGTGGATTCCATGGTCTACCACTCTAGATGATCACAATGAGCTCTCCAAAGAAAAATGAGGCTGGATAAAGACAGGAACTGAGCACAAGAGAGGAGACCCATGAAGCAGGAGTAAAAGAAAATCTCTCTCCTTTTGTGGTTTTAAAGTAGAAGAAGGTTAAATCGTGTCAGTTTATGAAAAGTAGAGGATGTGAGAATTTCATCATTTTATCACCATCTTTGGTATCTCCAATTCTGCTCAGTAATCTGCTTAACAAATCATGAGTATTTTCAATAGAAGGTATAAGTTCATGGTTTATTACCTGTCCTTTCCCTTTAAAGAAAAGAGGGAAGGAGTAGAGGGGGAGAGGAGAGGGAGGGACAACACAACAAAATGAAAAGGACAAAAAGGAGGGAAAGGAGAGAAAGTGTGAGAGAAGCCAGGCAAGGGAACAGGCAGGCACACGAGGAGGAAGAGCAGTGCCATGGCAGAGAGGAGCCCTGTGAGGGGCAGGTAGGGATGCCAGTTAGGCACTTGTTGAGTGAGAAATTGATGGGATAGAAAGAGGTCAAAACAGAGGAAGGCAGACAGAAGAGGAAGAAGAGGCACACGGAACACCAATATCCGGGGCTCACCTCCAGCAGAAAAATGAAGCAAAATGTAGGAAATCAAGAATACAGCCTTCCCATTTGCTCAGATGCTCCTACTCTGACAGTGCAAGTGGATCTCAAAAGATCGGGTAATTCAATCCCAACTCTCAACAAGACGGCAACTACTGAAGACATCATAGGCAGACATGCTATAACTCTCCTCAGTGATCTATTTATCTACAATTCAGTTCCTTCCTCAATTCTTTTCTTCTTCAATAAAAGCTGTGCATACATAAATAGAAAATAAGCATCAGTTATTTATCTGCTTTTATAAAACATTCACGTATATTTTATGTATCTGTTGTAGAACATCCATCTACCTTAACTGAAATGGTGAAGGGGAAGGTGTATGATTAGGGCCAGGGTTGAGATCAGAAAATCCTGCTTCTACCAGTTGGCATTTTTCTTAATCCTTCTATATGAATTAAGAATGCTTTTATTGGCATATACAGAAAAATTCATGTTTTCAGTGGTAATGTTCACAAGAAGTCTGGAGGTAGTCCCTTCCAGGGTCCTTTAGAGGGCTGCTAACCTCTAAGTGTTGTTTTTTGTCCTTGTGATTTTGCCTCATGGTTGTAAGATTTTGTCCTCAATTCAGCATCTCAAGCTGGAATCAAGGGCAAGGGAAAGGTTCTGTCCTTTTAATCAGAAAGCAAAATAACTTTCCCAAATGTCCTCCTGCAAATCTACTTAATGCCTCATTTAGCAGAAATGGGCGAAATGGCCATCCTCAGCTCCAGGGGAGGGTGGGAAAGAGATTGCATGACTGTTCTGCTTGCCTCCTGGGAGGAGGGAAAGGAGGAAGGGACTGAGGATGGCTTGGGGGAAGCCAAACCACAGTGACTTGCAAACTCTTGTCCCAGTTTTGGCTGAGGTCCCTTTCTGTGCTCTTCTGTGCTCCTCTTCCCTTTATGACTTCAAGCACAATTTCCAAAGTATAATCCATTTATAGAAACACAAACCCAGGGAATTTCTACCTTCTAAAATAAGGCCAACACATTCATACATATTTATATTATTTTTTCTTACAATATCATACTATGTTTTTCCAGAGGTATTACTTAGCTTACAGGGTTTCTAGGTTCCTTGTTTCTGCCTTAGCATCTACCACTTTAAAACTTCTAGTTTCAAGTATAATGTAGCCGTAGCTGTTGTTGCGGCACCTATAAATGAATCGTTTGGGGATTATTCATTGCTTTCACCAGTTGAACTATGTAGCTACAAATTCTATAACTTTTTCAAAGTCTCCCCCCAACCCAATCATCTTATTCTTTTGTTTTGTTAGAGACAAAGTCTTGCTCTGTCACCCAGGCTGGAGTACAGTAGATATATAATCACTCACTACAGCCTCAAACTTCTGGGCTCAGGGGATCCTCCTGTCTCACACTCAAGTAGCTGGGACTACAGGCATGCGTCACCACACCCAGCTAATTTTTACTTATGTATTTTGTTGACAGGATCTCACTATGTTGCCTAGGCTGGTCTTGAACTGCTGGCCTTAAGCAATCCTCCCATCTCAGCCTCCGAAAGTGCTAGGATTACAAATGTGAGCTATCACACCCGGCCAATCGTCCTTTTAGCAACAGGATATTTTCTATTCCCATTTTATTTTCCTATAAGTAAACAAAGGCTTAGTTGTTTTCATTCTTAAAAAGTGCTCTTTACCGGCACTCAATGCTTATTGCCCACTCACAAGTCTCCCATGACCTTCATGGGGGGCTGTGAGCCCCTCACTGTGTTCCCCTGATCTCCTACCTCCATTGTTCAGACACTTCTGTTAGAGACTCCACTGTGAACCCCACAGTGCAAGCATGCCGCATTCACCTCTTAATCCCCAATGCCCAGCACAGCCTCCACATTAGAGGGCGACCTCTGTGTAGGCACTGGACAATGCTGATTGAACCGAAATGAAGTTAAAGGATGTGAAATGCCCCGTCTGGCCATACAACTTTCAGCTGGCTGCAGCTGAAACACTCAGACCAGGTGCCATCTGCAGTGCGAGTCCCCCTCTACGCTTCAGACAGCCACAGTCTGTCACCAGGCTGTTCTTCAGAAAAAAAACCCTTCTCCCTTCAAGCCAAGCAGAAAAACAAGCAGATTTAGGAAATGAATGAAAGTGAAGATTGATGGCTAAAGCTTCGTTCCTTTTTGGCATCTTCACAATTCGTTCGTGCTGGGGAAACACCTTCATGCTACAAAGCAGGTCCATTGGCAGAAGGACAGTCAGGGAATGTGTTAGGGAAACAACAGAATCCCGGGGCCAAATTATCTCCATCCTGCCCCTTGAGCTCTTCTTCTCTGGTGGCCATGCTTTTCATTTTAATTCATTTCCTGTTTAGGGATTCTTCCTGGGCAGGCCCTGAGGGTGTACTGATGAATTTATCCGACAGGCACGATTGCTTCCTTTTTTGTCTGTCTACTATATCCTCCATCATGTTTAACTCTCTTAATTAAGCTCTTTGAAATCAAGTTGAACTACATCCAAAAGCAGTCTTGCATTTATCAATATAATTGAAAATTTTACCTCTTGCTAAAAGACTTGATTAATCCCATCCAAGTTTATGATCACCCCTCTGTGCATCTCTTTAGCATTTATATTCCCAATGCCCCCTTCAACTTGTCAGCGTGAGTGAGTGATCTCCCCAGTTAAAAGGTAGGCTTCCTGAGAAAAGGAATGTATTGTGTTCTGTACTTACAAAAAATCATTCTGCTTCACAGTATTGTGCCCCCACTAACGTGCTCACACTTACACTGATATATCCAAGCAGTTGTCTTGCACTGGATTTTAAATGCCTCTGGCATAGACCAATCTTGACCTAGAAAGACATTCTTGGTTCAGTATAAGGTCACTTGTAGTCTTAGTGCTGAACTCATATAATGGTCCGCATGCTGTTAGTACTAACAACCTGTGAGAACATAAAAAGATATGTGTATACATCAGGTCAGATGATGAAATACCTTAGTTTTTTGTTTTTAAATTTTAGATTAAGCTGGTACATGTGCAGGTTTGTTACATGGATATATTGTGTGATGCTGAGATTTGGGCTTTTAATGACCGTGTCACCCAAGTAGCCAAAATAGTATGCAATGGGTAATTTTTAAACCCTTGCCACCTTCCAATCTCCCTGCTTTTGGAGTCTCCAGTGTCTGTTGTTCCCATCTTTGCGCCCATGTGTACCCAATGTTTAACTCTCACTTATAAGTGAGAACATGTGGTATTTGATTTTGTGTTTCTGCATTAATTCGCCTAGGATAATGGCCCCTAGCTGCATCCATGTTGCTGCAAAGGACATGATTTCATTCTTTTGTTGTGGCTATGTAGTATTCCATGACGTATATGTACCACATTTTCTTCATCCAGTCCACTTTTGATAAACATATGTGTTAATTCCATGTCTTTGATGTTGTGAATAGTGCTGTGATAAACATACAAGTGCAGTTGTCTCTTTGGTAGAACAATTTATTTTCCTTTGGGTATATAGCTAGTAATGGGATTGTTGGGTCAAATGGTAATTCTATTTTTGGTTCTTTGAGAAATCTCCAAACTGCCTTCCATGAGGGCTGAACTAATTTGCCTTCCAAACAACGTTGCATAAGCATTCCTTTATCTCTGCAACCTCACCAACATCTGTTATTTTTTGACTTCTTAATAATAGCCGTTCTCACTGGTATGAGATGGCATCTCATGTGATTTTGATTTGCATCTTTCTAATTATAAGTGATGTTGAGCATTTTTTCATGTTTCTTGGTCGCTTGTATTTCTTCATTTGAGAAGTGTCTGTTCATGTCTTTTGCCCACTTTTTAATGGGGTTATTTGTTTTTTTCTTGTTGATTTATTTGTGTTCCTTAGATTCTGGATATTAGCTCTTTATTGGATGCATAGTGTGCAAATATTTTATCTCATTCTGTAGATTGTTTACTCTGTTCATAGTTTCTTTTGCTGTGCAGAAATTCTTTAGTTTAATTAAGTCCCATTTGTCTATTTTTTTATTGTGTTGTACTGGGGTCTTCATCATAAATCCTTTGCCTAGGCCAATGTCTGGAAGAGTATTACCTAAGTTTTCTTCTAGGATTTTTATAGTGTGAGGTCTCACATTTAAGTCTTTAATCCATCTTGAGTTAATTTCTGTATATAGTGTGAGGTAGGGGTCCATTTTCATTCTTCTGCATATGGTTAGCCAATTGTCCAAGCACCATTTATTGGATTGGGTATTCTTTAGCTGTGCAGCTTTATTTCAAGAGTCTCTGTTCTATTCCATTGGTCTATAGGTCTATTTTTGTACCAGTACCATGCTGTTTTGGTTACTGTGGCCTTGTAGTATAGTTTAAAGTTGGGTAATCTGATGCCTCCAGCTTTGTTCTTTTTGCTTAGGATTACCCTGGCTTTTCAGGCTCTTTTTTGGTTACATATGAATTTAGGAATAGGTTTTTCTGATTCTGTGAAAAATGATGTTGGTAATTTGATGGAAATAACATTGAATATGTAGATTACTTTATCTTAACAATATTGAATCTTACAAACCATGAGCATGGAATGCTTTTTTATTTGTTTGTGTCATCTATGATTTCTTTCAGCAGTGATGGAATCTTTCAGCAGTTCTCCTCATAGAGATGTTTCACCTCCTTGGTTAGATGTATTCGTAGCTCTGTGTGTGTGTGTGTGTGTGTGTGTGTATTTTAAATGGGACTGCATTCTTGATTTGATTCTCAGTTTGAACATTATTGTCATATAGAAATGCTACTGATTTTTGTATGTTGATTTTGTATCCTGAGACTTTGCTGAAGTCATTTATCACGTCTAAAAGTCCTTTGGCAGAATCTTTAGGGTTTTCAAGGTATTGAATCATATTGTCAGTGAAGAGAGATAATTTAACTTCCTCTTTTTTATCTGGATGTCTTTTCTTTTCTTTCTCTTCTCTGATTACTCTGGGTAGGACTTCCGAAATTCATCTGAATGTGTACTCTACTGGGTATTGAAGATGACCACAGAGAAAAGGAAATTTGAGATTTAATGTAACAATTGGATCCTTTTTCCCTTAGTATATATTCCTCTTCTTTGTTTTTGATGTGTTCCCTGGCACTAATGTGGTGCTTATGAATTCATTGAACTGAGTGACTTCTAAGTGACGATGCCAGGATTTGAGACAGCCAATGGAGGGCCTCTTTCTCTAAAGTAGCAGTTCCCATTTCACCAATCTATCTTCTTTACTGAGGTTCTGTGGGCAGTTCCAGTGGTTCTCTAAGTAAATATATATAGTCTGAGAAAACTGTACTTAATGATTAGAGAAGCCAGAATTGGAGGGGAAGTTTAAGCAGTCATTGTGCTGGGGGTCCCTTTATACACAGTAACAGGTTGGGCAAGAGATAGGATGAAAGAAAAGGACTCTTTTATGATAAGAGGTTCCCAAGGCAATTTTTTTTTTTTTTTTTTTTGAGACAGAGTCTCACTCTGTCACACAGGCTGGAGTGCAGTGGCATGATCTCGCCTCACTACAACCTCCGCTTCCAAGGTTCAGGGGATTCTCATGCCTCAGCCTCCTGTGTAGCTGGGATTGCAGGCATGTGCCATCATGTCTGGCCAATTTTCGTGTCTTTTAGTAGACACAGGGTTTCACCACGTTGGCCAGGCTGGTCTCGAACTCCTGGCCTCAAGTGATCCACACACCTCAGCCTCCCAAAGTGATTGGATTACAGGCACAAGCCATCATGCCCAGTCACAGATATTTTTAAGTGGATATATTCAATACCTTTTTTCAGCCCCCTAGTTTCTTGCCAGCCTCTATTACAGAGTCTAGAACACCTAAAAGCAGCCGTGTAACACAATGATATGTAAAGGAAAGTTTGTGAGAGGGTGTATTAGTCCATTTTCACACTGCTAACAAAGTCATACCTGAGACTGGGTAATTTATAAAGGAAAGAGGTTTAATTGACTCACAGTTCAGCATGGCTGGAGGGGCCTCAGGAAACTTATAATCACGGTGGAAGGGGAGCAAACATGTCCTTCTTCACATGGTGGCAGAAAGGAGGAGTGCTGAGCAAAAGGGGGAAAAATCCCTTATAAAATCATCAAATCTTGTGAGAATTCACTCACTATCACAAGAACAGCATGAGGGTAATTGCCCCATGATTCAATCACCTCCCACTGGGTCCTTCCCACGACGTGTGGGGATTATGGGAACTACAATTCAAGATGAGATTTGGGTGGAGACACAGCCAACCGTATCAGAGGGTCTCTGTCTCTTTCCAGATAAAATAAATAGAAGGAGGCAGGTGCCACTCTCTTCCCCTTCTTTCTGTGTAGAGTATAGCTGTGATGAATGGACCAACCATTTTTTTCCATCATGAACCAACAAGCATGAGGACAGAAGGGTAGCCCACTAAGAATTATAGAACTAAACGTGAGAGAGAGCAAGTGTCTCTGATGATGTTGCTGGACTGGATTCCCTACCTCCAGGTACTTGTTAGGTAACATACTTTAATGCATCTTTGTTATTGAAACAGCATCTCATTCACAACATTTTGAGGGTCCACACTAGTGTTTGTGGTCTCTTCTTGAATTACTTAACTGCATACATTGTAGCTTATTGGATAAATCAAGCCCTGTATTTCTGTTATACAGTGTGGGTCTCAATATTCTAGTATCCCTTAAAATAGCTATTTAATTTCAAAATAAATTTTGCCCAGAAATGGATATGGATTTTTAGAGTGAAAGATTAGACTTTACAAATCCATTCTAAAAAGCATCTTTGTTTTCATTTGAAAGAGTGCATAGTGTTGTAGAAAAATTATGGTTTTGGGAGTCAGACTCAAGACACACCTAATTTCAATCTCACTTCTGTCACTTAGTACATAATTAAATCAGGTATGATATTTAATCCTCTAAGCCTCTACTTCCTCAAGTTTCAAATGATGAAAGTACCAATCTTGAAAACAAGTATGAGGATTAAAAATAATGTACATCGGCTGGGTGCAATGGTTCATGCCTGTAATCCCAGCACTTTGGGAGGCCAAAGTGACTTGAGGTCAGGAGTTCAAGCCCAGGCTGGCCAACATAGCGAAACCCTGTCTCTACTAAAAAAACAAAAATTAGCCAGGCATGGTGGCATACACCTGTAATCCCAGCTACTTAGGAGGCAGAGGCAGGAGAATCCTTTGAACCCAGGAGGTGAAGGTTGCAGTGAGCCAAGATCACACCGCTGCATTCCAGTCTTGGCAACACAGCGAGACTCTGTCTCAAAAAAATATATATATATACATAAAATGTTCTGGTACACAAGGAACAGTCAAGAAATCAATGTAGACACAGATCTTAGACTTTTCACAAAAATTAACTCAAAATGGATCATCGACATAAATGTGAAACACAAAACTATAAAACTCCTAGAAGAAAACATAAGACAAAATCTAACGGACCTTCAAACTGGCAATTTTTAGACACAACACCAATAGCATGACCTTTAAAAGAAAACATTGATAAGTTAGATGTTATAAAAATTAAAAACTCCTGCTCTGTGAAAGATACTATTAAGAACAGGAAAAGAAAATCCACAGATTGAGAGAAAATCTTTGCAAAACACATATCTGATAAAGGACTGGTGTGCAAAATATACAAAGAATTCTTAAAACTACAGTAAGAAAATAAACAATACAAATTTTTTAATGGGCAAAATGTCTGGACACCTCACCAAAGAAGATACACAGATGACAAAGAAACATATAAAAAGATGCTCAGTATCTTATGTCATCAAGGAATTGCAAATTAAAACCACACTGAGATACCACTACACACCTGTTAGCATGGCCAAAGTACAGAACACTGACAATACCAAATGCTGGCAATGATGTGGAGCAACAGAACCCTCATTCATTGCTGATGAGAATGCAAAATGGCAAGGCTTCTTTGGAAGAGAGTGTGCAGTTTCTTAGAAAACTAAACATACTCTTACCATACAATCTAGCAATTGCGCTTCTTGATACTTACCCAAATAAGCTGAAATTTTATTTCCACACAAACCCTGCACACAAATGTTTATAGAAGTTGTATTCATCATAATTGCCAAAATTTTGAGGCACCCAAAATGTCCTTCAATAGTGAATGGATAAACAAAATGTGGTATATCCATATAATGAAATATTATTTAATGCTAAGACTAAATGAACTACCAAGTCACAAAGACTTGGAAGAAGCTCAAGTGCATACTGCTAAGTGAAAGAAGCCAATTTGAAAAGACTACATGCTATATGATTCCAACTAAATGACATTCTGGAAAAGGCAAAACTATGGAGACAGTAAAAAGATTAGTAGTTGCCAAGGATTTGGGGGGAGGAAGGGAGGGAAGAATATGAGAAGCTCAAAGGATTTTAGGGACAAGAAACTACTTTTTATGATACTATAATGGTGGAGACATGACATTATAAATTTGTCACAACCCATAGAATTTACAACACAAACAGTGAACTCTAATGTAAACTACGGACTTTAGTTAATAATAATATATCAGTATTGGTTCATCTATTGTAGTATATATACCACAGTAATGCAAGATGTCAGTGATAGAAAAACTGAGGGGTGGATGAGGAGTCATATGAGAACTTGCTATGCAATTTTTCTGTAAACCTGAAACTGCACTAAAAATTAAAGTCTATTAATTTAAAATGTTAATGTGCATGAAGCATCTGGTACACAAGTAACCCTCAATGAATAATAGCTGTAATTATTTAATCTCTGTCTTCCCAGGGAGTGTGTCCATCATACAGTAACTTCTGTAGTCAGCTAAGGGGGCCCATTATGTCAGGGTTTCTCATTCTTGGCATTATTGACATTTTGGGCCAGATATTTTTTGGTTGGGGGAGTTGTCCTGAGCATTGTAGGATGTTTAGCAATATCTCTGATTTCTCCAGACTAGAAAATGCCCACTCCCCATCCCCACCCACTCCCATCTCCATTCTGTGACAACCAAAAAAGTCTCCAGACATTGTAAAATGCACCTAGGGGGAGCAAAACCACCCCCACCATGAGAATTACTGCATTATGTGCTTTTGAAGAAAAGCAAAAGGGCCCCAAAGATCTTAAAATATGTACCTCTGTCACATTAGACCAGAGTTTCTAAACTCAAAATGGGAAATGTATGCCACTAGAAATAAGTTATGTCTGCTGGGATTCTTCATTATGTGATTTTGGCCTTGGGCCTTGAGACCAAAATAGGCTGGGCATATATCCTGGTTTGGCATTATTTGAAAGCCAGAAATCCGATCAATCGCTGCTTTTCTGTCCTTTTCTTTTCTTCATTTTCTTTTATTTTCTTTCTTTCTTCCTTTTTCTTTTTCTCTTTCTTCTTTCTTTCTTTCTTTCTTTCTTTCTTTCTTTCTTTCTTTCTGTCTGTTTGCCTGTCTCTGCTTTTCAAAGTTTCTGTTCAAACTGATCCAAATAAAACTAAAACCATATGGCCAGAGTGGGGGTATGATGCCCATCTATTTTCCCTCATTCCTTTTGAAATAAGCACAGGAGCCAAGCATGACAAATCCCTTTGCAGGAAGATCATTTTTAGCCTGGTTGTTTTGTGTTGTGTTGTTTGAATAATTGCTTAGAACATTTTGATACTTCATGGCATTTTCCTCCCAAGAAAAAAGTTTTCAGATTAGTAATATTTTTCTTCACTAATCTCAGTCTTAGCCACTAAACCGCAACCAAAGGGTCTAGAATAAAGAAAAAGACCCTGTTATTTGTTATTTTTTAAGCGAAAAGGGGATTTTGTGTATATGTCTTAATTGGGCTGGATACCCTGCGACTATCTTATTGAAGTTTGAAAGCTGGGAGTTTCCAGGATATGTGCTAAACTTGATTTGCCTGTGTGTGTTTTTGTTAGGTACCAGCCAAAATATTTTATTTATTTGTTTATTTATGTAAAGAATGAGGGATTTCTGCTTAGGCCTCCGTCCAGGGGAATTCATGGTTCAATAAAGACTAACAGCCCCAGCAAGGTTACAGCTTTCACCAGTTCGTTTCTCCCTGGGTTCTTTATCAAAAGGAAACAGACCTTCTGAGAATGAACTTCCAGTGGATCATTCCTTTTTTTATCAAAACATCTTAGCAGAGCTAAAAGATAGTCTAGCTGGTTTGGGAGGCAGAAAAATAAGGATAGGCTAAGGGTGAAAAAGATAAGCTTAGTGGGACTTATCCTCAGAAAAGACCTGGATTTCTGTGCTGTCATGCAGGCCCACCCCTAACACTGCAGAGCTTCCGTGGGGCTTGAAGAGCATTGCTTGTTGAATGGATGTCTAGGTTTATGGGTTATATACCAGGCCCGCACTGGGCAGCAAATTCCAAGCAACAAAGGCAACCATGTGTTCATCAATAGAGTTCTGTTTTTTTGAGTGTTTGTGAAACACTGGACTCTCTAAAGTGCAGTGCCTAGATGACTCTGACACTAAAAAAATACATACCATCAGTAACCTAAATCACCAAAGGCCTCCTGCTCAGAGATGTCTATGAAGGTGGCAAATACCCAATGCTGGCAGAGCATCAGATTCACCTGGGGAGCTTTTCGATGCTACAGACATTCAACTTCTCCAGTTCCTCTTCATCAGATCTCTAGGGGTAGGGGCTCAAGCATAAAAATCAGTGTGAGGTTGGAAGCCAAGGTTACAGAGGCTACTTGAAAGCAGTAGTTACAGAAGGCCACCCAACCGTGTGTTCTATTTGGACACCTGTGAGTGACAGAAGCGCATGTCATGTGCTGCCCTTGGTGGGACACCACGCAGACAACAAACGGGACCTTTCTTCTCTAGTTCTTTTTGGATGGTCAATTGTCCCAAACTTTCCAACTCATTCATCTTGTTACTCTCTATAAAACTCTGAGCACAGTCAGCCTCCCATTTGTGCTTAATCAATTAACCAATTAAGGCAGTAGATACTAATACCTTATTTCATTCTCCAGGTCCCTAGCTCAGCCTTCTCCTTCAGAACCTAAATAAATATTCAAAGAAGTAACACATGTTTGAGATTTCTGAGGGATCTCAAATAACCTATAGGGAAAAAAGTTTTCATAATGACTCATATAAAAGCTGGGGGGCCCAGTCTGAAGGTGAGCTTTTCAAGAGCAGTTGAGGACATTCAGGAATTAAAAGGTCCTTCTATGTAAACAAACATTTTATGTGAAGAAAAGTTTAAAATCGCATTGTAGAGGACCCACTTACTACTGAATTAGAGAAATGACATATTAAGCAAGGCATCTTTGACCTAGACTAGGAAAGAATTAAAGGTGCCATCTAGGGCTGACAGCAGAGCCAGAGGCATAGCTTCTTAAAACGTGTAACTCTCAGCTCCGCTGCAATGCATTCTGGCCTCTTGGGTTCATATCTCATCCCCATGGACAATTTCTTGATGCTATCATGTAGAACACATGGGGTTCTAGGATTCATTACTGGGCAAACTCTACCTCTGGCAGAGTCCAGTCAACAGGGCCTATGCAAGTGAGCATCTGAGGGGGCTCAACTGCAAAATTTAATTGTAAAAATCATCTCAAAGGTCAAACTGTAGTCAAATGGGTAAGTTGTGGCTCTGCCACTAAATAACCCTGGGTGACTTTGAGTGAATAAATTAATTAATTAATTCATTCATTCATTTATGTACTTATAAAGTAGCTGTTACGTGCCAGAAGTGTGTCAATCACTGGGGATATAGCAGTAATCAAAACAGAGAACCCCAAGCCCATGCCTGCTAGGGAAAGAGATGTTAAACAAAACACCAAAATACATGTAGAAATACAACTTAAGATAAGAATTGAGAAGGAGTGGTGTAACACGGGGGTCCCTCCTTTAGACTGAAGGGTCAGGGAGGACCTGTCGAAGTAATTAAACTGAAACTTAAAGGATGATTAGGAATTAGACAAAATGGTATGGGAAGAGGGCTTCAGACATTAATAACAGCAGGTGTGTGGGCTGGTGTTCGAGGGAAAGAGTGTTTAGAGAAGTGGGCATGGGAGTTACAAATATGGTACTTGCCCCATAATGATGAAAATGATGGCCCAAGGGATGCAAACCAGACATGAAGGGAAATGAAAGAGGGAGGTGCTGAAAAAGAAAAAAAGCGAGTGAGTACATTGGTGGTCTGACCAAGGCTGCTGAGATTGGAGAACGGTTTCAGCGAGGGACCTCAAGCCTGTGCACTTTCTCATTGGAGAAGTTCTTATTTGAAGTAGCAGTAGCAGTGATGTCCAGCGGGTGGCAGCTGGAGTGGATGGCTGAGGTAGAGTGTAGAAAACATGTATTGGCAATGAGGGGGTCCCAGGAAAGAGCCCATTCAATGGGCTCTATGTTGAATATGCCCCTGAATATTCACATTTCTAAGAAGAATGAAGACTGGTCCAGGTGCTAAAGTTTTTAATGAATGACAGGAAGTGACCAGGAGGCTTGCAGACAATCTCCTCTCTTCCCTGGGAGACCCCTCCGATTTTTGCTATAGGCAATAACAATATTCAGTTTTCTTAACTCTTTCAACGTGATGAAAAACACACTAGGCTTAAAATCAGAAGACCTAGGTTCAAGTTCTGGCCTGGTGACCCTCTCGATGTGCCCCTTTTTTTTGGACATGTCACTCTGAGCCTTTAGGTCTGGGTTTCCTCATCTGTGATTTATATAAATGACTCTCGAAGGGTGGTGGGAAGTGGGACGGGGAAGACATGCCTCCTTAGGGAAGTCCACCAGAATTTCGAGGGCAGTGGTTTTCAACCCACCTTGCACATGAGAATCACCTGGGGAACTTAAAAAAATTATAAGCCACCCATGAGATTCTGAATTTGGCCTGGGTTGGCCAGGTTTTGGAATTTTTTGAAAGGTCCCCCAGTGATTCTGATGGGCAGCTTGGGAACCACTGCTCAAGGGAAACATAGGTCATTTGAGATGATCTCCAACTTACACCACTAGAATATAAGCCTCGTTTTTCTGTTTTGTTCACAGAAATTACCTGAGTGCCCAGACTAGCTGACACAGCGTAGGCATTCAACAAATTGTGTTTGCATTTTACTCTGATTATAAAGCAGATCAGAGCACCATGCCCCAGGGACACGATAAAGTCAAAATTGTCACTGAATGTCCTATTCAACTACTTAATTCTTTGGTCAATCCTGGCCATAGAAATGTGGGTGACCCTGTAGCCCCAAGCAGAATTCTAAAAGATTAAGTTAGATTCATTTATATATAATGAACCTCCTTCAGAATGTTCCACACATGTACGTACACGTGGCCTCAACCTCACAAGGGGTCTGCATCCAGGGGATTTATTCATTAGACCCCTAGGGAGATCATGGCCCCTTTTCCTCTCTGTTCCCATTGCACCTTGACTCGGTTTTGCCCCTCAGCAATCAAAGAGTGTAGAGATTGCCTGTTTAAAAATCTCCCTATGATGCCCCTGTTTACAAGAAATTCCCTGAAGACAGAGAGTCTTCTATTTTCCTTCTAATTCCAGCACTTATTGATAATGACAATGATAATGATGATGATGTCCCTGGCTCTGAACCAATATTTTATCACTTAATGAATACATTTGAATACTGTCTGGGACACACTGGGGATTTTCCTCTGCTGTATTTCCCTTCCAGTAGAGAAAGAACCAGGATTAGACCACAGAGCCCAGTCAGAAATTTACTTGGTGGCTGGTGGTGGGGTCACTTAGATGCTGATATTTCCCTGGGATGAAGGTAAGAAGGAAGGGGTGAAAGGAAGCTTGGTGGACTCTGGCTCATGAAGACTGGCTGATGGGTTCAGGTTATTGCCCTTTTCCCAGCCTGTTTCGGGGAGGTCAGGGAACAAAAGCACCATGATGACTTTGGAAAGAAGGAGAGGTCTTACAGGGTCAGAGGGGTACATTAGCTGCAAATTTTTCCACTATGTGGCCTCCTAGAAATAACTGGAGTACGGGAATTAAAAAACTCAGTCCTCAGCCTTCTTCTGAACCAGCTGAGTGACACTGGGCAAGCCACTTAACCACTCAATGGCTAAAAGTTGTCGCTGTAATCACAGTGCCATAGTGCAAATCAAAACTAGGTAATACATGTAAAATCTCTTCACAATAAAACCCTTTCCATGCTCTGTGAAGTGATATAGATAGCAAAGCACTGTTCCCATTGTGTTCTGGTCACTTAGGTGTCCTGGAGTTTGCTGCATCAGCTATTTGGGCAGGGCCCTTGTGAGCAGCCCCAGGTCTAGCATAGAGCCTGGAAGTGAGCATTGTTGCGTGGGTTTGCAGCTTATGTTGCCTATAATTTTAGCTGTGAATGGTGCTTTTGTCTCTCTTGAAATCAGATAAGAGCCTAAGGGAAACAAGAACTTTCCAAGATACTGTCATCTATCCTTTCCCTCCACCAGCTGTAAGGTAATAATCAGAAGTTCCTTGAAAATGTTGATTTTCCTGCTGGACATCTGCTAGAACACTCCCGCCTGTGAACGCCCAGGACAGATCTGAGGGGGGCCCTGAAGGGTTGTGCATCATCCACAATGGCCTTTGCCTTTTCTATCCTTTGCAACTATTTCTCCACACCTTCTTTTGCACAAGACTGTAGCCTCTGTTTCTCTTCATTCATCATGATAAAATCCAAATTGCCCAATAGCTGCTACTGTGTAAGAACAGCTCTTCCTTCTTCAGAGAACCTTCCTGGACCACCTAGCTTTGGAGCTAGCTGAACTTTGACCTACCCCCTCCTACTCAAATCCTGTAAAGCATTTCATGTTCCTTCCCTAAGTTAGAAAGCTTCCTTGGAGTTTTCTCATGCCTGGCATTCTGGAGCAAAACTATGTTAATGATGCTGTAGTAATTTTCCTAGAATCTGGGTCTGAGAGGCCCAGATTTTTTTTTTATGGCAGTGGGTGCTAGGATGGGGTATTTCGTATTTTCAGACTTTTCTTCCATTGTCAGTAGAAAAAAAGACATATTTCCTTCTGTCCTTGCTGTTGTAATCATTTAGATGGCTCTGGGTCTTCTATACCAAATTACTATCGTTTTGTTATAGAATCAACTTCGATGACTGATCAAGTCTTCAGCCTTGTTTTAGACAAGGCCAGGACTAGGATAAGGTTAGTGAAGCACTTGCTTTTGAGCACAGTATTTAAGGAGATGGCCAAAAACTCAGTAACCAAGATAACTAGTATTTTAATGTGTCTTTTAAAAATAGACACTAATGCAAAAAAAATCCATGATGAGCAAAATATGATAATTTTAAATAAACCTGAGGTCAATATTATTGAGTTTTCTTTTTGCTCCAGGCTGCAATGTAACCTGGCATAGCACTGGCCTGGGATATCTATTTCTGATAGGTTTCCTTCATCAGGGTCTTTTCTGATTTACCAGACTGCTTCATTTTCTCTGTGGATCACGTACCTCCAGTGGGAGTTTCCCTAAGCCACAGCACCCTCAAAAGCCTTCAATGTGCTCTTCTCCTTCCTTTACCCGTGACTTCATCCTCATGTGCGTAACGGCAGCAGCCAACATTTCTCGCCAATGTGCCAGGCTCTGAGCTAAGATCTTCACATTCATTGTCAGCTAACCTCACAATGTGCACAGGTACCAATTCAACAGGTCCTGGTATTATCCCGGTTTTATGTTTTATAGCTGAGAAAGCTTCAGAGCGATGCTATCACAGCCATAGGTGGCACAGCTAGTGCACAGCAGAGCCACCCTCACCCACCCCTCTGTATTGCTCCTCACAGTTTCAGTCCTCAGTCTTTTCTTTCTTCTCGCCATTCACGAATCCCGTCAGTATTCACTTTCCAGGACCTGTCGACGTTTCTCTTTAAGAGCTTTCTGTTGGATTAGAAGCTCCACTGAAATTCATCTTGCTGAAATGCAAAGCTAGATGAAGGAACCTCAGAGAGAAAGCATTGATCCAAAGCAATTAATTCCCTCAATTTGCCGAATAGGAAACGGAGTCCTGGAAAGGTGATACGATTTGCCAGCCTTCCCTGTTGATGACGCGGCAGGATCACCTGCTCTGCCACTCTGCCTTTCCCCTCCCTTTCCACCAGACTCCAGCTCCTCTCCATACAGGACTGGGACCCCCAAAGTGTCCTGCCCACCCGAAGTTTTCCTCTCAGGCCTCCGGCTGTGTGCTTTGTTCCCAAAATTGCTCCAATTTCCTCCCCTTCGAGCCCACTTCCTCCCTAACCCCCAGACACAGGCATTGATCTCTTCTTTTGTGCTAGGGGTTTTGCTGATATTTGTAGGTGGCCCTCTGAAAAACATAAACAAAACTGGACCTGACTCAGAATAAAGTGGTAAAGCTGGAGGGAAAAGGGGGATGGGGCCCAGCTTCGGAGAGAAAATTACCTCCAAACTTTAGACTGCTGGTTGGCTTCCAAGTACAGTGTGTGGGGTGGATCACCATCACTAAACCAAGCCCACCTTTTAGGGGAAGGGGTATTATTCAAAACACCTCTTTATCCTGACCTGCCAGGACCAGTTCCCCTCCCCCGTGCCAGCTGTAGTTACAGCCCTCTGAGTCAACAAAGGGGTTGGGCTTGTAAGACTTCATTTATAAGCACCTAAATTCCCTTTCACTTACTCCCAGAAGCTCATTAATAGATCAGTTGGTCAACATCTTGGAATGTGCCTTGGAAAAGGATAGGATAGATGAAAGGAAAGTTTCCATGAGAGGAGAGGAATTTAAGGCCAAAGAGTAGCCTGAAATGTCCCAAGCTCTCATTAGAGATTGGCAGGCTCAGTTGTTGCATTGCTACACATGGTTCCTAAATTCCACCAACAGAGAAAGGTAGTCAGAGGTTTACCCAAAAAGACTGTCTGCTGGTCATGTTACTGCTTATGCTGGCAAATGATTAATAAGTTGGGAAGAAAAAAACCCAAAAGATTTGTTATAAAACATTCTGTGGAAACTTGGGGCAGAGATTGCACCCAAAAAATCAGCGATTTCAAGTTAATGGTGATCAGGTAAAGGAGATATTTTGAAGTAATGTGATGCAAAGCTACTACCACTGATTACAGAGTTTGACATCACTGCTCCAAGGTAGGAAACAGGAGATCAGTAGGAATTCTTTACCTTCCTTCCACTTTTCAAATGGAGGCGAAGAATTAGCTTCTATGAATCCTTTAGCAACTCATAGCAAGAAAGAGCTTTTCTCCTTGTCCTGGTCCAAATTAGCCACAGGCTGGAGTTATTGAGAGGAACAGCACATTGAAGTTGCACAGAAAGTTGTTTTCAGGGAGGACAGAAAAAAATGGAAACTGAATTGGGCAGACCATGTGCCTCCCTAAATCCAAAATTAAATCCACGATACATAATCTGCCTGCCTTCTCACATTGCACTGTGCTGGGTGGCCAAACATACCAAGGGGCTCCTGCTGAACTGGAAGCGGGCTGTCATCTTAGCCTCCATGAAAAGCTCATCTTTGAAAACTCATCTTTCCTTACGGGACTACTACATTTTACAAGGATTTTTTTTCTTCTAAATGCAATACATTGATGTTTACTTTTTAAACAAAAATGCTCATTATTGAATTTTTTTAGTTGATTCTACTTTTGCAGTTTGTGTAATTGACATCCTAGGTGACATGGAGATTCCTGTGGCTGCCTGACTCCAGGCAGTGGCTCCCAGAAGCTAGCAAGCAGAGCACACTGCCCAGAGTTGGGATATCAATACCCTTTGTGAAAACCACAAAATAGGCAATTTGAAAAGTAGAGAGAACTCTGAAGAGGAAAAAAGGTCCCTTGCCATTTTACTACTTTCAGCATTTTAATTAAAATGTATTTTTGTCAATGCAATGGTTGTTTCAGACATTTTAAGAAAACATCTTGATTCCAAACCCCGGGGTAAATTAAGTCAATAAACTTTTGAAGACTTGTGCCATGCTGCAGATGGACTTTAAAAGCCACTGGGGGGTGGGGAGAATGGGGGTTTCTAAATATAATAAACTTCCCAAAAAGGCAATTTCAAGCCTAACTGAAGTCATACTATTTTTGAAAGTGGAAATCCCCCTTTTCACCACACAACCCCGTGGTCGAGCCATCTAAGAATTCAGCTTCTGTGCCAGTGATAGGACAAAGCTCATCCTCTGCCGAATGCCACAGTCACTCCTCTTCCTTCCTGCCACCCACAGGGTCAGCAACAAGCACTATCAGTTAAACGTGACACCTGGTGTCTGCGGGCTGCCTCCGGTGGGAGCCAAATCCCACGTGTTGGTGTGGTTCCCACTTAAATAGATGTTTTCCTTTGAATCGTTTCTTTTCAACCTTGATTTCAGTTCTGTGCTAGTTTCTGGACTTTTGCCAGCACTTCTTCATAAAACAGCTTGTATTTGCTTTGAAAAACAAGAAAGGTTTGCATTTTGGAAAATATACTTCATACTTCATACTTCTAACCTTTACCATGGCCTGAAGGAAAAATGTAGCAGTTTCTTTCTGTAAATTTTAAATATAGGAAAGATAGCGGTCACTTTATAAAGAAAGCCAAACTTGTCCACATCCTTACACTCTTCCTCAAAGTTCATTTCCACATTCAATTTGGGTCGGGCTTTGTTTAGAGTGCCAATGAGCCTGCCTGGGCCACTTCTGCATTCTTGATGTTTGCAGCATTCACTGCAGAAACTGGCATTAAGACAGGCCTCTGCCACCCACAGCAATGCTCCTGCCACCTCCCTCCACTGTGCAGCCCCAAAGTGACAGAGGCTGAGGATCCCCAGCAAAGCAAACTGCTTCTGTCATCTGCTTTCAGGCAATTTTGAGGCACCTTTTCTTGGCTTATTTCCACTGCTAAGCCCTGACACAATATAATATTTCAAAAGCCCCTAAGTGCTGACAGAATACTCAAAATCACATTTTACAAAACCAAAGACAGAGGCCTCCCGCTGCTTATTAATGCCCATCATGATAATTCCTTACTTTGTCATAGTCTATGTATTTGTGTTGTTGTTAGTTTGTGTTGTTGATTTGTTCAGCCAAGGATCAAGCAACAGAGTGCAAGTGAGGCCACCCAGCGAGGGGGAGAAGGTGCAGCCTCTCAATCTACAGTGTACTTCTAAACATTCACTTTTTTTCTGATTATATAGGTAATTCACGTTTACGTGAGAAATTTTGGGGAAATTTGCAGAACATTAAGAAAAAAAAATTATTGCTCTAGATCATCTCCCCAAAATTGCACCTCAATATTTTGGGAAATATTCTTCTAGCATTTTTTTCTATGCCTTTAAATATTCATCACCACCACCCCCTGCCCCTCTCCTACCCCACTCCTCCAGTTGGGATCATGTTAAACATACTGTTTCATAACAGTATGTCTAGCACACTGTTATGGTGTAGTGTAATTAGTTTTCTGTCATTTAATTTGATCCATCTTTTGTTTCATTTGTTATTATAAAAACCCAGAGTAATAGCCAGAGCAGATGTTATTAGCCCCATTTCACAGATTAAGAAAATGATCACACCTGTAATCTCAGCACTTTGGGAGGCCAAGGCAGGCAGATCAAGAGGTCAAGAGATCGAGATCATCCTGGCCAACATGGTGAAACCCCATCTCTATCAAAAATACAAAAATTAGCTGGGCATGGTGGCACATGCCTGTAGTCCCAGCTACTCGGGAGGCTGAGACAAGAGAATTGCTTGAACTTGGGACGCAGAGGTTGCAGTGACCCAAGATTGCACCACTGCGCTCCAGCCTGGCGACAGACTGTGACTCCATCTCAAAAAGAAAAAAAGAAAAAAAAGAAAATGAGACACAGAAGTGCCTATACTAAAGTCATAGCATGGTTAAGCTTAGGTCTCCCAACTGCCAATAAAGTGCTCTTTGTCTACATCAAATTAAAGGGAGAGAAAAGCACAATGTAGGGGTCCTCAATATTCCTTTGCAAGAATAAGAGGCATTAATGATAGGTCATTGACATAATGACTCCTTAGAGAAGAAAAAAATAATATTTTACTACTATAGCAATAATGGCACTGATTTACAAATGACAGAAAATACAATGTTTTCAGGAATTTAAAAATATTTGGGAAATGTTGGTGAATATATGAAATTTTCATTCATTGCTGGTGGGAGTGTAAATTGACACAACCACTTTAGAAAACTGGTAAAACATAATGAACATCCTAACACACAGCATTACCATTCCTTGGTATATAACACACAGCATTACCCAACACACAGCATTATCAATCCTTGGTATATACCTAAGAGCAGAGCAAGGTTCAACAAACTATGGTGTACAGGTCAAATCTGGTCTTTGTAAATAGCACTTTATTGAAACACAGCTACATCCATTTGTTTATGTCTTCTCTAGAGCTACTTTGGCACTGCAATGGCATAATTGCGACAGACAGAAACCATATGACCCGTAGATCCTAAAGGATTTACTCTTTGACCTTTTACAGTAGAAATGTGCCACTCTCTCTGCCTGGGAGGATAAATGCATATATTCACAAAGCAGTATGTTAAAGAATGTTTATAACAGTTTTACACACAATTGCCAAAAACTGAAACCCACCCAAATGTCTGTCAACAGTAGAACAAATAAATCTTGGTATAGTTATACAATGGAATACTATACAATGATGACAAAGAACAAACTATTGCTTTTTTTTTTTTTTTGAGATGGAGTTTCGCTCTTGTTGCCCAGGCTGGAGTGCAGTGGCGCAATCTCAGCTCACTGCAACCTCCATCTCCTCAGTTCAAGCGATCCCAAAGTGCTGTGATTATAGGCGTGAGCCACCATGCCCAGCATTTTTTTTTTTTTTTTTTTGAGATGGAGTCTCACTCTGTCGCCCGGGCTGGAGTGCAGTGGCACAATCTTGGCTCACTGCCACCTCCACCTCCTGGGTTCAAGTGATTCTCCTGCCTCAGCCTCCTGAGTAGCTGGGATTACAGGCACCCGCCACTACACCCATCTAATTTTTTGCATTTTTAGTAGAGATTGGGTTTCACCATGTTGGCCAGGCTGGTCTTGAACTCCTGACCTCATGATTCGCCCTCCTCGGCCTCCGAAAGTGCTGGGATTACAGGTATGAGCCACCATGCCCGGCCAAACTATGGCTATCTACAAAAGTGATATATTTCACAAACATAATGTTATACAAAGAGTACTTACAAAACGATTCCATTTATATAAAGTCTAAAGACCAGTCAAAAATTAACATATGGTGATCCAAATTAGAATATTGGCTACCTTAGGGTGGTTATTGACTGAAAGGAGGCATGAGAGAGAGGCTTCTGGGGTGCTGGCAGTGTTAATCTGGGAGGTAAATAGGGCATGTTTATTTTAAAATCCAACAAACTCTATACTAAAAAGTACGTTATACCTCAAAAGAAATTTAGAAAACTTGTGAAGTATGAGAAATGGTCAGAAGAGATGGTAAAGGAATACAGAAAAATCTATCGTAATGTTGTCAGATGTAATTATTACCACTATATGATTATAGACGTCTCTGATTGGACAGAATAATGTAATAGCATTTTTGTTAGCAAAATTAATGCCACAATTGAATGCTATAACAGAAGTTCACACTAACAAGAGATAAGTCTGTTGCCCTCATAAGGGTTCTTCACTGAACAATATGAAGGACTTAAAGGAGTTGGCAAAATCTTTAGGCTCTGAAGCTGCCAGAAGATTCTGAGGGTAGGCAGATGAGTAGAAAAAAGCTCCAAGGAGACAAGAGAGGGGACCAGATAAGGAGGAGATTCAGTGATTCCACTCAAGCTACTCTTATTGCAGGTGGACTCTGTATGGATTGATGACCGATTTCATGGGAAAAAAAAGGAAGTAGCTTGCCAAAAGTCTCTGGACTCTGTGACCGTGCCTGATTGACCAAAAGTAAGACTATCTTTTTGATAATTGACAGATCAACACACCCTCCTAGATGTTACAGACACAGATCCCATTAACTGAATAAATAAATGAAGAAAATATGCAGAAAGGAAACTGTTAACCTTGGAAGGGAAAGGAGCAGTCTCCATCCACTCTTCTTTCACTTACATCTTTATATTTGTATTCAATCACTTTGTTATTTTTACTTATTTATGTTTATACCGGCTGTTTCCTCTGCCTGGAACCTTATTCGCCTGTGCATCCTCATAGCTACTCCCTATTTCCTTCAAGTCTTAGCTCAGATTTCACTTTCTCAGTCCAGACCTATACAGACTCCCTATCTGAAGTTGCTGCCCACACACTCATATCAATATTACAGGTTTTCCCTGGCCTGCTGTGTTTTTTCCATCGTACGTATCACTTCCTTATACTCTATGCACTGTACTTATTTATTATGGCTATTGTCTGTCTGTCCCGCAATAAATGTGAACTCCACAGGAGCAGAGATTTATTTTACAGATGTAAGTCTGTATCCCTGGCACAAAGTAGGCGTGCAGTAAATATTTGTTTCATGAATAAGTGAATGAAGATGGTAGTCACCATCCTTTCTGGCACTAATATTTAGAATTACTGTGGCCCACAGAGTCTTTCCAAAAAGATTGCAATAATTTGTACTCCCAACTACCAATATATGAGCCTGCTTATTTTCCCATATTCTTATTAGTATTACATATTATCAGTCTTTTTCATTGTGCACTATTTGTTGGGTGCAAATGTACCTCATTGTTTTTTAAATTTCATATGTTTATTAATCATTTGCATGTTCACTTCTAGGAATTGCCTGTTTATGTCATTTGGCCACTTTTATTTTGGATTGTCTTTTGTTTATCTTGAGGGGCTGTTTTATAAATTGCCAATACTTTGTCTATCAGATGTAGTCTAAATACTTTGTTCCACTGTCTTTTAAACATGTGACTTGAAGCATTTAGACATGTTTCTGTTCAAAGAAATGTAAGAATATGAATTTTCCCTTTTATTATTCAGAAGACATAAAAGGTGTTTCTTTATGATGCTTTTTTGCAGTAAAGGACTATTTTCAAGGGTTAAGGCTCCTAATCAAATTGCAGCTGTACTTAGTAGCAAGTTGTGTACAAAATCCTACCTTTCAGGAACAAGGAAAAAGAAAGATAATTGCTAGGCTAGGTTTAAATAATTTGACTTATAGCAGAATTCTTTATAAGTCAGTGATAAGTAACAAAGTTTATTTTTCTTTTTCTTTGGTTTTAGTAAAACAAAAAACCCAATTGGTCCCCAGGGTAATCAAGCCATGATTCTGTGAGCAAAGAATAATGATTTCATAAAATAATATATTCCATTTATATAACAATTTATAGTTTTCCAAGTACTTTTATAAATATTATCATATTTGATCCTCAAAAACAAAACCGTTTCTCAGAAGGTAAACCAGAAGTTCATAAAAGCTAACTCTGGTGACTGGGATTCCATGTTGATTCTGTGACAGAGCCAGGCCCCCTGCCTTCTATGGAGGATTTCTATTACTTAACTAAATTATTTAGATTTTCAATAAACAAAAATGTTAAAGTAAGAAAATGATATTAGAGTATTAAGTTGAACAGGTTAGGCCTTAAAATGTATTTATTCTTTTTGTTCTAATAAAAATGTTAAGATCATATCTATCTCCTCCTGTCTTACAAAAGCAGACAGACATCTATCTACCTGTAGTTTATTCTTGCCCCAGGTCAGTGCTGACAATTCATAGAATACAAGTCAGCAGGGTCGAGAGAGGCTTCTCGCAAATATTTCTCTGTGATTTTAGTGTCTGTGATCTGTATGTGGGCTACAGTACAAGATTTTAAAGTAGGGATCATTTATACAATCTGAAACACTTTGGGCTCACCTATCTTTATTAACCAAGCTTAATTCCAGATCTGCCCATGTGTTCCTGACTCAGCTGGCCCCTGCCATTCTTAATTAATCCCGTTCAGTCCTGGTATATTTAATCTTTTATGCCACCTGTTTCCAAATACTCTGTCAAGGCCTGGCTGGGTTACTGCTCCATTCAAGCCTTCCTATTTTGGCTTCTCAATTCTGGATTGCTGTGTTTCAGAGTTTCGTTTCACTGAGTCATGAACTGGGCAGCACCTCCAACTTTCCTCTTATTTCAAATAATTCTGGCCTTGAGCACTTCCTTGCTATTTAGCCTGAGGCATGAGAAGACCTTGGTCTGCCAAATAAGAGAGCTGGCCAGCAAGGCTGAGTATCAACCTCAGTCTGGAAACCAACTTGCCTCAGCATTGCCTCGTTCCAATGAGCAAAGAGCCTCAGGAGGTCTGGGGAAAAGGTTCAGAGAACTGTGGTGTTTTTCTCGTGCCAGATGTGATGATAGGACTTTGGCTTGAGACCACATGTGGAGCTTATTCACTCAAACTTGTTATAGAATATCTACTTTTCTTCCAGTAATGCCCTGCCAACAAAATAAAAATAAACACATGCAGAGGTAGCCTTCAGGTGCCTATAGTTACTTTCTATTAAAACAGGCTTCTTCTTGCATAACCTGTTTTTCTTCTGGAGGAAATTTTTTAAGCCATTATTTCTTTTCTTAATTTTATTTTTATTTTTATTTTTAAATAGAGATGGGGTCTCGTTATATTGCCCAAGCTGGTCTCAAACTCCTGGCCTCAAGTGATCCTCCCACCTAGACCTCCCAAAGAGCTGGGATTACAAGCATAAGCCACCACCTCTGTTCATAACCCATATATTTCTGAACTATAGCTTAACTCAATACAACCACAGCAGAAATGTTGGGGGAGTGGGGTAGCAAGAATGTTGAAAATAATACTGTAGTCTAAACATCAACTTCATAGCTTATAGCATTACAGCTTTCTTCAAACTAGATCACTGTCATCTGTAAACAGTAAACAAGACCGTTTAGTCAGAACTTACTGTCAAAAGCAGGAGCCCTATCTGTTTAATTTTTTTCACCTAATATTTGCCTAGGACTTAGAGATATTATGTGATGACATTATTCAAATATTCAGTCCTAGGACCTTAGACTTTGTCAATTTGATGAACAGACTTCTTATATTAGGCAAAAAAAATGAAATTTATGCTTTTTTCTCTCCTTACAAAATAATTCCCTCCCAATGTCCTTTTTTTCTCAGCTTTATTGAGGTGCAATTGACAAATAAAAATTGCATATGTTTACAGTGTACATGATGTTTTGATATATGTATACATTGTGAAGTGGCTATCACTATCAAGCTAATTAACATATCCAACATCTTGCATAGTTAACTATTTGTGTCTATGTGACAAGCATGTATAAGATCTACTCTCTAAGCAAATGTCAAGTATACATTACATTATTATTACCTATAGCTGTCATGCTGTATAGTAGATCCCCAGAATTTATTCATCCTGCCAGAGACTTTGTAGCCTTTGAACAATACCTCCTCCTTCCACCATCCCCTGGCAACCACCATTCTACTCTCTGAGTTTGACTTTTTTAGATAAATACATGAAATTATACAGTATTTGTCTTTCTGTGCCTGGCCTATTTCTTTCAGCATAATGTCCTCCAGGTTCATCCATGTTACCACAAATAACAGGATTCCCTTTGTTTGAGGGGCTAAATAATATTCCTCTGTGTGTGTGTGTGTGTGTGTGTGTGTGTGTGTGTGTGTGTGTCACATTTTCTTTATCCATTCATTCACCAATGAACGCTTACATTAATTCCATATCTTGGCTATTGTGAATAATGATGCAATGAATATGGGAGAACAAATACCTCTTCAATATACTGATTTCATTTCCTTTGGAGGTGTACTCAGAAGTGGGATTGCTGGATCACATGATACTTCTATATTTAATTTTTCTAGGAACCTCCATAATGGCTATACCAATTTACGATTTATGTTCCCATCAACAGTGTACCAGAGTTCTTCTCCACATCCTCGCCAACACTTGTTATATTTTGTCTTTATGATAATGGTCATTTTAACATGTGTAAGGTGAGATTTCCTTGGGATTTTGGTTTGCATTTCCCTGATGATTAGTAATGTTGAGCTTTTTTTTATTACATATGTTGGACATTTGTATGTCTCCTTTTGAGAAATGTCTATTAAGTTCCTTTGCCTATGTTTTAATTGGGTTATTTGTGTTCTTGTTATTGAGTTGATTGAGTTCATTTTGTATTTTGGATATTAACCCAAAACCATATAAATTATTTGCAAATATTTTCTCCCATTTTTGTGGGTTTTCTCTTCTCTCTGTTGATTATGTTCTTCATTGTGCAGAAGCTTTTTAGTCTGGTGCAATTGCATTTGTCTGTTTTTGCTTGTGTTGCCTATACTTTTGGGGTCATATTCAAATAATCATAGCCCAGCCCACCAATGTCAAGAAGCTTTTTTCCTGTGTTTTATTCTAGTAGTTTTACAATTTCAGCTCTCATGTGTAAATCTTTAATCCATTTTGAGATAAATGCCTAATTTTATTCTTCTCCATGTGGACATCTAGTTTTCCCAACACCATTTATTGAAGAGACTGTCATTTGCCTATTGTGTGTTTTTGGACCTTTGTTGAAGATCATTGACCATAAATGCGTGGATTTGTTTCTGGGCTCTATTCTGTTCCACGAACCTATATGCCTGTTTTTGTGCCAATACTATACTCTTTTGATTACAATAGCTTTGTAGTATATTTTGAAATGAGGTAATGTGATGCCTCTAGATTTGTTCTTTTTGCTGAAGACTGTTTTGGCTATTTGTGGTCTTTTGTGGTTCCATATGAAATTTAGGATTTTTTTTCTATTTCTGTGATAAACATCATTGGAATTTTAATAGAGATTACATTGAATCTATAGATCACTTTGGGTAGTATGGACATTTAAACAATATTCATTCTTTCAATCCATGAACACAGGATATCTCCAATTTTTTTCTTCAATTTCTTTCATAGACATTTTGTAGTTTTCAATATACAAATCTTTTATCTCTTTGGTTAAATTCATTTCTAAATATTTTTATGCTATTGTAAACGGTATTGTTTTCTAGATTTTTTTGGATGTTCATTGTTAGTAGCAGAAATGCTGATTTTTGTATGTTGATTTTGTGTCCTACAACCTTACCAAATTTATTTATTGTAACAGTTTTTGGGATTTTTTTTTTTGGTGTAATCATTGAAATTTTCTATATATAAGATCATGTGATCTGTTTTCTATATATAAGATCATGTGATCATGTGATTTTACTTTTTCCTTTATGATTTGAAGTTTTCTATTTCTTTTTCTTGCCTAATAGCTCTGGCTAGGACTTCTAATGCTACCTTGAATAGAAGTGTTGACAATAAGTATCCTTATCTTATTCCTAATCTTAGAGGAAAAGCTTTCAAATTTTCACCAAAGAGTGTGATGTTATCTGTGGACTTGTCATGTATGGCATTTATTATGTTCAATATCTACATTGTTAAGAGTTTTAATCATGAAAGGATGTTGAATTTGGTCAAATGTGGGTTTTTTGCATCTATAGAGATGACTATATTATTTTTATTATAAAAATGCTATTTTTATTATTCAATCTGTTAATGTGGTGTATCGCATATATTGATTTGTGTATGTTGAGCCATCCTTGTATCTTTGGAATAAATCACACTTGATCATGGTGTATGATCTTTTAATATGCTGTTGAATATGGCTTGCTAGTATCTTATTGAGGATTTTTACATCATTGTTCATCCTGGCTTATAATTTTTTTCTTGTGATGTCTTTTTCCAGCTTTAGTATCAGGGTAATGCTGACTTGGTAAAGTTAGTTAGATGTGTTCCCTCCTCTTTAATTTTTTGGAGGAGTTTGAGAAGGATTGGCATTAATTCTTCTTTAAGAAGAATTCTTTGGTAGAATTCACCAGTGAAGACATCAGGTCCTGGATTTTTCTTCACTAAAAGGTTTTCAAATACAGATTCAATCTCCTTACTTGTTTTTTGTCTGTACAGCTTTTCTATTTACTCATAATTTAGTATTGGTAAATTGTATGTTTCTGGGAATATATCCATTTTTTCTAGATTATCCAATTGTTGGCATATAATTATTAATAGTAATCTCTTATGATTCTTTGTATTTCTGTGATATCATTGTAATATCTATCTCCTTTTTATGTAAAATTTAATTTACTTGAATTTTCTTTCTCTTTTCAATTAATTCAACTAGTTTCTCAATTTTGTTTATTATTTCCAAAAACCAACTCTAAGTATCTTTGAATTTTTCTCTTGGTTTTCTAGCCTCTATTTCACTTACTTCTGCTCTAGTCTTTATTATTTTCTTCTTTCTGCTGACTTTGGACTTAGTTTGTTCTCCTTTTTCTAGTTCCTTGAAGTGTAAGTTTAGATTATTTGAGATATGTTTCTTCCTTTATGTAGGCATTTATTACTATAAACTTCTCTCTTCAGCTCTTTCTGTTTCTGTTGGTATGTTGTGTTTCCATTTTCATTTGTCTCAAGATTTTAAAAAATATTTTCTTGGACCCATTTGTTGCTCAGGAGTATGCTGTTCAATTTTCATATATTTGTGGATTTTCCAATTTTCTTCCTATAATTGAGTTCTAGTTTCATACTATTGTAGTTAGAAAATATATCTGATAAGATTTTAATTTTCTTAGATTTGTTTTCTGGCCTAACATATAATTTATCCTAGAGACTGTTCTATGTGCACTTGAACGTGTATTCTACCGCTGTTGGGTGGAATGTTCTGTACATGTATATTAGGTCTATTTGGCCTATAACATTCTTCAAGTCTGCTGTTTTCTTTTTGATTTTCTGTCTGGATGATCTATCCATAGTTGAAAGTCAGGTACTGAAGTCCCATACTATTATTTTATTGTTGTCTATTTTTCCTTTCAGTTCTTTTAGTACTTGCTTAATATATGAATATTTAGGTGCTCCAATGTTGGGTGCATATATATGTACAATTGCTATATCCTCTTGATGAATCTGTCTCTTTATTATTATATAGTAACCTTCTTTGACGCTTGTGACGGTTTTTGACTTAAAGTATATTGTATCTCATGTAAGTATAGACACTCCTGCTCTTTTTTTGGTTACCATTTTCATGCAATATTTTTTTCCCATCTCCTTACTTTCAGCCTGCATGTGTTTTTAAAGCTAAAGTGAGTCTCTCGTATGCAGCATATAGTGAGGTCTTTTTTTTTTAATCCATCAGCCACTTTATGACTTTACATTTGAGAATTTGACCCATTTACATTTAAAGTATATTATTGATAGGCAAGAACTTATTACAGCCACTTTAATTGTTTTCTCACTGTTTTGTAGTTCCTTTGTTCCATTCTTCCTCTATTGTTGTCCTCTTTTATAATGTAATGATTTTTGGTGGTAGTTTGCTTCCTTTCTCTTTATCTTTTGTGTATCTATTACAGCTTTCTGGGGGGATGCTTACCATGAGGCTTACATAAAGTATCTTGTAGTTATAACAGCCTACTTTAAGCAGGAAACAACTCAACTTCAGCTGCATGTGGGTGTTCATTGCCACTGGACCTGCTTTACAAGAAATTCTAAAGGGAGTTCTGCAAGTTGAAATGAAAAGATGCTAAATAACAACATGAAAACATATGAAAGTATAAAGCTCACTAGAAAAGTAAGTAGTCAAATTTAGAAAAACTCTACACTTTAACTTTCCTCCTCCATATTTTACATTACTGATGTCACAATTTACCTCTATTGTATATCATGTATATTAACAAATTATTATAGCTATAGTTATTTTTAATACTTTTGTCTTTTAACTTTTACATTGGAGTTAAAAGTTATTTATGCACCTACATTACAATATCAGAGTATCCTGAATTTGACTACATTCTTATTTTACAGTGAGTTTTATACTTTCTTATGTTTTGACGTTGTTAGCTTTTTTTTGTTTGTTTCAACTTGAAGAACTCCCTATAGCATTTCTTTTTCTTTTTCTTTTTCTTTTTTTTTTTTTTTTTGAGACAGAGTCTCACTCTGTCACCCAGGCTGGAGTGCAGTGGAGCAAACTCTGCCTCCCAGGTTCATGCCATTCTCCTGCCTCAGCCTCCCGGGTAGCTGGGACTACAGGTGCCCGCCACCATGTCCAGCTAATTTTTTTTTGTATTTTTAGTAGAGATGACTGTGTTAGCCAGGTTGGTCTCAATCTCCTGACCTCGTGATCTGCCTGCCTCAGCCTCCCAAAGTGCTGGGATTATAGGCGTGAGCCACCACACCCAGCCCCCTATAGCATTTCTTATAAGACAGGATATAGCTAACATCCCCAGGTGGTCTCCTTGCTTCCTCCATCCCACCTTGCCCCCTAAACTCTAGCATCCATTATATGAGGCTGACCCCTTGTGTTCTGCTATGGGATATGTAAAGTGAAGACAAAGAATTCAAGAGGCTACGTGCAATTCCTGATGCTACCTGAAACTAACTCTGATTCAAACTCTGTAATAAGTTTTCTGGTATTTGCTTAGTATTTCCTAGTTTTGCGTAGTGCAATAGCCTGTTCAATCATCCACAAAAATTGGGTAAATGCCCTTTAACTTTTTCTGTCTTCATCAAAATGGACTATAGAACTTGAAGCTGTTGGCTTTGTGTGCTCACCAGAGAGTCATCAGTTTTACAACTGAGACATTTTAGTGGTTTAGGGGGACTCCTCCCACATCTTCTCTAAACCCTTTTTTAGAAAAGGCAACTATAGGGGAATTCTGGTTATAACACCTCCTCCACACACATGCTTCCCCCTGTACCCCTCTTCAGGAAGCTGCCCATGTACTGGATCTAAAAACCTCAGACAAGTCTGAGAACTCCTGATCCAACATGCTGCCCAGGTTTCAAAGGGTTCTTATAAATCAGATTATGGCAGAAATTTCCAGACACTTTTTGGAGTGTTTGGGCATAAACAAAATCACTAATAAATATTAGATCATCCTATAGTGTCTTTACTTTCCCAGTTGTACCTATCCTGCACTTAAAAGAAATGACCCAAGGTTTCTGGACCCAGTAAAGACACTCCTAAGACAACATGAGAAGCCAGAATCCTTTGGGAGACTTTTCAATGAAGAGAGTTCAGAAAGCAAGGAAATGACAAGTCCTAACAAGTTGTTAGGAGAAAATGTACCATAATATGAATACCAAAATAAACGATATAGTTCTACATGGAGAATTCTTGCATACATTCATATTCAGGAGATTTGGGTGGGGAATGGAGTGTTCTGTTTAATTATTAGTTAGAATATAGTTTATTCATTAGAATATTGGTTTGGCTGCAGTTACAATGAGACTCAAAATAACAGCGACTTTAAAAACACATACTTTATTTGCCTGTAATACAAAAACACAGGTTGGCAATTCAGGCTGGTAAATTAGCCCCACAATCTTGACGGTCTTCTTTTTGTCGCTCTCTCATCCTCAACAGCTGGTTTCCATCTGAAAGTCCATAATGGCTGGCTTAACTCCTATCATCCTGCCAGCTTCCCAGCCAACAAAGAGAGCACAGGGGATGAGATGGCACATCCCTTAGCTTTAAGAGCACAGCCAACAGTGTACATAGTACCTTTATTCAGAGTCCACTGGCCAGAACTGAGTCCATAGCTATAACTATCTGCAATGAGTGCTGCGAAATAGAAGCTTTAGTTGGGCAACCATAGATTCTCTTATGAGAAGAAGAGAATGGGTCCTTGAGGGCAATTATTAGTTCTTCCACAGCCTACTTTCTAAGGATTAGAATACAATATCTAGAATTAATATAGAAAGTGGTTCTATAATTAACTACCAATCCCTTCTCACCAAAGAATTGGCAAAAAGCATAGTCTGGAGTAACTCCACTTTTATTATTATGATTGCATATATTTTTTTCTTAATCTCCCTCTGTGGCCCACATGTTTTACATGCCACATTGGTCTACGAAGTTATCATCATTTCTTTACAAACATTTTACATACTTTTATACTAATTTCACATACTTTTTAGTCTCTGGGCCTAAAGTTTCTAAATATTCTAATTTAAAGGAAGACTTTTCATTGACATTTCTATAGGTATTGATAATTTTGATGTGTATTGAAGAGACCAAACAATGTGTAAACTTTAAGGAGGCAATTTGGGGAAGCAGAAATATTATCAAGTTTAGATCAGATTTTTCTTTATATCAAATCCCAGCTCAACTTTTTACTAATTACTTGCTCTTAGACCAGTTAATTTACTTTTCTGAGCCACATATTTATTGGTTTTAGGTAGGGGGTGGGCTAAAATATATCCTTGCAAGTTTATTACAAGGATTAAATGATTCATTCCATAACAAATGTCTAGCAGAGTGCCTGCTACATAGCAGATGCTTAGTAAATGGCTATCTTCTTTATACACTTGCTAACTTCTTTATACACTTCACAAAATTCCTGCCACACTCCATCTACAAGTGATCTTCCTCTTTCTCTGCTCTGCGTTGTGAAAAGTTGAAGACGGCTCTGATGTTTTGGTGAGTCAAGCACCATTTTAAAGTGGTGTACTGCCTGAAGAATTCTTTCCCAGAGTGTAGAAATCATTTGCTCTATGAAATCTTCATCATCCCTTGCAGTTCCTCCTCCAATGGTCCAGGAGAGTTGGATTTTACTATTTTCTTTTTTTGCTGTTTAATTTGTTTTATAAATTAATATTTTGCTACTTAGTTGTTTCATCCCAGCCATGTGTGCTATATGTGCTTAAGGTCTGATCATCTTTATTTACCAGTTTATATCATTTGTAAACCTAAGAAGAATTTCAGGCAGCTTAAAAAGTTACGTCTAGTACAGTAAACTTTTTTAAAAATGGAAGATAAAATTAGAAAAATGAAACAAATGGAAAACAAAGAATAGGACATAAATGAAGTCAGTGGTGAAATGAGTGCCCAAATGCACACACCCTCAGAGATTGTAGATGCCTCCGTTTGTCATCAGATTAGAAACTGGGTGTCACAGTGTATTTTGCTAGGATTGTCATAACAAAAGATCACAAATTTGTTGTCTCACAGGTCTGGAGGCCAGAAGTCCAAGATCAAGATGTTGGCAGGGTTGGTTCCTTCTGAGGCCTGTGAAGGAAGGATCTGTTCCAGGCCTCTCCCCTTTGGCTTGTACCTGACCATCTTTATGTTCACATGGTGTTCTGCCTGAATGTGTCTGTGTCCAAATTACCAGTTGTATCAGATTAGGGCCCATCCCAATGACCTCACTTTAACTTGATTACTTCTGTAATGTCTGCATCTCCAAATAAGGTCACACCCTAAGGTACTAGAGGTTAGGACTTCAAAATACATATTATGGGGAGACACAATTCAACCCATTGCTTTCAACAAAGCAAACTCAGAGCTCATTGTTTTGTTCTATTTTGTGTTTTATGAGTTTTTTTATTTTTCAAAATCTTGCTTCAGGACTTGACAGGGCTTTAGCGAGATCTTTTAAATATTAATTACTGTATAAAGGACCAGAGAGAGGCCCCAGTCATGTGGGCTTTGGGATCACAACGATTCTGCTAGAAGGCAGCTTGCTGTCCCTTGGACTAATTACACTCTAAGAGCCACTGGAAGTGGAGGCTTTTTCAGCTCTCCTATTCTACATCTCTTTAGTCCTCTATAATTAACATAAACTATACCCTCTTCCATAATGTTTTCTAGCACTCTCTGGAGTTCACAATTGCTTTTGTATTCTGGTAGTTTCATTGTAGGTTTGTTGAGTGCATAACCAAAATATCTATAGAATCTGGGTAAATGTCCTTTCACACCACTGACAGAAACGTCAGCCAAGAATCTGTCTGGAAACCTATGAGAAAGAAAAAGATTTTCACCTTTCTAAATTTTTAATACAAATAACAATACACAACAATCTCATCTTTATGGCAGTAATGTCTGAACATTTCTTAAGAAAGCAAGAAGGTGTGGAAATCAAAATTTTAGAGACAGAAGACTTTAAATGCCATCTCCTTCTCAGGGTAGAGAATTGAAGCCAGAAGGATGAAGTCTTCTGGCTCCCAAACTAACATTCCTTTTATTAGGCTTTTTTTTTTAAATCGGACCCAAATACCACCTATAGACTGCACATGAGGATTTAGTACAGGTGCCCTTTACCTGAACCCCCTAAAGCCAAGTGTGTTTCTGAATTCAAGAATTCTTTGGGCCAAGCGCAGTGGCTCACACCTGTAATCCCAGCACTTTGGGAGGCCGAGGCGGGCAGATCATGAGGTCAGGAGATTGAGACTATCCTGGCTAACATGGTGAAACCCCGTCTCCACAAAAAAATTACAAAAAATTAGCCAGGTGTGGTGGCATGTGCCTGTAGTCCCAGCTACTCAGGGGGCTGAGGCAGGAGAATCGCTTGAATCCAGTGGGGCGGAGGTTGCAGTGAACCGAGATCGCACCACTGCACTCCAGCCTGGGTGACAGAGCGAGACTCCGTCTCAAAAAAAAAAAGAATTCTTTGGATTTTAGAAAGACAGTTCAGCACAATGTACATACCCTACATCCCTTAACATTCCCAGTAGGGTCAGGGAGAGCTACTTCTAATCAAACACACTAATATTTCTGCAGCAAAGTGTATGAATGTCCACATTATGTGCAATAAATAAGGATCATTTATAGTGTGATGTCACTTCATGGATCAGATTTTGCCACCAAAATGAGCTATGAAAACCCAGCGGTTTTCAGTTTTCAGTACTCTTTAGATTTTAGGATTAAGGATAAAAGATTGTTCACTCTCCTTAATCTACAAGTGAGATTCTCAAGCTGTGTTTTGCAGAACTACTTAAGAGTGCCCCAGCCCAGAAGCACTGAATCAGATTCTTTGGGGTGTGGCCTGGGAATTGGAATTTTTGACAAACAACCCAGCTGATACTGATGCAGACGCTGGGGAAACACTTCAAGAAACACTGCCTAGGGCATAGTGCTATACGGCATGGGAAACAGATGGGAACCTCAGCTGGGCTATTTTCATCACATGCCTCTCCCCAAACCTCCCTTTGACATCACTTTGACCCTGCAGTCAAGTTTCACAGAATTTTTCTATGACATTTTGATGGAGGTGGGTGTCCAAAGACAGGAATATACAAAGATCAAAGGGACAGGAGAGAAAAACAAAACAGAAAAAGGCAGACAGAATTACTATTCTAAACTCAAGCTACAGTCTGGTCATCAGATTATGTCACATGTATTCATTCACTATACGGAGTATGCGTTATTGGTCAGACGCTGGTGCAGGTATTTGGACAATCACAAAATAATTCTAGACCAAGTAATTTTCCCTTTTGGTAATTCTTGTTTCTCTCTATACCACTTGTTGTTTTGGGTTTTGTTTTGTTTTTTAAGGAGTGGGCATCAGCCACTGAAGCACATTGAGTCCTTCCAGGCAGTAGCTCCACCTGCTGGAATAGAAGGAAACTAATCAGTGTCCCACTGTTTCATATAGATGAGCCTTCGCATGTACTAAATCACAATTCACTATTTGACCAGGTCACTTGTGCTAATGGAAGTTGTTTGTCAGCTATAGGTAAGCGGAGGAGAGAATTACCCACGTAACCCCATCAGAGAGCATTAGACTAATCTACATGGTTGAGAAGGCTTTAGTGTTAAATAGGTTAACACCCAGTGAAATTTCCCTAATATAGCCTGTGCTGGATGGAGATGCACTGACCTTCCTTGCAAGAGCCTTTCCCTGAAGTTGGGCTCCTGAGAGAAGTTCTGAACATGGCTATCCCTGCCTTTTCATCTTGTCAGCAGGTAATGAGCTAGGCATGGGAGCTCAGAATACCACCAAAAGCCCTTTAGGGGCTATCCAGACTTAGCATTGTGTCTGAAAGTTGCTTTGTTGACCATTTATTTACCCTCTCCTCTATCTCCTCTAGCCCTGTTCATTTTCTCTACAGCACCCATTTCCCCCTAAATTCACTCTGGTTTTACTCACAAAAGGTTATACTCATACCCCTCTTCATCTGGGCATCTGTTTCTCTAGGTTTCTTTTTACATGGGTTTGCATATGGAGATCTGGTTATCTCTGCGGAGGTTTCTGTGTTGATGTCTCTGTTTGGAGGTCTCTCGGTAGGTAGGTGTGTATCCCTGTGGGAGGGAGTAGAGGTGATAAGGTAGTGTTTATGTTTAGATATACCAGTGATCACATGTAGGAACATAACATGCTATTTTCAGCCTGGCTGGCTTCTATGGAAAATGGAGGATTTGGATAAGTGGAGGGGAGGAAAGAGGCTGAGAAGGAAGGAGGGAACATTTGTAGAGGTGGAAATGAGTGTGACCAATAAGGGATCTATGAAAAAAAAAAACAGACTAGAGAAGCCTCCTCCCCAGTGTCAACCCACAAGAGCAGAGACTTTGTTCTCTGGAGTCTCCTTGGAGGCTTGAAGGGGGCCTGACACACAGCAAGCACTCAATATGTGTTGGATGAACAAATGTTATCATTGCGATGGTTACTGTTACATAAAAGTGCATCCTACAGGCATCTAGAGCTTTGTAAGTTGTAGGGTGTTTAGGAATATTTGCGGTGTCAGAAGTAGGTTGGAGAAGGAGGGAGGAGTCAAAGCTGGCCTTGAAAGTCAGACTGTGGAGCTTGAGGTGGAAGGGACTGTTGCAGTAATTGAGGTTGCAGGGGGCAGCGCACTCTGTAGGACTCCTCACAAACGTTGCATCGGCAGTCACAGCTCAGTTCCTTACTAACTGGGTGCTGTGGGACAAGCTTCCCTTCTCACGTCCCTGGATTCTTCTCTTCCGCCTGTCTCAGAAACGTCTGGGCTCCACAGGGCTCAGAACGGAGGCACCTTCTCTTCTCTATGTATATTTTCTCCTGCAGGCCAATGGTTCTAAACACTGTGTATATGCAGATAATCCCATATTTTTACCTCTAGCCAGATTCCTCATCAAGATTCAAGTATTCAGCTGTCTAATTGACCTTTTGATTTGGATCATCTTTTTTTTACATGGCCAAAATAGAACTCTTGATTGCATGTCCCATTTCTCTTTCTCAACACCTGTTTCTACTACTCTGGTCCTCTTAACTCTGTTATTGGCACTGCCATTCACCCAGTTGCTTATGCTAGAAACATCTTTCTGGCTCCTCCCTTCTCCTTGCTTTCCTCTACAGCTCTCAGCTAAAACATAGGCCCCACCTACCCCCTTGTATCCATCTCCACTTGCTCCTTTGGTCCAAGCTCCGTCATCTCCTGCTTCGACTACTGCAATAGGGGCCTTATTTAGTATCCCAGGTTTATCTCATACACCCTTATAAGCCTTTCACCACAATAAAGCCAAAGGGATATTTAAAATTTTAATTTAGATCAGTCACTCACTGCTCAGCTTTCACTGTATTCAGCTTTGCCATGGCATGAGAATAAAACTCCAAACTGGTGGCCATGGTGCATGGGGACCTCCATGTTCTAGGCCATGCCCCTCCTCCCCATCCGCATCCTCCCCAAGGTCCCTGCCCCTACTTTTCTTTAGCCCCTGCTTGTCTTTAAGTCTCTCAAGTATGCCAGCTCCTTCCTGCTCAGAGGCCTTGGCACTCTCCCCTCAGGCCTTTTCAGGATTGAATCCTCCTCATCCCTACGTCTCAGCTTATAGGTAACCTTGCTCCAGATGCCTTCATGAATTAATCTACCTAAAGCAGACCAAGCCACCTGTTACTCCCTCTCACAAGACTTTATTGTTTACTTCACAGGATTCTTCACAGTTTGTAATCATTTCATTTGTTGACTTGGTTTTCCCCACTAGGTTGTAAGTTTTATAAGAGTGAGGACCTTATCTTCAGTACTGTTGAATCTCAAGCTTCTAGAGGAGTTCCTGGCACAGACTAGACACTCAGTAAACATTTACTTAACATATGAATGAGCCTCCATAACCCTCATTTTCTTATTCTATGACCTAAGGATAAAAATACAACCTGCCTTATAGAGTGGTTATGAGGATTAAATGAGAAAATAGAACTTAATAAATGTTAGCCATTATTATTATTACATTATTATTAGTAGTATTGTATTTCTAATACTATGTACTTAGTCTTACTAATATTAATACTATTCTACCACATTACTACTAATACTATAGTAATAGTTTTTAGTAGTTAATTTCCACTACCTTATACTGGTTTTTGAAAAGAAAAATACTACTACTGTAGTAGTAGTATTATTCTTTTCAACAACTATTATATGGTAGTTAAAATTAACTACAATTTACAAATAAGTAAACAAAGATCATAAATATAAATAGCCTACTCATGATCACTTACCTAGCATACATTACAGCTTAAATTTTAAGAGTAAAGAGTTGCAAATAAATACAGATCTTAAGCCTGAATGATTGGAGGGAAGGTGTTACTGATGGCATAAATAGGGTTTTTGAACAGAGGTGACTCTAAAAAAAATGAACTCATGTTGTGCTGAGTGAATAGCTGGATATTCCTGGGAAGATGCCTCACAGACTATCGGACATACAGAACTTTTACTCAGATGAGAGGTGAGCGGTTGGAGATTTGAGCATTAGATGAATATAATATCTCAGTTGTGATCATAATACCATACCTGGAACACACACACACACACACACACACACACACACACACACACTCTCTCTCTCTCTCTCTCTCTCTCTCTGGGACCGAAAGAGTTGCTGCTCTTTGCTCCTCAAATAGGCCTTTCCCTCTCTCTAATTTCTCACCTTCTTATTCATCCAACCCCCCAGCTGACATTTCCTTCCATCTTTCCCATCCTAGACCTTCCCCTGCAACACCCCATGTGCATTTTGGAGGCTCACTATGCAGTCCTTAAGAATGGAATTAACTTCAACACCTTCAAGCAAATCTTTACCAGCTCATGTAGGATCAGGTTCAGGTGTCATGAACTTTTCAGAATAGGACAAATAAACAAAGTATCACAAAAACTCTTTCTCTTATATTTGTCTCTAAAAATAGCTAAAATTTATAGAGCATTGATATGCCAGATGCTAAGTATTATATATATGTTAACTAATTTGTTCTTTATAACAACCCTATGAGGTAGGTGGTATTGTTTTCTCTATATTATAGTGGAAACTGAGACACAAAATAGTTAAGAAATATGTCTAATGTTACAAAACTGTTATGCTATGATTGGTTTGAAAACAACTGGGGTAGACTGGGTATGGTGGCTCATGCCTGTAATCTTAGCACTTTTGGAGGCCAAGGCACGTGGATCAGTTGAGGCCAGGAGTTCAAGTGCCCAGGTTGACCAGCCTGGCCAACATGGCGAAACCCCGTCTCTACTAAAAATACAGAAATTAGCTGGGAGTGGTGATGTACACCTGTATTCCCAGCTACTCAGGAGGCTGAGGCACGAGAATTGCTTGAACCCAGGAGGCAGAGGTTGCAGTGAACTGAGATCTCTGCACTCTAGCCTGGGCAACTTCATCTCAAACAAAAAAAAAAAAAAAAGGAAAGAAAAAGAAAAGAAACTGGAGTAGATTTGGAGGGAAGAGAGAGGAAACCTATAAGGAGGTTGCAGTTAGAGAAAAGAACATTTATAACTAAGATCCTAAAGGAAAAATAATCCCCTGGGATCTGCAACTCTTAGATCACCTCAAAATATAAAATATTAAAAATGAGAATGTCATGTCACCTCTAAAGTTCAGTGACATTTGGTGAAAAGAATAGCAGCCAAAACTTTTTAGTCTGGTCACTAGACATAGCTCTGCCAACAACCAGGTAAGAGATTTTAGGCAAGTTCCTCTCTAATCTCTGGGGCTCAGTTTCCTCCTTTGTACTAGAAAGGGGCTTGACTAGTTAACTTCTGAGGGCTTTTATACTTGAATTACTACATCGGTTTATTAGGCTGCCTAGCTGTGTACATCACCAGTCTGCAAACATATTCTTCTTTAAGCACGAGTTTCTTCATGTTACTTCCCGACCCCAAAACACTTTTTGACGCTTTCTCTTGCCTTTGTGCTGCCATCCCCCAAATAGCTGTGACAATCTTGATATTAGAAATAGCCATCTTGTGGGGAAAAACCTCAAGCTTCCCATTTGTTTTCTAGTATTAACTATCAGAAGAATTTACTGGTAATCCACTTAAAGAGATGAAGCCTTATTAAAACCAAAAACAAGTGGCTCATGGGAAAGCTTTTGTGCACTTGAGCATAACTCCTCATTTGTGTCAGCCAAAGGTTGTCCTGACTTATATTGTCATGCATTTTAACCAAATTAAGGTATCACATCATCATTACAAGTTTCACAATTTGTATCCTGGAGTTGTCTTGTTCTTTTTTCTTTTACCAAAAAATCTGAGTTTAAGGAAAAACTTTAACCTGAAAAGTGAGCGGACTCACTTAGCACAATGTCAGCTGACCTACTTGTTTCAGTTTAAATGAAACTAACTTTTGCTCTTAATTCTCCCTTCTTCTTTCCTCTCCCCTACTCTCACCTACTTCCTGGAAAATGTCATTCAGGTCAGAGTTCTTAGATGCAATGTGAGATGGTTTCTGTCTTCCCAACCAGGTGATTTAGCACCTGGGCCTGCATGTTGCTATAGCTGCAATGTTTAGACATGGGTTTGCAAGTGAGTAGAGTCTAAAAACAGAGTTTTGTTGATAATGCATATGCCACAGAATTCTTGAATTGCTTAGTTACCATTGAGCTTGGTTATAAGTAGAAACCACTTATTTAAAAAAGAAAAAAAAAAACCACCATTTGCAAATGAGATCTACTGAAAGGCAAATAAAGCCTTGTTTAAAAGTGTGGCTATTATCAGTAATAGCAATTATGATGATTTATGCTGCTTGGTACATTTCCACATAGGCTTTATATGCATTTTTAATAATAATTCTCAAAACCATGGAGGAGGGGGACAGGCATTCATTCATTCACTCGTTCATTCAATCAACTGTCCTAGCTTGTGAGAAGGACAAACGGCCAGACCGCTTTTTGAGACAATGAACAGGTAGTTAGAGAAAAGGTCGGGTATTTGCAGGGCTGATTGCATCCTGGGACTCAGAAGGTCCAGAAGTGATACACCAGGAGCTCAAGAATTGCAACCATAATTTATGCAAATGATTCACACTAGAGTTAATAGTACAAGTTACAGAAACCCGACAGCTGGACAGGAAGAGGCTATTTTAGATTCAAGCCAACAGGTGGGCATCACCTGGGATTCATCATTGCAATCTTGCTAGAGCAGCATATTCCCACCTTGTCAAGAAGAAGGACCCACGTTTAACATCAAAATGTCTTGGGGACTCCCCACACGCTAATTGTCATCTTCTTTATATCTGTTAATTGAGAAATATATAACAATAAAAATCTGTTCATTAAAAATATATAACGATAAAAATCAACTAGGAATCAGCAGAGATTTAACATGAATTTATATTTCACTAATTCTACCAGTGCTATGCCAGTTTTCAATTTATTACCTCTTTGTTCCAGATTTCTTCAGCAGCTGCTCTACAAATATGCAATGGACCCTTTAAGCATTTCTCCTTTACAGTGAGCACAATGCTAAGCTTTGTCAGCAGATGCCACTGGAGCAGCATTGCAGAAGAAAGCGAGTTTCTCTTCCTGATTTTGGTGTGCTACTTTTCTTCTTCTTGCTCCAGCTGCATTATCCATCAGTGGTACTATGTATAAGACCATCCCGCTGTGCCCTGCCCTACCACCTGCCCAGAGGCACATCCCTCACTGACTATTTGGCCTGATTCTGAGCCTGTGGCCACCTTCTCACAGCCCTGCAACACAGGCACTGTGTGCTCCAGGCCTCACGTCCCCAGCAGTGGCCTGACTGTGCACTTAGCCACAGCCTCAGTTTGCCTGTGCTCCAAGAAATTGCATCCTATTTGCCCAGCAGCTATGGACCAGCTCCTGGTCCTGGAAAACAGCAGGCTTCTCTGACATCTAGTGGACTGCAAACACACCTTCTCCAACAAGGCCTGACCCCAGCCTTAAGGAGAGAACCGTCTTTCCGAGTTGTCTTTCCTTGGGTACTCTCCCTCAATCCTCGGATACCCTTGAAAGTTCTCTTTACATTGTTATAGTTATTCTTCTATCACTGTCGAATAATTTTTTATATTAAACTTCTCTTGCTTTACATTACTATGTGGTTTCTGTCTCTTGCTTGAACTCAGACTGATAGAAGTTCATTTGGAAAAACAGCAACACTTATGTGTACGAGATATTCAATCTACAGATAACATTTGGTATAAGAAAGCATTCTCAAATCCCTTGCTACTGATACCTGCAACCTTCTAGTGTCCATAGTCACCAAGTCAGGAAACCCTGGACTAAAAATGGACAGATTGGCAGGAAGAAAGAATCCTTGACATGAAAATGAAGCTATTTGGGGGATAAGGTGAACAGTGTAGGATGCAGGAAGCTTTGATTGCTAGGGAACAGTGTTGGTGTTCAGTGGTCAGCCCTGCTTCCTCTTCATCCAGAATCTATGAAATTCACAAAGATAAAGTCTGTCTTGGATTGAAGAGATGGGAAAGAGTAGACTGGGGCTATATGCAGTCAGAATTGGCTCAAACACTAGACTGGGATGTAGCCTATGGATGGATATCAGCTCTATCCCAGCCTATGGAGCCTACGGATGTAGCCTATGGATATAGGCTTCATCCCATTCCAGTGTCTGAGCCAATTCTGACTGCATATAGCCCCAGTCTATATGTACTCCGAAGGGGGAGGGGAGGCAACAGCAAACCCAATAGTGAAGATCAGAGAACAGCTGGGAGATGCAGGGCAGAGCTGACATCAGCATTTATTAAGCACCTGTTTGACAGAAGAGTATATAAGGCAGGGGGATATTAGGTTAACTGCTCAAGAGCATCCAGTTTACAAGTGGAATGTGCATGCTTAGAAAACAGGTCACCTGCTTCTTAAATAGGAATTCCTCTTTATCACACTGCTAATCTTCCCTGGGCTTACTATTAGGGGTAGAACAGATGGTTTTTGTCATTTTCTACATTCCAGAACAGATTAAGGACTCACCTATTTATTGAAGATATTGATGAAATTGGGTTTTTTTGAAATATCTGGATCTGGCTTTTGGAGGATTCGATTTGGGAGAACATTTTAAATTCCTCTTTGATTTTCCACCAGATTGGGGCTTTTTAAGCTATTCCTTGGCTCAATTTTGGTAATTTACAATTCTCCCCAAAAAAAGATTTATTTCATCTAAATATTCAATTTATGTGCTTAATGTTGTAAGTAGTATTTAATTTCTAAGTATCTTCTATATCTGTGGCCAAACTGATTTTTTACAACAAATGATAATGTTACTGTGTTTTCTTCCCTTTCTTTCTTTGTTCCCTTTCCCTTTCTTCTGTGGTCACAGAAGCCAGGGGTTTACCTAAGTTTTTCCATAGAACCAGCTCTGTGTTTTTCATGTCAATTCTATTCCATTGTTTTCCTTGTTTCTTTGTTTTCAATTTGATAGAAGCAGTGTTATGGGAGATCTCAGATGCAGAGATGTGTTAATTATACTCTCTTCTTTATGGCTCATATCACAATTATTCTGGATGAGACAGTATAATTATTTTAATTATTTTGTCTTTTCACTCTACCATCATCTTCACTCCCATTCCCTTCTCCTGAATATACTTCTTACTGTCCTTGGGTCTGTGTGTATCTTAGGAAAAATATAATATGTTTTTAAATTTATTTTACTCAACTGCTTGATTTTAACATCTACGCACGTTGTATGCTTATGTTAGTTTCCTATTGCTGCTATAATAACTTATTACAAACTTAGTGGCTTCAAAGAACAAAAAAAATTCTCTAAAACGTAACACATTTCTTTTATAACCTGCAAGTGGGAAAGTCTATTACCTAAAATCCAGAAGCCATGACAATGATTGTTACAGTGACTATACAAAAACCTACAAATCCTCCATGCCAACACACACACACACAAACACACACACATACACACACCCCTGTAGGCAAAGCAAAGAAACAAATGATAACCTGGGTAGAAGTCATGAATATTTTGCTAAAATTCACAATTCCTATTATAAAGGGCTAATCTCTTACATAAAGAGCTCCTACAAATCAATAAGACCATCAACCCTGCATAAAAATGAGCAAAGAATATGAACAGATTGTTCACACTAAAATAACTGCAAGTGATTTTTAAACATGTGAAAAGATGATCAATGTTGACTTACAAGAGGAATGCAAATTAAAAATACATGGAAATACTACTTTTCTTTCATTAGAAGGGCAAAAATCCAGAAGTTCGGTGACTGTCTTGTCAAGACTGTGGGAAAACAGGCAGGAATGTAAACAGTTACAAACCCTCTGGAGGGCAATGTGGCAAAATTACAATAATCTATCAAAAATGTAAGACTATATATGCTTTAACCAGGCACTTCTAGAAATTTATCCTAAAGATAAACTACCACATACACAATGACATATGTACATTTTGTGATCTATTTAAAAGAGTAAGATTGAAAACAATGTAAATGTCCATCAATAGAGATTCTTAGTTATGCCTCCACCAAAAAAAATAAATTATTCTCTTACAGTTCTGGAGGTCAGAAGTCCAAAATCAGTCTCACTGGGCTAAAGTCAAGGTGTCAGTGGAACTGGTCCTTTCTGGAGGTTCTGAGGCCACCCGCATTCCTTGGCTCATGGCTGATTCCTTGCTTCACTCCCACCTTTTACTTCCTTCATCACATCTTCCACTCCTGACTGTTGATCCTACTGCCTCCCTCTGATAAGGAGCCTTGTTATCACATTGGCCCACCCTAGGAACCCAGGATCACCACCCCCATCTCAAGATCACTAACCTAATCGAAGCTGCAAAGGTTGTGGACATGTGGATGTAGCCATTTTTGGAGCACTGTTATCCAGCCTACCACAATGCTCATCCAGTCCATCTCTTCTAACAGCTGTGTGGCATTCTGTGGCATACCTGCCCCATATTTTAGTTATCCATGCCCTACAAATAAACAGCTGCTACCATGTACATCTCTTCTGTAAATATCCTCTAACATGGTCTCTTGAGCATCTATGTGAGACTGGTGAAATCAGACACAAATTCCCAAGCCCCATCATCTGGAAGGGTGTCAACTACCTAGACTGCATAACAAAACAAATCCCGTGTAAAGATTGTTGCCAAGTTCACCCTTGTTTGGGGACTTGATAGCAATTTTCCCTTAAAAACCAAAATTCTACTCACTAGCCATGGGTTATACTGGGAAGAACTACTGCCAGCTTGTTGTGTGCACACACGTGCCATTTCTCCAATTATTCCCAGGTTGCTCTCCAGATTGGCTGTATCATTTTACATTTTTCACCTGCGGTGCAAGAAGATTGTAATTTTCTTCAAAACCCTGCTAACATATGGTAATATCAGATTTTCTCATTATTTACTATGACGGGGATAAAATGGTTTCCCATTTTCATTGAGGCACTATTTGTTTTTGTTTTTGTTTTTGGTGGTGGTTTTAAGGAGCAGAGAGTTTAATAGGCAAGAAAGAAGGAAGAAGCTCCCCCATACAGAGACCCAGGGAGGGGCAGTTCCAAAGCCAAGTGAGGAAACCCTGTGTGCCTTGGAAAAGTGGCTGCTTATATGAGGTGGCTGGAGGAGGTGGTGTCTGATTTGCATAGGGCTCAGGGGATTGGTTTGACCAGGCATGTCACTCACATAGCCCGTGGAAAAAAACTGGACCTCCCACCTAGCCTTTTAATATGCCAATGCAGGGTGCCACGCTGTTCTACACACGTGGAGATACATGGGGGTGGCCATGTTGCCAGGCATGTGTGAGGCCAGGGCAAGAAGAAGAGGGCGGGAATCGCCATGTTTGGGTGGACCCAGTTTCTAATGGCCTTCATTTGCATATCAAAGCTTACCGGCCAGGTCTAAGAACCTGCGCTTTCCTGTGAAGCGCTCTGATTATTATGTGGTTGACCATCTATTGATGTGCTTGCTTGCTATCCATGCCGCTTCCTACTTTTTGGAATCTGCTCCTCATTTTCTTCCAGAGTGTTTCACTTGGTACTTGGTGTGGTGATAGTTGATATTGTTGTTCATTTGAAGAAGTTCTTTGTATTTTCTTTTTTCTTTTTTTTTTTTTTTTTGAGACGGAGTCTTGCTCTTTCGCTTAGGCTGGAGTGCAGTGGCGCGATCTCAGCTCACTGCAAGCTCCGCCTCCCGGGTTCACGCCATTGTCCTGCCTCAGCCTCCCAAGTAGCTGGGACTACAGGCGCTGACCACCAGGCCCAGCTAATTTTTTTGTGTTTTTAGTAGAGACGGGGTTTCACCGTGTTAGCCAGGATGGTCGTGATCTCCTGACCTCGTGATCTGCCTGCCTCGGCCTCCCAAAGTGCTTGGATTACAGGCGTGAGCCACCGAGAAGTTCCTTGTATTTTCTAGATATTACTTGTTAGTTATAAATATTGCAAATATCTTAATATATTGTGTATGCCTTAACTTTTTTGAGAATCTTTTACTTAACAGACATCTTTCATTTTGATGTATTCAAACTTATTAACTTTTACCTTCAAGTTTGTGTACTTGCTTTTAAATTCATTAATTTTCACATTTATTTTTATTTATTTCTTCTTCCTATTGTTTTTTGCTTTTTTTCCTCTAGAATCTTCAGTTAAATGCCTAGTTGTTTTATGCTCATCTTTTAGTTTTTAAAATTTACGCAGTAAATGTGGGCTACATTAATATTATTGCTTTGGTGACAAATATTTTCGAACCTAACAAAATTTTATTTTAAAATTTAGTATTTTTAACTCCAAATCTTTGACCAAGGTATTTTTCTTTCCTTCTTTTTAAAATTTTTTTATTTTTAATTTTTATGGGTACATAGTAGGTATATATGTTTATGGGGTACATGAGATATTTTGATACAGGCAGACAATGTATAATAATCACCTCCTGGTAAATTACAGGGCATCCATCACCTCAACCATTCATCATTCCTTTGTGTTATGAACATTCCAATTGTACTCCTTCAGTTATTCTAAAATGTACACGAATTATTGCAGACTGTAGTCACCCTGTTGTGTTATCAAATACTAGATTCCTATTCTTTGTATCTATTTTTGTACTCATTAACAAAAAATGTTTCTGCTTTGAACTGTTTTCCATCTACTACTTTGCAGATGTTGTTTACTTTTAAAAATAGATTTTATAACTGGGCTAAAACAAATATATTGCTAGAAATCAAAGTCTACATCATATAAAGTAGGGTCTTCACAGCAAGCAAAAAAACCAAACTACCCTCAGGTACAAACCAAACCCACCCATTCTTTCCTACCCTAATTTTTCCTTTCTTTTCCACCCTAATTTTTCCTCTCTTTCTCTGTGCTGCTAAATGTTTAACATCTGGAACTGTTTGAGGTTTTTGGCTTTACTCTATTTTTTATGTATTTTTTATCATTATCATTATTCTGTGAGAACACAAGGTTATTTAATATTAAATAGCTATGAGTAGAGAGGAAACTCGAAAGTCATTTTCTTAATTCATTACTGTCATACATTTCTTAATTATTGCAATGAGGATGAACCCATGTAAACTGAACCTATACTTCAGCCAATGCTGTAAATACAAATTGCAACTTAAGAAACAGCAAAAGAAATATAGAGGCTTGACCGTATCTTATTAATTTGTTCATTCAACAAATATTTATTAAGGGCTTATCATGTGCACTATTCTGACCACAAGGAATCTAGCAGTTAACAAAGTGGACAAGATCCATGTTCATCTCTCCACCAAAGCTTTTTAGGAAGAGAAGCCGCAATAAAGAAATAAACAAAAATAGAAGTAATTTTAGATATGGGTGTATCCCAGAAAGAAGCTAAGACATGGTGACCTGAGAGCCGAGAACTTACCCAACAAGAAGCCAGCAATGTGGAGGTCATCCGGAGGAGCAAGAGTGGAGGCCATAGCAAATGCAAATGACCTCAGCAAGGCCCTTCTCTTTATCCAAAATGCAACAAGAATCAGGCTTATTAGAGTCAATTGCTGGAAATGAAAGAGAAACTATGTTTCTAAAATGGTTCCTCACAAAATTTCACAAATAGGAATTGACTGTAACACTATGCAGTCAGGAGGGGAGTCATGATGGGAAAAGTAACCCAATTCTGGAAAAATAACAATGTTTATGGATTGCTTTTTAAAAAAAAATAGGTGCAAATTTTCTTAAGGATTGATTTCTCAACCTGTAAGGACCATTTCTCCTGAGAAAAGGTTGACATGGCCCTGCTCTCAACACACAAATTAAAGTATCACAGGGCAGCATTTTCTTCCACTCCCAAACTTTCCATCCAGCTAGAGGGCTTGCTTCTCACTCCTTTACCCTCCAATGTCCAGCCCAGTTCATTCCAGGCTTTCACAGTCCCGGATCTTTCCCTAGAAGTCTAGGCCTCTCTTGTCTTTCTTACCCAAACCATTTATTCCCACTCAGCCCAACATCCTCTTAATTTGTATTTCTCACAGCTAGACCATCAGCAAAGCAGAGGGCCCTCCAGAGACTAAGGTCACCCATTAGAAGACAGTAAGGAGTTATAAATGTGAACAAACTGTATCCTTTCCAACTGTATCTCCAATTGTGCTTTGCTGTTTTATTATTTCTAATAACAGCCATCTCTCTTTGTGGTTAAGATTTCAGAAACTACATAAGTAGCATGTATTACAGTAACTTAATGGTAGGAACAAATGTCTGTACGAATTTTGTTTACTGAAATGGTTCTGAAGCTAATTCATTCTGCATTTCCTGAATTGACCTTATAAGTTACTTATTGCAATATATGGTTTTTTTCATGGTGCTTCTTAATGTTTTATATTTTAAATGACTGCTAGTCTGAAGAAATATGGGATAGAAGCTCATATTTACAGTGGCCTCTAAAAACAGAAAATACCCAGATAAAAAATTTAATAAGAAATGTGCAAATGTATATAAGGAAAATGTAAAAGTGCTCCTGAAGAATACAATTACAAAGCTGAATGAATATGAAGATATTTGTTCAATATCAAGGATAGAAAACTCAATCATAAGAAGGTGTCAATTCTCCCTAGGTGATCTTTCCCTTGTGATAAAATACATACAGCATAACATTTACTATCTTAACCATTTTAAGTGGACAGTTCAGTGGGATCAAATACATTGTCAATGTTGTGCAACCATCACTACTCTCCATCTCTGGCCTTCTTCCATCTTGTAAAACTGAAACTCCATCCCCATTGAACAATAATTTCCTGTTCTCCTCCTCCTAGCTCCTGGCAACCACCATTCTACATTGTGTCTCTGTGAATCTGACCAGTCTGGGCACCTCATCTAAGTGGAATCATACAGTATTTGTCCTTTTGCAACTGGCTTATTTCACTTAGCATAGTGACCTCAACGTTCTTCCATGTTGTAACATGTGTCATAATTTCCTTCCTCTTTAAGTCTCAATAACTTTTAAATGTAGCATGATCCTAATAAAAACATACATATGTTAGGCTGATGTGGAAAAATAAACAATTAATAAAAAGAGCTCCAAAGTGTTGGAGTCCCACCTACGGTAGCTGTTACTTATCATGTACTCATTTATCCTCACCTTACCCTATTCCAGATACTGCTTTACAAAACAGGCAGGTATTGCTTTCTACTTTTTTTTTTTTTTTTTTTTAGATGGAGTCTCACTCTGTCACCAGGCTGGAGTACAGTGTTGCAATCTAGGCTCACTGCAACATCTGCCTCCCGGGTTCAAGCTCTTCTCCTACCTCAGCCTTCTGAGTAGCTGGGACTACAGGCGCCCTTCACCACACCCGGCTAATTTTTGTATTTTTAGTAAAGACAGCATTTCACCATGTTGGCCAGGATGGTCTCAATCTCTTGACCTAATGATCCACCCACCTCGGCCTCCCAAAGTGCTGGGATTACACGCATGAGCCACCATGCCCAGCCTCCACTTTTTTATGTAAAAAGAAAGTGAGGCCAAGAGAATTATGTAAATACCCAAGTTAATATCCCAAGTACTGCAAGTAATAAAATCAGATTTGAAATCCAGGTATATGTCGTGCCTAAGCCCTCCTCTTCTCCTCGATCCACAATTATACTATCTTCAGTTCCCCCTCACAGATCAAGAAAGATTTCTCTCTCTTGCCTGTCCAATGTTCTTAGGGAACTATTACTGTGGAAATCAATCTGATTAACTAAATGCACTCTAGTGATAGTGGCTAACAAAGACTTACTAATAGCTGTCATAATATCTAAGGTTTATTGAGCACTCACATACTAGGCACTGAGCAAAAGGCTATATTTATGCAATATTTTTACCTTTACCACATTTTTAGGAAATAGGCATTATTATTATCCTCATTTTAAGAGGTCAGTTAGTCTTAAAGAGTTGGATGTTCTCAGGTAAGTTAGGAAGGTGGTAGATGCTGGATGGAGCCAGGCAGCACACACAAGCCTGGTACGCAGTCATAATACAACCCTGCATCCCTCATTTGTACCTCCAAAGGCACTTGTAACTAAGGATTATAGTTTCAGAAAGCACAGCTTTAATCACAAAAAATAAATCTGTACTAGAGACTTTCTAGCCTCCAACTGGGAGATATTATGACACACAAAGGGGTCTTCTTAGTACTTCTTCGGGTATTTCAAATATGCATACTTTCTGTTGGGCTAGTCTCAGTTTCCCCAAAATCAGACCTAAGTCATGTTCCTACAGTGAACCAAAATAAAACTTTCTTTCCTTTTAGGTCTCAAGAGTTTCACTGTTAAATGTGTCCAAAGAAATCATATTCGCAATCCAGACAAGTTACCCCTCCATAGTACCTGGTTAGCAGGTAACTTCCAGAGCTAGCTATTCATCTTTTTCAGCCTCAAAGTATTTCTTCCAGCTCTAACTTTCTGAAGGTAGTTTTCCTTGTCAGTCAGGAAGGGGATGTTGAAATAATCCCAGGCAAACATTTTGTCAAGAATTTTACATGATTCTTTAAGTTCATAAAATGTTCTGCTCCCTCCCCAAAGCAGGAGGGAGTTAAATCATTTGAGAAAGAATATTTAGTGGAATGGCCACCAGGGGACATTTTTATTTTACTAGAATTCAGCTATACTTACCCTGCAAAAAAAAGAAAAAAGGGAGGTGGTGGGGAAATACTTTATGTCCTTTTATATGGTCTGGATTTGCATCCCCACTCAAATTTTATGTCAAATTATAATCCCCAATATTGGAGTTGGGGCCTGTTGTGAGGTGACTGGATCATGGAGGTGGATTCCCCACTTTGGTGCGGTTCTCATGAGAGTTCTCACAAGATCTAGTTGTTTAAAAGTGTGTGGCACCTCCTCCCCACCTTCCTCCTGCTCCAGCCATGTAAGACATGCCTGCTTCCCCTTCACCTCCACCATGATTGTAAATTTCCTGAGGCCTCCCTAGCCATGCTTCCTGTAGAGGCTGTGGAATTGTGAGCCAATTAAACCTTTTTTCTTTATAGATTACCCAGTCTCAGGTATTTCTTTATAGCAGTACAAGAACAGGCTAATATATCCTCTATTTATCTTCTCTCATTTCAAACCAAACTTGTTCTCCTTCATCAAAGAAAGAGAGAACCCTGAAATTCAAAGAGACACAAAAACATTAGTTTTTGCTGTTGTGCTTTGATAGGCCCAGCTATATTGCTAACGGTAGTTCTTGTAAGCAACTACTGTTACTTGAAGGGTCATTTTGACTATCTACTATTTTTGCCTTTTTAGTGTATTTAGAACAGGCCATTCTTTTTTTTTTTTTTTTTTTTTTTTTTTTTTTTTGTATGTGTAGTTTTATGGGAACATAGCCACAACCAACTTTGTCTATGTATCACCCATGGCTGCTTTCACACTACAACAACAGTGTTAGTAGTTGGGACAGATACCATATGGCCTACAAAGCCAAAACTATTTCTGTTTGGCCCTTTACCAAAAAACTTTGCCAACCTCTGCTTTAGAACTTTATTCCCTAAAATACATGACCCTACTCTAGTAGTTAAGAATTTTAATGGTGAAGTCAGAGCAAAAATTCCAACTAGAATTCAGTGCCATAACTTCATTGGCTGTGCCGTTATCCAAGTTTCTTAACCTCTTCTAAATCTTTGTTTTTTTTTTTTTTAATCTGTAAAACATTATCTGTAACAATAGCACTTACTTGTAAGGTTGTGAGAATTCAGTAACTATAACATATAAAGCACAAACTGTGTAGTACTTGAAAAGAAGCAAGTCTTTAACAGGTAATAGTTATTATCAATATTATTATTGATATTATGGGTGTTTTTATTAAGATTTACAGGTATGTTGGCATAATTAAGAATCTGAGAATTTTAAGAATAGAAATTTTACTTTGTTCAATCCACCTTTGCCCAAATTTCTGTGACCAGAGAATGCCTTTTCAGTACTTCTTAGAACACTTCAAAGACACCACCCTCTCTTAAATCAAAAATAAGAAGAGTCTGTCTCCCTCCAGGCCACTGCCTCTCCTTCTTTCTCTGCCCCTCCCTTCCATCTCTTGGCCCTCACATTTTTCCTTCTGTGATCTAGCCTTTCTTGTGAAGTACTCAGTGTTTCAAGCCTCAATGTTGTCTTGCCCCTCATTTCAAATAAATTGTACTTGTCTTGAGACTAGTTCTCAGTGGATCCAACTCATAGCTAATTGAAAGCCAGCCTGTATGATAGATGAGCTAGTCCTTGATAACATATTTGTAACTGTGGATGTTACTTCTTAGCATTCTAAGGGGGCTTTCTGGACACATACTGCCTTACCCATGGCAATCATTCTAATCAGTCTGGAAACTTCAGGTATCAGAGCAGTGAGTTAAGAAAAAGATGCTAGGGCAAGGGGCCGTTTGACACTCTTCAAATGCACAGTGAACATCTGTCTATAAATAAGACTAGCCTAGAATAATTGCTAAAGGACTACCTGGGCATTTGTTGTGGCTTAAGGCAGGGGGAAGACACCTGGAAACAAATGTCCATCCCCACATGGATGGTAATGACACTTCATCAGCCTTCCTGAATTGGATCCTAGCTTCGTTATGATCTAATCTGTGCTTTTTCCCCAGCATCATACTGTCTTCTTCAACTGGACACTCCATCCCCCGACTTTCATTTCATTACATTTTAACAAATTATTTTTCTGTGTCTGTGTACCTCTGCTAGGAAGTTACTTCCTTTAGAGAAAGGATCATGTGGTGTGTTTCTTAGTGGTCCCTAGGGGCTGCTACATAATAGACACCAAAGAGATCTTTGTGGTAGGATGGAAGGTACGGAGGATGGAAAGGAGGATGGAAGGGAGGGAAGGAGGGAGGGGCTTTTTGCTAGCTTTAGGACTTGCTCTTCAGTGAGTTTTTCTTTTTGCCTTTTCTTTTTTTTTTTTTTTTTTAGACAGAGTCTCGTCTGTTACCCAGGCTGGAATACAGTGGCACAATCTCAGCTCACTGCAACCTCTGCGTCCCGGGTTCAAGCAATTCTTCTGCCTCAGCCTCCCGAGTAGCTGGGATTACAGGTGTGTGCCACCACACCCAGTTAATTTTTGTATTTTTAATAGAGACAAGGTTTTGCCATGTAGGCCAGGCTGGTCCCGAACTTCTGACCTCAAGTGATCCACCTGCCTCAGCCTCCCAAAGTGCTGACATTACAGGCATGAGCCCCCACACCCGGCCAGTTGTTCTTTGCTTGAGGCTTCCCTTGACTTGCTTTCATTTTATGGCTGGGTGGGAGGGAATTAGATGTGAGATAACACCTGACACAGATGGTATAAATAGGCGGCAGCTTAAAGTTCTCATGCTTGACCAGAAGCTGGCAATGAGGCATGCCTAGAAGGGTCCCAGGATCTGCGATGTGGAGCAACTATTGCTTCCCTCTGCAATCTTGGTGCTCTAGCTATAAGAAGGGCACCTGATACAAGTTGGGCTTTCTTCTGGGAATTTGAACTTCTAGAGGTAATCCCAGTAATGGATAAATTTGGAGCTGCAGGTCTGATGGTGGCGCCTAGAGCAAGGCTCCCGCATTGCAGGTGCTGGAGCTCCCCTGCTTCCGTGCTCCCGAGGGCTGCTTGTTGAGTTCTCCTATAAGACTGCTGAGGCCGGGCGCAGTGGCTCACACCTGTAATCCCAGCACTTTGGGAGGCCAAGGTGGGTGAATCACATGAGGCCAGGAGTTCAAGACCAGCCTGGCCAACATGGCGAAACCCTGTCTCTACTAAAAATAAAAAAAATTAGCTGGATGTGCTGGTGCATGCCTATAGTCCCTGCTACTGTGGAGGCTGAGACAGGAGAATCACTTGAACCTGGGAGGCTGAGGTTGCAGTGAGCCAAGATCACACCACTGCACTCCAGCCTGGGTGACAGATCGAGACACCATCTGAAAAAAAATTTTTTAAAGACTGTTGAAGAGCTCTTCCTATAAGTCCTTTTTAGCTTAAGTTAACCAGTTAACCAGAGTCTATTTCTATTGCATTGCCCAAAGAACATTAAATAAAGAGAATTTCAAAGCCAAGATCAAGATTTAGGGCTGGAAAAAGATGTTCTTTTTCCTATCTATGATAGAGGTTCTTCACCTATTTAATTGAATTTAACACTCCTGATCACTCTTCATGGAGAAGGCACTATGACATGTTCAGTGAAACAAAGATGGATTAAATGGGACCTCTGAAGACTCTAGTAAGGGAGAGAAAAAGAAATTCACAATAAATCAAACTAGTGAGAAATAACATCAAAGTATGTGCAAAGTATTATGAGCCACACAGGAAGAAAAGAAAAAAATTAATATTTATTGGATATCTGCCAGATGTCAGGCACTCTACACATATAATCACATTATGTCTTTACTCAACACATTGAGGCACATAACATTATTCTCATTCTATAGATGAGGAAACCAAAACTCAAAAGATTCAGCACCTCAAGTTGCCACAGTTAGTAAAGGGTAGATCTCAAACTCAAATCTGTCAGACTCCAAAGCCCCTGTCCCATCTGTTGCCTCTTGAAAAGGATAGTTTTAGCCACACCCAAGAAGTAGTTGGGCTCTTTCTCCACCTCAAATACTTAATAACACATGCACTTCTTCTATGTCTATGACAAGGGACCAAAGCATGGCGTTCTTGTCTAATGAATACAATATTTCATGGCAATCTTGCCCAACTCTGTAGCAGGCCCTGCTCTACAATAAAAATGGCAATGGCTACTCCTGCCTTTCCTGCCCCATAACGTTTTATTAGCATATGTTTTCCATGTCTATGCACCCTGTGCTAACTGGTTAGCTCTTTTGGAGCAAGGATCACATCCTGGGCAGCTGGAGCTTCTAGGCTTCAAAGGCATGGCCTGGGCTATGTTATTAATATTATTTCTTTCTCTTCTATAAGTGAGGAAGTGAACTCTTTGTACCCACCTGCTAAAAATTCCCCTTATGTTTACTGTTAAATGGACCTCACCTGGAGTGCTCAAAATAACACAGTCTGAAAAAGAAACTATGGCTGGGTGCGGTGGCTCATGCCTGCAATCCAAGCACTTTGGGAGGCCGAGGTGGGAGAATCACTTGAGCCCAGGGGTTCGAGACCAGCCTGGGCAACAAAGTGTGGCCCCATCTTGAAAGAAAAAAAAAAGAAAGAAAAGAAAGAGAGAAAGGGAGAAGAGAGAGGAAGGAAGGAAGGAAGGAAAGAAGGGAGGGAGGGAAGGAGGGAGGAAGGGAGGGGAGGGGAGGGAGAGAGATAGAGAGAAAGAAAGAGAAAGAAAGAAAGAAAGAAAGAAAGAAAGAAAGAAAGAAAGAAAGAAGAAAGAAAGAAAGAAAGGAGGAAAGGAGGGAGGGAGTAAGGGAGGAAAGGAGGGAGGGAGGGAAGAAAAAGAGAGAAAAAGAAAGAAACTACAATAAGAAATAAAAGAACAGGACAGAACACTAATTAGCTCCTTGGATCAGCAAACCAGTATGAAATGTCTGCTTTGTGCTAGAGATAGAGAGAGAAACAAAATTTTGCACACTTGCATTGTCCAGGGGATACGAAGACAGGTAAAGTAATAATTGTGAATTAATGAGACAAAATGTGGTTGAAAAGCAGAAAGAGCAACACAGAATGAAGCAGCAGTCTTTACATTTGAGTGTGTATGTCCCAGAGGTGGAGCAAGACTTTCTAAGGGTATGTGGGTACGGACAGTCCAGATCCTCAGCATTAGTAGTCCTCCTTCCTAGAGTTGATCTGCTTGAGAACTTGCATTTGGCAGAAGTATCATATTGTATTTCTTTTCAAAAGTGAAAAATATCTCACAATGTGAAAAAAATCTGTGCAGATACCAAAATGGGAATACAATGTAAAGGAAGAAAAGAAGTGGTATGAAATTCCCAATTGTCAAAAAGAGCTTGCCTGTATACCTTTTCTCCAAGAACAATTATGGATATCAAATGATATGGTATTTAATTTCTGAAGATATTTTAGAAAGTGATGTAATGTTTTACTAAAAGTCTATTGTACCTGTAATTCTAGTGCTTTGGGAGGTCAAGGTGGGAGGATCACTTGAAGCCAGGAGTTTGAGACCAACCTGGGCAACATTGTGAGGCCCTGACTATACAAAAAAAAAAAAAAAAAAATTAAAAATTAGCCAGGTGTGATGGCGCACACCTGTAGTCCTAGATACTTGGGAAGCTAAGGCAGAAGAATTGCTTGAGCCCAGGAAGTCAAGACCACAGTGAGCTATGATCATACCACTGCACTCCAACGTGAGTGATAGAATGAGACCATTTCTCCAAAAATTAAAAATAAATAGAAAGTCTATTGTTTACATCAGAAATGATATCCTTTGTGACTATTTAAGCTATAATAAAAATGTTTTTAAACATCTGAATATAATTAAAAATGCATGACAGATCACATGGTCTTAAAAATGCTTTCAGTGGGTTGGGAGCCGTGGCTCATACCTGTAATTCCAGCATTTTTGGAGGCCAAGGCAGGCGGATCATCTGAGGTCAGGAGTTGGAGACCAGCCTGGCCAACATGGTGAAACCCCATCTCTACTAAAAATACAAAAATTAGCTGGGCGTGGTGGTGCACGCCTGTAATCCCAGCTACTCGGGAGGCTGAGGCATGGGAATTGCTTGAACCTGGGAGGTGGAGGTTGCAATGAGCCGAGATTGCACCACTGCACTCCAGCCTGGGTGACAGAGCAAGACTCAGTCTCAAAAAAAGTGCTTTTAGTGGCTGTAAAGTTTGTTTGAAGATCAGTGCTGAAAGATGATGGTTGCGTACATTAAGCACCAGGATTGGACGAGGGAATGGGAAGGAGAAGGCAGAGGGTGGACTGGAGATGGTGGTGACAGAACAGTCTTGAAGGACTGGGGACGGCCACTGTGGTGGAGAGGAGAACTTTCCTAAGGGGAACCAGCATGTACCCAGGGGCAGCAGAGAGGCTGATGTGTTTGGAGATCATTGTCATACAGCTTAAACACAGGGAAATGATGAACAATAAGCCAAGGAAGGATGATAGAGACTCATATGGGGGGAAAAAAAACAGCTTACCCTGGCAATGACATTTTATTAACCTCCTTTGTAGTGATTCTGGGCTCAATGTGGTGGCTCACTATGAACTTGAGTCTAACAAATCTGGGATTGAAACCCAGCTGCCCTTCTATTAACTGTGAGAAGTTGGACAGATTCTCTCTCTAAGCCTTGACTTCACCATCTATAAAAAGAAGAAAATGAAGAGTACTTCCTCAGAGAGCTGTTTTAAAATTTAAATAAGATAGTCCATGCAAAGGGCCTAGCATATACTAGATACAAATAATTTTGTTATCATTTCTAGTACTTAAACCTGATCCTATCATCCCCCTGATTAAAATTCTTAGTGTTCTCTTTTGCCCTTAATATAAGAATCCAAATTTGCTAAGGTTATCTGAAGCCCTCCTCAGCTATGTTTTAGGGGCACCATCCACAATTTTGTTCTCCAAAATTAAAATGAAAGAATTAATAAAGTATTATCACCATGAGCAAGTTAACTGCCATGGAGAATGTTACACTAAAAGGCCTCCTCTAAGTTCAGCAGAAGCCAAGAAAATCATCCCTGCACCCAACTGGCCCCCACCATCACTCTGCCATCCCAGCCCCACCATCACTCTGATGCCCCACCCCCAGCCTGTCCCACCATCACTCTGCTGTCCCAGCCCCAGCCTGTCCCCATCATCACTGATGCTCCAGTCCCAGCCTGTCCCCACCATCACTCTGCTGTCCCAGCCTGTCCCCATCATCACTCTGATGCTCCAGCCCCAGCCTGTCCCATCATTAATCTGCTGTCCCAGCCCCAGCCTGTCCCCACGATCACTCTGCTGTCCCAGCCTGTCCCCACCATCGCTCTGATGATCCAGTCTCAGCTTCTCCCCCACCATCACTTTGATCTCCCAGCCTCATCCTGTCCCCACCACACTCTGATGTCCCAGTCCAATATCCCTGCGGTGCAGCTTGTGCCTTATATCGCCAGACACTTGACAACTTGTTTTAAAATGATGCAGAAGAGAATCAACACTCTCCAATTCTGTAATGACAATTGTTTTTGAGACAAAGTCAGTGCAGTAAATGAAATACAGACAGGGAAGTTAACACATGATTGTGAAATATGTGGTTGGAATTGCTCAGTCAAAATATAATTTGGTTTCTTTTTATTGCTTTCTTTTCTATGGTATTTTACAATACTATTTAAGGGAGAAGTTTTTGGTGGGGATGGGAGACTGGAGGCACAGCCATTGCCGTTAGCTTCATCCTACTTCTCAATGCTGCCTCCTGATCTCCCCTCTCTCGTGGAAGGGGGCTGACTGCTTCCCTCAAAGGTGGCCAGAAGGCCTGGAACCTAGTGTTTGCAATGGCCTGACTCTGAGTGCAGCTTTTTGTGTGTGTGCTCAGACACAGGTGTTTGTGTCTCTGTGTGAGTGTAGGGAGAGGGGGAAGGAGGGAGATGCGCAGAACTCATCATCCCTCCTGCAGCAAACTGAATTCTCTCACTCATGACACCCAGACGATGACAAGCAAGTGGAGCAGGAAAGAATCCGTTTCAAATATGTCGCAGGAGTTTGATCTAAAGGAATCAATAACTGATTAAATAACAGATAAAGGAAAAGGATATCCAGGAAAATGCCCATATTTCTAGCTTTGGCAACTAAATAGATTGCTATGGCATTCACTGTGACAGGAGTTATGAGTTCAGTTCTTTAACTTTTATACTTGAAGGCCCTATGAGATAGTTAAATGAAGATGTTTAGTAGGCAGCTAGATATATGATCAGAAGGGGAGCAGGAGAAAGATCAGAGCTGGAGGGATAGATAAAGCTGTCCTTAAAGCTATGGCCATAGATGAGCTTGCCCAGGTAGAGTAGATAGTGTTGAGAAAAGAACAAAAAAAGACCCTTAGGAAATTGCATCATTTAGAGATAAGAAACCACAAAAGAACCGACAGAGGGTTAGAATGAAAACCAGAGACACTATTGTCTGAGTAACTAATGGAAGAATTTTTTTTAAGAGAAAAGAGGACATAGTTAACTGAGTCAAATGTAAAAGAGGTCATAAATAGGATCTGTTCATTCAGCCAGTTATGCTTTCATTCACTGAACAGACATAGATTGTCTACTATGTGCCAGAGACTGTTCTAGATGCTGGGGACAGAGGTAAATATAAAAGAATCTTGTTCTCAGTGAATTTAGTTTATTGAGTGAGACAGAAAATAGGCAATTACAATAGAAAATGTAATAAGTAAATTGAGGGTGTTATGAGCTGACATGGGAGTGTGACCAGGCCTTAGGGACAGCAGTTTTGGAGGGTTGAAGAGGGCAGATACAAACTTGTGCAAATGTTGCATTCAAGGAACTTTGCTTTGAGAAAATAAAAGACCTAGGATAATAAATACAGACAGACAGGGAGGTGGGGAGAGGTGTTATTTTTAAAGACAGAAACAACTTGGGTTTATCCAGGAAAGGATGGGAGTAAAGATCAGAGATAAACAGGGATTCACTGGGCTGGGTACAGTGGCTCATGCCTGTAATCCCAGCACTTTGGGAGGCCGAGGTGGGTGTATCGCCTGAGATCAGGAGTTCGAGACCAGCCTGGCCAACATGGTGAAACCCCGTCTCTACTAAAAATACAAAAAATTAGCTGGGCATGGTGGTGGGGGCCTGTAATCCCATCTCAAAAAAAAAGTGGGAGGGGGGATTCACTGATCTTCAGGCTCCCCAGGAGGAGCAAAGAAAGAGAAAAGGGAACAGTGGAGTAGGGGGTAGAAGGTGGAATTTAAAGGACAGATGGACAAATTAGCCTTGGAGATAAGGAAAGATTGTCTGTCATAGAGATAACCACCAAGAAGAAGATGATGGATGGAGGGATAGGTGGATGGATGAATGGCTAGATGGTGGATAAATTGATGGAGGGATAGATGGAGAGATGAATGGATGGAAGGATGGATGGAAGGAGGGATAGATGGAGGGATGGAAAATGAAGGAATGGATTGAGGGATGAACAGATAAATGGACAGATAGATGGATGGATGCATGGATAGATAGATGGAAATGCAGATAATCTTTGGAACCAGAATGATAGGAACTGTACAAGAAAGTATCATTAGCAAATTGAATTATTAGTCTCATTTTTCCCTCCACTCATACAACAAAAGAAGAAAAAACAGTGAGTAAAAGTATTCACTTGAATGAGCAACCTCAAGGCCTTTCAAAGAATCTGGTAGACTTTGCTGGAAACAATTTAATCAGCAGCCTGAGACATGGGAACGGGGTGTGTGGGGCTCTGCTGGGAAGTGCTTGACAGCATGTGCCGCAGTCCTCCAGGGGAGGGGGCATTCTCATATCAGCAGCCATGAGGCACAGTGATCTGTGAAAGGTCACCCAGGCCTGAGGAAGCAATACATCCATTTCCTCCCCACAGGCTTCCTCTGTAACCTAGCACTCAGCCCTCTGCCCCAGCTGCTTTGTCGAAACTTATCCCTTGAAGGTCACTGATGACATATTTATTGCTAATTCAAAGGGCCTTTTCTTCCACCTTGTTCTCATCATCTCCCATAACCTCTTCTTTACCAAAGTCATTTCAGGGACACCGCTGACCTCTTTTTGAAACTCTCTCTCTTCCCCGAGCTTCCATGACACTGCATTACTGTGATTTTCCTCCTACTCACGAGTAAAGGGTAATTCCTAGAGGATGGAAAAATAAAATTGGTAGTACAGTTGATCCTTGAGCAACTTGGGGGTTAGAGGCACTAACCCACCACATAGCTGAAAATTGGAGTATAACTTTTGGCTCCCCCAAAACTTAATTATTAATAGCCTACTATAGACTAGAAACCTTACCAATAACATTCATAGTTGATTAACACATATTTTGTGTACTGTATGTGTTCTGTACTGCATTCTTACCATAAAGTAAGCTACAGAAAAGAAAATGTTATTAAGAAAATCATACAGAAGGGATAATATATTCACTATTCATTAAGTGGAAGTGGGTCATCATAAAGGTCTTCATTCTCATCTTCTTCACATTGAGGAGGCTGGGGGGTGGGGGAGGAAAACGAGGTGTTGGTCTTGCTGTCTCAGGGGTGGCAGAAGTGGAAGAAAATCTGCATATAAGTGGATTCACGCAGTCCAACTCGTGTTGTTCAAAGGTCAACTATATAACCCAGTGAAGGATAAATTTGTTATTACACAGTTCTTACAATGGCCATAAGGTCCAGAAAAATCTGACCATCTCTCTTACTAATCTCCACTCACCCACTGACTCCACTCCAGCCATATTGCCTTTCTTGCTGTCCTGGAGATGCACCAGGTATATTCTTGCCTTTGCTAATCCTTCTGACTGGTGCACTCTTAGCCTTGATATTCTCATAGCTGACTCTTTCCCCTCTGTAAAGTGTGTTTACTATTATTCACTACTTGAGAATATTGAATTCTGCTCTAAAAGATGAGAAAAACAATGGGGTGGATGAAATTTCTAAGATTTGTTAAATATAGTATGTACCTTATAAGACATGTTAAAGAGAGATATAATGAATGAGATATAGGATTTGTAAACCACAAAATAATCAAGAGAGCTATCTCTATAAAGAAAGGGATAGAAGAACCAATGGTAAGGTATGGATCATACCACCTCCAGGCTGACAGCTGTGTCACCCCAAACTGCTTGCCCATGGATGATATGTATTGTGGTCCTTCCTCTGACGCCACATGTGTTCCGCCCAGCAGAATCAGAAAAAGCTCCCAGCTGCTCAACAGGCTAATAATATGAGCCACAGCTATTGACCAGGAGTGCTTGGTGCTGAGTCTCTCTAATAAAGCAAGTGTGCATTGGCCATAGGCACCTCTGTCTGCTGAGCTCCAAGTCTGGTCCTTATATCCTCACCATCGGGGGGAAGGCTAGGGGAGAGAAGGGAACACAGGAGGGGGACAAAAAGAAATAGGAAGAGTATATTAACAATGTGTAAGCCAGCATTCATATACTGTGGGTTCTACCTGCTTCTACCTCATTGCAAGTATTTCATATGTTAACTTACAGCATTTCTTTCCTCTTGCTTCTCATCATGTGTTTTAGGTTGATTTGATAATCTGCATGATTTGAACATCCTAATTTGGTCTGTGAGCCTCTGTTCCATGACAGAACAGCTTGCCTGGTACTTGGAGATTCCCATCTTGTTGAGGTAATTTCCCACGACAACCTCCTTCAAGTCTTTGCTTAAATGTCATCTTCTCAATGAGGCTGATGCTGAATGCCCTGCTTAAAAATGGCAGTTTTCCACTGTCAGCCCTCTTAGCCCACTGTGTTATTTTTCCTTTTTCAAATTATTTTCCAACATATATAATTTACTTGTGTATTACAGTCATTGCTTATTGTCTGCTGATGTTGATGTTGGAGCTGATGTTGATTTTCCCACCTTTGTAAACTGTGAACACCTCAGCACCATACTATTTCCTTCACTCAGGCCTGGTGTGTGACAACACCACAACAAATATTTCTGAGCACCCACAGTGTTCCAGGCACTGTTCTGGGAATGTGGGCTATCACCGAATAAAACTCCCAGAGCTTATCCTGAGATAAACTCTTCAGGTTTGTCTGTTTTATTCGATGATAGCCTACATTTCTTGAACAGTGCCTGGAACACAGTAGGCGCTCAAAAATATTTGTTGTGGTGGTGTCACACACCAGCCCTGAGTGAAGGAAATGACATAGTGATGAGGTGCTCACAGTTTATGAAGATGGGAAAATCAACATCAACTCCAACGCCAAGCAACAACAGTGATGAAAAGTTTACACTGCATAGCCCCAGGAAAGGTGGAACAAACCATGGGTAATTTCAGTACAAAAGACAGGAATAAAAGGAAACCCTAATAACCATCTTTGGACATATGGTAAAAATGTTTAATGTTTCTTGTCTCTCATTTCTAGCAGACTTATAAAAAATAGATTTTTAATTGGTGTTATCAGATTAATTTCTAATAAACATTATTTTCTAAACTGAAGATTGCAAATTCCACTGCTTAGAGGGGCTAAGCAAATAATTAAGAGAAGAAAGAAGAGGGTAAAAGAATAGGGCATGATGTGGATACTGGTGAACTGGAAAATCCAGACCCCGTTCATGAGAATAACTCCTCCTTGGCTTCAGCCAAGAGTCGAGACTCAGGAATGTAGGCCTGATGTTGCCACATCTTTTTGTTCAAGAATGTTCAGAAATCCAAATTCTTCCCCCCGCAAACTTTCCAATTTTTAAAACTTGAGCCAAACAAAATACATTATTTTGGCCTTCCAATTGATGACCGCTGGGTTGTATTCAAGGCCCCTGCCCTCTGTTGTCAGCTTCCTTTTTTAGCCTGCATCACTCTCCTTTCTCAACATAGGTCTTCCTCTCCTTGTAGCCATCTTTATCTGATTAGTCAGTTCAGGCTTCTATAACAAATGATTGCAGACTGGTGGCTTCAAAACAAACATTTATTTATTGCAGTTCTAGAGGGTGGGAAGTCCAAGATCAATATGCTGGAGGATCTGGTGTCAGGTGACGGCCTGCATCCTGGTTTGCAGATGGCGGTCTTCTCATTGTATCCTCATATGGCAAAGAGTTGGAGCAGGGGGTGGAGGATGGTGCTAGCTCTTCTTATAAGAACACTAATCCCATAATGAAGGCTCCAACCTCCTGACATAATTACTTCGCAAATGCTCCCTCTCCCAATACCATTACATTAGGGCTACGGTTTCAAATATAAATTTTGGGGGGAACAAACATGCAGTTAATAATAAAACCCTATTCCGGCAGCACCCTTGTGCGGCCAGTGTTCCATTGAAGATTGCCGCTTTATGCCACAGAACCCATCTCATCCCATCTCTCCAATCCTCGGTTCTTTAAATACATACAGATCAAGACCCATCATATCCTCATAATTTCTCAGACCACTCTTATCTACAGCAATGCATCTTAACAATTTTTATGGCTTTTGGATTAAATCATCTATTGCCTTATGACATTGGACAACTTTCCTATGTACGTGTATTGTTTCCCCAACTAGATTGTAAGATTTTCAAGGGTTAGTGGCCAGTACTAGAGCACATACAGTTGTTGGTGTTAGAAAGATTGGGTTTTAATCTGGTTTTGCTATCTATTAATGTAACATTGAGTTAGTGATTAAACTTCTCTCAGCCTCAGTTTTTTTCTCTATAAAATGCAAATAATATTTCTCCATAGAGATGTTGCAAACTTTAAATGAAATGAATAGAACATGGACATCTTGATGAATAAGAAAAGTACCTGGCAATTAACAACGTAATTGTTTTTATTTCTGTAAAAATTCTTACTGCTTTTCATCCCCTGTGATGCTTTGTGTAAGTTTTTGCCCAACAGAATATTTATAATAAGCATATGTTGTTTTCTGATTCATATAAGAGAACGTTGTCTTTGCTACAATAAGGGCATTTTATGCCTGGATTTAATGTTTGGAAATCTCCAACATAGATTTGAAGAGCACACATATCTCTGATGATTCAATAACAATTTTGCCCATAAACAGGACAGTAAGACAGAGAAAACTTTCAGAATTTCCTTCATTCTTGTAATTAGAGTTTATCTAAAACACTGGTTCTCAAATGGAGGAAGAGGGGAGTTTGCTCCCCAGAGGACATTCAGCAATGTCTGGACACATTTTTGGATGTCACAACTGAAGGACGTTACTAGCACTGAGCGGATAGAGAGAGGCCAGGGATTCTGCTAAATATCCTACCATAAGAAGAACAGCTCCCTGCCCCCTAAAAAAAGAATTATTTGGCCCAAGATGTCATTATCGCCAAGGCTGAAAAACCGATCACCATTCCTAAGATCTCTCCCATCCCAGAACTCCCTGCTAAGTCAAATTAATTAGACTGAGGAGAGAGCAAGTTGGTGACGGACCTGAAGAATAGCCCACGTAAGTGGTGGCTGGTCAGTGCAGAGTCAAGCCGCCAGCTCTGGAAGATCTCTTCCCAGCTTGCAGACTTCTGGAAGCGCTGAACTGGAGGCAGCCTTCTCGTTTCCATCACAGGAAGCCATTGCTGTCAATGTGTGTCTGAATACCGTTTATTCCCTTCTTGAGTAATTTCACTTATTTCCCTACACAATGTAAACATGGAAACCAACATTAATGACCTCTTTGAAGGATATTGAAAAAAATCAGTTTTGAATGCAAGCTGGGAATTATGCTAATGTAAGACTTACTTAAAGGGACTAGAAAACTTTGTAAATGTAAATTCATTCTCATAGTTTCCCAAAGAGACAACTGCTTTCATAAGAAGGTCAAATGTCTGTCTTGCACTCACACATCGAGGCTGTGAATAAATGTGGTTATAGCACTGGTTTCCTCCCTCGGAAACTTCCTACATCAGCAGCTTGGTTCTTTTCTTTAGTTAAATATGATCTAGTTGGAGGTGAAGTGTTTTTCTTTTTGCTTTTACTTTCTTTTTAAATTGCTTTCCCTCCCTCAATTTCTCCAGCCCTTTTTTCATCTTTTACTTCATTGCTTTCTCTCATACTTTATTCCTTCCTTTCTTTACAGTTGTAGGAACAAGAAGAAAAATTCTCAGTTATGTTTGCTTTCCAGGCCTCTATTCATTAATACCTGGGCTTTAAAAGGTTTTTTTTCTCTTCTCTTTTATAACATCATGCTGCCATCCTGTGGCAAATTTAAATATTCAGCTAGTCAAAGAAATGCAGCGTTCAAAAATCACTTAAATACCTGAAAATACACAACCATGCAGTTGGAGCCTCAGTCGACCAAGAGTGGATGCCATCTAACATTGTGATTTAAATCCCAAGGCCCAAAGCTATATTTCTCTTTTCCCTGAAGGCTGTGATTTCTCCCAGGAAGGAGGCATACTTTATTTCCAAACTGAGTATAGAAAAATCCAAGTATAGAACAAATTTGGTACGTAGGCCTATGGCATGTTTGAGGTCCTGAGAAGGAACTTCTGTGGTTTTGAGTGTTTAGAGTGATTTTCTCTCAAGTCGCTGGTGCAGATTCAAGATCTGCTATATTAACATGAGGGAACTGCCCAGGTCAGTCGTGGCGTTGATGTCAACCTACATGAGTAGCCAAAAGTCAAATACTTTGGGAAAGACAGAACACAACACAAAAAAGTTAGGGTGATTATTTTTAAAGATCAAAATAGTATTTGCTCAATAAACAAAGCAAATGTCTATTCCATTCTTGTAGCGGGGGTGTGTATCCTCACAAAATGCACAGTTGATATTTAATAAAAGTTCTCAACCATCTGGATTCCTCAAATGATGCTAGACCTCAAACCCAGCAGGTCCAAGATGGAATTCATTCATCCACTTTCTCATTACCAGCCCCCACATATCACCACACTCACAAGTGTGCACTCACACTCACACACACACCCTATGTCAGGAAATGGCATTACCACCACCCAGCTCCTCAAAGCAAAACTCTAGGTGGCCTCCCTGAAACTACCCCCCACCCACCCCACAATCCAGCACTAAGTCCCTTTAACTTTGCCTCTTAATCTCCTCCTTCCTGTCCCCTTCATCCCAGCCTCATTGCTGTAACCCTAGTCCAAGTGACCAACATCTCTGGCCTAGTTTAGAAGCCTCCTTTCCCATCCTGCCTCCCTACACACACAGACACAAACATATGCACATACACACACACAGACATACACAACATAGTCTCCACACTGCAGCCAGAAGATCTCTTTAAAATACAGATCTGACCACGTTACTGTCTTTAAGTCCTTCAAGAGCCTCCCTTGTCCTCAGATTAAAGTCCAAAACCTCTACCCTGGCCCTGAATCCCTGTCTGCCTCCCCAGCCCCTTTTGCCCCATCTATATTTGGTTATTTAAAGCAATCTCTATTTTCCCTGTTACGAGAAGGTAGACGTTATGGACATTGTGTTTGCTACATAGTTAATGCATTGACTTAACCTACCTCTACACATAGCTTTGAGCAAACGTGAGAGAATAGAATATTAGCATGAGGAAGACAATTGGCTCACTGCCCCAGGTTCCAGGTAAGCACCAGACCCAGCCTGGGGCACTTGCTGAGGGTCCCTTAGCTGGTCTAATGGCAGACGTGGAATTAAAGTCCAGTTATTCCAACAACCAACTCTGAGCACTCTCTGTGGTATAAGGAGGGGTGGGACGGGTGTTTCCTTTGGCGCACATGTTGAAGTGAATAAGGGTTGGGGAATTGGGTGCAAGTCTGGTTCTCAGTGCTTTCATTAGCCTGAATCACCTGCTGTTTCCCTCTGCTTGCTTTCTTTTTGTTTGTTTGTTTGTTTGTTTGTTTGAGACAGAGTCTCACTCTGTTGCCAGACTGGAATGCAGGCTCACTGCAACCTCTGCCGCCTTGGTTCAAACGATTCCCCTGCCTCAGCCTCCCAAGTAGCTGGGATTACAGGCGCCCACCACCAAGCCCAGCTAATTTTTGTATTTTTAGTAGAGATGGGGTTTCACCCATGTTGGCCAGGCTGGTCTCAAATTCTTGACCTCAGGCGATCCACCCTCCCAAAGTGCTGGGAGGATTACAGGTGTGAGCCACCGCGCCCGGCTTGCTTGGCTTTTTAACTCTGAGTTCTGTGGCACTCTTTGTTTAGAAACCCTAAACAGTTCGATTCTATGATTGTGTCGTTTTAGGGTGACCATTACAGAGTGGTTTTGATATGCTCCAGAGAAAGGAAAGAGAAAGAAAACTAATGTTGTTATTCCCAGAGTTCACAGCCATTCTAAAACATTTGTTACTCTCCGCAGTCCAAAGATGAGGAAACTTCTTACTTCTCTGGACCAAAATATCCTCATCTTGGACTGGGGAGAGCAACAGATGTTTTTAGATACCAATCTTGATCTCCAGGGAGTGTGTGTCAGACCTCACAGATGGAATGAGGGGCTCTTAGGAGACATTGCGGGGAGTGGGAGACTATCTGATTTTTGCTATTGAATTTGGTCTTGGGAATTGGCTAAAAGCAGAATTTTCCATTCCCCATCACAGGCAGAAGCACAAACCATAAGCTGGACCAAAATTATACAAACTTTTGTTAGGATTCTAGAAACTCTGTACTATGCTAATTTTTGTTATCTGTATTATATTTGTTACTTGTCTTACATATTTGTGATAAGCAATAATTCCTTTAAAATCAAAAGGACCTAATGACTTATCTTCTGAGATGACTAGGAAGGGAGGGAACGTGGGGAAGGAGGGGACCTGGCCCTCAAGGGACAGTAAAGATAAGGAGGACTGAGTCACCGGAGCCTGCTGTAAAGGAAGAACGAAAGAGCCTAGAGGTATGTGCTTGAAAAGAGGCCCTGGGCTGAGTAAGAAGCAGAAAAGCTGTATGAAGTTCTCTGACAGGTGCAGGGCTGATGAGGGAGTCACTGTGGTTCACACCTGGGTGGGAACAACTAATATACCTTTCAAAACCTTCTTCCCATAAAAGAAGAGTTGGTGGATGCCAAGTTTGCTATATGAATGGCATGCTGACTAAAAAGGGCCAGGTTCATCTGAGAGCATGACTGTTCCTGTTCAGGGCCACCTGGACAGTGGTCCGAGGCATCTGATAAATGTGCAGGAACATGTCACTTATTCTTCACTCATTTTTCTCCTCTAAAACCGAGGACTAGTAGCCACCAGTCTGGGCAACTGGTACAAAGGTGAGTCACAGTCATCAAAAGCCGTAGGCTGTATTCCGCACATTAATCTTTTACCCGCTGTGTTGCATTTATCATGCACCATACATTTAAGGGAAGTCATTTTTGAGGCACGCCAGTGTTAATCTTTCTTTTTTTTTTTTTTCTGAGATGAAGTCTCGCTCTGTGGCCCAGGCTGGAGGGCAGTGGCGCGATCTCAGCTCACTGCAACCTCCACCTCCCGGGTTCAAGCAGTTCTCTGCCTCAGCCTCCTGTGTAGCTGAGATTACAGGTATGTGCCACCACGCCTGGCTAATTTTTGTTTTTGTTTTGTTTTGTTTTGAGATGGAGTCTCGCTCTGTCACCCAGGCTGGAGTGCAGTGGCACAATCTTGGCTCACTGCAACCTCCACCTGCCCAGTTCAAGCGATTCTTCTGCCTCAGCCTCCCAAGTAGCTGGGTCTACAGGTGTGCACCACCACACCCAGCTAATTTTTGTATTTTTAGTAGAGACGGGTTTCACCATCTTGGCCAGGCTGGTCTTGAACTCCTGACCTCGTGATCCACGCACTTCGGCCTCCTAAAGTGTTGAGATTACAGGCGTGAGCCACCACACCCAGCCCAGTATCAACCTTTCTACCACACCACCTTCCAAGAAAAATCAAAGCTTTGGTCAACACCACTCTGCCTCTCCACTTTAGATAAACTCCCTTGCATCCACCCTCAATGTCTACACCGCTTTCTCCCTTCCTCATGCTTGCCTGGCAAAACCCAATCCTGGTTAAATCAACCTTCTGTCACTCTGTGCCTGCATCTCTGCAGCTGCACATGGCTGGAAAAACCACCCAACCATGGACAACTGGACTTATTTTAAATTCTTGAGAGCCAATGCCTAAGGTTCTCTTAGGCCCCTGGAGGACCTCAGGCAGTTCTAACTTATTTCCCTGGTCAGCTCACTTTTCTGCCCTTTTAAATGACGCTCCTACAGCTCCTCCTCTCTCTCCAGTCTTCCATCACATTCTCCCCTTGCTTACCCTCAGCTGAGCATATTGCTTGTCATTTCGCTAAGAAAGAAGTTGCCAGAAATTTCACACACTGCCCCCTCCACCTGCATCTGTGCCCAAATAACTTGCCTTTCCTCCATTACTCTGGATGAATAGTGCATGAGCTAATAATTTGGTTTTTGAGACAGGGTCTCACTATGTTGCCCAGCCTGAGCTCAAGTGATCTCCCACCTGAGACTCCCAAGTAGCTGGGATTATAGGCACAAGCCACTGTTCCCGGCATGAGCCAATGAATCTAAAGCCAACTGGTACCTGTCCCTCCCTTTTCACCTGCTGGAGAATACCATGATCTTTTTATCGCATCTATTATTAATGCCCCCCACCTCCTGGATCAGTCCCATCAGCATACACACACGTTGTACAATCTCCCAAGTCACACACACACACCCCCTTCTGAAACCCACTTTTGCCTCCAGCTGTTACCCCATTTCCCTTCTTCCTTTTACAGCAAAACTCCCCAAGTGGGTTTTTAACACTCTGTGATCTCCACTTCCCCTCTTCTCGTGCTCTCTTGAACCCACTATAGTCGAGTTTTTTCCAGACCAATCCACTGAAACGGTTCTTGTCAAAGTCAGCAACCTGCACGTTGCTATGCTCAATGGCCAGTTCATGGTTTCCTTCATGTTGGACCTACCAGCATCATCTGCTGTTCATCTCTGCCTGCATGAAATACTTATTTCACTTGGCTTATAGGTTATAACTTCCTTTTAGCTCTTCTCTGAACTTACCGGCCTCTCCTTCTTGGTATTCATTGGGATTCATCCTCATAGAGCTGACTTCTGGAGGTGGGAGGGGCCCAGGGCACCATCCTCTGACCTCTGTCATTCTCAAACTACATTCACTTCCTATATGAACTTAGCAGATCTCACAGTTTTCAGTGTCACTACAGGCATGCAACTCCCACAGTGCTCTCTCCAACCTGCACATCTCCACTGAATTCCATACTCCTGACTCTGCCTGCTGGACATCTCTGATGGGCCATATATCACAAGTTGTTCTGTGTTTGGCCACCAAAAGCTACCTGTGAGTGAAGCCCAGCTCTTCCACTCAGCAGACATATGTGCAGAAAAGACTTGCCATATAAGGTCTGACTTCTAGCTTTAGAAAGGCCTTCCTGCAAGATTAACCTCTGGCTGGCATCTGGGAACTTGGATTCCAGGAAGGACCTCTCCACTTTCAGAAATAAGAGTTGATCACTATGCCTAAAGTGTGCGAACAACATGACTTATGCTCAACAACTTTCCTTCTGGGAGTGTGAAATTTTGACATTTGGGCAGAGGGTGCCTACATGGCCAGCCCCCAGTTGAAAACCCTGGGTGCTGAGTCTCTAGTGAGCTCCCCTGATAGCCACCTTTTCACACGTTGTCACCACTCATTACTGGGGTAATTAAATGTGCCCTGCGTGAGTGCCCTCAGAAGCACGTGCCTGCTTTCTCCTGAACTGCTCCCCCTGCACCTTTTCCCTTTGCTTATTTTGCTTTGTATCTGTCGCCGTAATAAATCATAGCCATAAGTATAACTGTGTGCTGAGTCCTGCAAGTCCTCCTAGCAAATCATGAATCTGGGGGTGGCCTCAGGGATGCCAAACACATCTGAGCAGGTCACTGCAGCTTTCTGTGCCTTGGTTTCCTCATCTGTAAAGTCGGAATAATAATCGCGCCCAACTAAGCTGTTGTAAGGATTAAATGAGTTAATATATGTAAAGAATTTAGAACTGTGCCTGGCCCGGAGTAAACACCCAATAAATATTACATTATCTCAAACACAAATGTTCAAGAACATTTGTTAGATAATACAGGAGCTTGGGTAAGAACCTGAATTTCCCTGTCTTACTATGGAAGTTACACTTTTGTCATCTGTCAACCATTTAAGCTACTTGGGGTTCTACATTTAAACACTAATATTTTTTGGATGTCCGTCCCCTCCAAATCTCATGTTGAATTGTGATTCCCAGTGTTGGAGGTGGAGCCTGGTGGGAGATGATTGAATCATGTGGGTGGATCCTTCATGAATGGCTAAGCACTGTCTTTTTGGTGATAAATGTGTTTATGCTCAGTTAGTTCACACGATGTCTTGTTGTTTAAAAGCCTGGGACCTGCTCCCACTCCTGCCATCTGACACACCTACTCCGCCTTCACCTTCTGCCATGATTGTAACTTCCTGAGGCCCCAACAGAAGCAGATGCTTTCACCATGCTGCCTGTACACCCTGCAGAACCATGAGCCAATTAAACCTCTTTTATTAAAATAAATTATCCAGTCTCAGGTATTTCTTTATAGTAATGCAAACGGACTAACACGAATACGTTCATCTACCTGGGATGATTCAACTCTGTAAGCCATGTATTGGTTTATCTATAGAAAAAAGTGGTTAGAAGTACATCAGTCAGTTTGTTTTCCTGAATAGTCACATAAATACCTGACAAAAATCAGCTAGAATATAATTACAGGGCATTTTATTGGCTATTATCTATAACATTTTTATTCCACAAGGGCTTGATGAAGGGTAGAGACAGTTGTTTGAAACGTACACCTTTCACAGCCTACGTCTTCACTTAGCAAGCGTTTGTGAAGGCTGCTTTGTGCAACGCTCTATAAAGGCACAATGTTGCTGAGAAAAATCAGTATCTCAGACAGCGACTATCATGGGTTTTGCTACTTCGCCACAGGAGCCACCTGCCAGACGCCACTTATAGATACCAGACAGCTTCTTCCAGACTTCAGGAAATTCTAGACTAGACTTCTAGGTCATTTCTCAGACACACACATTCACAACAAGGAAGTGAGGCTCATTAATCATCATGAAGTTCGCATCGCTGTGCCCTACTTATCTCTGTCAGGTCTTTCTCCAGGTCTGTCTTGTCTTCTTGGCCAAGGCCAGGCCTGTCACAATCTACACGACCCATCTTCTCCCTTCTCTGTGTAAACATTTGTAACTCCACCCCTCCTTGATGCCCATCTGTGATTGGGGGAGCAGGTTAGTACTGCCCAAGCAGATTCAAAACTTATTTTCCAGGGAAACTGTGAATATGTCATTTGTTCCTGCCTCTCAAATAAGGAAAATCAATTCATGAAGTTCCCCTTACCCTGGCTTCCCTCTTCCCTGTCCGTGGTAGCTCAGTGCGCAGAATCTGGGCTCTGAAATCAGTCTTTGTGGGAGCACTTCAGCCCTTTGTGATCAGTAAGGGGAGACTGGGAAATGGGGATAGGAGGACAGGGGCCAACACCTGTGGATCTCCTTGTTTACAGAACGTCAGGGTGATCTTATCTGAAGAAGGAAACCGCTACTGAGGTGTATGTTTACAATATAGCATTTTGAGTAATAAATCGAGATAATTTTGTACCAGCCCTGGCGGGTCTCCCTGATTCTTACCCTCCCTCCTCCCCACTCCGATGTATGCTCAACATAGCAGCCAATGATCCTTTTAAACCATAAGTCAGAACATGTCACTCCTTGCTTGAAACCATGCAAAGGCTCCCCACCTTATTCTGAGGGAAAGCCAGAGGTCTTAGAGGCCCACATGCCCCTGCACAGCTCGGCTTCCTCCTGACTGCATCTCCAGCTACCTTCCCTCTTGCTCTCTCTGCTGTAGCCCGGGCTCGTCCTTACACACACCAGGCCTGTGGCTGCCTCTGTTCCCTGTTCTGGCTGTACACTCCACCTGGTCTTCCTCAATACCCACACGCTGGCTCCCTTGCTTCTTAAGGTCTGTGCTCAACCCTTCTGATTCGTTTCACTCTGCTTTATTTTTCTCCACAGCACTTATCACATCTGATATGCTACATGTTTACTTGTTTATGTGTTTGTTGTCGCTTTTCCTCACTAGGATGTCAGCCCCAGGAGGAGAGGAACCTGGTCTGCTTTGTTTGTTTCATCTGCAGTACTCAGAAGAGGTCTAGGTCTGTTACAGGTGCTCAGAAGGTTTTTTTTTTAATATACTTTAAGTTCTAGAGTACATGTGCACAACATGCAGGTTTGTTACATATGTATACATGTGCCGTGTTGGTGTGCTGCACCCATTAACTCGTCTTTTGCATTAGGTATATCTCCTAATGCTATCCCTCCTCATTCCCCCCTACCTCATGACCGGCCTCGGTGTGTGATGTTCCCCACCCTGTGTCAAAGTGTTCTCATTGTTCAATTCCCACCTATGAGTGAGAACATGAGGTGTTTGGTTTTCTGTCCTTGCGATAGTTTGCTCAGAATGATGGTTCCCAGCTTCATCCATGTCCCTACAAAGGACATGAACTCATCCATTTTTATGGCTGCATAGTATTCCATGGTTAAATGTGCCACATTTTTTTAAATTATACTTTAAGTTCTAGGGTACATGTGCACAACGTGCAGGTTAGTTACATATGTATACATGTGCCATGTTGGTGTGCTGCACCCATTAACTTGTCATTTACATTAGGTATATCTCCTAATGCTATCCCTCCTCCCTCACCCCACGCCAAAACAGGCCCCGGTGTGTGATGTTCCCCTTCCTGTGCCCATGTGTTCTCATTGTTCAATTCCCACCTATGAGTGAGAACATGCAGTGTTTGGTTTTTTTGTCCTTGCGATAGTTTGCTGAGAATGATGGTTTCCAGCTTCATCCATGTCGCTACAAAGGACATGAACTCACCATTTTTATGGCTGCATAGTATTCTGCGGTGTATATGTGCCACATTTTCTTAATCCAGTCTATCATTGATGGACATTTGGGTTGGTTCCAAGTCTTTGCTATTGTGAATAGTGCCGCAATAAACATACGTGTGCATATGTCTTTATAGCAGCATGATTTATAATCCTTTGGGTATATACCCAGTAATGGGATTGCTGGCTCAAATGGTATTTCTAGTTCTAGATCCCTGAGGAATCGCCACACTGACTTCCACAATGGTTGAACTAGTTTACAGTCCCACCAACAGTGTAAAAGTGTTCCTATTTCTCAACATCCTCTCCAGCACGTGTTGTTTCCTGACTTTTTAATGATCACCATTCTAACTGGTGTGAGACGGTATCTCATTGTGGTTTTGATTTGCATTTCTCTGATGGCCAGTGATGATGAGCATTTTTTCATGTGTCTTTTGGCTGCATAAATGCCTTCTTTTGAGAAGTGGCTGTTCATATCCTTTGCCCACTTTTTGATGGGGTTGTTTGTTTTTTTCTTGTAAATTTGTTGGAGTTCATTGTAGATTCTGAATATTAGCCCTTTGTCAGATGAGTAGATTACAAAAATTTTCTCCCATTCTGTAGGTTGCCTGTTCACTCTGATGGTAGTTTCTTTTGCTTGCAGAAGCTCTTTAGTTTAATTAGATCCCATTTGTCAATTTTGGCTTCTGTTGCCATTGCTTTTCGTGTTTTAGACATGAAGTCCTTGCCCATGCCTATGTCCTGAATGGTATTGCCTAGGTTTTCTTCTAGGGTTTTTATGGTTTTAGGTCTAACATGTAAGTCTTTAATCCATCTTGAATTAATTTTTGTATAAGGTGTAAGGAAGGGATCCAGTTTCAGCTTTCTACATATGGCTAGCCAGTTTTCCAAGCACCATTTATTAAATAGGGAATCCTTTCCCCATTTCTTGTTTTTGTCAGGTTTGTCAAAGATCCAATAGTTGGACATATGCAGCATTATTTCCGAGGGCTCTGTTCTGTTCCATTGGTCTATATCCCTGTTTTGGTACCAGTACCATGCTGTTTTGGTTATTGTAGCCTTGTAGTATAGTTTGAAGTCAGGTAGTGTGATGCCTCCAGCTTTGTTCTTTTGGCTTAGGATTGACTTGGCAATGAGGGCTCTTTCTGGTTCCATATGAACTTTAAAGTAGTTTTTTCCAATTCTGTGAAGAAAGTCATTGGTAGCTTGATGGGGATGGCATTGAATCTATAAATTACCTTGGGCAGTATGGCCATTTTCATGATATTGATTCTTTCTATCCATGAGCATGGAATGTTCTTCCATTTGTTTGTGTCCTCTTTTATTTCGCTGAGCAGTGGTTTGTAGTTCTCCTTGAAGAAGTCCTTCACATCCCTTGTAAGTTGGATTCCTAGGTATTTTATTCCCTCTGAAGCAATTGTGAATGGGAGTTCACTCATTATTTGGCTCTCTGTTTGTCTGTTATTGGTGTATAGGAATGCTTGTGATTTTTGCACATTGATTTTGTATCCTGAGACTTTGCTGAAGTTGCTTATCAGCTTAAGGAGATTTTGGGCTGAGATGATGGGTTTTCTAAATATACAATCATGTCATCTGCAAACAGAGACAATTTGACTTCCTCTTTTTCTAATTGAATACCCTTTATTTCTTTCTCCTGCATGATTGCCCTGGGCAGAACTTCCAACACTATGTTGAATAGGAGTGGTGAGAGAGGGCATCCCTGTCTTGTGTCAGTTTTCAAATGGAATGCTTCCAGTTTTTGCCCATTCAGTATGATATTGGCTGTGGGTTTGTCATAAATAGCTCTTATTATTTTGAGATATGTCCCATCAATACCTAATTTATTGGGAGTTTTCAGCATGAAGGGCTGTTTAATTTTGTCAAAGGCCTTTTCTGCAGCTATTGAGATAATCATGTGGTTTTCGTCTTTGGTTCTGTTTATATGATGGATTACGTTTATTGATTTGCGTATGTTGAACCAGCCTTGCATCCCAGGGATGAAGCTGACTTGATCGTGGTGAATAAGCTTTTTGATGTGCTGCTGGATTCGGTTTACCAGTATTTTATTGAGGATTTCTGCATCAATATTCATCAGGGATATTGGTCTAAAATTCTCTTTTTTTGTTGTGTCTCTGCCAGGCTTTGGTATCAGGATGATTCTGGTCTCATAAAATGAGTTAGGGAGGATTCCATCTTTTTCTATTGATTGGAATAGTTTCAGAAGGAATGGTACCAGTTCCTCTTTGTACCTCTGGTAGAATTCGGCTGTGAATCCGTCTGGTCTTGGACTTGTTTTGATTGGTAGGCTATTAATTATTGTCTCAATTTCAGAGCCTGTTACTGGTCTATTCGGGGATTCAACTTCTTCCTGGTTTAGTCTTGGGAGGGTGTATGTGTCAAGGAATTTATCCATTTCTTCTAGATTTTCTAGTTTATTTGCATAGAGGTGTTTATAGTATTCTCTCATGGTAATTTGTATTTCTGTGGGATTGGTGGCGATATCCCTTTTATCATGTTTTATTGTGTCTATTTGATTCTTATCTCTTTTCTTCTTTATTAGTCTTGCTAGCGGTCTATCAGATTTGTTGATCTTTTCAAAAAACCAGCTCCTGGATTCATTGATTTTTTTGAAGGGGTTTTTGTGTCTCTATCTCCTTCAGTTCTGCTCTGATCTTAGTTATTTCTTGCCTTCTGCTAGTTTTTGAATTTGTTTGCTCTTGCTTCTCTAGTTCTTTTAATTGTGATGTTAGGGTGTCAATTTTAGATCTTTCCTGCTTTCTCTTGTGGGCATTTAGTGCTATAAATTTCCCCCTAAACACTGCTTTAAATGTGTCCCAGAGATTCTGGTATGTTGTGTCTTTGTTCTCATTGGTTTCAAAGAACATCTTTATTTCTCCCTTCATTTCGTTATGTACCCAGTAGTCATTTAGGAGCAGGTTGTTCAGTTTCCATGTAGTTGAGCGGTTTTGAGTGAGTTTCTTAATCCTGAGTTCTAGTTTGATTGCACTGTGGTCTGAGAGACAGTTTGTTATAATTTCTGTTCTTTTACATTTGCTAAGGAGTGCTTTACTTCCAACTATGTGGTCAATTTTGGAATAAGTGCGATGTGGTGTTGAGAAGAATGTATATTCTATTGATTTGGGGTGGAGAGTTCTGTAGATATCTATTAGGTCTGCTTGGTGCAGAACTGAGTTCAATTCCTGGATATTCTTGTTAACTTTTTGTCTTGTTGATCTGTCTATTGTTGACAGTGGGGTGTTAAAGTCTCCCATTTTTATTGTGTGGGAGTCTCAGTGTCTTTGTAGGTCTCTAAGGACTTGGTTTATGAATCTGGGTGCTCCTGAATTGGGTGCATATATATTTAGGATAGTTAGTTCTTCTTGTTGAATTGATCCCTTTACCATTACGTAATGGCCTTCTTTGTCTCTTTTGATCTTTGTTGGTTTAAAGTCTGTTTTATCAGACACTAGGATTGCAACCCCTGCTTTTTTTTGTTTTCCATTTGCTTGGTAGATCTTCCTCCATCCCTTTGTTTTGAGCCTTTTTGTGTCTCTGCACATGAGATGGGTCTCCTGAATACAGCACATTGATGGGTCTTGACTCTACCCCAATTTGCCAGTCTGTGTCTTTTAATTGGAGCATTTAGCCCATTTACATTTAAGGTTAATATTGTTATGTGTGAATGTGATCCTGTCATTATGATCTTAGCTGGTTATTTTGCTCATTAGTTGATGCAGTTTCTTCCTAGCATCGATGGTCTTTACAATTTGGCATGATTTTGCAGTGGCGGTACTGGTTGTTCCTTTCCATGTCTAGTGCTTCCTTCAGGAGCTCTTGTAAGGCAGGCCTGGTGGTGACAAACTCTCTCAGCATTTGCTTCTCTGTAAAGGATTTTATTTCTCCTTCACTTATGAAGCTTAGTTTGGCTGGATATGAAATTCTGGGTTGAAAATTCTTTTCTTTAAGAATGTTGAATATTGGCCCCCACTCTCTTCTGGCTTGTAGAGCTTCTGCTGAAAGATATGCTATTAGTCTGATGGGCTTCCCTTTGTGGGTAACCCAACCTTTCTCTCTGGCTGCCCTTAATATTTTTTCCTTCATTTCAACCTTGGTGAATCTGACAATTATGTGTCTTGGAGTTGCTCTTCTCGAGGAGTATCTTTGTGGCGTTCTCCATATTTCCTGAATTTGAATGTTGGCCCGCTTTGCTAGATTGGGGAAGTTCTCCTGGATAATATCCTGCGGAGTGTTTCCCAACTTGGTTCCATTCTCCCCATCATTTTCAGGTACACCAATCAGACGTAGATTTGGTCTTTTCACATAGTCCCATATTTCTTGACTGCTTTGTTCATTCCTTTTTACTCTTTTTTCTCTAAACTTCTCTTCTCACTTCATTTCATTCATTTGATCTTCAATCACTGATACCCTTTCTTCCACTTGATTGAATCGGCTACTGAAGCTTGTGCATGTGTCACGTAGTTCTCGTGCCATGGTTTTCAGCTCCATCAGGTCATTTAAGGTCTTCTCTACGCTGTTTATTCTGGTTAGCCATTCATCTAATCTTTTTTCAAGGTTTTTAGCTTCTTTGCAATAGGTTTGAACATCCTCCTTCAGCTCAGAGAAGTTCATTATTACTGATCGTCTGAAGCCTTCTTGTCTCAACTCGTCAAAGTCATTCTCCATCCAGCTTTGTTCCGTTGCTGGTGAGGAACAGCGTTCTTTTGGAGGAGAAGAGGCACTCTGATTTTTAGAATTTTCAGCTTTTCTGCTCTGGTTTCTCCCCATCTTTGAGATTTTATCTACCTTTGGTCTTTGATGATGGTGACATACAGATGGGGTTTTGGTGTGAACGTCCTTTCTGTTTGTTATTTTTCCTTCTAACAGTCAGGACCCTCAGCTGCAGGTCTGTTGGAGTTTGCTGGAGGTCCATTCCAGACCCTGTTTGCCTGGGTATCACCAGCGGAGGCTGCAGAACAGCAAATGTTGCTGCCTGATCCTTCCTCTGAAAGCTTCATCTTAGAGGGGCACCCAGCTGTATGAGGTGTCAGTTGGCCCCTACTGGGAGGTGTCTCCCAGTTAGGCTACTCAAGGGTCAGGGACCCACTTGAGGAGACAGTCTGTCCGTTCTCAGACCTCAAACTCCATGCTGGGAGAACCACTACTCTCTTCAAAGCTGTCAGACAGGGACGTTTAAGTGTGCAGAAGTTTCTGCTGCCTTTTGTTCCACTCAGAAGGTTTTTTTGCATGCATGAATAAATGAATGAATGTTCAAGCCCTCACAAGTCCACAACTAAATTCCCATTTCAAATTGATCTCTTAGTCACAAATTCATTCCTAAGCATTTCGTGCCCAAAACTGGGTAGGAAATAAGTGAAAAAGCTGGAGTAAAATAGACATTCTTGGAGAATGACTGTACACAGAATCTTACATATTTCTGAAAATGGAGTTGGCAGCTAAGAGTTTTAAAAGATCCTGAAATTGGCCAGGTGCGGTAGCTCATGTCTATAATCCCAGCACTTTGGGAGGCTGAGGTGGGTGGATCACTCGAGGCCAGGAGTTCGAGACCAACCTGGCTAACATGATTAAACCTTGTGTGTACTAAAAAATACAAAAATTATCTGAGCGTGGTGGCACACACCTTAGTCCCAGCAACTGAAGAGGCTGAGTTACGAGAATTTCTTGGGCCTGGGAGGCAGAGGTTGCAGTGAACTGAGATCATGCCACCACACACTCCAGCCTGGGTGACAGAGTGAGACTCTGCCTCAAAAAGAAAAAAGATACTGAAATTATTGCAGTACAGCTTTATGTAGGTACCTGATGCTAATGCCAGAAATTCTGAAGCTAACTTTGTTCTCTTAAGGTAGTCTCCCCTTGGCAAGTCTAGCTTATATTTTAGTTAAGGTCAAGGATTTCTATGAGTAACACAGATTTCAAATATTCTATCCCAATATCCTCATATTTTTTAGTTAAAGTTCTAAATTTTTGTTTCAGAAATATGGAGTCATAACTATAACACAAATATGAGTTTAAGGATAGATTTTGTTGGAAAGGGAGGTTCAGGGATGGAAAGAACTGGAGGAATTATGCATCACAGATAGAAAAAAGAAATGGAAATCTAGTTTAACAGCTCTGTCTGGTTCAGCAAATATTTATTAATCACCTTCAGTGTGCATAAGGCTGTCATCCTTGAGAGAAGGAAAATGCATACAGCAAGCCCATATTCACCCCTGATTTCTGCTTGGGAGGACTACTAAACTTCTTCCAAGGGAAGTGGCCTAAACAGATATCATTCTTTCCAGGCAGAGGAGACTGAGATCGGGGTCTGTGCTGCTGATGCAGGTGGAATTTGTGGACAGGGTAACAGACAGAAGGGAGCTGGACGGGGAAGGAGCCGCAGAAATATGCATAGGATTTTCTCAAGTCTTTGCCAAATACTAAGCTGTGTTTAGGCACAGTAGACACCTGAAGGCCTAGCAAACAGCTTCATGAAGATTGAGAGGTGAATCCAGATTTTAGAGACTGCACAATGTTAGGAGGCATCGGAATTTCAACAGCCAAAATAAGAAAACCTCATGATCACCCCAGTCATTCAGATGAGTCTCAGAAAGGCCATGGTAGAACTAGGGATCATGCTCTAGAGTAAGGGCTATTCTAGAACTGGCCAAGCAGAGCCAATAATCTAATCTCATCAGGATTAACGCAGTCTACCAAGAAATTATTGCCTTCCCGGACACAAGTAAACAATCTTAAATGGAAAAAATATCCTGACTTTCAATGATGTTGCATTCACAATCTCCAACAAACAATGAAAAACAAATCACTAGACATGTAAAGAAGAAGAAAAATGTGATCCAAAATCAGAAGAAAAAATGGTAAATTGAACATATTTATGTATATATTTTGAGACAGAGTCTTGCTTTGTCACCCAGGTTGGAGTGCGGTGGTACAATCTCAGCTCACCGCAACCTCCACCTCCTGGGTTCAAAAGATTCTCCTGCCTCAGCCTCCCGAGTAGCTCGGATTACAGGTGCATGCCACCACACCCAGCTAATTTTTGTATTTTTGGTAGAGACAGGGTTTCACCATGTTGGCCAGGCTGGTCTTGAACTCCTGACCTCAGGTGATCTGCCCACCTCAGCCTCCCAAACTGCTGGGATTACAGGCCTGAGCCATTGTGCCTGGCCTGGCAGTTAGAGATTTTAAAACAACTTTTATAAACATGTATATGGATCTAGGGAAAAACATAAACACAGTAATAAAGAAAACATTTTTAAAGAAACAAATATGACTTTTAAAGCTAAAAAAACTATAAATAAAATTTAAAATTTACATAAGAGGTTTACAGCAGATTAGATACTGCAGAAGAAAAGACTAGCACACATAAACAGAGAACATGCAGAGAAACCGATAAGTTGGCTTTTCCTCAGAAATAACACAAGCAAGATGAAAATGAAACATCTTTAAAATATAGGAAGGAAAAAGACTGTCTATCTAAAATTTAATATATAGTAAAAATGTTCATCAGAAATTAAAGCCAAATTTAAAAGTTTTAGATAAAATGTGAGAGAATTTATTGTCAATAGACAACAAAAATGGTAAAGGAGGCATTTCAGGTTGAGAGGAAACAGTGCTATGAAAACTCAAACCTGCATGAAGGACTAAAGTTTGCTGAAAATGGTGAGCGTGAGCAAGTATAAGACTTTTTCATGTTTCTTAATTTACTTAAAAGACAATAGATAGTTTAAAGCAAAAAATAATAGCAATGTTTTGTGGGAATTATATGTAGAAATTAAATGTATGACAAAAACCGCTTACAGGATATGTGGGACAAGAGAGAGATTAAAAACATTAATGTCTTTTTTAATGTCAAATATTAAATGGAATTATGCAACTTAAATCTTTTTGCATTATGTATAAAATGATTTAATATTCATCAAAAGTAGACTAGTAAGTTAAGAATGCATATTGTAATTCTTAATGCCACCCACTTTATAAAAAGCATACTTTTAAGTACTCTATTTCTACCATTGGCTTTTTTGCTAATTAAAAAAAGTCAATTGTAGAAATAAAATAGAATGCTTAAAATTATTTTATTGACCAAAAAGAAAGTAGAAAAAAGAAAAAGTAAAAATAGAACTGATGGAAAAAATAGAAAACAAATAGCGTGTACTCAGCCATATCAATAATCACATTAAATGTAAATATAATTAACACTGAAATTAAAAGGCAGACATTGTCAGTGTACATTAAAAAGCAAACCCCAACAGCTTGCTGGGTGAGATTAAAGATGCAAATTAAAAGAAAAAGGATGGGGAAAAAATATGCCAAGAAAGTACTAATTATAAGAACGTTACAGTGGCTATATTAATATCAGACAAAATAAACACCGAGACATATGGCAATATTAGAGACAAAGAAGGATATTTTATAATAATAAAAAGGTCATTATGTATACCTAATGACAAAACTTCAAAATATATGAAGCAAAAACTGACAGTACTACAGGGAAAAACAAACCCACAATTATACTTGGTGATCTGAGCCCTCCTTTCTAACTGATAGGAAAAGTTAGTAACATCATTAAGGATATGGAAGATCTGAATAATGCCATCAGACCATTTAACTAACTGATATTTCTAGAATATTTCCTATAAAAAGTCCAGAATAGAGGTTCTTTTCACATGCACATAGAATTATACCAAGATAGACCATATACTGGTCAATAAAATAAGTTTCAACAAATTTAACAGATGTGACATCATACGAAACATATTTTCTGAAAACAAAAAGAATTAAGTTAGAATTTAAAAAAAAAAAAAGATATCTACTAAGTACAATGTGGTATCCTAGACTGATCCTGGAGTAAAGACCTTAGTGGAAAAACTGATAAAATCTGAATCTAGAAATAGCAATATACCAATGTTGATTTTTTTTTAGTATTGACGAATGTAGCATGGTAATGTAAAATGTTATCTCTGGGGAAACTGAGTGACAGGCATACAGAAACTATCAGTTATATTTCTGCAGCTTTTTTGTAAATCTACAACTATTCTAAAATAAAACTTTTTTAAAAACCAGTTTTTTTTCAAATCCCCAAATATTTGGAAAGTAAGCAATACCATTACAAATATCCCATGGCTCAAAGAAAAAAATCGCAAGCGGTATTAGAAAATATTAGAATTAAATGGTAATCACAACATTTTAAAATTTGTGGGATTCAGCTCTTTACTTAGAAGTTTGGGCCTGTAAGTGCTTAATTAGAAAAGAATGAAGGTCTAAAATCAATTATCTACCCTTCTTCAAGCAGCCAAAAATATAAGAACAAATTAAACCCCAAGTAAGTAGAAAGAAGGAAGCAATAAAGAGTGGAAATCAATGAAATAGAAAACAGACAATCAAAAGAGAAACATCAACCAAGTCAGAAATTGTTTCTTTGAAAAGTTAAATAAAATGAATAATCTCCTAGCAATACCATTCAAGAAAAAAAGGAAAATACAAGCCATCAATATGAGGAATGAAAGAGGGAACATAGAGCCTATAGACACTAAAGGACAATAAAGAAATACATAAAGAAATGTATGCCAGTAAATTTGAAACTTTATATAAACAGATTAAATTATTTGACAAATACAAATTAACAAAACTAATACAATAAGAAATAGAAAGTCTGAAGAACCCTATATCTGTTCAGGAAAATTAATTCATAGTTAAAATCTTCCCCACAAAGAAAACTTCAACCTTGGCCGGGCACGGTGGCTCACGCCTGTAATCCCAGCACTTTGGGAGGCTGAGGCAGGCAGACCATGAGGTCAGGAGATAGAGACCATCCTGGCTAACACGGTGAAACCCCGTCTCTACTAAAAATACAAAAAATTAGCCGGGTGTGGTGGCGGGTGCCTGTAGTCCCAGCTACTCGGGAGGCTGAGGCAGGTGAATATCATGAACCTGGGAGGCAGAGTTTGCAGTGAGCCGAGATTGCGCCACTGCACTCCAGCCTGAGCGACAGAGTGAGACTCCGTCTCAAAAAAAAGAATAAGAAAACTTCAACCTCAGGTGAATTTTATCAAACATTTAAGGAAGAAATATTACCAATCATACACAGTCTTTTCAGAATACAGAGGAGAGAACATTTCCCAACTTGCTTTTTGAGACCAGCATGTCTCATAAAACCAGATAAATACATTACAAAAATAGAAAACTTCAGACCAATATCCCTCATAAAAATAAATGCAAAAATCCTTAACAAAATATTAGCAAATTCATAAATACACAGAAATAATAATATATCATGACCAGGTAGGATTTTTCCCCCAGGAATGCCAGGTTGATTTAACAATGGAAAATTAATAGATCAGTGTAATTCACTACTTAACAAAAAAGGGGGGAAGCATATAAACATCTTAATAGTTGCAGAAGAAGCATTTGCCAAATTCAACACCTATTCATCATAAAACACAACACAGCATATTAAAAATATAAGGAAACTTCCTCATTTTGACAAAGATCTAAAACCCTAAAGGTATCATCACAATGACAAAATTCTTAAGTCATGCTGAGATTGGGAAGGCACAATGTCCACTGCGCACCATTTTTATTCAATATTGTACTGGAGGTCTTAGTGCAATGAGGCAAGACCATGAAACAAACAAAGACATAAAGATTAAAAATAAAGGATCAAGGCTTTCTGCACTAAGTAGAGAGGCATCCATACGGTCCTGTTCTAGATTCCCTTCATAACTTAAAGGGAAACTCACACAACGTCCAGAGCCCTTGATGTCATGCAAGTGAAGAAGTATGTCCTCAACTATCTTGCAGCAGTAACTGACTTATTGCACCAACCTTGACTTCCAAATGGAACAGTACATCTACAAAAAGGAAGAGTGATGGCTTCTACATCACAAATCTGAAGAGGACCTGGGAGAAGCATCTGCTGGCATCTCATGCTATTGTTGCCATTGAATACCCTGCCAATGTCAATGTCATATCATATAGGAATGTTGGCCAGCAGGCTGTGCTGAAGTTGCTGCTGCCACTGGAGTCACTCCTATTGCTGGCCACTTCACTCCTGGAAACTTCACTAGCCAGATCTAGGCAGCCTTCCAAGAACTGCATCTTCTGGTGGTTACTGGCCCCAGGGCTGACCACCAGCTGCTGACAGAGTCGTCTTATGTTAACCTGCCTACCAACCATTGCTCTGTGTGACACAGATTCTCCTCTGCACTGTGTGGACATTGCAATCCCATGCAACAACAAGGGCTCTCACTCAGTGGGTCTGATGTGGTGGAGACTGACCCAGGAAGGTCTACACATGAGTGTCACCATCTCCCATAAGCACTCATGGGAGAAGGTCATGCCCGATATTTACTTCTACAGAGATCCTGAGCAGATTGAAAAGGAAGAGGCAGGCTGCTGCTGAAAAAGCTGCGGCCAAGGATGAATTTCAGGGAGAATGGACTGCTGCACCTCATGAGTGCACCGCTACTCAGGCTGACTAGTCTAAAGACGTGCAGGTGCCCTCTGTGCCTATTCAGCAGGTCCCTACTAAGACTGAAGCATTCAGCCTGCCACAGAAGACTGGTCTGCAGCTCTCACTGCTCCGGCTGCTGAATGGGTAGGAACAACCACTGAGTGTTCCTAAGCTGTTCTTCCACAGACTCTTAAGCAAAATAGAAATAAGGTTGATGGAAAATAAACATTAGTTTCTAAATAAATAAATAAGAATGACTCAAAAGAAGACATGATTGTTTATAGAGAAAAATCTCAGTCAATATATTATAAAAAAAACTTAGCTATGTTAGCAAAGTCACAGAATATAAGATGTATATGCAAAATTGAATTGTATGTTTATAGAGTAGCAATGATTGGAAATCAACATTGAAAATATCATAATATAGTGACATCAAAAATATTATCAAAAACTTTAACAAAAGATGTGTAAGACCTCTACACTAAAAATTATAAAACCTTACTGAAGGAAATTAAAGAAGACTGAAATAAATAATAAGACATACCACATCCCTGATTTAGAAGCTTCAATATTGCTATCAGTTCTCCCCAAATTAATCTATAGATTCACTGCCATTTTAATCAAGATCCCAGTAGGCTTAAAAAAAAAAAAAAAAAACAGAAACAAAAACTGATTCTAAAATTTTCACGAGAACACAAATGACCTAGAATTTAGCCAGGAAAACAAAATCTTTTTTAAAAAAATCAAAGTTGGAGGACTAACACTACTTGATTTTGAGACTTACTCTAAAGCTACAGTAATAAAGACAGTGTAGAACTGGCATAAGAAGAGACACATTGAGCAGTCAAAAGAATAGAGAGTTCAGAAACAGACCCACACATACGCAGTCATTTGATTTTCAGCATTGGCCATGAAAAATTCAATGGGGAAAAATGTTGTTTTCATAAAATTGTACTGGAATAACTGTATGTCTATATGGAAAATAAAGAAACTTGACACCTACCTCACAGCATACACAAAAATTAATTTGACAAAGACCATAGACCTAAACATAAAAGCTAAAACTTTAAGCTTCCAGAAGAAAATACAGGGGAAGGGAGGGGAGAGAAGAAGAGGGGATGGGAGGGGTAGGGGAAGGGGAAGGGAATAAGTGCCTTGCCCAGAGAGTGCTGCATACTGAGTTAGGAAAAGATTTCTTAGGATACCATAAAAGAAAAAAGATAAATTGGTTTTCATCAGAATTTAAAACTTCTACTCATCAGAAAATGAATGGGTCAGCCTCAGACTGGGATAAAATTGTGTGTGGGGGCTGGGTTTATATAGCTCTACATATTATAGAATATATATATATATCTTCTTCCACTCAAGAATAAAAAGACAACCCAATTTTTAAATGGCCAAAACACTTGCAATATTTATATGTATCCAAAAAGTACTTGAAAAAGTACTAACATCATTAGTCACTGGTGAAATGCTAAATAAATCACAATGAGATTCGATTTCACACCCATCAACACAATTAAAATTTAAAAATCGACAACATCAAATGTTACTGAGGTTGTGGAGCAACTGGAACTCTTATACATTGCTAATGAGGATATGAAATCATACAACCACTTTGAAAAACTGTCTATTTCCTATGTTACAGATACGCCTACCCTATGGCCTAACAATTCAACTCTAGGTATACATAAACCTAAGAGAAATAAACAATGTATGTCCACAAAAAGCCCTATAGATGAATGTTCATAACAACTTTATTTATAACAGAGAAAAAATATAGACAACCCAATGTCCATCAACAGGAAAATGAATAGACAAATTGTACATTCATACAGTGGATACTACTCAGCAATGAAAAGGAAAGAAGTATGGATACATGCAACAATGCAGATGAATCTTAAAAACATTACATTGAGCTAAAGAAGCCTTGCTCAAAAGTGTACCTACCTTGTAATCCTATGTGTATGAAGTACAAGAATAGGCAAAACTAGTCTCTGGTGATAGAAAGGTGCCTGGGAGGCCTCCAAGCAGTGGCTCATACCTGTAATCCCAGTACTCTGAGAGGCAGAAGCAAGCAGATCACTTGAGGCCAGGAGTTTGAGACCAGGCTGGGCAACATAGTGAAAACCCTTCTCTAGAAAAAATACAAAAATTACCCAGGCATGGTGGTGCACGCCTGTAGTCCCAGCTACTCAGGAGGCTGAGGCACAAGACTGGCTTGAGCCTGGGAGGTGGAGGTTGCAGTGAGCGCCGAGATGGAGCCACTCCCTCCAGCCTGGGCAACAGGGGTGGGGGTTGGGGGGCAGGTGCCTGGATGGGATAGCAGGGGGCAAGGGGCAGGGGGCAGTGGGTAGGAGACCAACTAACTGTGCGTGGGGAAACATTATGCAATGATGGCAATGAGGGTCCTAGTGTATGCACGTTTTTCAGTCTCACTGAACCACACACCTAAGATCTGTGCATTTTACTGTGAATATTGATTATACATCCATTTTAAATGGCAGAGAGAGAGAGGCACGAGTAAGAAAGAAGCAGGGAGGGAAGAAGGAAGGAAGGAGTATGCAAGGAAAGAAGGGAGGGAGGGAGATGAAGGAAGGGAGGGAAAGAGGAGGAGAATAGGGGCAGAGAAGAGAGGGTGGGAAGGGTAGGGGAGGAGAGGGAAAAAGGTGCCTTGCTCAGAGAGTGCCGATTGCTGAGTTGGCTGCACTCATTTCTGAGCTCGGGAGAGCAAAAATCAGCAGGGGTGTGCACTCTCATCTCTCTCTGTGAGTTCCTGTGTGGATTATGTGATCTGGCAGAGAGTGGATCTGAAAAATCTTCCACTGAATCTTATGAAGTTGCTTAGTTTAAGCAGTTCTTTCCTTTTCCTTTACCATTTTTCTTTGTTCTCTTTTCCTCTTTTCTGTTCCCCCCTTCCTCTCCTCTTCATTCCTTCTTCCTCTCTCTGTCCTTTTTAGCAGCGGATGAGGAAAATGATTTGCATATTTATTCAATGGCATGGAAATTTGTCTACTACATATTTTTAGGTGAGTTGGCAGACTACCAAAAAAAGATGTACTGTAACGACATGTATAAAAAGATGCATAAATACAGGCGCGGTGGTTCACGCCTGTAATCCCAGCACTTTGGGAGGCCGAGGCGGGCCAATCACCTGAGGTGAGGAGTTTGAGACCAGCCTGTCCAACATGGTGAAACCCCATCTCTACTAAAAATACAAAAATTAGCGAGACGCGTGGTGCATGCCTGTAGTCCCAGCTACTCGGGAGGCTGAGGCTGGAGAATTGCTTGAACCCAAGAGGCAGAGGTTGCAGTGAGCCAAGATTGTGCCACTGCACTCTAGCCTGGGCGACAGAGCAAGACTCCTTCTCAAAAACAAAAACAAACAAGCAAACAAAAAATCATAAATACATACAGACGTGCCTACCAAAGTATTAAGAGTGGTTGCCTATGGCCATTTGGGGCTTACAGCCATTTTTACGGTAGAATCTTGCTAACCCGCTGATCCTTATTTTCTCCAGAATCCTGTAGACTGGCCACGCTGCCAACTCCCTGCAGGAGGCCTCCAGGGAGCACCAGACCTGCTGCTCCCTCAAGTTCCCTGGGATTTTTACTAAGAATCACTTGTGTCTGGTCTCAAATATGTTTATGACATTTGTATTTGTTATTGTAATTTTGTATTTTAATTAAATATTATGTAATCAAAATAATGAGTGGCAAAAGCTTCTATATGAACTAAGGATGAATACTTTGCAAATACTCGATAAAGGCATGTTGTTAAAAAATGAGTACTGTCTGATTAGGTATATACAATAGGCCATTCTTGCATTGCTATGAAGAAATATCTGAGACTGGGTAATTTATAAAGAAAAGAGGTTTAATTGGCTCACGATTCTGCAAGCTGCACAGGAAGCATGGTTCTGGCATCTATTTGGCTTCTGGGGAAACCTCAGGTAGCTTACAATTATGGCAGAAGGCGAAGGAGGGGCAGGCATCCCACGTGGTGAGAGGGAGTGTAGGGGAGAGGGAGAGAAAGACAGAAAGTGCAAGAGAGAAAGTATGAACACATTTCTAAACAATCAGACTTCCTGAGAACCCACTCATAGCAACAAGACATGATGGATCTGCCCCCATTACTCAAACACCTCCCACCAGGCCCCGCCTCCAACATTAGGGATCACAATTCAACCTGAGATTTCACGGGGACATATATTCAAACCATATCAGTTTAGTTCTCCCTCTTTCTAACCCTTTTTTTTTTTTTTTTGGAGACGGAGTCTTACACTGTTGCCCAGGCTGCAGTGCAGTGGTGTGATCTCGGTGCTCGCTGCAACCTCTGCCTCCCGGGCTCAAGCAATTCTCCTGCCTCAGCCTCCAGAGTGGTTGGGACTACAGGCTCACGCCACCACACCTGGCTAATTTTTGTATTTTAGTAGAGACGGGGTTTCACCATGTTGGCCAGGCTGGTCTTGAACTCCTGACCTCACATGATCTGCCCATCTCAGCCTCCCAAAGTGCTGAGATTACAAGCATGAGCCACCGCGCGCCCAGACTCTACCCCTCTTTTTAAAGAAAAAAAAAGTTGTCCTTCCTCTTCCCAGGGTTAGACATTTACCATCAAAATTTAGATACAGCTTTAAACGAATACACACACACACACATACAAACACAGTAGAGAGCAGTGAAAAATATCTTATTTTAAGTATTTCTTAGGTATAGCTTTATAGTGGTAATTATCGCTAATATAACAACTCTTATAAATACCTTTATTTATAATTTTTCCCTTTGTAGAATAGCTGACTTCAATTGCTAAATCTCATATCACCATAACTCCCAACTGAGCCTTCAGTACAACCTCCTAGACTTGCATTTTAATGTTCACCATGATTACCAAGGCAATAAAAGATGCTGAAGTGAATTCTACAGTCATCAAAAAAAATTAATTATACTTAATATACTACTGATTTTATTTGTTGTGTTCTGATTCTTTGAAAATAATTGGTAAACCATATGTGTTTAATGTAATAGCTTTCTATTAACCAGAATATTTAATAAGCCAAAACATTGATTTTCCCACCATCTTGGAAAACCAAATTTAATGTCTTCAATACATAACAAAGTTGAAGTTGATGACATTATTGTGACATAGGTATTTGTTAAGCTCCACTTCCTCTCCAGAAAGAAGCCTGAGGGGTTTTCTTGATTTAAAGCAGAGTACATTTGGGATCCTGAAATTTCAAACCAGCTAATGAATTTGAGGCTCTGTGTTTATTCCAGAAAATAAAATCACTTTGTTTAAAATTAATGTGAGCATTATGTATTATTCCATTAAAGGAAGTCTCTGAGGGCAAGAGTAGCTTTCAACCTGATTTACAAGTTAATAGTCGTTTGCAAAGGACTGTACACATTTTCCTAGAGAAAAATTATACCACAATCCCATTTCCTCTCTATCCCTCTATGAACATTGACTAAGTTCAACAACTGCATTAAAAGTCTCTGTGATGGAAGGGCTTCCAAGAAGGGAATAAAAAAAAGAGAGAGAGAAAATAAGATCAATTTATCTAATTGAACACCAAAGCATGGCAATTCATTCATTCATTTATTCATTTAACAAGTAAATTTTGTTACATTTTAGAATGTATCATAAATATTTCAATTTCACAAATTATACAAATGTAAACAATTATATTGTGTGTGAAACTGTATTTAAGCATATAGTATCCGCCCAAGTGCATTTAGAAGAAGACACAACATATTCTTTAATGCCGAGCATGTTCTCTTCTGCTCAACCCTACTCTCTTGGAAAATCTGTGCTTTAGACAAATTCTAGTTTAACAAACCCAGATCAGAATTCCATATTGAAAAAAAAGGGGGGGATTTGTTGAACAAAATATAGTTGCTCCAGTTGTAGTTGAAAGGCTTTCTCTGGATTTTTTTTTTCTCGTCGGCCTAGCGGTAGACTGCCTCCAGGGGGCACCAGAATACAGCAGATTTCTATCAATGCGTAAAACTAGTTGAATCAAAGTAAGTTTCCAGGACATAAAATAGGCTGTGGGTAGGGTGCAGTTGCTAAAGAGAAAAGTACGTTGTAATTTGTTCACCTGTGCATTATTTTCATCATCTTTTAAAAATGCCTTTTTTATATTCCATAATCTGGTCCTTTTATTCAAATTTTAAGAGGAAGCAATTCTCAATGGTGATCTCTTCCTGACAATAACGTCCTGTGACAGCTAGCTACTCACCTACAAATGTCTTATAGTCCAAGCTAAACTATAGCTCCTTGAGGGTAGATTCCATTCCTCTTTGCATATTTCTCCAGCTCCTAGCTAAATATAGTAGTGTCCAATAATTTTTTTTTTTTTTTTTTTTGAGACAGGGTCTCAACCTGTCACCCAGACCGGAGTGGAGTGGTGCCATCTCGGCTCACTGCCTCCTTCCCTCCTGGGGTTCAAGCGATTCTCCTGCCTCAGCCTCCCAAGTAGCTGAGATTACAGGCGCCCACCACCACGCTTGGCTAATTTTTTATTTTTAGTAGAGACGGAGTTTCACCATGTTGGCCAGGCTGGCCTTGAACTCCTGACCTCATGTGACCTTCCCGCCTAGGCCTCCCAAAATGCTGGGATTTATAGGTGTGAGCCACCGCGCCTGGCCCCATGCCCAATACATTTTTAATTTAAGAATGGTGCAGAGAAGAGCAGCACAGTGTAAAACTGAAGAGCCAAGGGGCTCTGGTGACTGCTGAGAGTACAGCAGAGTGAAATACAGATGCGAAGTTACTTAGTGGATCTGAAACATGTAAATGGCATTGGCTATCTTAAAATGTCCTTGATGTGATGGTAATTGTTCCATTTCCTTGCTTTTTTATTTTTATCTATTTTGAGACAGAGTCTTGCTCTGTTGCCCATGCTGGATTACAGTGGCGCAATCACCCTTGACACCTCAAGAGTGTCACCTAGACCTCCCCAGTAGCTGGGACTACAGGTGCCCACGCTCATACCCAGCTAATTTTTTTTTTTTTTTTTTTTTTTTTTTTTTTTGCTATGTTGCCCAGGCTGGTCTGGAACCCCAGGGCTCCAGGTATCCTCCCACCTCAGTATCCTAAAGTGCTGGGATTATAGGCATGAGCCACCAATCCCAACCTCATTTCACTTTAAAATGCTATTTTAGGAGGCAGGAGGATCACTTGAGCCCAGGAGTTCAAGGCTTCAGTGAGCCATGATCATGCCATTGCTACTCTAGCCTGAGCTACAGAGTGGGAGCCTGTCTCAAAAATTTTTTTTAAATCTTTTTTTTTAAGCTACTTTATAGCAATAGTGTTCTCCAGCACTTCTGGGAGCCTACTTTCCTACAGAGAGCGCAAAATTGAGATACAATGTGCCACGCAGTGCTACACAATGCCATTTTATATCAGGGACTTGAGCATCTGAGGATTTTGGTACGGAGGAGGTAGCCTGGATGCAAAGTTGGCGTGGATTGGCCCAGAACCAATCCCCCGTGGATACTGAAGGAAAGCCATACCAACCTATTTATATTTCCAAAAAAGTTCAGACATTTCATAATGTAGCTATCTCAATAGATCACATTTACACAAAAGTTGCACTCTGCTCCCAGGTGGTTCATATCTTCTCAAAGGGTCATATAATTAATGAGACTTTGGAAGAATTCAGACCTACTTTTTACAATGATCTTTACTGTTTATTAGAGGGTATTAGCAAAATTTCAGAGTTTTACAAATCATGCAAACGTATAAATCAGACTGCATTTAAAACAGTATTTAAACACATTATATCTCACCGAGGGCATTTAGATGAATCTATGGCATATTCCTTAATATGAAGCATGTTCCCTTAAATTATACCTCCCTAAAGGATGGTTTGCTCCTGGCCAGCTAGGGCAGGGAAGGGTGTGGGGTTAATCATTTTAAAAACTATGAATCAGATTCTGGGCTCACCAGTAGTTGAGCTGTTCTTTCTATAACTTCAGATTTATGCTGTATTCAGCAAATACGGACCCAGATACCTTCAAATATTAAGTATTTATCCTTCAGAACTTTAAGAAACACAGGTGACCAACCGTGCCTCATCGTCACAAGGGTTCAAAAATGAATGAGTGAATTTGTTCTGAAATTTGGGGTGGGAATGTAAGAATGAAATCCTTTCTACATAAAATTCCATTGAATGGGGCCACTGGGAAGGCATTGATTGCCCCTGGAGAGCAATGCATCAAAAATGAGAGAAAGGAAGAGATTTTTTGAGCCATTTTGCCTTTAAATTTAGCAACGATACTTTTTGACTTTTTTCAGCAAATTACTTAATAATGTACTCCAATTAGATAGAATCATATAAAAGAATCTGTAAAATACATTCTCCAACCAAACTTTCTTCCTGTTTAAATTGATATTTTGATATTAATTATAGTTTTCATTTATACATAAAAATAGTTATCACATTATATACATAAGTACCAGATACATAGCCTTGACTTTGAAGGAAAAAAAAAATCCTGGTGTTACTAAGTCCTGCTCAAAATGAAGACAGCTTCGCAGGATTTTCCCAAAGACACATCTTCCACAAATTATCTTGGTCCTCCCTAAGCAAGGATATTACAAACAATATAAGAATATAGTCCAGAAAATGTTAGCTAAAGACTGACACCCAGTGGCAGAGGTGATTTAGGTGGTGAATTACAGCATAGCTTCTTGCATAGGAGTGAGGGGTGCACGTTGTGGGTGTTTCTCTGTAATACATGGTTTTCATTGAAGACTCAGGGTCACTGAAGGCCAGATTACTTTAAAAATCTAAACATACATTCTTGACCTGAGTAATTTTTTTAATTGATCATTTGAATTCAATTGTAAATGTGGACATTCCCAGAGTGCACAGGAACTAACCACATTTTCTGCACCCTGTAGCCTCATGTGTTGCTTTGAACGTCCTTTCCACCCTCCAGCTGCAGTGCCATCCCATCCTTCTTTCTTCTTTGTCAAGAAGTAGGCACAGACCGTGGATCTCAAACTTGCAGGCATCCCAGCCATTGAGGGAACCTGTTAAAGAAGCTGATTACTGAGCCCACCTTACACCTACAGAATGGGACGCTGTAGGCACCAAGCTGAGAAGTCCTGTTTGAAATAAGCCGCAGGCTCACTTCTGTTGTGTGAGTCCTACAGCAGTGACTGACTTCTGTGTACTCTCCCTTCCTCTGGCAACTCCCTTAGGAAATTATTTAAGGTCAGTTATTGACAGAGGGCTTCTCAAATTTTGTTGTGAATCACATCATTGATTTTGATGCGGTGAGTCTGGGGTGGGGCCTGTCTTCTACATTTCTAACAAGCTCACGGGTGAGACTGCTGCTGCTGTCGGTCCTGCACCGCATTTTGAGTAGCAAGGGCAGGAAATCTGTGCCCTCTTAGAATGTAACACTGGAAAGTGGTCTCCCTCTTATGGTTTTTAAAATTGTGAATGTGCTGGTTTGAGCAATAAACTCTGAAGGTTGAGCATGCATATGCAGTACACGATTCTAATGAAATCAACTGTACAGCAAAATTAGCTGTCATTAACAATGTATCATCAATAATGTATAGGACACAGTAATTAGGTATAACTGCTGAGCCGGCCGCATAATTGTCATAATTAATATTGCTTTTACAGAAATCACATCTTTAGATTTTCTCTTCTCATGCGACCATCTTCCTCCCGATATAAAAGAGCTTTTAACCATCATGTTCTCCCTCACCCAATGATATGGGTAAGTTTAAAACCAGAGTGCAAATGATTTTGTCACAACATTTTATTTTTGACAAGGGGAATAATTAGGAAAATAGAAAGTTGTTTGAAAGGTAAATCATTAAAGAAAAAAGAAAACAGAGTTTGAAAATGTTAAAATCAAAATTTCCCAGATTCACAGTTTTGTTTAGGTTGACTTCATCGTTGTGAGCGCCATTGAAAGACACAGGTGTGGCTCACTCGAAAGTTTTCAGAAAGAGTAAACAGATTTTAACACCTGCCACTGATAGAGTAGGGAGGGGCCTAGGGATTGGTAAAAAGGATATTGACGGTGAAACACCCATATGAAAAGAAACTTCACAAACGTAATTTAAGTCTTTCATGATTGTCTATGACAGAGTGGTGGGGGAGGGGGAAGTGTTCTCAGAAACAAGGCTTTCCTACAGTAGGCAGAGGCATGAGAAGATTCAGGCACATCACTTCCTGCCAGGGATACTGTCAAGCAAACCCCAACAAAAGCAAGAAAATGATCATATTCCTTTTTTTGTAGTATTGCCTTCTCCAAGAGTCTATTTCAGCAATCCACTCTAGCCACCAGGTTGGAGCAAAAGAAATGAATACTTTATTCAGCTGACTCTGCACAGAAAATTAGCTCACGATATTTAACCAACGTAAGATACCCTCTTAAAGAAATTCAGCAGACAGTAACACTATAAAAAGATTTGCCAAAAAAAAAAAAAACACCAAGAGTTAATAACCTGAGTGGTATTTTCATTTTATTATGAAGAACAGAAAAGCTAGAAAAAAAGAAATAAAAACAATAGTCAAGAAACCATAAAGAAATACAATCATAAACTCCTGATCCTTTGATGGTAGGTAAGACAGAAGAGAAGGGACCCTTTCCCTGAGGGCCAATCTTGCAGCAGACCTGAATTACGAGGTGAGTTCTCCACCCTCTGCCTGGGAGCTGATGAGAGGGGTGTGATACTGTTTATAAGGCACTGGCTAGTATTATAAACTTCCCTCACTTCTATAATCTAGTCAATGTCTACATCTATTTCATTTATTGATACTAAGACATTCTTTAGAAGTTTCTACTTTAATTTTTTTCCTGCACAGTACACCTTAATTCTTAACTTTATAATTTTCTATTCTTCCTAATCACAAAAAAGTGTTCAGATAAGAAAAGCATTTTGAGAACAATTTCCTGTTAAGTTATTCAGGATGGTGTTTGAGCAACAAAGCTATTATAGAAATCAGGTTTTAAAGCATTTGAAATCAGCTGCCCTTGGCAGCCCATCTTTCCCAAGGAGCCCCACGGTGCATACACCTAACTGCGACCATTCAGTTGCCCTTGTCCTCTCCCTAAAATAAATCCCAATTGTACTCCCACCTCCTTCCAGCTTCCTTCTGCCCCCTCGTGGCAGAGACCAAAGTTGCCCTCTAACTTTGAATGTTCTCTAGGGCCCAGCACCACTTTTAAAAAGAGCAGTTTCTGGCTTTTCAAGGGTCCTCTCTGTCCCTGGGATTTTTAGGTGTCCCATGGGGCATTGCAAATTTGCTGAGTCAAAGTTTGTCCAGCCAGATTTGCACAGCACGTGGTGGTGGCGGTAGCTTACTTTGAGCTAATGCTTCAGTCTGCTTCACCAGGCAAAAGATGACTAATCTGGCCTATGAGAGAGGAATGAAGCTGGGCATTGTATAGTGTGATTTTGTGATGCAGGAAAGTCAGTTTGATGTGTGTTAGCCATAGTGAGACTACCCTAGGATGGGGCGGTGCCCACTTTACTCAAATCAGATCCAGGCAGGGGAGTCAGACCTAGCAAATTACACCATAGAAAATTATGCCTCCGAATGAGAAACTGCAATCTCAAGAGTGGGTAATTAGGGTTCCTAATTGCACAACATTATTGAAAGTTTCTCCCACCTCCTTCAGTGAAATAGCATGCCTCCCATAGATCCAACCCTAAAGGTATACTGAAAGAGATTTGGCTAGCTCTAAAAGAAAATCAAGTTGTATTCAAAGAAACTCAATAACAGCTACAAATGAAGCCACAGTTCTACTCTCTCTTCTACGTTGCACTCGGGCTCCCTAGAGGCAAGCTCAGTTACCCCATGCAATGATGCTAACCCAAAGGCAGGACTGGGGAAAAGGAAGAACCCAAGATACTATTTGGCGGGACACTACAGGCCAAAAGAGGAGCTGACCTTGACCTGGAGCTCTCAAAGTTGGCTGTCCATTGGAAACATCTGGGGAGTGTCTAAGAATACCAAGAGCAGTGTGCCGTTGACCTGGCTCTCAGGCGACGAAGTAGGAGTGGGGGCTGATTTGTGATTTGTCTTATTTGTCAATTGCTATAATACAAATATCACATTGTCGCCAATTTTTTTTTTTTTTTTTTGAGCTGGAGTCTCGCTCTGTCACCAGGCTGGAGTGCAATGGTGCAATCTCTGCTCACTGCAAACTCTGCCTTCTGGTTTCAAGAAATTCTCCTGCCTCAGCCTCCAGAATAGCTGGGATTACAGGCACCCGCCACCACACCAGGCTGATTTTTTATTTTTAGTAGAGACAGGGTTTCACCATGTTGGCCAGGCTGGTCTCGAACTCCTGACCTCGTGATCTGCCCACCTCAGCCCCCCAGAGTGCTGGGATTACAGGCGTGAGCCACCACACCGCGCCCGGTCACACCGCGCCCGGTCACACCGTGGCCAATTTTAAGCTACCAGAAGGATGTCACTGAATACAGAGTCGGAAAGAGAATTGCAACCAGAATGAGCCAGCTCCTGCACATCACTGAAAAGACTGGGCTTAAGGAGTGAGGCCTGAGCATGGGGATATTTAAAACCTCCCCCAGGTGATTCCACTGTGCAGCCAACTTTGAGAACCACTGACCTCTCTGTGTAGCTTTCTTCCAGGCTGCTGCTGCTGGCGCCCTTCCATCGTCAACTCCACAACTCCCAGGTCAGTATATTCCCTTTATAATGCTGTTGCCACTTTTGGAAAATGTGCTTAGGGGAAGGTGCTTCTCTTCTTCCCCTGACATGCTAAGTTGCTCATTGAGGGTGCAGTGTGGATGCTCTCTAAAGGTAGTTCATTTATTAAAAAATATGTCTTAAATAATGCGTTTGAGGCACATGCTAGGCGCTCAGGAAACAGGACTGAAAAATACTCTTTGTAACTTCAAGGGGCTTATAGTCTGGAAAGAGAGAAAGAGTTAGCAGTATCAAGGGAGCATGGGGGAGGAGCCCAGAGAGCATGCATTGTTGCAGACACTGTTTATCAGCTAACCCAGCACTTTCTCAAACCCTTTGTCGTCTCCAAGATAACAACTAGAAAATCAAGTGCTGTGTTCCCCAGCTCCCCTTAAAGCCAGGCCTGGCAAGAAGACAGTTTTACTCAAGGAGAGAGGGAAGCTAAAATCAGCTGGGAGCCTCCAAAGAAGTTTTTGCTTTTAATGTTTAACAAAGAAAAAAATGAAAGCATATGCAAGGGTGGTAAAACCTCTGTCCCTGGAGCTCAAGGCAACTGCCTGGAGCTGATGCAGCCATCGTATAACCATGAGGTAAAAGCCAAAAGAATCACTGATACACTAGCACTAGCATCTTTTAGTCGTTGAAGCGATACCAGAAGCGGCCTCTGTTTGTCTGCAGGTGCGTAGGTCAGCATTTATCTGACTTGCAGCTGAATGCAATCAAAACTGGCAAACTGGTACAGGTATGGAATGCAAACTGGTACAGGTATGGAATCCAAACTGGAAGGTGGGGATAGAATGCTTCCTCACGGGGAAAATGAACAAGCTGAATCTTAGAAGATGAGACAAGTTAGTAATGGAGAAACATGGGGAGAAAAGGGTTCTAAGCAGAAGAGTAATATGAGCCAACGTCTATAGACCGTGAAGCATCCTATTTTTGCTAACTACAGGAATTGAAACTTGATCCTAAAGGCAAAGGTTAAATTTTGAAAAATTTTAGATTGAGAAACTATATGACCAAATATGTGTTTTAAAAAAATATTACCCTCTAATGTGGTCTATTGCTTCTAAGAATTTTCTTTTGCTTTTTTTTTTTTTTTTTTTTTTTGAGACAGGAAGGATCTCTGTTGCCGGGCTGAAGTGCAGTGACATGATCACAGCTCATTGCAGCCTCAACCTCCCGAGCTCAAGCGATCCTCCTGCCTCAGCCTCCCAAAGTAGTGGGATTACAGGCATGAGCCACTGCACCTGGCCACTTCTAAGAATTTTCTATTGAACTACTTAGTTTATAAAAGTGAAAAACCAGTAACAATCTAAACCTTACCCATAGGACATGGTGAAATAAATTATGGGACCACCCTATAATGGAATATTTTTACAACCATATTTTTAGAGAATATATTATTTTACTAGTGGCATAATAACTAAAGAAAAAAGTCAGCCCGGCATGGTGGCTCACGCCTGTAATCCCAGCACTTTGGGAGGCCAAGGCAGGTGGATCACGAGGTCAGGAGATCGAGACCATCTTGGCTAACACGGTGAAACCCCGTCTCTACTAAATATACAAAAAAAAAGTCAGCTGGGCGTGGTGGCGGGCGCCTGTAGTCCCAGCTACTCAGGAGGCTAAGGCAGGAGAATGGCGTGAACCCAGGAGGTGGAGTTTGCAGTGAGCCGAGATCGCACCACAGCACTCCAGCCTGGGTGACAGAGTGAGACTCTGTCTCAAAAAAAAAAAAGAAAAGAAAAAGAAAAAAATTACAATATAAAACCTCAACCTTTTAGGAAAAAAAAATGCATAGAGAAAAAGACTACAAAATTTTATGAAATTGTGACTGTGGTTCTTGCTAGGTAGGGAAAATACCATTAATTTTTATTTTTTAATTAATTATTTTCCAGATTTTTAAGTAACCATTTTTATCATCAGGGAAAATGTTACTTAAAATCTAAAAATGGCAGCCACAGTGGGGGCTAGCCTAGAAGCAAAGAAATCAGCTCCCAAAAACTGTCTGTTTTGCTTCTGGGCCTTTGTGCTGTGTAACCTAGAGTTGGAAAGTAATATTCTTAGGACATTCTCAAATCTTGCTCTTCCTTCCCACCAAAAGCATTGCTATGGGCCTGGCATGGTGGCTCATGCCTGTAATCCCAGCACTTTGGGAGGCCGAGGCAGACAGATCACTTGAGGTCAGGAGTTCGAGACCAGCCTGGCCAACCCGGTGAAACTCTGTCTCTACTAAAAATACAAAAATTAGCCAGCATGGTAGTGAGTGCCTATAAGCCCAGCTACTCAGGAGGCTGAGGCAGGAGAATTGCTTGAACCCAGGAGGTGAAAATTAGAATGAGCGGAGATCATACCACTGCACCCAAGCCTGGGCAACGGAGCAAGACTCCATCTCAAAAAAAAAAAAAAAAACAAAAACAAAAACAAAAAAACATAGCTATGGTGCTATTCCCCCATAAAGCATGTGTTGATTCTCTGGAGTCCCACCCTGGCATTCGTAGCCTTAACATTCCTCGGTGGGTTTTGACTCTGCTGCCTTCTTTAGCCCAGCATTTCCCACTACCTTGGGTGAGCCCCTTTCCACCCTCCTTGGGGGTAAGAATTCATATATTTTTGATAACCCTGGGAGCAACATGATGAGTGTTTGTGTTCCACGTCTGTCACAATCCCTGCCACGACTACTGTTCCAGCCATGGTTTGGGTCATGGGACTCTTCATTACCAAACACGGTGGACTGGGTTGGACAATTGCTCAAGAGCAGTTATTCAGTGGAGTGGCATTTTCAAACTGAGCCAGGTCCATCCATTTCTTGCCCTTGGGGACTTGAATTGGGAAGTACAGAGAGAACCAGACAGTAGGAGCTAAAGTTGGAGTGATGTTTAGATGAAGGTAGGAGGTCATGTTGTGATCACAGCAAGTCATGGCCAAGCAGCAATGAGAAGGCAGAAACTATGAGTAGGCAGATTCAGTGATGTATGCAGGAAAAACATATGCTGAGTAAAGGGGTAAATGAGATGTACTGAGAGGCAAACAGAGCAGACCCCCCCCAGAAAATAGCAGACTCCTATAAATGGAGGAGAATTAGAGTGAAGTTTCAGAAACTCCAGGAGTTGAGGTTCTTAGAGACCGCTGCCTTGACAGAATACTGGCTGGTCTACTGTTTCTTATTTTGCGTTTTGGTTCATCTCCCTGTATGCTATGTGTTTCCTTAAACTAAGATACCCTACCTCCCTTTGTACTTCCGTTAACCTAGGTTACAAACGTCTCTGTTTCTTAAAGTCAGAAAGACTGAACTTGAATTGATTGGTCCATCTATTTACTTGTATATTCCCTTATTCATTCTTTCATATATTCTATAAAATATAGTGAAATTGTGCCAATATTCTATGCACTAGGAACAAGATGATATATGGTACAATACCTGCCCTTAATGATTATTCAGTATTAGCCCTTATGATGGTGATAGAGAGAAAAATATGAGTGACATTTAGAAGGATAGAATGGGTACAATTGAATATGGGGGGTGGGTGAAGAGAATATAAGGAGGGAGCAGGAGGAGAAATTTAAGATTATGCTTCAGGCTTTGCCTGGGTCATTTAGAGAATGACAATGTCATTCTCAGAAATAAAGAATTCTGGGGCTGGGTGCAGTGGCTCACGCTTGTAACCCCAGCACTTTGCGAGGCTGAGGCAGGCAGATTGCTTGGGTCCAGGAGTTCCAGACCAGCCTGGGAAACATGGCAAAATCCCATCTCTACAAAAATAAAAATAAAAACTAAAAAATAAATTAGATGTGGTGGCACACACCTGTAGTCTCAGCTACTTGGGAGGTTGAGGTGGGAGGATTCCTTAAGCCCCTGGGAAGCAGAGGTTGCAGTGGGCTGAGATTGCACCACTGCACTTCAGCCTGGGTGACAGATTGACACCATATCTCAAAAAAAGAAAGAAAGAAGAAATTCTGGAATAAGGAATGCTGAGTTTAAGGACATCCAGGCCGGGGTGTCCATTATATGCAGCTGAGGAAAGAGATTGTAAACATACATTTCAGAACAATAAATATCACTAGTACTATTTGCATCTATGGCTTTTACAAAGAAAAGAAGGCTGAGAACAGAGTTCTGGGCAACACCAACATTTAAGTGGAGGCCAGAGAATGAGATTTCCTGGAAGGGGGCCAAGTAGGTGTGATCCAAGTAGCAAGAGAAGAACCAGGAAGTAATATGTCATAGAAGCCAAAGAGTACAAAGAGAAAAATATAGGCCGAAATGCCTGCTATGTTTGTAGTATAGAAGGAAGGTATTGGTGATGTAGATGAGAAAGCTTAGTCAGAGAATGTCAGATGGTAATGAGCTGATGATCATGTGTGGATTATCCCTTCAGTAAGCCAGACTCCATAGGAAAGGAGAGAGACAGAGGAGATGCACAGTCAAGAATTAATAGAACTCATTTATGGGGCCCATCTGCAGGTCTCCACCCTTTTGAGCATGACTTTAACTCTCAGATCTAACTGAGCATCCTCATGGAACTGCTCCTCTATGTCCTGGGGTCCTCCCCATTCCTCCAGAGTTCATCATGAGCCCCTGCCAGTAGCTCCTAGACACAGCCTTTTCTGCCCAGCTCCTCCTTCTGCAAGACTAGAGGGGAACCACAACTTCCACCCTGCCTCTTTGGTCTTCCAAAGGAGAATTAAGATCTCAGCCTTCTTTTCTTTGTAAAAGCCATAGATTCAAATAGTACTAGTGATATTTATTGTTCCGAAATGTATGCTTATGATCTCTTTCCCCAGCTGCATAACAGATCCCCAGGCCTGGATGACCCTAAACTCACCATTCCTTATTCCAGAATTTCCCCTCCCTCCCTTCCTTTCTTCCTTTCTTCCTTCCTTCTGGCAGCTCCACACCTGACGACGTGGATGTATATGCCATTCTATCCTGAAAGACTGGAGAAATAAAGTGGAAATTGTACTGTATAGAAGGAAACAAAAAGCTGTGCTCAAGTGTGTGGTCTGGGAAGAGCGGGAGCAGGCAGGGCCAGGATTGGGCCTGGGCCTTCTCCATGTCAGATCTCCTGATTGGCTTTCCCACATCTGTGGGCCCAGGTTCACACATCTCCCAAGGCAAACATTAATTCTCAAAGGTCAGACTTATAAAGAAGAATAAAAGATATTCTTAACTTTTAGAGCTTTTAAGATTTCTTTCTGCATGGCTTCAATAAGGCACAGTATTATGATCTCTTAGTTACACCAGAGAAATTTTGAGACAAGATACTAAAAAAGAATTCAAACTTTGGCAAGGATTCTCCTTAGTTTCCATAGGGAGGAATGCTTAATGCCAGTCTTGGCTCCCCTGCCAGAAGGGGAAAGAATGGAAGATTAATGGAGCCAAGTTGTTGAATAGGTAGAAAGGGTGTGGCTCTGGGCACAGGCATGAACAGGTCACCTTCTGGGACAGAGGAGCAATGAAGGGATTAGCTGCAGGTGCAGACATGTTTGCAAATGGGACAAAACAAAGTTCTGTGTGATGGCTTTGTTTTCTTGGTAAATTGCAAACAAAATCTGCTAGCAGTAAAAGTTGAGGTCATTGTTGCTACTGCTGCTGCTAAACGCAGAACCACATGTTGTGCACTGAATATGTGGGTGTGTCTTTTATGTGTGTTATCTTATTGAGCCCCTGACACAGCCTTCTGAAGTATTCTTAGTGAGATTTTACATATGAGGAAAATGGAACTTAAGATATTTATTCATGTCGCCCAACTAGTAAGTGCCAACAAGGGGAATGGAAGGAAATGGCAAATGGAGCAGCAGAGAATGATTTCTTGGTGTTTGAGAAGGAAATAAACACCAAAAATTTGCAGAGACACCAGTCTAAGGACTGAGTGATTTTCTCCAACTGTGTGATGGAACTGGGGCAGAGGAACAAGGGAGGAAGGGGACTGGACTGATTCGGGGCTGATATTCTACAGTGTGTCATGGAAGGACAAAGGGGCAAAAAAGTTGAGAATTTGGGCAAAAGTATAATCAAGAGAGAGGCTATGGGATCCAGGCTGGAAAGGGGAGCATAAAGCCTGTAGACAATAGGTCAAAATAAAATGAAAGGGTCATAGAAGTGGAGTTTGAAATGATGTCGAAGAGGCAAGTATTTGGGAATTTGGGATTCAGAGAGTCAAAAAACTGAAATAATATGAGACTGATAAAGTTATGGTCAAAGAATAGGAAATTGTAGTTACAGATTTTACATAGGGATCAATTCTGAAAAATCATCAGGTTCAGCATTACCAAAATGAAGTAAAGGTTAATGTAGTTAGACTTTAAAAGCACAAATAATTGAACTAGTATATAAAATGAGATGAATACTTATACATTTATTTATTTATTTACACCTTACTCTAGTCTTTAAAATATGAGGTATAGACTTTTTCTAGTAGTTTTTTTTTTTTTTTAATTTCCATAGGCTATTGGGGAACAAGTGGTATTTGGTTACATGAATAAGTTCTTTAGTGGTGATGTGTAAGATTTTGGTGCACCCATCACCTGAGCAATGTACACTGAACCCAATTTGTAGTCTTTTATCCCTCATCCCCTTACCACCCTTTTCCCCTCAAGTCCCCAAAGTCCATTTATCATCCTTACCGCCTTTTGCATCCTCATAACTTAGCTCCCATTTATGAGTGAGAACATATGATGTTTGGTTTTCCATTCCTGAGTTACTTCACTTAGAATCATAGTCTCCAATACCATCCAGGTTGGTGCAAATGCCATTAATTTATTCCTTTTTATGGCTGAGCAGTATTCCATGGTATATATGTACCACAATTTCTTTATCCACTTGTTGATTGATGGTGTTTGGGCTGGTTCCATATTTTTGCAATTGCGAATTGTGCTGCTGTAAACATGTGTGTGCAAGTATCTTTTTCATATAACGACTTCTTTTCCTCTGGGTAGATTTGGTGAGAGCTTGTCCTCTTTACCTCTGAGTAGATTTGGTGAGATAATGATGGTGAGACAAGCTAGAAAGAAATATGATAAATGAAGAAATATATTGTCAGTAACTGTGCTGGGAACTCATATATTTGGTACATGAAAATGACAAAGGGAAACTGGTTTTGCATGAAGCAGGAATGGAAAACAAGAAAAATTCTGACTTGCCTAATGGTAAGAGGAGTAATGGTGAGTACACAGTCCACACCAGAGAGGACCACAAAGAAGCATCATATCCTGGAAAGAAGGAGCAAGTTTTCTCTATGGCAAGGAGGTAGGATAATCATCATGTGATAAACTCGAGAGTTGTAGGAGACTGGGGACATGATCAAGGTATTGGAGGCAGCACTGGGTGAGAGCACAAGTCGGAAGGTGAGTGACACTGAGTGAGGCCAAGAGAGGAATTGCAAGGTGATATGCGAATGGGAATGAAACTTGCAGTTGACTGATTTTTTTCATTTGTGTCTTCTGCATTTATTTCTTAATTCATGTATTTTATCAGTATGGTCATGGATTTTATACTTTATAATCCAGTATTTTGTTATTTATTTTGTTGGTAAAATTGTTCGGCTTTGGCTATTGGGAGCTATTTTGGTTGGCTCCTGTGTCTCTTTGGCACATCCCCATTGTTTGACGTAGCCCCACTGTTTTGTTTTTTGAGCACAGCCTTACACTCTGGCATGACAAGATGTTCCAGGCTTATCTTGTATATTCTTTCCATTGGCCCTGGGATCCATCATTTCTCCCAAGAACTCTAGTTGCTTATATTGGAGAACGGCATTAGAAACCAGAATTTGGATGCTAGGTGTGCTTGCTGTTGCTGGGGTGTCGTGGATAGGCCCTCTCAGCAGACAGAGCTAGAAAATACATGCACACTAACCCACATATATATGCATATCTGTAATTAGTTCTATATCTATTCATCTGTGTCTATGTTAAGCTAGATATCAGTTCATTCTGATGTCTCCAGATCTAATCCAACATGGTTCATGGTGGCCTTTCTCCTCACTCAGCTGTAACCTTTCTCTCCAACAGTGAAAAGCCCTGGCTCCCATAATCTGCCATCCATTTTTTGTTTGTTCAATTGCAGTACACATGTACAGAAGTTTCAGAATTAACTCACACCCTCATGAGAAACAACCTTGCCAACTAGAATACAACATTTATGTACAATTCCTTTTGTCCTTAGTCTTGTAGTTTCCCGTCAAAGCACCATTTCCCAGTGTGACTTAGGTCAGCCATTTTTTCTCCCCCACTCCCACTGGTTGATTTTTAAACTGCCTTATTTATGTTTGGATATGTCATTATCAAACCATTTTCTACTCCATTTCTAAGTGTTGGCTTCTAGAATTTTAATCAGCCTAGCTTTTTTTAGCTTAATTTTTTAAAAAGCAACATGTTCCCTCATTTTCTCTCTTTTAAGGATATACTACAGTCATATCAAGCATGAAATTCTATCTTTCCTAGCTCATTAATAAATATAAACAAAATACTATTGGAAAAAGACTGTTACAGGTAGATGTGATAGAAGCTGGCTAGAGTGAGCAGGTTCACAAGAATCCTTGTGCAGGCAGAAAGTGTGACTCCTGGAGGCAGAGAAAAGGAGTGAAAGACTTGGAAGAGGTCTTCAATGATGGTTGAGGGTGAAATTAGCACACTGCCTTTCTTCAGTGCTATGTGCCTTAGGAGGAAATTAGGCAACAGGAAATGTGAGTGGTTCCTGACTTTCCAGAAGGTCAAATGTGACAATGGAGACTTTCCAGTACCATCAAGAGAGGATAGTGGAACTATTTCCACCAACAAGGGGGCTCTAACTGAGGGGAATTTTGATCTAACTGAGGGGAATTCCTAGCCACTTTAAAGATTCAGCTCACAGCATGGATGCCTGGGGAACTGGGAAGGTAAACACATAAGTGGGTATGCACTATCATTTTGCACACTACTTTGAAATGGCAGGTGTGTTTGAAGTAATCCATTGAAAGGCAAATTTTGCTTTCCCAGTCATAAACCAACATTCCACAGAGACCTAGGCTGTAGGATTACAGTAACTTTGATGTCCAAGAAATAGTCATAAAAATACCTTTAATAATAGAAACTTAAGGGATCTTTGTCATTTGACCTTCTGGTTCCTGATCATGAGACAAGCTAGGGCGGAACTTGTAAAAAAAAAAAAAAATCGAGGTACAAAATTGTTGGGATTTACCCGATTTTTAAAAAATGGAAAAATGTAAAGTCACATGTTTTAGGGTCATCTCGTTAGACTACAAAGTCAACAGACCTGGAATTCCGTTCAACTGAACATATATGATTAATGAGTGCCAACAACAAACATTCTGCTAGGCTTCAGGGCTTTCTTTCTTTTGAGATGCAGTCTCGCTCTGTTGCCAGACTGGAGTGCGGTGGCACAATCTCAACTCACTGCAACCTCTGCCTCCCAGATTCAAGCAATTCTCCTGCCTCAGCCTCCCAAGTAGCTGGGACTACAGGCACATGCCACCACACCCAGCTAATTTTTGGAGTTTTAGTGGAGACAGGGTTTCAACATGTTGGCCAGGATTGTCTCCATCTCTTGACCTCGTGATCCACCTGCCTTGGCTTCCCAAAGTGCTGGGATTACAGGCATGAGCCACCGTGCCTGGCCAGGGCTCTCACATAAAAGTGATTCAAACACAACAGTGCACATAGGAGCTTACAATTCAGTCAAGGGAACATGAACAATACACACACAGATAATGGTTGCATAGACTTCATGGTGAAGGTAGCCTTGGGGATGGGCCTAAAAAATGAATAGGATGTCACAAGGTGGAGATGAGAAGGAAAGCACTTCAAGCCAACTGACCAACAAAGCACAGATGTAAAAAATGCATGGTATTTGAGGGCAGGGTCAGTAGTCCAGTTTGGGGGTAGTAGTGGTTTTCAGAGTGTGATTCCCAGAGCATCTACTTCAGCATCACCTGAGAACTTGTTAGAAATGCAAATTCTCAGGTTTCAACATCTGACCCAGTAACTGCACCCTTAGGCATGTATTTCAAGAGAGATGAAAACCTATGCCCATGTAAAAACTTGTGCATGAATCTTTATAATAGCATTATTCATAATAGTCAGAAAGTAGTAGCAACCCAACTGTCCATCAACTGATGAATGGATAAATAAAATGTGATATATCCATACAGTGAAATATGATCCAACTATACAAAGGAATGAAATAATGATACATGTTACAATATGAATGAAATTTGAAAACATAGTAGTAAGTGAAAGAAGCCAGACACAAAGGACCACATATTATGTAATTCATTTTATATGAAATGTCAGAATAGGTTAATATATAGAGAGAAACAGTAGATTAGTGGCTTCTGGGGGCTGGGGACAGGGAGATATGGGAAGTGGCTACTATGGGTGTCTTTTAGGGTGATGAAAATATTCTAGCATTAGATAGTGGTAATAGTTGCAGAACCTTGTAAATATACTACAAACTACTAAATTGTACCTTTTGAGAGGGTTACCATTATGGTATGTGAATTATGTCACAATTAAATAAAAAAAGAAAGGAAAAGTATCATGTCTCACCTGAGTTCTCATGAATTGGAAGCCCAGGTGCTGGGGTCCTACAGCCTGCATGTCTATACCCCTCCAGGGGATTCTGATGCACACTACAGTATGTGACCACCTGGCTAGAGCAATGGGTCTCAGTCCTGGTCAGACATTATTATTAAATAGGAAATTTTTTTTAAGTATCAATTTCCTGGGCCCCACATCCAGAGATCTGATTCACTGGGCCAGGGAATCAGTGTTTTTCAAAAGCTACTCACATGAACCTCTTGTGTACCACAGTTGAGATCCACCAGTCTAAAGCCTAAGGCATGTGTATGTGGATGCTGGAGAGAGAGATTAGAGCCTCACTTTAGAAAGCCTTGATAAACAGCCTTGAGTGGAAGGAGATCATTAGTTCTGTATATTAAGATTTTTCTGGCAAAATGGGGAGAAAGGAATTGGCATGTGTAGACACTGAAGGCCATATGATCAGTTAAGAAATCTGGACAAGCGAAAGGAATCAAGGGTCGAAAGCAGAGTTGTGGTGATGGCAGGGAAAAGGAAGGAGTGAGAGAAATGGAGAAAGACACACAGGCTGTGAAAACAAACAGGACCGGGACCCCCTCAGTCCGGTCCTATTTGTTTTCACAGTCTGTGTGTCTTTCTCCATTTCTCTCACTCCCTCTCAGAGTGAGGAGTCGAAGTTGCCTTCAGAGTTGAGTCTAGGTGACTAGACAAAGGTAACATCGTCAAAACAAATAAGGAAACCAGGGCCAACGCGGTGGCTCACGCCTGTAATCCCAGCACTTTGGGATGCCGAGGCGGGAGGATCACGAGGTCAGCAGATCGAGACCATCCTGGCTAACACGGTGAAACTCCGTCTCCACTAAAAATACAAAAAAAAATTAGCCAGGCGTGGTGGCGGGCGCCTGTAGTCCCGGCTCCTCGGGAGGCTGAGGCAGGAGAATGGCGTGAACCCGGGAGGCGGAGCTTGCAGCCTGGGCGACAGAGCGAGACTCCGTCTCAAAAAAAAATAAAAAATAAAAAAATAAGGAAACCAAGGGTTTCTGCTGGTGTTTTGGTGTGAAAGAATGAGAAATACAGGACAAAGGGGAAAGTTTGAAGGGTAAAGGTGAGAATAAAATAAGGATCATCCAGGACACACCTACTTTTAAAACAAAACAACAGCTGCAACTATTCCACGAGCAAATCAGATTCTGCCCAATTTCTCTGAAATTAGCATTAGCATTGCAAATATAAGATTAAATCAATTATGGGAGCTTTTATTAGTTTCTAGTGTTGCCATAACAAATTATTTCAAACTTAGTGGCTTAAAACAGCATAACTTTATCTTAGGTCAGATGGCTGACACAGGTCTCCACTGGGCTGAAATCAAGGTCTGGGCAGGACTGCATGCCTATTAAGAGGGTCTGGAAAAAAAATCCGTTTCGTTGCCTTTTCCATCTTCCAGAGGCCACCTGTATTCCGTGGCTGATGGACCCTTCCTCCATCTTTAAAGCCAGCAATAGTGAGTTGAGCTTTTTCATAGTTCAGCACTTCGACTTCCTCATCTGCCTACCTCCTCCACTTTTAAAGGACCCTGTAATTACACTGGAACCACCCACAATAATCTGGGTTAATCTCCCTATTTTAAGTTCAGCTGATTAGCAACCTTAATTCCAACTCCAACCTTCATTCCTCTTTGCCATGTAATGTAATATAATCACAGATTCTGAGGTTTAGGATGGGCATCTTTGGAGGTCATTATTCTGCCTACCACACAGCCATTTCATATTTTTAGACTCACTATACAAATTCAATTTCTGCCTTCCAGATCTGTTCTAGTATTCCATAATGTGCATGAAACTATGTTCCTTTTTACAGCAGCTTTACTCAATGGTAGTGGAACTTACAACAAGCCAGATAACAGTAGGGTATCACCAATAGCTTACAGTTCAATACTAAGGAATAATATTAACTTAAGAGTGTGCCTATAAACAAATTGCAAAGGATTTCTTTCTTTTATCATAGAAATCAAGAAGTTTCTGAATCACTTTCAGTTTTACCTCTACTTTTGTCCAGTTTATGAGACTTACATTAGTTTGCTTGGCTGTAGTAACAAAGTGCCATGGATTGGGTGGCTTAAAAAACAGGAATTTATTTTCTCATAGCCTGGAGGCTGGAAACCTGAGATCAAGGTGTCTGAGGGCTATGGAGGAAAGATCTGCTCTACGCCTCCCTCCTTGGCTGATAGACATCTGTCTTCTCCCTGTGTCTTCATAAAGCATTCCACCTTTATATGCCTGTATCCAGATTTCTTCTTATAAGGGCACCAATCATATGGGATTAGGGCCCATACTCTAATTTAATTACTCCTTAAATGCCCTATTTCCAAATCCAGTTACATTCCAAAGTACTAGGGATTAGGACTTTGACACTTGAATTTTTGTGTGAGAGACACAATTCAGCCCATAACGTAATAGGACAATGAGGTATTATCCATAATAAGATAAACCTGTTACAAAATGAGCATCATGTTCTGACACCAATGGTTAGTGGCTGCCTTACAGTATCTTTTGGGAAGGATTCTGACGGCATATATAGCTCAGTTAGAAAGAGCACTAAGATCAACTAGCAATGACCCCATGGACGCCAGCTGGTGAGGTGGCAAGCGATGTGCTGCAGATTTGCAAACCTTCTCATGGCTCAGTTGCCACACAGGCAATGAGAGATTCTTTTGCTAAGTACAGAGTAGGCTACTATCAGGAAAGATAAAATTGGATGCTGATGGACTGAGCCATCAGCTACATTATAACCTGGAATTTATTGTCCCACCTCCACTCTAAGTTTGGAATGTTGTTATTTGTACTATATGGTTCCAGACTGACCAGTGTCTAAATGCTTAAATAATAATTTGAAAACCTGCCTAAGGAATATAAGGTATTAATATGAATTATTTATCAATAAAGGATGCCTTTTATAGGAAAATGAAATCATTAGAGAAGGTAGTTATTACATTGTTTTGACTTTATACAGCATGGATTCATTTAACAATAATACACTTAGACATGGCCCATAAAAAAGAATTGGCTGTAAAACTATCAGGAGACCTGATACTGTTTTCATTAAAAATGACAAACCATCATTATTGAAGGATGAATATGATTTTTATAAGAGTAACTGTGTGAAAATTTTGACTGAGCTATAGTCCCCAGAATGGTTCAGGGTACCTTTATAGTATCAAAACTCTGCCAATAACTATCACAGCTTCAAACCAGCCACTTAGCAGGCAGATTCCTGAGAGTGTATCGGCAGGAGAATTTTTTTTTTTTTTTTTTTTTTTTTTGAGATGGAGTCTTGCTCTGTCGCCCAGGCTGGAGTGCAGTGGCAGGATCTCGGCTCACTGCAAGCTCCGCCTCCCGGGTTCACGCCATTCTCCTGCCTCAGCCTACCGAATAGCTGGGACTATGGGTGCCCGCCACCACGCCCGGCTAATTTTTTGTATTTTTAGTAGAGACGGGTTTTCACCGTGTTAGCCAGGATGGTCTCGTTCTCCTGACCTCGTGATCCACCCGCTTGAGCCTCCCAAAGTGCTAGGATTACAGGCATGAGCCACCGCGCCCGGCCATCAGCAGGAGACTTTAAGACAATTTGGGTTAGAGCCTTATCCAAATTATCGCAGTCATACATCTCTAGTCTCATGCCACTGGTAACCCAAAGAGATGGCAAAAGGAGAAGGGCTGAGACTCAGCACCTTTCACTAGCAGGAGCCAATTCTGTTGGCATTCCTGATGTTTCAAGACCCACATCAACAGACTCCGAGAGAGTTTCCAAGATAAACTGGAACGTATGCTGGATGTACTTTTAACCACAGAAGTTAGTCTTTACTGAGAAGTATGTAGCAAGAGCAAGCTGACTTCTGCCACTCTGTTCAAGATCCTGGGGACAGTGTCATGTGAGGCTGGAGCACAAGAGAACTAGTGTTACATTGCCAGGTGGGCCAACATTAAAGCGCCCTGTCAGGGTGACCTGACCACAGTGGAACCAGGACTGATGAGAGTTACCAAGAGAGCAGCATAAATGATCCCTCCTCTCCAGTCTCTCAAATGAAGGAAGAGAATCTCTTGGCAGTTCTCATCATTTTAAGTTCACAAGTAATATATAAATATGCATCATTGTGAAGAATATGAATTACTTTTAAATGTCAACACATAAATGCAAACAATTTAAACTATATAAAATGCCTTCTTCCTGACTTTCTTAATCTTATTCTTTTTCATAGATTTAACCATTTTTTTCAGTTGTGTGGCTATTCCTCCAAATCTATAGTTTATACATTTACAGATAATATTTATATTATAATATTTTATATATCTCATATAATATATACTTATATATGACATATATCATATAATGATATATAAATATATGAATAAAAATATGTATTATATAGTAAATATATTAAATAAAAATATAAATGTCTATATAAATATATATGAAAAAATTATAGATTTTTAAATATATATGTATGTATGTATATAAAACATTTTACCTATTATCCGGCAAATTGCTTATTTTTCACTCAGCATTTTGTCTTCGAGACTTGCCATATTAATGCATTGATCTACCTCTTCTTTTTAATCATTACATAGTATGCTAATATCATATTTCAATACTCACTTTTCTGTTGCTTGCCATAGAGACACTTTCCCATTCTCTGAGACTGTGAGTGCTGCTCTGCCTTTCACTGGGCACCTGGAAACCTTCTTTTCCATGTTCATTCTGACAAGTGAGAGTTTTCTCTATAATTGATTCATAAAAGAACAAATGTTACAGAAAAGGTTATTTTATTTTTGTTTTAATGACTACCCAAAATTCTGTTTCTATTAGCACCAGTAGTATACCAGAGAGTCTTTTTCCCACACTTTCCCAACACTTGATATTGCCAATCTGTTCAATATTTTTCAATTTCATGGCCAAAAATAGTAAATAATTTGCACTTCTATCACCTAGTGTTTATGCACCTGCTAATGTAAGACAGAAACATCGTGAAATGCTTAAACATGGTTTTAAAAGTTGTTAAGTAAGGAGAGAAAGAGGTATCTCAACTTATTAAGGCAGTTTTTGTTAATAAAATGGTGGAAACGATATTGTCTTCCCCACAGGGTTGGTTTGAGAGAAAGGAGAAAGTCTTTGTACAAGTGTTTGAGCATTATGCAAATATTACTTATTTACCTATTGTTATTGTAACTTTTGAGTTACTATAGTTTGATGCATTTTGGGGGGAATGAAATGAGACCAAATAATTTTTTCTTCCAGTAGAGAGCTATACTCTGTTTCATTCCCTTCCTATTGACTAGTACAGAAACAAATAGCAGCAAAGCGAGGGCCATGGATGATAGTTTGAGAGTGACTGGAAGTTTTTATTATTATAGAAACCATTATTAAGCTTTAAGACTTAGAAATAAGATAGTAGGAAAAAATGTGTCTTAAAACTACTCATTATTTACTAAAACATTAGAGAAAGCTACATTTCAAGGCTGTGACTCCTTGAAAGCTAGTGGACTAAGCCCACTGAACGTCTACATCATGCCAGTCAATGCATAAGGCACCAAGGATGTAAAGATGTGAGAAACTGTTCCTAACAGGAGAAAGACATACAATTGTAATATGATATGTTGCGCCAGATTGTCTAGGTATAACAATACCATTCCTGCTCCCTTCTAGACTTGTCCTGTACACAAGATCCGGAAGCCTGAAAGCTACACTTCCATTATGTCTTATCAACAACATTCCAGTTTAAGTCCCACCACTGAGAGGCACTCATATGAGCTTCAAGAGGTAGGAGAGAAAGGGAGGTCATTATTGCTCCAACTGCAGTAGGCAGGCAGGCCTTTGACAGACGGCAGATACGAAGTTTTGCAATTTATTCAGAGTCCTAGAAATCACCCCCTTTGTGTTACAGCCACCTGAGATAGTCAGTGGTGATTGCCCACAATTCCTGAAATTCCCGATTTCCTGAGAGCCAGGAGTGACTGGGCTCCCCTGCCCTTCCCACTGTTTTCTTGACATTGAACTTCCTATTTGAAATACCTTGAGTAGTTTTCTTTTCTTTGCTGATACAGGTGGTAGGTGCTATGGGATTATAGCTTTCAATTATTAAAAAAACAGCCTAAGGTAAGGATACATATGACCTCCTGGACAGTGGAAAACTTGCTTGACTTCAAGGGTGTTAGGAGACTCAGCTGAGCCCAGAAAGAGCTGAGCTACCGGGTATTGGAGTAGCCAATTAAAGCAACAATCCAAAAGGAGTCAAGAGAGGCAGAAAGGGCTAGGCCTTTAATCACTTACTACCATAGTACGAGAAGAGAAAGTGCCAACCACCCTGAGCAATCTTCTGCCAAGGAATGGTGTGCAGGTCAAGGGTCAGCTGAATTAGCACAGATATGGGCATCATCTCAGTGCTAGGGAGCTCAAAACAAAAGGCTTCAGCAGTTTATGAACCCTGGGGTCAAGGGGAGTGTGAGGAGTAGAAAAGTACTGGGCGCTGAGTCAGTGGGGAAAGGTATGCATTTTCAAGGTTTTTTCCTTCTTCCCTCATAATGCATCTGAAGAGGATCTGTGCCCAAGGCCTCAGATAGAGAGACCTGGAATGAAGGACTAGTATGGGAATGCAAGCATGTGAAAAGCCTGATTCCTCTGTTGCATCTCCCTTCAGAGGCTGCCATGCAAGGGCTGTGGCTGTGCACTATGCATGGACTGTGCATCTCATCTGGGGTGGGGAGGGCAGCTTTGCCCCTGAGGCCTGCCAGCTAGAGCCTTTGTCATTGCCTCTGGACAGGCCTGAAAGCTCACACATTGGTTTTTAACCAGGAGTAAACTTCTCTGAAGGAGCAAGATTGGCAGTTTGCTAAAAGGCATATAGATGGACCAATGTGAATGGACATAAACCACAAGGATCTTTGCCCCTCCCCTAAACACTCAACAGAGTATCCACTGCAGAGTGGCACTCAGCCAGCAGGAGGAGAAGACTTGTCCTATGGATGTCAGCCAGCCTCTCTCTTTGGCCACCATTATGCTTGGAAAATGGGCCCATGGATAGAGACCGCATTGCCTCAGTGTTTTGGCTCCCTCTTGCCAAGCCTAATCTAGTTATTGATACTGGTCATCGCCTGACCTTCCAGCAGCAGTAATGGATGCTGAACCCACAACATGGAATCATTCCTCAGGGAGACCATAAAGTCACCTGGTGGCAAGTTGATAACATTGGCCCCTTCTGCGCTGGAGGAAGCAAGGATTTGTTCTTGTTAGGGGAGGCAACTGCTGTAGACTCTAAGCCTCCCTGCGTGTTCTTGCTGGGTATGACAAGAATGCAAGGCCCTCACAGCTCTTGCCAGGTCATTTATCAAGGTTGTGTTTGCAGTAATCAACCTTGAGAGATGAAGTAATATCTCCCTCCAAGACAAAGAGAAGGTTTGTTTATTGCTTTCTATAAAACAATGGTTTCCCAAGCTGCATATTCCTCAGTTGTGATACAAACTTACTACATCTATCTGTGCCCTCTATCATACCCCCATGAGACTTGGAGACAGGGGAGCTGACATATATCATGCTGCTTGCTGTGCTGGGAGTAAAAGTCTTTGTCTCTGATCTAAGAGTCTTATATCTTCTGCCAGAATCCATAAAATAGTAACAGGTTAACTTATTACCTTCAAAAGTAAGGTAAAATCTAATTCCAAACCTAACAGTTTTTACCAGAATTGCGATCAATTCCTGATATACACTTGCCTCCTCCACCTGTAGTACCGCTCTATAAGCACCATGAACCAAGGCGTCATAGAATGCCTGAACTATTGACTTGGTACCCTGTACAAAATTGCCTTAGATCAAGGAACCTTTTTAACAGAAACGGAGGTACCAAAAAATGACATGACCAGAGCATCTGCAGTTCTTATCACACACCCCCTTATTCAGAGGCATTTGGTTTAACAGAATGATGGTCTGTTAGGTAAGGAGCCAGATTAGGCTCAAAACCCCATGGTTCTGGGATACTTGCCTCTAGAATCTGCTAGACACATTGGACCATGGATGGATATAGAGTACTACATCCCCCATAGCTTGAATGCCTGGGACCTGAAACCCAGTTGTGCAAGTAGAAATGGACCTTCTCCCCATCCCTCTCAGTGTCCTGTTTATAGAATCTATGCTTCCCTTCCAGCAAACTTTGGCACTGCCAGGTTAGAAGTCTCAGTTCTTTGGGGAAAAACTTCAGCCAAAGGACACAATAAGGGTTCCATTGAACTTGGAGCTATAACTACTACCAAGTCGTTTGCGGTGGACCAGCAAACTTGGAAAGGAGTTATATTAGCATGGAAGTAATTCACCCTGATTCACATGAAGTTCTACGGTTTTTTTTTTTTTCTACACAATGGGGCAGGAAAGAATATGTTTAGAATCCAGGAGATACACTGGGGCATCTCTTGGGAATTCCACGCCCAGTGAGAATGATAAATGGGCAATAACAAGTACCAGAGCCCAGTAAAAGCAAGGCAACCTAGAAGCCTGGATACCTTAAGGATAAGAATTTGAGTCAACCATCAGGCAAATCCTCCAGGCCAGTTCAGTGATGGCTGAGTAAAAGGGAACTCTAGAATGGATGGTGTAGCAGAAAGAGGATGAAAATCAATTACGGTCACAGGACCAGCTACAACTTTAGGAACTGCAATTTACTTCACTGATCTTCTTGCTTTAGTCTTCTTAGAGATGTGACTGGCTACACCTTGCAATAAACTCTATGACATTGAACTTACACTTTTTCTCTTAAGGAATAAGTGAGACTATCTTGTTCTAGCAAAAACGGAAGCTTAAAAATTAACTGGGCATGGTGGTGCACACCCATAGTCCTAGCTACTCAGGAAGTGAGGCGGGAGGATGGCTTGAGCTCAGGAGTTTGAGGCTGCAGTGAACCATGATCACACCATTGCACTCCAGCCAGGGCAACCGAATGAAACCCTGTCTCTAAGAAAATAAAAAATAAAAATAAAATTTTTTAAAGGCAGCTCCATATTTTCATTGTGGTGCTAGAAACACTAGAGAGTGCAACTGAATCTGAGTGGCGCAAGGGGCGGGCTGCATCAAATACTCCTTAGGCGCCACATCAGATCATTTTGGCCTCACCCCTCTGAGGTCTTTGGCTTTTTCCACTTACTCTGAAGAACTTCTTGCAGCCACACCCAATAGCACCTGTCTCATGCCAGTGCCACATACTTTTTGCTACCTACCCTGGCTTCCCTGTTGATGCTGAGGTATAAATCATCTGAGAACTTCTCAGGGAACTCCTGTAATCACAACCCAAAAATTCTGGAGAATTAATGTCATGAATCCCACAGGAGCAATATGCAACCAATGGGAAAAGGAGCTGAGTGAATAAATTCTTCTCCATTTGCCTCCTACCCCTACCCACTCCAAACAGTAGATATTGAGAATGCCACTCACTTAAGGGGAAGTCATATCACCCCCCCAATCACCACTACCCAGCCTCATTGGCTTGTCCTTGAGCCTAAATAATTATGCTAATTACATTAGAACACAATGCCACTTAACAGACTCCAATATTCCCCACACACCAAAGCCTTCAGGCAAGGCAGTGTCAAGCAAAAAACCTTTAGTGCTCAAGTCCTTTTAAGTTGCAGAGAACGTGTCCAAAAACTCTCCCCACAGAGGCAAGCTAAATTTCTCAGTCTCCCACACCATGGTAGAAAAGTAATATTCTGATTCTTCCTACTCTGGCTTTGCATGATCTTCTTTCAGGTTTTTTCATAGCAGGCTTGGTGCCAATGGTTACAACCAGGTCCTTAGCAATTGCCCACGGCTCTCTGAGCCATCAGACAGGTAAAGCTTGTAGTGTGCACGCAGTACTTCCCAGCACTGGGGCGAGTGAGCCAACCTCATTCAGCCCGACTCGCCCATCAGATGATGCTGCAGGTTCCCACTCCCAAGGGGCCACTCCTTGTTTCATCTGGAATGAGTGCCAGACACTTCCAACTCATGACTTACTTGTTTTCTTTCGTTCTTTCTTTTTCTTTCTTTCTTTCTCTGTCTCTCTCTCTCTCTTTCCTTCCTTCCTTCCTTCCTTCCTTCCTTCCTTCCTTCCTTCTTTCTTTCTTTCTTTCTTTCTTTCTTTCTTTCTTTCTTTCTTTCTTTCTTTCTTTCTTTCCTTCTTTCTTTCTTTCTTTTTTTTTGAGATGGAGTCTCACACTGTCGCCAGGGCTGGAGTACAATGCCGTGGTCTCGGCTCACTGCAACCTCCGCCTCCTGGGTTCAAGCGATTCTCCTGCCTCAGCCTCCCAAGTAGCTGGAACTACAGGCGCATGCCACCATGCCCGGCTACTTTTTGCATTTTTAGTAGAGACGGGGTTTCACCATGTTAGCCAGGATGGTCTCAATCTCTTGACCTCGTGATCTGCCCACCCTGGCCTCCCAGAGTGCTGGGATTACAGGCATGAGCCACCACGCCTGGCCTCTTACATTGTTTCTCAAATGAAAGGGCAATGAACATCTAAAGATGGGAAGAACGCAATTGGAACAAATTAAATTAATTTTATAAAGTAATCAGATTAACTCTAAGAAATAATATCACTGCCATTTTACCCCAGATGAATGTCAATGGGTTAGACTAGATCTGCCGGAGTCCGTAGTCATGCCTTGGAAACCATTTCTCTGCAGCACATATCTCAGCAGAGGATTTGCACAGAGCTTCCTGTGCAGTGGTAGGCTCCATGTCATGGGCACCAGAACATTCTTTACTCGTTCTCCATGGCCATTCCTAGAGAGCTGCGCCAGCCCTCTGACAATGAGCAGTAAGAAGCCATCATTTTGCTCAGAATGGAGACTGCAACCACATGGAATCTAAAGGAAGCTATGCTGTGTAAACCATGCCACCTACTTGGGATGGTTATTGTCAGTGTTGGTTGTGCCAGGCCAGTTTCTTGGCTGTCATTTTGCTAACTTGCCTATATATTTGCTAGAAGTTATTCTAAATGAGAGAAATTTCTGTTGCTAGTCCCAAGTAAATTGATTGTTTTTAAATTCTGCCTTAAATCAATCCACATTTTAGATCTGTTATTTAAAATCTATTTGACAATGTTGCAAGAAAACACCCACATGTAATGGAAGTATTACCTTATGGTAATGTGTTTTTAATCACATGAATTATGAAATTACTAAGAAACTTCAATATCAAGGGATAACATTAGAAGGGACCCTAAAAATTGTCAAGGCCAACTCTCCACCCAGTTCCGGAATCCCTGCCACACACCAAATCCTTCACTCTGTGACACATGGCTTACACGGCCCCCAAGGCTGCTACGCTTATTATGCCTGGCTCCAACAAGGTCTCCTCAATTCTGACCATTGCCCATTGCTAGAATCTTAAGTCTCACAAGGAAATAGTACTGTCATTTGTGCTTCATCTCAGAATTAGAGAAAACATAGAGCTTATTCCCATCTCTTCCAATCAACCACTAATTCCGGAAAATCTCTTTCCTCTGCCTTGAGTTACAGAATGGAGTCTCACAAGTGTACCTGGTTGAAAACAGATATGGGGATAAGGAGAAGGAGTGGAGAAGGAAGAAGGGCCCTCACTCACCCGCCAAAATATCCTGTGGTATATGGGATTTTATATATTATTTTTCTATAAAGTGTCTTCAGTAACTACCTCCATGGAAAAATTAATTTGAAAACACAGATAAAAGCAAACAGCAATGAAGAGCAAAGTTAGGACTTGGCTGGGTATTTAGAAGGCCAAAGCCAGCCTGGGTGAGGTGCTGCAAGGTGACATGTGACAGAGAGAAGCCATTCCAAGGAGGAGCCTGGGCAAGGAGGAGTGGGGCTGAGCTGCAAAGGGTGGAGTCACTGCCACATGAAATTTGTCAGCTGAACGCTGGGCTGATCTGGCCCTCATGCTGAGTTATTTGGAAACATTGCCCACTTTCTATCTCTGTCATGATTAGCCAGTAGTATCCTTATTCTAGAGACAACTCTGAGACCATGTTTTTATTCTGTCCTCAACTTCATGAGACCATATTTTCCTGAGCTCCACTGTTCATTTCATTCTGAATTTATTGGCTCCTTTTCAGGCTCAGTTGTTCTGCCATAACTTTGTTCATAAAGGCCCTCCCAGAAGTCTGACAAAATGGATTTTGAAAACAGCCCTTGTGAATTTCAGGCTGAAGGAGTAAATATCAAGCTGCAGAGTGTCTCCCAGAACCCAATTCTGTATTTGGTCTGATAATGTGAGGCAATGAGAATATAAGTCTTGCTTGGGGCGCACTATTTTTAAACCCCTGAGTGATGCAGACAGATACTGTGAAGTGAGATTGCACAGGTTTATACATGTTGTTTGAACAGAAAGTTCTCAGGAGAAGGAAGGTGCTATTGAGAAAGCATAGCCAAGAGCAGTGCTCTCTGGGGAAAGGGGGAGAACAGAGCCTCCGAACAACTGTCTATCATTCCCATTCCCTAAGCTCTCCGGGCTTTGGGCTGGACCAATACTGGAGAACATATACACTAAGCCAATAAATGTTCAGAGAAACGAGGGGGAAAATAGTTCTACCTGATTCTCTGTCAAGTTTACCAATGGCTGGAGAAAGAACTTGGCAAAGCAATGACAGGACTTCAGGACCCACTCAGGTGACTTGAAGAATGACATTTCCCAGGATAGAAAGCTTTTCAGTTATTCTGAGACACTGACTTGAGTAAACCTGAGCAAATCACCTCCACAGGGTTCCCATTTCAACTAGCTAAGCTGTATGATTCAGAGCAAACTAAAATGAGAGATAACTGAGGGAGGTTTTTAAGAGAAAACGAGTTTCGGTATGAAACTATTCCTCTAAGGCATCGACAGCTATGACCAAGTCAAGCAAGAATGCTACCACCATGCACCCAGCTGGCTTCAGAGCAAGCCCTGGCACATAATTTACAAACTCTCCACTGTCTGTCTCTCTATATATACACACACTCCTACTATGATATTGTGATAGGTCTGTTTAAATGGGCTGAGTTACTAAAAAGAACCAGAAGCATCGGAAGCAGGATCAAGAAGTGCAGTTGTTAAGGACAGCACTAAGCAACATACAGCTGAATTGGAAAACCATTTTAAAAATTTGCAAGAAATGAGTCCCTTGAGCTGTGCATGCCCGCATCTTCCAAAGGGCAATTTACAAAGAAGTAAGATTTGATTAAAAAAATAAAAAATACAGGTGTCCCCTCAAAATCAATGTCCTAATATAAATACCAGATTCAGTTTTTACTCTAAAACAACTCAGTTATGTGGCCTTCACCTTAGAAGAATAGCCACCATTCTAGAAATGCATAGTGAACTAGGCTCTTATATGTAAGGTTCAGTGAATATCCATGGAGAGATGGTGGTGGATGAATGCAGGCACTCCGGGCCCTCAAAATCCAATTTAGCTTGGAGCCAGCAGCCACCACTGCTAAGTCCTGCCTTGTGACAGGGTTCCTGGGCATACTCCCTGTCTGCAATTGGTTTTAGGAACTTCAAGACTAGTTGTTAGGGCTCCTGAGCTGGATCGCACAGCCTCAGAACACACCCAGGTGAGTCAAATTCAGCGTAGGCAGTGTTGTAACATGGAGGACAGGGACAAATAGAATAAAGGAAAAAGGTCCCCCACCAATCATACCTGATTATCTCCCCAAGTGCAGTGAACTCAATTACCTATCTAAATAAGTGCTGGATGAGACTCTTGCTATAGTGACAATGAGCAGCTGCCTTTCTCTCTTCCTATCCCTAATCCACAAACACACCCTCATGTCATGAGTGAGCCGGGGTCAGAGAGCTCTTGGAACTACCTATTTGTGTGATAAGATTGCAGAAATCCTGAGCAGCATAGAATATCAAGAACCCAAGGCTCTTGGGTTCTGGGTGCCAGAGAAGCTCCACTGACGAAAGAGGCGGAACAGAGTGGTCACTGCAGCTGGTGTTAAGCAGCCTTGTCCACTGTGGCATTGGTCAGCCTCTGGAGCAGTGTTTCCCAACTGGGATGATTTTGCCCCCAGAGGAGAGTTGGCAATCTAGAAACATTTTGGGTTATCACAACTGGGGGAATGCTACTGACATCCAGTGAGTGACATCTAGCCAGGGGTGTTGCTAAACACCCTACAACACACAGGACAGCCCCTCAATAAAGAATCACCCGGTACAAAATGCCAGTAACACCAAGGTTGAGAAGCCCAGCTCTAGAGTATGCCACCAACCCTACTTTGAGTAAGAAGTTGGTTCAAAGGAGGCTTGTCAAGGGTATCAGTGTTTCCCGAAAGGAAGTAGTCATAATATGGTCTGGCCTGTCCTGGTTGAGGCCTTTGAATTGGGCTTGGTACTTGCTACTTCAGGTCTTATAAACAATTATACAGAAAAAATATATACATAGAAGGGTCCTTGGAACTCCCATAGATAAAATTTCCGAAAATCCTACTTTCTGTTTTACAGTCAACAGAAAAAGGTGACATAGGGCAGGGTGTTTTGTTTGTTTTGTAGACTGATACATCCCAAGTTCCTAGAACAATACCTGGTATATGGTAGACACTCAAAATATATTTTATCCAGTGAAGAATAGCCTTAGATCCACACAGAATCTTCCTCAGGCCTCCTCATCATTGGAGAAATAATTGCTAATAATAACTGAATATTTATTGATTGCTTATTAAGTGCTAAGAACTGTTCTAAATGTTTGTTATCTAAATTAACTGAATTGATCTTCACAATCACTTTTTATGAAGTAGGCACTATTATTAATCCCCACCTTGCAGATGAGAAGAATTAGGCAAAGAGAAGTCAAATAACTTATCCGAGGTCACACAACCAGTAAGTGCTAGGGCCAGGATTCAAACCCAAGCATTCTGGCTCCAGAACCCAGGTTCTTAACATTCCATAGGTGCCATCCCCCACGGAAGACATCGTATGCACGGCCTCACCCTGCAGTGTCTCACTCAGCCCCAGCGGGAAATATCCCTAACATCAGAAAAAAAGAGAACTTCCTGGCCTAGAATCAGGCCCTAAAATTATGATAAAGATACTAGTCTAGAATAAGAAAGAGTTGAACCGTCCCCAAGTTCTGGAAGAACTAGGGGAGTCTCTGAGGCTGGGAGGTGATGGCTGGGTGCATTTGGAGAAGACACTAGTGATTTGCCTGGCTCTCTACTCAGCTTCCTGAACTTTTGTCCTTGACCACCAGCCAGAGTCTCCTCCCACTCAGCACCCACCCCACCGGCTCAGTGGTGCCTCTGAACTTCATCAGAGAGAACTGGAGGAGCTCGGCTTCTAGCACCTCAGCTTCACTTTGATGTTGGCCTTAATGTTAAGCATCTCCTGACCCTGTGCTCCAGATAACACCCAGTTTGCACCCTAATTCCTCTAGGCCAACAACCTCCTTAGCTTCTGCCATCCCACTCCCTCCCTCCCAGCGGGGAGCTTTGCTCTTAAAACCCCTTCTTCAAGCCTGTAATCCCAGCACTTCGGGAGGCCGAGGCGGGCAGATCACGAGGTCAAGAGATTGAGACTATGCTGGCCAACATGGTGAAACCCTGTCTCTACTAAAATACAAAAAATTAGCCGGGTGTTGTGGTACACACCTGTAATCCCAGCTACTCAGGAGGCTGAGCCAGGGGAATCACTTGAACCCGGGAGGTGGAGGTTGCGATGAGCCAAGATCGCACCACTGCACTCCAGCCTGGGTGACAGAGCAGACTCCATCTCAAACACACACACACACACACACACACACACACACACACACACTTTTTCAGTTATGTCCTGTTTCTTCTGCCTGCCCACATCTTCTCAGATTGTCTTGGCTCTGCTGTGATATCCCTACACACTGCTCCCCGGCTCGTACCCTAACCTGCCTGGCCAGCCCTCCCTGATGCCACTGCCTGCCTGGACTGCCCCCTGGCATTAGTTCCCATTCTTTCCACATGCCATGCTCCACCTGCCCGGACTTGCCACTGCTTGCAGCTGCACTTGCCCTGGAGCATCCTCCCTGCCCCCTGGGATGGGTGTGCCTGTCTCTAGGTTCTCTCTTCTCAACTGTCTGGGGCAACCACCTCCTGATAGCTGACACCTCAGCTATGACGCTGCTGAGAAACCAAGCTAGACCCATGCTGAGGTCAGCAAAACTATACCTCCATTCTCAACTGCTTCCCAGAGCCTGACAGCTGTGCCACCACCTCCAGGAAGTTCTTCCTAAACTCCCAAGCCGAGTGGACCCCTCATCCTTGGTGAACCTCGAGTACCTTGGATATGTCTCTTTGAGAATACCTATTGCTGCCATGATATTTCTTTTTAATATACGTAACAGGACAGAGAATATTCGTTTTGTTAGTATCAGGTATGAGACTTCTCTTAGGGCAAAAATCATTTTTGTTGGGACATATTTTCTTGAGATCACTTGGGTTTAGTGAGTTCCTGCAAGAAATAACAGCTGGTACTCAAGCCTTGAAGAAAAGAGCAATACTGTATCACACAAGGAGAGGGATTTGTCTGATCCTCAGAACAAATGGGGAGAGTAAAGGAAGATGAAACCTACAAGCATGGAGAGAAAGAGTAAAGCCATCAAAACACAAAAGGCCATATGCTCTGTCATGAGACCCTTCCCCTGGAAAAGCCTGCCAGCCTTATAAAACTAACATTATGAATAGATTGTTTTTGGAAAGCAATGATGAGTTTGACTTTGGCATCCAGATTTATTTGAAAGGAATCAGAAACAATGTGTGGATCCAGATCCAGAGATAGCCGAATCATGAGACTGCAAGCCCTTGGGAATTAAATGTGTATGTGTGTATATATATATATATATATATATATATATATATATATATATATATATATATATAATATACTGCTAAGAGAATAGAAACTACTATGTGAATAATCCTCATGGTGTCTTATGAAAAATCATTTCAAGAGAGTTACCAAGCCAGTGAAGCCAGTGAATTATACTTTGCTACCTTGCTTGTTTGGACAGAGGGCACAGAGGCCTGGGGGTTGGGGCCGTCATACTCCTAGGCCTCCAGAGAGCGCCAAAGCCAGCCTTCCTGAGTCATTGTGAGGGTGTGGCCCGTGTGGAGCGCCCCAGGTGAAGGGTGGGGAGTGCTGTCAGAATCCAGGTGGGGTAAGATGGGGTGGGGTAGGGAGGAGCCATTTGAGCGTCTGTTCTTTGCATGTTTTTTGGTCTCACAATTAACCTCCTAGACTCCTAGAGGCTGGGTGTGAGAGCTGTGTATGTACACACTGGAGACAGAGGGGACTCCAGGCAAGACATGAAAGCTATGAGAGCTTCAGGATGACCAACCCAACATAGAAACTTACATTGGCTCTGCTTTGATGCATCCCATCCCTTTACCTGGCCCAATTTACCTAGCCAACTGATTTCACAGCATCAGTGAGAGGCCTGCAGAAGTTGACCTCAAGTGCTAATTTGAAGGCTATGTAGATTAGGCCCAAGTAATACAATTTCCACAGAAATCATAAAAGCAGGGACTCTAAGAGACAAAATAATGATCTTATAATTGAATGAGCCACCCATTTACTGCTTGGGATGTTAGCCATTTACTATGTGCTCTAATCAAAAGATGAGGTAGCCTCTATTGAAACCACCAGTTCAGGTGATTTCTGATCAGCTGATTTCTATGTGTAATTGACACAAATGAGTATTTGTGTACTGTCTAGACCATGTCACCATCCCGTCAGAAGCTCAGGCAATACTTATACATGATATGTACTAGAACACATTATTTTCCTGGAAACAATTATAATGCCATTTACTTCCTCTAATGAAAACATATCTGCCTATATATCATCCACGAGGAATAAAAACAAGGAGGTCTTAAAATGCTCTGAATGAGGCTCTATGACTGGCCCCATTACCTCTTCACAATCAACTGAGTTCAAAGAAAGAATAAACAATTGCTCACTCTGAGTCTAACTTTAACTAGAGGCTGATGTCATGGCCATTTAGGCTGCAGTGGGATAACATTCAAGGAATAATAACTGGAGTCATAGAAGGGATACTTGTACTCTCTAGCCTGAAGCAAACCTATGTTAATTAAGCACTTAGGATTCTCATAGTTGTACTGTGAGTCTCTTGAGATTGAACACTGACTGCCACCCAATCTCCCACAAATCACCACCAAGTATCAGTAACTTTGACCTTTGAGCACATATTCTTAGCAGGCCGCGCTCTTAGGGATCCCATGTATTGACTCATTTAATTATGACGTCAAAACACTTACTACCCTCTCTTGACAAAAAAGGAAACTGAGGCTTGGGCAGGTTAAGTAACGTTCCAGAGGGCATACAGTTAATCCATTGCAGAACGTGGATTTAAACTCAGGAAGCCTGTCTCCAAGACCCACATACCTAAACAATGTGTTACACCAAATTCAGAAAACAAGAAAACTCAACGAAAAGGAAAAATGATATGTGAATGGAACATTATAACCAACATACATTAAACTACCTGAACAGGGAAAAACAGAACAAAAGAAAAATCGAAGAAGAAAAACTATCCCTTCATCAACTCTGCAGTTTTCTCCATTTAAACCTAACCTTGGCCTGAACTACCACAGGGAAATGAGGCCATGGTTAAAACATAAGGGAAAACCAAAAAAGTTTGCCGCTGGGTTCAGTGTTAGGATAACATAAGGAACTTTCAAGGATAATCTGATTACCCAGTGTTTTGCCTTCCATGCCAAGATCAGACCCTGAGCCCACAAATAAAATGTTACTCTACTCCACTGATGTGACTGATTTGGGGCAAATCTTGTAATATTTCTTTGATCATTCAATCGTAGTCAAGAGGCATCATGGGGACCACCAACTGTGCTCTGGATTGGCATTCAGAGCTGTACCTTCTTCCTATTGCTGTAGCAATACCCCTCCTACTGAATATAGGTTTCTGGTCTCAGCAGTCACCGAGACAGAGCTCACAAAATAATAGCAACTAAATAAAAGCAACACAGATTTGCAGTCATCTGTTGGTCAAAACTCCATTGTTTCTCCATATATAAATCACACACATTAGCTAGAACTGCTTTGTACAGAACCTATGACTACGTTCGCTCAACTGTAAAGTGAAACATCTGCCCCTGCACAGCCAATACTAATTGCTCTTTCAAGTTGAAAGCCACTTCCATTGTGCAGTGTCCCTCAGTGTCACTTGATGAAGGCATTTTGCCAAAAGCATGTTGAGCCCTCTTTCTGATCATAACATTAGTCAATACCTTTGTAGCTGGTTTCAGAAGCGTCTCATAAATAGTGCCACTCATACCAATTTTGCTCCAAGAAGCTCATTTGTGTGAATCCTCAGGTAGAGAAGAGGGTCTCCAGATGCGAAGCAGAAACTGAGAAGCAGCCAGACTTGGTGGCTCACACCTGTAATCGCATCGCTTTGGGGGACTGAGGCAGGAGGATGGCTTGAGTCCACAAGTTCAAGACCAGCCTGGACAACACAGTGAGACCTCATCTCTACAAAAAATAAAAATATTAGCCAGGCATGGTGGTGCACACCTGTAGCCCTAGCTGCTTGGGAGGCTGAAGTAGAAGGATCACTTAAGCCTGGGAGGTTGAGGATGCAGTGAGCTGTGATTGCACCACTCCACTCCAGCCTAGGTGACAGAGAGAGACCGTCTCTCAAAAAAATTAAGGGCCGGGCACAGTGGCTCACATCTGTAATCCCAGCACTTTGGGAGGCTGAGGCGGGTAGATCACCTGAGGTCATGAGTTTGAGATCAGCGTGGCCAACATGGTGAAACCCCGTCTCTACTAAAAATACAAAAAATTAGCCGGGCGTGATGACACGCGCCTGTAGTCCCAGCTACTTGGGAGGCTGAGGTACGAGAATCGCTTGAACCCGGGAGGCAGCGGTTGGAGTGAGCGGAGATCATACCACTGCATTTCAGTGTGGGCAACAGAGTGAGGCTCCATCTCAAAAAAGAAAAAAAAAAAAACATAAGAAGCCAAGTGTTCAGGAATTGAGGAAGAAAGTTCTGTCTCCCTTTTGGTTTAGACCAGTATTTTGTTTAGACCTTTTGGGTTAGGCCAGAATTGCCATACTTCAGAGTCACTGGAAAAACTTGAAAAAAAAAAAAAATCCTGATCCCTACCCTTAGAGTTCTGATTCTCTAGGTCAGGGATGCCAGGACCAAGGATTTTTTTTTTTTTTTTTTTTTTTTTTTTTGAGATGGAGTCTCGCTCTGTCGCCCAGGCTGGAGTGCAATGGTGCCAATTTGGCTCACAGCAAGCTCCGCCTCCCAGGTTCACGCCATTCTCCTGCCTCAGCCTCCTGAGTAGCTGGGACTACAGGCACCAGCCACCATGCCCAGCTATTTTTTCTTTGTACTTTGTTTTTTTTAGTAGGGATGGGGTTTCTCGGTGTTAGCCAGGATGGTCTTGATCTCCTGACTTCGTGATCCACCTGCCTCGGCCTCCCAAAGTGCTGGGATTACAGGCCTGAGCCACCGCGCCCGGGCCTGGCCTTTTTTTAAAGTTTTACAGGTAATTCTGATGATCAGCCTAGGCCTGAGAGCCATTGAAAAAGTAACAGGTTCCAAAAAGCCGTCTCTGCTGCAATTCTTTTCTGTTAGTTCTAGACCTATTATCAAAATTTATTTTTTTCAAGGTTTTATGTTTATAAAATAAGACCAACTATTATTTAGCCTCTCTTAATGAGTGTTTACAATTGCAACACTAGCTTTTTCATATAATGCCAGTATTTTTTTCTAAATCAGAGCAAGTACCACACAGAAGGAACTCCACACATTGACAATGGCCTCGTAGCAACCACGTTCCTGGTTATCCATAGTAGGAGAGAAACAGGCAAGTTTGACATGTGCTGTAATAAGAAAACACACAAATGTTCTCGGCAGCATAATAAGATACTGCTCCCTACATCCTGCTTTCCCTTGGAAGTCAGGACATATTTTGGGGAACAGCAAGATAGAATACATTACAAACTAGCAACTATCAAATGCAGAATTTATTCTTCTCCTTTCTCTAGCCCACTATTTCTTCAGTAGTGTTGACTGTAAACACACTGGTATTACATCAGAAGCTGGGGATATGGGACAGTGCCCAATATCTTCAAAATGAAAAATTTAACCAAAGTGTAATTTCTCTCTCTCTCTTTTTTTTTTTCGATATGGAATCTCACTCTGTAGCCCAGGCTGGAGTACAGAGGGGCGATCTCAGCTTGCTGCAACCTCTGCCTCTCAGGCTCAAGCAATTCTCATGCCTCAGCCTCCCAAGTAGCTGAGACTACAGGTACACACCACCACGCCTGACTAATTTTTTTGTATTTTAGTAGAGACAAGGTTTCACCATGTTGCCTAGGGTGGTCTTGAACTCCTGAGCTCAAGTGATACAACCGCTTCGGCCTCCCAAAGTGCTGGGATTACAGGTGTGAACCACCGTGCCCAGCCTAATTTGTCTTATTCTATGGGAAGATATTTAAAAATATATATCTTATTAGTTGATTTAATTATTGGATGTTAGTAATAGTGTGTGTTTTATTGATCTAGTTACTGACACATGTTTTTAAACGTTAGGTCTGATTAGTTTAGTTCTGAAAAACAGGTTTCTAGAATGGTGTTCTGCATCCCCCCTGGATGCCTATGAAGCTAAACCTATTGTAGACATGACTTCATTGGATCTCCGTATCAAGGATTAATTCCTAAGGGATTGGATAAGAAGATGGTATCTGCCGTATGCACTCAGACTGGAGCTGGAAAGGAAAGGCCCTGTCTAGGATCTGTCTTTCCCCCTCACTCCACAAACAAGAAGCAGGTTTTCAAACCAGAATTAGGCTTATTTTATAAACCAATTTAGGCTCAGAGAGCCATCTGTGTTTATCTCCCACATTTTATCCCCTAAAGCCTTATTTGCAATTCTCAACCTGTCTCAGCAATACTTCAAAGACCCAAGGGAAGATACGTATTCCATAGTTAGCCTGACACACCAGAGAGGAAGGACTCTTCTAGAGGCAAGCACCATAGTGAGTTGAAGCTTGGGGGAAAGAGGAGATCTTAGAAAAAGGTGATATGCTCCAACTGTACCTCTCCATCAGGAAATTCTTCTTTTAGGGAAAAATTAAGAAGTTTGACTTTTTTTCCTTATTAGGTAAAGTATGCATATCCTACAGAGATAATCTCCCTGTCTTACACAAAAAATAACTGAAGCCAAGATGTCAATGTCTGTCTCCAAAACAACACAGCTGCAAATGGTGGCATAAAAAGTCAGCATTGTGCCACTTAGAGCTTTACATCACTGGTTTTCAAATTTTGCAGCATTCTGGCATCCTTTTTGTTTATTATTTTAAATTGTGTTAAAAAATACATAACATAAAATTTACCATCTTAACCAAATTTATACGTTAGTAGACTGAGATATATTCACATTGTTGCACAACAGATCTCCAGAACTTTTTCATCTTGCAAAACTAAAACTCTACACCTGATGAATAACTCCCCATTCCCCCTTCCCCCAGCCGCTGGCAATCACCATTCTACTTTCTGTTTCCGTAAACTTGACTATGTTAGCTATGTCATATAAGTGAAATCATGCAGTGACTGGCTTATTTCACCTAACATAATGTCCTCAAGGTTTATCCATGTCATAGTGTGTAAAGCCATTTTCTTCCTTTTTAAGGCTGAAATATTTTCAGCTGTGTGTACATATTACGTTTTACTTATCCATAATTCATTGATGAATGCTGGGTTGCTTCCACATCTTGGTTATTGTAAATAATGCTGCTATGAACGTGAATGTGCAAATATCTCTTTAAGATCCTATTTTCAATTCTTTTGTATAGATACCCAGAAATGATATTGCTGGATCATATGGTAATACTATTTTTACTGTTTCAAAGAACTGTACCATTTTCCATAGTGGTTGCACCATTTTACATTTGCACCAACAATACACAAGGGTTCCAATTTCTCCACATCCTCACCAACATTTGTTATTTTCTGTTTTGTGTGGTTTTCATTAGTAGTAGCCATCCTAATGAGTGTGAGGTGACATCTCACTGGGGTTTTGATTTGCATTTTCCTAGTGGTTAGTGATGTTAAGCATCTTTTCATACACTGGTTGGCCATTCGTATATCATTTTTAGGAAAATATCTATTCAACTCCTTTGCCCATTTTTTAAAAGAGTTATTTGGTTTTTGTTGTTCAGTTTTAGGAGTTCTTTCTATATTCTGAATATCAATCCCTTATCAGGTATATAATTTGCAAATATTTTCTCCTTTCTATGGGTTGCCTTTTAATCCTGTTGATTGTGTCGTTTGATGCACAAAAGTTTTAAGTTTGATGTAATCTCATTTATCTGTTTTTGCATTTATTGCCCGTGCTTTGAGTGTCATATTCAAGAAATCAAGCAAACTAACACAGGAACATAAGAACACATGGATACAAAGAGGGGAAAAATACACACTGGGGCCTATCAGAGGGTAGAGGATAGGAGGAGGGAGAGGATCAGGAAAAATAACTGATGGGAACTAGGCATAATACATGGATGATGAAATAATCTGTACAACAAACCTCCATGACAGAAGTTTACCTATATAACAAACCTGCACATGTACCCATAACTTAATATAAAAGTTAAATTTTTTAAAAAAGTAATCGTTGCCAATTCAAAGTCATAGGATTTTATCCAGTGTTTTCTTTTAGGACTTTTATAGTTTTAGGTTTTACAGTCTTTAATCTATTTTAAGTTAATTTTTGTATATAGTATAAGCTAGTAAACCAGCTTCATTCTTCTGCATATGGATATCCAGTTTTCCTAGTACCATTTGTTGAAAAGACTGTCCTTTCCTCCATCAAGTGGTCTTAGTACCCCTGTTGAAGATCATTTGACCTTATGTGCAAGACTTTATTTCTCTGGTCTCTGTTCTATTCCATTGGTTTATATGTCTGTCTTTGTGCCAGTATCACACTGTTTTGATTATTGCCACTTTGTAATAAGTTTTGAAATCAGGAAGTGTGACATCTCCAGCTTTTTTTTTTTTTCAAATTGTTTTGGTTATTCAGGGTCTCTTGAGATTCCATATGAACTTTAAAATAGACTTTTCTATTTCTGCAAAACACATCATTGAGTTCTTGACAGGGATTGCATTGAATCTTTAGGTTGCTTTGGGTACCATCAAATTTTTTTTTTTTTTTTTTTTTTTTTTGAGATGGAGTTTCGCTCTGTCACCCAGGCTGGAGTGCAGTGGCATGATCTTGGCTCACTACAAGCTCCACCTTCTGGGTTCATGCCATTCTCCTGCCTCAGCCTCCCAAGTAGCTGGGACCACATGTGCCTGCCACCACGCCTGGCTAATTTTTTTGTATTTTTAGTATAGACAGGGTTTCACCGTTTTAACCAGGATGGTCTCGATCTCCTGACCTCATGGTCCGCCCATCTTGGCCTCCCAAAGTGCTGGGATTACAGGCGTGAACCACCACGCCCAGCTGGGTAATATCGGAATCTTGACAATATTAAAGCTTCCAATCTATGAACACAGGATGTCTTTCTACTTATTTGTATCTTCTTTGATTTCTTTTAGCAAAGTTTTATAGTTTTCAGTGTATAAGTCTTTCTCTTATTTGCTTAAGTTTACTCCTATTGTAATTTTTGATGCTATTATAAATGGACTTATTTTTATAATTCCTTTTCAAATTTTGTATTGTTAGTGTTTAGAAACACAAATAATTTTCTGTGCTGATTTTGTATCCTGCAACTTTGCTGACTTTATTTCTTAGTTCTAACAGTGTTTTGTGCATGTTTGAAACCTTTAGGGTTTTCTACATATAAGATTGTGTCATCTGCAAACAGAAATAATTTGACTTCTTCCTTTCCAATTTGGATGCCTTCGATTTATTTTTCTTGTGTAAGTGCTCTGGCCAGGACTTTCAGTACCATGTTTAATGGAAGTGGCAAAAGCAAGCACCCTTCTTGTTCCTAATCTTAAAGGAAAAGCTGTCAGTCTTTTACCATTGAGTGTAATGTTAGCTGTGGGCTTTTTATCTATGGCCTTTATTATGCTGAGGTAGTTCTTTCTATTCCTAATTTAATGAGTGTTTTTGTCATAAAATAGTTTTGAATTTTGTCAAGTGCTTTTCTACATTAATTAAGATGATCATATGGGGTTTTCCCCCTTCATCCTATTAGTGTGGCATATTACATTAGATTGATTTTCACATGTTGAAATCTTCTTGCATCCCAGAAATAAATTCCCATTCTTATAAAGCTGAATAATTACATGAATTTAATCAAAGGATTCAGTTTTCTGACCTCTGTGGAAGACATTAACGTCTTAGAGCAAAGTGCATAAGACAAAACAATGACTGCCATTCAACTCATGGATGAGTAAGAAGTATGTTGCTCAGAGTTTCTGAATAAAATCAGCTGAAGCCTGAGCCATCCATCCTGGATTCTTCTGTGTTCCTCAGGAGAATGAATTTATAATGAGTAATTGGGAACTAGGAAGCTTAGTGTGATATTTTCGTCCAGGATGTGTTGGCTCACGACTGTAATCCTAGCACTTTCGGAGGCTGAGGCAGCCTGAGCCTCCTGATCATGAAGTCAGGAGTTCAAGACCAGCCTGGCCAAGATGGTGAAACCCTGTGTCTACTAAAAATACAAAAATTAGCCGGGCATGGTGGCAGGTGCCTGTAATCCCAGCTGCTCGGGAGACTGAGGCAGAGGGGTGCTTGAACTGGGAGGCAGAGGTTGCAGTGAGCCAAGATCATGCCACTGCACTGCAGCCTGGGCAACAGAGTGAGACTCTGTTTAAAAAAAAAAAAAAAAGAAAGAAAGAAAAGAAAAGAAAAAAGAGAATCCTCAGCAACATCCCTAAGATGGACGTGGACAGAGCCCTAAGCAGTAGAGGTGATGGGTGTGCACTACTCTTGGCTTTGCTACTATTCTTGTGCCCATACAAAGGCAGCCCAAAGAATAATAGCAACTCTCTATTTATATACCAACCATTAGCTCATCCACATAGTCTCAGTGTTTATTAGCTCTAATTTTACAGAGGGATAAATTTAGGTCAATAGAGATGAAATGCTTGGCCAGAGGACATAAAATAAATGATAATGTGTGGCACTCCAAATCTAGATCCCTAGACTGGTAACTGGCTTTCTTTTCTATGCTGTTTCCTTGATTTAAAAAAATATTGTCTAAAAATTATTTATCAGCACTTGTTTCTTAACCTTTAAGTACAAAATACACAAACATTACTTCAGCACTATTTTTCACATACTACTTTAATTTTTTTAATGTCTGTCATGACATCATGCTCATCTAAGTTTCTCCTTCCTCACTGGTTGCTCCTTCTCAACATTCTTTACACATCTAGGTATTGCAGACTCCAAAGTCCCATCCTCATCCTCCTTTCCCTCTTTTTCTAGGAAGTCTCGTTCACTACCATCATTTTAAATAAAATCATTTTGCTGATAAAACTTATCTTCAGAACTTCAGGCAGATACATCCAACTGCTTACTTAACTTCTTCAGTGAGATGACTAGTGGGATATTCAAATAGAACATATCCAAAAGAGAAGTTAGAGTTTTCTTCTCAATATCTGCTTCTGCTATACACTTCCATCTCACCAAAATTGGAGGAGTTATCTTTTACTATCCAGTCTCCCTCACCACTCAACACTTCCATTAACTACAACTATATCCAAGCAAATACATCAACTCTATGTCTAAAATATGTCTGGACTCCAACCACTCCTCTCCACCTCCACCACTACTGCCCTAGTCCACACCTCCACCTCTCTGGCCTGGACTACTGAAGCAGTCCATTAACTAGCCCACTCTGCTTCCAATTGATCCCAAGCATACCCATCTGATCCCAAGGCATTCTCCAGTCAGTAGATAGAATGATATTCTAAAAATATGTTAGATAATATCACTCCCAAATGCCCTCTAATGCTTCCCATTGCAAGTAGAATAAAATCTAAAATCTACACGATCCAGCCTCTGGTTTTCTCACTGAACTCCTATCCTAGTATTTCTCCTTATTTATCACCTCCCAGCTAACTGGCATTCTTCCTGTTCCTCAAGCATGCTGTATTAGTCCGTGTTTGTGCTGCTGATAAAGACATACCTGAGACTGGACAATTTACAAAAGAAAGAGGTTTAATGGACTTACCGTTCCATGAGGCTGGGGAGGCCTCACAATTATAGTGCAAGACAAGGAGGACCAAGTCATGTCTTACATGAATGGCAGCAGGCAAAGAGAGAGCTTGTGCAGGGAAACTACCTGTTATAAAACCAACAGATCTCATGAGACTTATTTACTACCATGAGAACAGCACAGGAAAGACCTGCCCCCATGATTCAATTACTTCCCACCATGTCCCTCCCACAACACGTGGGAATTCAAGATAAGATTTGGGTGGGGACATAGCCAAACCATATTATTCTGCCCTTGGCCCCTCTCAAATCTCATGTCCTCACATTTCAAAACCAATCATGCCTTCCCAACAGTCCTCCAAAGTCTCAACTCATTTCAGCATTAACTCAAAAGCCCACAGTGCAAAGTTTCATCTGAGACAGGGCAAGTCCCTTCTGCCTATGAGCCTGTAAAATCAAAAGCTACTTGGTTACTTCCTAGACACAGTGTGGGTACAGGCATTGGATAAATACAGACAACCCAAATGGAAGAAATTGACCAAAACGAAGGTGGTACAGGCCCCATGAAAGTCTGAAATCCAGTAGGGTAGTCATTAAACCTTAAAGTTCCAAAATGATCTCCTTTGACTCTATGTCTCACATCCAGGTCACGTTGATGCAAGATATGGTCTTAGGCAGCTCTGCCCCTGTGGCTTTGCAGGGTACAGCCTCTCTCCTGGCTGCCTTCACAGGCTGGCATTGAGTGTCTGTGGCTTTTCCAGGTGCACAGTGCAAGCTGTCAGTGGATCTACCATTCTGGTGTCTGGAGGATGGTGGCCCTCTTCTCATAGCTCCATTAGGCAGTGCCCCAGTAGGAACTCTGTGTAGGGGTTCACACCCCATGTTTGCCTTCTGCACTGCCCTAGCAGAGGTTCTCCATGAGGGGCCCACCCCTGTAGCAAACTTCTGCCTGGGCATCCAGCCATTTCCATGCATCCTCTGATATCTAGGCAAAAGTTCCCAAACCCCAATTCTTGACTTCTCTGCACTCGAAGGCTCAACACCACATGGAAGCTGCCAAGGCTTGGGGCTTGCACCCTCTGAAGCCACGGCCTGAACTCTACATTGGCCCTTTCAGCCACAGCTGGAGTAGCTGGGACAAAGGGCACCAAGTCCCTAGGCAGCACACAGCACAGGGACCCTGGGTCTCGCCCACAAAACCATGTTTTCCTCCTAGGCCTCTGGGCCTATGATGGGAGGGGCTGCCATAAAGACCTCTGACATGCCCTGGAGACATTTTTCCCATTGTCTTGGGGGTTAACATTCAGCTCCTAGTTACTTATGCAAATTTCTGCAGCTGGCTTGGGTTTCATCTCAGAAAATGGGTTTTTCTTTTCTATTGCATTGTCAGGCTGCAAATTTTCCAAACTTTTATATTCTGCTTCCCTTATAAAACTGAATGCCTTTAACAGCACCCAAGTCACAATTTGAATGCTTTGCTGCTTAAAAATTTCTTCCACCAAATACTTTAAATCATCTCTCTCAAGTTCAAATTTCCACAAATATCTAGGGCAGAGGCAAAATGCCACCAGTCTCTTTGCTAAAACCTAACAAGAGTCACATTTGCTCCAGTTCCCAACAAATTCTTCATCTCCATCTGAGACCACCTCAGCCTGGATTTCATTGTCCATATCATTATCAGCATTTTGGGCAAAGCTATTCAACAAGTCTCTAGGGAGTTCCAAACTTTTGCAGATTTTCCTGTCTTCTTCTGAGCCCTCCAAACTGTTCCAACCTCTGCATGTTACCCGGTTCCAAAGTTGCTTCCACATTTTCAGGTATCTGTTCAGCAGTGCCCCACTCTACTGGTACCAATGTACTGTATTAGTCCATTTTCATGCTGCTGATAAAGACATACCTGAGACTGGGCAACTTACAAAAGAAAGAGGTTTAATGGACTTATAGTTCCATGTGGCTGGGGAGGCCTCACAATCATGGCAGAAGGCAAGGAGGACCAAGTCATGTCTTATATGAATGGCAACAGGCAAAGAGAGAGCTTGTGCAGTGAAACTTCCCCTTATAAAACCATCAGATCTCATGAGACTTGTTCACTATCACAAGAACAGCGTGGGAAACACCTGCCCCCATCATTCAATTACCTCCCACCAGGTCCCTTGCACAACACATGGGAATTCAAGGTAAGATTTGGCTGGGGACACAGCAAAACCATATTACATGCCAAGTTCATTTCAATCTTTCTCCCCCTTTGCTGGGAACATCTTCCCTGAAATTTTCTCATGGTTCTCACTTCCTCAACCCTAATGTCATCTTCTTTGAAAAAACTTCCTGGCCAGCTAAAAGATGTCACTATCACCCAATTATTCTCTCTCTCAATAACCCAGATTTTTTTTAATATCATTTGCCTCTTTTTGAAATCATTGTATTTATTTGATTTGTTGGCTAATGATCTTCACCCACCAGAACATCAGTTCTATGATGCTACAAACTTTTTCTTCTTCACCTCTAAATTTACAATGACTAGAATAGCACCTGTGGCAAGATAAGTGTATAATACATACATGCGAGGAAATGTATGACAAAACAAGGAAATATAGAAAACTAGTAAAATGTGAAAGAAGTTCTTAATGAAAAAAATTAGCCTTACTATCCAGAGATAGCAACTCTTCATACATTTTCTTTCTCTCTCTCTCTCTCTCTCTCTCTCTTCCTCTCTCTTTGTCTCTATCTCATTGTGGCTATGCATGTGCATAATAAATTGGCATCCTGCTTTTATCACTTGACGATGACTATTATGCGTATACTCACATCAACCGTAATTATTATAAAGTTTAAATATGTCAGTTTAAAAAAATTAAAACGAGTAAACAGTAAACAATGAAAGTCATATCCTGTTCAATCCAGTTCCCAGAAGTAACTACTGTCAAGATTGGTATGTATTAGTCAATGGTTTTTCCTTTGTCTCTCTATATATACACACATACACAAACACATCACACACATATGTAAAATGTGATATAACATTATATATATATAGTATATATGTGTAGCTTTGTGGAAAAATAAAATCACAGAAATCAAACTTTTCCTTTTTATTGTAGAATATATTGAGATCTTTTCATGTCAGAATGCACTGAAAATTTTAAGTTATTTTCAATCTTTTTTTTTTTATTATTATACTTTAAGTTTTAGGGTACATGTGCACAATGTGCAGGTTAGTTACATATGTATACATGTGCCATGCTGGTGCACTGCACCCACTAACTCGTCATCTAGCATTAGGTATATCTCCCAATGCTGTCCCTCCCCCCCACCCCACCCCACACCGGTCCCCAGAGTGTGATGTTCCCCTTCCTGTGTCCATGTGTTCTCATTGTTCAATTCCCACCTATGAGTGAGAATATGTGGTGTTTGGTTTTTTGTTCTTGCGATAGTTTACTGAGAATGATGATTTCCAATTTCATCCATGTCCCTACAAAGGACATGAAGTCATCATTTTTTATGGCTGCATAGTATTCCATGGTGTATATGTGCCACATTTTCTTAATACAGTCTATCATTGTTGGACATTTGGGTTGGTTCCAAGTCTTTGCTATTGTGAATAGTGCCGCAATAAATATACGTGTGCATGTGTCTTTATAGCAGCATGATTTATAGTCCTTTGGGTATATACTCAGTAATGGGATTGCTGGGTCAAATGGTATTTCTAGTTCTAGATCCCTGAGGAATCGCCACACTGACTTCCACAATGGTTGAACTAGTTTACAGTCCCACCAACAGTGTAAAAGTGTTCCTATTTCTCACATCCTCTCCAGCACCTCCAGTCATTATGATGTTTGCTGGTTATTTTGCTTGTTAGTTGATGCAGTTTCTTCCTAGTCTCGATGGTCTTTACATTTTGGCATGATTTTGCAGCGGCTGGTATCGCTTGTTCCTTTCCATGTTTAGTGCTTCCTTCAGGAGCTCTTTTAGGGCAGGCCTGGTGGTGACAAAATCTCTCAGCATTTGCTTGTCTGTAAAGTATTTTATTTCTCCTTCACTTATGAAGCTTAGTTTGGCTGGATATGAAATTCTGGGTTGAAAATTCTTTTCTTTAAGAATGTTGAATATTGGCCCCCACTCTCTTCTGGCTTGTGGAGTTTCTGCCGAGAGATCCGCTGTTAGTCTGATGGGCTTCCCTTTGTGGGTAACCCAACCTTTCTCTCTGGCTGCCCTTAACATTTTTTCCTTCATTTCAACTTTGGTGAATATGACAACTATGTGTCTTGGAGTTGCTCTTCTCGAGGAATATTTCTGTGGCGTTCTCTGTATTTCCTGAATCTGAATGTTGGCCTGCCTTGCTAGATTGGGGAAGTACTCCTGGATAATATCCTGCAGAGTGTTTTCCAACTTGGTTCCATTCTCCCTGTCACTTTCAGGTACACCAATCAGACGTAGATTTGGTCTTTTCACATAGTCCCATATTTCTTGGAGGCTTTGTTTGTTTCTTTTTACTCTTTTTTCTCTAAACTTCCCTTCTCGCTTCATTTCATTCATTTCATCTTCCATCGCTGATAACCTTTCTTCCAGTTGATTGCATTGGCTCCTGAGGCTTCTGCATTCTTCACGTAGTTCTCAAGCCCTGGTTTCAGCTCCATCAGCTCCTTTAAGCACTTCTCTGTATTGGTTATTCTAGTTATACATTCGTCTAAATTTTTTTCAACATTTTGAACTTCTTTGCCTTTGGTTTGAATTTCCTTCTGTAGCTCATAGTTTGATCGTCTGAAGCCTTCTTCTCTCAACTCGTCAAAGTCATTCTCCATCCAGCTTTGCTCCATTGCTTGTGAGGAACTGTGTTCCTTTGGAGGAGGAGAGGTGCTCTGCTTTTTAGAGTTTCCAGTTTTTCTGCTCTGTTTTTTCCCCATCTTTGTGGTTTTATCTACTTTTGGTCTTTGATGATAGTGATGTACAGATGGGTTTTTGGTGTGGATGTCCTTTCTGTTTGTTAGTTTTCCTTCTAACAGACAGGACCCTCAGCTGCAGGTCTGTTGGAGTTTGCTAGAGGTCAACTCCAGACCCTGTTTGCCTGGGTATCAGCAGCGGTGTTTGCAGAACAGTGGTTTTTCGTGAACTGCGAATGCTGCTGTCTGATAGTTCCTCTGGAAGTTTTGTCTCAGAGGAGTACCGGGCCGTGTGAAGTGTCAGTCTGCCCCTACGGGGGGGTGCCTCCCAGTTAGGCTGCTCAGGGGTCAGGGGTCAGGGACCCACTTGAGGAGGCAGTCTGCCCGTTCTCAGATCTCCAGCTGTGTGCTGGGAGAATCACTGCAATCTTCAAAGCTGTCAGACAGGGACATTTTCATTATTTTTAATCTTTAGATTTGCTGCATGGTAGGGAGAGAGGTAAGCCAACAAGAAGCAAATAGATTGTTGTTTCAGAGGGGTTCAGGAGTGAAGGACAAACTATATCTCTGAAGGCAAAGACTCAGGGTGGGGTTGAGCACAGAAGGATAGATTTGAAATCTACAAGAAGCATCTAGACGGCCATTTCCTCTTCCCCACTACACAGTCAAGTGACTAGCTTTTCCCAGCCTTGTCAGAAGGCAGAATAAGGCATATGCTGAAGACAAATGCTTTACATTAAAGTCTACAAATCCAGTGGTGAAACTCCTAGCCCATTCTCATACTGGCTTGTAGGATTATAACAACCAGGCTATGCCATCCAGGCAAGAGACCGGAAGATTCTTCTCCAAGAAAACTAATCACCCCAATATACTGGCAACTTGGAGTACTTCGTGAAAACAGATTTACCTTCTTACCCTATGATGAGTCCCACTAGTTGAGCCCAAACAACATATGTGGAGCTTCCAAACTAAAATTTTTTTTATGTCTCACTCTTAAATGTAAATAAGTAACCAAGGAACATCAAGCATCCAAGAAAAGCCTTGAAATTCAAAATATGTACATAAACAAACAAAAGATGAAGCTAAAAAGAAAAAGAGATGTGGAAAAGACCAGAAGTAGACATCTGAGGGAAAATGGTGGGTAGGAGGCAGGACTAAGTTGCATTTACCTCTCAGGTGGGCAGAACAGTGTATGGAGACTCACATCATGAATTTTTGATCCATGAACCACTGCCAGAACATACCAGAAAAACTGAAAGAATTCACAGACCCTTTGAAAGAAGTGGTTTGCCACTGCAAACTCCATGAGACAGCCAAAAAACTGTGAGTGCTCAAAGTGTGCGTGGTGGAAAGTCCACCTCTGAACACACATCCTCACTGGGAAACATGAGAATCCAAATCATGGGAGAAGGATTTAACCTTACCTAGAGCTGAAACAAATTTAGAGAGCCAAGCAAAATATAAAAGTAGAAGAAGCAATGGGAAGAACCCTATAGGCACTCCTGGTGCCCAGGGAAGCCATTTCTGACTTTAACTCACAGGGGTCCTTGGAGAGGGTAGCCAGTGGAATTGGGGAAGGGCCACAGGGAGAAGAAGATTTCTGGTTGAACTTTGTAATAATTTCAACTGAATGTGAATTTTCCTGCCAGGGGTGGGGGTGTGGGCAGGAAGTGCAAATATGAGCACAGAAGGCATGCAGGCAGGAAGGGGCGAGACCTGAAAATTCTGCTTGCTTTCTCAGTGTGGATGGAGGCTTATAGCCTGGGGCAAGATTTCAGCCCTATGCACTGGAGGCCTGGGTATAAATTTGGCTCTGTTAGCTGCTGGGGGAGCATAGTGGGAGTGAGACTGGCCTTGCTGGCTGTGTGGGAGCTGAGTGAGGCCTGTCACTCCCAGCTTTCCGCGACTTTCCTGGCAACCTGTACAAAGCAGCAGAGGTAGCCATAATCCCCCTTGAAACATACTCTATTGGTCTGAGAGCCATCCCCCCATCACCTGACAGTGGCCACAGCAAGCCCCACCCAAAAAGAGTCTGAACTCAGACGCACCTAACCCTGCTCCCACCTGATGAATGATCTTTCCCTACCCATACTGGTAGCTGAAGCCATAAACCCATGAAGGCTCTATGGCACTACCTATCACCTGAGAAACCCAAATACTTATCCAGGCAGCCTTAGGGCAAGCTTGTATCCCCCACCCCATACTACCACGGTTGATGATCTCTTGAAAGCTCCACCTCGTGGCTGCAGGCCAATTAACTCAAGCCATTACAGCAACTCATAACAGAACAACCCTGCTCCAAGGAAGGAGAAAACAACAGCTAATTCCACCACCTGTAACATTCTGGCTAACCAGAGGTCCTGAGTCTGTCCACATGACAACTTCACTGCTGGCATAACCAACATTTGAGAAAACCAGTGCACTAAACAAAACTACAACCAAGGATACTCAGAGTCCACTTCACTCCCCTGCTACCTCCACTGCTGCAGGTGCTGGTATCCATGGCTGAGAGACCTGAAGATGGATTACATTACAAGACTCTTTGCAGACACTCCTCAGTACCAGCCTGGAGCCCAGTAGCTCCACTGGGTGGCTAGCCCCAGAAAAGCGATAACAATCACTGTAGTCCAGTTCTCAAGAAGTCCCATCCTTAGGGGAAGGTGGAGAGCACCCCATCAAGGGATGACCCTGCGGAACAAAAGAATCTGAACAGCAGCGCTTGAGTCCATGATCTTTCCTCTGACATAGTCTACCCAAATGAGAAGGAAAGAGGCAAACAATTCTGATAATATAACAAAATAGGATTCTATAATACCCCCCAAAAGATCACACTAGCTCACCAGCAATAGATCAAACCAAGAAGAAATCTCTGAATTGGCCGAAAAAGAATTCAGAAGATTGATTATTAAGCTACTGAAGGAGGCACTAGAGAAAGATGAAAACCAACTTAAAGACATTTAAAAAATAATCGAGATATGGATGAAAAAATCTCCAGGGAAATAGATATCATAAATAAAAAACAATCACAACTTCTGGAAATGAAAAACACACTTAGAGAAATGCAAAATACACTGGAACATTTCAACAATAGAATAGAACAAGTAGAAGAAAGAACTTCAGAGCTCAAAGACAAGCTTTTGAATTAACCCAATTAGATAAAGACAAAGAAAAAAGAATTTTAAAAAATGAACGAAGCCTCCAAGAAGTTTGGGATTATGTTAAATGACCAAACCTAAGAATAACTGGTGTTCATGAGGAAAAAGAGAAATCTAAAGGCTTGGAAAATTTATTTGAGGGAATAATCAAGGAAAACTTCCCTGGCCTTGCTAGAAACCTAGACATCTAAATACAAGAAGCTCTAAGAACACCCAGGAAAGTCATTACAAAAAGATCATCACCTAGGCACATAGTCATCAGGTTATCTAAAGTCAAGATGAAGGAAAGAATTGTAAGAGCTGTGAGGTAAAAGCTTCAGGTAACCTATAAAGGAAAAGCTATCAGATTAGCAGAGTTTTCTCAGCAGAAATCCTACAGGCTAGAAGTGTTTGGGGTCCTATCTTAAGTCCCCTTAAACAAAACAATTATCATCCAAGAATTTTGTATCCAGTGAAACTAAGCTTCATAAATGAAGGAAAAATAGTCTTTTTCAGACAAACAAATGCTGAGAGAATTTGCCCCTACCAAGCCAGAGCTGCAAGAACTGCTAAAAGGAGTTCTAAATATTAAAACAAAACCTCAAAATACACCAAAATAGAACCTCCTTAAAGCATAAATCTCACAGGGCCTATAAAATAATAACACAATAAAAAAAAGCAAGGTATTCAGGCAACAACTAGCATGATGCATAGAATAGTACCTCACATCTTAATACTAACATTAAATGTAAATGACATAAATTTTCCACTTAAAATATGGATGGATAAGAATTCACCAACCAAGTATCTGCTGCCTTCAAGAGACTCACCTAACACATAAGGACTCTTGTAAATTCAAGGTAAAGGGATGGAGAAAGATATTCCATGCAAATTGACACCAAAACGAGCAGGAGTAGCTATTCTTATATCAGACAAAATAAACTGTAAAGCAACAACACTTAAAAAAGACAAAGAGGGACATGGTATAATACTAAAGGAATTATTCCAACAGAAAAATATCACAATCCTACATACATAAGTACATAACACTGGAACTACCAAATTTATCAAACAATTACCTCTAGACCTAAGAAACAGGATCGACAGCAACACAGTGATAGTGGGGTACTCAATACTCCATGACAGCACTAGAGAGATCATCAAGACAGAAAGTCAACAAAGAAACAATGGGCTTAAACTATACCCTGGAACAAATGGAGTAACAGATATTTACAGAACATTCTACTCAACAACTGCAGAATATACATTCTATCCATCAGCACATGGAACATTCTCCAAGATGGATCATATGATAGGCCATAAAACAAGTCTTAACAAATTTTAAAAAAATCAAAATTATAGTAGGTACACTCTCAGACCACAGTGGAATAAAATTGAAAATCAGCTCCAAAAGGAACCCTCAAAATCATGCAAATGCATGGAAATTAAATAATCTGTTCCTGAATGATCGCTGGGTAAACAATTAAATCAAGAGGAAAATTTAAAAATTCTTTGAACTGAGTGATAATAGTGACACAACCTATCATAACCTCTGGAATACAGCAGAAGCAGTGCTAAGAGGAAAGTCCATAGCCTTAAATGCCTACATAAAAAAGTCTGAAAGATCACAAATAGACAATCTAAGGTCACACCTCAAGGAACCAGAGAAACAAGAGCAAACCAAACCTAAATCCAGCAGAAGAAAATAAGTAACAAAAATCAGAGCAGAAGTAAATGAAATTGAAACAAACAAACAAAAATACAAAAGATAAATGAAACGAAAAGCTGGATCTTTGAAAAGCTAAACAAAATTGATAGACCATTAGGAAGATTAACCAAGAAAAGAAGAGAGAAGATCCAAATAAGCTCAATTAGAAATGAAGCAGGCGATATTACAACCAATAGCACAGAAATACAATAAATCATTCAAAGCTATTATGAACACATTTGCACACACAAAGTAGAAAACCTAGAGGAGATGGATAAATTCCTGGAAATATATAACCCTCCTAGACTAAACCAGGAAGCAATAGAAACTCTGAACAGACCAATAACAAGCAGTGAGATTGCAATGGTAATAAAAATTGCCAACAAAAAAAAGTCCAGGACCAGATGGATTCACAACTGAATTATATCAGACGTTCAAAGAAGAACCAATACCCATCCTACTAAAACTATTCCAAAAGATAGGGAAAGAGGGAATTCTCCTTACTCTATTAAGCCACTGTCACTTCAATACCAAAACTAGGAAAAGACATAACAAAAAAAGAAAACTACAGTATCCCTGATGCAAAAATCCTCAACAAAATACTAACTAACCAAATCCAATAGCATATCAAAAAGATGATCCACCACGAGCAAGTGTGTTTAATACCAGGGATGCAAAGATTGTTTAACATAGACAAGTCAATGAATGTGATACACCACATAAACAGAATTAAAAACAAAAATCATATGATCATCTCAATAGATGCAGAAAAACATGCAACAAAAAAATCCAGTATCCCTTTATGATTAAGACCCTCAGCAAAATCGGCATAGAAGGGACACACCTTAAGGTAACAAAAGCCATCTATGCCAAATCCACAGCCAATATTATACTGAATGGGGAAAAGTTGAAAGCATTTCCCCTGAGAACTGGAACAAGACAAGGATGCCCACTCTCACCACTTCTATTCAACATAGTACTGCAAGTCCCCACCAGAGCAATCAGACAAGAAAAAGAAATAAAGGGCATCCAAATCGGTAAAGAGGAAGTCAAATTGTCCCTGTTTGCTGATGATATGATTCTATACCTAGAAAACCTGAAAGACTAATTCAAAAAGCTCCTAGGTCTGATAAATGAATTCAGTAAACTTTCAGAATACAAAATCAATGTACACAAATTAATAGCACTGCTATACACCAACAGAGGCCAAGCTGAAAATAAAATCAAGAACTCAACCCCTTTTACAATAGCTGCAAAAAATAAATAAATAAAATACGTAGGAATATATCTAACCCAGGAGGTGAAAGACCTCTGCAAGGAAAACTACAAAACACTACTGAAAGAAATCATAGATGACACAAACAAATGGAAGCACATCCCATGCTCATGGATGGGTAGAATCAATATTGTGAAAATGACCATAATGCCACAAGTAATCTACAAATTCATTGCAATTCCCATCAAAATACCACCATCACTCTTCATAGAACAACAACAAAAAAAAATCCTAAAATTCATGTGAAACCAAAAAAGAGCCCGTATAGCCAAAGCAAGACTAAGCAAAAGAACAAATCTGGAGGCATCACATTACCTGACTTCAAATTATACTATAAAGCTATAGTCACCAAAACAGCATGGTCCTGGTATAAAAATAGGCACATAGACCAATGGAACAGAATAGAGAACCCAGAAATAAACCTAAATACTTACAGCAAACTGCTCTTCAACAAAGAAAACAAAAACATAACCTGGGGAAAGGACACCTTATTCAACAAATGGTACTGGGATAATTGGCAAGCCACATGTAGAAGAATGAAACTGGATCTCTCACCTTATAAAAAAAATCAACTCGAGATGGATCGAAGACTTAAATCTAGGACCTGAAACCATAAAAATTTTAGAAGATAGCATTGGAAAAACTCTTCTAGCCATTGGCCTGGGCAAAGACTTTATAACCAAGAACCCAAAAGCAAATGCAACAAAAACAAAAATAAATAGATGGGACTTAATTAAATTAAAAAGCTCCTGCACAGCAAAAGAAATAACCAGCAGAATAAACAGACAACTCACAGAGTGGAGAAAATTTTCACAAACTATACATCTGACAAAGGACAAATTTCCAGAATCTACTTAAACAAATAAGCAAGAACAAAACAAATAATCCCCCCCCCTTTTTTTTTTTTTTTTTTTTGAGACAGAGTCTCGCTCTGTCGCCCAGGCTGGAGTGCAGTGGGGAGATCTCGGCTCAATGCAAGCTCCGCCTCGCGGGTTCACGCCATTCTCCTGCCTCAGCCTCCTGAGTAGCTGGGACTACAGGCGCCTGCCGCTGCACCCGGCTAATTTTTTTGTTGTTGTTGTTCTTTTAGTAGAGATGGGGTTTCACCATGTTAGCCAGGATGGTCTCGATCTCCTGACCTCGTGATCTGCCCGCCTCGGCCTCCCAAAGTGCTGGGATTACAGGCGTGAGCCACCGCGCCCGGCCAATAATACCCTTTTAAAAAGTGGGCTAAGGACATGAATAGACAATTCTCAAAATAAGTTATACAAATGCCCAAGAAACACATGAAAAAAATGCTCAACATCACTAATGATCAGGAAAATGCAAATCAAAACCACAATGAGATACCACCTTACTCCTGCAAGGATGACCATAATCAAAAAAATCAAAAAATAATAGATGTTGGCATAGGTGTGGTGAAAAGGGAACACTTTCATGCTGCTGGTGGGAATGTAAACTAGTACAAACACTGGAAAACAGCGTGGAGATTTCTTAAAGAACTAAGAGTAGATCTACCATTTGATCTGGCAATCCCACTACTGAGTATCTACCTAGAGGAAAAGAAGTCATTATATGAAAAAGACACTTGGACACGCATGTTTATAGCAGCACAATTTGCAATTGCAGAAGTATGGAACCAGCCCAAATACCCATGAATCAACGAGTGGATAAAGAAAATGTGGTAGATATATATACCATGGAATACTATTCAGCCATACAAAGAACAAAATAATGGCATTTGCAGCAACCTGGATGGAGTTGGAAACCATTATTCTAAGTGAATTATCTCGGGAATGGAAAACCAAATGTTGTGTGTTCTCACTTCTATGAGGGAGCTAAGCTCTGAGGACGCAACGGCATAAGAATGATACAATGGACTATGGGGACTTGGAGGTAATGTTGGGAGGAGGGTGAGGAATAAAATATTACACATCGGGTACAGTGTATGTTGCTTGGGTGGTGGGTGCACCAGAATCTCAGAAATAACCACTAAATAACTTATACATGTAACCAAACACCACCTGTTCCCCAAAAACTATTGTAGTTTTTTTTTTAAAAATGTTAAGAAAGAAAAGACCAGAAGTACACTTCAAAAGCTTACTAATTTCTCTTCCATAAACTAAGATAGGATTATGATTTTTTTAAACAATAAGTAATTATTATTTAATTATTTAAACAATAAGTAACTATTATTTAATTACTTACTAATTAATAAGTAAGAAAAAGCTCTTGGAATTAAATATGACAGATATTTTCAAAGTTCATGGGAAATGCATATTATAAAAGAAAACTATGCATAGACTTCAAAATCTTTTGAACCATCATAAACTCATACTAACTGGTTATAACTTCTGAACAGGATCTGGTTTGTGGCATTAAGAAAGATAGGACAGGCCAGGCTCAGTGGCTCATGCCTGTAATCTCAACACTTTGGGAGGCTGAGGTGGATGGATCATGAGGTCAAGAATTCAAGACCAGCCTGGCCAACATGGTAAAACCCTGTCTCTACTAAAAATACAAAAAATTAGCTGAGCATGGTGGTGCATGCTTATAGTCCCAGCTACTCAGGAGGCTGAGGCAGGAGGATCGCTTGAACCTGGGAGGCAGAGGTTGCAGTGAGCCAAGATCGTGCCACTGCACTCCAGCCTCGGCAACAGAATGAGACTCCGTCTCAAAAAAAAACAGAAAACAAAAAAAAAAACAAAACAAAAGAAAAGAAAAAGAAAGCTAGGACACAGTTTGAAAAGAGCCTGTATCAGTGTAACATGAATTCTGCTAAAATTAAACAAACATCAAATTTGTGATGAAGCTTAGGTGGAAGAATGGTGAAATACTTGATGCTTTACAAAAAGTTTATGGGAACAATGCCCCAAAGAAATCAGCAATTTACAAATGGATAACTTGTATTAAGAAGGCACAAGATGATGGTGAATATGAAGCCCACAGCGGCAGACCATCCACCACAATTTGAGAGGAAGAAATTTATCTTGTTCATGCCTTAATTGAAGAAGACCAACAATTAACAGCAGAAACAATAGCCCATATTATAGATATCTCAATTGGTTCACCTTACACAATTCTGACTGAAAAATTAAAGTTGAGCAAAACTTTTCACTCAATGTGTACCAAATCTGTTGCATCCAGATTAGCTGCAGATAGGAGCTTTCAGTGGAAAGTTTAAACAAGTAGGATCAAGATCCTGAAGCATTTCTCCAAAGAATTCTAATAGAAGATGAAATATGGCTTTACCAGTGTGATCCTGATGAAAAAGCACAAGCAAAGCAATGTCTACCAAGAGTGGAAGTGGTCCCGTCAAAGCACAAGTGAACCAGTCAAGAGCAAGAGACATGGCAACAGTTCTTTGGGAATACTCAAGGCATTTTGCTTGTTGACTATCTGGAGAGCCAAAGAATGATAACATCTGTGGTAGCGCTCCTCACACGGGAGCACCAGCTGTGGGGGTCTGTCCCTTGCAGACCCCTGACCCAGCGATGGATGAATGAAGTACACGGGCAACACCAGACTGATTGAATCCCTACAAACATCTGCTTATTATGAGAGTGTTTTGAGAAAGCTAGCCAAAGCTTTACCAGAAAAATATTCGGGAAAGCTTCATCAAAGAGGCTTCTCCACCACAACAATGCTTCTGCTCATTTCTCTATTCAAACAAGGAAAATTTTGCAAGAGTTTCTACGGGAACTCATTAGGCTTCCACCTTACAATCCTGATTTGGTTTCTTATGACTTATTTTTGTTTCCTAATCTTAAAAAATATTTGAAGAGTATTCATTTTTCTTCAATTAGTAATGTAAAAAAGATTGTCTTGACATGGTTAAATTCCTAGGACTCTAGTGCATTATGGAGGAACTGAATGGTTGGTATCATTGCTTACAAAAGTGTCTTCATCCTGATGGAGCTTATGTTAAGAAATAAAGTTCATATGTTTCATTTTTATCTTTTTTTTTTTTTTGAGACGGAGTCTCGCTGTCACCCAGGCTGGAGTCCAGTGACACGATCTCGGCTCACCCCAACCCCCCCGCCTCCCAGGTTCAAGTGATTCTACTGCCTCAACCTCCTGAGTAGCTGGGACTACAGACGTGCACCATGACGCCTGGTTAATTTTTTATTTTTTATTTTTTTTATTTTTAGTAGAGACAGGGTTTCACCATATTGGCCAGGCTAGTCTAGAACTCCTGACCTCCTGATCTGCCCACCTTGGCCTCCCAAAGTGCTGGGATTAAAGGCGTGAGCCACCATGCCTGGCTCATTTTTATCTTTTAACTCAATTTTCCCACAAAATTCTTGAAGTCCCCTCATATATGATAGAAGAAAAATTTTTAGACTCAACCAAAAGATTGAAAATTTAATATTGACAAAATCACTGAAAAGGAAGAACAAAAAAACAAAGAAACGAAAAATGGGCTGGGCATAGTGACTCATGCCCATAACCCCAGAACTTTGGGAGGCTGAGGTGGGTGGATCAGTTGGAGTCAGGAGTTTGAGACGAGCCTGGTTAACATGGTGAAACCCCATCTCTACTAAAAATACAAAAATTAGCTGGGTGTTGTGGTGTGTGCCGGTAGTCCCAGCTACCCGCAAGGTGAGGCAGGAGAATTGCTTGAACCTGGGAGGCAGAAGTTGAAGTGAGCTGCAATTGTGCCACTGCACTTGAGCCTGGGCGATAAAGCAAGACTCCATTTCAAAAAAAAGGAAAAAAGAAAAAAGAAAAGAAACGGAAAACGGAAGAGAAGGTAAAACAAAAAGGAAATAGATGGAAAATGGAGGAAAGGGACAGAAAATTAGAAGAGTAACTAACAGGTCCAATATATGACGAATAGGCAGTACAGAAAGAGAGAACAGAAAAATGGAGCCCTTGGATAAAAGTGGATTAAAAAGCAAATACAACCTTGCACTAAGACACATCATAAATTTGAGAACACAGAAATGAAAAGAAAATACTAAAATCTTCACATGATGAAAAGGTGACTTACAAGCAAAAGATTGGAAATCAGAATGGCATCTGACCTCTCAAGTGCAATACAAAAATTAGGAATGTAGCAGAGCCTTCAAATTCTGAGAAAAAATGATCTCCAGCGTGAAATTCTATATGTAGACAAACTATCAATCAAGTATAAGGGTAGAATAAATGTATTAGTTTATTAGTTTGGAAATAATGGAAGATGTATTAGTTTCCTGTAGCTGCAGTAACAAAGTATCACAAACTGTGTAGCTTTAAACAACAAAAATATATTCTCTCACAGTTCTGGGAACTGTAAGTCTTTAATTATGCTATTGTGAGGGCATGTTCTCTCTCTTAGCTTCTAGTGATTGACAACAATACTGGACACTCCTTGACTTGTAGCTACATAATTAACAATCTCTGCCTCCTCCATCACACAGCTGTCTCTCCTCTGTGTGTCTGTGTCTTCACATGGCATTCTCTCCTCTGATGTGTCTCTGTGCTTTCTTTTCTCGTTCTTATAAGGATACCAGTCATGTTGAATTAAGGACCTGCCCTACTCCTTACATCTTAATTTTCATCTTAATTACGTCTGCAAAGACCCTGTTTCCAAAGAAGGTCACATACATGTACCAGAAGTTAAGATGACAACATATCTTTTGGTGGGGGGGGACAAAAATTAACAGAGGATCTATTTACATCACATATAACCATTCTTAGCTACTTGATAAAGTGCTTTACTCTAATGAGGGGAGAAAGCAAGAATATAAAATATAAAGGCCTGAAGAAACAAGAAATCCAATCAAGAGAAAAACAAAATAAATTCCTAGGATGATGGTGAAAGGAATTCCCAGAAGGACAGCTGCACAGCAGCAGAGGGCAGCCAGGTCAAACTGGAGCAGGAGTCTACATGTTCAATGCATTCAACAGGAAAAGAAGGAAAGAAAGGAAAAGAAAAAAGAAAGAAAGAGAGAGGGGAAGGAAGGAAGGGAGGGAGGAAGGGAGGGAGGGAGGGAAGAAAAAGAAAAAGAAAAAAGAGAGAGAAAGAAAGAGAGAGAGAGAGAGAGAGAGAGAAAGAAAGAGAGAGAAAGAAAGAGGAAGAAAGAAAGAGAAAGAAAGAAAGAAAGAAAGAGGCCGGGCGCAGTGGCTCACGCCTGTAATCCCAGCACTTTGGGAGGCCAAGGCGGGTGGATCACGAGGTCAGGAGATCGAGTCCATCCTGGCTAACAAGGTGAAACCCCGTCTCTACTAAAAATACGAAAAAAAACCAGCTGGGCTTGGTGGCAGGCGCCTGTAGTCCCAGCTACTTGGGAGGCTGAGGCAGGAGAATGGCGTGAACCTGGGAGGCGGAGCTTGCATGAGCAGAGATTGTGCCACTGCACTCCAGCCTGGGCAACAGAGCAAGACTCCGTCTCAAAAAAAAAAAAGAAAGAAAGAAAGAGAAAGAAAGAGAGCAAAAAGGAAGCAAGAAAGAGAAATAAGAGCAAGAGGATGAGGCTTCTGAGAAGAATGTTTTCATAAGAAAAATAAACGCATGGAAGACCTGATGCATTTTAATATAACCACAGGAGATTTTCAGGTCTGTTGAAGGGCTTCCAGATGAATTGTTGCTCAGTACATAGACAAATAAGGAAATAAAAAGTGAGCCAAGAATTAATTCCAATAAAAACAAAAAGCTATAAAAGAAAATGAAATCATTTACTATAAGACACAGGTGAGAACAATACAGATAGTTATCATATTGTAAAATGTGAATATTGATATAGCCAGAAAGAGTGACAGAACACCATTGGGAAGTTGAGAAGAAGAGAAGTGTCTACGTGTGCATGTATGCTTGGCCATGTGCACACGTGTGCAGGTCATGCGTGTGAGTGTTTGCATAAGTTGGGTGAGTGAGATGGATGTCAAAGTTACATCCTTATCTCCCGTGGTATGAAGTCAATATAAAATCAAAAACTCAAGAAAAAAAAGGCACATTACTTTGAATTATGGAGGTGAATATCAGAAGAAGCAACTAGAATAGTTGTCAGTAATTAGTTCAGGAGCCTGGACACAAATGGTGAGGAGAGAATGGGTAGGGCTTCCTGTTTTCATGCTAAGCTCTTTGTAGCATTTGACTTTTTAAGTCAGCATACGTAATATTTTGATTTGTTTTTAAAAAGAACAGAAAAAGCTTGGGAAAATATTTGCCATGTTTCTGCAAATGAGTTAATAGTCATTAGGTTTTAAAAGAAATACCTCTAATTATATTTAGTAGTATTTACAATGCTGTTGTAAAAAGGGTTTTACAGTTTTTTCAAGTGAGAATGATTGCGAACACCTTAACAAAATTTTGATTTTGTCTGTTATAGAAACACATTTTTTATTTGGAAACATTTTAAACATTTAGAAAAGTATAAAGGGTCCAATATACACATTTCTGTACCCACCAACCAAAGTAAAAAACAAATGATAATTTTATCATTTCCCTTCAGTTTTTTGTATCAAAGAAATAGAATGTTATGGACAAATTTGAAGTCTTTTTCATTCTCCTCTAGTCTCATTCCCTTTCACCACCTCTGAAGGCAATTCTCATTACGAATTTGGTGCATACATTTCCAGTCCACATTTTATGCTTTCATTACATATGGAAATATTCTCATAAACCATGTAATATATTCTTGCACTGTTTTTAGTATTTTGTAAATATATTCATATGGTGTAAATTAGTTGGCAACTGCATCTGTCATCTAAAATTCTTTAAATGTATCTATGTTAATACATATAGATCTAGTATATTGGTTTTAACTGCTCTATAGTATTCCATGGTTTCAGTTTTTTGTGTTTTTTTTTTTTGAGACAGAGTCTTGCTCTGTCACCCAAATTTATTTATCTAAAATTTATCTAATCTCCCATTCATGGACATTTAGATTGCTTCCAATTTTTTACTATTAAAAATTACTTCAATGAAGATATCTGTAACTATCTCCTAGTACACATATTAAAACTTCCTCTGGCATGTAAACACAGAAGTTGAATTTCTGGTCACAGGTTATGCACATTTTCAACTTTTCTCAATCTTACAAAATTGTTCTTCCAAATCATTTAGGTAATGTACACTCTCACGAGCAGCTTATGGGCAGCTTAAGTAATCCCATGGAGTTACTGAAGTATTACCAAGGTATCTCACTTTGCCAGTCTAGTAGTTATGAAATAGTACATTATTATTTTAAGTACCTTTTATCTGAAATTTAGTGAAGTTAACCATCTTTTCTTATGTTTCTTGGCTGTTCAGGTTCCTGGTTTGTGAATTGCCTGTTCATATTCTTTGCCTATTTTTCTCTTGGGTTAGTTTCTGTTTCTAACTTCTTTATAGAAACCTTTTAAATTCTGGACACTAATTTATACACACACACATACACACACACAAAAGCATACCTCAATTTACTGTGCTTCACTTTATTCAACTTTGCAGATATTACTTTTCTTACAAATTGAAAGTTTGTGGCAACCCTGCTTTATGCAAGTCTATTAGCACCATTTTCCAACAGCATGTGCTTACCTCATGTCTCTGTCATTTTGGTAATACTCTCAATATTTTAAACTTTTTTATTATTTTTATATATATTATGGTGATCTATGATCAGTGATCTTTGATGCTACTATTGTCATTCTTTTTGGAGTGCCACAAACTGCACCCACGTAAGACAGCAATCTTAATTGATAAATGTTATATAGTATTCTGACTGTTCCACCAACCAGCCATTCCCAAGTCTCTCTTTCTCTTCTTGGGCTTTCTTGTTCCCTGAGACACAACAATATTGAAATGAGGCCAATTAATAACCCTACAATGGCCTCTAAGTGATCAAGTGAAAAGAATAGTCATATGTCTCATTTTAAATTGAAAGCTAGAAATGATTGAGTTTTGTGAAGAGGACATGTGGAAAGCCAATATAAGCCAAAGCCTAGGCCTCTTGCACAGCCAAGCTGTGACTGCAAAGGAAAAGTTATTGAAAGAAATTAAAAATGCTACTCCATTGAACACATGAATGATAAGAAAGCAAAACAGCCTTATTGCTCATATAGAGAAAGTTTGAGTGGTCTGAATAGATTTCTTTAAGCCAAGGCCTAATCCAGAGCAAGGCCATAGCTCTCTTCAATTCCATAGAGCCTGAGAGAGGTAAGGAAGCTGCAGAAGAACAGTTTGAAGCTAGCACAGGTTGGTTCATGAGGTTTAAGGAAAGAAGTCATCTCCATAATATAAAAGTGCAAGCAAAGCAGCAAGTGCTGATGGAGAATCTGCAGCAAGTTATCCAGAAGATCTAGCTAAGATCATTGATGAAGGTGGACACATGAAATAACAGATATTCAATGAAGGTGAAACAGCTTTCTATTGGAAGAAGTTGCCATCTAGGACTTTTCATTGCTGGAGAGGAGAGGTAAATGCCTGGCTTCAAAGGTTAGGCTGACTCTCATGTTAGGGGCTAATGCAGGTAGTGACTAAGTTGAAGCCAAATGCTCACTGACCATTCCAAAAATCCTAGGGCCCTTAAGAATTATGCTAAATCTATTCTGCCGGTGCTCTATAAATGGAAAAACAAAACCTGGATGACAGCACATCTGTTTACAGAATGCTTTACTGGATATTTTAAGTGCACTTTTGAGACCTATTGCTAAGGAAAAAAGATTCCTCTCAAAATATTACTGCTCATTGACAATATGCCTAGTCACTCAAGAACTCTTATGGAGATGTACAAGGAGATAATGTTGTTTTCATACCTCTTAACACAACATCCATTCTGCAGCCCACCGATCAACGAGTAATTTTGACTTTTTAAGTCTTATCATTGGAGAAATACATTTTATAAGGTCATCAATGCCATAGATATGGATTCCTCTGATTGATCTTAGCAAAGTAGATTGAAAACCTTCTGGAAAGAACTCACCATTCTAGATCCCATTAGGAAGATTTATGGGTCATGGGAGGAGGTCAAAATATCAACACTAACAGAAGTTTGAAAGGAGTTGATTTCAACTGTTATGGATGACTTTTAGAGGTCCAAGGCTTCAGTGAAGAAAGTAACTCCAGATGTAGTGGAAAGAGCAAGAGAACTAGAATTAAAAGTGGCACCTGAAGATGTGACTGAATTGCTGCAATCTCACAATCTAACTTGAACAGATAAGGAGTTATTTCCTATGGGTGAGCAAAGAAAGTGCTTTCTTGGAATGGTATGTACTCCTGGAGAAGACGCTGTGAACATTGTTGAAACAACAACGAAGGATTTAGAATAGTATATAAATGTAATGGATAAAGTAGCAGCAGGGTGTGAGAGGATTGACTCGAATTTTAAAAGAAGCTTTATTATGAGTAAAACACTACCAATGAGCACTGCATGCTACAGAGAAATCCTTTGTGAAAAGATGAGTCCATTGATGTGGCAAACTCCACTGTTGTCTTATTTTTTTAAATTGCCAGAGCCATGCCAATCTTCAGCAACCACACTCTGATTAGTTGGCAGGTATCAGCATCAAGGCAAGACCCTCCACAACAAAAAGATCATAGCTCACTGGAACCTCAAATGATTGTTAGCAGTTTTTTTTTTTTTTAGCAATAATGTATTTTTAATTAAGGTGTGTACTTTTTTAAACACAATGGTACCACACACTTAATAGACTACAGTATAGTGTAAATGTAACTTTTATATGCACTAGGAAACAATAAAATTTCTGTGACACAATTTATTGCAATATTTGTTTTCTTGCATGTGTGGTGGTCAAGAACGAAACCTACAATATCATTCGGGTATGCCTGTGTGTGTATATGTGTATATATATATATATATATATATATATATATATACACACACACACACACACATATATATACACACATATATATACACACATATATACACATATATACATATATACATATATATACATATATACACATATACATATATATACATATATACATATATATACACATATATACATATATACATATATACATATATATACACACACATATATACACACACACATATACACATACACACATATATGTATGTGTCTGTACACATACATATATTATATAAAATATATGTATATATATATCTATCTTGGTTTTCTAAATGACTGCATGACTAAAAATTTAAAAACACCTAGAACTAATAGCACCATAAAGGCCTTAGAAAGCAATATTGCAGTATATTTGAAAAACTGTAAGATGAAGGAAAGCACTTATTACATGCTAAGTACTGGAATATCTCATTTAATCATTTTAGCAAACCTGTGAGATTGATATATTTTTCCACTTTGCACATAAGTAAGCTGAAGTTCAGTGAAGTCAAACCCACTGCTTGGGCCATGCCATTAACTCGTGAAAGAGGCACGATTCTCTTTGATAAACGAAGTTACTATTTTTTCACAACACTACACTGGCTCTCATTAAAATATTGATTCTTTATAACCTACCAGTTCCACGCCTAAAAATCTATTCCCAAAGAAAGAAATCTAATAGATAAATGCAAATGTTTATTGCAGCATTTATGGCTAGTGGCAAAAATACTATAAAAATCGAATCCCTCCGCATAAGGGAATGACTTAGTAAGACACCTCTGCTAATGCAGTCTGAGGAATTAATAACCACGTCCTGTCAAGGAGAGTCCTTGCTACATCTGTTACTGGGTAACAAGCAAATAATTCTTTAGTGATGAAGACAATCCATTGTGGTGGCAGATGAGTTCGTAGTTGCTTGAAGTGACATTCTGTGGGCCACAGAGGCAAATACTGTAAGGGATTCATTCATTCATTCATTCATTCAGCAGCAGTAATAAGCACCAGTAGGCACAGACATTATGCTCTATGCAGGTGATAAAATACAAAGACATGCCCATCAGCCTTAAGGAATTTGCATATAGCATGATGAAACAAAAACATCAATGTTGAGGGGTCAACATTTACACACTGTGACAAGCAAAACATAGCTCTTGTATTTTCCATACCAATACCAGCTTGCCCTTGGGTAATGGTGGGGCAGTGGGGGAAGTTGGAGCTAGACTTAAACTTGCCAGTGAAAGGCAATTTAGCTTGTTCTTGTTTAACAGTCTCATTTAGGTGACCTTAATTCCTTTAGAGGTAAATATTTCATTACCCAAACTCCAAACTTCTTTGTCCTTTCCTCAAGGGTCCCCATCTATGTCCTGCTTCCCCGGGAGACACCTGTAAGCAGGGAGCATTTACCTGTCTGTGGGAAAGAGGTGGTCTTCACAATCGATGAATCATAATCCTCATAACTGATTATCATCATCGATAATTTACTGTCAAAGGCCCATTCCTGAGATGAAGACTGCTCTGCTTTCTTGATTCTAGAAAGGCATGGAGTTGAATTTTCAGGGCCCTTGGCCACGAACAGCTGCTGGCATGGCCACTCCTTGGCCTTAGCTGGTGCTATAGGAACCTGTAGCTCCTAGGTGGTGAGATGTCAGAAAGGCTACAAGATTGGCTGTCTTGCTAGATGGCCTGAGGTTGAGCCTCAGCCCTGCCATTAACTACCTCTGTGATTTTAGCAAAGTTACTTCTTCCCTATGCCTTAGTTTCTTCATCTGTGCAATGAAATAATTTTTTAAATATCCATCTTGTTGGGTGATCAGGAAAATTAAACGAGATAATGCATATAAACAGGCATAGAGCAATATCTGCAATATTATATGTGCTAAATAAATATGAACTACGTTTCTAGCCTCTGAACTCATCAGGTGATTTGATAGCCCCATTCATCTTTCTTCAGCAGCACCGCCTGACATAATGGTGTGTGTGTGTGTGCGTGTGTGTGCGTGTGTGTGTGTGTAGGGGAAGATCTAAATCCCTTCCATGCCACCTGAGAGAGGTGGCTTCTTTCTAAAATTCTCAGTGGGAAGCAGGATGCAAGACACCACACACACCCCTACGTATTATTAGCTTCCCCCTCTATTGCTTTGTAATTTCTACTCTAATTCCTCTTCTCAACCCGGACCTTGGGGACGTACGATTTTTAAGCCTGACCTTTTGCCTTGGTCTACCCTCGAGACTTCCACCCGTAATTCCTCCTTTCAAGCGGAAAGCTTTCTGGGTCTTTCTGTTTAGTGGGAACTTTGCATAAATCATATCCCGAGTTCTCTACCTATGGCTTAGAGCAAAACTTTGTTGTTACCTGGCAAGAGCAAAGCATACTGCCATGCTTTGCTCTTACCAGATAACTCAAGGATGTTTAGAATATAGAAATCCTTTTCTCTTCCAATTAGACTGACTTCAAAACGCAGGAGACTCCACCTAACACAAAGAAATGACAAATGCTTGAGGTGATGGATATCCCAATTACCCTGACTTGATCATTACACATTGTATGCCTATATCAAAACAATTACCCTGATTTGATCATTACAGTATATATGTCTGTATCAAAACACCACATGTACCCCATAAGTAATACAATTATTAGGTACTCAAAATAATTTTTAAAAATCATTTTAAAGATTTGAAATTTTTTTAAAAAGAGAATCAGACAGACAGACAAGGAGACAGATCGCTATTTCCATAGAATGGTCTAACTTTGACAGAGTACGCAGTTTTCTCAGTGCAATTTGCTCTTTAATCATCCCATGAACCTCCCTTCCCATGGTGAGCGTACTGTGCTGTGTCTCCTGATCTCGACAATTACCTCAAGGATGACACTCAAAAATCAATGTGTCCTCTGAAATAGGATGAAATGAAGATTTTAAAGCTACATACTGACACGTACATCCATGTGGTTTTCATTTTTTCAATCTCTTTAAAGAACTGTTTCACCGATATTATCAGAGTTGATGTTTTTTACTGTTTTTCTAATTAAGTTTCCTAATGGATTTGAGTACCAATTCAAGATTAAATTTTTTAAAAAAGAAAGGAAAAAACCTCAGGAGACTCAAGTCAGCTTGGAGACTCACATCTGGTCAATTATCTCTTTATTTTTGTGTTTTATATCCTCTCTCTGAAGGGGGAAATGCTATACACACCCCTATACGTTATTAGCTTCCCTCTTCCCTCTCCTCTTCTCTGTGATTTCTGCCTCTCTTTGATTGCTCTTCTCAACCCAGAGAGAACCACAGCACCATAGGATTATGGAGGAAATGATGTTAGAAAATGTGGCTGTGCATGGTGGTTCACACCTGTAATCTTAGCACTTTGAGAGGCCGAGGCAGGAGGATTGCTTGAGTCCAGGAGTTCAAGACCAGCCTGGACAACATAGCAAGACCCCATCTCTACAAAAAATGCAAAAATTATCTTGGTGTGGTGGCACCCACCTATAATCCCAGCTACTCTGGAGGCTGAGGTGGCAGGATTGCTTGAGCCCGGGAGGTCAAGGCTACAATGAGTGATGATCATGCCGCTGCACTCCAGCCTGGGCAACAGTGTGAGAACCCATCCCTAAAAAAAAAAAAAAAAAAGAAAAGAAAAAATGTTTCAAACACTACACCCATTATATGTAAATATATACAAATTATAACAAATTATACAAATTATAAATTCCTTGAACACTTCCTGTGTGCCAGGCATTGCGCTGAGCTCTTTTCTTTCAATCTATTCTCACAACTACAATTATCCCCATGTTATAGGTAAATCAAATGAGCATTAAAGATAATAAATATTTGCTGAATGTCACACCACTAGTTATGAGTGAAGATGTGTGACAGCAGAGTCTGCTTGCAATCACGGTGCTATTTTGTTTCATACAGATGCAATGATGCAGTGTAAGAATGATTTGATGGGCCTGCTTGGGCCAGAGCTTAGTGGCTAGCTAGTGTCAGTGCTTCCGGGAGAGGTGGAAACAATTCTGGATAACATAAGGTAAAGAATTTGAGTATTTTGAGAGACTTCAGAAGAGAAAGAATGGGAAAGGGTAAGTGGATGGTAAGATGACCACTGTTCACTGTGACCCACCTCTTCCCTAAATCAACAGTGAAAGTCACAAACATTGAGAAATGCTTGTGCTCTCTGAGATCTTGTAAAAACATTAAAAGCTGTTGAGTCCTGCACTCAGGTGCATGTGGGAACAAAACAGGAGTCAAATAGTTGTGGAGACAGAGGGAAAATGGAAACTGTAAGTCCAAGGGTTTTTGACAAAATCTGGGGGAACATTGCTATGAGCCGTATCCAGCCTTTGAATTTGTCTTCTTAAGAAAATTTCACCTAAAATACAAGGGATGATGTATTAGTCTGAATTCTCCAGAGAAACAGAACCAACAGCATGGAATATATACATGTATATAGAGAGATACATAGATTTCTTATAATAAACTATGACTCATATATAAAATTTGTTATATAATAATTATATTATTATATATTATCTGTGATTTTATATATTCATAATTTATTATAACAAATTTTAAATCTTATAAATAAATAGGGTTTATATATAAAGGCATTTATTGTAAGAAATTGAATCATGTGTTTATGGGGGCACAGAAGTTCCAAGATCTGCAGTCAGCAAGCTGGAGACCCAGCAGAACCCATGCTGTAAGTTCAAGTCTGAGTCTATGGGAGGAGAAGAACGATGTCTCAGCTCAAAGACAGTAAGGCAGAGAAGTAAATTCTTCCTCACTCTACCTTTTTTGTTCTATTCAGGCCTTCAATGGTTTGGATGAGGCTCACTCACATTGAGCAGAGCAATCTGCTTTACTCAGTCCATCAATTCAAATGTAAATCTCACCCAGAAACACCCTCACAGACAAGTTCAGAAAAAATGTTTCACCAACTATCTGGGTACCCCCATGACCCAGTGAAGCTGACACATAAAATTAGCTTTTGTGATAGGGAACCCCAAAATTGTATCTTGCTCATATTTAAGACATAGAAAAAAGGGCTCATTCAGTTGAGATGTTTTCCTAGCAGGTTAGGAAGTATGATGCATTATCTAAATAATGACAGCTGGGAATATTTAGGTTGGGGGAGGGAGAGAGTCCAAGATATGTATTTTTATTTTTTAAATATTTTAATGTTAAAATTTATATATTATATTTATATCTAATATTAAGGGTTATAAATAATTAATATTTAACTATAAAGATAAAATATAAAATACTTGTTTTAAATATTTTATTTTTAATGTTAAATAACTTAATATTTTATTGTGAAAAATATTTCAATATTATTTTAATATTTTAATTTAATTATTTTATATTTTTCTATTTTTATTGAGAACTTCAGCAAGGGTTCTGTGTCCCCACCCAAATCTCATCTTGAATTGTAGCTCCCATAACTCCTACAGGTTGTGGGAGGAACCCGGTGGGAGATAACTGAATTATGGGGGCAGTTTCCCCCCATACTGTTCTCATGGTAGTAAATAAGTCTCACAAGATCTGATGTGTTTATAAGGGGTTCCCCTTTCACTTGGCTCTCATTCTCTCTTGTCTGCCGCCATGTAAGATGTGCCTTTCACCTTCTACCATGATTGTGAGGCCTCCCCAGTACTGTAAGTCCATTAAGCCTCTTTTTCTTTATAAATAACCCAGTCTCAGGTATGTCTTTAACAGCAGCATGAAAACAGACTAATACAGTAAATTGGTACCGGTAGAGTGGAGTGCTGCTGTAAAGATACCCAAAAATGTGGAAGTGACTTTGGAACTGGGTAACAGGCAGAGGCTGGAACAGTTTGGTGGGCTCAGAAGAAAACAGGAAAATGTGGGAAAGTTTGGAACTTCCTAGAGGCTTGTTGAATGGCTTTGACCAAAATGCTGATAGTAATATGGACAATAAAATCCAGGCTGAGGTGACCTCAGAGGGAGATGAGAAACTTGTTGGGAACTGGAATAAAGGTGACTCTTGTTATGTTTTAGCAAAGAGACTGGTGGCATTTTGCCCCTGCCCTAGAGATTTGTGGAACTTTGAACTTGAGGGAGATGATTCAGGGTATCTGGCAGAAGAAATTTCTAAGGAGCAAAGCATTCAAGAGGTGACTTGGGTGCTGTTAAAGGCACTAAGTTTTAAAAGGAAAACAGCATAAAAGTTTGGAAAATGTGCAGCCTGAATATGTGGTAGAAAAACAAAAAAAACATTTTCTAAGGAGAAATTCAAGCCAGCTGCAGAAATTTGCATAAGTAACAAAAAGCCAAATATTAATCACCAAGACAAAGGGGAAAATGTCTCCAGGGCATGTCAGAGACATTTGCAGCAGCCCCTCCCATCACAAGCCCAGAGGTCTAGGAGGAAAAAATGGTTTCATGGGCTGGCCCAGGGCCCCCCTGCTATGTGCAGTCTAGTGACTTGGTGCCTTACGTCCCAGCCACTCTAGCCATGGCTAAAAGCGGTCAAAGTAGACTGGGTGCAGTGGCTCACACCTGTAATCCCAGCACTTTGGGAGGCCGAGGCAGGTGGATCACCTGAGGTCAGGAGTTCGAGACCAGGCTGGCCAACATGGTGAAACCTCGTCTCTACTAAAAATACAAAAATTAGCCAGGCATGATGGCATGTGCCTGTAATCCCAGCTACTCGGGAGGCTGAGGCAGGAGAGTCGCTTGAACTCAGGAGGTAGAGGTTGGGGTGAGCTAAGATCATGCCATTGCACTCCAGCCTGGTGACAGAGCAAGACTCCATCTCAAAAAAATATAAAAATACAAATAAAGGGGGGCCAAGGTATAGCTCAGGTTGTGGCTTCAGAGGGTGCAAGCCACAAGCCTTGGCAGCTTCCATGTGGTGTTGGGCCCGCGAATGCACAGAAGTCAAGAGTTGGGGTTTGGGAACATTTGCCTAGATTTCAGAGGATGTATGGAAATGCCTGGATGTCTAGGCACAAGTTTGCTGCAGCGGCAGTACCCTCATAGAGAAGCTCTGCTAGGGCAGTGTAGAAGGGAAATGTGGGATTGAAGGCCCCACACAGAGTCTTCACTGGGGTACTGCCTAATGGAGCTGTGAGAAGAGGATCACCGTCCTCCAGACCCCAGAATGGTAGAACCACCAGCAGCTTGCATTGTGCACCTGGAAAAGCTGCAGACACTCAATGCCAGCTCACGAAAGCAGCCAGAAGGGAGGCTGTACCTTGCAAAGCCACAGGGGCAGAGCTGCCCAAGACCATGGGAACCCACCTCTTGCATCAGCATGACCTGGATGTGAAACATAGAGGCAAAGGAGATCATTTTGGAGTTTTAAGATTTGACTGCCCCACTGGATTTTGGACTTGCATGGGGCCTTTAGCCCCTTCATTTTGGCTCATTTCTCCCATTTGGAATGGGTGTATTTATCCAATGCTTGTACCTCCATTGTATCTAGGAAGTAACTGACTTGCTTTTGATTTTACAGGCTCATAGGCAGAAGGGACTTGCCTTGTCTCGGATGAAACTTTGGACTGTGGACATTTGAGTTAATGCTGAAATGAGTTAAGACTTTGGGGGACTGTTGGGAAGGCATGATTGGTTTTGAAATGTGAAGACATGAGATTTGAGAGGGCCCAGGGGTGGAATGATATGGTTTGGATGTGTCCGCACCCAAATATCATTTTGAATTGTGGCTCCTATAATTCTTACATGCTGTGGGAGGGAACTGGTGGGAGATAATTGAATCATGGGGGCAGTTCCCCATACTGTTCTCCTGGTAGTAAATAAGTCTCATGAAATACGATTTTTTTTTTTTTTTAGACAGTTTCACTCTTGTTGCCCAGGCTGGAGTGCAATGATGCGCTCTTGGCTCACTGCAACATCTGCCTCCTAGGTTCAAGCTATTCTCCTGTCTCAGCCTCCTGAGTAGCTGGGATTACAGGCACCCACTATGACGCCTGGCTAATTTTTTTTGTATTTTTAGTAGAGACAGGGTTTCACTATGTTGGCCAGGCTGGTCTTGAACTTCTGGCCTCAGGTGATCCTCCCATCTTGGCCTCCCAAAATGCTGGGATTGCAGGCATAAGCCACCACACCCAGCTGAGATCTGATGTTTTTATAAGGGGTTTCCCTTTCTCTTGGCTCTCATTCTGTCTTGCCTGCTGCCATTTAAGAGGTGACTTTCGCCTTTCACCATGATTGTGAGGCCTCCTCAGCCACGTGGAACTGTGAGTCCATTAAACCTCTTTTTCTTTATAAATTACCCAGTCTCAGGTATGTCTTTATCAGCAGCATAGGAACAGACTAATACAGGTTCTATGGACAGAGCTCTGATCTCTCCCTGGGATAGAGTTCCTGGGTAGAGGGATAGCCACCATCTCTGTGGTTCAGTAGACTCAGCTGTTCCAACCTGCTGGTTTTGGAGAATACAAACAGTCCTGACAAGGAAGAGTTCTTCCAAATTGAGTACACCTGCTCTATTAAAAACCAGCCAGACTGTTTCTTTAAGCAGGTCCCTGATCCTGTTCCTCCTGAGTGGGTAAGACTTCCCAACAGGGTCTCCAGCAACCTTCTACAGGAATGTTCAGGACAGCAACAGGTCAGTACCACCCTAAGATGGAGCTTCCAGAGGAAGGAGCAGGCTGCTGTCTTTGCTGTTTTGCAGTCTTCACTGGTGATACCTCCAGGTACAAGAAAACCGAGGCAACTGAGGTCTGGAGTAGACCCACAGCAAACCACAGCACCCCTACAGTAGAGAGGCCTGACTGTTAAAAAAAAAAAATCAGAAAATATCAACAACATCAACAAAAAAGATCCCACACAAAAAAAAAACCCAAAGGTCAACAACCTCAAAAACTGAAGGTAGATAAGCCCACAAAGATGAGAAACAAACAATGCAAAAACACTGAAAACACAAAAAACCAGAGTGCTTCTTCTCCAAATGACTGCAACACATTTTTTAGCAAGGGCACTGAACTGTGCTGAGGCTGAGATAGCTGAGTTGACAGAAGTAGGCTTCAGAAGGTGGGTAATAATGAACTTTGCTGAGCTAAAGGAGCATGTTATAACCCAATACAAAGAAGCTAAGAATCATAATAAAATAATACAATAGCTGATACCAGAACAACCAGTTTTGAGAGGAACATAAAAGACCTGATAGAGCTGAAAAATATAACTTGAGAACTTCACAACTTCACAATCACAAGTATCAATAGCTAAATAGACCAAGTGGAGGAAAGAATCTCAGAGCTTGAAGACTATCTTTCTGAAAAAGACAAGGCACAGAAGAATAGAGAAAAAAGAATGAAAAGGAATGAACAAAACCTCCAAGAAATATGGGATTATGTAAAGAGACAACCTATGACTGATTGAGGTAACTGAAAGAGACAGAGTATGGAACCAAGTTGGAAAACATACTTCAGGGTATCATCCAGGAGAACTTTCCCAACCTAGCAAGACAGGCCAACATTCAAATTCAGGAAATGCAAAGATCACCACTAAGATACTTTATGAAAAATCAACCCCAAGACACACAATCATCAGAGTCTCCAAGGTTGAAATGAAAGAAAAAATGTTAAGAGAAGCCAGAGAGAAAGGCCAGGTCACCTACAAAGGGAAGCCCATCAGACTAACAGCAGAACTCTCAGTGGAAACCCTATAAACCAGAAAAGACTGGGGGCCAATATCAACATTCTCAAAGAAAAAAAGAATTTCCAACCCAGAATTGCATATCCAGCCAAACTAAGCTTCATAAGCAAAGGCGAAATAAGATCTTTTTTAGACAAGCAAATGCTGATGAAATTCATCACCACCAGGACTGCCTTGCCAGAGCTCCTGGAGGAAGTGCTAAATATGGAAAGAAAAAACCATTATAAGCCATTACAAAAACACAGAGATACATAGACCAGTGACACTATGAAGCAACCACATGAACAAGTCTGCAAAATAACCAGCTAGCATCATGATGATAGGATCAAATTCACACATAACAATACTAACCTGAAATGTAAATGAGCTAAATGCCCAAATTAAAAGACACAGAATGGCAAGCTGGATAAAGAGCCAAAACCCATCCGTATGTCATCTTTAAGAGACTCATCTCATGTGCAAAGATACACATAGGCTCAAAATAAATGGATGGAGGAAAATTTACCAAGCAAATGGAAAACAGAAAAAACCAGAGGTTGCAATCCTACTTTCTGGCAAAACAGACTTTAAACCAACAAAAAGTCAAAGAACACAAGGAAGGACATTATATAATGGTAATGGGTTCAATTCAACAAGGAGCGCTAACTATGCTAAATATATATGTACTCAATGCTGGATCACCCAGATTCATAAAGCAAGTTCTTAGAGAGACTTAGACTCCCATACAATAATAGTGGGAGACAGATCATTGAGACAGAAAATTTCCAAAGATATTCAGGACCTGAACTCAACTCTGGATCAAGTATACCTGATAGATATCTACAGAACTCTCTATCCAAAAACAAGAGAATATACATTCTTCTCATCGCCATATGGCACTTACTCTAAAATTGATGACATAATCAAAAGTAAAACTCCTCAGCAAATGCAAGGGAATTGAAATCATAACAGTCTCTCAGACCACAGCACAATCAAATTAGAACTCAAGATTAAGAAATGTACTCAAAAGCACACAACTGCATAGAAATTGAACATCCTGCTCCTGAATGACGCTTGGGTAAACAATGAAATTAAGGCAGAAATCAAGAAATTCTTTGGAACTAATGAGAACAAAGAGACAACATACCAGAATCTCTGGGATGCAGCTAACAGTGTTAAGAGGGAAACTTATGGCACTAAATGCTCACATCAAAAAGTTAGAAAGATCTCAGGTTAACAACCTAATATCTCAACAAAAATAACTACAGAACTAAGAGAAAACAAACACCAAAGCTAGCAGAAGACAAGAAAGAATCAAGATCAGAGCTGAAATGAAGGAGACAGACACACAAAAAACCCTTTTAAAAAAAATCAATGAATCCAGGAGCTGGCTTTTTGGAAAAAAATAATAAATGAGATAGGCCAGTAACTAGACTAATAAAGGAGAGACGAATCAAATAGACACAATCAGAAATGATAATGATGGGGTATCGCCAGTGATCCCACAGAAATACAGATAACCATCAGAGAATACGATAAACACCTCTATGCACATAAACTAGAAAATCTAGAATAAATGGATAAAGTCCTGGACACATAACACCCTCCCAAGACTGAATCAGGAAGCAACTGAATCCCTGAATACATCAATAATGAATTCTGAAATTGAGGCAGTAATAAATAGCCTACAAACCGAAAAAAAAAGCCCAGGACCAGATGGATTTACAGCTGAATTCTACCAGAGGTACAAAGAAGAGCTGGTACCATTTCTACTGGAGCTATTCCAAACAATGGAAATGGAGGGACTCCTCCCTAACTTATTCTATGGGGCCAGCATCATCCTGATACTAAAACCTAGCAGAGATACAACAACAACAAAATTCAGGCCAATATCCTTGATGAATATCTATGCAAAAATCTTCAATAAAATACTAGCAAACTGAATCCAGCAGCACATCAAAAAGCTTATCCACCACAATCAAGTTGGCTTCATCCCAGGATGCAAGGTTGATTCAACAAACACACATCAATAAATGTGATTCATCACATAAACAGAACTAAAGACAAAAACCACATGATTATCTCAATAGATGCAGAAAAGACCTCTGATAAAATTCAACATTCTTTCATGTTAAAAATTCTCAATAAACTAGGTATTGAAGGAACATACCTCAAAATAGTAAGAGCCATCTATGACAAACCCACAGCCAATGTCATATCGAATGGTCAAAAGCTGGAAGCATTCCCTTTAAAAATAAGCACAAGAAAAGGATGCCCTCTCTCACCACTCCTATTCAACACAGCATTGGAAGTTCTGGCCAGGGCAGTCAGGCAAGAGAAAGATATAAAGCATATTCAAATAGGAAAGGAGGAAATCAAACCTTTATTTGCAGATGACATGATCCTGTATCTAGAAAACCCTATAGTCTCAGCCCAAAAGCTTCTTAAGCTGATAAACAACTTCAGCAGTCTCAGGATACAAAAAGCAAGTGCAAAAATCACTAGCATTCCTATACACCAACAACAGGCAAGCAGAGAGCCAAATCATGAATGAACTCCCATTCACAGTTGCTACAAAAAGAATAAAATACCTAGGAATAGACCTAACAAGGGAAGTGAAGGATCTCTTCAAGGAGAGCTACAAGTCACTGCTTGAGGAAATCAGAGAGGATATAAACAAATGGGAAAACATTCCATGCTCATGGATAGGAAAAATCAATATTGTGAAAATGGCCATACTGCCCAAAGTAATTTATAGATTCAATGCTGTTCCTATTAAACTACCATTAACATTCTTCACAGAATTAGAAAAACTATTTTAAAATTCATATGGAAGCAAGAAAGAGGCTGAATAGCCAAGACAATCCTAAGCAAAAAGAACAAAGCTGGAGACATCATGCAATCCAACTTCAAACTATACCACAAGGTTACAGTAACCAAAACAGCATGGTACTGGTATAACAGACACATAGATCAATGGAACAGGAAAGAGACCTCCGAAATAAGACCACACACCTACAACCATCTGATCTTCAACAAACCTGACAAAAACAAACAATGAGAAAAGGGATCCCTGCTTAATAAACAGTGCTGGGAAAACCAGGTACTCAGGAGTCTCAGGCAGGAGAATTGCTTGAACCCCAGAAATGGAGGTTGCAGTGAGCTGAGATCATGCTACTGCACTCCAGCCTGGGTGGCAGAGTGAGACTCTGTCTCAAAAAAAAAAGACCTAGAGGCAGAAATACAATTTGACTCAGTAATCCCATTATTGGATATATACCCAAAGGGATATAAATCATTATAAAGATACAAACAAGTGTATATTCCTTGCAGCACTATTCACAATAGCAAAGACATGGAATCAACTGAAATGCCCATCAATGATAAACTAGATAAACAAAATGTGGTACGTATACATGACATGGAATACTATGCAGCCATAAAAAGGAATGAGATCATGTCCTTTGCAGGGACATGGACAGAGTTGGAAGCCATTATCCTCAGCAAACTAATGCAGGAACAGAAAACCAAAAACTGCGTGATCTCATTTATAAGTGGGAGTTGAATGTTGACAACACATGAACAAATGGCAGGGAGCAACACACACTGGGGTCTGTCGGGGTCAGGGGAAGGGGGGAGGGAGAGCATCAGGAAGAATAGCTAATGGATGCTGGGCTTAATACCTAGGTGATGGGATGATCTGTGCAGCAAACCACCATGACACACATTTACCTATGTAACAAACCTGCACATCCTGCACATGTAGCCCTGGACTTAAAAGTTGGAAAAAAAAAAAAAAAAACCTGTTTCCTATACCCTCATGGAAAAAGATTAATATTTATATATAAATATAGAAATAAAAAATAATTCTGTTTTAAATATTATTTTATTTTTAATGTTAAATGATTTAATATCTTTATTGTGGTAAAATATAAATAAGCTAAAATTTACCATTTTAACCACTTTTAAGTCATTTCCAGTGGCATCAAGTATACTCACAGTAATGTGCAACCATCACCACTATCCCAGAAAGTTTTTGATAGGCAAAAACAGTACATGGAAGGTCATTCTTGGCAGAAAAAAAGAGGAAGCATGGAGAAATGAAATATCAAGCAAATGCAAAACGTTGGCTATAGGCAGAATGTAGAATGCAGTAATTGCATGTGTGCATGACTCTGTGTGTGTATGTGTGTGTGTGGAGGACAAGGCAGTGGTTGGGAGAGGAGTGAGAATTTGAACAAATGGGTCTAGAAAAGCACATGGGGTCAGGTCATGGAGGGTTTGTAAGCCACATTACTGAGTTGTAATTTTATCCTCTTATCTTTTTTTTTTTTTTGAGATGGAGTCTCACTCTGTCTCCCAGGCTGGAGTGCAGTGGCACCATCTCGACTCACTGCAACCTCCGCCTCCCAGGTTCAAGCGATTCTTCCGCCTCAGCCTCCTGAGTAGCTGGGACTACAGGCGCGTGCCACTACACCCGGCTAATTTTTGTATTTTTAGTAAGGATGGGGTTTCACCATATTGGGCTGGCTGGTCTCGAACTCCTGAACTTGTGATCCGCCCACCTCGGCCTCCCAAAGTGCTGGGACTACAGGCGTAAGCCACCGTGCCTGGCCTCCTCTTATCCTCCTAAACCTCTTGGCCCACGTCTGAGACCCCATGGCCGTAGTGGACAGCTCCTACACACTCTCCAGGCAACTGTGACTCTGACTCTTTGCCTACGGGATTTGAGCACCTTGCTCAGCCCATGCATGAGACCCCTCTGAAGTGCTGAGAATTTGATGCCCTAAGAAAGTTAAACCATTACGGGACAGAGGGCAGTTGATAAGGGCTCCAGCTTCTGCATGTCTCATGAGACAGTTCTACATGGTTGCTCAGGGACTCCCTAGCAGGATTGAGCCCCAGTTGTCCACAGGAGCAATCAGCTCATTAACATACACTGTATTGGTTTTTCCCCTTTTCCTATATCAATCAATTTCCTCACCTCTCATCTGAATTCCTGGGATTACCTCCCAATATTGCCTGTGCCCACATACTATCCTTGCCTCAGGTTCTGCTTTGGGAGAAAATCCAATATAGACAAGTGGTTCCAGAAGTAATCTCAGGATTGATCCTGCAGTTGGCTCACTCCAGTCAGATGCTAACACGAGCTGCACTCTTGCTGGTGAATGTAGCTGTGAAAACTCCTGTAGGCTGTAGCATCACAATCACTGAAATGCTCACCAGGGTTGGATTGGGGTAGAAAAGGAAGCACCAGCTTATATGATCTCCATAGCACTTGAAAGATATGGGGGCAATGGTAATGGTAAGAACTGTGGAGTTGCTATAAAAGTGAATAAAAGACTCAGGTCAACCAACCATCAGCTCACTGTGGCACACTGTGAAAGGCAGAGGTCCTCCATGGATGCATTTAAACAGACCATTACCTCCTGCAGCTGTAGGGAAGAATGCTGGTAATCAGGTATAGGACTTGATATAAGGATAATAGACCTACAAAAGAGGCTGAATGCACAGTCTCAGGAGGTCTTCCACATTAAAAATCAGGCCTTAATAGGGAAAGAGTTAAATGCTACAACCTGGGATGGGGACATCTGGGTGGAAAGCTCCAGGCTGGCTAAATGGCTTCCTCCTCGTTAGTAAAAGAGAGCAAACTCCCATTGCCTGAAACCATGCCATGGCCTGACCTGGGGCTGATGTTCCACAAGGTAATCTGTGTCCTCCTCATTGCTCCTTCCCTTATTGCTTCTAGATCCGTAGCTAGGCTGAGGTCCCAGAATATCCTGGATGGAGAAGTAGAGTCCATGCTACAGGAAGAAATAGATTATCTATTTCTGGATAAATAGAAAGAGCTGGATAATATATCCAGCAGGAAGAGCTGGATAATATATCCAGCAGGAAGAGCTGGATAACATGTCCAGTAGGAACGAAGAGAACATACGTGGAAGTGGATCTTGAGGAAATTGGATTGGGGGATGGGTTGGTAAAATAAACCACCCCTCAAAATAACTAAATAAATAAACTACCCACTTACAGACAAGTTGATTACATCAGACCCTTCCATCCTGGAGGGGGCAGTAATTCATCCTATGGGGTTGATGTTTATTTCAATTTCCCCTCTGCCACCCCATAATATGCCACTTTGACATAAGGATTATTTTGAGCTAAAGGCACTTGAAAAAAAGCAGATGCAAGGACATGCTAACTTCTTCTTTTCTTCCCCAAAACAGGAGATTAAAAAAAAAAAAACTGCCATGTGAAAGATGTCCTTGTACCAGGAGAAAAGAAATATCCTTCAAGGGGGAGTCCTAACTGAGAGAATTCTGTACAAACAAATGTTATTAAAATAATACTTATATTTCTTTAGCCTCCCCACATAGTTTAGTTACTCCTCCACAATTGCCTCACTTTGTCCAACCTCGTACAAAAGCTTTTAGGCTTTGCCAGTTTATGGGTCTTCATTTCCTTATGGGGACTCCCATGACATGTAAAACATTCATTAAATCTGTATGCTTTTTCCCTGTTAATCTATCTTATGTCAATTTAATTCTCAGGCTCAGCCAGGGACTTTAAGAGAGTTGCTTCTCTTACATATGTAAGCCCCACTATATGAGGACTAATGGAGTCCTTGAGTTATTGACATGAGATCCTGTATTATGACAATGGGCACATGACCATGGGATCCACTGGCTTTTTCATATACTGCATCTCCCAGAAACTGTCAGACTGATAAAACATTAAAACAGCCTTTTACAGGCTCAACAGAGGTACCAGCTCACAGACAACACCCTTCAGAGCTGAAGATCTACCCCTTGTACCATCGCTTCCACTGTCTTATTTGAGGGAACTTATGACCACTCTAATAGAACATTTAGGCTCTGCAGAATTAGAGGTCTACATCCCCAAGAGTGGTAGAAATGCTTCTACCAGGAAACATAATAAAGATTCCACTGAACCTAAAGCTACTGCCACTTGTCATTTGAAATTCCTTATGAAGGCAGACCAACTGGTCAAAAATCAGAGTTAATATTCTGGTGGGTTAATTAATCTTGATTATCACAAGGGGATATAGTTGCTGTACAAAAGATTAATTAAAGCCTCAGCAACTGCTGTAGCTATGGGGACTGCAATTTGTTTCACCAACCCTCCTGCCATTTAACTGTACTTTAGAGACTATGGCCCGTGACTATAATACGTTGCAACATCAACATCAGAGCCTACTCAGTGTAAGCCAGAGCTGATCTATGCACATCCAGGAGTGGTGGACTGTGGCAGACAATGTTGATGTTCCATCCATGCGTCCTTGACCTATGTCTAATTTAACCTGCAACTACAGTAGAGTTCCCATGCATACTGACAACTTCCCACCCCAAGCAGCTGTCTTTTTGCTTCTTGGCCTGAGAGCTTTACCTGGCGTCATAGGCGCTATCTCATCCTGCACACAGGGCAACCCAGATGTGCTGGGAATTTAAACCCTTGTGAGCAAATTTAACAATGAAAAATAGCAGTCATGGCCGAGTGCAGTGGCTCATACCTGTAATCCCAATACTTTGAGAGGCCAAGGTGGGTGGATCACTTGAGGCTAGGAGTTCAAGACCAGCCTGGCCAACATGGTGGAACCCCATCTCTACTAAAAATACAAAAACTAGCCTGGTGTGGTGGCTTGCACCTGTCATCCCAGCTACTTGGGAGGCTGAGGCATGAGAATCGCTTGAACCCAGGAGGCAGAGGTTGCAGTGAGCCAAGATTGTGCCACTGCACTCCAGCCTGGGCAACAGAGGGAGATTCTGTCTCATAAAAAACAAACAAAAAACCCAGCAGCCGTTGGATAAAAATCCAGTCTCCCTGTCTTCAAGCAGAACTATTTTGAGGTACATTCTACAGAGCTCTTTAGAGGTACCCAGGAGCCCATGGCAGTGATCTGATTATAAACACACACATTTGATTCTTTTTTCTCTTAAACTGCCCTACTCTCCTCATCCCTTCATTTGTACGTCCGGGGATCACCTCCTGTATAAATCACCTACTCCCAAGTCCCTGTTCAGGAATCCAAATTAAAGCAATGTACTGTTAAAAAACAGGAAGGGTTCTGCTTGATGATTATAATTCATTTCAGCATATTAATGGTTCTGCAATTTGTACAGTAATAAGAAACAAAAAGCAAAAATAAAAACCCTTAAACCCTGTCTACCTCTGTATTTCCCAAATGTATTTGCGTAGTGGTTAAGAGGATGGACTTTGTATTTAAACCAACCTGGCTTCGAATTATAACTTCATTATTTACTTTGAAAGTCAGTAACCACTCCAAGGCTCAGTATCCCTAACTCTAAAATGGGGATCATAATATATCTACAAAAAAATACAGTAAAAAAAAAGTTGGGTGTGGTGGTGTGCACCTGTAGTCTCAGCTACTGGGGAGGCTGAGATGGGAAGACCACCTGAGCCTGGGAAGTCAAGGCTACAGTGAACCTGATCATGCCACTGTACTCCAGCCTGGGTGACAGAGTAAGATCTTTTCTCAAAAAAAAATAATAATAATAATAATAAATATATATATATATGGAACATGGATTTTTTTGAATTATTGGTATGCATTTCTCTAGGGAAAATCTAGATTATGATTCTAATGGTGGCTTTTTTTTTTTTTTAACAGAAATCTTAAAGACATTTGTAGAATTCCAAAGAAAAAAAGGGTTGCTATCAGTTAACTCCTGCAAATAAGAACCTAAGTTAAATCTCAGCTCAGCACTGAATATAAGCTCACAAAGCTTCTTTGAAGATAATTAGTTTGCCTGTTTTTGAAACTTCTTCATTCCATGCAAATGGTTTTTCAGGAGAATGTATCTGTGTTTTAGAATGCCGAAGTTGTTTATACCTTGTCTGCTAGTCCTAACCCATGCTGTGATGACTCACTCACCCCCAGGTTGAGAGGAAAGATTGGGCTGCTCTGTTACCAAAGTAAACACTAGGGCCTAAGTAGTGCCTTTTTCATTGATCACCTGCTAACGGACAGGCTATGCAAACACGCTCCCTTGGTGAGAACATGTAGAGCTGTCTTTTTTTCCAAATGCATCCCTTGGATTACAGAGCTACATATTCTGAAAATTCTTCTAATGTCTTCTTAGAACAAAAAAACTGTTGAGTGGAAGAACATGAACAACCAGGCATGTTTGATACATAAGCTCCTTAGTACCAAACAAGCTGAAACTGGGATGACTCAGACAATGGCGTAGAAGCAGGTTCTCTTCTTGACATGGCTTTCCTTTAACAGCTCAGCTTTGCTATAGTCCAAGGATAGCACCACTCTACCCAAGAGTGAAAGAGACAACTCACTCAGAGATTCCCAGCGAGCCCCTCTAGGGCAATTAGGCTAATAATTAGCCAGTTGCAACTAGAAGCTTATTGTTAGTCTTTGCAATCAGGAAGCATGAAGGTTGCATTCTGAACTGAGAAACTTCAACATAGTACTTTTTTTAAAAAAAATGTATCGTAGTTTCATTTAAGGCACTGTGTATTTGCAGCAGAAAAAGACAAACATCATTTGACTTAGCTTAGAATTTGTGATGTTTCTGAATGTTGAATTTACCCTTCAAAGTCATAAATTGGAGAATGCAGGGAAAGGTCTATTCACCCTTGTACTTAAATCCCTGACATTGATGGAAAAAGATGCCTCTGTGTTTCTGAGCCCAATAAAAGACAATTTTGGAGAGGTAAATGTGGGGATATATGGAGTGGGGGGAAGAGGAACAAGGCTTGACTGACTTCTTTAAACACCCCTGGCAGTAATTTTCATCCCTCCTGGGGTTTGTCTTTGGATTAGAGACTGTTCCACCGTGGTGTCTGGATGCCCTAATCTCATAGCCAGTTCTCCTGGGAGGATGGTGCAGCTGTGCCCTGTTGCACAAGGGCACCCAGCCCAGGGTGCTCTTGGTGGGAGGAGGCTGTGTCAGCCCAGAGGAAGGGTCACCTCTCCCTAAATTACAGTAGCTCCCTAAATCACTCCAGAGTGAGAGCCCCTAGGTGTCCTGCATGACTCATATACTGTTCTGAGACAAAGGCGGTTGTCTTTGTTTGGGATCTGCCAGGAATTCATGTAATCATGTTGATGTCTCCAGTCATGATGTGTCCCACTTCTTATCACCTACACATCTTCAGAAGAGGATATTATTCCAATGACAATTCTATCAACATGAAATCGATCATGCAGATGCCAGTGTCCTTTGTGTCCATTTCTCACAGTCTTCTACATCTGCGCTGAAATCAGTTTTTCTTTAGTGTTGTTATTGTTGTTTTTTCATTGGGAAAGGATTAAGCATTGAGGTGTTGCTTGACTTTGGAAATTGGGTGGGGTGGCATTTGGAAATGCAAATTTTCACTGAAGCATTTCAACTCGATAGAAAGGATAGAATAGGGAAACAGAGGGTATCCACATGGAACTTGCTTTCAAAGTCTCACTTGGCAATTTACTTTTATTGATGAAATTCAGAGTTTATGTTTCAAATCTAAGTATTTCCTCTTGAAAGTAACTTAATCAAAAGCAGTTGATAATAGCAGGTTAATTACCTTGAGTCTTTGCACTGGAAAAACTGGCTGGGTCACCCCATTACACAACCATCTATTATGATTATATGATGACTCATTATCACGAAGACAATCTTGTGCCATTTAAATCAGCAGGATTCCATTTCTTCACCAGAGAACTATCTCTAAATACACACACGCATGCTCACACACTTCTGAGTTTCCCTTTGTTTATTTTTGCAGCCAACAAAGTATGTTTTCGAGGTTAACAACGAAGCACAGGATAGTACAAGTGGAAGATCATTAACATGACTGGATAGGAACCTCTTTTAATTTCCCTTTCTTGGCTTTTTCCACACCCTAGGTGGATTACACTCACCCTGACACACCTAGAAAATACACCCAGATACCAGAATTGCAAAATTCAGGAAGAATGCACTGCACACTGTATCCAGGCAAGCCAAGCTCACCTAAAAATGGTCTCAAAAAGCAAAGGGCTCTGACCATCGACTGATGGGGTTGCAAGCCCAGCCTGTCTGCAGGAATTTTTAAATCTGAAACCACACTACAGAAATTATTTTATATATTACTTATTTTTAAAACTCAACTGTAAAAATAAGTGTTGCAGGAAGAGTGAGGAAGAGGGAATTTAAAAGAGGAAGTTGGGACTGAATCTATTCGTTCCAACCTCCCTAAGCAATCCACTTATTGATCAGTGCTTCCAACTCAAGGAATATTTAAAATTTTTTAATTAAAGAAAAAATTCTATCAATCAGAGAATCTTGAAGGTAGGGGGATCATTTACAATCATTTTACAGGTGAGGATATTGAGACCAGCAGGGAGATGACCTGCCCAAGCCTGCACAGATAGCAAGGACCAAAGTTGGGATGAGACTCAAATATGCCCTTTCAGATGTGCTTATAAAAACAAGTCAGTGTTCACATTTACTGTATTAATAGGAATGTCTTTCAGGGGGAGTTTACAGAAAAAAAAAATAAACCGAATTAAGTTATGATGACTATATTTTCCATTGTTTTCATTTCCTTAAAAAAGGAAAGGCTGTTGAACTTGTGAGTTCTGCAGTCTATGGTTTTGAAGCTAAGTTATTACACACAAGCTACCTTGTGTGAACATGGAAAGACCTTGATATATTACTTCTTTGTTACAATCAGCAGTAAGTGCCACTTAGCATGTCTGGCTACTTACAGAGTGAAATAATTGCTTAGGAACCTAGAACTGCTTATTTAAAGGGTGGGAACTCAATATTTAATTACTGAACCAAAAAGCACCTCAGCTTTACTGTGGGAAATCTCATGCAATGCACTGTTAGCCTTCAGGTGGTTTCTCAGCCCAATTCTTCATTACTCTCCAGAATCCTCTGGAACTTCCCTTCTGTTATGACATAAAGGTATCTGTCTTGGTGAATCTGGATCAACAAGGAATGGCAGATCTCTATACTAGAACAAGGCTGAAGGAAGCAGACCATTTCTGCAAAATAAGAGTTTATCTTTGTCATAAATACTTTAGGTTGACATGGTTCTATTATATCAGGCTCGTTGGTCCCAGGAGGTTGCATTTTTCCTAAATGTGCGCCGTTAAGGTATTGTGTGATTGAGGAGGGGAAGAAGGCTGGATGGGAAATCATGCAAAGACAAGTGCATGTGGTAGAGAAGCTTATAAACGGAGTCATTTTCATGTTTAACAGGAGACCACGTTTCTTAATCTCTAGATATCCAGTATCTTCTTGAATGAGCTGTGGTATCACTTTAAAAGATGGGATTTTTAACATTTTTAATGACCACTTCAAATTCTCCACCAGCCACGGCATAGTTGTGTGGGTTTTTCTTTTCAATTTTGGTATAATCACCCAGATTACATTTCTCTATGAGAAACATTCACCTCGCATTTTGAAAAGCATAGAAAAATTCACTGCCAAGGACTAGCTGGCCAACAGTAGCCCTAGGGAGATATATTTCCGTTCTCCCACCCAGCCTCTCTGCACCCATCCTCACAATGACATACACCATAGTGGAAGTAACATATGACTTATGGTGGGAAAAAAAATAACAAATGATAAAATGGGAAGGAGGGCAAGGGGAAAATAGAGAGACTGCTACCCCACCACCTGAATGGAAGGGGACCCCAGCACAAGGAGGAGGCTTCAGCTACACTGCACACATGTCCCCCGGGTGTCTGAACCTGCCAGAAATCTCTTAGTCCATTTTCCTCTGGTTGATAGCACTGCAGAGAAATTGTTTAATGTGTGTCTAGGGTATTGTTCATTGAGGAAAAGTTCAGGGAATAGACTATTAGAATTCATTAATCTCCACTCAAAAATTGGTTTTGGACACCTAAAATGAGCAAGGCCCTTAAAACTTCAAACAAAAAAACAAACAAAAACCACTTTTCATTATATCCCATGTTCTTATTACCCATTTTTTTTTTAATTCCTTTCCCCAGATTTGAAAAATGGAAAAACTACAAACTGGAAACAAGTTTAGAATACCTGGTTTATTGGGAAAACTTCATAATGAAAACTACAATTAGCTTTTTCCACAACTTACAAAATAATAATCTGATATTTAAAATGAATTGGTTTTCATTATGTAAGTCGAAATGGTAAAAAATCATAATGACCTATCCGATGCATCATATATATGCTATTCAGAGAAACTCAAATCCCCGAATTCTCCTGTGGCATGTTTTATATCAGACATTTAAAATCTGTTTACCAAGAAAGACCAGGATTTTAACTATATGTAGGTTTCTGCTTACAGTTGCAAACTATCAGAAGCCTGTCTATATGATAGAGCCCAGATAAACCTGAGATTTAGAAAAGCAAGTCATTTATTCTCCTGAGGCTGTTTTAGTGGCACTTTTGTGACAAGAATGACCCTCCTAATGCTTTACTACACAACTTAACCAGATCTATCAGTCATGATAAATTAGACCCAGTCCATCTTTCAATCCAGTCTACTCTGGTTCTGAACATATAAACACAAAACACTACAGATTTATTAATATAGCATTTTCCCACACCCTAACCCTATAAAGAACTTTAAAAGAGAAAATTTCATCTAAATATTTCACACTTAAAGGAAAGCCTTACCAACTATGGCAACAGGTTTGGACCATGAAATAGTACTTTCCTAGATGACATATCGAGTCAACATGAAGCCTTAGCTAAAATGAATGATTCAGGATATTAATGAGAAATTCTCACAAATGATATGCATTTAGGAAATGATTTTGCTTTCCTTAAATAGTTCGAAGGCTTGAAAATAAACTTTTTTTTTGCATTTCTTTTAGAATGTTTGGTCATTAACAACTTTTAACCTTATCTTCCTCTTCTCCTTAGCCCTTAACAGACCGAGTCCATTCTATTTGGAAATAACAAGAACTTGATCAGATTATTAAATCTTGGAAACCTCATTTTTACCTTATAAAGTGTTAAGTTTCACGTGCATATTCTCTTACAAATGTAGTATAAATGTTATGGATAGATATAAGGAAATATTGGCATAGTATAGGTAATTAGTGAAAAGACACAACTTCACAAAACATAATAAAAGATAAACATGAAACTATAACACTACTTAAAAAATATTTTCTCCCAAATTATTTTAGCATTTTTGACTAGTTTAATAATATGAACACTGCCAAAAAATGGGTTCAAAGTCGCCTGGAGAAACAGTTTCTTCTTCTGGAGTCCATCTCAGCAGCAGCGATTTTCTCCCACATTCATTCCCAAGTTAGGCAGATGTGTAGAAGTACCTGGGCTTGGCATTGCCCAGAAGGTCATCTTCGTAGTTGGGGAGGCAGCAGAAGAAGAAGGCACAGCCAATCAGGATAATCGTGGCTGCCCACCCAAAGCCGTAGGCCCAGTTATAGATGTAAGTGACAGCAGGGTTGGCATGAAGGGTGAAGGTCTGGGTGTACTTCACGGGGTAAATTACCAGGGAGATGATCTGGAACACAGCTAAAGGGAAGAAAAAAATCCCAGGGTATGAATGCATACATGCATGAAGGAATAAATACACATTAGCGACAGATTACCTCCTTCCACCAAGTTTCTGCCTTGAAATAAGTATAAAATCTACCTGGAGGCAGGAGGAATCTGGTTAGGCAGAGGCCAAAAAAGATTCTTGACTACTGTGTGTAAGAGATGCCTGGCACTGAGCAGCATCACACACATATGCCAAATATGTGAAAAACACACAAAAAAATCATTGGAGATCCATTCTATATTACATAAGCATTATATATACTAAAGCAAAAAAGTGCAAAACTGTGGCATACAATAGAAAGCAGGACAGTAAAGAACAACCTATTTTTTTCATCTTTGTGTTTCCTATACCAAACACATATTCAATATGTTCAGTGTTAGCAAAAATTACATATATATATGTATATATACACACAGGCATGCACACATGACTCAATATTGATATTCAATAACACATCACTGGAATATTCATTCAATAAGTAAATGACTAAATGAAACAATGAACTAATATTGAGAATGATCAAGGGGAGAATCCGCAGAGAAGCCTGCAGAGGACGCGGAAATCTGAAGAGGAAACAGACGTGGAGGGAGGGCAGGGGGAAGGGCATGGGGAAGTGTGGTGGGGACAGAAAAAACAAAAGCAGCAAATGATCACAGTGCTTAGGGAGGTGTGAGTTAAGATGTGGAAAGAAACACATGAAGATTTCTAAACTCTCTGGCATAATAGTCACATTATTACAATTATTAATCTTTGTAATAGTATTTAAGCAATTTCAAACAAAATGAACATTATTGAGTCTACTTTCGTGGTCTTTTTCAATGGACATGCATGATTTTATAAAGCTACAATGAGTATATACATGTGTGTTCTGCATCATTTTAACTTTATATGTACATTGCCATGTCAAAGGGTCTGATTTTAGCTCTTTCACCATAAGACACTACTCTCCACAAGGAGGGACCAAGTAGCTGTGCCCTCCAGGAAGGTATCAGGGAATCTGTAGTCCTCACCACCATTTTTTCTACCATCTTAATTCTTGTCTACAGCTCCACAGATGTACCTTGAAGTAGTTTTCTTTTTCTTCTTCATTTTTTTTTTTCACTGCTAGAAAGGCTATAGATGTTTCTGTGTCTTCATTTGTTGCTTCTAATTCTTAACTAAACATTCCTCTTCTCTTGCAATTTACAAAGGACAATCTTAGGGCAAATCTTAAACATTTATCTACTTCTGGTATACTTTAAATAGCAATCTCTTACTATTTAAGTTTGTCATTTGCTACCACATACTGTGTAAGATACAAAAGCAATGCTTTTCTATGTTGACTTCTAATTTTCTTAGTAATAAATATTAAATATTGCTATTTATCGATTCTGGCTCATCATATATGAAGTCCTTATAACAGTTTGGATTAATTTCTGCCAAATTTAAATTGTATCAGTGTTCAATTTTTCTGATGTTTAATGTAAGAATATATATAAAATTTAAAATAACAGTTTCTATGAAACATACCTTAAAAGTCAAATAGGCCTTATTCAGCATTACTACTAAAAGTGTGTTGAGATTTCTAGGCTTTTTATTCTTCTAAATACATTTTCTGTTCTATTTTTCATACTCTTTAAAGGAAAGGATGAGTATTAAATTACAAAATGAAAACACTAGGTTAAGCCGACTGTTAAGCTGTAAATCTGTTGAAGCTCACTGAACTAATTTTCTTTACAACAATAACTCTGCTACCCCGTCACTGTGGATGGCCATTGCTAGATCTTTTTGTTTTAATGCTACAAGAAAGCAATGGATAAAAGAGTTTTACTAGGATATTTTTTATTCTGGTAAAATATATATAACATTTATCATTTTCACTTTCAATTGTTCACTCTAAGTGTACAATTCAGTGGTATTAAATGAATTCACAATGTTGTATAACCATTACCACTATCTATACCCAAAACTTTTTCATCTGTACATAAACTCAGTATCTCTTAAAAAATAACTCCCCATTCTTCCCTCCCCCCAGCCCCTGGTAACTTTTATTCTACTCCCTGTCTCTGTAAATTTGCCTATTCCAGGTAGCTCATGTAAATGGAATAATATATTTGTCCTTCTGTGCCTGGCTTATTTCACTTAGCATAATGTTTTCAAGGTCCATCATGTTGTAGCATATATCAAAATTTCATTCCTTTTTATGGCTGAATAATATTCCACTGTATGTATATACGCATTTTGTTTGTCCATGCATCTGTTGATGGACACTTTGGTTGTTTCCACCTTTTGGCTGTTGTGAATAGTGTTGCTATGAACATGGGTTACAAGTATCTTCAAGTTCTTGTTTTTAATTCTTTTGGATATACACTTAGGAGTGGAATGCTGGGTCATATAGTATTTACTAGGATTTTTCAACTAACATTAATGTCTCAGTGTGTTATTTATTATTTATTTATTTATTGAGATGGAGTCTTGCTCTGTCACCCAGGCTGGAGTACAGCAATGCATCTTGGCTCACTGCAACCTCCACCTCCCAGGTTCAAGTGATTCTCCTGCCTCAGCCTCCCATGTAGCTGGGATTATAGGTGTGCACCATCAAGCCCAGCTAATTTTTGTATTTTTAGTAGAGATGGGGTTTCACCATGTTGGCCAGGCTGGTCTCGAACTCCTGACCTCAAGTGATCTGCCTGCCTCAGCTTCCCAAAGTGCTAGGATTATAGGCATGAGCCACCACACCTGGCCTTAGTGTGTTATTTCTAATGGTGATTTAAACTGGCATCTATGGAGTTTTCTACGACACATGAAAGGAAGACACATCAAATGTGTTTCTTTGCTAGAGTCTCATAAATGTGAACTACAAAAATAATCAAGTAGAAATGAAAGTGGGCATCAACCAGGTTCTTTATATCTTTTGTGATTCCAAGTCACTTCTGATTTTAAAATATTATTCAAAAAGCAAACTTTGAAAATATGAGGATCAGAAACTTTATTTTTAATCAACAGAAACTGTCAAATGTGCCGTGAAGAAGGCCAGGACTGTGCATGTACCAGCTGGTTCTTTGAGGCACTCCTCCTGCCTCGCCTGTGTTGCCCACAGCTCTGCGAACTTAACTCTTCTAAGCTCAGGGAACCGGCGCAAAGTGGCCTTCCTCCTGGCTCATGCATGATCATATAGACCCCTTAGAGTCATAAGGCTTCTGACCTGTTTCCAAGACCATCTGCTCACTTTGTATTTGTACCTCGGGTCTGTAGCTTGAATTTCTGCTTTGGTCCCATAAGCCTAAACTGGTAAGAAATGACCTGAGGCCTCGCTTTGCCGCTGTCAGCACCTTCTCTTTTTTCCCTGCTCAGAAAGTCCAGTTTTACTTCTGAATCTAACTCCGTGGCTAGGGTCCTGCCCCTTTGACAGATTTCCTTAGTGCCACAGACCTGACTAAAATTTCCAATAATTCTTCTCCTAAAATCCTAGTTCTTGTATTCCATCAATAAATATTCACACTGGGCCCTGCACACCTGAATAACTAAATTTCTTCACATCACCTGTGTCTGGACCACTATTCCCCCCACACAGGCACCATGCTGCAGATTCCAGTTCTGGCCCCTCCCAGGGTCTTCCATCCCACGGCAGAACACCATTTCAGGACCCACATCATAAGATCACAAGCCTCTTTCAACAAGGGAAATAGTTCAGGGGCATTCAGGTCCCCTCAGCAGGGGGCTCACAGCAGGCCAGGGCTGGGGACCACAACGGAGAGCACTGCTTTTCCAGGGCTGACATAGCCTAGTTTCTCGGGTAGAGGAGTCAGTGGATAGGGCCCCCTAAGAGAGATAGGGGCATGTAGAGTGACAATCCCTGTCACTCGGATGGGGACTACAGAACACTGCGTGAGCCACAAGAGGAAAGGGAACCAGATCTTAAAACACATCTCTCCTCTGTTACTTCTGCCCTGGTGATACATTTTCCGAGAACAGATTAGAAACTGTAACAGTCACGGGTCTTCTTTGTGGAATTGACCATTACTAAGTCGATGCCCACTGAAGGCATAAATGAAGAATTGCTGACACACAGTCTTACCAGCCAAGGCAAGGAGACCTCCAATCACTCTCAGGAAGACAAGCATCTGGGGTCCACAGAGGGCGAAGAAGGAGAGGATGAAACAGATCACCAGGATGATGAAGCCACAGAAGAGCATGGCAGCCGCTGCTCTACCCCACGCTGCAAGAAAAAAAGAAACAGCAATTAACAAGACAGACATACCAAGTTTAAAAATTACTTATCACAGTATCAACATGGTTTTGGGCTTTTTTTCCCTACTAGTTACATTTGGATGGAGGGACAGTTTTTCTTTTGACAATACTTGAGCATCTCCATATTTTAAGGGAAGAACAGGCAATTCATATGTAGGACATTAATATACTGAGACTCAGAAATGCCTTTTCCCCCTCAGTTTTTGGCAAAAGTTTACATCTCTGAAATGAAAGTCAAACTTCATTAATCTGTTTCTCGTGTGATAAGTTTGCCACATAACGGGTATATTTATAAGGTTCACCCAAGTTCTGACACAACGTGATCATAATAAACAACATTTTTGGTACTGAGCAATCCAGATTATAAACTCTAGGAAATGTTTTTAAATACCTTTAAGGGATCTTTGTTTCATATTAATGTTTGGTTCTATGCAAAAATAATCATTGAAAAAATATATTTATGACTAGGCAGAGGTGTTAAATAAAACAATTTAAGTGTGGAGAAGTAGCTCTGATCTTATAACAAGCTTATAACTAGCTTATAACAAGATCTTATAACAAGCTTGGGAGCAAACCACTTTCCTAAATTTCTGCCTAAATTTTAATTTCTTAAGTATTCAAAATGTATTGCACAAGAGATTTTAATTATTTACCTTTGCCCTAAAAAAGAATCAGGATTTGATGGCAATCAACTTCTAGGTTTGAAGACCTACATGGGTACCTCCAGCCCTGGGTCATTCTATTCTACACTGAGGAAATACAGAGATCCATGCTATCCACACGAATGATTCCAGTCAACAACACCTATTGTTCAACCTGCCCTCATTGCTAAAACCCCTTCACACACAACCTTTCCTCTAGTGGTAACACCTAATAACATTCAGGACATGCATGAGCTCACTGAATCCTCACAACAACTTTTTTTTCCCAGGTTATTTTTTATTTTTATATATATTTTTTAATTTCAGTAGTTTTTGGGGTACAAGTGGTTTTTGGTTACATGGCTGAATTGTATGATGGTGAAGACTTTAGTGCACCCATTACCTGAGTAGTGTAAATCTCCTAATAACTTCTTAAGGTACACACTGCTATTGTTTCTATTTTAGAAATGAAGGATATACTTAGAGTTCAAATAACCTGCCCATAGCCACACAGCTGGTAAATGGTTTAGACAGAGTTTGATTTCAGCCTGTTTGAATCCAAAACATGACTTTTTTAAAGATATAATTTACACACTATAAAGTTCGCCCTTTTAAAGTGTATAATTCAGTGGTTTTTACTATATTCACAGTGTTGTACAACCATCTCCACTAACAATCCAGAATATTTTTATCGCCCCGCAAAGAAACCCCGTGCCCATTAGCAGTCACCCTCCATCCCCTCTTCCTCCAGCTTCTGGCAACCACAAATCTACTTTCTGTCTCTATACCTTTGCCGATTTTGGACTTTTCATATAAATGGAATATCATACACTATGTGGCCTTTTGTGACTGGCTTCTTTCACTGAGTATGGTATGATGCGGTTTGTCATGTTATAGCATCAATCAATACTTCATTCTTTTTGTGGCTGATTAATATTCTATGGTATGGATAGACTTTAGTCTATCCGTTCATTTGCTCTTGGAAGATCGTGCACACTTAACCTATTAGTCTTCACTACATTTGAAAAGGAGAGTCATGAGTCACCTGTCCTCCATCTTGGCGTTACTCTTACTCTGTGACGCAGCACAGCTGACAGTATTTGTCCTCACTTAATTCTAGGTTGTTTGACTGGTCAAGGTGAAACAAAGATGGGGCTGGCAGAAAGAGCAAGGGTGTTGGAGCTGCTGGACCTCGTTTGGACCCTGCCTCTGCCCCTGTTGGCCATACTCCAGTCTTTGCATCTGTTAGCCAAGGCTAAAAACACCTATTCCAAGATGATGGAAGCACACTCCTGTAGTATCAGTGACTAACTCCCCAGCCCTCACTACTCAAAATGTTCCTCCTGTGTCCCTGTGACTTTTCTCTAGTACCTCATGTTTTTATTTTCTTCTACATTCGCAAGGTTCTGCACCATCCCTTAAAGATTGTTTCTCAATCATCTGATGCATTTTTCTCTTTTCATCTGTTAGAGACAAACCTGAGCTAAGGCTCCACATGCCCTTCTCCAACTCCCATGCACCTTCCAGGTCTTCCTCTAGATTCATGAGTGACTGGGGCACAATAGATTATTAAGGAGATAAAACATTTTTCTGTCCTAGAAACACTGTTTTCACACAAATTAGGTCAGGATGGGGCTGAGACTGTACCTGATTTGGCCTAGTTTTATACGGACAATTTTTATTACTTTCCTCCAAATCTTCTAGCTCTTCCTGTCAGACCACTGAGAGACTTGAGAGATAAGGTTAAAATGGGAATGTTTTATTTTAAAATAGAAAGGAATAAAGCCAAAATGTTAAAACTTAGTAAGTCTCTTTTTCTCACTTTTGCCTTGTTCTTCAAGTAAGATAACTTTTAAGAGAAGAGGGACCATGCTTTGGAAAGAACATTAATTAATCAGACCTCTCAAAGTACAGCCCATAGACCACAAAGGCAAAATAAGCAGTAGTGCTCCTTAAAATGATACTGATTCCTGTGCCTCCCTCCAGACCTATGGAATCAGAGCTTGAGTGGTAGCACCCAAGAATCTGCATGTTATTAGTGTTTCTTATATCCATAAAGTTTGAGAACAACTTAGATGATTAAAGTCCTTATTAAAACAGATGCAGCACTACCAAAAAGGATCATATAACTTTAAGTATGTGACCCATTGTCAATTACAGTCTCATTTCTTTAGTTTTTTTTAAATGGCCACTGGTAATTGTTAAGTTCAATTAAGTCCAATAGTTAAATCAAATAAGCAAAAACTTTTTTTTAATTTTATGAGTTCAGAAGTTTGAAACTGCAATGAAAGGAAACATATCTATATATGCATGTAAAAGAACGCAAACATAATAAAAATCATTGCATAGGAGAATGTGAGTTTTCCATAAAAACAGGCAAAACCTCCTAACAAGGAATCTATTTCAATAACTAAACTTTTACAATCACAGATAAAGGTTTGAAAAATCTAGCCAAATAAATTATGTATGATATTTCTGTAAAGAGTAATATTAACAATTTTACCTATTTGAGGAAAATTAACATAAAAAGATTATTACTATTATACTTCCTCTAACATTATAGCTGAAGTATAATTTATGCTTAGTTTCAAGTGCTTGGAAGGAATTAAACCAAAGAAATGGTAAGCCAATTCACCTAACCTAAAGCCAAGACGTGAACATAAATATAGGAATATTTTAAGAACTTTTCCCATGCTATCTTAACACGACTCAGTTCATGTCTTGCTTATTTAAAGTGCTGAGTCTAAAGAAAATCAAAATGGAAAATTAAACCACATTTTGTCTTGAGAAAGACTGCCTTGGAAATAGAACGTGTAAAACCTGCTCCTTGCATCACAGAAACACCCACATTGAATCACTTAACTATCATTTAAGACAGAAAACTTGGCACAGTTCTAAAGATCCTGACTGATGAATAACAGACGTCTTCAAGTAAAGCAATCTGCCTTCTCATGTCAGTGACCATTTAGACCATACCAGGTCTGAGCAGGGTCCTCCCAGCCCACCGTTCTGTCTGAGAAGGAGCCTTTCAGATGTAGAGACTTAGGACATGGGTATTCTCGATGACCTACATTTTGAAAAGTTAATAACTTTATGCCCTAGGTAGCTGTGGTCTCACTTAGTTACCTAGAATGAGCCTACTTTCTACAAATTGACCAAACCCTTTAGGAGCTGTTTATATTTTTATATTATATCATGGTCTAAATTCTACCCTATTTCCCGACCCCACTGGAAAACATCAATTTTTAGAACTTGTCCTAAAGCTACATCTTTCATGATTCAATAGATGGTCCTCAGTTTTTCAAAGGCAGACTGTCCATCTTTATCTAATACGAACACAAGTTTGTCTTTCATTACTATTTTATATACCAGATTTGTGTGTGTGTGTGTGTGTGTGTGTGTGTGTGTAAGTGTATGGGAGAGAGTAGAAAGGATTCTTATTGTCAACTCTCATTCTCTGGATTGAGACCACAAAAGCATTCAGTACTCCAGGTAAATAGATGCTGCGTTTCTGTGTAGGAAAGTTTTTGTTTGTTTGTTTTATTTTCTTAAGGGAAGACCAATTTGGTGTCCTAACTTTATTTTCTAAGTACCATTTAGAAAAGCTCATGTAATCAAAGAAACCAGCAGCATTATAAATCCAATTTAAGTGATATTCATTAGATGAACAACAGCTTCTCAAAGTTTCCTAGCCCTCGCAAAGATTCAACATTAAATCAAGAACACGGAAACCATTTAACGATCACCAACAAAACTGAGTTTTTCCTAGGACGTGTTTTTAAGGTTTCTGTATGACAAAGCATGCTGTATTTTTTTCCAGAAATTACATACAAAAACGCAAAATGTTACAAGGCTAGTAAGATCAACTAATAAGAGCAAAAAAGTAAAAATAAATAAATACTTTAAATGTCAAGCTAGAAATAGGCCAGCCGCGGTGGCTCAAGCCTGTAAGCCCAGCACTTTAGGAGGCCGAGAAAGGTCACGTGAGGTCGGGAGTTCGAGACCAGCCTGGCCAACATGGTGAAATCCCCATCTCTACTAAAAATACAAAAATTAACTGCGTGTGGTGGCACACGCCTGTAGTCCCAGCTATTCAGGAGGCTGAGGCATGAGAATCGCTTGCACCTGGGAGGCAGAGGTTGCAGTGAGCCAAGATTGCGCCACTGCACTCTAGCCTGAGCAACAGAGGGAGACTCTGTCTCAAAAAAAAGTCAAGCTAGAAATGATAAACTGAAGCTTGAGAAAATAAAATAAACTTTTATTTTAAGACAAGAAGAACATCATTAATATTTTTTAAATTGTTGGTGATACTTTGGAGACGATCACTAAGTTTCCCCCCAAAGGTAGTCCTCCTCTTCATGAATCTGCTGCATTCTTTGGTAGTTTTAAACGACGCCCTTATGACACTAATGTGGCACCCAACCAGAGTCCAGTCCCTTTCCAGAATACAGGATTCATCTGTCAATAATACCAAAGATTCTGTATCATCCAAGATTTTGTCAGATTCTTCATATTGTTTCTATAAGGCTCTTTAAGCCAAACACAGGCAGAACTGAAAACTGGATAAAACCACAGTTCAAAAAATTAAAAAGATCCTGCCTACAACTAAATGTAAGCATAGGAGAATGATATATTCAAAAATATAGTTTTGCATAGTCAATGAGGAGGTAATCTGCAGTGATTTGGCCAGTGCTTCTGAAACTTAAAAGTGCTTACCTCCTCCGGGAAGTAGTTAAAATGCCGATTCCGATCCTTAGGCCAGCATGAGACACTGGACGTCCAACAACCACCCAGATAATTCTGCTGTCCTGGTTTGCGACACTTAGAGCAGCAAAAATCTAGAGGACAACTCATAGCAGTCCCCCCCAAAAAATACATAAAAAGACACCATTCTGCAGAAGTTCAGGAAGGCAGTTAAATGGCTCAACAGAGAGATGGCAGGGAGAATACACGGGAGAGCATTCCACAGATGGTGTGAGATTCTTTACATGCTCTGCATGGTCTCATGAAACTGACTACTCCATTGCTCTCTGTTACTTTAACCCTTAATAACCTTCTTTTAGACGATTTATCTAATCAACGAGGGGAGAAGCCATTCTATACAGGACAGGGTGAAAACAGGAAAAGTCAATCTAAAGACAACTAGCAGTGAATTTGGGGTCTACCCTCAAATATTTGAACATGTGTCAATGAAAGAAAGCTGGAAAGTAGGAATTACACAGCTCTGTCAGTTTAAGAGAAGGACTTGGAAACAAACTATCATCCAGGCAACAGAACTAAGTTGTTGAATAAGGGACGAAGCTTAGTCAGGGGTGCTATGGATGGGTGCAGGCTTTGGTGAAAGCTTGAATCTGGTGTACTTTAATTCCCTTCTAATTATAACATCCCAGTAGTCTGCGTCCCTTTACAGGACAAACACGAGTTAGGGGACACTGAGAAAGGAACCGAGGCTCTCTGGGGTGGCTACTGCTGAGTGAGGCACATGTGGAATGAATGGCCTGGACTAGATTACTGGGTCTTAAACGTTCTAGATGTTATAAATCATACGTACTTTTAAAAATTATTAAATCAATAGAGTGGCCAACTTTTTATTTTTTGCTGTGTAAGAACTTGAATGCATACATGCTCGTGCAAAGAGTAATCTGTCTGCGGCCAGGCGCGGTGGCTCACGCCTGTAATCTCAGCACTTTGGGAGGCCGAGGTGGGCGGATCACGAGGTCAGGAGATCCAGACCATCCTGGTTAACATGGTGAAACCCCGTCTCTACTAAAAATACAAAAAATTAGCCGGGCGTGGTGGCGGGCGCCTGTAGTCCGAGCTACTCGGGAGGCTCAGGCAGGAGAATGGTGTGAACCCGGGAGGCGGAGCTTGCAGTGAGCAGAGATTGTGCCACTGCACTCCAGCCTGCGCGACAGACCGAGACTCCGTCTCAAAAAAAAAAGAGTAATCTGTCTGCTAATGCCTAATTTCATAAATTAGGTACAGTTTTGTATTTTTTTGGAGACTGAGTCTCGCTCTGTCACCCAGGCTGGAGTGTAGTGGCCCAATCTTGGCTCACTGCAACCTCCGCCTCCCGGGTTCAAGCAATTCTCCTACCTCAGCCTCCTGAGTAGCTGAGATTACAGGTGCCTGTCACCATGCCGGGCTAATTTTTTTGTATTTTTAGTAGAGACGGGGTTTTACCATGTTGGCCAGGCTGGTTTCAAACTCCTGACCTCAAGTGATCTGCCCGCCTCGGCCTCCCTAAGTGCTAGGATTATAGGCGTGAGCCACCACACCCGGCCAGGAACAGTTTAATACCTTTCCCTACCCCACTCCCCACTGAAAAAACCACAAGGGCATAATCTCAAAATGAAGTCCTTTCAATCAGTGGTCCCCAACATTTTTGGCACCAGGGACCAGTTTCAAGGAAGAAAATTTTCCTTGGTTTTGGGATGATTCAAGTGCATTACCTTTATTACACACTTTATTTCTAGTATTATTACACTGTATAATATATAATGAAATAATTACACAACTCACCATAATGTAGAATCAGTGGGAGTAACAGTCTGTGGCCTCAGGGTTGGGGATCCCTGCTTTAAGAGGAATTTAGACTAATGTGAACTATTAACTTGTACTTACTTTTCTTATTTCTTGTACATTGGAGAGCCACAGGGCTAACTGACCTAAAACTATTTCATGTAATACTGATTCTTTGACTTGGCCAACAGCGATTTCATGTTAAAAACAAACAAAATATTGATGCATTTACAGTATGCAAAGGGTGTCTTTGGTTAAAAAACAACAAAAAACCGGAGGCTTTGTACTTCCCAGTTTGGATTCAAGGCAAATGCTCGTCAATCCTCACTGACTCCCTGTTTCACTCTGGTGCACAAACTTATCACCATTATTCTCCCCTTGAACAAGCTGGAGCTTGCCTGTGATTTGAAATCTACACAGCTGCGGCTGAAAATATCCTCCTGATGTATTCTTTCTTAAAAACTAGAAAAGATGGTGCCAGCGGTGCAAAACTAGTATGAGTGAACATGCATTTAAATTTCACATTTTATTTATAGGTGAAATTTGAATGATTTCAATCATTAATCTATAGATTTTCTTTTCCTGTTTTGACAAATATAAACCATGATTTTTAAAAAATTCAAATAAGAATGTTTTTAGCTGGGTGTTAATTTAGCTGGTCAAAGAAAATATTCAGCGAATAATTTGGCTCCTTCACAAGGAAAAATGAGGTGATTTGGTCATCTGAAATTCTTAAACTGTCAGTAACAGTGAAAAATATAATATTCTGCTTTTTATATAGTTCTAAGGAATTATTTATCTTTATAAAAACATCCATATTCATTCGGATTATTGTCAATACTTGCCAGGAATAACCTGTGTCTTTACTACCAAAATGAACATATTGTTATGATTATCAACTAATAAGAGAGGTGTTGAAACACTTTGTAATAACAAGATTTTCTTAATAGTTACAACGGTAAATCAAAATATTTATTGCCTAGTACATATCAAGAAGTTTTTCAAAGTGGATGTACACACTCAATTCTCTATACGGAGATCTCATTTTAATCAGAGCCATCAACCTTATTCCTTGTTGCACAAGATACTGTGTGTTTGTGCATACGTGGGAGTGTGTGTAAACTGCTTACTTCATTTTAGATAAAGTACAAGCTCATGTAAATATATGGTTTTCAGTAAGGCCTTACTAAGGCTATCTGAAAATCCAGAGTTCATAGATGCCTAGATAATCGCCTTACAGTGTCGTTATACACAGCTTCTACAATTGTGAGGCAAAACTAGACAATGTGCATGCAGGCGATGAGACAGACGTATAATAAGCACTTAAACTCATCTTTGGCTACAACGGCCAGAGGTAGCTCCATATCTGCTGTCTTCTTCCCACAGCCACTTCATGACAGCGGATCCCAGATTCATGATTTGATTCCAGATCTTGAGCAAGAGCCGTGTGTAATGCATTACTGGCACTTAATTAACTTTGCAAAGGTAGCAGGAATAACTAAACTGAGTTGTTAAAGCTATTACCATTTACGAAAATCAGTCATGCTGCATCATAAACAGATTTTTCGAGATCCACTTAGAAAATCGAGCTTTTCCAAGGACCAATTTCTATGTCAAACTGAATTATAAACTATACACTGGTTAGTGTTTTCTTTACAATGAAAAAAATTAACATTTAGACTTCTAATTAAAAATTCAACCAAACTAAGAAAAAAAACCTGCTTATTGCCTTCCATATACAAAGCACTGTATCAGTCTAAGGTGGAACACCACACCCTAAAAAGGTGAGCTCATCCTGCAAGTCAAGAAAAATAAAAATGGCATTGTGCATGTTTCACAAGAGGGCTGTGGTCACAGCCAGAGCCCTGCAGGTCAAATCATGTCCCGTCAGTAGCACTGATCATAGTTCTGCCAATATCCCCGCCACCAGTCAAAGGCACGCTAGTCTTACTTTATATGTGGAGGATTACTGCATATACTTTGGGTCTGCATTAGTCTTTGGAGTAGGGTATAATTATCAAAGTATGTTTAAAAACACACACGCAGATCTGTTAGGTCCCCTAGAAGAGACTGAGTTCAGATGCATTTTAACTAGAAGATAGAGGTACATTATTTCAAAAAACAATTAATTCGCTTTAAAAACCTAAAACACTGGAGATGATACAAACCTGAGCTGGCACAGTGTATGGGTTTTCAGAGAAGAAAACACACAAACTGCAAAGAAAGCTGGAATTTTCTGCAGTGTTTACATTTTATTACCTGGCTAATGGGGACCATGCTTCCTTTTGTGGGGAAGTGACGTCCAAAGGATTACACAAAAGAAAGGGCACCAAGTTGCTGATATAGTCCCCCGGAAACACAAATAAACAGGATTGGGTTGGAAGCCCTGGGCCACTTCAAAGAAAAAAATCAAGTCAATGGTAATAGTAAGAAATGAAAACAGGCAGGGTAGCTTGCTGTCTGTGTTTAAAACTATTAAACCCGGTAGGTAAAGCCCATTTGGCTTTAAGGTTTTATTAGGCTCTCACAGACCCCATCTCCACCCCCACACACATTGCTAATCACAGTAGACCCCAGCTGTGATTCCCATCCACCCCCAGGAAAGGAGAGGGGGCTTCCCACTGTGAAAGAAAATGCCTTCTCAGACAAGAACTATGCTCCAGTCCTGACTTTCAGCAAGGCAAGCAGGGAGCTTCCTCCATGCTGGGAAAATGGCATACAGTACTTCACCTGCTAGGTACATTAAATTTGTCAACTCTGCTTCACGTCGCGAGTGTAGGGAATGTGTTTGCTTTTTAGATTTCAAATCGGATTAAAATAATTAAGTTTTCTAAACAACAATGCCATGCTTAAACCAAAGGACACGCCCTAGAACAAGAGCTAACAAGAACTAGCCTGACCGGTAAAGTAGACTGAAATATCTATTGAAAACGTTAACTGCTAAAACTGCCTGAAAGGGCTTTTTTAAATGAGAAAGTTTTTTCAGCTATATCAAGTTGAACGAATCCACTGATATTAGGGAAGGCACGTTATTTCAATATTTATATTTTAATCATAAGAAGAAACGAGAAGGAAGAGAAATGGGAAGAAATTTCAGGTCTCCAAGAAACTTTGTTCATTATATTTACTCATCTAAACTTGCAATGCTTGAAATAATCTTTCGTACGTAACCGACAAAACCCAGGAAAAAAACTATACAGTTTGAACTACGGCCTTTTTTTTTTTTCTGTTTCTGAGCTTGGTGTTGGCCACCCAAAGCTACTGCTGCTGCATTTGGTTCAGGTCGGATGCATGAGCCCGAGCTCGTCCTAAACAGGCATTCTGAAAAGCACTGGCTCCCCCGACCCTGTGAGGGCCCATCACGCGCGGCGGCTTTTGCAGGCCGCGGCCCCGAGGGCTTCCTGGAGGCGGCGACGGCGGCGGCGGCGGGCACTCACCGTACTCCATGAGGCTCTGACAGCCCTCCTCGTAGGACCCGCTGCCGCCGCCCTCTTGGGAGCATTTCCACCACAGCGAGGACGTCTGGCCGTGGTCGCTAGACTGCAACCAGCCGCGGCCGGCCAGCGCGATGATGTCGAAGGCGATGGCGCTGAGTAGGAGCAGGGGCAGGATCCAGCGGCAGCGCTCGCAGGCCAGGCCGCAGCGGATCATGTTGACGGGCGGCGCGGGGCCGAGCGGAGCGGAGCGGAGCGGGTCGGAGGAGCGCGCGGGACGGGCGACAGCAGAGAGTGGCCTGCGAGCGCGGGCGCCGCCACAAAAGCGAAGAGGCCGCGGGGAGGCGGCTCCCGAGGACGCCGCTCCGGGCGGCCCCACCTAGATTCCGGTGACTCAGAGCGCGCCCGCCCCGACCTGCCCTGCCGGGCCGGGGCGGGCGGGGCCGCTGGTAAACAGGCTGGGTTCTGGTGACACCGGGCGGCGGCGGAAGGCGGCCCGAGGGTCCCGCGCGTCCCACAACCCTCCAGTCCCGCTCTCCTGGCCTCTCCAGGCGCGTGTTTTGTCTTCCTGGCGCACCAACATATACACTTGTTTATCTGCACAGCGCCAGCCTAATATCTGACCCCTGATGTCGCATCGTGGGGCGGTGGTCAGCAGTGCCATATCTGAGTTTTCAGCAGTGTGAGATGGGTGTTCTAATTGCACCTGTGGATAAAGGCTGCACTCCTTTGGACGCGTGCACCCAAACCCAGAAGCCCGTCCCTGACCCCTGCTGACACAGGTGATCCCTTCCTCCTAGGCTCCGCCTTTGCACCTTGGACCGTGGCTCCCCGGGTACTCTTATCTCTTTGCATGCTGTTCTTTCCTGCTGGGTTGCCAGATTTTGGAAAGCGGAGGCGATGCTGAATTTATCTGTGTATCCTTAGTGTCCGGCACCGTGTTTGGATCTCAAGGGGAGCTCAGTGAATTTGATGAATGAACATGTAATTTAACAAATGCTCGCTTCCTTTCGGAAAGGCTTCATCTGGCTTCCCCAGATAATTTCATGTCGCCTCTGCTGCAGTCCACTTCCTATCACGAATCTCTACCTATTTAAACTGCACTCTCTCTACTCTTCATTTACTATTTTGAGGTTTTTCCAAATAAAAATCATACGTCAGCATGCAACCTGCATTTAGGATCCCCCCTTCGGTGTCCTGGGCTAGCTCCCGTCGCAGTTCTGACTCCTAAGATGTGACAGGAAGGGTGGGGTGGCAGCCAGGTGTGCCGCTGAGGACAAAGGAGTTCTCAGTGTCAGGCACCTCGGTGGCCTTGGGAAAATCACTGAAACATCGTATGGGGGTCATGTCTTAACCCTGTACCTCCAAAGATTTCTTCTGAATCCCCTATTTTTTCTGTTAATTTAATATAAAAGTGGGAACTACTTAAAAATATTTTAAATTGTATTCCAATTTGATATTCTCAATAGAAACAGAATACTCTTTTGACTTATGCCATTTTCTGGCAATTCTTGAGGACGAATAAAAGCATGGAGAAAGTATCTGAAAATACATGAAATAATTTCCCTAGCCTTCATTTTACATAATTCAAGTTTTACATAAACCACGTCATATATTTTTATTACAGGAAAATATTTTCACTTTCAAAGAACACAAGAGGGTGTTCTGCCAAAAGTTAATTTTGTATCGTGGAAGCTGTGTGAAGAAAATGGTGATATTTATGTTCTCAGGGTTTTCAAAAGTAATGAAGATATTTGTTTAATTAGCTATGTATAATATATTTGTGAGAAAAAAAAATTCTTATAAGTCAAATACTGACCAGAAGCAAAGTGGCTTCAGACAAAATGAGAGTTTTGCAGGCATCTTAATATCTCTGGATAATTTTGGACTTGATATATATAATTTATTTTCGTTATTCAATGAAACCATTTCCGATGGGCTTGAGGAAAAGAGCTCATTAATGCCGAGGTGAACACAAAGAGATTAGCTCTTCACAATTTCTGGAAGAGACCACATTGACCCTGGTGGGTTTCCAACAATAATATACCCAACATGTGGTACAGACTCTGGAACCGGATGGTTCAGGTTTACACGCTTTCTCATATTCGCTGTGTGACACTGGGCAGGTTAGTTCAGTTTTTTGTGCCTCCATTTCCTCATCTGTAAGACAGACAGTGCTAACCTCAGTGTTTTAATGATTGTTAAAAGAGCAAATTCATCTAAAGTGCTCAAGATAGTTCCTGCATATAGTAAGGGTTGATGATGATGATGATGATTTTTCATATAGGTTTTCCACTTTTGAACATTGAAAGAGGGGAATGTCCATGTTTCTAAAGGGCAAATTCTATAGGTGAATACCAACTGTAAGTGACTAAGTTATTTGAGACAATGCAATCATTCATCCTAGCCATATTCATAAAATGATGGCTCATAGAGAACAGTAGGCAGTTGGATAGTTCCCCCTGCTGGACAATGTAGGGATTGCGCCTGAGCACTGAGCACTTGGCAAAAATGTAAATTGCACCTACAGAAAGTTTTTTTTTAATTGAGGCTTGACTGACATACAAAAAAGTGATATTTAATATATACAACTTGACGAATTTGAAGATAAGTACATACCCATGAAACTATCACCATAAACAAAAAGGTTTTATTTTTCTAATTTGGGGTTATGGTTATAAAACCAATGACTGTTACCAACAAAAATATATAAATAAATAATTTTAAAAATAAAAATTGGTAGAAAGTAATAGTAATAATAATAATAGCAGCTAACAAACATCTGCTGGAGTTTACTATGTCCCAGTGGGTGTTTCACATCTACCTTATGAGGCATGTACCAGCATCTCCTTCATTTACACAAGGGACTGAGGCACAACGAAGTTAAGTAACTTGCCCAAGACCATGCAGTCACGGAGTGGCAAAGCCAGGCTTCAACCTAGGCAGCCTGACAGCAGAGATAGTGCTATTCATCACAGTAAGCACTCGTAAGAGTTTATGGATGTATCCAAATGTCTCCTTTCTTCCCTTCTTTGGTCCTTGTAAACACCCAAACTACTCCTAGTTATCTCCCAAGCTGCAGTGACATGATCTCCCTGCCACCGTTCTGGGCATCTCTGTAGGACCATTGGGCCTTTGACATGGTTCTCTTGTGGCTGTCCAGTTGAGTCCATGGATGAAGTACCCTCCAGTAGATATGGAGTGATTGAGTTTCCTCTGGATGTGGCAAATGCTCCCACTGTCAACCATTTGGCAAAGATGCAGGGCCTTATTTTTCACATTGAACATTGATGAGATCACGTGATAGGTGTGGACCATTGAGAGTCCTTAATAATAGCATAGCCTGAGTTAGAACCAATAGCCATGATCCAGAAAACCAAGAGTATCTTATGTAAATTAACAGTGACTGTGAATACACAGTAAACGTCAACCCAGGATTCTTCGACCTCACCCACCCAGTCCTGCTCCTCTGACCTGATGAACACCTACTGACCCCTTGACCTCAGCAAAACTTCACTTCCACAGAAAGCCCCCAACTAGATTAAGTTCCCGTTACACATCCTCAAAGCCCTGTATGTCTTTCCTTCAAAACTTTTCTCACAATTTTAATTATATATTTATTCTGAATAATTTGTATCCACTCCCACTGCAATGTAAATTAGATGTTGACAAAAGTGTCACATGTTACCTCTCACCACTGTGTGCACAGTACCCAGTGCCTGGAACATGATAAAATTCCAAGAAACACTTGTCAAATGAACATGAGAATCTGTCTAGTCTCAAAATAACTCAGAGGGTCTCTGAGCACTCTTCCTTTTAGAGGGTCTTATTTTTAAAACTGTCATCCTTATTCTATCTCAGCATAATATCCTATGATTTTTTCCCCTTGAAATCATTGACAGATAATAAGTCTTCTAACATTAAGCGGAGATCACCTTTCTTTCATTCCTCCATCACTCATCTCTGGCATTTCTTCTCTTTGGCTGGCTGAACATCTCATGTTATTTTAACTTTTTCAGTTTCTTTGTCAATGTCTTGGCTCTTCTCTGAACAACTCCTAGATTTTAATTTCTCTCATAATATGTGGTGCCCAGAATTAAACCTAGCACTCAGGGTGTGATTTCAGCAGTGGTGAAGAGAGAGAGCTTTTGTCTCCCTCAGAGCAGATATGACACCTCTAGTAATAGAGTCCAGGTATGCATGTTTTTTTGTTGGTCTACACAGATATCCGTCATAGTAAACTTGTGCTTAACTAAAACCTCACAGATGTGATTACTTGTGCAGTTCATATTGTAGATTAGTGCTTTTCTTATGATACAATTGTTTTTATCGCTGTCATATGTCATCCCTAGAATGACCATGATGCTGGCCTGCCAGCATCTCCATCAATCTTTGTTCCTTTAGGACATTTGCTCCTTATTGCTGCTGCTTGTTTTGTGGACATGTCTTCCATATATACTCATACAAGTCACTGATGCCATTGTATTGTAAAAAGGACCAGGATTCATAGCTCATTATTTGACACTTCATTGCACATAGACAACTCTCACTGTTGGACAACACTCCTGTTTGGGGACATAAAGTAAACACCTGTGAAGCCAGGGTGAGCCACAGAAGGCAGTAGAAGGCTTCTCTGAGGAGGTGGGACTTCAGTTTTGCACAAGACAGAAAGGAGGAGGACGACTTTCCAGATTAAGTGGCCACCTTGGGTGAAGGCATGGGTTTGGGAATGGCTGTAAGTATTTTTAAGGTGTTCTATTTTTCTTTTCAGATAATGACTTTACCAGTGAACATAACCAGCCTGTAATTTAGCATTCTAAATTATGGAGACTTTTAGAAATGCAAATCTAAGGAGGGTAATACCTTTAGCCAGATTGCAAACTGCTGGCAAATCAATTCAGTGTTCTGTAACGCAATATATTATCATGTTTTTTTTCCATCATATATCAATTCAGTGATAACTTTCAATGCAAAAATATTATTGGAATACCAAATAAAAGCATTGCATTTTTTATGGCAGAGCCAGTTATTTTATACAAATTAATATGACTTTTGAAGTTACACAGTTTCCTTCTTTTAGAGTAAGTTAGATCCTACAAACTGCTGCAGTTCCTTGCTTCAGGACAATTGTGTGTGTGTTAAAGGCAGCTCTACTTTATTCTGGGGTTCCTCTAAAGCAAGATAAAGACCCCTGGATAAAAGACTTAAAATTCTGCCTTGAGGAAATTCAACATGCTAATACCAGTTTCAGGTTAAAATCATTTTTCAAATATTAAGTCTTTCCATAAATAATGGAACTGTCGGCTGAACGTGATGGCTCGTGCCTGTAGTCCCAGTACTTTGGGAGGCATAGGCAGGCAGATTGCTTGAGCCCAGAAGTTTGAAAACAGCCTGGGCAACATGGCAAAACCCCATCTCTATAAAAAAATACAAAAACTAGCCAGGCAGGGTGTTATACACTACTTGGGAGGCTGAGGTGGGAGGGCCGCTTGACCCCCGGAGGTTAAGGCAGCAGTGAGCCGAGAATTTCACCACTATACTCCAGTCTGTGCAACAGAGTGAGACCCTGTCTCAAAAAAAAAAAAAGAAAAGAAAAAAGAACTGTAAATGTAAACATTAATTCTGTACAAACTGTCCTAGTAAACAAAGCAGTAGCATTCTTTCCTAACAAGACTGCTTGAACACAAAACTTACAGGCATTTTGGTTTAGTTGTGTTCCTAAAACAGCTAAAGACACTCTGCAGGAAAACACTTAAAGGCTGATCATTTAAAGGGTCAATGATTCAAACAGCTGATTTCAAAATAAATGGTCATAGTATTGTCCCAAGAGATTCATTTCTCCATCTACTGCTGTGAGAGGTGGTTCTATAAGAGGGACTAGGCCCTACTTGTAGCCACTCCACTGTCTCTCTTTCAACCTCCCCTCCACACGGGTGTGTATGTGCACAAATGTGTGTACACATGCACCCCTGCATATACACACACAGAGTAACTGACTTCATTTGGTGTCTGTCATTAAGAAGACACGGTTTCCCTCCTAGCAGTGCACGATGCAGAACAAGCCGTGATCAGAACATCAGGCAACCTGAGTTCTAGTTCCCACTGACCCTGTGTCTCCCTGCTTGATCTCTCTTCTCCTCTGCTCATACAAACTTTTAATTATCTCCACTCTGTCACCTCCTATTCCTTCCTCAGCCTTCAGTAATCTCTCTTCACTTCAGTGGAGAGATGGAGAAAGTTTTAACCATCAGGCCGGGCGTGGTGGCTCACACCTGTAATCCCAGCACTTTGGGAGGCTGAGACGGGTGGATCACCTGAGGTCAGGAGTTCGAGACTGGCCTGGCCAATATGATGAAAACCCGTCTCTACTAAAAATACAAAAATTAACCAGGCATGGTGGCGGGTGCTTGCAATCCCAGCTACTTGGGAGGCTGAGGCAGAAGAATTGCTGGAACCCAGGAGGCGGAGGTTGCAGTGAGCCAAGATTATGATACTGCACTCCAGCCTGGGTGACAGAGTGAGACTCTATTTAAAAAAAAAAAAAAAGTTTAACAATCAACTTCCTGAAGAAAAGAAAAAAGTATTGATTTATAACATTTACCAATTTTCATGGTGTAAATATTGCCCCTATGGCTGATTTCAAGCTATTAGGATGGTGCAAAAGTTATTGCGGTTTTTCCCTTTTTTTTTTTTTTTTTTAATGACAAAACCCGCAACTAAGTTTGTGCCAACCTAATACCAACTTGATGCCACTGAACAGAGTTAGGAAGAAATATGCATAATGAGCTGTCTAAGCTAGTAGGAACACACCACTAAGGGTGCCAGGGCCCCAGACACTGAGCACTGAAGGCTGTCTCTCAATAGGATACATGGGAAATGGATGCTGTCTCCTCCTACAGGCTGGCAGCTTCTACACCCACCCTGTTGGGTGATAGAGGATCTGTCCGAGAGTGAGACCTATATTCCCCATATTCTACTGAACCTGCTATCACAAAGGTCACTGGTTAGTTCAGATTTGCAAAACTCAATGGATATCACTTTTCTCTTTGTTGTACTAGACAATCTGATGTCTTCCTCCACAAAATTCGGCTCTCTTGGAACCTATAAAAATATTAAATCCCATTGATCAAAGACCACCCAGAACACACCAATAGTCAAATAAAATTAAACTCATTAACTTGCTGCAGCAAGGGAGGTTGCACACCATGGGGAACTCTGGGGATGTCTTGGTTAGGATGTCTCCTCACACAGGAGGGGTGAGATTGAGGCTGATGTTAGGTGATCTTGGTGAGGGCTCAAGAGGTGGATGTTTTATTCTGAGATCTCTCATGCCTGGAAGAGGGGTATCTTGTTTTGTGGGTCCATGGTGTTTTGTTTTTCCCATGTTGAGATCTGATTAGGGAGTGGTCTACTTTTTGTCTTGCTCCATCACAATTACAGAGTGACCCTGTCTAATGCTGCTATTGTGTGAAACTATTTATGTTCAGCATAGGATTCTTATAGCCTAGCTACAGTTTCCCAAGCCAACTAGCCGCTGCCAGGGATTTTTTTTTTCCTTTCTTGCTGGTTCTCCATCCCTTCCCTTTCTCCTTAACACGCTAGTCTCTCTCTGCCCTCGCCACCTGCCAGTATTGTATTCTCTAGAATTCCTTCTAAACATTTTCACCATTCTGCTTGTCCTTCTAAACATGTTCTTTGTGTTACATCATCAACTTTTGTGATTTCAACCCCTGCCTGTGTACTCATGGCTTGCAAATATATACCTTTAGCTCACACCTTTCCTTTATGCTTCAAAGTTTTATATCCAACTTCCAGCCAGATGGCACCACCCGGGTCCTCACTCAAACACTTTAACCTCAACCAGTGCAGAGTTCAAACTGCCCTTTCTTCTTCTAAACCAGCATCTTCTTTCTGTAGCCTCTGCAGCACCTCCATCATCTTGATCACCAACATTAAAACTCCAAGACCATCCTTGACTCTTTATCTCTCACTCTATATTTAGTAATTTAGAAATGAGCCGCCTACTCTACCTCCTAAATATTTCTGCCATCCAGGCTCTCTGCTCCATCCCAATGCTCCTCCCCTAGCTCATTGTTTTACTGCTGCAGCTGCCCCCTAACTGAGCCCCCACCCTCTCCGAAGCCCACCTCCTACAAGATCACTAAAAGGACAGCTAAACGTGAATCTGCCCCTGACACTCCATGCGTCGCTCACTGGTTCTCCATCACGTCTTTGATTAAGTCTGAGCTTCCTGAAAGTGACATATGAAACCCACCCCTTCCCCATGATCTGGTGTCTGTTTGCCTCTCCAGCTGCACCTGTCACTTCTGCTTGCCTTACACTTCCCACTGTTTTCGCTTCTCAGATACACGATGCTATTCTTGCTTTTCTCTTGATGCTATTTATGGAATACCTTTCCTCCCAGTCCCCTCCCTATTTACTTCCTGCTGGTCTTTTAAGATCAGCTTCAGACCACATCCCCCAAGAAATCGTCCCTGAATCCTGGCCTATGCCCTCTGTCACCTCCTCCAAACTAATGTAACTACGTGCTCTTCCTCAGTGCTCCCAAACCCTGGAAGCATGTGGACTAATCACACTGTTCCGAGTCATCTCTTTTATGTCCCTATTGGGCCGTGAGCTCCTTGAGGAAAGGGACCTGATTTTATTCGTCTTTATGCCCCCAGCACCTGTCATAATGCAGGTGTTACATAATTGCTTGATAAATGTGTGAATAAATGATTGGTTTTGTCAACAACCACTCGTGAAACTTGGCTTCTCTGAACTTCTGCGTAGTCATCTATCTGTTGAGATGGTTAAAAAATGAACCACAAGGAAATGAATCGCTCGAAAATGCTGTGGAAGTAGAGATAAATGAAAAACTTCTGAGAATCAAAATTGAAAAGGAAGTATTTCTTTGGAACACTAGATGGCAGTAGCACATCATATTTCAGCATAGCATTCGCTGTGCATTCAGCTGTCCTAACGCGTGGCCATGTCTGCGGGCTACAAGAGCAGAGAAAAAGGCACGTCACTTTTGGGCCTGGAGCAATCAGCATAATTTTTTTTTTTTTTTTTTTTGAGACAGGGTCTCACTTTCTTACCCAGGCTGGAGTGCAGTGGTGCAATCACGGCTGACTGCAGTGACTGCAGCCTCGACCTCCTAGGGCTCAAGTGATCCTCCCTTCTCAGCCTCCTGAGTAGCTGGGACTACAGGTGTGCACCACCACGTCCTGCTAATTTTTATATTTTTTTTGTAGAGACTGGGTTTTTCCATGTTGCCAGAGCTGTTTTTGAACTCCTGAGCTCAAGGGAGTTCAGCCTCAGCCTCCCTGGGATTACAGGTGTAAGGCTCCACAACTGGCCAAGTCAACATAATTATTAGGAGTCAGAAGTTAAGGGTGGTTTCAGACGCATTTGCTCTCTGTGACTTAATTCTAACTAAATTCCAGTTTTAACCTCCTCCCTGGAACCAGTGTGGCAGCATTCCAAAAGGAATTGTTGACAGCCTTTCAGTGAATGGGAGCAAAGAGCATTTGTTTAGCAAGAAGCATTTGTTTAAAACCACGTTCTAAGAATACCCTAAGCTACTTTACAAATAATGTATTTTTGAATTCTCATAACTAACTGTGAGTTAGATGCTGTCAGGCCCATTTTACAGATGAAAACACTGAGACTAAGTAAATTAGCTTGGTAAATAAGGGGATTCAAACTCCGACCTGCTTGCCACAATATGTGCAACCTATCACGTTGATGTCATATTCTCTTAATTGAGCTAAAAGCTGTGACTTAAGCATAGCATTTGGAACAAACAAGTAGATGGAGTTAATGAGTTGTCAGTATAGACATATACTGTCTACTGAAAATAGTTAAATTATCAACACCAGTCCCAAGCTTGAAAGTCACTAGGTAAGTGGAGAGTGAAATGCTGAGCTCAAACAATGTCATCTGCAGCCCAGAAATATAGTTAGAAATAACAAAGGCTAACGTTAATTGAACGCTTCAAGGCACGTGGCACTATTCTAAGATACGTATTAATTTCTTTAATTTCAGATTCATCTGGTGAGGTAGGTACAATGATTACACCTACTTTGCAGATAAGGATACAGAGCCACAGATCATTTAAATTACTTGTTTAAGGCTACTCAACAGGTCAGTGTTAGAGCCCAGACCAACCCTCTGGCTCTAAGGCCTCAGCACCTAACCACCACACAATTAGTTATAGTAATAATAATAATGGCAATCAGCCCTTATATAGTGTGACGTGCCGGTCTCTGTTTTAATCACACATTAATTTCTCTTATCCTTACAACTTCTCTATGAGGTTTGTACAAGTATTGCTTCTACGTTACAGATGAGGAAACTGAGGCATGGGGAAGCTAAATGAGTTTTCCTGGATAGCACAGCTAGTAAGTGGCAGAACTGGGCCGCACGCCCAGATCTTTACAAAGCTGCGCAATTAACTTCTAAAACTTTCCATTTCAATGTGCATATTCTTAAATTTATTGGAACACATTTGAAATTTGTAGAGCATACCCAGTTGTCTGCATGTATTTTAAGACTCTACTTATCTCTCCAAACCAATTCCAGACTACTCATTCTTTCTCACACATATGCAGTCTCTCTCGTTACAGTATAAAAATTATTATTATGCTTCTGGGTCTATCACAAAAATGCCGGTTGTACATCCCAGGGTTATTTCAGCCTGGAAAATTTCCAATAAATATTCAGCTCAGGCCTAAATTATTCATGCCCTTAAAATATACTTTTTACAAATATTCTCACCAGACAGGGGGAAGGGAATGAGAAAACACAGGCCCACACTGAGCTGAGCTGTGTTTAAAATTACCTGGACTTGTTTCTTGAACAAGTTGAAGGAGCCATCAATGTTTGTGGGGCTTTTTGTATTTAAAAGTCACACATTTCAGTCTGTTTCTTATATTGACATTTTGTTTCATTTGGAGCTTTAGAAACATGTTTGCATCTCTCAGTGAGTCCCTTCCTGGAAATAAGGCCACCTTAGCCCAGCCCATAATAACCTCTCAGAGACCACTTGGCCTTGTCTCCTGCCTGTACACAGGTCTTTGTCTTATCCCCAAACAGATCTGAAACACCTCGAAGCAGAGGTTTCCACTCCTCTGCATTCCTACAATGTCCACTTCAACGGCCAGGATCAATATTCCTTCATTTCAAGAAATAGAACTGATCTTAGCACTTTGGGAGGCTGAGTTGGGCAGATCCTGAGGTCAAGAGTTCGAAACCAGCCCCAACATGGTGAAACGCTGTATCTACTAAAAATACAAAAAAAACAAAAAATTAGCCAGGTGTGGTGGCGTGCACCTGTAGTCCCAGCTACTTGGGAGGCTGAGGCAGGAGAATCGCTTGAACCTGGGAGGTGGGGGTTGTAGTGAGCTGAAATCGTACCACTACACTCCAGCCTGGGTGACAGAGCAAGAGCACTCCAGCCTGGGTGACAGAGCAAGACTCTGCCTCAAAAAAAATTAAAAAGAAAATAAAAAAGAGATAGAACTGCCACATAATAAAGAGGTTTGCTATGTGGATAGAGATGAGAATGAGAAAAATGTTCTCTTTTTTTTCTGGTTTTCTTTTTTTTTAACTTTTATTTTCAAGTTCCAGGTACATGTGCAGGTTTGTTACATAGGTAAACGTATGTCATGGGGGTTTGTTGCACAGATTATTTCATCACCCAGGTATTAAGCCTAGTACCCGTTGGTTGTTTTTCCTGATCCTCTTTCTTCTCCCATGGCTCCACTCTCTGATAGACTCCAGTGTGTATTGCTTCCCTCTGTGTGTCCATGTGTTCTCATCACGTAGCTCCCACTTATAAGTGAGAACATACAATATTTGGTTTTCTGTTCCTGCATTAGTTTGCTAAGGCAAATGGCCTCCAGCTCCATCTGTGTTCTTGTAAAGAACATGATCTTGTTCCTTTTTATGGCTGCAGAGTATTCCATGGTCTATACGTTCCACACTTTCTTTATCCAGTCTACCATTGATGGGCATTTAGCTTCATTCCATGTCTTTGCTAGTGTGCATAGTGTTGCGATGAACATATGTGTGCATGTGTCTTTATGACAGAATGACTTATATTCCTTTGGGTATATACCAGTGATATGGTTTGGCTGTGTCCCCACCCAAATCTCTTCTTGAGTTCCCACATGTTGGGGGAGGGACCTGGTGGGAGGTAATTGAATCATGGGGGTGGGTCTTTTCTGTGCTGTTCTTGTGCTAGTGAATAAGTCTCACGAGATCTGATGGTTTTTAAAATGGGAGTTTCTCTGCACAAGCTCTCTCTTTGCCTGCCACCATCCATGTAAGATGTGACTTGCTCCTCCTTGCCTTCCACCATGATTGTGAGGCCTCACCAGCCATGTGGAATGGTAAGTCTATTAAATCTCTTTCTTTTGTAAATTGCCCAATCTTGGCTATGTCTTTATCAGCAGCATGAAAACAGAACTAATACACCCAGCAATGGGATTGCTGAGTCAAATGGTATTTCTTTCTTTAGGTCTTTAGGAATCGCCAGAGTCTTCCACAATGGTTGAACTAATTTACATTCTTCCCAACGGAGTAAAGCATTCCTTTTTCTCCACAACCTAGCCAGCATGTTATTTTTTGACTTTTTCATAATAGCCATTCTGTCTGGTGTGAGATGATATTTCACTGTGGTTTAATTTGCACTGCTCTAATGATCAGTGATGTTGAGCTACCTTTCATATACTTGTTGGCCACATGCATGTCATGTCCCTTTGCCCACTTTTTAATGGGGTTGTTTGTTTTTCCTTGTAAATTTGTTTAAGTTCCTTACAGATGCTAGATATTAGACCTTTGTCAGATGCATAGTTTTCAAAATGAGAAAGAGGAAAATATTCTAAAATATATAAATATCCTATAATATCTAACACCTCTGTTTAAAAAAAAAAGTAATTCCTAAACTCATTCAGGAAATCTGCATCTGCCAGTGAGACCCATCCCTCCATCAGTTTGGAGTCAGCTGACATTGTCATGTAGAGAGACAAAGTGGAGCAGCAGCCAGGAGGCTTATTAATTTATTAATGTTCAATTAGAGAATGTTGAAAGAGCTATGCTGACTCTTAGAACTCACATAGAATATTAAGTAGGATACAGGGATACCTTCAAGTCTTTTGACAAATATCCTGCTTCATTTCTCTGAAGATGAACTTAGATTACAACATTTCTTGTCTGTTATTGTAGTGCTGTCACCATTTTCATTAATTGGACTCAGATGAAGATTTCTGTAAATGAAGCAAAAGCTCTAAGTCTTTCTTTTTCTCATCCTAGTGTTCTGTATACATGCATATGCACTATGCATATACACATTCAATATGTGAAACCAAATGCTTTTGTTTTGGAAAATGGCAATAAATTTCTGATCTGAGAAATCTAATAAATATATGAATCTCATTTATTACATTTATAGAAATTTGCATTTACTACATATGATCTTGGTGTATAGTTAGCACCAGCGGGCCTAAGAGATGTTTTTTAAAAGTTGAAATCTCAAATGGCAAAACACACAAATTAAATATGGTTATTCTATTACAAGAGAATCAGCTTTTTACACTTTGAAAGATTTAAATGAGTGTTTCTTTTAAAATTAGATGAGTTAATCAAGCACTTTTTCAGTTGGATTTGTGGCAACTAGAAAGGAATATAGACCCTCCCACGTCTATTTCTTTTGAGTTTTCAGTTTAATTTGGAGGACAGTTCATAATGGAATATATTTGAAAACAAATAGCATTAAAAAGTATCTATTAAGTGCCCAGTGGAGACATACTGAGTGAACATTCAGAGGAGAGCTGGAAAAAGAATTATGGGGTAGTCCGGTGCTATGAACTGTTTGTATCTCCCCAAAATTCATATGTTGACACTGAACCCCTAATGCAATGGTACTAGGAGGCGGGGCTTTTGGAAGGTAGGTAGGTCATGAAAGCGGAATCTTCATGAATGGGATTAGTGCACTGAGAGGAGACATGGAGAGAGCTTGCAGTAGCTGCAAGAAGAGAATTTCCTTAGGCTGTCAAGATCCAGCAACTTGTTCTGGCAGATTATGACTCCTCTTCGGCTTCAAAGAAATAAAGGTTTTAAGCAAATACACTTAGTGTCTGTTGCATACTTTCCCTGGGGAACTACAAAATATAAGGAATTGGATATTTATTGACAGCTACTATTTATTTAGTGTTCACATTGGGTCAGGAATTGTGGCAAGCAATTCTTGTACATTGTCTGCAGTCTTTCCAAAAACCATGAGAGACAGATACTATACCTCCCCTATTGCAGAAAAGAAAACTGAGGATCAGAGAAGTTAAACAACATGTCCAAGGTCTTGGTAGCCTTGGACCAAGGCTTGGTATTTCTCATCCAAAGGGTTGGTTGCCAGGACTCTGCACTGGGTCTATCCAGCAAAGTCTGTGCTCTTTAAATTAAACACCACTGTCTCTTGAGATCATGCTTTAAAAAGGATGAAATGGGCTTTTTATTCTAATTTTTCAGGATGTCTAAAAACTTACGAAATAGCACATGCTCTATGTTAGTTGCCTTGATGGCATGGTTTGAGATTAATTTATTAATCAGAGCATAACATAAGTAACTTTGAGTGAAAAGGACAATTCCAATGGGAGAGAATGTCAGAGAGAATGACGCTGAAGAAATTCAGGGCTTAAGACTATATTGTGTCTTGCAAAACCAGGAGCCAAGCGTTGGATCACGTATGCAATCTGGGATATAGTCCAGTTGGGTTTCAGGCACACTGGTCATCAAACAGTCCCAGCCAGAATATTTGGGAAGGTCTGGGACCTGAACAACAGCTACCCATGGTGCGTCAGAACTAGAGTGGGTACAGACTTGACATCTTCTGAGAAAACTGCTCAGTGCTCAGCTTGTGTAATCACTGACATCCCAGGGCATCTCTCTGCATAGGAAAGAACTGGAAACCAAGGAATGAGAGGGAGAAGAAAGAAAGGGAGCCTAGACAGCAGAGATAAGCCAAGAGGAGGGAAGTGGAGAAAGGAACACTCTCTCAGTATGTCAGGTAAGCAATGATAGAGTGGATTTAATTGCCCCTCTGAGAGTCTGATGACACCAGCTGCCTTAAATGCAGCTTATGCACCATATTTAGCCCTGTCCCAGAGTCTCAGAGCAATATCCCAGGTTTTGTCCTTCTCAAGTTATTTCTGAACCAGCATTATGGAAAGGGAATCAGACTGGAAAACACTAGAGTTTTGGTCTTGACTTTGCAACTAATTATACAACTTTGGAAGATACTAAGTCTCTCTGGAATTAATTTTCCTCATCTGTAAAATGCAGAAGTTGAACTAGCTAACAGAGAGCTATAAAAATGAAAAATGGAATATAAAGAGCAATAAATTCTCCACGTAATCTTAACCTGAAAAACAGCTTCCCCCTGAGATATCAAGAAAATCAGGGCAAATATGGTGGAGATGATTCCTAAGACTTTTCTAGATAAATGCATACATTCACCTCTTTATCTTACACGTTTATATTACAATCAATATACAGTAAAAATTTTGTTGATGAAAAAAATATATGACACTAGACAGACCTGTCCCTGAACATTTGTGGAGCCTGGGCTGAGAATAGGAATGGAGGCCAAATACCATATGTCTAAGTATTTAAAAGTTATAAGTCAAGACAACAAACTCAGAAATGAAATATGTTCCATCCTCTTATCTTGACAAGGCTACCTCCTAACAACCTGGAAGGTCAGGTTTGAATTGAGAAACCATGGAACTTGCTGGATATTAGACCTTTGTCAGATGCAGAGTTTGCAAATATTTTCTCCCATTCTGTAGGTTGTCTGTTTACTCTGTTGATAGTTTCTTTTGCTGTGCAGAAGCTCCCCAACTCATTGAGGCCAGCATCACCCTGATACCAAAACCTGGCAGAGATACAACAACAACAACAAAAAACTTCACTGTTTCCCTCCCCCTGGCTCCTTTCTGCACTGCCGGGATGTCATGCACCCCAGGTGTACACACCCCAGTTCACATGCCACACTCTGTCCAAATTCCCTAAATAGCCGCCCCTTGGCTACCATGGAGGACTTGGGGTGCACACACCAGCAGAGCATTTGGACCATGAGTGGATGGACCGAGGTTGCAGTTGGTTAGGTAGGGTATCTGTGGGACATGGGTAGTCAGTGTGGTCATGAGAGGACTAATGAGGGCACTGGGTGGTCATGTCCCTTGGCCTAAGGACTTCTTGCCCTCTGGGGAGGGCACAGTCAGAGGAAGGCCAGCATAGCTCCCTCTAAACCCAGGCCAGGCCAGGGGCCTCCTGTGTCCTGGGCATGCAAAGCTTTGCAACAGACAGCAGGCAGCACTACCCCCGAGGATTGACATCAGAGCACCTATTTCTCTTGTGGACACAATGGGAACCTCCAGCCATGCCCTTTTGAGCCCCACTGCCCTCAAGAGAAATGTCATCTGAGAGGCTCATGGTGCCCCCTGCCTGCCTGTGCTGTCCCCATCCCTCTCCATCTTCTCTGCTCAACTCTGTGAGGAGCAATATTAACTTACTTGCCCCTTCCCTTATTTCAGGAAGTCTGTTCCGCCACCATTACTTAATTGTATCATTCAGTTTTGTCTGGGGAAGTTTTTGGGTTTTGTTTATTTTTAATTCAAAGCAAAGCATATATCTTTATATGAGTGAGACAAGACTGGAAAGATATAGGATATATGTTAGCATGGTTTTTTATGGGAGGTAAATTACAGGTAATTTTTATTTCCACTTTTGAATTCAGCTGTATTTTTCTAGATATTTTATAATGAATGTATCAATTTTTTAAAAAACTTTTAGGTTCTGGGGTACATCTGAAGGTTTGTAAACTCATGTCATGGAAGTTTATTGTACAGATTATTTTATCACCCAGGTATTACGCCCAAGACCCATTAGTTACCTTTTCTGCTTTTCTCTCTCTTCCCACTTTCCCCCCTCAAGTAGACCCCAGGGCTTATTGTTTCCTTCTTTGTGCTCATGAGTTCTAATCATTTCGCTGCCACATATAAGTGAGAACATGTGGTATTTAGTTTTCTGTTCCTGAATTAGTTTGTTAAAGATAATAGCCTCCAGCTCCGTCTATGTTCCCACAAAGACATAATCTCGTTCTTTTTTATGGCTGTATACTATTCCATGGTGTTTATGCGCCACATTTTCTTTATCCAATCTGTCATTGATGGGCATTTAGGTTGATTCCATGTCTTTGCTATTGTAAATAGTGCTGCAGTGAACATTTGCATGCATGTATCTCTATGGTAGAATGATTTACATTCCTCTGGGTATGTACCCAGTAATGAGATTACTGAGTCAAATGGTAATTCTCTTTTAGCTCATTGAGGAATTGCCGTACTGCTTTCCACAATGGTTGAACTAATTTACACTGCCACTAACAGTGTATACGCTCACCAGCATCTGTTATATTTTGATTTTTTAATAATAGCCATCCTTACTGGTATGAGATGGTGTCTTATTGTGGTTTTGATATGCATTCCTCTATTGATCAGTGATATTGAGCTTTTTCTCATATGCTTGTTGGCCACATGTATGTTTTCTTTTGAAAAGTGTCTGTTCATGTCCTTTGCCCACCTTGTAATGGGGTTGTTTGTTTTTCTCTTGTAAATTTGTTTAAGTACCTTATGGATGCTGGATATTAGACCTTTGTCAGATGCATAGTTTGCAAGTATTTTCTCCCATTCTGTAGGTTTTCTGTTCACTCTGTTGATAGTTTCTTTTGCTGTGTAGAAGCTCCCCAACTCATTGAGGCCAGCATCATCCTGATACCAAAACCTGACAGAGATACAACAACAAAAAACTTCAGGCCAATATCCTTGATGAACATTGATGCAAAAATCCTCAACAAAATACTGGCAAGCTGAATCCAGCAGCACATCAAAAAGCTAATCCACCACAATCAAATAGGCTTAATCTCTGGGATGCAAGTTTGGTTCAACATATGCAAATCAATAAATGCGATTAATCACATAAACAGAACTAAAGACAAAAACCCCATGATTATCTCAATAGATGCAGAAAAACCTTTCAATAACATTCAAATCCCCTTCATGTTAAAAACTCTCAATAAACTAGATATTGAAGGAACATAACTCAAAATAATAAGAGCTATTTATGACAAACCCACAGCCAACATAATACTGAATGGGCAAAAGCTGGAAACATTACTTTTGCAAACCAGCACAAGACAAGGATGCCCTCCCTTACCACTCCTATTCAACATAGTATTGGAAGTCCTAGCCAGAGCAATCAGGCAAGAGAAAGAAATAAAGGGCATCCAAATGGGAAGAGAGGAAGTCAAACTATCTCTATCTGCAGACAATATGATTCTGTACCTAGAAACCTCCCTAGTCTTGGCCCAAAGCTCCTTCAGCTGATAAACAACTTCAGCCAAGCTTCGGGATACAAAATCAATGTACAAAAATCACTAGTATTCCTATACAACAACAACAGCCAAGCCGAGAGCCAAATCAGGAGAGCAATCCCATTCACAATTGTCACAAAAAGAATAAAACACCTAGGAACACAGCTAACCAGGGAGGTGAAAGATCTCTACAATGAGAATTACAAAACACTACTCAAAGAAATCACAGGAGATAGAAACAAACAGAAAAACATCCCACGTTTATGGATATGAAAAATCAACACCATTAAAATGGCCATACTACCAAAAGCAATTTACAGATTTAATGCTATTCCTGTCAAACTACCAATAACATTCTTCACAGAACTAGAAAAAACTATTTTAAATTCATATGGAACCAAAAAAGAGTCTGAATAGCCCAGGCAATCATAAGCAAAAAGAACAAAGCTGGAGGCATCACATTATCCAACCTCAAACTATATTACAGGGATACAGTAACCAAAACAGCAAGGTACTGTACAAAAATAGGCACAAAGACCAATGGAACAGAATGGAGAGCCCATAAATAAGGCCACAAACCTACAACCATATGAACTTTGATAAAGCTGACAAAAACAAGCAATGGGGAAAAGACTCCCTATTCAATAAATGGTGCTGGGATAACTGGCTAGCCATATGCAGAAGAGTGAAGCTGGACCCTTTCCTTATACCATATACAAAAATCAACTCAAGATGGATTAAAGACTTAAGTGTAAAACCCAAAACTATAAAATCCCTGGAAGACAGCTTTGAATAAGTATTTACAATGTTCCTTTTACCTCAGCTTTTACAAGAATTTTATCATACATACCTTGAGAGCTTAGAAGGAAGTTATAAGACATAACATTTTAATAGGGCAAAATAGGCCTCTAAAGTTAAGTCCTTATTAGTATAAAATTCCACACATTTCTTCAAGCAATTTTTAAATTTCATAATTATTTGACTTGGCATGAAAATTCTTTCTAAATATGTCAGAAGTTTGAAAAATAATGTTAACATTGTAATGAATCTCACTTTATTGCAGAGCCTGCCTTTCTCAAATTATAGTAATAATTCTACTATAATGTTTCCTGACACATTCATGAATTCCTTTAACTTACATTTCAGTAGCATCTTAATCTTTTGAACTTCTTGATGTGGAAATATCTTTTTATCTAATGTCATAATTTGTTGCAACATATTCCAGCAGAGGAAAAAAATCCTTCAATATATGAAATGTCTCCAATTTAAATATTTCTGCTTTTTTAGGAGGAGGGGGTGTTTTATGATTATATTACCTAATGCCTAGCTTTTTGCCATCTGCCCTGGTCACTAATTTTAAATGACAGGTGAATGGCTCACAAACATTTAAGAGATAAAAATGATTTAAAAATCCCTATATGTGCTTCTTTTATTTAAAAAATGCTGCTAAGAATTCATTATTATTTATGGTTCATGCACAAATTACAAGGTGAACTGGTCGTACACAACAGAATAATTTGTTTCCTGGGCTAAACATTTCCTGAAGTTGATATGATACTAGGGGATGACTCCATTGAAAAGTGCATGGCATCTTCAGCATTAAGGCACAACAGAAAGTGGATTAAGGGATGATGCTTTTGGCAGCGTTGATGACACAAAGGTAAATAGTTTCAGCCGCATTCACTTTGTGGGAATCTGGGTTTTGAGATAAAAGGAATTGTCAGAAAGAAAGGGATTTATATCAACTCTGCAGATTTGCATAATCAGAATAATAGCATACCCCACTGTAGTAGAATAAATCCTACTGTAAACAATGAATTTAAGCCCCAACTAAAGACATAGTTTCATCATATTCACACTGTTCCTGCTTAGGCAAGTGAAAGTCCCCTACTTTTGGACAATCATTGCTATATGCTGGTAAGTCAAATACTGGTATAGTAGATTCTGTGCTAACCCTCTACTTTGCTAATAAGAATCATCTGGGTGCGTATTAAAACCACAAGTTTCTAGACTCTGCGCCTGCAGAATATGCTTCTGTAGTGTGTGCTGGGAGGGTGGTGGATAAAATTTATCTTCCAAATGGTGTGCTGGGGTGACAGGAAATGTCCTGGTTCAACCAGGCTGTATGGGTCTAGGTGTGTATTTTACCAAGAACTCCATGTGACTCTTGTGGAGAGGGAATGAGAATCCTCCTGAAGGAGTTAATCTCCCCACTCAGGACCTACAGCACATCTAGGAGGAGTTTCTACTTGAAAGGAGTCATCTGCTGTGTAATAAGGAAGGGCCTTTCAGGTGCGTGGGCAAATATCCAGGTTTGTCTGAAACTTCAAGAATTCCCAGGACATGGGATTTTTAGTGCTAAAACTGGGACAAGTTGGTTGCCCTGTCATTGGGAACCAGGCAAAGTGGCTTTTCTAGAGACTTGAGAATGGGAGAAGTCAATGAGAAGTTAGAAAGAAAGCTGGGAATTCTCACAGGAGTGGAATTATTTCTATCCAAAAACACATACAAATTCCTAAGTGAATATATTAGTTCCCTAGGGCTGCCATAACAAACTTCCATGAACTGGGTGCCTTAAATTAACAGAAATGTATTCTCTCACAGTCCTGAAGCCTGAAAGTCTAAAATCAAGGTGTTGGCAGAGCCATCTGAGGGCTACGGGGAGAATACTTCTTTGCCTGTTTCTGGCTTCTAGTAACTGCCAGGCATTTTGGACATTCCTTGGCTGGTAGTTGCATCACTCCAATCTCTGCTCCGTCATCACACGGACTTCTTCCCTGTGGGTGTCTGTGTGTCTACAAATCTCTCTCTCCTTTCTCTTATAAAGATATCAGTCATTGCATTTAGGGTGGGCCTAACTTTAGTATTACTTCAGCTTAGCTAATTACATCTGCAAAGACCCATTTCCAAATAAGGTCACATTCTGAGGTTCTGGAGGACATGAATTTGGGGTCGGGGACACTGGGTATATAAGCTATGTTAATGGGGAGAAAACTATCCTAAAAGATGGTTCATATCGTCCTCTTTGTTTGGAAATCCATTACATAGTGTTCCTATGTAGGAGATTAGTAAATCTCTAATTTACCCTGTGGTCCACATTTATTAATAACATTCCTGTCCCACAAGCTCAAAATTCTGGAAAGACAAACATCACCACCCCCACCCCCACCCCACCACCTCTCTTCAGTTGCACTCAAAGACATGGGTAACTGGGAAACAGTGTCACCATCAGAAATGTTAGGATTCTCAGCAACATTGTGCACTTACAGAGTTTTGCCTTTCAGGACCTTCTGAGTAGGTCCTCAAACATCAACAAAAACATGTATACAGAAGAAAAATGCAACTGGACCATTCCATGTGTGTTTTTTTGAGTTTAAGAGGTACAAATAAAATGTGATATGGTTTGGATATTCGCCCCTCCAAATCTCACGTTGAAATGTGACACCCCAGAGAGGAAGCGGAGCAAGATGGCCAGATAGAGGCCTCCACCCATTGTCCTCCCTACAGAAACAACAAATTGAACAACTATCCACACAAAAAAAACCCCTTCATAAGAACCAAAACTCAGGTGAGTGATCACAGTACCTGGTTTTAACTTCATATCAAGGAAAGAGGCACTGAAGAGGGTAGGAAAGTCAGTCTTGAATTGCCAGCATCACCCCTGCCGCATTCCCTGGCAGTGGCTACGTGGGGTGGAGAGAGAATCTGTGTGCTTAGAGGAGGGAGAGCGCAGTAGTTTTGGGGCTTTGCAGTGGAACTCAGTGCTGCCCCGTCACAGTGGAGAGCAACACCAGGAAGAAGTCAGCTGACACCGATGGAGGGTGCCATTTAGACCAGCAGTAGCCAGAGGGCAGTCACCCATCCAAGCCGCCAGAACCTGAGTTCCAGCAAGCCTTGTCACCACAGGCTAATGTGCTTTGGAGTCATAAACAAACCTGAAAGGCAGTCTAGGCCAAAAGGACTGTCATTTCTGGTCAAGTCTAGCTGCTACGCTGGGCTCGGAGCCAGTGGACTTGGAGGTCATGCAACCTACTGAGACACCAGCAAGGATTATCAAGACAGTGCTTACACCACCCCTCCCCAACTCCAGGCAGTGTAGCTTGTAGCTCTGGGAGAGACTCCTTCCTTCCATTTGAGGAGAGGGGACAGTAAAGAGGACCTTGTCTTGCAACTTGGATACCAGCTCAGCCACAGTAGGATAGGGTGCCAGGCTGACTCATGAGGCCCACATTCCAGGCCCTAGCTCCCGGATGACATTTCTAGACAAACCCTGGAACCTACTGCCTTGAATGGAAGGACCCAGTGTGGCACAATTCATCATCTGCTGAGTAAAGAGCCCTTGGTCCCTGAATAAGCAGCAGGGGTAGCCAGGCAGTATTTGCCATGGGCCTTGGGTGAGACTCAGAGCCACGCTAATTTCAGATGTGACCCAGCATGTTCCCAGCTGTGGTGGCTATAGGGAGAGACTCCTTCTGCCTGAGAAAAGGTGAGGGAAGACTAAAGGGGAATTTCTCTTGCATCTTGGATACCAGCTTGGCCACAGTGGGGTAGAGCACCAAGCAGGCTCCTGGGGGTCCCCAGTTCCAGGCCACTTTGCTGTTTAGAAATCTCTTCCACCAGATACCCTAGGTCATCACTCTCAAGTTCAAACTTCCACAGATCCCTAGGGCATGGACATAAAGCAGCCAAGTTCTTTGCTAAGACATAACAAAAGTGACCTTTACTCCAGTTCCCAGTAAGTTCCTTGTTTCCATCTAAGACTTTGGCAGCCTGGACTTCACTGGCCACATCACTATCGGCATTTGGGTCACAACCATTCAACCAGTCTCTAGGAAGTTGGAAACTTTCCCTCATCTTCCTTTCTTCTTCCGAGCCCTCCAAACTCTTCCAATATCTGCCAGTTACTTAATTCCAAATCTGCTTCCATGTTTTCAGGTATCTTTATAGCAATGCCCCACTCATTGGTACCAATTTTCTGTATTAAGCCATTCTTGCATTGCTACAAAGAAATACCTGAGACCGGGCAATTTATAAGAAAAGAAGTTTAATTAGCTCACAGTTCTGCAGGCTGTACAGAAGCATAAGACTAGCTTCTGCTTCTAGGGAGGTCTCTGCAAAGTTACAATCATGGCAGAATGTAAAGCAGGAGCTTGCACATCACATGGTGAAAGCAAGTGCAAGAGAGAGACTGGGAAGGTGCCACACACTTTTAAACGACCAGATCTCATGAGAACTCACTCACTATCATGAGAACAGCACCAAGAAGATGGTGATAAACCATTCATGAGAAATCCATCCCCATGACCCAATCACCTTTCACCAGGTCCCACCTCCAACACTGAGGATTACAATTCAACAAGAGATTTGGTGGGGACACAGATCCAAACAATATCAGTGGGCATCCTTTGTTGTGTTCCAGATCTTACAGGAAAGCCTTTCAGTTTTTCCCCATTCAGTATGATACTAGCTGTGCATCTGTTGTACATGGCTTTTATTGTATTGAGGTATGTTCCTTCTATATCCAGTATTTTGAGGGTTTTTATCATGAAGGAATGTTGAATTTTATCAAATGATTATTCAGCATCAATTGAAATGATTACATGGTTTTTGTCCTTCCTTCTGTCGATATCACATTGATTGATTTGCAAATGTTGAATCATCCTTGCATTCCTGGGATAAATGCTACTTGGTCATGGTGAATGATCTTTTTAATATGTTGTTGAATTTGGTGTGCTAATATTTATTTGAGGATTTTTGCATCAATGTTCATCAGGGATATTGGTCTCTAGTTTTCTTTTTTTGATATGTCTGTGTCTAGTTTTGGTATCAGGGTAATTCTGGCCTCATGGGATGAGTTTGGAAGTATTCCCTTCTCCTCTTCTTTTTTTTTTTTTTTTTTTTTTTGAGACACAGTCTTGCTCTGTCTCCCATGCTGGAGTGCAGTGGCACGATCTCGACTCACTGCAACCTCTGCCTCCCGGGTTCAAGCAGTTCTCCTACCTCAGCCTCCTGAGTAGCTGGGATTACAGGTGTGAGCCACCATACCCAGCTAATTTTTATATTTTTCGTAGAGATGGGTTTTCACCATGTTGGCCAGGCTGGTCTCGAACTCCTGACCTCAGGTGATCCGCCCACCTCAGCCTCCCAAAGTGCTGGGATTACAGGCATGAGCCACCGTGCCCAGCCTACCACGCCTGGCCCTCCTCTATTTTTTGAAATTGTTTGAGTAGGATTGGTATTAGTTCTTTAAATGTTTGGTAAAATTTAGCAGTAAAGCCACCAGGTCCTGGGCTTTTCTTGCTGGGAGATATTTTTCATTATGACTTTGATCTTACTACTTGTTATTGATCTGTTCAGGTTTTTGATTTCTTCATGTTTCAGTCTTGGTAGATTGTACGTGTCTAGGAATTTGTCCACTTCTAGGTTTTCCAATTTATTGACATTTCATTGCTCAAAATAGCCTCTAATGATCCTTTAAATTTCTGTAATATTAGTTTTAATGTTTCTTTTTTCATCTCTGATTTTATTTACATTGATTTTCTCTCTTTTTTTCTTAGTCTGGCTAAAGTTTTGTTGATTTTATTTATCTTTTCAAAAGAAAACCTTTTGTTTTGTTGACCTTCTGTATTGTTTTCATTTGTATTTCGTTTATTTGTACTCTGATCTTTATTATTTCCTTTCTTTTTCTACTTTTGGGTTTGGTTTGCTTTTGCTTTTCTAGTTCTTTAAGATATATCGTTAGGTTGTTTATTTGAAGTTTCTACTTTTTTGATGTAGGCGCATATAGTTATAAACTTCCGTCTTAGTCTTAGTACTGCTTTCACGGTATCCCATAGGTTTTGGTATATTGCGTTTCCACTGTCTTTTGTTTCAAGAATTTTAAATTTCCTTCTTAATTTCTTCATTGGCCCCCTGGTCATTCAGGAGCATATTGTTTAATTTCCATGTGTTTGATTAATTTCCATAATTCCTCGTTATTGATTTCTGGTTTTATTCCATTATGATCAGAGAAGATAGTTGACATAATTTCAATTTTTGTGAATTGTTTTATGGCCTAACACATGGTCTATTCTTCAGAATGATCCATATGCTGAGGAGAAGAATGTATATTCTGCAGCCATTGAACGAAATGTTCTGTAAATATCTATTAGGTCCATTTTGTCTACAGTGCAAATTAAGTCTGATGTTTCTTTGTTGATTTTCTGTTGGGGTGATCTGTCCAATGATGAAAGTAGGGTGTTGAAGTCTATAGTTATTTTTGTATTGGGGGGGTCTATCTCTCTCTTTAATAGTTGCTTTATATATGTGGGTGCTCCAGTGTTGGGTGCACATATATTTAGAATTGTTATATCCTCTTGCTGAATCAACCCCTTTATCACTATATAATGACCTTCTGTTGTCTTTTTAAATAGTTTTTGTCTTGAAATCTATTTTGTCTGATATAAGTATAGCTACTCCTCCTCTCTTTTGGCTTCCACTGGCGTGGGGTATCTTTTTCCATCCCTTTATTTTTAGTCTATGTGTGTCTTTATAGGCAAAATGTGTTTCTTGTAGGTAATAGATTGTTGAGTCTTGGTTTTTTAAATCCATTCAAACACTCTGTGTCTTTTGATTAGGGAGTTTGGTACACAAACATTCAATGTTATTATTGATAAATAAGAACTTTTTCTTGCCATTTTGTTATTTGTTTTTGGTTGTTTTGTGGTCTTCTCTTCCTTCTCTCCTTCCTTCCTGTCTTCCTTTTACTGAAGGTTATTTTCTCTGGTGATTTTTTAAATTTCTTGCTTTTTGTGTGTGTGTATCTGTTGTAATTTTTTATTTGATGTTTCCATGAGGCTGCCAAATAATAACTTATAACCCATTATTTTAAACTGATGACAACTTACCACCAATAGCACAAACAAGCACAGAGAAATCTAATAAAAGCTCTATACTTTAACTTTGTCCTATGCTTTTTAGCTTTATAGTGTATCTATTTATATCTTATTGTGCTGTCTATGTCTTGAAATGTTGTTGTAGTTGTTATTTTTGATTGGTTCATCTTTAATCTTTCTACTCAATATATGAATAGTTTGCATACCACAATCACAGTATTATAATATTCTGTGTTTTTCTGTGTACTTACTATTACCAGTGAGTTTTACACCATTAGATAGTAACTGACTTTAAATTATACTACAAAGCTATACCAAAACAGCATGGTACTGGCATTAAAACAGAAACATAGACCAACGGAACCAAGTAGAGAACCCAGAAACAAACCCACACATCTACAGTGAACTCATTTCCAACAAAGGTGCCAGAAACATATGTTGGGAAAAGGAGAGTCTCTTCAATAAATGGTGCTGGGAAAACTCTATATCCATATGCAGAAGAATGAAAATAGACCATATACAGAAATTAAATCAGAATGGATTAAAGACAAATCTAAGACATCAAACTATGAAACTACTACAAGAAAACATTGAGGAAACTCTCCAGGATATTGGTCTGGGCAAAGATTTCTTGAGCAATGCCCCATAAGCACAGGAAGCAATGAAAGCAAAAATAGACAAATGGAATCACATCAAGTTTAAAAGCTTCTGTACAGTAAATGAAAATATCAACAAAGTGAAGAGACAACCCATAGCATGGGAGAAAATGTTTGCAAACTACCCATCTGACAAGGGATTAGTAACTAGAATATATAAAGAGCTCAAATAACTGTATAGAAAAAAACTAAAAATCCAGTTTAAAATGGGCAAAAGATCTGAATAGACTTTTCCTGAAAGAAGACATACAGATGGCAAACAGGTGGTCAACATCATTGATCATCAGAGAAATGAAAATCAAAATTACAATGAGATATTATCTCACCCTAGTTAAAATAGCTTTTATCCAAAACACAGGCAATAACAAATGTTGGCAAAAATGTGGAGAAAAAGGATTCCTTGTACACTATTGGTGGAAATGTGAATTAGGACAATCACTATGGAGAACATCTTGGAGGTTCCTCAAAAAACTAAAATAGAGCTACCTTATGGTCCAGCAATTCCATGGCTAGGTATATACCCAGAAGAAAATAAATCAATAATATCAAAGAGGTATCTGCACTCTTATGTTTATTATAGCACTCTTCACAACAGCCAAGATTTGGAAGCAATCTAAGTATTCATCAACAGTTGTATGGATAAAGAAAATATAGTACATAAACACAATAAAGTATTATTCAGCCATAAAACAGAATAAGATCTTGTCATTTGCAGCAACATAGATGGAACTAGAGGTCATTATGTTAAGTGAAATAAACCATATGCAGAAAGACAAACTTCACATGTTCTCACTTACTTGTGGGAACTAAAAATTAACACACTCAAACTCATGGATGATCTTCTGCATATGGATATAGAGTTTTCCCAGCAAAGAATAGAAGGCTGGAATGGGTACTGGGGGTAGGAGGATGTAGAGATGGTTAATAAGTACAAAAATATAGTTAGATAGAATGAATAAGATCTAGCATTTGATAGCATGGCACGTGAGTACAGTCAACAATAATTTCTTGAATATTTAAGCGTGGTGGCTCATGCCTGTAATCCCAGCACTTTGGGAGGCTGAGGCAGACGGATCACGAGGTCAGGTGATCGAGACCATCCTGGCTAACACGGTGAAACCCCATCTTTACTAAAAATACAAAAAATTAGCTGGGCATGGTGGCGGTCGCCTGTATTTCCAGCTACTCGGGAGGCTGAGGCAGGAGAGTGGCGTGAACCTGGGAGGTGGAGCTTGCAGTGAGCCGAGATCGTGCCACTGCACTCCAGCCTGGGCAACAGAGTGAGACTCCGTCTCAAAATAAATGAATAAATAGAATAAAATAAAAAGACTCCAAGAGTATAATTGGATTGTTTCTAACATAAAGAAAGGATAAATGCCTGAAGTGATGGACACACTCATTTCCTCTAATCTGATTATTATGCATTTTATGCCTATATCATAATAGCTTGTGTACCTCATAAATATATACACCTATTATGTACCCACAAAAATTTTAAAACTATAGAGAAATGTGGTCCCCAATGTTGGAGGTGGGGCCTGGTGGGAGGTGTTTTTGTCGTTGGGGTGGATCCCTCATGAATGGCTTGGTGCGCACCTCACAGGAGTGAGTCAGTTCTCACTCTATTAGTTCGTGCAAGAGCTGGTTGTTTAAAAGAGCCTGGCACTTCCTCCTCTCTCTTTTGTTCCCCATCTCGCCATGTGACATGCATGCTCCCCCTTTGCCTTCTGTCATGATTGGAAGCTTCCTAAGGCCTCACCAGGAGCAGGTGCTGGTGCCATGCTTGCACAGCCTGCAAAACCATGGGCCAAGTAAACCTCTTTTCTTTATGAATTACCCAGCCTCAGGTATTCCTCTGTGGGAACACAAAATGGACCAATACAGAATGGAAGTAATATTTATTACGGATTTAACTCACTAAGTACTTCCCATGTACTACTTCATGTAATCATCACAATAACTCTGTGAAATAGGCATTATTAGACCCAGTTTCTTATTGATTTCTTTTCTCCAGATTGTTTTCACAGAAGAAGGGTCTCAGTTCTCATGAATGCATTTACTGCCAAGACTCTCTCAGAGAGCAGAGATTGGTTACTATTAGCTCAAGTGCTTTATCTCAGGAGGGCAAAGGTTAGTAAAAGCACAGGAATGGAGGTATTTGTTGGTCTTGTTTCCCTGGCAGGTAACATAGTGGTCTGCCTTTCTTTGTTCAAACCACCATATTCTCAGCACAGGCCTTAGTGAGGCTGTCCATTCTTCTCCCAACCTGGGTCACAAAGAGTCTTTAAACAAGCCGCCACCCCAGCACTCAAACCTGCCCACCCATCCCACAGTGGACACCTGCTCTCCTTTCCCCAGCTCCCAACTGACTGGAGCATAAACTGTTGGTCAAGGCCTCCCCTACACAGCTTGATGCCAAAGCCCTCACTACCTAATACAGAGTAGTGGAGGAAGGGAGCCCAAGGTTCAGGGAACCTCATAAACATGGGAGTCCTATATTTTGGGAGGCAGGAACAAATAGCCCTTAACAGGGAGTCCCTGGAGAACAAGATCCAGGAATTTGCTGGGGGCATCCCCAGGCCATCTATGGGGATTCAGAGACAGAAGTCGGAGGCACAGAGTCTGTGACCAGAGATGTGAGAAGATGAGGTGTAAGGGCCAGAAAAGGAGAAAGGTCAGTGGAGAAAGGAGTGAGAGGGAAGTGCAGGAAGGCACCTCTGCAAGCTTAGAGAGAGGCGACGCTCGTCTCAATAGCCTTGGGTCTTTGCATAACATTGCGCTTTATAGTTTACTGAATGACTAGGATACAGTTTCTTTCAACCTATCAATCAGTACATTGGCAGTTTATTCAAGATTGTAAAAGATACTTTCTTTAATGTGTGGAATGAAAATGTTCACTAAATCACAGTTGATTTAACTTTATATAAAGACATTATAATAGCTCATTTTGACATATTTTTATGTGAGTCACGGGATAAACAGATCAAGTCTGAGGACTTTCTAAACATTTTTTGTAGATATGAACTAAGCCATGGTTTTCAGAATTGAATTTGTAAAGACTTTTGTTAAAATAATTTCAAAACATACATGAGAAATATACATGTAACTTCATAAAGGCTTTTCTGTCTTTTATGTGGCAATAACATTCCTTTCCCAAATATTTTTTGAAGAAAGGACAACTGCACAAAGGAGAGTTCGTATAAACTTTGGGCCTGTGTGTATTCAGCTTCGGAGAGATGACAATAATGAAGCTTGCCTGGGTAAAAACACTGATTCAGAAAGTGAGGATACCTGGGTTCTCACCCCAACTCTCATGTAACTAATCATGTAAACATGAAAACTTTTCAAATGTTTGTGCCTTGTGAGTCTTTTCTGTAAAATAAATATAATCAACACAGTTCATCTTTTTTTTTTTTTTTTTTTAAGATGGAGTCCCGCTCTGTTGCCAGGCTGGAGTGCAGTGGTGCGATCTTGGCTCACTGCAATCTCTGCCTCCCGGGTTCAAGCAATTCTCCTGCCTCAGCCTCCCGAGTAGCTGGGACTACAGGCATGCGCCACCACATTCAGCTAATTTTCGTATTCTTAGTAGAGAAGGGGTTTCACCATGTTGGCCAGGATGGTCTTGATCTCTTGACCTCGTGATCCACCCGCCTCGGCCTCCCAAAGTGCTGGAATTACAGGCGTGAGCCACCGCACCCAGCCAGTTCATCATTTTCAAAGTGTGCCTCCTTGCCCCCAAATTCCAGCTGAACCTCCCTTTGGACTTTTCTCACTCATTCTCCCTGGAATCCCTTTCTGAGTTGGGAAATAATTGAGCAATGGATGCTGGAGTCTGACAGATGGAGAGTGAAATATGGGCTTGATTACTGATGATGATGGAAGGTGAGTTGGTGAAGGTAGCTCACATGAGCTGCAGCAATGGGCCCCCTTGATATCTATCACCTGGGTCACTGACCCAGCTGGATACCTTGGGCCTTCCCACAAGTTCTTAACATATGAAGGGACAGAGAATGGATGTGTCCTGCAGAGGGACTGACTCCAAAAGGAACAGAAGCCCATAAAGGGCTGAGCCAAAACACCAAGTCCCTTTTTCTACATATACTAACCACCACTTAGGTCCTCCTCTTGCCACAGGGAGGAGGGAGGAAGTAGAGAAGATAGGCGGGTTCCACCCATGTTTCTCCCTTCTAGAAAGTGGGGTAAAAATTTCCTCTCCTTTCTGATAACACAAGGAGGTGAGAATACATGTTTTTTGTCTCCTGCAATGTATTCATTCAACAAATATTTATAAGACACCTCCTTTGTGCCAGGTGCTGGGATAGACAGTAGAGATATAGGAAGGCAAAACAAATACAAGCTGTTCTTGCAAGGAGCTTGCAATCTGCTGAAGGAGAAATGTAATTATGAAAAGAAATACTTAATTGCAAACTGTAATCCATACTAGGAAGGAAAAGCTCAAGGTGGTCTGAGAGAGAATAACACGAGAACATGATTATATGGGTGTGTCAGGTAAACTTCTTTAGAAAGTGATAGTTAACCTCAAATGGGAAGAGTGTTGGGAGTGTATGTGTATGAAAATCTTTGAGGCTAGGAAAAACTAGAAGGGGATTGTGCAGCCTAAGCAGAGAGACAGGGGCGATGAGCGACCCAAGATGAAAAGAATTAGGCAGGAGCCAAATCAACAGGACTTGTAGGTTATGTTCAGGAGTTGGGACTTCACCCTAAGTATAATGGAAAGCAACAGAAGGGTGTTAAGCACGATAGCAAGGGATAAGTGATAGACTCTGTGCTAATGAGAAGATCCTACAATGTAGCATCCAAACTAGCTCTGTTCCTCTCCATCAGCCTTCATCTCTGTTCTGATTTTGTCATATAAATGGAGCTGAGTCCACAGATTGAACTTAGAGGATACCAAGAAGTGGGAAAAATCATGAAGCCGGACTCATTATTATAGGGCCTAGTTTTCATTAGTTGCTTGACCATTGTTTGACGTCAATCTGGAGGAACATGTTTATGACATGCCACAGGCTTTGCCTTGTTAATATTTTATTCATTAAAATCTATGGTTGACATAAAGCTTAGAAAGAACAAGTGTATCAAATGACAAAATTTATTCAAAATTATGTCAAAATAAAGAAACTCTCAGTTAAAATCTACTGGATATAATGCCAGAGAGAAATTAAAATCCATCTATTTATTATCCAAATGAGTTACAACACCCACGGAAGTGACAGACGACCCATAGAATGGAAGAAAATATTTGCAACTCATATTTGATAGCATACTTTTATCTAAAATATAAAAAGAACTCTTACAACTCAATAATAAGCAGGCAAATGCCCAATATTAAAAATGGCAAAGGCTCTGAATAGACATTTCTCCAAAGAAGACATACAAATGGCCAATAAGCACATGACGAAATGTTCAACATCTTTAATTATTAGGGAAATCAAGTCAAAACCACAATATGATACCATTCTATACCACTAGGATTACTATAATAAAGAGACAGATAAGAAATGCTGATGAGGATGTAGAGAAATTGGATCCCTCATATACTGCTTAGGAATGTGAAATGATGCACCACTTAGGAAAACAGTCTGGTAGTTCCTTAAAAGGCTAAACATAGTTACCATATGACCCAGCACTTCCATATCTAGTTATACACCTAAGACATATAAAAACAAAAACTTGTATGCTTACATTTATAGCAACATTATCCAAAGTAGCCAAAAAGTGGAAATAACTCAAATGTCTATCAACTGATAATAGATAAATAAAATTTAGTATATCCTGACAATGGCATATTATTTTGTCATAAAAAGGAATGGAGTACTGAGACATGCTACAACATGAATGGACCTTTAAAACATTCTGCTAGATAAAAGAAATCTGTCACAAAAGACTATATATTGTATGATTCCTTTAGGAGAAATGTGGACAGGCATCATCATTTGTCCACATTGATGAGGGCAGATCTTCTCTACCCCATCTACTGATTCAAACACTAATCTCTTCTGGAAACATCTGCACAGACACCCAAAAATAATGTTTTACCAGCTATCTGGGCATTCCTTAACCCAGTCAAGTTGACATAGACCAACACAAATATAGTTCATTGATATTTGGCAAAGGTATCAAGGCCATTCAGTGGAGAAAAAGACAGTCTTTTTAACAATGATGCAGGAATAAAGGAAAGGAAAAAGGATTGACTGCCTAGGGGCATGAGAGAACTTTTTCAGCAATTGATCTATTCCATATTTTGATCGTGGTCATGACTACTGACTATATATACTTGCCAGAACTCAATGTACAATTAAATCAGTGAATTTTGTTATATGCAAATTTTACCTCAATAAAGTCAATTTAAAATTTAAAAAAAATAATTATATCAGGTCACAGTGGAGGAGGCTTTATTTGGGAATAGTTTCTGTGGAAGAAGATTTCTGAATGAGTGTTAATTTACCATACTTAATATGGGCTTACAATATGACATGCTTATTTTAAAAGGTGATAAAACTTCAGGCAATATTAATTTTACAAACAGTATAATAGCCTGTCTTTTCTCTTACTAATCAACCCATATCTGGAGTGCTGTGGGTCTTTTATAAAGAGGGACATTCATGACTAAAGAACATCAGAGTAGGAGAAGCTGGATGTGTTTCGATCTTCAACCCCCACTGAATTAAGACAATTTAGGGAGCTGAGGGGATTTGTTGAATCATGAAATAAATCTGCAGGGGAAAATTTTAATTATCTTAAAGAACTCATAATTCATTAAGTATTTAAGTCCCTGCCATCCTGCAGGCATTATCCTAGGCATTAATCTTATGATGAATAAACAGAAGAAATTTTTGCTGTTATATGGAGACAGATTTTGGTTCAATAAAAAGAAGAACATTCTAACAATTATAGTTGCAAAAAAAAAATGAGTCTTTGCAAAAGAAGTAGGGCATCTCCATCTGTGTGACTAAAGACTGCATTCCCAGTCACCAGGGATAAGAGTGGTTTCTTCTGTGTTGGAAGACAGGTTACCTCTGAATTTCCTTTCCAAATTAGGTTCAGATGGAGTTGTGTGAAACAAAAAATATTTAATATAGATTTGAGTCCAGGCACAGTGGTTCACGTCTCTAATCCCAGCACTTTGGGAGGCCGAGGTGGGTGGATCACTTGAGGTCAGGAGTTTGAGACCAACCTGGCCAACATGGTGAAACCCCATCTCTACTAAAAATACAAAAATTAGCTGGGCATGGTGGCACATGCCTGTAGTCCCAGCTACTCAGGAGGCTGAGGCACGACAATCACTTGAACCTGGGAGGCAGAGGTTGCAGTGAGCCAAGACTGTACCACTGCACTCCAGCCTGGGCAACAGAGAGAGACTCTGCCTCAAAAAAAAAAAAAAAAAAAAAAAAAGATAGATAGATAGATTTGATAAAAAGGAAAGATTTGACATTTTTAGTTTTATTTTTGTATTAAAAATATGTGCTTTTCTGATTATGAATATAAAGCACATGCATTATATTTCAAATGGTTAAGTTGCATAGAAGGAAGTAAAAAAAATTCATAATCTCGCCACCCAGAGATGAGCATCATTAACATTTTGTTACTCTCCTTCCAGATTTTTCCTATGTATCTATACACCATAGAGAGTGGAACATGCACATATTTTTCCCAAAATGTCATTGTATCGTACAGTCTCTTTTTACATGGCTTTCTCTCTCTTAAAATGTATTATGGGGATCTTTCTATATCAACAGAGACAGATTGACATTACTTAAATTGAATAACATGTTGTGTGGAGGTACTATGATTTGTTTAGTCAGTTTTCTGTTAATGAACATTGAACATTTTTGGATGCTTCCAAAATTATTTGGTTTGGCTATATTCCTGAGAGAGAGAGAAAGAGAGAACACACAAATTGCCTTCCAGAAAGAAAGATTGTTATTAATTTTGTTAATCTTTTACTATCTGAAAGGAGGAAAATTTGTTATAATTTGTATTTTTTTGATTACTAGGAGCTTACACTCTAGTGAGGGAGACAGACATTAATCAAAGGTCACAGATAAATATAAATATAAATTTACAACTGTAATAAGTGTTATGACAGTGAGTCAATGCAATGAGTATATAAGCAGAGATTGACATGATAAATTAGTTGGGATCTTAAGAAGTCAGGGAAAACTTCCCCGTTATAATGATGACTGAGTGATGTAGTCATCAGCTAATCAAGGGAGCACAGATGAGAGCTAGAGCAGGCATACAGAGAATTTCAGAAAGAGGAAATAGCAGGTGCAAAGGCACTGTGTATGTTCTAGGAACAGAAAGAAAGCCAACATGGATGGTAAGTGACAAGCCAGGGCCAGCACAGTGCTGCGATGGAGCTGGAGAGGGAGGAGTCACCACATCACTCAGGATCTTATCGTTCATGTTAAGTTCATATTCATATATTCCACTGGCCACATCTGTTGAAGGATTCTGATCTTCATCTGCAGAACGATGGAAGTCATTAAAATATTTTAAGCAAGAGAGTCACATAATAAAATTTACATTTTGAAAAAAATCACCTGGTTTCAGGTTGGAAAATGTTTAAGTTGGGGGCAGGGTGGACGTGGGTAGCCTCCTTCCAAGGCTACCACAGCATCTAGGAGAAAGATGGTGCTGGCTTAGATCAAGGTGGTGTCAGCGAAGCTAAAAAGAGAATGGATTTGCGAGCCCTATGGAGACAAGACTTGGAGAAATGTTGGGTACTAGGGGCAAGGAAGACTTCGAGGTTCCTGGCTGTAGGGCTGGTATTGGTACAATCCTAGGGTATTCCCGAAGAGGACCACTTTTAGGAGAATGATGTGTTCAGCTTTGATCATGAAACTTAAACACTTTTCGTTATTGGTCATTTGTATTTCTTATATGTACCGCCTATTGTGCAATTTCCTTTGGCATTGCTCTTTTCCTCTCATAAAACACCCCATTACTAGGGATAATAAACCATTTTCATATATGTTGCAAATGTTTTTCTCAATTTGTCATTTCCTTTTTTGGTTATTTGCTGTTAATTTTATTATTTTCTGTAGAAGAGTTGATATTTTATGAAATCTAAATATTATAAATTTGTGTTTTGCCTTTTAATTTTTGAAATTAAGCTATGGACATCACGGAAAATTTAATTTTAATTACCAATCAATCAGAGTTTTCACCCCAAGATTCATATTTTAATCATCCTCTTTGTATAGATAGAAAAAAAGAGCTCACCTAAATGAAGATACGAATAACTTTGTATAAGATGTTCTAGAAATTGAATTTTTATGACAAATGTCAACATTGTCATTTCTTCATGTGGTATTTAATATATATGGATCACTTCAGAATGAAAAATTTAAAACTCTTCTAGTCTTCCAAATCAGGCACTTACTAAATTCTTTAGAGTCTTAGTATCTGCTCTACAGCCCCTGTCAAATACTGATATTTGAGAGAAGTGGTGTATATTCCATAGATGATTCTGAAGGTCATATATGCCTTTTCATCTTTGCAACTCTAAGGCTTAACACGGTACCTGTTGAATGAATTAACAAAACATTTTCAATTAAAATACTTAGAAGTCTAGGTACACTGGCTCACATCTGTAATCCCAGCACTTTGGGAGGCAGGAGGATTGCTTGAGCCCCAGAGTTCAAGACTAGCTTGGGCAACATAGTGAGATCTCGTCTCTACAAAAAATATATAAAATTAGCCAGGAATGATGGCACGTGCCTGTAGCTCTAACTGCTTGGGAGGCTGAGTTGGGAGGATCACTTGAGCCCCAGGAGGCTGAGACTGCAGTGAGTCAAGATCAGGCTACTGCACTCCATCCTAGGTGACAAAGTGAGACCCTGTCTCAAAATAAAATAAAATAATAAAATACTTAGAATAAAATGTTTAGAAATGGTTATATGTACAAACATCCCCTGACTTATAAACTCTTGGCTTAACAATACTTACAAATGAATGACCACTACCACTTGCCCACAAAGTCCTCCCATAGCTATCACTGATGTCCTGTTCTCCAGGAACCTTCCTCTGTCATTGACATCTGGATCCATGGAGCCCTTCCCTACCATTACTGTGGAAAGCACCAGGATCCTCTGTCTGGGCACTCTCCACCTCCTTCCTTGCCTTGCTTTCGGACCTCTCAGGCCAGTGGCACCTGTACCCCTATTGCCAAAGCATCAGAAATCTACGAGCCTCAGGATGCAAGAGTCTTAGGGCTTGGGACTCAGCATGTAAGGTGGTGATGCTCAGGTGTTTCTTTCTGGAAATACTACAAACTACACTCAGGAATATTTCAGCGCCATGATAAATTAAATAAGATTTAATTTATTTAAGTTTGCTTGAGAATGTAGCCACCATTTATAATGCTCCTAAACATAGACTTAATACCTTCTGAAATTGGTGATTACTTGTAGAGAGAACATTAATATTTATGGTAAATTAATTTTTCTTTTTACTTGACAAAATATTAAATCAGATGCACATTTTTCCCTTTAATATTAAAGCCCGGTCCAATTGTAAGGATGAAAAGGGAACTGTTCCTTTCTGGGAATCCCTGCAGCTAACTCAAGGGATCTACCAGCAATGAAGGCAAGCAGCATTTCTTTCTCCTTCAAACACATGATGATCTGATTTGGCTGTGTCCACACCCACATCTCATTTTAAATTGTAGCTCCCATATTCCCACATGTTGTGGGAGGGACCCAGTGGAAGATAATTGAATCATGGGGGCGGTTTCCCCTATACTGTTCTCGTGGTGGTGGATAAGCCTCATGAGACCTGATGGTTTTATAAGGGTTTTCCCCTTTTTCTAGGCTCTCATTCTCTCTTGCCTGCCACCATGTAAGATGTGCTTTTCACCTTCCACCATGATTGTGAGGCCTCCCCAGCCACGTGGAACTGAGTCCATTAAACCTCTTTTTCTTTATAAATTCCCCAGTCTCAAGTGTGTCTTTATCAGCAGCGTGAAGATGGACAAATACAAATACACATGGTTTGCCCAATCACTTCCATTTTGTTTGTCATTAAAATCTTAAGCTACTGTGGGGCATGGTCTGTACTTATAAAACAATACATTTTTTTGTCCTCCTCAAATTAAAAAAAAAATAACTGATCACAGGAGGAGAAACTCAGTCTTCCTCATTCTGAAATTCCTTAAAAATGTCTTTAGTTTTGGTTAAGACAGAACATTTTTGCAGAATAAATTTCCATGTGTGAGAAAAGTGGATCAGAGCAGTCAGCGCTCTAGAGAAGATGCCCAGATAGCTTTACTGGCCAAGATGAAATTTTCATTTCCTTCTATTCTTACAACCAAAAGTTCCTTCTCCAAAAAGCAGGCCCAGGATTAGAGTGCTTCACTTTCATCACCCATCTTACCCTATAGCCAGAGGAGCTCAGCCAGCCATTTAGAGTGCATGCATTATTACACCATGTGCAGGGACCCTAGAGTCTAAGCCCCACACATCAGAGTTGTAATCAGAGGAGTAGACATTACTTGTTTCAGTTTCACCCAAGTTCCTACAGGTCAGGTTTGTGTGTTGATTCTAGTTCTCTTTCACTTCCCTCTGACTTCTATACCCAGGCACAGGTCAGAGCCATTTAAGATTGAGAGAGGTGAAGTTCGTTCTGTTTGGTTCTCGAATCCACTATTTAGTTCCAAGACAAAATCGCATTTCTCTCAACCACTAAATTATTGAGTCTGTGGGTCTATCAGAATTTACCGTCAAACTGCAATTCATCTAAAAGTATACCTACTTCAAAAGGATTAGAAATAGCTTATCTTTTTCCACAGTAAATGGAAAGTAAAGGTTAAAATATAAGACAGAATATCTAATAGGAATAAATTATTGAGTCCATGGGTCTACTGGAATTTGCCAACAAAACACAATTCTTTATCTAAAAGTATACCCACCTCCAAAAGTTAGAAACAGCTTATTTATTTTCATAGTAAATGGAAAATTAAGGCTTAAATATAAGACAGAAGATACAAAAAGAATATAAATAGATGTTTCCAGACACCTGGAGTAATGTAAGTATAATTGTTCACTTAGTCGTTCATGAACATTTTAATTGAGTGACCACTATATACCAGGCACAATGTTAGGTATTGCGTATGTAGCAAAACAGACATGGTTCCTTCCTTCTTGGCTTTGATACTACTTGCACCGGGAAGAGATACCAGACCTGGAGCATGATCAGCATAGTGATAGCCTCAAAGGCTCTGAGAGTGGATTTGATCATATACGGGGTGTTGGGGTGGTGACAGGGAGACAGAGAGGAAGAGGACAGAGAGAGGGAAGGAGAAAGAGACCATGAGAAAGGCGAAAAAGAGGGCTAGGACTGACGCGTGAGACTAATCTTTCGAGTTTGAGCAAATAGAGAGCCAGAAATGAAGCCTAATAAAGTACAAGACAAGTCAAAAGAAAACAAAGCAAATGTGGCTTTGCAGAATCCAATAAAGGAGCATGGTTTCAAGGAAAGAGTGGTCCGTGATAGCAAATGCTGCTAAGAGATAAAATAAAATGGAGGGCTTGTCTTAGTTATTTAAAGAAAAGAGCTTTAATGGAGAGGAAGGGCTGGGACCTGGTGTAACTGGAACCATGTGGCAGGGGAGGCGCTGGGGAGCCTGGAACCCTCGTGCTCTTCTCCCGCCACCGAGCTCTCTTCCACTCTTCATTCAGGTCAGGGCTTAGATATTGCTACTTGTGGGGAGACTCCCAAGCCACAAGTCTTGACTAGGTGTCCCCCTGTATGCTTCTGTAAGCACTGTTTACTTCCCTTCATTGCAATTATATTTTTTCTTGATTGTAAACAGCAGCAACCATCTCTGATAAACTGAAGTAGAAAAGACAATTTTTTGGAAGGCCGTTTGGGACTTTGCAGAATTTTAATGTAAGAACTAGGCTTAGAAAACAGGCCAAATCCAAAGAAGATCAAGCAATTGTGATACAGACCAGGTTACATCTCCAGGTGTGCTGATGAGTTAACCAGGCGACCTCACCCAGCTCACAACTGGCCTCATCACCACTATTCCCAGATGCTGGGTGCCGCTGCCATCATACCACCAAGAGAATGAGTTCCAAACTGTCCCCTTCTTCTTTGGTTTATTAAGTTGTGGCAAGAAAAAAAAAAAAAAGTACATATCAAAGAGGGGATTTGGTCAGGCGCAGTGGCTCACACCTGTAATCCCAACACTTTGGGAGGCCGAGGCAAACTGATTGCTTGAGCTTAGGAGTTTGAGACCAGCCTGGGCAACATGGTGAAACCCTGTCTCTACTAAAAAGACAAAAATTACCCGCGCGATGGTGGGCCCCTGTAGTCCCAGCTACTCGGGAGGCTGAGACAGGAGATTTGCTTGAACCCAGGAAGAGGAGGTTGCAGTGAGCTGAGATCGTGCCATTGCACTCCAGCCTGGGCGACAGAGCGAGACTCTGTTTCAAAAAAAAAAAAAAAAATTAGCTGGGCGTGGGGGCACACGTCTGTAATCCCAGCTATTCACGGGGATGAGGCAGGAGAATCGCTTGAACACGGGAGGTGGAGGTTGCAGTGAGCTGAGATCGAGCCATTGCACTCCAGCCTGGGTAACAGGGTGAGACACTGTCTCAAAAAAATAAAATAAAAATAAATAATGAGGGGATTTAACATTTAGGTACAGTTTAAAGCATAGTGAGCACTTCTGTAACTACTGCTAAGCTATTCTTCTGAAGCCCTTTAGCATTCTTCTCATTATTTTCCCCTCATTGCCCTCATCGCGTGGGTAACTAAGTTTTCTGGATTTGCGCTATTGTGTGTGTGTGTGTGTGTGTGTGTGTGTGTGTGACAAAGTCTCATTCTTGTCACCCAGGCTGGAGTGCAATGGTGTGATCATGGCTCACAGCAGCCTCGACCTCCTCTTGGGCTCAAGCGATCCTCCCACCTCAGCCTTCCAAGTAGCTGGGACCACAGGCACCTGCCACCATGCTCGGCTAATGTTGTTTTTTTTTTTCCAGCAGCGATGGGGGTCTCCCTATGTTGCCCAGCTTGGTCTTTAACTCCTGGGCTCAAGTGATCCTCCCACCTCAACCTCCCAAAGTGCTGAGATCACAGTCATGAGCCACTGTGGCCAATCCCTGGATTTGCTTTTCTTTATAGTTTTATCACAGATTTGTGTCCCTAGCATTGTTACTTTTGCCTGTTTTTGTACTTTATATAAATAAAATCACACTGTATGCATTCCTCTGTAACATGCTTTCTGCTCACTATGTATTTTCAATGTTGGTGTGAAATAGCTACTGTTTGTTCACATCCACTGCTTTATTGTATTAATATACCAGAACTACTTTATCCTGTCTACTGTTAATGAAGTAAGGAGTTTTTTTTTTTTTTCCCAGTCAACAATGCTGCTAATTATATACACACACCTCCTGGTGTACATATTAAATAATTCATTGAGGTCTATAGTGAAAGTAGAATTTCTTTTCTTTTCTTTTTTTTTTTTTTTTTTTTTTGAGACGGAGTCTCACTCTGTTGCCAGGCTGGAGGGCAATGGTGCGATCTTGGCTCACTGCAACCTCCACCTCCTGGGTTCAGGGGATTCTCCTGCCTCAGCCTCTCAAGTAGCTGGGACTACAGGCGTGTGCCACCATGCTCAGCTAATTTTTGTATTCTTAGTAGAGATGGGGTTTTACCATGTTGGCCAGAATGGTCTCGATCTCTTGACCTCGTGATCCACCCACCTTGGCCTCCCAAAGTGGTGGGATTACAGGCATGAGCCACTGCATCCAGCCAAAAGTAGAATTTCTAAGTAATAAGGAATGTGAATATTTAACTTTACTAGGTGACAGCAAATTATTTTCCAAAATGGCTGTAATAATTATATTCCCACCAGCACTGATGACTTTTTTCACGTTCCCACATCTCCATCAACATCGGGTAGTATCCAACTTTATTATCTTTGTCAAGCTAGTGGGTGCAACAGAGTAGCTCAGTGTGGTCTTAAGTTAGGTTTCCCTGATTACTACCAAGTTTGGGTGTTTTCCTATGTTTATAAGCCAAACACATTTGCACTTCTATGAGATAACTGTTCATATCTTTTACCCATTTCTCTATTGAGCTGTATATGTCTCTCCATATACTTGGACCTCCTTAAAGTTCCTCAATAAAAACTTTAGTAATTCTGCACCAGGGACCTGCACATTTTTCTTACATTTATTCCTGGGTGCTTTATATTATTTTATACTATTAAAACACTTTCTACTGTTGAATAGAAATGCACTTTTCTTTTTATATTGATATTACATCTAGAAATCTTGTTGAACTCATGGAATCTGATATTTTACCTGTAGATTCCATTTATCTGCAGATTATTTTGATTTTTCCATGTTGAAATTACATCATCTGTAAATGACTGTTTCATTTATTCCTTTCCTAATTCTTGTACCTTTTTCTTGTTTCATTGTGCTGGCTAAGAATTTTAGCCAATACAGTATTGAATAGAAGTGGTGATTCTTCTATTCTGGGAGCATTCTTATCCAGGACTTATGTCTCTTTCTCCCTTTTTTTTTCTTTAGGCATTTGGTACAGAATCAGAGTCCCAAATGGGCACATTTGCTTGGCCAAGCTTAAGTCACAGGCTTTTCTAACTGCCAAAGGAAAAAGAAGAAGAAGAAGAAGGAAAACATATGCCATAGTATGATATAGGGCTCTTTCTCGAACTTTTCTAGGAATTTCTCCAAAATGAGAAGGGCATTCAAATGCCTGAGAATGGAGAGCAACTTGTAATTACCTGTATACTTGCCTTTATGCACAGTAAGAATCTATGTAATCAAACTAATCTCCGTGAATAACGTGCCTATGGGAGAATTTATTCTTCACTTCAAATTGGAACTCTAAGAATATATCTCCCTTTACTGTGTACATAATATCAGAACTGGAGATTCTCCCTGTTCCAAATTATTTATGGAAGTTCCTGTGGCCTATTGTGGAGTCTTTAAGAAGGGAAAACCTGGGGAATGAATGGGGATGAAGTACGGAGCATTCTAAAGAATGAGAATTTCTTGTCAGCATAAAACCTCTGAGGTGACTTTTCTGAGTCATATCCTCAGTTATTCCCTCCCTCTTCTTTCACAGGTTTATATTCTTATGTTTCCAATGTCATTATCTATAGCTGTATCCATGTTTTCTTCTGCCTAAGTTACTGCTAAGTAGATCACAATCTCCCAGCTCCTTTACTTTCACGTCTGTGAAGAAGTTCATGTTCTTTTATGGTTTTCTAGAGGATTACTGCTAGCAATAATAAAAAGCAATTTAATAAAGAGCATTCTGCCACATAATTGAGACACACGCACACACACACACACACACACACACACACAGAATTTAACATTTCTATGTAGACAGTCATGACAAAGTTTTTTAAAAATGACAAAAAATTGCAACATTTATATGACAAAAGTTACTATCCGTAATATACATATAGTTCTTATAAACTGATAAAAGAGCTATCTGATTTTTTAATGGGCCAAGGACATAAACAGTCAGAGAATAAACAATAAAAATAAGATGTTCAACTTCATCTTTTAGGTTTAGTTATGAACTAAAACAAAAATTAAATATATTTTTTTCGACCAATAAACTGGCCAAGGGGAAAAAGATCTTCAGTACATGGTGATGCTGAAGAGAGAATACAGGCTCTCTGTGCACTGTTGGTAGACGCAAACATTGATGTTCCTTGAGCTGAGTCTGACAGTATGTTGCCAAACCCTTTAACCATGTAAACTTTTTTTCTTATTTCATGAGTTTATTCTATTAAAAACAAAACAAAATAAGCTTTAAGAATGTAAGCAGTCTTTCTATATTCAATTATTAATAATCGATACTTCAACAAACCTAACATAGCATTGATCATAAGATGTATCATTATTCTATGTACTACTATGGAAGAAAAAAATGTCAAACTATAGCACAATCCTTTTTATCACTTAGAATTCTCTTAAAATGTTCTAACTGACATGTAATAATTATACATATTTATGGGGTACAGAGTGATATTTTGATACACGTATGCAGTGTGTAATGATCAAATCATGGTAACTTGCATATTCGTCACCTCAAATATTTATCATGTCTTTGTGTTGGGAACATTTAAAATCCTCTCTTCTAGCTATGTGAAAATATAAAATAAATTACTGCTAACTATAGTCAGTCACCCCACAGTGCTATAGAACACTGGAACTTATTCCTTCTATCTAGCTGTAATTTTGTAACCCTTAACCACATGTTCCCTATCCCCTCACCCTCTAGTAATCACAATTCTACTCTATATTCCTATGAGCTCAACTTTTTTAGCTCCCACATATGTGTGAGAACATGCCGTGTTTATCTTTCTGTGCCTAACTTATTTCACTTAACATAATGTCCTCTAGTCTCATTTGTGTTGCCAAGAATGATAGGATTTCATTCTTGTTTATGGGTGAATCGTATTTTGTTTTCTACATATATCACATTTTCTTTATCCATTCATCCATTGATGAACACTTACATTGATTCCATATCTTAGCCACAATAGTGCTGCAATAATCCTTTCATTTTGATAAATACCCAGTACTGGGAATACTGGATCATATGGTAGTTCTAATTTTAGTTTTCTGAGGAACCTCTATGTTGTTTTCCATAATGGCTGTACTAATTTACAATACCACCAACAGTAGATGAGTTTCCATTTCTCTGCATCCTCACTTTTTGTCTTTTTGATAATAGCTATTCTAACGAGGGTGATATGATATCGTACTGTGGTTTGATTTGCATTTCCCTAATGATTACTAATATTGGGTTTCTTTTTTTATAGACTTGGTGGCCATTTGTGTGTCTTCTTTTGAAAAATGTCTATTCAGGTTGTTTGCCCATTTTTTTAAATCAGATCTTTTTCTGCTGTTGAGTTTCTCATATATTCTGAATCTCTTGTCAGATGAATAGTTTGCAAATATCTTCTCCCATTCCACAGGTTGTCTCTTCACTCTGTTAGTTGTTTCCTTTGCTATGCGGAAGCTTTTTAGTTTTATATAATCCCATTTGTATATTTTTGCATTTGTTGACTATGCTTTTGAAGTCTTACCCATAAAATCTTTGCCCAAATCGTTTCCTCTATGTTATCTTCTAGTAGTTTTACAGTTTTGAGTTTTACATTTAAGTCTTTAATCCATTTTGAGTTGATTTACGTATATGGTGAGAAATAGGGATCTAATTGCTTCTCAGCCTTTTGGCTAAGATCAAGTGGAGAAACAGGGATCTAGTTTCATTCTTCTTCATATGGATATTCTGTTTTCCCAGCACCATTCATTAAAGAGGATGTGCTTTCCCCAGTGTGTGTTCTTGGAACCTTTGTCAAAAATCAGTTGGCTGTGAATATCTGGATTTATTTCTGGGTTCTCTATTTTGTTCCATTGGTCTATGTGTGTGTTTTTATACCAGTGCTATGCTGTTTTGGTTACTACAGCTTTGTAATATGTTTTGAATCAGGTAGCATGATGCCTCCAGTTTTGTTCTTTTTGGTCAGCATTGTTTTGGCTATTGTGAGTCTTTTGTGGTTCTATACAAATTTCAGAATTTTTTTCTATTTCTTCAAAGAATATCATTTGTATCTTGATAGAGATTGCATTAAATCTGTAGATTGTTCTGGGTAATATGGTCACTTTGACAATATCCATTCTTCCAATCTATGAACATGGGATGTCTTTCCATTTGTTTGTGTCTTCATCAATTTCTTTAATCAGTGTTTTACAGATTTTATTGTAAAGATCTTATGCCTCCTTGGTTAAATTTATTCCTAGGTATTTAAATATTTTTGGCAGCTATTGTAAAGGGGGTTGCTTTCTTGATTTCTTTTTCAGCTAGTTTATTATTAGTGTACAAGAGTGCTATTGATTATTGTATGTTTGTTTTGTATTCTGCAAATTTGTTGAATTCATTTATCAGTTCTGAAAGTTTTTTTGTAAAGTATTTAGGTATTTTTATATATAAAATCATGTTATTTGCAAATAGTGATAATCTGACTTCTTTTTCAATTTGGATGCTGTTTATTTCTTTCTCTGGCCTAATTGCTCTAGCTAGGATTTCTAGTACCATGTTGAATAAAAGTGGTGAAAATGGGCATCCTTGTCTTGTTCCAGTTCTTAGAGGAAAAGCTTTCAAGTTTTCCCCCATTCAATGTGATGTTAGCTGTGGGTTTGTAATTTATGGCCCTTGTTTTATTGAGGTATGTTTCTTCTATACCTAATTTGTTAAGAGTTTTTATCATGAAGGAATGTTGAATTTTATCAAATATTTTTTCTGCATCTATTGAAGTGATCATATGGATTTTGTTCTTCATTCTGTTAATGTGATGTATCACACAATCATTTGCATATGTTGAACCATCCTTGCATGACTGGGATAAATCCCACTTGATCATGATATATAATCTTTTTGATGTGCTGTTGGATTTGGTTTGCTAGTATTACATGGAGGGTTTTTGCACATGTGTTCATCAAGGATATTGGCCTGTAGTTTTCTTTTTTGTTGTGTCCTTGTCTGGTTTTGGTAATGTGGCCTCATAGCGTGCATCCTTTTTGACTCAGCACTTCCCCCTTCTAGGAGTTTACTCTAGGAATATATTCTAATAGGTAGGTAATACAATAACCACAGCAATGTTTACTGAAGTCTTGTTTATAATAGTAAAAGCTGGAATCCAACAATATAGATGGATTAAATAGTTTTCTAGAGTTATACAACAGAATAATAAGCAGCCATTTAAAAGGAAAAATTGCCTGTGACAAACCATAGAGTGAAAGGAAGCAGAATGTATAAGACCATTTACATCATTTATATAAAAGTTACCATATGTACAAATACATATACGTCTACATATACAGATATGGCTATCAAAACATTTAAATTTTATTAACAAGCAGGTGGCAGGCATTGTGAGGTTATTGTTTATAATGTTATGTATAATTTTATATAGCCTTACTACTGTTGTGATTTCCTTTTCCCCGTCACCTTAGTTCCTCAATTCTAATTGTCTTACTCCAATTTTTGTCTTCCCAAATATCTCTAGGTCACCATATTTAGCTTGACTTCTGTGCACTATGAAGTGAACTAGCAAATGCTTCAAAGAAAGAAAGTAGCAAATAACATCAGGCTCACTTCTGTACATTCTCTGTCTCTCTAAGATCTTGTTCCTTCAAGTCCTGGCTGCCCTGGTTGTTTAGATGCCTTCAAACAGCTCCTCTTAATTTTTTAATCCAGATTTATAACTGCTTTCAACAGTAAGTGGTTCTGATACAAGCTGCTGTATCATAGCCAGAAGCAAAAGTCCAATTGTCTCATATTTAAGGGCATATTAATTATTGCTAAAATAGGAAATTATTTTGTAAGTAAAGAGATAATTTTTAATGTGAATAATTTTTAGTATTACCTGTTTTGTGGGTATTTAAAATTTTTCCTTGAAGAAAGGTATACAATATTTTATAGAAGTTACTTAAAAGTATTAAATATAATCTTTTAAAAATGCTGATCATAAATAGTTGTATAAACCATATTCAAATTAAATACTTTTTCACTCATCTAAATTTAATTCAAAATTGAATGTAATCCAAAAATATGCTTATTTTATTTTCTGATTATACTGCTGCATATTTGGGTATAATTTTATATTGCAAACAAGTTTCTTTACTACTGTATTCTGTGAATCAAGCATTAGAGTAAGTGAAAAGATTGACGATTTGAATATCAGGTAAAACAAGCATAACAGAGATTTGAGCTGGAAGTACAGATTTAGCATCATGAACCTAGGTGGTCAAGATCTGAAGCAATGGCAAATTCAGTAGATATTATCAGATATGAAAATTTTGTGGGATTGAGACTGCTTCCCAAGCATTCACAAATGGGGAACTACCTGGGTCCTCCACACTTCATAGAAGCCTTCTACACATCCTTAGTCAGCTCTCTTTCTTATTTTCGAATTTTGGGTCCTCTACCTGTTCATTTCTCCTCTTACATTCAGCATATGTCTTCTTGTTTCATAAGCAAAACAGAAGTCACCAGGTGTAGCTCCCACAAATTCCTGTCTCTACATCAACAACTAAACAATATAAAAAATCAGCTTTCTATCTTCATGCCCCACTCATATCCGTAAATTGGCCTTCATCCCCTAACTGGGCAATGACTCTGTCTATACTCTAGGTACCCTCTTTCCCATCTTCTTAGCATACTTGTTTCCCCCATTAGGCTGGCATCCTCCTGCCTTTTTTCAACCCTGCTTTTATGTCTTTTTTTCTTTCACTGTATAAATATACTCCCCACCACTAGGCTGTTTAATCACAAATTTTCCTCTGGTCTGGTGTTTTCCAAATTTCATGCTTCTCCCCATGAGTGGGTTGTGAAATTAATGAGTCTGTTTCATAAAAATATATTAAGAAATGAATTAGTATGGAACCTACAATATCAGAATGCAACACGTATATTCCTAGCAGGAGGTGTCCACATTGCCACAAATCCTGCAGACAACTGAGTTGAGTGACAGCTGGAGAATGAGAGGTAATGAATATATGCATTGGCTGGGAACTGCCAGCCAGTCACTCTTCTGCTCACTGGTGTCTCAGCTGATTTTTTGGAATTGATCATAATTGTATCAGGAGAGTTCATGTTTTATAGTTTCATTTTATGTCAATGTAATTTATAGCTAATTATAAAGTGAGGTTTAGAAGAACTTTATCTAGTCTTGGCAAAGGCAGGAAGACTTTCCACCAAGGTTTGGCTATGAGTTAGAAGATTTCAGTGTGCTTTTTGAATTAGGCATAACTGTCAGGCATTTTTCAACCTTGTGATAATTGTACATTTTAATCAAAGTTATACCAACTATCCTTAACACAGTTTATTTTATTATTAGAAGAAATAAAAACAGTCGTGTGAAAAACACAGAGGCATGTTCTGGCAGAACTACCAGATTTGGACATGTACATAGTGACAACATTAAGAAAAATGTCTTTTTAAATTAATAAATTCTATTATTTGAACTATAAGCCAAAGAAGTGCAAATCATTTTAATAATGATAAAGTATAGCTTGTCGATTACTCAAAACTCACTGAAAATGTATTATTTGTAATGACATTCTTGTAAATAAAAGCTTAAGATCTTCCAAAAAAATCACTTGAAATATAGCAAGCCAAATTTGTTCATAAGGCCTTCAAATATTTTCAAAGAAAAAAAGATGTAAATTTGTCAACATGATTTCACATTGGTTTTAATGAAAAAGCATTACTATCATAATTAGTCACATGTATGCAGCAAAAGGAAAAAAATTAAACAGCTCCTAAAAAAGTTGTTCTCAGCATACATGGTTATAGTGAATATGATTCTTGATAAATCAGCAGAGAAATTTAAAATTATACTTCTAAGTCATATTATAGTTCTAAAGAATATACAGAATAGAATTTATACTTATTAGGCACATACAGGCAGACACAGGTTGTATAATTCCACTTAATGAGAACACTAATATTTCACATTACTTAGACTTTAGTTTATGCCAAATATGTATGAAAATATGATTTTTATAAAGGATTTATTGTGTTGTTTCCATTTAACCTAACACAAAACTACTTGAGAAACATAAGTTCAACTGGAAAATTGTAACGGAATTGTGAGTGATTCAGAAGTAAATACGACCAGGAGACATGGAAAGATAATTTAAAATATTGTTAGAAGCTACTCTGTACATTATTTAAAATCTGTGTTTTATACATTACAAAGATTTTGCATCCTAACAATTGCACTAAATCTTTTGGACTTGAAAACAAAAGTAACGATAGTTGTTTAATTTTATTAAGGGAACCTTCAATTTTTGATATGTTTTGTTCAGAAATTGGATCTGTGGCTAATGATTCCCCTCCCTATGCCATAGGAAGAGAGCTGTGATTACTCAGGTATATCTCTGCAACTCTGTCTTCACCAATGCAATATATGAGATTTGTGTAACTTCTGCCTCTGAGGCATGGACTCCTCTACTCTCTTTTCCTCTTCCTATGGGCTAGAACACAATGTGCCTGGTACATATCTTTGAGACACACAAATGAGAACAACCCCCTATGGGATGAGGAAACAGTAACATTTAAGGTATATGGTCACTTAATCTCCTGGGACCTGCTGCACCAACCTCAACCACTGACTCAGGGTTTAATTGAAGAGAGAAGTAAGTGTCTATGCTTTGTAAACCACTGTATTGTTGGGTCTTTGTTAAAACAACTTAGCCTTTCCATCAAATAACATGTACATGTTGCATCGTACTGAAGTTATTGATTGTTACGAGGAAAGTACTCATTAAATTATATGAACTCAGGAACAGGATTCATATTTTCCTATTTGAAAAGCAATCTCATTTGGCATTTTGAAGATGATATTTCACCAGAAGAATCTGCATATAGGACTAATTTTTTTGACATTTTAAACTAACTGAATTTGGATCTACAGGGAAAAAGTAACAATATATTTCAAGATGTTTAATATATCCAACACTAACCAATACATTTTAAGTAATCACTGTGGTTACTATGTGTGCACAATTTTGTAACACATAAAGAGAAAATTAATGAAGACATTTTGAATAGAAAAATGATATTAGTTATATTACGTCTCTGTTATAAACTTTAATAATTTCAAAAAGAGAAATTTGAAATATTGAGGAAAAAATTGATAAAAGATCTGTTTTCCAAAATCCTGAATCCATATTAAAGTTGATACTCAAAGAAGAAAGCTAATCTCTAATACTTTAATACATTGAAGAATGATTATAAGTTTATAGCCATTTTAGATTAAGATTAAAGAAGACTTTCCATTGCTAAACAGAGTTCACTGTTGTTATTAATAGCATTCACAGCAACTTATTTGTGTGAGCCAGAATTTTTAAGCAACAAAACTAAAAACATTGGAAAGAAATAGGCATCACAGAGCAAACCACTGTGATTGTCCTCATGCCCGCAACCCAGAATGAATTTAGGAACAGGCAAGTATGCCTGCTGCAGTGAATGAAATCATGCTTAGTAGTAACTATTCTAGTTAACAGTATGTACTGTTTTATACCTAAAACTGTTGTTTCAGTTTTTTAACATATCTATACATGTATGTAAACACTGGATGATAATGTAAAGCATATTTTCTACTGTGAGTTATAGAAAAAAAGTAGAAAGGTGTTTACTTTCCTTCATAGCCATCCACTGGGTTGTTTATCCGTGTGATTTCACCAGCTCTTAATCCACTGCAACCAGGCTGCAGTCATCATTTCTCCCGGGTCTGGCTTCCACGGGATCCTAACTCTCTCACATTCATTACATCATTTTCTGTGTTTATCTTTGTCCTTTCTCTGGATGTTGACCTTGTTGCCTGGATACTACTTTTATTTCATTTTTGTGCCACTTTTTTTTTTAGAATAACACTTCTGATTATAAAAGTAAAAATATTTAATGAAAAATAAACTCACCTATAAGCCCATCAAAGATAATCACTTAATATTTTGTATGTACTTTTGATAGATATGTATGTACATATATGCATGTATTTTTGAACTTATATATACATCTACATCAAATATTTAAATAAAATTGGAATCATGTAGTATACAAAAGTACATAGCATTTTACAATTTGCTTACTTAAGTATATAGTATAAGCCACTTTTCTTTTTTTTTTTCTTTCTCTGTCTTTTTTTTTTTTTTTTTTTTTTTTTTTTTTTTTTTGAGACAGTGTCTTGCTCTGTCGCCCAGGCTGGAGCGCAGTGGCGAGATCTCAGCTCACTGCAACCTCTGCCTCAGGGTTCAAGCACTTCTTGTGCCTCAGCCTCTTGAGTAGCTGGGATTACAGGCATGTGCCACCACACCCGGCTAATTTTTGTATTTTTAGTAGAGGCAGGGGGGTTCTCACCATGTTGGCCAGGCTGGTCTCCAACTCCTGACCTCAGGCGATCCACCTGCCTTGGCATCTCAAAGTGCTGGGATTACAGGTGTGAGCCACTGCCCCCGACACCACTTTTCATATTATTCAATATTTCTCTCCCACATTATTCTTTTTAAATTAAAAACAATTTTTTTTTTTAGTAGAGATGAGGTCTTGCCATGTTGCCCAGGCTGCTCTCAAACTCCTCGGCTGAACCAATCTGCCTGCCTCAGCCTCCGAAAGTGCTGGGATTACAGGCATGAGCCAACATGCCTAGTCCCCCACATTATTCTCAAAGGCTATATAATATGATGCTTTATGAATATATCATGGGTTATCTATCCATATCCTTGTTGCATATTTAGTTTTCTCTTTTTTTAGAATTGAAAGACACACTGAAATGCTTGTAGAAAGATCCTTATCCATTTCCATAATCACTTTCTTAGGATGAATTCCCAGAAGTGGAATTGTTAGGTCAAAGCTATACCTATGCCACATACACATCCAGGCTCCCTCCCTCCAGGAATGTAGTACCAAGTTACACTCTGACCAGCACCCAAGACATGAGAGGACCTTGTTGTTCAGCTCCTTCAATAACATTTAAAAAATCTCTCAGTCAATTTGATTAATAGAAAATAGCATCTTATTTAAAAGTTTGTTCTCTTTATTAGGCACTTGAACATTTTTTATAAGTTTATGGGGTCATATGTATTCTCTCCTCTGTAAACTGACTTTATATATATTGGCTTTTTTAAAAAAGAAGGAGCATTTGTTTTTTAATTCTTTGTTAAAGCTTTTTTTTTTTAACAAAGCTATTCAAACTTTATATGTCTGACATTAATATAAACATTTTCCTAGTTTGCAGCTTAAACGAAATTGTTTTTAATTGTAAAACTAGTAAATACTTTAAAATAGATTCAAAAATATAAATCCACATATAATTAAGATTTAGAGGTATCATCTTTTCTTCCTTCAATCCATCCCTCAGAGTATCATTTGCTTTTTAATTTTGTATGAAACTTTTGGCATAAAGGTCTTAAATATTCAAATAGTCAAATCTATTGACCTTTTTTCCTTCAGTTTCTGCCTTAGTTTGTTAGAAATAATCTTAATGCATTAAGATAAGTATATTCACTTATGCTTTCTTCTAAACTTTTCATCATTTAATTCTTAAATTTAATTTTTAATACATTTGTAATTTATTTTGCTACACGATATAAAGTTGTGATCTATATATTTTTCCAAATAGTTAACAATTTTCTTTAACCCAAGTACATTATCTGCTGCGGCGTTTTTACTTTTTTTTTTTTAAACCTTTCTTTAAATGATGGCTTCACTGGGCGTGAGGGTAGCGGTAGAAGCATCCTTGGGGGCTGGGACTTTGTAGGTTTTGCCTCCTCAGTACCAAGAGCGCCGAAGGAGTAGTCTGACATCCCCATGTGTTGGACACCCTCCAATGGCAGTCCCTCCCCTGGCTGACCCCCTACACCTCGGATTTCGGACTGCTCCTCTCAGCCTCCTCCCTGGGCCCTTGCTCCTGTACCCATGATTTGAGAATTAGGGGGGCCGTCACTCCCTCTCTTGTGCAACCTTTGTCAAACTCGAGGCATCAACAACTCCTATATTTACCACCCTTCAAATACTGGCATCCCTCCCAGAGCTCTATCCTGAGTTCCTGTCCATAAAAAAAATCTACAAGTATCTCATTATCATTTCAATCTGAACATGTTCAAAACTGAACTCATATATCCCCCCTAATCCAAACCCTTTTTATCTTCTCTTCTTTAAAGAATGGGGCCACCATCCTCCCAATTTCCTAAACAAGTAACCTGGAAGCCATCCCATATACACCGTCTCTCCCCTATTGTGTCATTAAATCCTATTGTTTCTACCCTTCAATATCTCTTGACATACTTTCCTTTATTCCCCTTCTACCCACCCTTGGCCTAATTGGTTTCTAGATTCCTGCAGAACCTTTGTTCTCCCAGCTGCCAGTCTGCCCCTCTGCAGTCCATCATCCTCACTTCCACCACAGGAACATTTTCAAAGAAAAAGGAAACACGGGGTGCCCTGTCACACTGCCTTCCCCACCGCCCGCGTGAGTCTCCTGGGGCTCCCCCTTTTCACCCCAATGAGAAGCCCTCTGCTGCGGCGGCCCTTGTGCACCACATTTTTCACAGGGCAGCAATTCAGCGCAAGAGAGGATGGGAAGGGGAGGAGATAGGGGTTTTTAGAAGGGGCTTTGGATTCAGGACGTGTTTGGAGTCTAACTCTTGTTGGTCTGGGAAGTAACCCAGCCTCTCTGGGCCTGGTTTCCTTGGGCATATCAAGCTCTACCCCAGCCCCACCGCAGCCCACCGCCCGCCGCGTGTTGAAAGCTTGACTGGAGTTTCCCTGCAGGCAGGGGCACAGTGTGTGCAACGCTGCATCGCCCGAGCCTGGCACAGGGAGTGGCCCAAAAAAGCTGTTAGTGACTGAACGCAAGAATTTTCCGGTTAGCAGACGACGGGATGCAGCGGGCGCGGCGCCTGCACCACGCTGGGGGTCCCGGTGTCCGGGCTGGGCCGCTCCGACTCCGCCCGCGGCCACCGTCGGCTCAGGGGGTGCGAAGACCGCGGCGAGGCCCCTCCCCGCCTGCCTCCCGCCGCCCGCCGCGGACCAGGCGCTCCCTCCCGGCGGCTGGCGAGCCAGCTCCGGACATCCGTCCCCACCTTTCCGCTAAGCGCGGCGCCCGCGGGGCCTGCCTCGGCGGTCAGGTCAGCGGCCTCCAGCCTCACTCTCCGGCCCCAGCCCGCAGCCGCCGCCGAGCGGAGCGCACCTGACCCAGGCGGGCGGGGCGGGGCGGCGGGCGGGGCGCGGGGCTGACGTGGCCCGCGGCATGGAGCGGGCGTGATTCATCAGCATCCGCGCCGGGGCGGCATGGGGGCGCGCGCGGCGGCCGCCTAGGCGCCCAGGGCCAGGCAGCGGCGGCTTCCCCGGCCCGGCTCGCCCGCGCTTCTCTCCCTGTGGGCGGCGGCCCGGCGCCTGGAAGGTCAAGATGGAAGAAATCCTGAGGAAGCTGCAGAAGGAGGCGTCCGGGAGCAAGTACAAAGCCATCAAGGAGAGCTGCACCTGGGCCCTGGGTAAGCGTCCGGCACCTGCTCGCCGCGGCGGGAGGGCCGCGCGGCCGGGGCTGAACCCGCGCCTCCGCGCGTGGGGCTTTCGCGGAGCGTCGGTCATGGGTGCCGTTCTGGCGATTGCGAGAGTCGCCTCGGGAAATTGATGTGGGATTTGAGAGTCTTGGCTCGGGCGTGGACATCAGCCGCCTCCCCTCCGGTCTCTTTCACTCTCCGAAACCTTCCTCGGGAACCGCTGTCCTCCCTGCCTGGCGGCCCCCTTCTCCTGGTCCCGGCGCTGGGGACGATGCTTCCCCATCGCCGAGTTAGGCAGGACCCGGAGCCGGTGCGAATCCTGGGGCCTGACAGCGAAGCGCCTCTGGGGAAAAGGGAAGTTAAACCAACAACCCCGATGTCGAATCCTTGGCGAGTGGAACCAGGAAGGAAAGGCTTGTTTAATTTGATTTTCCTGATAGAGGTCAGCTTGCTTAGTGTTAGCTTTCCTGGTTATTGCACATGAAAAATAACATACGGGCGGGGATCATGTTACCTCTGCAATTCTGTTGTGGTCTGCCCTTCAGACAGGTGGGATTTTAGGGCTGTGAGCTGTGCTAGCGTTGAAGTAAGTTCCAGGGAGCAAATTTGTGTTTCTCATCAGACTCAGGTTGCAGAACTCAGCAGCGGAAAAAAACGGAAAGACATTTCAGTTAGGCGGGGTTTGGGCAATCAAAATGGTCAGGATGGTAATGCAAATAGATCAGAAGCATACTTTGGGTGATGGTGATGCTTTTTAGAAAGGAAAGGCCAAGAAGAAGCCAGCGCAGCTAGCTCTATGGGCTCCTCTCTCTGCCTTGCTGGAGCCTGATGTGATGCCTCAGTTGCCACTCAATTGAAAAATGAAATTGACTCCCTTTCCCTTGCAACCAAGAACCATCACTGTCTGTCATGACACTGTGTGTGCTTTGATGCAGCCTGAGATAGAGAAGAGCCTTTAGCAGGTTTTCCACTAAATGTAAAATTTTGAGAGTGGTTTAGGTGACTCTTAATATGTAGATGGTCTTAATTCACATATGTTTGGGTGTGTGTACAGGTAATTATAGCAGCATCTTTTTTTAAACCTGTGCCTATCATCACAAAATTGTCTAGAATATTGTCTAGGAAGTTTGTCTTGTAGGTAGAACCAGCACTTGACCATTCTAGCTTACTGTTAAAGAAAAATGGACCAGAAATCTGAGAGAACAGCAAGGCTCTTAAAGCCACAGTACTATTTTTGCCGTTGCCATTGTCATTCAGCAGCGTGATTCGAAGCTAGATTCCAAAATGCCTCTAATGAAGGGTCACAGATGGCTGGGTAACATGATAAAGCAGGGCCCAATTGTGCTTTAAACATGCCATTCCTAGTATTCGTTATTATTTTGCTGCAAATTAAGCAGATTTAGATAAACAGGGAGGAGGAGATTAATCTAGTATTTTAATAAGTTTAAATACTGACATCAACATCTTATTAAGTGAAACCACAACGTTGCTGAGTTTAGGTCCTTTAAAGCCACTGGGGAGGCTGAGCATTGAGGCAGGTAAATTTTTCGAGTCAAATCTGAAAGAAACCAGCCTGAGTGGATGTACTTCCTTTCCCAGTGATTGTTCTGTCATTAGCAAGACAAGACAGAAGTGCATGAAATAGTTAAATAATAGTGCAGGGCATTCATTGTGCAGTTGGATTGGGCAAACCAGGAAAACAAGTCAAAGAAGGGAGGATAAATGTGTTGTCCATGGATTGGGGGAGAATTGGTGTGAGCTGGTGGGGCTTTTGAAGTAGATTTCACTTGAAGAATGGGGAAGCTATGGGTTCCTTCTTTCCGTCGCTTCTTTATTTAGGAAACATTTATTAAGACCTCCCTGGTAATGAGCAATGGGATATATGGATGAATAAAATGTTCCCTGTAAGGAATTTGTTAGAAGGGCATGCTGGAGACATGAACAAAGGCCTATAGGGATAGGTTTTCCTGTTGCCTTTCCCACTCCAGTCCATTTCCACTGCCCGTCACTGTTTAGATTACAAAACACCTGTCACTCTTCAACCCCCCAATTTATTTCTAGATTAATGTGTAAATTCCTCAGAATGCTCTTCAGAATCTAGCCCCAGCCTCTGTTCTTGTCACTCCCCAACCAAGATTCAACAATCTAGTGGCAGTCAGCTGCAGCACTTTGTTGAACATGCTGTGTGGCACACTTCTCTCTTTGCCTTTGCTCTTGCTAGTCCTTCTGTAGGGAATTCCCTTTTCAGACTTGGCAAGGTCCATCTTGTTTAGGAAACATTCCCTGAGCTCCTCAATAGGATAAGTTGTTTGTCTGGGTTCAGATCCTTGCCTTGATGACTCTCTTAGAGTACCTACTATTTTGGATAATAGTTGATTGTGTGCACAGGTAGGCTCTTACGGGCAGTGTAATTGACAAATATGTTGGGTGCAAGAGACAAAAAAGCTAGTTTAAGCTGAGCTATACAAAACGGGATTTATTTACTCCTTTAACTAAAATACCCCTTACAAGAATAGCTGTGATTTAGGAATTAGACACTGTTTCAGGGATCTTGTCCTGCTCTTTGTGGGTTGACTGACATGCTCTGCGTGGGTCTCCACAGTTTTGGGCTCATGAATCAACACATTTAGACCATCTCATGAAAAGAGGCAACAATAAACTTAGACCATCTCAGGAAAACACGTCTCATCCCCCACTTAGACCATCATGTGATGGGGAGGTCAACCGCTACTTAGGTCATCATGGGAAAGGGGGGTTACCTCTCACGTAGACCCTCATGAGAGAGGGGTCATCCCCCACTTAGACCCTCATAGGAGCAAGGGGCCATCCCCTACTTAGACCATCATGGGAGAGAGGGGTCATCCTCACTTAGACCCTCATGGGAGAGAGGAAGCATCCCCCACTGAGACCCTCCTAGGAGAGAGAGGTCATCCCCCTCTGAGACCCTCATGAGAGAGAGGGGGCATCCCCGTCTGAGACCCTCATGAGAGAGAGAGGGCATCCCCCTCTGAGACCATTGTGCGAGACAGGGGTCATCCCCCACTTAGACCCTCATGGGAGAGAGGGGATATCCCCCTCTGAGACCCTCATGGGAGAGAGATCATCCTTGATTTAGACCCTCATAAGAGAGAGGGGCATCCGACACTGAGACCCTTGTGAGAGACAGGGATCATCCCCCTCTGAGACCCTCATAGGAGCAAGGGGTCATCCCCTACTTAGACCATCATGGGAGAGAGGGGTCATCCTCACTTAGACGCTCATGGGAGAGAGGGTCATTCCCCACTGAGACCCTCATGGGAGAGAGGGGGTCATCCCCCTCTGAGACCCACATGGGGGAGAGGGGCATCTCCCTCTGAGACCCTCATGAGAGAGAGGGGTCATCCCTCACTGAGACTGAGACCCTTATGGGAGGGAGGAGTCATTCCCCACTGAGACCCTCATGGGAGAGAGGGGTCATTTTCCTCTGAGACCCTCATGGGAGAGGGGTCATCCCTTACTTAGACCCTCAGGAGAGAGAGGGTCACTCCCCACTGAGACACTCATGAGAGACTGAGACTGAGACCCCCATAGGAGAGAGGGTCATCCGACTCTGAGACCCTCAAAGGAGAGAGGCATCATTCCTCACTCAGATCATTTTGAGATAGGTGATCATCACCATATTTAGACCATATCAAGAAAGCTGGACTTCTCCAGTCACTCCTGCCTGATCCTTGGTTTCCCTTGTTCTCTTTGTCCTGATGGTTCATGAGTGTATCCTTGAACCAGTCCTCTAGTCAAAGAATGAAGTAGAATAACTGGTTTAGGCCTAGGCTACAAGTTCCACTGAAATCCAGAGCTGGGGAAAAATGGCTTCCTGGAAGTAAAATTAAGATGCTTCTTCAAAAGCCAGGGGAATGGATACTCGTCAATCAAAACAATACATGTCAGCAGAGTAGTGAGCTCTTTAGCACAGGGACTGCCGTTTATGCTTCTTTGGTTGCTTCTGCACCTATAGTGGAAGGCAGATGTTCAATAAGTAAATCAATACTTTAACTACTTGTTTGAGTTTTAAATAATATTCATCTTTTTCTATTTATAAGAGTTATATATGTTCACTTTAGAATGTTGCAAATAATGGAACAACATAAAGAAAAAATTAAAATAATCTTCAGTCTCCCTATCCGGAGATAACACTGTTGACATTTTGGAGTCTTTCCCTTTGCAAAAGGTCATACCGCATATGGCATATTGTCATGTGTTTTTTAACTTTAGCATCTTCTTCTACTCTGTCTACTTTGTCATGACACTTCTCTGAAAATCAGTGTTAATGGCTGCAGAATAACTAATAAGGCATATGTATGTATCTTCTCTTTATTTAGTGTTATCTGGTTGGTTGTTTTTGTTAGTGAGGAATGGCGTGGCCAGGGAGTAGAAAGGAATGAATTGGATGAAGGGTTGGCTTGGGGAAAGGCAGAAAGAACTTCAGAAACTGGCAGTCCTGGGGGCTTGCAAGCTAGGCTGTGGTGGGATGAAATAGAATTGCAGAACAGGAGAGCTGGAAGCAACCAAGCCCTACTTTTAGTATTTTATATCTATCAGGGGCCTTATACAGAATGAATGTGGAAAATGGAGGAGCGGGGAAAGAAACTAGAGGTACGAAGGCCAAGTAGGGGAAGAGGGAACATCTATCCAACCAGCACCCTTCTCTCTATCTACCCATCTGCTTTTTCTTCCAGCCACAGGTGATTACTTCACAGCCAAACTTCTTAAAAAGTGTAGAAATTGTATCTGTGTTCTCACCTTCTACTCTGTCTTCATCTTTTTGTCATCTGCCTTTCACCTCCATCATCCCACCAACTCACAGTTACTGAAGAACAGTAACATACAGCCATTCGGCTGGCAGACCATTCTCATTCCCATCTCAGAGGTCCTCCTGGTGACACTGGACACAACTGGGCACCTGCTTTACCTTGACTTCTATGATCACACCCTACCAGCTCCATCTTGGTTCTTGAGCCATTCTGTCTCCTTTGCTAGTGCCAGATTCTGTCCCCAGCTGTAAATATTTGAGTTTCTCAAGGGTTAGCTTTGAGCCCTCATCTCTTACTCCCAGCTCTTCTGGAGTTGAACACACACATACCCACAGCTTCAGCTCCATTTCTGAGAATGTGATGCCCGTGTTTATATCACTAGTCGACACCAGTGCTCTGAAACGCACACCCCGCAACTTAGCTACCTGCTGAACATCTCCACCTGAATGGCTTGCAGGCACTCAGCTCAACAAGGCTCAAAGTGACTGTGTGTTCTTCCCCACCTCTACCTCACTGCCCAACCTCACTCACCTCTGGTGTTTCTAAATGATCAGTTGATGTCATCACCTGTCCAGTTGCATTGACCTGAAATCTAGAGTCATCCTTGATACATTTCTGTAATTTGCCATCTTACCTAGTCCGTCACCCAAGCTCTGCTCATTTTTACCTCCTAAATATATGTCAAGCCTGTTCACTTCTTTCTACCTCTGTTGCCAGCTCTCCAGAATAAGCTGCCTTCTCTTTTTATCTGAACTTCTGCAACACCCTCTTAACTGCTCCTTCCTTGTCTGCTCTAGTTCTTTTTCCCAAGTAGTGTCACCTTGGAAACCCCAATCTTTTCATGACATGCCATGTTAAAACACTGAATAGCATCCCATTAGGATAAAAACAAAAGTCCTTGGTGTGTTCTGTCCAGCCGTACATGGCCTGGCTCCTACCTGCCCCACAGCCTTGTGCTATGCCACCCTCATGAGACAGAGGGTCATCCCCCTCTGAGACCCTCATGAGAGAGAGGGGTCCTTGCTCTCTGAATTTCAGCCACACTGATCTTCTTTCAGTTACTCAGCTACACTGTGCTCCCTCTTACTTCATTAATTCAGCAAATATTTAGTGAGTACCTACTATGTGCCAGGTACTGTTCCAAGTGTTAGGGATAACATGGTGAGCAAAACATGCAAAAAGATCCAAGAGTTTACAGATTCTTGGAGAGATGACAGCCAGTAATCAAGATAAATAAATAAAATACACATGACAGCAAAGAGAGTGATAAGAGCTAAGAAAGGGAAAACATAAAATAGTGAAGAAGATAGGAGGTACTTGGAATAAAGAGGGAGTTGCCATTTAAATAGGGTATTCACGGAAAACCTTACTAAAAGGGAGGCTCCTAGTTGGGAAAACATCTGATGGCTTTGGGAAAGAGCAAGGAGCCAGGGGGCTGGAGCGACGGGAGAGAAGTAGGAAGTGAGGACCAGATCATGAAAGTCCTTGTTGGGCTCTCTAAGGATGAGATGGGGAGTCATTTGGGGTGGAGGAAATGCTCTCATCTGGGTCTTGACAGGGTCTCTCAGGATACTGTGTTAAGCAGAGACTGCAGCTTCAGGGGCAAGCCCAAAAGCTAAAAGCCTAGAACAGAGGCTGGTACAGTCATCCAAGTGAGAGAAGGTGACAGCTTGGACCAAAGTGGCAGGACAGAGTCAGGGAAGATGTTGAGATTCTCCAAGCATTTCAAACTTATTATTCCCTCCACTCGGAGTGACCTCTCCTTATCTACTTTAAATAAATCATTTGTGGTCTCATTACCCCCAGCAGGAAGCCCTGACCTCACAGTCCACAGTAGGACCTCCTGTTCCACTTTTGCCTAATTCCCTGTATTTTCCTTCCTGGCGTTTATCATGCTTTGAAATGAGAATGTGCACTCCATGAATTCATGGATCGTGTCTGTTCTCACCACTGGGTCCCTAGCCCAGGACCTGGTTCAGTGTTTAGTGAGAGATCAAAGAAGGGAGACAGGAATTGGCACTGGCGTCTAAGGACTGTGTCAGGCCCTTTATGATCATGATCCTATCAGCTCCTCACAAGCATCCCGGGAGGAAGGTGTCATTGTCTTCTTTCTAAAGATGAGGGAACTGAAACTTACAGAGGATAAGTGACCTGCCCCCATCCCACAGTGTCACAAGCTGGAGTGGAGCTGGGAGTGGAACCTGGTTCTCTTTGCTTTCCTTCTTGATGCTTCCATGGTGCCCTCTCCCCAGCTACCATTCTGTCCTGGGTGCTTACAGCAAAGCTGCAGGCCATTTTCTCCTTGACCTTTGGATGCTCTTCGCCTTGGGTTCCACACTGATCCCATGTGCCTGGGAGTCTCACTGCACTTAGAGCTGTAGTTTCATGGTGGCTGCTGTGTGACAGCCTTTTCTCTTTTCCTTTTCTTCTAGCTTGCTCTTAGCCTTATAGAGCTGGGCACTGTTACCCAGCCTTGGTTGACTATATATCCCTCTGTCCTGCGGGAAAACCATGCTGATCTGGTTGTTCACTGTCACTGCCTTTCCTTGGGGAGCAGCATCGGCTCATCCTGGGTGCCAGTCCCTGCTGTGCTAACTGGTGGGCTGCACTGGCCTGTGTGGCCTTTGAGCTGCTTCCTGTACCTGCATCTCAGGGCTTCCCTTTCTTGTCATCCTGTCTCATCTTAAGCATTGACTTCAGTCCTTCATCTTCCTCCATTGGCCTTGTCTTCACAGAACCAAGAACCCTGCTGAACTCATCTTTCTGTTTTGCTGATTAATTGTCTTTCTGAAATCCACTCTTTTGCCCCACTGGCCATATCAAGCCCAGATCCTATCAGGCCTGTTCTTAGCCTTGAGTCTCTGATATATGTATATATTTCACATTTGTTATTCTCTCTGATCTCTGAGCAAGGTGGGAAGAGACATTTCTCCTTCCCCAATGAAAATAGTTCAGATAGACAGGGCTTGTTGACTCCAAGGAGTGAAGAAAGGGGTCAACACAATTTCAGCTGCAAGACTGGAGACAAGTTGGAAGGATTGAAGTAGTACAGTTTTTTGGGGAAGAGACTGGTGAGCTTTTCATTATCTCTAAAATTGGAGGCAGCAATAGTGTGAAAAATCCACAAACAATGGCAAAGTATTGAACATCCAGGTTGGATTAACAAGATTTGGATGTGAGCCTTCCAATCAATATCCTAACTATACTGTAATTTTTTAAAAAAAGTTTAATCTACTGTGTCACAAATGTGTATGAGAATAATAAGATGTTGTGTAAGTGCTTTGTGAACTTGAAAGTCTTTCACAAGTATGAATTATTGTGTAAGGATATTGAAACAGTATTTTCAAGGAAACAGCTTTTCTTTATTTTTATTACAAGAATATTGTATCTTAGTTGTAACTAGATTCAGTGGTTCAGACTAGGAATTTAACTATTCGTTCTTTATCTGTTTAGGGAAATGTGCCCTAACTTTTAACTTTCCCCTCCTAGTTTGCAAGGTCCAGGGAAATCTCTGGGGCTCTCAAGGGAAAAGGATTTTAAAATATGAAGGACTTGCATGCAGATAGTTGAGAATTGACTAGTTTATAATTAGAGGAATTCCTGAAAAGAGAAACTAACAGAGAAATTCATGTACAATGTATATTCTCAGTGTTTAAATATTTATTTTAACTTTGTAATTTTTCTTTTGCAGAAACTCTAGGTGGTCTGGATACCATTGTCAAGATCCCTCCACATGTACTGAGGTAGGAGATGGACATTGTATAATATCACAGAAGTCAATATTACCCACTGAAGGCCCAGATAACCACATTGGTTTACAGTGTGTCTTAGTTTGTTTTGTGCTGCTATAACAGAATACTACAGACTGGGTGATTTATAATGAACAGAGATTTATTAGTTCATGGTTCTGGAGGCTGAGAAGTCCAAGATCAAGGGGCCACATCTAGCAAGGGCCTTCTTGCTGCGTCATCCCAAAGGTAGAAGGACAAAAAGAGGGTGGAACAGAGAAGAGAGAAGGGGACTGAATGCACCCTTTTCTAACAAAGCCCCACTCCTGTGATAACAGCATTCATCCATTCATGGAGCAGAGCCCTCATGGCCAGATCACCTCTCATTAGGCCTGACCTCCCAATACTGTTGCATTGGGGATTACGTTTCCAACACTTACTTTTGGTGGGGACACGTTCATATGATAGCATAGCATTTTACTTGCTGACTAAAGGCTTTCTTGCACCCATGAGCTGGGATATTTCATGAGGTTACCATGATGTGAACCTGATTGCATTCGCTCCCCCTGTCTGTAGAGGGAATGAAATCAGTGACCTAAAGGAACCAGCCATGGAAGTCCATGGTAAAAGGATCAAATTGGTCAAGGAGAGACATGATCAAAACTTATGTGAAGGAGTAGAAAGAAAATTGCACTCCCTCTGATGGGCATGCACCCCTACACTAGGTAGTGTGGATTTAAGCTCTGATTGGCAACCCTGGCTGGACATCATCTGACTGGTTGTGAAGTCCACAGCCACATGTAGCAGCCCAGAGATAGGAAGCCTATTTCCCCACCTTCTTCCCCTCCCACTATAACTTCCCCCAACCCTCACTGGGAGAGAAATGCCTGCCTCTGTAGAAAAATTGGAAAGAACAATACAACAAAAAAGAAAGTTGTCCATAACTACATCACCTAAGGATAACCACTGATAACAGTTTAATAGATTTTCTTAAATGTCTTTTTCTATACACATATATTTTTATAAATTAATATAAAATTTTATTCACGACTTTGTTGCCTGCTTGATTTTTTTTTACTCAAAACCATATGAAGAATATTTTCTAATGCCAGTATATGTTCTTCAAATTAAAATGTTACATATACTTCCATTATATGGCTGTAGCATAATTCATTTAGCAGTTTTCCTATTGTTTAATAACACTTGGGCTGTTTCCAGGGTTTTCTTTGAGATTATAAAGTATATTGGACTATAACCCTTTGTTGAGTATGGTTTCTATGTTCTCAGGATACTGTGATTAGATATTTTCTCTCTTTTTAAGTAGATTGAACAAAATTTATGTTTCTATCTTTTTAAAAAATTCATTACTTTTCCTGTAGTAACTGCTACAGGTTTACATATTGTAAGGGAATCCATGTTTTAAACTAAGTGCATTTTTGTGTGTGCAAAGCTTATACATGAACAGAATGTCTGGCAACAACATGTTTGTCTAGCGGAGAGGTGGTGCAGCTGGGATGTCCAGCACATAGGAGGATGTGAGGACTTTCTATGAGCTGTGAAGGCATGGATAGTTTAAAGAAGTCAATTTCCTGGCCCCCAACTTCTATAAGTCTCCTTTCTTAAAACTGATTTGCTTCAAAACTGACGTTGCCACGTCTCCTTTTCCACCGCACCTTTAACTGTCACTCTGCTCCTACTTGTCAGAGAAAACCACACCTGTTACCCACCTGTGTCTTACAGTAGTGTGTTGTCCTGGGGTACAGAGATCTTGTTCCACCCACAAAGAACTATGAACATACTAGTGTCCATACTGGTAAAGGGAGTGATTATAAGGACCGGGAAACATATCATTTTTCAAGTTATGTAGTTTTAACTTCTTGGCTTTCAGCAATATTGAAGGAGCTATAAGATGATAGATGAAAATATGTTTTTGATGATGTCTCCTTCATTCCCTTATTATTTATGTAAACAAGGTGTCTTACTGCTTACAACTATAAAGGTAAAAAAGAATTGATATGGAATTGGTGCTAAATTCTACCTTATTATATAGCAACAGAAAATACTTCTTCATAGGCATATGAACTAACTGGGAGAAATATAAACAAACTCCATTTCTGTAGAAATGTATTTTTAATAAAAGTGTATTTTCCATGCTAACCATATTGACATTTTGATAAATAATTATTAATGTTCTTTGGACCAATTTTGTGCATTAGTAATGATTGCTTACAATTGAACATTTTAAAGCCTTATGGTTACAGGAAATATTTTAAAAATTACTTTAAACATACTTTATCTTAACAGAGAAGTATAGTAGGGAGGTTAATAAAAGCCTTTCTAGCATTAAAATATATTGGAGAAAAATGTTTGGGGAAAATGGAATGGAAATACAATAAGTTCAAGGAGAAAAATAACAATACAGCATTATTTTACTGTTAAAGAAGAGTTCACCTTTTTTTTTGATGGATGAAGGTGTTTTTCAACTTGCTGTCGTATTCACAAGATACATTTCAAAAGTGATATGTTTTAATTAAAAATTTTAATAATTCAAGTATTCCAGAATTACAGCCTTCACAATTAAAATTATGATGAAAAAATTTGAATGCTAACTTAAAGTACGAGAAAAACAGAATCTTAACATTTTCTTAGTGACTACATAAGTAAAAGAGTTTGATAAACTCTGCTCTAAAGGTTGTTTCCTCATCCAAAGTGTTGTTTAACTTAGCAGTGAGGTTTTCTGTGGTTCTGGGTTTGTGATAAAAGGTATGTGGTTCAGTGTGAGGAGCAACAGAAGAGGTTTCTGCTCCACTGGCTGGGAATGTTTAAAATTGTTGGGCGCATACATATATTTAGAATTGTTATAGTCTCTTGCTTAATTGATCCCTTTATCATTATATAATGACCTTCTTTGTCTAGTGTTCATGTGTATGTGTGTGGCTAGAAGAGCTGGAGAGAATATGGTTTCAATGTGTCCAAGGACATATTTTTGGTTCTCCTTTTACTCATTTGGCTTTATTTTATTCAACGATCTTTTGCTTTACCCCAGAGCCAGCTACCTATCTTGTGCACCTACAGGAGCTGTTCACAACATTGGTGGGAGGGGTGCCAGATGAGAGACTATGGATGAATATACGCATATGTACATGTCTTTACATATTTTCACCATTATTAGAAATTCAACTCAGAGTATTTCCCCTAATGACAAAGATTATCCTAATGTACAAAGATACATCATCTTACTATTCAAAAGAATGGACATTATTATGTTTCAGATGCACAATGAGATCTATCAAGCATTCTTGTACAGAGAATTGAACCATATGAATGAGACACAGCAGATGTGAGCCTTGCATTCAAAGGTGTTTTTTTAAAAACAATTTGGAAGGAAGAGAATGAAGATATACAAAACAGAAAACATTGTGATGTGGTAGCAAATGTAAATTTATTATAGACTTTTATACATTTAAGGAGGTTTCAGTTTGTGATTCACAATAGTGGGGAACTTCTCAAAGCCTCTTCTAAGATACAAGAAGAAGCCATAATTAGAGCAGAAAAGAGATTGAATCAATACTAGTCTGATTTACTATTCCATGTTATCATTAGGGAAATGATATAAAGAGGAGACATACAGTAATGGGCTTTTCCCCCTGTGTTGTAAATCAGTCCTTCTTTAATCCTTTGATTCCTCTTCCAGGCACTTTAAACCAGGAGAGCATTTACTCTGTTAAATCATTATGTTTAACATGGCATCCTTCTATTTGAGCATCTGCTAAAAAAAAAAAAAAAAAAAAAAAAAAAAAAAAAAAAAATCCAGGCACTGTAAATATTTGTCTGCTCATTGAGGAGAATTTGGATATGTTATTTTTTCTTCCATTATGCTTACATTTAATATATGGGAAAGAAACCAAGTTTATAAACTATCTCTTGCATTCTTCTGATTTTGAATTCAGATTTAGTTTTCATTTCTGTTACATAATCACCTCCAGGTGATTATTTGCAGATTTTTAAAATTGTTTGTTTTGGAAAGGGCTACAGGGATCATTCATAATCTTGAATACCTTTGCTCTGCTTTTTCCTATTTTTTTCTTTTGCCACTTATTTGTTAATTTCATGTTAAATATAGTCCCATTCTCATAATTACTAATATTGTTTTGGTCAGTTGTGTACGTTAGTAGTGGTAGCTTAAATCAGAAGAACCCTTGAAGAGCCTGTGTTGAAATTGAATCCTTGAGAGACCTATGTTGTATTATTTTTCCTTTTGCCATTGATTGCTCTAAGGACTTTTGAATGATTTAAGTGACTGGTGACTGGATTCAGTTATGCATAAAGCATTCTAAGAGAGATATTGATGATCAAACATATTAGATGGAATTAAGGAGGTCAAGAGACATTACTTATTTGTGCTCAAGGCTCTGTCACTGATGAAATGCTCACTCTTATTGTTGATGTGGTGAGCAACAAGGGTAGGAATTAATGCAGAGCCTATTGATATTCAATGCCAGGGAGGGAGGCAGGTCCAGGGAATATGTACTATGGAATATTTCATGACTTTATTAGTGGCTAGTCATGTGAAAATCTTTCCACCTTCCTGCCCTTAGTCTTGCTTTTGATTTGGGGGTGAGTTTTAAGGGTCCTTATCTTCCTCCATGAGGAGACTGCACCCTTGCTATCTTTGCTTCTCTTTTCCCTTTTCTTAAACTTCAAGGTCTCCTTACATGCATCTTTGCAGGGTTGAATAAATCTATGAATTAGTGGGCTACTCAGGTATCCCTACACCGAAGAAGCCATCGATAGCTCAGGTTATGTCTTAGATTAGAATCATCCTCCCCATGTCCTTTTTGCTTCATAAGCAAAAGCCCACTCAGGATGTTCCCTAATAGTGACAGATTTGGTGAAAAATATGACCAAGTACAGTTGCCACTGATAGTCACTGATTCCATCATAGCTATCCACTGGTTTTTCAACCAAGTAATATCATAAGACTTGGAGGCTACCGATCAAGAACAATTAGAATATTCTGCAGTTGTTGAGTAGAATATTGTGTAAATGTCTGTTAGGTCCATTTGGCTTAAAGTCCAACTTAAGTCCAATGTCTCTTTGTTGATTTTCTGTCCTGACAACGTGTCTAATGCTGTGAGTGGGATGTTGAAGTCCCCTACTATTATTGTATTGGTGTCTATCTCTTTCTTTAGGTCCAGTAATATTTGTTTTATGAATCTGGGTGCTCCAGTGTTGGGTACATATATATTAAAATTGTTATAGTCTCTTGTTGAATTGATCCCTTTATCATTATATAATGACCTTCTTTGTCTTTATTGTTTTTGATTTAAAGTCTGTTTTATCTGACATAAGTATAGTGATTCCTGCTTACTTTTGATTTCCGTTTGCATGGAATATCTTTTCCCACCTCTGTACTTTCAGTCTACACATGTCTCTACAAGTAAAGTGAGTTTCTTATAAGCAGCGTATAGTTGGTAGTTGGATTTTTTTTTTTTTTTTTTTAGACGGAGTCTTGCTGTGTCACCCAGGCTGAAGTGCAGTGGTGCAATCTCAGCTCACTGCAACCTCCACCTCCTGAGTTCAAGTGATTCTCCTGCCTCAGCCTCCCAAATAGCTGGGACTACAGGCACAGCGCCACCACACCCGGCCAATTTTTGTGTTTTTAGTAGAGACGGAGTTTCACCATATTGGCCAGGCTGGTCTCGAATGCCTGACCTCGTGATCCACCCGCCTCGGCCTCCCAAAGTGCTGGGATTACAGGCCTGAGCCACTGCACCCAGCCTAGTTGGATCTTTTTTAAATCCTTTATGACAATCTATATATTTTAAGTGGAGCATTTAATGCATTTACATTCAAGGTTAATATTGGTATGTGAGGTTTTGTTCCTGTCACGTTGTCATTTAGATTCTTTGTTTTTTTCTTTTTCTCTGTCTCTGTGGTTTGGTGGAATTCTCTCTTGTTGCCATTCATTCCTTTCTCTTCTCTTAATCCTTTGATTGCTTTATAAGACCTGTGAGCTTTTGTGTTTTCATAATGGTGAATATCAGCCTTTTATTTCCATGTTTAAGACTCCTTTGAGCATTGCTGGTAGGCCAGTCTAGGGATGATAAATTCTCTTAGCATTTGCTTGTCTGGGAAAGAATTTATTTCTCCTTCATTTATGAAGCTTATTCTTTCTGGATATAAAATTCTTGGTCGACATTTTCTTTTCTTTGTTTTTCAGCATTTTGAAAATGTCATTCAATTTTCTTCTATCTAAGAGGTTTCTGCTGAGAAATCCACTGTTAGTCTAATGGGGTTTTCTTTATAGGTGACTAGATGCTTTTCTCTTGCTGATTTTAAAATTCTTTCACTTTTACTTTATTTATTTATTTATTTATTTATTTATTTATTTATTTATATTTTTTTTGAGACACGGTCATGCTCTGTCACCCAGGCTGGAGTGCAGTGGAGCAATCTCAGCTCACTGCAACCTCTGCCTCCCAGATTCAAGCAATCCTCCCACCTCAGCCTCCCTGTAGCTAGGACTACAGGCATATGTCACCACACCCAGCTAATTTCTGTATTTTTTGTTTGTTTGTTTGTTTATTTGTTTGTTTTGGTAGAGATTGGGTTTCATCATGTTGCCCAGGCTGGTCTCAGACTCCTTGACTCAAGTGATTCACCTGCCTCAGCTTCCCAAAATGCTGGGATTACAGGCATGAGCTACTGCACCTGGCTCACTTTTACTTTAGACAGTCTAATTATAATATGCTGCAGTGAAGTCCTTTTTGCAATGCATTTTTCTGGGAATTGCTGGGCCTCCTGTATCTGGAGGATCTGTCCAAATTTCTTGCCAGACTTGGGAAATTTTCATCAATTATTTCCTTAAAGAGATCTTTGGTCTTTCTCTTCCCTCAGGAATACTGATAATTTGTAAGTTTGATTGCTTTATATAGTCCCAAATATCTCAAAGGCTTTGTTCATTCTTTTTTCCTTATATTTTGCCTCACTGTATTATTTCAAAAGACCTGCCTTCAAGTTCTGAGATTCCTTCTTCTGCTTGGTCTAGTCTATTACTGAAGCTTTTGAATATATTTTGTAATTCCTTCAATGAATTTTTCAGTTCCAGAATATTTTTAAGATGTCTATCTCCTTGGTAAATTTTTCATTCATATCATGAATTGATTTTCTGATTTCCTTATATTCGTTTTCAGATTTTTCTTGCATCTCATTGAGCGTGTTTAAAATAAATATTTTGAATTTTTTATCTGACATTTCAAGGATATCTTTTTGGTTAGGATTTATTGGCGGAGAATTACTGTGTTCTTTTGAGGGTGTCACATTACCTTACTTTTGTATGCTTCCTTTATCTTTGTGTTGATTTAAATGCATTTGGAGCAAGGGTAGCTTCCTCTTTCTGAATTTGTTTTTGTTGGGCAGGGGGACTTTTTCTCTCGAAGATGTGACTATGATGTTGGTCGGCTAGGGTTTTACTGAAGGCATTCCCTAATCCTCACCATTCTTATGTCCTAGGCCATCTCATATAATGAAATATAGCATACTTGTCATGGCTCCTCTTCCTTCCACATGCCAAAGCCAAGACCAAAACCACAGGTCTAGAGGTGTTTGAATAAGTAGCCCGATAGCTCCCCTGCATGTTGAGCACTAAAATGTTAGGGGAACATGTTCTGGGCTGCTCTCTTCATCAAAATTGCCCAGTGTGTGTCTTATAACATGCAGCCTTTCTCACTTCCTTATCCTACTTATCCTTGAAGACTGTGCTGAGATGTCCTGAAGTCCTTCCTTAATTTCCTAGGTAGAAATTATATTTCTCTCCCTTGTGTCCTCACCGTTCTTCTTACATAATCCTGTCGTGAAGCTCATCAACCACGTTGGCAGTTGTTTGCAGGTTCTATTCTCAGACCCTAGCCTCAAGGAGCTCATCTAGACAAATTACTCATCTTTGTATCTCTTATGTCAGTGCCTTATAAATGTTTGTGGGATGAAACTGCTTCTCCAGCTTTACATCACATGTCCCAGAAAGCCACTGCCTTCATCTCCTAGATTCTTAGAAAATGCAGTATTTGAAAGAATCTGTGCCAAAATGGAATCTCAGCTTTGGCAATAGGACTTCTAATATCTTACTGACTGAGAAGGTCGGTCTAAAGAGTATACCCAGAAGCCCAACACTCAATTCATTGACCTCAGCTAGTGTAGACTTAAATCCTGTGCCCTCTACTCAACTAAAGCCCTGCCCCACCTAATGTATATTAGATAAGGGGTGGGGGATGGTGGTGGTAGTAATCAGGACTCTGACCAATATTCTATGCCAAAGGATGCTAAAGATACAAAGTTTTCAGTTCTCAGTAGATTTCCATGAAAAGTCCTTGGCCACCCTGGAAGAGGCATACTGCCTGTCCTACCTCCACCTCCAACATGAATTTGACTTGGAGTATTTATGTTCTAAAGGACTGAAGAACCTCCACTCCTATCCTGTCCCAATTCAGGATTGTCTCTTTCTTCCTTCCAGGTCACTTGCAACAGTACTGGTCCAGATGAAATAAAACTGTCAAGGGAATCCTGGAGCTATTTTGTCAAAAGGCAGCCATTGGCAGCAAACCTCTTGTTGGCATTACTCAGTGCCCCTTTGGGAACAATCCCAGTGATTACCCTAGCCATAACCCAGCCATTTTGCTTACCTGCTCCATGATTTTTCAGAGCCAACCTCAGCCTAATTGCTTTCTCTTGCCAGTTGTACTTTCCAAAAAGATTCTAACAGCTTTTTTTTTTCCCATTTGTCTTTGTATGTGTCCCACCACCTCTCCTCCCTAGCTGACCCTCTGCCTGGCCCTTTGCTTCATTTTGCCTGCCTTGTCCAGACACTTCATTCAGTCTAGATAATGACATATTCCTCCTCGTCTTGACGTGGGGACCTACTGATTTTTCATGCAGGGTGTGAGCACATTCATCAGTGTTTATACTTGGAGAGAACCATCCATAACAGCTTCCCATTTCTCATATGGTTTTACTTTAATTGCCTTTATGCTGCATTGATCTATTTTAGTGCTTTAATTCTGTGCTATGAACCCTGGAGCGACTTCTGCAAGATATGCAAGTTTTTTTGGTTGTTTTGTTTGTTTTGTTTTTTAGAGACAGTCTCACTCTGTTGTTCAGGCTGGAGTGCAGGAGCACAATCATAGCTCATTGCACACTCAAACTCCTGGATTCAAGCAACCCTCCTGCCTCAGCCTCCCAAGTAGCTAGGACTACAGGTGTATGGCACCATGCCCAGTTAATTTTTTTAAAATTTTTTGTAGAGATGGAGTTTTGCTATGTTGCCCATGCTGATCTCAAATTCCTGGCTTCAAGCGATCCTCCCACCTTAGCCTCCCAAAGTGTTGGAGTTACAGGTGTGAACCACCAATGCCTATCAGTTTTTTGGCTTTAATGTGAAGAAAGAAACATATCTGCATCAACTGGGAAGAACTTTGTATGATTTAACATGATGAGGACAGCAAATACCCCAATAGCTGTTTTTGGCACACAGTTTGATTCTCATCAGTATTTTTCCTGCCTTTCTTACGTCATGGAGAAGTGTTGGACTCCCCTTGCTACCTCCCACTGCCATGGAGGAAGCAAAGGATGCTGGTGTAGAATTTGCAGTTCATGTTTTCAGCTTGTGCTAATGAATGGAGGATCTGAGCATACATGCTGGACAGGTACTTCACATTATTCTAGGTAGATTACAAACATCTGTGCTTCTCTTGGATGTAAACTCATCTCGAGTCTCCTTTTCTTGCCTTCTTCCTTTTCTCCCTACTATAGCTGACTTCTCTTTGCAGAGTCATACAAATGTAACTGAGTTTTGGCCCTGTTGAGTCAAACTCTGTTGAGTTTTGCTGGTTACCATAAAAAAAAAGGCGGGCAGGTTGGGGGAGCTTTAAGACACTTTGGTTAGTCCAAGCCTGGCTCATTTTCAGATTTAGCGAATTCTTTATCCCAGCAAGCTGTGAAAGGCAATGTGGGGAAGACATTGTCAGCCTTTCTGGGCTCAGTGGGAACCTTGTAAGTGAGCAAGGGCTTGTTCTAGAGGAGAACTGAACTTTTCTAGCTTCCTGAGATCAGGCTTGCCATAAACAGGTGACCAGAAAAATCTGTTTGCAAGGAGAGAGTGGCACATGGACTAGCGTTTAGCAGTGGAGGTTGCTGAAATCTGTGTTAGAAATCAAGGTGCTCTGAAGATCTAGTTTCTCTTTTTCCTTTCCCTGCTGCCATAGAAGACAAAGAATATTCTTGTCTCCTTTTAACATAGTATAAGTGATAATACCATTCTATTTCCTAACTTACAACCAGCTGCGTCTGTGGGCTATCTGCCAGTTGTAAGCCAGTCCTAATGGTTTCCATGTTCTATTCCCATTAATAAGGAAGACCTACAATTAGCTCTCCATTACAAGGCCTGTCCTTGTTAATAGCTCTGACCTAAAAGCACTTTTTAAGTGATGCAGTCATCACTTAAAGAAGTCACCACTTAAAAAATGAGTGCATAAGTCACCCAAGTTAGTGTGTAGGGGATGTTGACTTGAGTGATATTTTAGGATGTGCACGAATTATTAATCTTCAGAAACAAGCCATGGCCACTCATCCTCTCTTTATGACCAATAGTTGATGACTTTATAACTCTGGGCTTTAAACATAAATCCACTGAAAAAAATAACAATCCAATTATGAATTTTTGTTTCTTAGGCTTCTTCATTCCTTTTTGTTTTGTTTTGTTTTTGAGACAGAGTCTCACTCACTCTGTCACTCAGGCTGGAGTACAGTGGTGTGATTTGGGCTCACTGCAACCTCTGTCTCCCGGGTTCAAGCAATTCTCCTGCCTTGGCCTCCAGAGTAGCTGGAGTTACAGGCATCCACCACCATGCCCAGCTAATTTTTGTGTTTTTAGTAGAGACCGGGTTTTACCGTGTTGGCCAGGCTGGTTTCGAACTCCTGGCCTCAAGTGATCCTCCCATCTTGGCCTCCCAAAGTGCTGGGATTATGTGTGAGCCACTGCATCCAGCCTCTTCATCCCTTTTGAATGGAATGAAGGTAGGATTTTTGCTGTGTGCATTATTCTGTGAATTGTTTTCATCATTAAACTGTGCCTTTAAGGCAATTTAGTCCCAAATTTCCTGCTTTCGTTTCAAACTGTGCCTCTGAGAAATTGTTTATATTGATGGATTTTAAAAATGGATCCCAAATGATGGATAGGGACCCGAGCTCATCAATTTAGTGATGTCAGTAGCTCCATAGAGTTATTTACATCTTTCTTTTTCACCCTGTAGGACTTTTCTTCTGGGAGAAGGGTGGGTGCAGACTAGAATCATGTGTTGTTTTCTTGGAAACCTTTGTTTCCAAGTGCTGGTCCCACTTAATCTTGACAGCACTCCTGTGTGAGACAGTGGACACACTGAGGTTGGAGGGGCTATGTAGCTGGCCAAGCTCCTTGAGCCAGTCCAGGGCAGAGCCAGGGCTGCTGGACTCCAAAAATCACCTTCCTAACTCACTATGGGGTATTAGCTCTCCAATTATTTGACTTAATACAGAAGATTTTTTATTATTATTTGCAATTTATGGGAAGAGCTGAGATATATACAATTAAATTTTGTGCAGTAAATCACTTGATGAAGCACCATTGTTGAAAAAACCTCCTAGAAAACCTGCTATATTTCGCCATTGCCCACTCACAAGTGCAACTTACCAATAAAGGATTATGGATTAGACCACCTTGTATCAAAACAGCTTCAAATGCAATTTCCAAGGAGCCAGTGCTTTTAAAAGACAGTTGTCCTATATTCAGACTGAGGGGAGTGTCATGAATTATTAGAGCTATTAAGATTAGCACGTATACCTAGCTTTGCCAGGAAATGACTTAAATTGACTTTACCTCTCTCTAAGGAAGAAGGAAACTTTAAGATAAAAGAGACTCTAGTCTGGAATTGATGTGAATACCCACTGGGGAAACCTGAGTAATTATGTAATTAAATAACTAACTCTTACCTCTCCACCTTCTGCTAACTTGACCAAGGGAAGAGGCTAGGTAACAATTGATATGGTTTTTTAATGAGGGTTAAGGTGAGCAAAACTGAAGAATTACTGAGAGAAGATTTAGGATAGGGCTCATTTTTAGGCCTAAAGGAATCCTTCTAGAATATTTTAAGTGAGAGCAGACCTATGCTAATTTTCAGTTTAATGAACTCCAGAGAGAATTGTTCTATGTAAAATAATGGGTTTTTTTTCCTGAAACTATAACTGCCCCATGGTGTGCTTTATTTTATAAATCCTATTTTGTTTTTCTGTATTTACCAGCTGGGAGAAAAACCTTCAAAAACAAAAGGGGTTTTGTAAGCTTATTTCAGAGGCTGTTGGTAGGACAGAAGCCAGGAAACTGGGTCCAGCTGTGCTTGGGGGTTGGGAGAAGGAGAGATCCCGTGACTGGGAAGGGCAGAGGGAGAGGGCTGAACACAGAGGACACCCAGGACTGAGCAGGTGGGAGGGCTGCTGGATTTACCCCCAACTCTGAAATAAAGCTGTATGTGGAAGACAAGGCCAGCAACACGACCTTTGCTGAAAATGGGGAGGGTAGCATTCATGCATTTCAGAGGTAGTAAAAATAAAGATGTAATTTAAAGTCAACAGGAGGATTTGATTAAGAAAGAAAACAATTGTTAAAGGTGTGCATGCCCAGGCATTCAGTACAGAGGATGTTTTTATGAATGTTTGCTTGAGATGATTGCCTCGCTGTGTTCAGTTCTACATGTTAACGTCTGTATCGGAGGGGTCTGGAGAGAGTGATGCAGAGTGGGAAGACAGGGTGGGGACTGGGCTCATGTGGATCAGGCAGTTGGGAAGGGGGAGCAGGTGGCCTGGGTTTGGAGTCAGAGCCAAACACACAGCATGGTGCATGCCGGAAATGCAATGAGGAACAGGACACAAGCTCTCTTCTCTCAAAGAGCTTGTCATTTGCTGAAGGGAAAGCAAATAGATCATCATAATACAGATGCAAGTCCTGGTTCTCCTACATATGCCTTTTGGGACCTCGAGCTGGTCATTTTGCCTGTCAGTTTCCGTAAATGGAGATGGAAACGGGAAGGTAGGGAGGTGCCTCTGTTTCCCCAGTGTGACAGGTCTGAAGAGATCCCATTGCAGGCCACAGAAGTGGCCTCAACCTCCCCTGTGAGTGCTCAGCATGTGTCCACGCTGGGTCTGTCCAGAGGAGGGCATTGCCCCTTTGTATCTCCCCCATATTGGGGCAGAAGGGCAGCTTCCACCCACAGGGCTCGCTCTCAGAACCCTCTGTGCGTTACTGATGTGGACTGAGGCAGCACTTCTCAAACTCTTTGGTCTCAAGACCCTGTACATTTTTAAAAATTATCCCACATAGCTTCTATTTAAAATTTGGATTGTATCTATTTACCATATTAGAAACTAAAACAAAATTTTTAAAATTATTCATTAAAAATAATAGCAAACCCATTTGATGTTAATATAAATGATATAATTTTAATGAAAAATAACTACTTTTATTATACTTCTACCATCCTCATAGCTGTGGAATTAATATTCCCCCAAACAATGTAGTCCTTACTGGGTTCTTATGAAGATTACATAAGATGTAATCTTCATAAGACAGCAGTTTGCAGAATGTACAACAAATGAATTAACATTCACAACAAGTGAATGAAATGTCACTAGTAAACAGGCTTGCAGTTTTCTGGCAGTTTGCAGTGTGATTAAGGTTTCCCCGCTCCTGTGCTGGGTTTCAAAGTGTGATGTTAGATAGGAAAACAAGGGTACCGGGAAGAAAGGGCAGATGAGACTATGGATTTAAGTAGCATTATTTCCTCGTCCTGTGAATATAAAAGGGCCCAGCTTGTCCTTGGGAATTATAAACAAATCTGCCTGAGCAGGCAAGATTTGGTAAACTTGACTATGGCAGTCTTAAGTGTTCTTTAAAATAAATTCTGGTGTCTGAAATAAGAGAATTGGAATCTAATGTTGCTCTATCAGTGTGTTCTGTTTCCATTTTTACTTACAGACTTAAAGAAATTTCTTTGAGCTGGCCTCTCTCATGGCAGTCCATGGATGAGGGTGGCTGTTGATGGAGCTATGGGTGGGACGGAGGACATCACATTTCCAGTAGTACTGCAACACATACTTACCTGAAGATGATGCTTTGGTTTTGTTTTTAACCAGAAAATACACAAGGGTATTCTTAGTTTAGGGGGTAATTATTTGCATTTGTAAATTCTCTAGGCCTTCCATTATTTTCCAATGGAGAAACCATTGCTTGCCTACCCAACATCCAACTGCTCCTTATCCTCAATGAACCTGACTAGGTATAGGATCTGCTCTTATTATCAGCCCTGTGCTTCCAAGGAGGCTGGCCACGGGCTTGCCCTGCATCAGAATATGAGAGGGGTACCCTCTCAGTCTTGTGAAAGTGAAGTTCTTTCTTCCTCCAAAACGTTTCACCTTCAAATGATGCTTGGAGCAGCTATAGCTGTTTGCAGCTGTGAAAGGAGCCAGCCAGGGAATGAAGCTGACACATGGTGGATCTGAAGAAAGATAGAAAGGGCCTCCTGGCTGTGTTAAGGGGGCACTGAATCACCTGAACCTGGAGCTAATCTGCCTCCTTGTTTAGGACACGGAGGGAATTGGACTTTGTTACTTGCAGCTGAACGCACCCTAACTGATGCACCCTCCCTAAAGGAATGATCATGACCCGTAGGGATCCAGAGAAGGGAGGATAGCCCCGGCATGTGCAGCTGCCATAACCAATCTGAAGAGCTGCTGGTAGGATTCTTTTCTTCATGTCTGGCTGTCTTTTGACCATTTTGTTGTCCTGTTATTTTGTAAGATAAATAGTTGAAGTTTTAAATTAAATGGTTGGTAACTTTGATAAAATATGGAGGAGAGCTGAGACATCTGTGGTGTTTACAAGGTATGGGACCTTAGAGGTAGGGCTTTGGGTTTCTTTCCACCCCTTGAGCATGCAGATGCATATTAGAGCCTCGACCTTTCTCCATAAATTACTGATTTACTTGTAGAATCTCCCATCCAGACCTTGAACTCCATCATCCTTATACCCATGGCTGCTGGTGCTACATGAGTGACCCCCAGTAATGAGAGTTACCAATTATGGCGTATTGTTCTATGCCAGGAATTATACTAATGGCTTGGCATGCATTGTCTTATCGTTTACAACAAGTACAATAGGTACGAACATAATCTGCATTCTAATGATAAGGGCACTGAGGCTTGAGTGATAAAATCACTTGCTTGAGGTCCCACAGCTAATAGATGATAGAGGTTCAAATATAGGTCTGACTCGAAAATTGTTTTTAATTATTCTGTTTCTTCAATGCATATTTGTTGAATATCTGTCGTTTAGATGTGTTAGAATGGGAATTGTTGTTCCTATTGATTGCAGCTTTCACCCTTGGGAAATGTACTGGGACAGAAGACACATATGCCACTACCTGAATATTGGCTCTTCTCTGGAAATAGGCCTTAGTGGAGTATGTGACTTACAAATACATTCAGTGGTCAGTAAGGGAAAGCCTAACTAGCAGTGGTTTAAATGAGATGGGGCTATTTTCCTCATGTAACAGGCTGTCTGGAGGTCGGCTTTCAGCACTGATATCTCCAGGATTCTCTTGGCCTTCCATTATATGTGACTCTTCATGCACAAAATGGCTGTTGCAGCTTCAGATCTCACATCCCCATCCAGAAAGAAGTCAAAGACAAAAGGCAGAAGGGCACAGCCAACTAAGCAGGTCTGGTCCTTTTTGTCGGTAAAGCAAAAGTTTTCCAGGGTTACACGGGAGGCAGGAGAAGTGGAAAACAGGATTGTTGGGAAAGGCTCACGCCAGTCCTGATCTACTACTTGGAGCTGACCATGCTGTTGGGCAAAATAAAGTTAGACTCTTGTCACTGAGGAGAAGGCTGCTCACACTGTCAGCCACACATCTGAAAGTGGAGGCTGTTAGAATTTGAAGAGGTGCTGGAGATATCCCCGTCCCGCAAGCAAAACAACTGAGACTTGTAGGGAACACAAGTGTCTGAGCCAGGATAAAAGAAAAGGGCCTGTTTCCTTAGACTCTGCTGCTCTTCTCACTGCACTGTCCCTTTCAAAGCTTTTACATATCTCCTCCACGAGTTATTCCTCTCATCCTTTTTCTTTTTTTTTTTTTTTTTTTTTTTTTTTTTTGAGACAGAGTTTCACTCTTGTTGCCCAGGCAGGAGTGCAATGGTGCGATCTTGGCTCACTGCAACCTCCACCTCCTGGGTTCAAGAGATTCTCCTGCCTCAGCCTCCTGAGTAGCTGGGATTACAGGCATGCGCCACCACACCCAGCTAATGTTGTATTTTTCGTAGAGATAGGGTTTCTCCATGTTGATCAGGTTGGTCTCGAATTCCTGACCTCAGGTGATCCACCTGCCTCGGCCTCCCAAAATGCTGGGATTACAGGCATGAGCCACAGCTCCCGGCCCTCTCATCCTTTTGAAGGAGGCTGGGAAAGTCAAACTTCCTAGAGCCTTGTGGATAGAAACAAAGCTTTGGAGAAAGCCAAGTAGCATGCCCAGGATTATCCCCTCTGTTTGTTCAGAGCTAAACAGTGGGAGGGAGTTGGACCAGAGTCCTTTTCACAGACCCCATTGTCCTTCATGATACTGTGACCTCCCTTTATGGTCTTTCTCCTTAGCCTGGAGCAGTGAGGCTCCTTGCTCAGACACCCTGGGCTTTCAGGTGGGTAGGCATAGCTGCCTTGACATCCCAGCAAGGAAGGCTCCGGCTCTCAAGGGACAATTGGGTAGCGCCCAGCCTGCATAAGAATATTGGGTCCATGTGTGTGCCTGGGGAGGGGAGAATGCCACCTGGTATGGCCATGAAGAGTGGTGATGCCCCATAAACTTGAGTCCAAATGTTTCTCTCCCAGGTTGGTTTGACCCTGTCTTTCAGTGCAGTTCCTGGTTCAGTCCTCTGTGGCATGTTTCTGCCTTCCCAGGCTGGGACAGAGAGTGCCTTGGTGCTTTCCCACATATTGGGAGAAACACTGTAGCCCACCTCAGCATCCACCTGATGTGAACAGTGTGTCAAGTCACCCTACTAAAAAGGCATCGGGTGGAGCCAGCAGTATGTGTAGGTGGGGGAGTCAAGCACTCTTAATTTTCCTCAACTTAGGAACCTCTCCCAATTATACTAGGATAGGAAATGAGTGTGTGTGGGGGGGTTTAATCTAGGGAAAGGAAAAACACCTGTCTTGAGCTAAAGGCGACTACATGATAAGCTTTTGCTATAAAATAATAGAGTAGGATATAGTGTTTATAATACTTGAGTATTTGTTTATTGAGAAATTCCCTTTTTCTCCATGTGAACATCTTTATCAGCCTCCAGGATCCTAGCTGGTTTTCGCAGATTTTTGTGGGCACCCATATGTGTACTTTTGCAAGCTTACTAAGTCTCTATCTGGATGCAGGGCATTTACAACCACTCCTGCTGCAAATGACAGTGCTGTATGTGCTCTTTGTGGTCTCTGGTAGATATGAATGGCGAGAATAATCATGTCAGGCAGACTTAGGTTCCCCCCCTCCGGTAATGAGGATCTGTCCTGTCCTCCACAGTCACTTTGTCATGCCCTCGGCTGGGATAGTTGTCAGGCAGCTTTTACTGTCTTAGTTTGACTGTCTTTTGCTCTTGAATCATTGCACTAAGAGAACAATCTGCTACTGTTTTCTGTCTTCAGTGTGTTAAAAAAAAAATACTGGGCATATTTGTTTTTCTTCCAGCACATGTCTCGTTTGGAAAGGTCATGCATTTATATGGTAGACTTGCTATTACCCTGACTGCAGTAAAGCAGCCAATTGCCAATGTATTGCTATACATACAGCTGCCTTCGGGGTGACTAGGCTATAAGGCAGTTACAGACAGGCTGAAGGGCACCTGTTGTGCCCACACACAAACCCAACCTTTAACACAACATTTATCCTGAGAAACAGTCTTGTCTTCACATCACATAGTGCCAGACCTGAGGCTACTTGTTGGGCAGGTTAATGCAGATCTTAGTCAGCTGACCTGCAGGCTGGAAGAGGGAGGTATAGGGTCTGTGATATGTTTAAAGCAGGCAGCTAGTAAGGAACCAGCCCAACCTTTTTGGCTCCTGCCCAAGGCCTATTTTTAAAGAGTGCTTGCAGTACAGGATCGATGGGGATGTTCAGTAGTTGAAATACCACAAACATATTACTGCTGGGAGAAGTTGCTGTTTATGGGAAAATAAAATTTTACCTCATTGTTCTCTGCGTGATGCTTGTTGCCAAAATGAATTACTTAAGGGGAGTTATTTCATACATGGATGCATGAAAGTGATGTTCGATGCCTATGGAGAAGGTACTGCAAAGCTTTTAGCAGAGGACAGGAGCTGTAACTTCAGAAGGTAAAAAGGTTTCAGTCTGACCTAGGGAAACACCTGTTTTAAATGATTTAGAAAGTAAGAGAATACACAACTGACACACTTGTGAAAAAAGGTAATGTCAGGGCGTGAACTGAGTATGTTCTCAGTGTAGAAAATTCAAAAGCCTAGGAAACATAAGTATTGACACATCATGTCACTTGAACCATGCGGAAGGTTTTACGACATCCCTACTTTATAGAGAGGAGACTGAGGCTTTGTGAGGATAACTTGCCCAGGATTACCCAGTAACAACTGTTAAAATCTAAACTCTAACCTGTGACTGCTGGGTGCAAAAGTCATATGACCTAAAGATGAATCTTAATATTTGGTTTATTTTCTTCTGAGAGTATACAATGAAATTAGGATATATAGTATGTAATATTTTGAAGCTTGCGATTTTCACTTAGTATATCAAACACGTTTTTCCAATGTCGTTAAGTGTTCTTTAAAAACATTTTAAGGCCATTAAAATTCCATCAAATTGATGCGCCATGGCAGGAAGGAAAGTCGTTTTACTGTCTCCTTTATTATAGGAATGATTTTAACAATTGGTCAAAAATTAACATGAAATGCTAGATATCTTCTCCTCTTTGAAGCTTTGGTCTCAGTTTTTAAAATGTATATGGTCAGGAATGGTGACTCATGCCTGTAATCTCAGCACTTTAGGAGGCCGAGGAGGGAGGATCGCTTGAGCCCAGGGGTTCAAGACCAGCTGGGCAACATTGCAAAAATCCCGTCTCTACAAACAACTTTTTAAAAAATTAGCCAGCCATGGTGGCACATCCCTGTAGTCTCAGGTACCTGGGAGACTGAGGTGGGAGGATCACTTGAGCCTGGGAGGTTGAGGCTGCAGTGAACCATGATTGAGCCACTGCACTCTAACCTGGGCAACAGGACAAGATTCTGTCTCAAAAAAAATAAAATAAAATAAAAATAAAAAGAGTAGCATGCCATCATGATACTAGAAAGGCAGTTCACTTGCTTGGTAGAGGATTTCGCAAGGATGTTTGTTGCTAGTTGATTGTGAACCAAGCAGGATAAACATGTTCCCCCACAGTTATTTAATGCTATTACTAAAACCACCCATATGTAACCAGCTACCATATCCTGTGTCATGGGGGTGGAGGAAGCACTAACCTTGCCAGGAGGGGCTCTGGGAATGCTAACAGGGCAAGCAGAAGTGTGGAGCAGGGTGGCATTTGGAAGGATGGATGGATGTGTCAAGTGGATATGAGCCGAGCATGTGTTTGATGAGCAGCGTGTGATTCTGAGCCTTAAATGGTACAGTTGATCTCAGAACCAGAGATGAAGCTTTGAGGTAGGGTCGTTGGCCTTGCCATGTATTTAAACTAGTCTGATGCTTAGCTTTTACTATATCTGAGGCTAAATTTAATGGTGTAATGCTGAAAGTTTTATCACTGTAGATAAAAAGTCAATAAAAGAGTGAAGGGTACAGATTTTTCTATCTTCTGGAGCCCACGTTCCTGCCCATTTTATAGCTGAGTGTGCGATTCGAACAGGAACAGTTCTCAGTGCTGTGTTTCCTGGGAAAAGTGGGGATTATTGCAGTGGTGCCATGTGCTGGGTGGTTTGTGTGAAGAACATAGGAAAACTGGAAGATTAAACCTTTTCAATACTTTGGCTAATCTGCAGGGATGCTGGTGCTTGTTTCCATGTTGTGGGGTTCTTTCTTTTTCCCCTTTAGTCTTTGTTCCCTGTGGTGGAGAGAGAACATGTTGCTATTTAAAGGGTGTAGGCTTTTGTGTCCTATAATCCTTATATTTGAGTCTGGACTCATCCATTTACCAACTGTATTCATGGATCCATGACTCCAGGAGCTTCATGTCTTGGACTGTGAAATGGACAGGATAATAGCCACTGCCCCAATTCCTGTGAGGATTAAATGAGCTAACTCACTGAGAAAGTTCCTAGCTCACTGAGAAAGTTCCTAGCTCACATCACTTCTCATCCTTTCCATGCCGCTTCCTCTTGAGCAAGTTTTTTCTAACTTTCACAGTAGAGTTAGGTTTCTAGTGGGAACTGATAATTCATAGTAGTTAGGTGACGTGGGACAAGTTACTTACCATCTCTGAGCCTGTCTGCCCATTGATAACATGGAAATAATTACATATCACATAGCGTGTTAATGATCAAATTAAATGAGATAATGTATACCAAGTCAGAATGCCTGGCACAGAGTGGGCAGTCAGTGACTGAAGGGTACTGGCACGAAATGGACATATCTTAGAAGGACAGCCTTCCTTCTGGCATCTTCCTGAGCATCACAGCCTCTTCTGGCTACTACTTCTTTGTCAGCATCATTAATTCTCTCTACTCGCTGGCTGTGGGGGTTTCTCAGAGCCCTATCCTTCTGTTCTGCACCTTGTACATTTCCTTGGAAGTTTCATCCACTTCCAAGTTTTCAGCTACTAGTTATAGATTGATAACTTCTAAATTTTTCCTTAGCTCCAGGTTAGTACGTCCAATTTGTTATGTATTAGCACTTAGATGCCCAAAGGCACTTTGAACTCAAAATATACAAAAATATAGCTGCTATCTTTCCCACTTACTTCCTCAAAACTGTTCTTTCAGGTAGTCTTCTCTACTTCGTTTGCATGCTGTCTGTAGGTTCTTTTTCCTTTTTTCCATTCCTGAATGCAGACACCTAAATGCACTTTCAGCGCTGGGTCCTTCTATTAGAGTGGAGCCCTTCCTCCAGGCTCTCATGCCTCTGGTTAATAATGATGACAACAATGAAGTTATCATAAGGCAACTGTGATAATCAGAAAGAGCACCATAATCACAAGCATTTGTTGAGCGTGTACAATGTGCTAGATACTGTCGGTGCTACGCTGAGTCCTAGGTGAGGCAGGACCCTGCCTTGGACCCGTGTTGTAGAGGCTTTATTTTCAGTCTCCTCAGGGCAATGGAAATGTTCCCACCCAAAGCCTGCCCTTTTCTCTCTGGGTACTGAAGACTTCAGAATTCCCTGCTCTGTCTGTGTTGAGCCTCTTTACAGAAATCAGCTGTCGGGGCCAGGCAAGGTGGTTCACGCCTGTAATCCTAGCACTTTGGGAGGTCGAGGCAGGTGGCTCACCTGAGGTCAGGAGTTCAAGACCAGCCTGGCTAACATGACGAAACATCGTCTACTAAAAATACAAAAATTTGCCAAGTATGATGGCAGGCACCTGTAATCCCAGCTACTTGGGAGGCTGAGGCAGGAGAATAGCTTGAACCCGGGAGGTGGAGGTTGCAGTGAGCCAAGATCGCACCATTGCACTCCAGCCTGGGCAACAGAGCAAAAACTCTGTCTCAAAAAAAAACTAACCAAACAAACTCAGCTATGAGGTCTCTTCCCTGGCTCTATCTTTCAGAAGGCAAATGGTGCCACAAGTGTGTGCATCCCTAGGCCTAAGGGCTGGCCATGAAGCAGTTAACTGCAGTGATTGTGGGTTGGGATTGGTCTGCAGGCTGAGGTGTCCATGTTGCTGAGACCCCTTGCAGGACAAGACAGAGCTGGGGCGCTCCAGAGCACTGTAAATGTTAGGCTGGCCCTGGGCAGTCAGGACTTTGACTAACATAGCTTCTTATCAGATCATTCTAACACTGCTTGAGATAGGTAATATTAGTTCCATATTTTTAGATGAAGAAAGTAAGGGTTGAAGAGGTGAAATGCTTAGCACACAGGTTGCCATTGTCAGGGCCTGAATTTGACCAAGAGTAGTTTGACTCCAAACATTTTTTTTTTATGATAGTCTGTTTTCTATCCATTTGCTACATTGTAGCCAGAGTTCCATTTGGTAGAAAATGTCTAAGATTACATTATTCCTTTGATTAAAAATCTTTCATTAGCTCCTCATTTTCAACTGGCTAAAGGTTAGTTTCTCTGAATGGTATGCAAGACCCTTCAAAAGCTGGCTCAAAGCTCCTTTGTGAAATCATTTCACACCAGTCTTCCCACTGTGACTTCCCTATCAGGTCACAATGGGACTTTGGCTGCTCCACGAACCCCCTCTGTACCTTTGCATTTACAATCTCATTTGGGAATGTCCTTTTCTTCTTCACTGAGCTGACCAAGTTCCATTGTCTCCTGCAGTTCAAGGCCTAATGAGTATCACCTTTTTATGAAGACACTTGCATTTTTCTAGACAAAATCTCTCCCACTCTCATTATACTTCTATAGTTGGTTGTGTATACCTTCATACAAGTGTCATTACCTTGTACCTATGTTTCCATATTATCACATGTCTGTTACTTCCTCTAGACTATGGGTTCCATATAGGCAGGAACCGTGTGTCTCATTCATCGTTATGTGTCTAACATTTCACACAGCGCCTGGACATGTAGTAGGCTAAATAAATATTTATTAAAGAAATGCTCTATTTATTACTAAAACTCTTATGTACTTCTCACAAATGGATTATTAGTCATTTAGGAATGCCAATTTTAGTTCTGACTGTTGTGTTAACTGGTAATGGATTGGTTTCATAAGGCATTTTGACACCATACCTGGAAATTTTTATTTCCTAGAAAACTGTTACTTTAGTTGACCATTTTGCAGTCATGGTACTTAATTTATAAGAAATTATAATACATCTATTTATACATTATTTGTGAGCTTTAATAGGCCAGTGAGTCTTGAAGAGAATATGAAGTCAGTCTTTTTTTCTCAAAATTATTAGTTTTGTTTTGCTTTTAAGTTACCTGTCTTTTGTAGCATAGATGTTTCTGAAAGATATTTATGCCATAGAGTTGTCATTTTTTTAAGAGGTAGCTCTACAGTTGCATAAGGTTATCAGCATATAAAAAAGACGATGGAGCCGGACGCGGTGGCTCACGCCTGTAATCCCAGTATTTTGGGAAGTGGGTGGATCACCTGAGGTCAGGAGTTCGAGACCAGCCTGAACAACATGATGAAACCCCGTCTCTACTAAAAATACAGAAATTAGCCAGGCGTGGTGGCGGGCGCCTGTAATCCCAGCTACTCAGGAGGCTGAGGCAGGAGAATCACTTGAACCCAGGAGGCAGAGGTTGCGGTGAGCCAAGATCATGCTACTGCACTCCAGCCTGGGTGACAGAGCAAGACTCCGTCTCCAAAAAAAAAAAAAAAAAAGATAGTGATGGTATTTTCCCACTACTTTTCTCTTGTTCCATAAAATTAAAGTGTTTGTGTTAGGAACCTGCTGCTGCTGCTGTTTGCATTTGCCACTCCTTGGCGGAAGGGCGCTGCTCCTGCTGGAGATTCCGGGCAGGGTGCTAACTCCAGATTGCCAGCTGGAGCATTTTCATCATGAAAAAAATCATTAAGTAACAAAATGCATGTGTTCTGTGATCCAGGGCAGGGCAGAGCAATTTCCATAGGCATGTTTCATACTGTCAGTATATCCACACTCTAAGGCTGAAAGCTTGATTGTAGGAAAACATGTCACAGAAAGGAAAGAAGCAAGGTTAAGTAGACTGATTTTAAATGACGTATTTGGCTAAGGTAACTGTATTTTAGGATCACAAGCCTCACTTCAGTCAAGAAGGCTTTAGGGAGAGGAAACAATTCAGGAAATGTTTGAAAGATGGTAAGGACATTTCTCTAGGGAGAAGAAAAAGAGAAGCTATTCCAGGAATATTGCTCAGTTATTGATAAATTGGAAAGGGTGGTGACTGGATAGAGGAGATGAAGTTAGCATGGAGGAATTCAGGAAGGATGACATTGAGGCCATTAAGGGAAACAGGCATTCAGTGTTCAGGCCATAAAGCTTTGAAGGAAAGGTAGAGCATGTGCATGTACTTGTAGGCTCAAACTAACTTCACCTTTTCCCTAATTTTTTTTTTTTTTTTTTTTTTTTTTTTTTTGAGATGGAGTCTCACTCTGTCTCCCAGGCTGGAGTGCAGTGGCGTGATCTCGGCTTACTGCAACCTCTGCCTCCCAGGTTCAAGCGATGTTTCTGCCTCAGCCTCCCGAGTAGCTGGGACTACAGGTGCACACCACCACATGCAGCCAATTTTTGTATTTTTTAGTAGAGATGGGGTCTCACCATGTTGACCAGGCTGGTCTTGAACTCCTGACCTCAGATGATCTGCCCTCCTCGGCCTCCCAAAGTGCCAGGATTACAGGTGTGAGCCACCGCACCTGGCAACCTTTTTCCTAATTCTGAAGGTAACATGTTTTATTCTTGAAGATATTTAAAATGTAGAAACATGTAAATAATAAAACCAAAATCATCCACATTCCCAAAAGGCAAAGTGTTGGGGGAAAGTTCTTTCCAATCTCTCCCCCTCTCCTCTGCCTATGCTGTATGTGTGTGCAAGGTTTTATTCAAGAGGACAACCATGTACGGTATATAATCTGCATGATAGTCTCATATTTTTGTATAACATTTTCAAAGTATTTTCCTGTGTCAAAAAAACTTTAGAATACTTTTAGTGATTATGTATTATTCTGTTCTATAGATGTACTGTGATTTGTTTAACCTCAGTTACATTATACATAAAGATACAGTAAACATCTTTACATAGAAAACTTTGCTATTATCTGTGACTATTTTCTTAGAAAAGGCTCCTAGAAGAGGAAACCCTAGTTCAAGGCATACCAATATTTTAATTTCTTTATATATATTGACAAAGAGCTTCTTACGAAAACCTTAAAGAGCAGACGCTTTCCACGGTGCCATGAGAAGTGGCTGTGTGAGGAATTAAGTGTGTCTGTGGGGCTGAGGAGCAGCTTACAGCATTTCACGGCAGGAAGTTGTAAAATTGACATGTGGGAGATAATGTGAGGAAATGTTAAAATGGATTGACAATGGACAGAAAGAAAGGAGTGTCTTGGTAAAAAAAAAAAAAAAGAAAAGAAAAAAAAAGATCTTCACTGGCTTGCTGTATGTAAAATGTTTAACCTCATTCTTGGAATGTAGTTTGAGATTGACAAATGGTAACCATTAAGGTCTCATGTGCTAAGGCATGAGCTCAGGGGTCTGGTGCCTGCCCTGCCTCTTGTCCAGGAGTGATTTTTTTCTCTTTCCCTCTGTCCCTCATCAGTAAATGCCAATAATACAGTCATGCATGACTTAATGATGGGGATAGGTCCTAAGAAATATGTCATTAGGCAAGTTCATTATTATGCAAACATCATAGAGTGTGCTTACACAAACCTAGATGATACAGTCTACTATACACCTAGGCTGTAGGCCTATTGCTCCCAGGCAACCTGTACAGCATGTTACTGCATGAATACTGTAGGCAGTTGTAACACAATGGAAAGTGTTTGTGTAACTAAACATAGAAAAGGTACAGTAAAAATGAAATACGGAAGATAAAAAATGGTACACCTGTATAGGGCACTTATGAATAGAGTTTGCAGGACTGGACGTTGCTCTGGGTGAGTCCGTGAGAGAGCAGTGAGTGAATGGGAATGCTGAGGACATTATTGTACACTGCTCTAGCCTTTATAAACACTGTACACTTAGGCTACACTAAATTTATTTTTAAAATGTTGTTTCTTCAATAGTAAGTTAACTGTGGCTTACTGTGACTTTTTTGATCCTTTAAACTTTTTAATTTTTTAACTTTTTGATTCTTTGAAGTAACACTTTGCTTAAGACACAGATTGTCAGTTGTACAAAAATACTTTATATCCTTATTCTATAAGCTTTATTTTCTTTTTCTTTTTATTTATTTATTTATTTTGAGACGGAGTTTCGCTCTTGTGGCCCAGGCTGGAGTGCAGTGGTGTGATCTCGGCTCACCGCAACCTCCGCCTCCCGGGTTCAAACGATTCTCCTGCCTCAGCCTCCCAAGTAGCTGGGATTACTGGCAGGCACCACCACGCCCGGCTAATTTTGTATTTTTAGTAGAGATGGGGTTTCTCCATGTTGGTCAGACTGGTCTCAAACTCCTGACCTCAGGTGATCCACCTGCCTCAGCCTCCCAAAGTGCTGGGATTACAGGCATGAGCCGCCATGCCCGGCCTTTAAGCTTTATTTTTTAATTTTTAAACTTTTTGTTAAGAACCAGGACACAAACACACATTAGCCTAGACCTACACAGGGTCAGGATCATCAATGTCACTGTCTTCCACCTCCATATCTTGTCCCACTGGAAGGTCTTCAGGGTCAGTAAAATGCATGGAGCTGTCATCTCCTATGATACCAATGGCTTCTTCTGGAATGCCTCCTGAAGGACCTGCCTGAGGCTGTTTTACAGTTAACTTTTTTCTTTATAAGTAGAAGGAGTATGCTCTAAAATAATGATAAGAATATAGAAAATACATAAATGAGTAACATGGTTGTTTATTATTATCAAATGTGATGTACTGTACCTAATTGTATGTGCTATGCTTTTATACAACTGGCGGCACAGTTGATTTGTTTACACTGGCATCACCACAAACATGTGAGTATAGTGTTGCATGATGTTAGGACAGCTATGATAGGAAATTTCCCAGGTGATAGGAAATTTTTAACTCCATGATCATCTTATGGGACCACCGTGGTCCGTCATTGACGGAAACACCATTGTGCGGCACATGACTGTATTTGTCCATCCTTATTGAGTGGTTGTGAGAGTTGTTGGGATCAAGTGCCTGAGCTCTCAGCACGGTGACTGGCATGCTGGAGGTTTTAATGATGGCACTTCCGTGACTCAACTGCCACTCTCCTTACATCAGTCAAGCTTAAGAAGTATTTTCTTCAGATTATGCAAGTATACTCTAGAGTTATTGTATTAAAATCGGTACAAATGGAAAGTATAAAAAAAGAAAAAATTCTCCCATGCCACTATCTGGAAATACCCACTGCCAACATTGAGCTGAGCTCTTTCTTAACTAATGCCCTAATTGATTTGCATTGGTGTATATTTATGTTTGTTTTTCTGCTTGTTTGGATTTTTCTTATATACATGTGTGCTTTTTATGAGAAAATCATGGACAATAAAAGTTGATGTCTTGAGGTAAAGTATAGGCATAACCATTTTATATTATTTAGAATTATTTCTACTAGATTGAATCATGAAATTGCCAATATTCAACCTCTTCTGACCTACACAAATGCCAATTTCATATGCTCAACTTAATAATTGCAATAGGCTTGCTAAAAAACCTTGAAAGCCTGCAGGAGAAAAGGGATTTTGTGTTCACAGCTATATCCCTAGGGCCTGAAACAGTGCCTGATGGGTGAATCCAATCTTTGTTTTGAAATAGAAAAGCATTGATACTGATAAAAATAATTTCATTAAAATAGAAATGAAATGGAAACATTTTAACTGCACTGTAGAGAAAATCAATTAAGGAACCAATTTAGTTCCAGTTGGCTCAATGGAATTGGCCCTGGCAAAAGCTTAATCAATGAAAATTCATCAATGTTGGTGTAAACTGTTTAAATGTAAAGGACCCATATTCATTAACATGAATAATAACAACTTGAGTGTCACCACAGTGAGGGTAGAAACCTTTCATATGCAAATTAGGAAACGGCATGACTACCAGGAAAGGTGCTGGCTGTGGCTTGAACTCAGCAGCTAGTTCCAAAGCCAGATTTTTTTCCACATATCCAAACTGCCTACACCTTCTCATAACTACACACCAACTGTCAACATAATGCATTGCTTCATGAATTATCACTCGAAATAAGAAAGTTCACATTATTTGTTTGATGCCTGTCCCCATTCTTAACATAGTGGACCTTTGAATTACCACTTTAAAGCAGTGTGCCCTACGCATAGTTGGTGGGAGCTGACTCTCCGTGTAGACGTTATGGCGTAGGCTTGAGGACATAGATTTTCAAAACAAATTGGCCTAGCCTAGGCATGGCAGCACATGCCTGTAATCCCAGCACTTTGGAAGGCTGAGGTGGGAAGATCATTTGAGGCCAGGAGTTTGAGACCAGCCTGGGCAACATAGTGAAACCCTGTGTCTATTTAATATTTTTTTAAAAGAAAAGAGATGGTCTAAGTCTGCATCACACTCTGTCATTTGCAAACGTATGACCTTGTACAAGTAACCTAATCTCTCTTAGTTTCAGTTTGGTTGAAAATTAAATGTCTACCTTCAAAAGTTATAATTAAATAGTAAATAGGGACATGTGTAGCATGTTACTTTGTAAGCCACATCTAAGCCATTTCAACCAGACCTATGATTATGATGTGAAGAAATTCAGACAGTTATTTGATAAATGGCTTAGATCACAGAATCCTAGAATTTTAGAGTATAAGCAGACCTCAGAAATGTAAGATATCTTTGTGCCTCTTCTCACCCAGAGCATCAAAGAGGAATCAGCCTAACATTCAGGAATGTATTTGGGGTTACTTAAAGTTCGCATTTTCCCAATATTGATTCTACCCATCCATGAGCATGGGATGTGTTTCCATTTGTTTGTGTCGTCTATGATTTCTTTCAGTAGTGTTTTGTAGTTTCCCTTGTAGAGATCTTTCAACTCCTTTGTTAGGTATATTCCTAAATATTTTATTTTTTTGCAGCTATTTTAAAAAGGATTGAGTTCTTGATTTGATTCTCCACTTGGTCACTGTTGGTTTATAGAAGAGCTACTGATTTGTGTACATTAATCTTTTATCCAGAAACTTTGCTGAATTCTTTTATCAGTTCTAGGAGCTTTCTGGAGGAGTCCTTAGGGTTTTCGAGGTAAACGATCATACCATCAGCAAACAGGGACAGTTTGACTTCCTCTTTACTGATTTGGACGCCCTTTATTTCTTCCTCTTGTCTGATAGCTCTGGCTAGGATTTCCAGTACTATGTTGAAGAGGAGTGGTGAGAGTGGGCATCCTTATCTTGTTCCAGCTCTCAGAGGGAATGCTTTCAACTTTTAGCCATTCAGCATTATGTTGGCTGTGAGTTTGTCATAGATGGCTTTTATTACATTAAGGTATGTCCCCTGTATGCCAATTTTGCTGAGGGTTTTAATCATAAAGGGATGCTGGATTTTGTCAAATGCTTTTTCTGCATCTATTGAGATGATCATGTGATTTTTGTTTTTAATTCTGTTTATATGGTATATCACATTTATTGATTTGCATGTGTTAAATCATCCCTGTATCCCTGGTATGAAACCCACTTGATCATGACCATGCTGCCAAAAACAATCTATAAATTCAACACAATCCCCATAAAAACACCACCATCATTCTTCACAGAGTTACAAGAAACAATTCTAAAATTCATATGGAACCAAAAAAGAGCCCGCATAGCCAAAGCAACACTAAGCAAAAAGAACAAATCTGGAGGCATCACACTACCTGATTTCAAACTATACTATAAGGCCATAGTCACTAAAACAGTGTGGTACTGGTATAAAAATAGGCACATAGACCAATGGAACAGAATAGAGAACCCAGAAATAAACCCAAGTACTTGCAGCCAACTGATCTTCAACAAAGCAAACAAAAACATAAAGTGGGGAAAGGACACCCTTTTCAACAAATGGTGCTGGGATAATTGGCTAGCCACATGTAGGAGAATGAAACTGGATCCTCATCTCTCACCTTATACAAAAATCAACTCAAGATAGATTAAGGACTTAAACCTAAGACCTGAAACTATAAAAATTCTAGAAGATAACATTGGAAAAACCCTTCTAGACATAGGCTTAGGCAAGGATTTCATGACCAAAAACCCAAAAGCAAATGCAATAAAAACAAAGAAAAATAGCTGGGACCTAATTAAACTAAAGAGCTTTTGCATGGCAAAAGGAATAGTCAGCAGAGTAAACAGACAACCCACAGAGTGGGAGAAAATCTTCACAATCTATACATCTGACAAAGGACTAATATCCAGAATCTACAATGAACTCAAACAAATCAGTAAGAAAAAAACAATCCCATGAAAAAGTGGGCTAAGGACATGAATAGACAGTTCTCAAAAGAAGACATACAAATGGCCGACAAACATACAAAAAAATGCTCACCATCACTAATCAAGGAAATGCAAATCAAAACCACATTGCAATACCACCTTACTCCTGCAAGAATGGCCATAATCAAAAAATTTTAAAAAGTAGATGTTTTTTGTGGATGTGGTTATCAGGGAACACTTCTACACTGCTGGTGGGAATGTAAACTCGTACAGCCACTATGGAAAACAGTGTGGATATTCCTTGAGGAACTAAAAGTAGATCTATCATTTGATCCAGCAATCCCACTACTGGATATCTACTCAGAGGAAAAGAAGTCATTATTCAGAAAAGATACTTGCACACACATGTTTATAGCACCACAATTCACAATTGCAAAATCGTGGAACCAACTCAAATGCCCATCAGTCAATGAGTGGATAAAGAAACTGTGGTATATACATACAATGGAATACTACTCAGACATAAAAAGGAATGAATTAACAGCATTTGCAATGACCTGGATAAGATTGGAGACTATTATTCTAAGTGAAGTAACTCAGGAATGGAAAACCACACATCGTATGTTCCCACTGATATGTGGGAGCTAAGCTATGAAGACGCAAAGGCATAAGAATGATACAATGGGCTTTTTGGGGACTTGAGGGGAAGAGTGGAAGGGGGTCGAGGGATAAAAGACAACAAATATGGTGCAGTGTATACTGCTGGGGTGATGGGTGCACCAGGATCTCACAAATCACCGCTAAAGAACTTGCTCTTGTAACCCAATACCACCTGTACCCCAATAACTTACGAACAAATTTTTTTTTAAAAAGTTCACATTGGTGCTTGTATTGAAAGATAATTATTGGTAAATCCTAACTCTTCCTTTGTTCCCTATTTTAATTTCCCTTTGTCCATTGTTACCTGTTAGCCTAATAAAGCTGGTCTGTTAACCATGACTATGCAGTTAAGGAAATAGGTTCAGTCTCCTTGACATGACCAGATGCAGCATCACAGTGCGGATGATGCCTTCCTCATGCATATGCAGCACTGCTAATTATTCTTCTTTAAGAAATAATGGCATGTCAGGACATGAAACCTGGGGGCCACTGCCTTTATTTAGTTAGGCAAGAATAAATTTGCACGTGCCTGTGCATAAAAAATAATCGCCTAATGTAATCGAATGTTGGTTTTTGCTATGCCCTTTTCCCAATGAGGCAGCATCTAGAAAGATCAAAAGATGATTTATTCCAGTACAGTGTGTGCAAAGGGGATTGAGTGTGTGCCATGTTGCATTTTCATTATAAATTTCGTCCTGAGACCCAATTAACAGGCCTGTTTTCTCTTTCATTAAAATCACTTTTAGAAAAAAAATGAAGGTAGGAGGGTTTTTATGATATCACAGAGCAAGCAGCAAAATTAGTTATGCCCCATGAATTTCCTTCTTTTGCATATGGGTTCATTTCCAATTGAAGTCAGGGTCTGAGGCTTGTGATACTACTCTAGGGGCTGCTGGGTCTGAGGGGATGAGAGGCCTTGGATACAGATTATTATGGCCCTGCTGCCAACCATGTTACTACTACAGTAAACTGTTTTCATTCACGTTGATTTTTGTTAGCTGTTTAAGAGCATTAGACTGGTGGGTACACTTTTGTTCTTACTAGTATTTACTAGCAAAAAAAAAAAAAAACCCTGTTTTTAAGCATTTCATTTTAAGTAAATATCTGTTTTGTTGTTGCAGATACGGTCAGAAGCAACTACTTTGCAATAAATAGCACTATTGACGTAGACATTTTCTTAAAATATTGGTCCTCAATTTCAACAATAGAATTTTATTTACTATAAAATTATAGTAGCCTACACATACACCTACACACACACACACATGCACACACACCCACACACACACACACACATAGCTACCCAGGGCTCAGTGTAGCATCTCTTCAAAGGCAGTCCTAGCAGAACCCCAGCCAGGTTACACTGCCCTCTTCTCTGATACAGACCTTGAATGTTGAGCAGAGCTCTTTACCCTAAGGATAGGGACTCCTAACTTGGGATCCATGTAGAGTCGAGGTTTGGGGACCTGTGGATTCCCTGAAATGATAGGCACCCTCCTCTAGGAAGAGGGTCCTTTGCCAGATTGTGTGTATGTGTGTGTGTGTGTGTGTTTAAGAACTAAAATGGGTTAAGAAGCACATCTATTCTAGTTTTGCTCTGATCTTATGAGACCAAAGGAGGTTGGAAGGAACTTGGTCTTGGGAGTCAGATGAATTTGGGTTTGAGTTGTCTCCAACACATTTTAACTGTGTGGCCTTGGGCAGGCTACAAAACCTTTCTGAACCTCAATTTTCTCAAATTTAGAATAAGGGCAAGAAGGTTGTAGTGAAAGTTAAGATGAGATAAATAATAAGTGCTAATCTTCATTTTTCTTTCTTTGTCCCATGAATACTAATGAAAGCAGGTGCCTGTTGTGACCTGTTCTTGCTGGCTCTTCCCTAGCTCTCAGCATGCTGCCTGGCACACAGGAGGCACTCAAATATTGAATGGATGATCGGATGGATGGTTGAATGATGGAGTGCCTTGGTTTAATATCCAGATGAAATCTTTGTCTATAGTGATATTTCCCCAAATCATTTATCTTCTTTTTTTTTAAGACCAAGTCTCACTCTGTTGCCAGGCTGGAGTGCAGTGGCACGATCTTGGCTCACTGCAACGCCTGCCTCCCAGGTTCAATGATTCTCCTGCCTCAGCCTCTTGAGTAGCTGGGACTACAGGCCCACGCCACCATGCCCAGCTGATTTTTTTGCATTTTTAGTAGAGACGGGGTTTCACCATGTTGGCTAGGATGGTCTCTATTGCTTGACTTCGTGATCCGCCCTCCTTGGACTCCCAAAATGCTGGGATTACAGGTGTGAGCCACCATACCCGGCCAATGCATTTATTTTCTAAGGGAGATCTTGATGCCATGCTTGCCTCTGCTATGACCTTCCCAGGACAGTTAGCCCCTGTTCTGTGCAAAATCTTTCTGGGTACATAAAAAGATTCGAGGCCAGGCGCGGTGGCTCACGCCTATAATCCCAGCGCTTTGGGAGGCCAAGGTGGGCGGATCACCTGAGGTAAGGAGTTCAAGACCAGCCTGGCCAACATGGTGAAACCCATCTCTACTAAAAATACAAAAAATTAGTTGGGCATGGTGGTGGGCACCTGTAACCCAGCTACTTGGGAGGCTGAGGCAGGAGAGTTGCTTGAACCTGGGAGGCAAAGATTGCAGTGAGCCGAGATCGCGCCATTGCACTCCAGCCTGGGCAACAGGAATGAAACTCCATCTCCAAAAAAAAAAAAAAAAAAAAAAAAAGATTTGATTTGCCTATCCCATGCTGAAGATCATGATCTGCATTGGGCACTTTGTCTATATCAATGCTGGACAAACTACAGCCTGTAGGTCAAATCTGGCTTTTTGCCTGTTGTTGTAAATAAAGTTTTATTAGAACATAGTCACATTCATTGATTTACTAATGGTCTGTGATTGCTTTTGTGCTTTAGCAGAGTTGAATAGTTAAGACAGAGACCATTTGGAATGCATGGTCTAAAATATTTATTATGGGGCTCTTTACCAAAGAAGTTTGACAACCTCTGATACATATATTATTTACATATTATCTACATATTATACTCCAACTCTGCAGGATTGGTCTTCAAATGCCCTTTTTATGGATAAGGGAGCTAAGACCCACAGAGTTTAGTATTTCAATTGAGACTGCAAAACTTATCAATGCCTAGCATTTGGATTCACGTCTGTGTGATTCCACAGCCCATGTTCTTTCTACTAAACACTCATATCTTTCAACTCAGCCAAAACCTAGTTGAACCACCTTCATCTACCAGTCCTGCCTTGTGACCATGGCTTGCATGGGGAACAGTTCAGTGATGTCTCCTGGTGGTGGTGCAACCTGGAGATCCTAGCATTTGTCAACAACCTGGCTCAGGTCAACAGTATCACTCGTGTGAATGTATAAGCAGGTGAGAGAGTGGAATAAGGATTTCAAGGGCTAATACTGCAGATGGCAGTAATCCACAGATGGCAGAGTAATATAGATAGGCGAACATATTGCTGCTTTCCAAGGGTCAACACATTGAGGATTTCCAAAAGGGTCTTTGTTGCTGCTGGACATGGCATCCAATCTTGTTGGGTGCCCTTGGTGAGTAATGTGTAAATATTTGTACATTTTTAGCTCATAGCTACGGGATATATTTCCTCTTCCCTGGGCTATTAGGCTGTAAGACTTTTGGACCCCCATGCTTGTTCCCTGCTATTATGCCCTTTCATTGGCCAATCTGACTCCAACTTCAAGTGGAAAGTTCTTTCACAGTGGATTAATCCTGGTGGAAATTTGATTGTTTCAGGGGTTTACAGATGAAGTTCTGTGCTGCTTCTGTTAGCCTACCATCTGCCCTTGGTTCCTACTTCTCACTCTATCTTCATACCTCCGTTTAATTTTTCTAAGCTCTTAAACTGGTTATCATTGCATAAAGGAAACAAAATTGGAAAAAAATCAGCTATTCCTGCACTAATTGAGTGCACTACAGTGTTTGCCTTGTAATTGTGACAAGCCGACAGTAAGATAACAGTGACAAAGTTACAGCCACCCAACTGGATGTAACAGAGTTGGGTAATTTATCCATCTGTCAAAGGATGAATCTAATGAAAAATGGCTGTAGTGTTAACTGTCATATAAAAATGGATACTGTAACATTGGGTTGTTGAGGGGCACGGTGAGGGTTAGGAAGGCAAACATTTTTCCTGATGGTCTGTTTTTGTAGTCTGTGTGGCTGGCATTATATTAAGGAGTGTGTGACTCTCGCTTCATCGGTTATGAAGCTGCTGATGGAAGGATTCCATGGAAAAGCAGCAGAGCTGCAGAGTGGACAGGGAGAAATCAGAGCTATAATTAACTTTGTATTTCATTGTGTTCTACAGCAGTAACCCTTATTTCTCCAATGATGAAATCCTATAGTCTAATGTGGTAGCTTTCACACTCTAAAAATCAATATATCTTTCAGTTTATGCTGAAAATATAAAACAGATAAGAGTGGGCCTACTCTGGTTTAAGTGGGGGTGGAGAAACCTGGTAAAATGAAGTCACATTTTATTTTTGTGCCAGTGTAACTCCATAGGGAAATAATGGGTTGATTAAAATTCTTGGTCTGTCGTTTAATTATTTAGAGTAGATGCTTCTAACAGACATTTTTGTCTTTGTAACTCTTTAGGTTTATTCCTAAAATATTTTAATGCCCTTGTTTTCCCTAACCTTTAAAATATCCAAATATCTCTCCTTTTTTTTTTTTTTTGTCTCTCCCCTGACACTAGATAATGTTGCATCTAGGCACCTCTTATCGGCCAATGCTATTGATGGTTCATTTGTATTTCTGTCTTGGAAACATGTTCATTAAGAACCTGTCACAAGACTCAGATCTACTTCTTGATGGAGACTATAAAGCAAATGTTAAATTTATAAATTGTTGAATTCTTTGAGTTGAGGAGGAATTGACAAACTAATAGAATTTTGATGTATATTGATGAGACAGAGTGCTGATGGTGATGCATATAATTTCCAGGTAAGGAAGAGGTAGAAGCAAGGCATAGAAATCTACTTAATGATGCTTCCTAGAGTTGTTCACCCCCAGGTGTGCTGGGTGTGAGCAGTGCTGTTAATTTGGGAAAGAACAAAGCATGTTCACAGACTGGCCGGGGTCCCAATGTGTACTAATGAGTGTACCAGGTAATAATTAGTGAAAGTCTTTGTGTTTGCTCTTCCTGTAGCCATACCAAGAAGGCAAGGGGTTGATGGGCTATCATTTCTGCACAGCTTCTTTGCTGTGTTTTCTCTTAAGCCCATGTGCATTTTTATTATTGGTTATAGTTTTTGTGTATGTGTGTAGTGGCATTTGGGGGTGGGTGTACATAAGGCTTACATCACTTGACTGCCAGCTTTACTGAGCTCACATGTTGTCCTTATTTTTGTGTTTGCCAGGGAGAAATGCCTGCTGCCTCTCCAGTTGGCTTTGGAATCCAAGAATGTGAAGCTGGCCCAACATGCTTTGGCAGGGATGCAGGTATGGCTTTGACTGAATGCAATGGGATGATAGAAATTGACAGGCCACTTTGGCATTGAAAGGGCAAATAGTTAACATTTTAAATACTGGCTGTTTAAAGACTCAGGCAGAAATTTGATTGAACTAGGAAATAACTATAGAGAATAACAGGATTTTCTTATATTCACCAGAATTTCTCTGTACACAGCATTATTTCGTTGAACCTTTGTGATCAGACACTGATTCATGTGGACCTAGCTAAGCCCACACAGATAGGGATTTTTTTTGTGTGTGACATCTTTCAGGAGAGTAAGGGATCCCAAAAAAGAGACGACAAGTTCATACCAATTCAAATCTTGTATACTTTCAACATCTATGGTTCTATATAATAAAAATTGATGGTAAACTGGAAAGATTTTGTTTTGTTTTTTATTCCACGGTTAGATTGATGAATGGATTATTATCTTTTATGTCCAGAGCAAGACTAGGAAGAAAAAAGAAATTTGGTTTAACAAGAAAAGCCAGATTTGCTTGAATACATTTTTTTGGTTTGTGTTTTACACCAAACATAATGGATCTAATTCTGATGGTAAAAAGGTGATGACTATGTAAATATACATACTTTTTAAAGTGGTTGGCCTCTAAGAGAAAAGCACTGTGAAGTTGAAGCCTGCAGGAGTTTGTTCAGTGTGGCGATGGATAAACCATGGTGGCATTTGTCAGATTTTTTTTATGTCAGTATCAACTGCTTCATAGTTAGCTTTTTGAGTTCAGAGAGGTTCCCAATACCTTTTAAGAGATAAAACCTATGAAATAGTGAGAAAACAGTTCTTTTTCCCCCAGCAGATTGGAATTAATGTATATTTTTATACACAGCAGCATTTGAATATTTTAAACATTAGCAATAATGTTATTAAAAACCTTTTGCTTTTCTCCAAGGTAATTGGGCCAACCATAAAAATGGTTGAGAATTTGTTTTGATCTGTCACTTTTGTTCCTTTTTCTCTAATGTTGTGTAGATTTTGCATTTAGCTTCTCTCTCTTTTTTCTTTAACCCTGGAATATTCTAAATTGCAGTGCCATATTTTCAAGGGCTTACTGAATCGTGTTAACTGAAGCAACTTGGTGGGCTGTGAGTCTTCCCTTTACCATCCCCTGCTACCTCCTCTTAACTTTAGGCATATTTTTAGAGCGTCTCAGTTTTTATCACTTTAAGTAAAAATAAATTGTATGTAAACTCTAATTCTGAGCTTTCCTGAGTATACCACATGATTCTGAAAAAAAAAATCCTTTTGAAAGAATATAGGCAAAATTTCAGGGAGTCTTAAGTAAAAAGGTTTGAAATATTATTTTCAAGGTCTTCAGTGGTGTGAAGGTAAAAGAGGGAGTTATTACACTGGATGGATCAGAATTCTCAAAGTTCTTCACAGGCTGCAACTCGAAGCCCCTTTGGAAAAGAACAAATTGAATAGGGATAAATATAAAGGTCTATACTGGGGTCTCAAAAATCAATTGCACCAAGACAGCATGGAGGAAAATAGCTTAATTGCAGTCCTTGTGAATGAGAATTAGGGGTTTCAGGGTGAAATTGTATGCCTCATTCACAGGCATAGAATGTGCTGTGACAACCAACTAAGCTCATTTGACCAGAGAATGTGATCCAAATTATGTATGTTAATATCAGACCACTCTTGAGGCCACATTCTAAGCACAAGTGAAACCTTATCTGGTTTCATTTGGAGAGAACATTTGGAGGAGCCTGAGGAGGTTTAGTGTGGAGAAGACAAGACTTAGGTGGACCTGATAGCTGGTTTCAGATATTTTAGAAGCTTAATCTGTTTGTCTCTGGGGGAAGATGAAGGAGTAGAAGTTGTGGGCAGGTGGATTTTGGTACAATCTGAAAAAGAATTTTATGAAAATGAGAAAGAGATAGAAAAAGCCTATCCTGTGAGGTAGACTCCTGGAAGTCCTCATAACAATGAATGTCTTCTTGTTGAGGTTTTGGGGGGGATGCATTTTCTGATGGGGACATACATGAAGATTTCTGGATTCCTAAATAATTCCTGGATAAATGACAGCTCACATTAGGAAGTAAAAAGATAAAAACCTGAAAAATGATCTTGTCTACAAGACCTTCTTTCCTGTGACGAAGCCACATTTAGAAAGCATATGTGTGTGTGTGACTAGTGGGTAGGGCTAGCTTCCTCTTAGCACGATCATTCTCCATTCCCACCACCTAAATACTTTGTATGGCCGGCACATTAGGGTTTCACTTGATGGAACTTAGAATGAATAATCCAATAGCAGGAAAAGGTCTTTGCCAAAAACGGTTTATTCAAGGTTGCATGCAGTTTTATTTTCTTTAGAGACAGAGTCTTGCTCTGTCTCCCAGGCTGGAGTGCAGTGGTGTGATCTTGGCTCACTGCAACCTCCGCCTCCCGGGTTCAAGCAATTCTCCTGCCTCAGCCTCCCGAGTAGCTGGGATTGCAGGCACCCGCCACCACGCCTGGCTAATTTTTGTGTTTTTAGTAGAAACGGAGTTTCACCATGTTGGCCAGGCTGATCTCCAACCCCTGACCTCATGACCCGCCCACCTCAGCCTCCCAAAGTGCTGGGATTACAGGCATGAGCCACTGCCCTGGCCGCATTTTTCTTTTTAACGGCACATAGCGTAAGTTCTTTCTTAATGGCCTCCAGCTACACGCCTCCCCAGTAAGAAAACTGATCATCAATCCATAATAAGATACAACCAAATAAGGCAGCAGGGGAGAGCCTATCTGTGATCACTGCCTTGTGCCTCTTTACAGAAGCTTCTGTCGGAAGAGAGGTTTGTATCCATGGAAACAGATTCTGATGAGAAGCAGCTGCTCAATCAGATACTGAATGCCGTGAAAGTGACGCCTTCGCTCAACGAGGACCTGCAGGTGGAAGTGATGAAGGTTGGTTTGACGTGGCCAAGAGTGTGCGTCACTGGGACAGGAACACATCCTGATCCCCTGCACTTGTTATCTGAAAATGCCTCTGCGTTGTGGTCATGCTAGCTCATCTTCATTTGGAACGGATGCTTGTTATTCTTGCTCATGGTCCCCCTAAATTACCCTGATGGTTTAACATCAAAAGGGACAATTTCAATCAATCCTTGAGATATTTGGCCTTGTTCTGCATTAAAGGCCATTAGAAAGTGTATTTGTAATCTTTTAAGAGAATGTATGTGAGTAGTTCCAGCGTGGGGTAGATCTGATTATTCTGGGTATTCTGCCTGCTCGCATATGTTAAAACAAAGCAATAATAATAATGTTTTGATATATACTGAGATTTCAGAATGGTCAGTTTAGGGACAGAAAGACCACAGTTGGGAGGCATGTCAGAATACACATCTTTTTTTTTTTCTCCTTCAAATTATATGAAACTTACCTCTTTCATTCCAAGTACCGCCTTCCTTTTAGGGATAGCATCTCTCCCTCCTGCTTTCCCTTTCTTTTAAGAATCACCATGATTGGGGGTCCGTTATGCTGACCAGAGTGTGTCATATTCTCTGAGTGAATGGTGAGTTGGGCAGAAAGGACAGAAACTCTGCCCCGTAACAGCACCTTGGTCATGGTAACACAGCAGGAACCAACAAGAAAGCTTTTAATAATGTATTCTGTCCTTTTCCTCTCTCGGGGAACATATGTTGAGAAATATTCAGGAATAGTTGGTGTCATCCCATGGTGGATTTCTTCCTGGAAATGCACTGAAGGATTTTTGTCTTGGATAAGAGACTACACTTCTCCTGGTTTCAGTTTCTCCATTCAGAAAAGATTGACTGCAGTCATGACATTCTCTTGATGTCCTGGGCCTCACCCTAACCCTGTTGGTGGGTAGTTCAGGTGATGATTAAGAGCTCAAACTCTGAAGCCAGCCTGTCTGGGTTTCAATTCTTATTCTTCCACTTCCTAGCAGAATGTCCTTGGACAGATGCCTCAGTCACTCTACCTTGATTTCCTTGTGTGTAAAATGGGGGCAATAGTAGGACCCACCCAATAGGATTGTTTTGAGAATTAAATAAGGTGACATTTGTAAAGAACATAGCACAGTATCTGGCACAAAGCTAGTGCTTTAGAAATGTTATATATCACTACTTGTACCACTACTGCCTCCTGCTGCTGAATCAGAATCTCAGCGGATGGGAGTAGGAATGTGCAGCTTTCACTAGCATCCCAACTGATTCTTAAACACAATGAACATGATGATGCCTGAGCTAGCTGATCTTTAGGATCTCATTCATCTTTAACTCTCTTTGATTCTGGGATGTACAGTTTTGCCTTATCCTTTCAGTTTGGCAGCTGTGCATTCTTAGGAACCACAGAGTGACCCCTTCTAGCTTTGTTTGACTTCTCCACTGTATCTGTGCCACTCCTGAAAAAGAGGCAAGACCAACTGCCACGCTAATCACTTTTGTAACTTCAAAGTGCAACCTGTGAATCTTTCTTCTTCTATTAGGGCTCCAAATACTGGAGAGTGAGCTTTGGTGTCATACTAAGAGATGCAAGTCAGATTACATATTATTCTGGAAATTCTCCCAGGAATAGTTTTTGTGGAATACAGAAATTTGTATTAAAAATTAAAATGAGGAAGTACCCATTCTTCTAGGAGCTATGCACAAGCAGAACGTTTAATGGTTATGTCAACAGTCGCACCTATTTTGAAAACTTGTACTTGCTTTCTGATTCCATCCCGCCCAGCAGTGCCTTCTGCTAGCCTTGCCGAAGATAGGAGTTGACACAGGTTAACTCCACCAGAAATCGTGGAAAGCCTCTTAATGGACTCTCCAATGACACCATTATAAACCTTGATACTTTTAGTTAATGTCTGGGAGGAAAGTCAGACACTGTCAGAAAAAAGAAAAACAATGAATCTGTCAGTCTTTACAATGAGATTTCCAAAATGCTTAAAAAGATAAGGGCCTTTGTTACATGCTATTATTTTTTTAATTGACAGATAACATAGTATGCTTTATCATGTACAACATGATTTTGAAGTCTGTATACATTGTGGAATGCTTAAATCTAGCTAATTAACAAATGCATTATGTCACATAGTTATCACTTTTGTGGTGACAGCACATAATAGCCACTGTTTACATTTTTCAAGAATATATTGTCAGCTGGGCATTTGACTCATGCCTGTAATCCCCGCAATTTGGGAGGCCAAGGCAGGGGGATGGCTTGAGCCCAGAAGTTTGAGACCAGCCTGGGCAACATGGCGAAACCACATCTCTACAAAAAAATAAAAAAAGTTAATGTAGAGAAATAGGAACGCTTTTACACTGTTGGTGGGAGTGTAAATTAGTTCAACCATTGTGGAAGACAGTGTGGCAATTCCTCAAGGACCTAGAACCAGAAATACCATTTGACCCAGCTATCCCATTATCCCATTACTGGATATATACCCAAAGGATTATAAATCATGCTACTATAAAGACACATGCACACATATGTTTATTGCGGCACTATTCACAATAGCAAAGACTTGGAACCAACCCATATGTCCATCAATGATAGACTGGATTAAGAAAATATGGCACATATACACTATGGAATACTATGCAGCCATAAAAAAGGATGAGTTCATGTCCTTTGCAGGGACATGGATGAAGCTGAAAACCATCATTCTCAGCAAACTATCACAAGGACAGAAAACCAAACACCACATGTTCTCACTTATAGGTGGGAATTGAACAATGAGAACACTTGGACACAAGGCGGGGAACATCACACACCAGGGCCTGTTGTGGGGAGGGATAGCATTAGGAGAAATAACTAATGTAAATGATGAGTTGATGGGTGCAGCAAACCAACATGGCACATGTATACCTATGTAAGAAACCTTCAATTGTGTACGTGTACCCTAGAACTTAAAGTATAATTAAAAAAATACCGCACGCCTGTAATCCCAGCACTTTGGGAGGTCGAGGTGGGGGGCTCACGAGGTCAGGAGATTGAGACCATCCTGGCTAACATGGTGAAACCCCTTCTCTACTAAAAATACAAAAAATTAGCCGGGCATGGTGGCGGGTGCCTGTGGTCCCAGCTACTCAGGAGGCTGAGGCAGGAGAATGGCATGAATCCGGGAGGCAGAGCTTATAGTGAGCTGAGATCGTGCCACTGCACTCCAGCCTGGGCGACAGAGCGAGACTCCATCTCAAAAAAAAAAAAAAAAAAATTTAGCAGGGCATTGGTGGTGTGAGCCTGTAGTGCCAGCTGCTTGGGTTGCTGAGGCTGGAAAATTGCTTGAACCTAGGAGGCAGATGTTGCCGTGAGCCGAGATCGTACCACTGCTCTGTAGCCAGCAGAGTAAGACCCTGTCTCAAAAAAAAAAATATTGTCACTAAATATAGTCATCTTGCTATACAGTAGAGCTCCTAAAATTTATTCCTCCAACTTAACTATAACTGTGGATGAACCCAAAAGATATTATGTTAAATAAAATAAACCAGGCACAGAAAGACAAATACCATGATTTCACTCACATGTGGAATCGAAAAAAGTTGATCTCACGGAAGTAGAGAGTAAGATAATGATTGCTGGAGACTGGGGTGCTTAGAAGGGAGGGGTGATGGGGAGATGATAGGAAACATACCATTATTTTTAACTATTTAAATATTAGGATTGGGGAAAAATATTTCAGTTCACAACAAACCTAGCCTGAAGTTAATTTTTTGAAGTATACTTTTTGATAAACATTTTGGCCAAGCTGCTAGAAAATTAATGACAAGATAACTATACTTTGGGTAATGTTGTTATTAACATCAAATAAAACTTGATGGTAACCTGACTTTGATAGGTCACAAGTGAGGGCTCCATAATCATTTGCTATTTCTGAGATTGAAAATACTTGTTTTGGTATAGAGATTGGTTCACAGTGTAGACTTTCTGGCTTAGAATAATAAGTTTTATCCCTCTTCTCTCTGAATGAGGAATTTCTATATCAACTTTTTAATAATCTCCAGAAGCCAACACCCTTTATCTTATAATTCGGTAATACTTGTAATGATCCAGGTAAAGCCTCTTAAATAAGTCCTTGTTTTGCTAATACCATTACTGTATTAAATGCTTTTACTGTATTCTCCCAAAAATTATAGAAGAGAGAATTAGATGAGTCCCCAGAGAAAAGACTGGATTTCCATTACATCTGAAGGGTATGTTAATTTAGTCTTGGCACTTCTACATGACTCATTCTGATGATAAATTATTTAAGAAATTTCCTATAAAAATCTTCCAGTCATTTTATATAAGTATTTTGTAGGCACAGAAAACCTTTTAAAACAAGATATGGTGGACATCTTCAAATGTTGGTCTGGATATGCTATTCAGGAGGGATAAGGCCACACCATGCAGTTTTTATTTGTCTGTCCGACCACAGCATAGCACGTTGTTATAACGGATCCTAGGTGTTATTTTTTAGAAGTTAGATCATGCGTTTTATTCACATATTGGTATCTGTTAGTGCTTATAAACATGGAAGATTGAACCATGTCACACTCTAAAGTGTATGGAACAATTGTATTAAATTTCTGGAAAGAAAATAATATAGTTTCCTTTTTGTAGAGATTTCTCCAAGATTAAACAGAAACGGGCCAATAATGAAATCCAATATTCCAAGGATAGTATTCTCATTTAGAAAGAAGACTTTCAATCAGAGGGTTAAAAAAAATCAGTGAAGCCTGCTTCTGACAAATAGGAATGAGGTTAAATCACTTAGTCTAGGAACTATTCTACATGGTTTTACTATTTAACAGGAAGGGGAGAAAAGGCAAGTTTGATTTATTGAAATGGCTATGGAACCCAAAGAAAAGTTTTACAGCTTGAGCAAACAATAAATGGTCAGAACTGTACAGAATCAGAAAGAGGCTCTGAAGATAGATTACCTTGGAAATGGATTAGTAGACTATTGAATATTTAGGTTAAATACTTGTCTGCTTTGGCAACATTTTCCTATGGTGTGTGCTATTTCCATAAATGCCAGGCAGATTGTATAGGAGCCATGTACGGATCTAATGACTTCTCTGACGAGAGTAGTTAGGACTTGTTTCCCTTCTTTCTGATGGATAACCTTTAGTGAGGTTATTAACTGATACAGCTGGCTGAGTCTTCAAAGGCTGCCGAATGGAATTATGGCTGGCTGTTCGCCTCTGTAAGCATGTGGGAGATGTGGGCATCCTATCTGGGGAGGGCAGGCTGGCTTTGGCGATAAGGAAGGAGATGATGCTGGACACTGAGAGAGCATTTGATGAATATTCTATTACTGGGTGTCTTTTTTATGTGCATTTTTAGATAATAGAAGTGAATATTCGTAGAGTGCTTTGCAATTTTTAAAGGAGAAATGACAGGGGCTTATCATTTAACATTTTTTATGCACCAGACATATTGATACTAAGGTCACACAGCTAGTGAAATGACCAGGGCAGTATTCAGCCTGGAGTTAAACCTGTGCTCTTAAGTGGTGGGTTACCTTGCCTGCCAAGTCTATCCTGAGAGGCTTGTGGGTGCTAGTCACTGCTATTCTTCTTGTGTAGATGATGGAGCAGAAAAGCCAAGTCACAGGCTAAGGAGGGGTAAAACTAGGAGTGGCTCAGAGTCCTGTGTGGTTTCTGTGTCTTCCCGTGATAATGATATTCCCTCACTAGTCCTGTGAGCTAAATTCACATATGAAGAAGGAATCTAAGTGTCTTTTCCACTAAGTTAGCTAATCGGTCTGGTGTGTGTGTGTGTGTGTGTGTGTGTGTGTGTGTGTGTGTGTGTGTGAAAGAGAGAGAGAGAGAGAGAGAGTGTTGGGGAAAGGGAAAGAGTGTAATTTACCATTGGTTTTTTGGTTTTTTGGTTTTTTGTTGTTGTTGTTTTTTTTTTTGGGTGGGGGGGAGTTTTACTCCTGTTGCCCAGGCTGGAGTGCAATAGTGCAATCTCAGCTCACCGCAACCTCCACCTTCCGGGTTCAAGCAATTCTCCGCCTCAGCCTCCTGAGTAGCTGGGATTACAGGCATGTGCCACCACGCCCGGCTAATTTTTTGTGTTTTTAGTAGAGATGGGGGTTCCACCATGCTGGTCAGGCTGGTCTCGAACTCCCGACCTCAGGTGATCCACCCACCTCCCAAAGTGCTGGGATTACAGGCGTGAGCCACCGTGCCTGGCCGGGGTATTTTTATATAACAAACGCCTAGTAAACATCTATAGAAAATACACAGATGAGTGAATCGTGGACAGAGTTTACTATTTGTATGGCTGGTAGTCCTAAGCTTCAGGGTGTCCAATTAGAGTTCTGGTATTACAAAGTGGAAGGGAGTGTGCTTTTAAATTATGTATCAGTACTGTCGTCAGTGCCTTGGTCTGGGAGCAAGAAACACGACAAAGGAAGAAAGACTGTTTGAGTCCCCTCTCGGTAATGTTTTAATGGCAGAGTCTTACACTTGGGAAGTTTCTTCAGATGGTTAGTTTTGATGTTCTTAACTCGGGGCATTTGGTCTTCTAGAGTTCCTTTTGGAAAGAATGTGATCATTAGTGAAGTTTGAGAGTGAAATGGCTAATTTGTCTTGCTGCTTATAACAGGGAGAAATCTCTTCTTAGCCTGAAGCCATTGAGACCCTTCAGAAGATTTGTAGCAATCTCTAGCGTTAAGGAAAAATCCAATGTTTGATGAAAAATATTTAACTCCTGAATGTGTCGTTGTTGGAGGTTGATCTAACAAGTTTGCAAACATATTGTTTGTGCAGTTAATGCAGGGAAGTGTCTAAAATATGTGGTTCTGCTAAGTAAATGGTTCTCAAACAGCCTTCCCTCTTCCTGCTCATAAGGTTGAGTGATGAGAATCTTTTTCTACTTTGCAAACAGACTAATATAATTCTTACTGAGTTTTCCTCCCATCTTTCTTTACCCTTTGATATGACTGCCTTCAGCAGATGGTAAAAATATATGAAAAAGTAATGAACAAACATTGAAAGCCTGGAGATGTGATTTTCCTTTAAATAGTTTATGCATTATTTTTGAGATGGAGATTTTCATATTATCTATTAATATCTTTTTAAAGCACCACCATTTCCAAGTGTTTACTATATTTCAAAATCACTCTACTAAGTGTCTTTAAACTTTTCTCACATAATCTTAATTTAAGCGCATATAAATGCAGAGGCCCTCATCACTTACTCTGGATGTTCTATAGATCCAAACAGAATGGGAAAGTTCTCTGATTTTTTAATCATTTATTCAGCAAATATTTGATTGTTTTCTATGTGTCAGGCACTGTGCTGGGCACAGAAGATCCCATAGTGAAGAAAACAAAACCAAAGAAAAACACAATCTGTGTTTGGAGGCCAATGATAGAGTCAGAAATCAATTAAATATATAAATACACTAGTCCCCACTTATCCAAAGTTTCACTTTCCTTGGTTTCCATTACACATTGTAATGTCTCCTCAACTCTTGACTCAGGCATGACTTGAACATTTCACTAGTTACTAAGCGAAAATTAGTGGTATACTATAAGTATTGTTTTTATCCCTCTGGTGCCTAGCGGAGCATCTGGCACATGGCTTACTAATTGCTCGTTAGTTTAGTTATTGACTAATGGAGAGACAGAAACACATGTGGTAGTTTTTAATGGCCCACTAGGATAAATAACAAACTAAATTGAGATAATAGATAATAATCTATGAGTTCAAGATTGAGAAAGATCAACATGGGTTTGTATTTTAGAATTGAAATAACCTCCTACATCATCAAATTCTTTTCATAAGTAAATTGAAGTTGGAATGGTTCAGTTACTTGGCTGGGCTTAAACAGTCATTGGTAGCAGAATTGCCTTTTCAACCATTTTTATTTTTCTGGAAAGGCTTTGCAGCAGGGCTGAGAGTTTATATGATCTGTGGATGTATAGTTTTGGATAAGTAGAGAAGACAGCATTCCAGACCTAGGGTCTGAGTTAACTGCAAAGTCAATGTGAATAATATGGCTTCTGAAGATAATGAGGAACATTTCATTGAGGAACCTTTCATGGTCAAGTGTGTCTGCAAGGGTGTGAGAATTGCATGGTGTGACTGTTCTATGGAATAATCAATGAACTCTGTTGCCTTTTGACTTCTTTTTACTTTTTCTTTTTTTCGAAATACCTTGTAGCAGAATGGTAAGAGCACAGTTTCTGGAGCTAGAATGCCTGGTAGCCTTGGGAAGTTACTTAATCTGTGCCTCAATTTTCTGATCTGTAAAATGTGAATAATATTGTGCATATCCTCATATTTCTGGTTCCTTAAGAAGGCCCTCATATTTACTACTGTAAATTGAATTGTAGCTCTGTAGCATAGAAGAATAATTTTGTAAATTATTATACATCAATTAGCCACCTCGATATATTTAAGGTCCTAACCATCAGCCATGATTCCACAATCTAAGGAAAACACCCACTCTTTAGCTGAGCCAATGTTTCTGTTCCATCCTACGAGGTAGAGTTTTATGATTTGATTATTCCAGAAGAGCTCTGTAATTATTGTTTCAGATGTAGAGAATCAGGTTGGCTGTAGCCCTTTAACAACCCTATCTTGAGGAGCTTGCTTGGTCAGGTCTATAAGTATAAACAATAAAACTATCAAAAGTTCTGTGTTTGTATGGGCAGAGACAATTTGAGATGAGGCTCTCATTCTGCAGAGAGTCTGAGAGGGAAAGAGAAAAGGAAGGAGTGAGGGTGTTATCTGGGGCATACCAATGAAATTTGACTTCTTAAAAACCCAGCTGTGAGATTAAGTCAAAATCTGCTTGTTACAGATTAAACTTGAAAAAATAAGTCGTGGAACTTTTAAATTTGTTGCTTTTTTAGACCTTTTTTTATTGATTTATTAAGGAAATATATTTTTGTTGCCAACAGTGCATAAAACTATATAGGATTAAAAACAAAATATTCAAAGGCAAGGGTTTATAATTCAGTAGGAAAGCAATAAAGAGGCAGCCAATTACCACAATTCAAGGTAGCTGTGTATGTTTAATCAGGAGAAGAGTTCAGGAGGCACATTCAGGAGGAAGAAGCATGTTTAGCAGGGCAGAACATCCTTTTAAGGAGGGGATACTATTTGAGTTGGACTTTGAAAGGTAGGTGGGATTCAGATAATTATGTTGGGAGAGAGGGCATTCTTGGTAGAGAAAAAAAGTCCTGGGGATGGAAACTGAGATTAGTGAGGGATAGTGGACGATGAGCCTGAAAGGGTGGTTGAAGAGGCTCTAGAGGGCCTGCTCTCTGTAAGCAGGCAAGTGATCCAGACAGAGCTGGGTGTTAAACATGGAAGGTGAGGAGGGGGAGGATGGGTTTGCAGGATGATTCAGGAATCAGCAGAACCAAGTCTTTGGCATCGTGAAATATCTTATTGGAAGAGGCTGAGCCAGAGGTACCAGGACTTAATCCAGGTAGGTGGCAGTAGGAAGGGGCCACCTGGGCTGAATGCAGAAAGGTGTGGCTGAGTGCACTGACCTGGTTTGCAGAATAAGGAGCAGCTGGTGACTGGCAGTGACATGGGCAGTGAGTAGGTAGGAGAGGGAAAGCCCAAGTTGCCTGCAGGACTCACAGCCAGAGTTTCTGGTTGAGTGATGGTCTTACGGGACTAATTTAAGAGATAGAGACTGAGTTCATATTATCAGGTCTCAATATTTATATTTAAATTTTGACATAGATGTGCGTGTGTGTGTGTGTGTGTGTAGAATATTTTAAAAGATGAATTTAAAGAAGTGCTAGTAGTTTAACATTATGGGCATTCCAAAAGAGAAAAAGTTAATTGTAAATCCCATCATGTTGACTGATTCTTGTATACTGATTTCTCATCATATCTACTTATGTGTTTATAGTTATATTCATTGTGTGTATAGGATTTTTTTTCTTTTATCTTCTCTTTTCTTTTCCTTTTCCTTTCTTTTTTTCTGCAGGGTTTCACTGTCACCCAGGCTAGAGCTCAGTGATGCAATCACGCAATCACAGCTCACTGCAGCCTTGACCTCCAGGTCTCAGGTGATCCTCCAACCTCAGCCTACTGGGTGCGCCACTATGCTCAACCAATTTTTGTATTTCTTTTGTAGAGACAAGGTTTTGCCATGTTTCCCAGGCTGGTCTCGAACTCCTGTGTTCAAACAATCTATCTGCCTTGGCCTCCCGAAGTGCTAGGATTATAGGTGTGAGCCACTGCAGCCAACCTATTTCTTGCTTTATACTTTAAATCATAAGCATTTTCCACATGGTTCTCTCTATATATCTATATATATGTAGTCCTTTAAGTACAGTTTTAATGTTAGCATAATTAAGAATTTTTTATTTTTATTTTTCTATTATTTCCATTGTATTTATTGCCAATACAGAATACTTCCTGTATGTTCTGGATGAAAGAGAAATCTGTAGGCTGCCCTAAGCAACTATCTGTAATTTATATCTTTACTTCTATGAGAAAATGCATCCTGCATTCTACTGAAATTTTAGGCTAGAGTCTATTTCTAAAACATGAACTACTTGTACAATGGAACAAAAAAATAAGTCTTTTCCACTCAACCTTTGGGTGCAAGTTCTAATACACTTGCTGGTCTTCATGTCTAATATACTTGCTAGAAGGACATCGACTCAGCCCTTCCACAGTAATTTCTTTTTCCCATCTTAATCACATATTATCATCCAGCAGTAATCAACACGTAACTGACCAATCCAGTTTGTTCTCCATAAGGGTTGGAATTAGTAGATCTCATCTTGACCAACTAAATTGCCTTGCCATATAAACACAGCTGAATCTCCTAGAATTCACTTGAAATAGTAAAGCAAGTTCATATTCTAAAATAAATATGGTTGAGACTATGCCTCATGTATCGGAAACCACCCCAAAATGCAGTAGGCAGTTCAGGCTGGGCTCGGCTGTCCTGTTCTTTTGCTGATCCCAGCTGTGCTTGCTCATACATCTTCGGTCAGTTGGTGGCTTGGCTGGGGCTGGCTGACTTACAATTGCTGCATCAGGTCCAGGTGGGAAGATTGGTACCTCTTTCTATAAGGTCTTTCATTTTCTAGCATGGCAGGTTATCTACATGGTGGCAGTGGCAGGGAAAATTGAGGAACTCAGAGGCCCCAAGTGTTTTGGGGGTTTGGTTTGTTTGCTTGCTGATGTCCCATTGGTCATTTCAAGCTAATGGTCACTCCACACCTCATATTTAAAAGGTGGGGAAATAGATTCTGTTTCTTGATGGGGATATCTACAGGGGTAATTAAGAATTTTAGAACAAGAAATGTTTAGCTGTTTACCATATTACAGCCTTAGTGAGGTTGATGTGATTTTCATGGAATTGAACAAAAGAAATTATTTGGTCTAATATGTCAATATTTATTTGTGATGTTTAGAAACTGAAATTAAGGATTACAACCTGGGGAAAATGTTGACTCTAGAAATAGATTTGTGAGTCCTCTAGTTAGAGATGACAGTTATAAGACTTGGCCAGGGGAGAAGGTTTAGAAGGGAGAAGAAAATATAAATAATGAACAGATTATTTGTTCAAGTGAATTAGCTAAATTAATTATAACTAATATTTATATATTTTTTCTGTGACTATCACTGTTACAGTATTTCCTAGAATTCAGTGCTAAGGGCATATCTGATGAATATCAATAACTTATTTCTAGTGGCAATCAATAAAGGCCAGAAAAGAACCCGTGACATGACCATAAACCAATGAGGAATTTGAAAGATTTTCCACCTTGAGTATTTAGGAGCTCTAGCAAAATCTGTTGACTAAAAAATCTCTCAGAATAGCTGTTTGCCAGAAATTTGGCAAGTTGAGCCAGAGAGTGATTTGGTTGATAACCTGCTAATAGTGGTAGATGTTTTATGAAATAAAATAACAATGCATTTTCTTAGGGTCAAAAATAAAGATTGAGGTTGTAGCCCAGCTACTTGTTGTGACCTCTAATCCACAGTCTCTGAAGCAAAGGGAAGGATCAGTGGCTCATCCTAGTTCTTCTCTGGAAGTCCTAGATTCTAGCTGTCAGCCTTTTGGAGTTGGAACAGTGTTGTAGAGCAGGGGCTTCCAATCTTTTAGCTTCCCTGAGCCACATCGGAAGAAGAATTGTCTCAGGCCACACATAAAATACACTAACACTACCGATAGCTGATGAGCTTAAAAAAAAATTGCAAAACAAACTTATAATGTTTTAAGAAAGTTTACGAATTTGTGTTGGGCCACATTCAAAGCTGTCCTGGCCTACATGTGCCCCGTGGGCCGCAGGGTTGGACAAGCTTGTTGGTAGAAGTTCTGAGTTATGTCTACAAGGCATGTGGGACAGAAATGAATGAAACAGTAGTTCTCAGGTGGGAGCAATTTTGTCCTCAGGGGACGTTTAGCAATTCCTGGAGGCATCTTCACTTGTCACAACTGGCAGTGGGAAGGAGGAGCTGGGGGAATGGGGGTATTGCCACTGCCATCTATTGGGTAGAAGCCAAGGATGCTGCTACATATCCTACAATGAGCAGGACAGTCCTGCCGACAAAAGGAATTATTTTGTCTAACATGCGAATAGTGCTGAGATTGAAAAACCTTGATCAAAGTAAGAAAAAAGGTTTGTCTTTGTCATCAACATTTTATTTTTTTAAAAAACTTCAATAGCTTTAGGGGTACAAGTGGCTTTTGGTTGCATGGACAAATTGTGTAGTGGTAAAGTATGAGATTTAGTGAACATGTCGCTTGGGGAGTGTACCTTGTACCTCATATATAGTTTTTTATCCCTCATCCTCCTCCCTCCCCCATTCTGAGTCTCCAGTGTCTATTATACCACTCTGTGACATCCATAATTTAAATTGAAGTAAGAAAATGTCCTCTGAAAATTCCTTGTTTACTCTGTGACTCCATCCCTCCCTCACTCCAAAGACAAACATTCTGCCATTTTGCGAACTTCAGAAGACTAAGTCTGCTTTGTTGTTTGTGCCTGAACCATGAGGGAAAAAAATCTCTGTTGACATTTCATGGTCGAGGTACACTTTCAGCAATGAACACTCCATTTGGCTGGGCATGTGGAAGGCAGCACACCCTTCACCCCATAGAAGGGCATTTGGTGTCTCAGTATTCCTGTGCTTGTCACTGAATTTTCTGTTCTTGCTGCCGAATTTGACAGTAAAAAAAGAACTGGAGTGTTTCTAAAGAGAAGGAATTATGCAATAATTTTTAACTTTATGAAGTTTAAAGCCAATCTACATGAGAGGCCAGAAGGAAATGTGTGTTAAGCAACAAAGCTAAATTCTCAGCCAGAGCCAGAGTCTGGCTTTGAAATGCGCCTGGCATTAAGGTTTTCACCATACACCAAGAGAGAAAAATGCAAGGCCTTCTGTGGGCTGTACTTTTTGGAGCCCTAACTAGCTTATTTTGTTTGGTTTGATTTATAAATAACATCTGATATTTTGAAAAATGAAACCACAGTTCCCCCCAAGAAGGAGTTGTGTGTTAATTAAGATAATTTTTAACAGTTTAAGAAAAAGGAAAAATAATTTCTTGTTCATTCAATATGCCCTCATGCCCACCATATGGCATAGGGGTAGGTTGACTCCCCAAAATCAGCTCACATTTTGATGGTACCCTTTTCTTTTCCCCTAGGTTTAATTTATTATATGTGTTATAACGTGAAATTTAGAGTTCCATGAAAGGATGAATACAGCATTACACCTTGTGTATCATGTGTTGGACCATGGCATGACTTCCCAGAGGACACTGCATTTTCCCATTCAGAATGTTCATTACAGCTTATTGTAATTTTTTATTTTATGACCATCTTCATACCAGATGTTAGCTCTGCAAGATAAGAGATTATCTTATTTGTTCACTGCTGTGTGTCCAACAACTACGCTGGATGTGGCCTCTAGCAACACCTCAGCAGATATTTGTTGAGTGAATGAATAGGAGCCTGAATAATCCAGCACACAGGTAGGTGTAGTGTGGCCATGGAGCTGCTCTCTCATCACTTTAGGAATCACTTCTTTACTCCTGAATCCCCTGGAAATGGTCCTGCAGAGGGCTCTGTTGGAACCTTGATAGAAATGAGCTCTTCAACTCATAAATCCTATACAAGTTACCATTTATGATGGAGAGTGCAGAAGATAGATAGGTTCTCAGCAGAGCATAATGGGAAATATCAGAAATGTCTCATGGGAGATGCTTTCTGGTTAAACTAGAGATGATTTTCTCCCCATCCACAGCGAGGTCCTGCCAGATTAGTGTAATTTGGTAATCCCTCATTCAGGATTACCAAATTATAATTTCCCTAACTAGATCACCTGAAACTCCAGTGTTACCTTACTTGGTTACAAAAACTGCCTTTCACCAGTCAGGCCACCTGGATCTGACATTCAGGTGCCCAGAACAGTTTTCTTCCATACCACCAGGGCTGTTTTACTACATTGTCTACACATTTTACAATAATGAGTAGGCACATAGATGCACAGTTCCACTGAAACTGTGAGGCTGACCATTCATCTGGACATCTTATAGAAGGTATTGAGCATGGGCCAAGGCCCAGCTGCTCCTAGCACCTCCCAGGGCCCAGCAAGGTGCTGTAAACATGGCAGGCATCACAAAAGGTAAATCTTACTACTAAGAAGCTGAGAAATCCAATGGTGTGTGTGTGTGCGTGTATGTGTGTAAGTATACAGATTTAAGTAGTGTATCTAAACTGTTCCAAATAAGTGCTATAGGAATAAGTGTTTTGAGTTGTCTGCCCATTCTGTAGCATTAAATATTTTATATTATGCAATTTGAGCAAATTATATTTCTGTTCTCCAAAGCATGTTACTTCATTAATATATAATATAAAGCTTTGTAAAATATGTGGGAATGGTGGGGTATGAGAGATTTCAGCCAGGTTGACTAGGACAGTAGGGGTTGGTGGGAGGGCAGTGGTAGGATGGTACCCAGGTTTCAAACACAGGTGACCATTGCCTTCCACTCTCCCTGCATCTTTTTTCCAAATGCGCAACAGTCAATTCATTGCCACGGGAACAACTAGGATCTGTCTTCGACATCATCTAGATCTTATTAAGTGCCTGTTTTCTCTCTCTGACTTCCAATTTGCCCTAGTTTATCTCCTTTTAGTTATAATTTATTGGCCTGACCAGCCCTAATATGTGTGAAACACTTAACATAAGGCATTTAAATTGACATCCAGTAAAGTTCCAACTGATCTTTCCAGCATCATCCCTGGCCTCTGCTTTCACACTTCCATGCCTTGCTCATGACACTTCCTTAGGTTGGTGCATCTTTCCCTCCCTTTTCTCTCCAGTGTTGGCGCTTTGTTCACATGTCCTCTTATCTGCAAAGTCTGTCTTCTCCAAAGTTATTGTGTCTTCTAGCCTTCTAAATTATTATATACCTCACAATTGCAAAAGCACTTATCACAGTCAGCCTTGAAGAACAGTTGCAGGCATTCATTTCTCCAATAGACGGTGCGAGTTTTTTTGATGTCAAAGACTGTGCTTCCTTTATGTTTGTAATCCCACAATTAGAACCTTAGTGAATAATGACTGGAATTGAATCGTAGCCTAAAAGGGAGGACAGAAGGAAGAAAGTGGAGCTGGATCAGAAAAATGAGAACTTGTGGCATTGATAAGACATGGAGTGAAAAACCAAAGGTTCTATGCTTTTCAATGTGGATTATCTGATATTTCTAATATTTTTTTTTACTTGAAATAAGCCTAATCATCTATGTTGGAATAGCTACCATGAACTACATCAAATGAGACTTGTGTAGCTTCTGTGAGAAGACAGGCTTAAAGGTCTGTCTCATCTGCACTATTTCTTTAAACATTCATTTAATTTATTTGTTCCTGTAACTATCCTTGGGAGGTGGGATGGGAATTTTAAAGGTAAAGGGCTAGAGGACATAGACAAAGTCACACACCAATTAAACACCAAATCACATGCATGATCATGTCTCATTTGTGGCCCTGACATCACAGCCTCTGCTCTGCCCTGATCATGGTCGCTGGACAGGGTGTGCCTGACAGAGAAACCCCCGATCATGACCAGGACATGTCCTTGGGAGAGGATTAATTCAGGATGTTCTTAAAAGAGCACATCTGCGATTCTGTGCTCATCATCATTATCTGTCCACATCCATCCCTCTCTCATATTAACGTGACCACATTTTCTGGATTGTTGTCACTTGTGCCAAAATCTTGCAATAAATCAGCTTTGCTTTCTCCTTTCAAGTCTAATTCTAATTTTTTTTCCCTAAACCCAGGGTTTCTGTACACATTTTAAATTGAGGGATTGCTTCTTGCATATAGTAGCTATTCAATTATCTGGGACTTTTATTAGCCATTGTAATGATTTTTCCCTTTTCATGGAAAGCTTTGCCCCTGTTTTCCCTATTTTCCTTGTGGCTCATTTATGGAGGCAGTTTCTGCAAGCTGGTGTAGATTGCAGGACGCTGCCCATCACTCAAGTTCCTGCTGTTCCATGGTAATTTAGTCAATATGCTTTAATGACCCTGTGAAGGATATATTTTTAATAAAATTGCCCTCAATATTTAGCTGCTTCTGTTTTCCATGGGGCCAGCGTGCTCAGAATGTTAATCTAAACTTGTTGCCCTCTCATTATGCAATGGAAGTCAGATGATTTCAATTTGTTATTGCCCTAAATTTTCTACCCCTAGTCTGTGTTTTAATCCGGCGAATTAATACATGCTAAGCATTGGGAGCATCAACAATTTCAATAAGTCATTTTTATCTGCTGCATCATCCTGGCTAGATGCTCTGCCCTTAATACATCTTGTGAGTCCCAGGAGGGCATGGACACCATCAGCCCTGTAATTAAAATCTGCTGTGCTTTTCATGCAACAAACTGCATGAGCTTAAGGAACTGGCTCCGTTAATGTGCTTTACTTTCCTTTCATTATTTCCTGCTGTTTTCAGGGTTGATTTTGTTTTTTTTTTTTCCATATAGCTCAGTGAGTCTTTGACTATTGGTGGCCAGACATTAGGTGTGGAAAGCCTTCCTTCCAACATCTTGTGAACATGGTCAGCATTGGCTGGGGGCCTGGGTGCAGGTATCCTCAGCTTCTGTGGACTGTTGTTGCAGGGAGGTCTCCCTCTACATATGCTGGGCTTCCCTGAAACACAGGGAGTCAAGCTTCCTGCATTCCCCTGAGAATCTTGATTACCAATACTGCTAACTCAACACCCTTACGAAGACCTCACCATGGGAACTGCTCCTGCTTCCAACCGCTGCTCCGAAAAGCAGCTCTTGCTCACAGAAAACTGGGTCAAGTTTCAAACACTTCTTCCTAAACCTACCTTTGTGTACCTTATATGAACTCACAGAGCCACGGAAGGCAGAAAGTTGATCGTCAGTCCTATAAGCAATGTTAATAATTAACCAGTGAGGACAAATATTTGCCATCATTATTTTCATATCGTAAAGTGGTGCCAGTCTTTATTGTCAATACTTAAAAAATCAAGAGCCCAGAGGGACCAAGTGGCCTCTGCTGGCCACCACCAACTCAGACTCCCCGCCCCCCGCCATGAAACATGGCACTAAAAATAAAAAACCTCAGAGTAAGAAAGCATCATGTGACAATGTCCTGAGGGCCTTTCACAGGCTCCACGGATGGTATAGTCTAATGAGAAGATTGCAAATAAGCAAACAAGTCATTTATGAGACTGATGTCTGCTCTGAAGTAAATGAAACAAGGAGATGTGATACTGAGTACTTTAGAGAGGGGGATCTGGGAATGTCTGTCTGAGGGGGCGACATCTAAGACTGGAAAGAAGCCAATCAAGCCACGTGGCAAAACAAATAGAGGAGGAGCCAAGGACAGGGCTTTTCAGCCATGGGACCACCACTGTGTACTTACAGGGGCCTGGAAGACATAGCCTCCCTCCAAGCCCAGGGTAGGTCCTGGTGACCCCACTGTCCTCAGCTTTCATCCCTCCCTACCTACCAAATCCCAGTTCCCAAAGATTGTCATGAAACAAAAGAAAGCTATTTCCCATGAGGCCAAGAGGCAGTTGCTACCCAATCCCTTTTTCTCAATCGCCATGGCACTGAGACAATTTTTTTTTTTTTTTTTTTTTTGAGATGGAGTCTCACTCTGTCACCCAGGCTGGAGTGAAACAGTGTGATCTCGGTTCACTGCAACCTCCGCCTCCCGGGTTCAAGTGATTCTCCTGCCTCAGCCTCCCGGATAGCTGGGATTACAGGCAACCACCACCACACCTGGATAATTTTTTTTTTTTTTTGTATTTTTAGTAGAGATGGGGTTTTGCCATGTTGCCCAGGCTGGTCTCGAACTCCTAATCTCAAGTGATCCGCCCACCTCAGCTTTGCAAAGTGCTGGGATTACAGGTGTGAGCCACTGTGCCCAGCCAACTGAGCTGATTTTTATTTGGTGTTGATTCTTGGATTAAGTCCCTTTAAGAATCAAAAGACTGAGGAGCACACCTGCAATTAATACCCACCCTTGTGACTAAATATGGCAAAAAAAAATCTTTTTTACCCCCCTTTAATTGCATACATACTTGCTTTCTCTGAAGGAGCGACTGTTCCTAGGGCCGGCCTAGCTGACAGCTAAGACTGAGAGATGGGGAGAGATTTCTTGTCACATCTGACAATTGCAGTTTCCTGTATTAAGTAAATTTGCTAGGCTTCCATGCTCCTTCATGAATTGAACAGATGAGAAAAATGCTCAGAAGACTGCCCCTGGCAGGCTAAGCTGCAGGCAGGGCATGGCTGTGGGGTTTGAGATCAAGGAGCAGACACCAGCACCTTTGTGTCTGTTTTCTGCAGCAAGAAAAGTCAGAGCTAAGTGAAGAGGGAGAGAGTAGCCTCTTACCTACAAATTGAGAAGCAGTTCTTAAAATGCCACAGGCTTTTATTGATCTGTTCCCTAAAGGCTCTACAAGTAGAAAGTGAAGTTTTTAGTGGTCCTTAAAGATCTTGCAAATGTCATTGACCTATTGTCTATGTATCTTGGAAAATAAGGGGAGTAAGTAAACACCATGTAACATTCTGGAGGAAATTGCAAGAGGGAAGAGGAAAATGCAATAAAAGAATTTCTAATTCCGTGTGGATTTGGGAAAGGGATAGGAATAGAAAATGACACTGACATTTGAGTTTCAGAAGAGGTGGAGATGGCTTTGCCTCGTGAGTGAGCACATGGAGTCGGATTACTTGAGTTCAACACTTGCCACCTGTATGACCTTAGGTAACATATTTAATCATGGAGTTCTAGTTTTCTCACCAGTAAAACGGGGGCAATAATAATGACACTTATTTAGAAGGTCAACCTAGATAATTCATGTGAAGTGCCTAGCATTAAGCCTGGCATTTTTAAAATGACTGCTACTAAACAACTCTTTTGAGGTTTTTGCTGTTACTGGACACACCTCCTGGAGCTGTTGAGAGATGCTGTTTCTGGCCAGTCTTGCAAGCCCTTTCCATGGGGAGAGATTAGCAGCCTTTATTTTTTACAGGATGGTCTCTACTTTGTTAGGCAACATGTGGCCACTAATGAGAAAGCAGTGGGTGGGATATAAAGAAATATTAGGTAAAGCAAATAGCAAAGGAATCATAAAAACAGGACTGCACAAATGGCATATGAAACAACAGTGAATTTCCATACTGTTAACCCCTTGTCTCTTCTTTCATCTCTCACCTTGTTAAAGGTTTTACTATGCATCACCTACACGCCAACATTTGATCTGAATGGGAGTGCCGTGCTGAAGATCGCGGAGGTGAGTACTGCTTGTGTCTGTGCCTCCTGTTCACAGCTGCTTTATCTCTGACTGGGATAAATATTGGGGTGGAACTAAGCCCCAGCACTGGAGTGAATCCTTCTCTGATTACTACCGTGGGGAATTTCCGCTAAGGAATTGATCTGTGGGAAGCGTGCTGTGTGGTGCGCCATCCTTAGTTGTAATGCCATGTGTCTCAGAGCCCTGCATGCTTACGTTTGCTTCACTTGAGGCCTTCACTATGTAAATAACAGTACTGGTTCCCCTTACCCTGCTCCACCCAGGCGTATTGCTTTCTCGGTCTAATTTGCCCACAATTCATTGAAAAGCATTTGATTTAAAAAAATAGTTTTTAAGAAACCAAGTAGGAGATTTAGAGAGATGTTTATAGATTAAATCCCCTCCCCATCTTCAAAACCCTGAAGAATGCCTATTGAAATGATCATTGAAAAGCCTTCTCATTTCAATCTGTATTGCAGCCCAGAGTAATGTGTGCCTTCCAGCATGCCCAAGAATATGTCCAACAGAAAACTTGGCTTCTTGAATGCCTGGCATATGTCTTTGGCTTTTGGAAACACTATCATTTCAAAGCTGAACTTTAATATGCTTGGAATAATTTCCCTTCCATTTCTTGAAAAGAATATCTACAGGATTTGTATGTTCTGATAAGAGTATACATTCAAACCACAAAGAGGAATGATTTTCTGAGTTCTGAAATGATGGAGAAAAAGGCTAATTATCAGCACTCATGGAGAGTACTTATATTAGCAGATACATGTGCTTTTTATGGTATCATGTGGTATTAAACAGTGAAAATTAAGAGAAAATTATTTTTGAGCGTGTAGAAAATTTTTATGTGACTGTCAAAAGAGAAAGCAGCAGCCAATCAGCTGACCTCTCATTACAATACAAGTCACTTTTAAAATATGGATTGATACAGATGGAAAGAACACTTTCCTTTAACACATTTGTATGTATACTCTGTATTTGTTTTATTTGCATTTGTTTTTAATTGAATTTTAAGAGAGCCCTGTGAGCTCTTTCATTATCTGCAGGTTCACTTTTCAAAAGACAGTGTTGTTTCTGAAAATAGCAAGAAGCAGGATTGGTGTGTAAGAGGCTTGTTAGCCCTTTGCCATGTGAAGGAAGAGAGGGGAGGTGTCAAGCCACTGCCCCTGCTGATGGAACTGGGGGGAAGGGGAGACAAGGAGCAGAGGGTCTTCAGGAGGAGAGGGCTGCCAGGGATTGAGGCTGTTAGTATCAACAACAACCAGGTTTTGAATGAGAGTCAGAATGATTGAAAATATAATTCCTGAATAATAGGCACACACCACCAAGTTCGGCACGAGTGAAGGGTGTTCACTGAGAGTATCTGGAAGCCAAAATAAAAAGACTCAGCAGGCCCGTCCAGATAGGATGCAACATTGAAACACTGTGGCCTCTTCCAAAATGAGGAAAGGAAAAACAACAACAACAGATCATAGCCAAAGAACAATATAATGATAAAGGCATTTGAGCTTGGTGGGAGAGAAAAATGGGCTCTGGAGTCATACTGCTTAGATATGAAGCCGGCTCTACACTGCCTAGTGGTGTTGCCTCGGATACCTGTCCCAGCCTCATGTTTGCTCTCTGTAGATGAAATGATAAGTGATACTGAGCTCATAGTGTGGTTGTGCTGATTAGACAAGAAAAATACAATCCATATAAAAAGCTTTTAGTGCAAGTCCAGCCACATGGTAAATGTGAAATGTTTGCCATTGCCACGTTTGAAATCGGGAAGCAATTTATAAAAGCACCTTAAAATAAACCATTTAAAACTCCTGTGGAAATGTAAAGAAGGAATCTAGATGTTCTCTTCCTGCTTACTTTTGTATACATTGACTATTACTCATGAATAGTGTTTATCCTGAAACCTGCTGATCAGGAAGTGGGATGTGTACTTAAGCATGAAAAATGAGGCTATTTCCCCAAGGTTCTGAAACTATAAAAGGATCATTAAGCTCTCAAAATGTAAATAAGAGGGCACCCTTCATTTGTGTATCTAAATTTAACTTGCTTAATTAAACTGCAATAATGAAAAGTTCTTAGAACAGCATCCTCTGTGACAGGAAGCATAAGAAATATTACCAAATATAAAAATGGACAATTATGAAATATCCAAGTGCTTTCTGTTCAATTTCATGAAATCATTACTAAAACTCCATGTGGATGCATAGCCCTTCTCTTCATTGATTGAAAGCTGAGCCCGATTTCTGTTAATATTAACCCCAGGGTAGCAGATATGTTGAGTTTTCCAAGGAAAGTTACCTTCATATAGGAAAAAGCTGTGGGAGCAGAAATTGCCAAGGTCTTGGAGTAAAAGAAAAAGGTGGGGCTGGGCACGGTGGCTCATGCCTGTAATCCCAGCACTTTGGGAGGCCGAGACAGGCGGATCACCTGAGGTTGAGAGTTCGAGACCAGCCTAACCAACATGGGGAAACCCCATCTCTACTAAAAATACAAATTAGCCAGGCGTGGTGGTGCATGCCTGTAATCCCAGCTACTCGGGAGGCTGAGGCAGAATTGGTTAAACCTGGGAGGCGGAGGCTGCAGTGAGCCTGTTCCATTGGAAAGGTTTTTTATACCTGCGGAAGGCTTCTCTGTGGGATTTCTCAAAAGCAGAAAGCCTGTTTCATAAATGAGTGTTTGCTGGTTTGATCTTATTGACTTATGGAAACTTCCAGTCTTTGATTCTGTAGCTTGCTATCAGGGTCAAGCAAAATCTGTCTCAAAGGCCATTGTTTTTTCCTCTAAGGTTCATAATTTCAGGGCATGAAAAACACCTTTTTTATTGTTATTCCTTCCATCCAGCCAGCCCTCCATTCTAATATACTGGTTAATAATAATAGCTACTAGTCACTGAGTGCCTAAGGCATGGCAATAAGTGGCATTTTACATGTATTCTCCTTTAATTTCTGCCACAACTAGATAAAGAATACAAGCAAAGTGAAGTTTGCTTGCTCAAGTTTCTACAGCTAGATATTCAAATCCAAACTTCTAATATTGCAAACATGTACTGTTAATCACTCTGCTATATTGCTCCCTGGCTCCCCCTCAGTCTTAGAGAATGTTAGCAGAATCTTGCCATAATAATATTGGCAACCAACTGAAGTGCTTAGGAGTCTTCCACCCTTGGACCTTTACCGAGGCATTTAGTTAGATAATTGTTCTATGGTGTTTTATATATATAAAGCTCAAGTGTTTATTCATTTCATTTTTTTGTGACCATAGATTCAAGTGGCCATAGGGAATATGTCACTTTTTCCAGTATATTTCCATATGGATAGTGTATCTTTTCTGAGCATTATATATAACACATCAGAGGATGGGAGGTTTGTAATAGTTTCACTTGTTGCCCTGGGGAGCTTGAAAAAACATTGACGCTCAACACCTGCCACCAACAGTTCTAATTTAACAGTTCTAGTTGTCACTAAAGTATTTTTTAGATTGGGCTGGTTTATAGCTCTTGAAATGTTCAGTGATACTTTTTTGGGGGGTGGGGGGAGATGGAGTCTCACTCTGTTGCCCAGGCTGGACTGCAGTGGCACAATCTCAGCTCACTGCAACCTACGCCTCCTGGGTTCAAGCGATTCTCCTGCCTCAGCCTCCCGAGTAGCTGGGATTACAGGCGCATGCCACCACACCTGGCTAGTTTTTTTGTATTTTTAGTAGAGTTGGGATTTCGCCTTATTGGCCAGGCTGGTCTCTAACTCCTGACCTCGTGATCCACCCGCCTCGGCCTCCCAAAGTGCTGGGATTACAGGTATGAGCCACCGTACCCGGCCAATACTTCTTTTACTCTGATATGATAGCATTATTTCTGAGACATACCTGAAATAAAATGTTCTACAATTAAGGAACAGATAGTCTCAGATATAATCCTGCAGAAAAGTACACAGATGCCTTGATCTATTTATCTCGGAAGCACCTTGTTATGTTATATTCTCTGCAAGACTGGGAGGAGTAACCCCACCTCCTGGCAAGAAAACTAGCCATGGAAGCAGGACCACGGCCTCAAACCAGTTGAGACCACTAGAGTGAGGAAATTGCAGTTCAAGGAGCTTCACTTTTCCTTCCTGAAACCCTTTCTTTCCTGTGTGCCAGTCTCTATTGATTCTGGTTTGACTCCTCTGAGGAGTCTGTTCTTTAGCTAGTTACTGCTAGATGGGCTTTGAGCACGTGCTTCTTTGGCAAGGAATTTCCATACCTCCCTTAAACCTCTTACTTGCATGGCTTGTGAAGAAGTTGTTTGGAGTTAGAAGACACACAGACCAGTGTCTCTGCTTCAGTTTGGACTGGTTCTCAGCCAACCTTCTGTAGACCAAGTAGATGGCACCTGGGAAGGTGCACGAATCGATGGGTTAAGGTGTCTTAAGCCATTTTAATATGCCAACTTAAGCCAAGAAGACCATAGAGGAGGAAGAGGCAAGTCACAATCAGATTTCTCCGGGTATGCCTGGCACTTTTAGAATTTATTTTTGAGTTGACATCCAAAAGGAAAACTAGCAAACTTCCCTACCTAACGTGGTGATCAGACTTAGACAGCTGTTTCCTAGAAATAATAAAACAACTTCAGTTCACCCCGTGTGTGTGTGTGTGTGTGTGTGTGGTGTGTGTTTGCATCAGCAGGACCCATTTGATGAGATGCCTCTTGCCACATACCTACCTGTTGACCTGTCTTAGGAAGGAGAGAATAAGGAATAGCCTGGCAACTGAGTTGTCAGCATGATTAATCATGAAACTTAGACTTACAGTGAGAGCCAAGATTTTCTCTGGTTCTAATGTGTTCAAGAAGCATTTATAGTCTTCCCTACATAGAAGACATTCCTTCTGCTTTTTTATAGCTTAATCTCTGATCCTTTCTATTTTTAATCACTGTAAATTATTTTTCATCCTTATAAAAGTTTCCCAGTTGAAAATATACTAGCTCACCTCTTTATGGAACTTACTAGTATTATATACGATTTTAACAAAGCAGTGCCAATAACCCCATTCAGATGGGAAAGAGAAGGTAATTGCACAGTTCAACAAAGTGAAGGTCATATGTATTTTATAAAACTAAGCACATTTTTATTGTGGCATCTTCTTTAATATTTGTGATCCCTTTGGCCAACATATATTGAAAAATATATGTATATATATAGCTACGTTCCACTGTGCTGCTTCATAATAAATACTTTAGTGATTTCTCCCTGGGTTTAACCTAGTATTGTTATCTATCAGTCTACTTACTCAGTGATGTAAAGCTTTTATTTCTTATGTATGGCCTGCAGACTTGTGTTTTCTTGTTCTTTTTCCTTCTACTTTTGGGGTTTATTTTGTATCATTAACCGTTTGTGTTTGCTCTCAGTTCTGTTTAGCATGTTATAAAGCTGGATGCTTACAAATCAGTGAAATGATCACAAAGTGTCCCTTATAATCTCCTCACTGCCCTGCATCTTTGTGTGTTCCCTGTGATCAGGTGCCTATAGGGCTTTTCACAGGGTATTTGACTTGGCCCTTTGAGCCTCTGGCAGAGGTGCAGGACTTAGGCTTTCCCAGTGTTGATTCTGCATAATGAAAGCAAAGAGCATGGGCAGGTAGAACCAATAATGGGCAGAATAAAAGAAGAAACTGATGAGCTCTGTCCCAGAAATTCAGCCTGCTTTTGGACATGGTATTCTCTTAGCTGCTATGATTCAGTGTGCTCATTTAGTACTGCCCTGAGGTAGAGGAAGAAAAACATTAAAAATAGTTGGTCTTGAATACAATGAACAGGTTTAAAAATGGAAGCTCTAGTTCTATGAATCTTACTAGTTTACCAATATATTATTACAGGAAGTGTAAGAAACTTTCCTTTAGAAGATGTCAAGATAGCTGAGAAAGCATTTCTTTCTGGGTACCTAAAGATAACCATGTCATCAAATACATGGTAATTTTTATATTTAATGGGATACCTTTTTGTCATATTCAGTCTTTACACTCCCAACTTCAGCCAAATGGGCTTCTTAAATTAATACTTTTTTTAGCTGAGTAAGCATGCTTACCTTTTCCCTGAATAAAATGCTTACTGCAATAAGTCATATCCAGTAGTATATGTATAGTATTAGCAACTAAACACTAAAAACAGTGCTGGCATTAAAACTAAAAAAAGAATACATTAGATATTTGGAAAGTTCTTGTCTGTTTACAGCACTGCGTTATATAAAATCCAGTTCCTCATGCATGCACTTTCTTTCATGAGTCTAAAGTGAATGATGTAATTTTTTAACAGAGATTGCATAGTGGTATGTTTCTCAGTATTCAAGAGAGTTTATATTAAGTGTGTAGTTCAGCTCTCAAAATAGCTCCTCTTTCATCTGTAATGCTTTTAAGGCTTAAAACTCCCCCATAAATTTAAAATGGCAGAGCTTATAGATCTTGAAGATCAACAGTTATAAAGATTTCTGGGGAAAATGTAAGATTTAAAGAAAACTGTTAAATTATGAAGTACAAATGATACACAATGGAGAGTTTGGCTTCATCAAAGTGAATCACTGCACTCATTTAGATGTATCTTCAAAGTTTTAAAACCATTTCATCGCATGCAAAAGTAGAAGCATTTCAGGGTTAAAACACCTTTCAGGGGGTAGGTAGGGTCTCTGTCACCCAGACTGGAGTGGCACAATATCACGGCTCCTTGTAGCCTCTACCTTCCCAGGCTGAGGTGATCCTCCCATGCCTGGAGCTGGGACTATAGGCGTGCACCACCATGCCCGGCTAATTTGTGTATTTTTTGTAGAGATGGGGTTTTGCCCCGTTGCGCCCAGGCAGATCTCAAACTCTTGGGCTCAAGCGATCCAGCCACCTCAGCCTCCCAAAGTGCTAGGATTACAGGTGTGAGCCACCACATCTAGCCTAAAACACCTTTTCTTTTCTAAGCATGCATAAATTATTGTATCTTCAAATCCACTATATCCATGGTTATTTGAGAAAATGAATTAAAAGTCACGTGCCCTAAATACTTTTATGAAAAATAAATACTTTATAACTTGCTTTTGCTTTTTAACTATGAAATTAATTAATCTAAGCCAACTTTCAAATGTAGGTTTGGGAGTTGTTGGGTTTTGTCGAGGTTGAGAAGACTGCCTTTTTTTTTTTTCAAATACAGTTTTCAGTTTCAAATGCTCCTTTGAAATATTAACATTCAATAGGAGATAAATTAAACTTAAAAAAAATTATGTTCACCTAGTTAATTCTGCTAGGTAAACATAGTGAGGCATGGCAGAAAGAAAAAGATAACATGAGGCCTGGCAGAAAATTCTCCAGCTTAAGCAGAAGCAGCAACAAAGATTAAAATGTAGTCTCTTGCCCATCTCAGTTGTCAATCATCAAATTAAATTTGCCATGTAGGTGAGAATCCTGGATTTTCATTGTAGATAATCTTGGAGCTCTTCCTAGAAAAATAATTTAGGAAATTAAACTCCTCTTTTTGTTTTCGTGTCTCTAAATATGCTTTGTAAAATTGAATGCCTTATGGAGAGAAAAAAAGTAGGCAAATTTACAGCATGCATTTTCGTGCCCATCCTGTAGCTTCCAGAAGAATTAGAGGCAGTAAAATCTGAAAAGTCATGACTTTTAGCAGCATATTATCAAATGAGGGATTTTTTTTTCTAATTGAGATTTCTCCATGTAGTAGCCACCACCAGGTCTTTTTAGGCTCAACTAGACATGGAGACTGGTAAGACCCAAATAGGCCACCCTTGGTGTTATATTCACTTTGCAGGACACAGGACAGGAAACAGAAGCAGGACAGTGTTAGGCATTGTTATTCCTGGGGTTCCTCACAGCAGCCTAGAGAAGAACCTCTGGCTCTCAAATGACAGCGTAGGTGCAAGGAGATGAGAGCCATCTCGGTGAGTGCAGTCACCTTGGTCTAGAAGCCCCATGTCCCAAATAGGACCAATATTTCTGAAACAACTCTATTAGCAGAGTTTGCAGAGTTCCTGCAGAGGACGTGTCAATTCGAAGAGTCAGTAAACCTAGGGAAGCCCAAACCTGTGGCTACCCACCAGGTATTTATAGTTGATTCACAGTTCTCCCAATTCAGATGTAGTGTAGGAATTTGGAAACATTTTTGCCATAAGCCATGCTACCTAGTAACACAGCTGATGTCCTGCCTTTATGAAATTTCCAGAAGAACACAGCTAGAGGGTTGACCCAAGGTCAAACTCATTCATAGAGCAGGAGAAAGCGTTTTGCTAACCCTTTTCCCACACTGCACAACCTGGGAGTTAATAAATTCTGTTCTATTTCACTACGAAGGGAGCTTTTTCTGATTAATTTCCAGCCACCTGAGTTGATTCTAGATAGAATTATTTGGCACATCTAAAAATCGCTAATTTGCGTTCCCCTATGATGCTCAGAGGAACAGGTTGTAAGAATGGTTCCTTAGGGAAATATTACTTTTCCTATATGCTTAAAAACAAATTTCCAGGGATTTAAAATATATTTAGTTATATTTAGTAATAACCAGTCCTAAATCAGGCTGACTTTCTGTTTAAGAGGGATTTGATATCCTCTCTGGTCAATCCCAAAGAATGTTGGTAATAAGCTGATACCTGCAGACATGTGTGTTGCTGTCTTATTTCTTTAACAGGTGTGCATTGAGACGTACATAAGCAGCTGTCACCAGCGTAGCATAAACACTGCTGTGCGGGCAACTCTCAGTCAAATGCTGAGTGACTTGACTTTACAGTTACGACAGAGGCAGGAGAATACGGTGAGTCTGTGACACCCCCATGTTCATCACCTTCCTGGTGGTGTCTGTGTATCCCATGCCCCGGGGCCCCCACTGCCAGGGCTGCCTGCCTCCTGAAAACAGTAGGAAGAGCTTGCTTGTTTTAACAGAACATTTATTTGTACACATTAAGCTCTTTAGATGTTTGCCTATTTCACCCTAAAGCTTTGAGAATTGCTTTTCCTTGCAGTTTCCGTGATTTTTTGAGTTATTTTAAAACTTATTTTTTAATCATTGTTTTAAAACTTCTCATACTGAAAATTTTTATTAGAAACATTGCGATACACTAACAAATATTGGAAGTAAATTTGAAATTAAGAAAAATGAATAGAATTTATTACATGCTTTGAGGTTGGGTATGTTTCCCTTTGTTAACTAAAAGATGGTGGCAGGAGGCCTCCTTCACCTGCTGGGGCCTTCAGGGTGAAACTAAACTTGTCTTCTCTCTATCATCAAAGCCCACTAGAGCTTTTTGCTCTAAACTTGAACAGATTGTCTAAAGTGAGCATTCCAGGGGAAAATGTAAACGTAATTGGCTCCTTGTATATATTATCTTCTGGGAATGTTAATGAGAGAGTGATTCCTCTTCAAAATTGGTGTTTTGTGTTGTTTTAAAATCTGCCTCTGTCATAATTTAGATTAAAATCCTTTTGAAATCTGCAAGGAGTGTTCTGAAATGACATTAGTTATTTGTTCAAATGGAAAATCTCAGTTACAGCTGGACGTGGTGGCTCACACCTGTAATCTCAGCACTTTGGGAGGCCGAGGCAGGTGGATCACCTGAGGTTAGGAGTTTGAGACCAGCCTGGCCAACATAGCGAAACCCCGTCTCTATTAAAAATCCAAAAAATTAGCCGGGTGTGGTGGTGCACACCTGTAATCCCAGCTACTTGGGAGGCTGAGGCAGGAGAATCGCTTGAACTCAGGAGGTGGAGGTTGCAGTGAGCTGAGATCATGCCCACTGCACTCTAGCCTGGGTGACTGAGTGAAACTCTGTCTCAGGAAAAAAAAAAAAAAAAAAGAAAGAAAATCTCAGTTACAGTCCCAGATATCTCTGAAATTAATTTTATAAAAATTAGGATTTCTTATTTAACCTCAACTATTTGTAATTATTTTTAATTTCAATTATTTTCTAATTTTTAGAAAATCATGGAATTGAGGAGAGCCTTAGAGATGATCTAGTCAAATTCTTTTTTCCTCATTTATAGATGAGAAGGTGAAACTCAGAAAGATGAAATCGAAATCTAAAATGAATGAGCTTATCAATGAAGGAGCCAGAAGTAAACCCCTGGTCTCTAGCTGACTGCCAGTGCAAGTTCTCAGTTAATATGTGCTCTGGCAGCCAGTGTTGAAAACAACACTAATCTGAAAAAACAAATATTGATTTTTTTTCTTTTCTGTTTGCTGTATCCAAAGCCCCAGTTTCTATTAAAAATTGTTTTAACTTGAGATATTTTTATTACTTTAGCTTACAGCTTGCTAAAAACAATTTTATTTATAGTAGGATTTTGGATATAGCTAGTATGGGAATATTTAGTTTAAAAGAAATTAAAATACATAAATAGAAAATAAGAGAAAAAAATTTTAATTGAGATAAATCTAAGATGTTGAGAAATCTTATAATATACACTCATATTTCATCCATGCTAAATGACAATATGATCAAACACTATATTAATAATATCCTAATATTTTACATCATTTAAATCAAACTTTGTAATTTCAAAGTGCTTTCAATTATATGAGTTCATTTAATCTTATTTTAAAATTTTTAAGTAGGAGAGTATTAGGTTTCCAGTCAAATATCCCAGCCTTTTAGCTCATACTGCTCTTCCATAAGAATGGCAAAGGTATGGCTGTGGAGGTGCAGGTGATACTGTAGAGGCTGTCTGTCTCCATCCTGGGTATTATGTGGCTAAACAGCCTTCTGGTCCTGCTCATCACGGACCATCTGGACTCACCCCAACCGGAGGCAAGATCTCAAATTAGGTGGAAAATTGGTGTTTCCTGTTATTTCCTTTCTATTACTCATGCGGTCCCTGGAGATGTGATTCCATGTCCCAGAAAACATAGGTCTCAGGTTGCTGGTATTTGAAGCATTTGTGATGTCCAATGGAGGGAGACATAAGTTTTGCCGCATAAGAATTTACGTATTTTTTTTAAAGCTCTTAAAGTGGAATCATCTATAGGAATGGAGGGGTTTGCTCTAAAGAGGCCACGTATTCCCCTGGGAAACACTGAGCATTACCTGGGGAAGATGCGTATATTTTCTAGCACGGCCTATCACTGTGCAAAAGAAAATTTTTAAAATCTCAGGACCCCCAAATTTTTTATGCCAAAGGGAAGGTTAAGCCTGGAGGCTGAGTCATGTAACACCCTCTTCCGAATGAGATGCTGCTACTAGCGTTATGCATTAGCCAGACCACCTCAGAAGGGTAAAAGGCCTCAAGTATATCCAAATGACTGCCCCCACAGATCACTCAAGTCAAATCTTTGCTGGCCTCCCGTAAACAAGGACATGCCTATTGTAACTTTAGATCCGCAATCTAGGTCTAGCGCCTAAAACTAAAATCTGTTTGATTCCACACTGATAAAGTTGATTACAAGCCCATCTTCCCAGGTGCAGAATAAAGGCAAGATCCATCACTCCTCTGTCTACCCAGAGATATCTGCATAATTGATTCTTCCGTTACTCCCATTTTTTTCTTCAAACATTCACCTTATGTAAAATTTAGATTTACTGGGCACTAAGTAAAATCTCACAAGCATGTAACCATTCGTGTTACTGCCTACCTGCCCTTCTTCCTACATGCCTTCCCCCTTCCTTTAAGGAAATGTAGAAACCTCCTGAAATGTAAAACCTCCTGAAAGCCTCTTCAGAAAAACAGCCACAGGTGCAGACAGCCACAGGTGTGTCAGCAGCTCACACTTTTCCCGGGCGTGCCCTAAAGCTGGCTTAATAAAACTCAATTGATTGAGATACTTGCCTCAGTCACTCATTTCAGTTATCAACTGGAAAGACATCATGGGCCACCTCAAAATTAGGAAGGTTAAATGCAGTGGAAAGAAAATAAATAATGTAGAATGCCAAAATCACTAGCAGGATGTGTATCTTCAACCTAATAAATGTTTATCCCCAGCTGCATGCCAGGACAGACGATAATTTTGATTTTGTATCGTCACAAATCCTACATATTATCCAGCTTTATTATTGAATTATTTTAGGTAACCTAAGCTATTGTTAAGTTGTAAGTTACTAATTTCAAAAAGTAAAGTTGCTACATTTAAATATTTGGGGCTGAAAGGTTGAAGGATTCTCCTACCCTTAAATATGACTTAAATGTGCTTCCTCCGGAATGTTGTTCTCAACTTGACTTTAGCCATTCTGAGCTGTAGATACTGACATAACATTTCGCAAAAGTTGTTGTGGAAGCAGCTGAGCTTGCAAATTAATGAGCAGAGAATGGTAGAAATGCGTGCCTGTAGCAAGTTTAAAAATTAAATCAGCACCATGGGATGAGTTACGTGTCCGGTAATTAGTTGGCATGAAAATACTTCCGGATTATCTCTTGGTGCAAAGAGGTAAGGAGAATAAAGTGCCACCTTCCTAGTCTCTTCTCAGTAGTCACTGAGTTATCCCTGCAATGGGAAGTAAGTCTGATTATTTGTAAATGTCTTTTCCTTCCTATTTTCCCTTCCCTCACAGTTCTGTCTCTGCCCTCATAGTTCTGGATGTACCTAGCCAAGAGCAGCTGGCTAGGTACAGTTAAAATGCTCCCCATCAAATACAAAGATGGAGATTCTGACCAGTGGTTATCTTTGGACCTGTATTTTGAAGTCCAGGAACCTAATCCTTCTTATGGCCAAGAGTCTGTGTTTATTAGGGGCCACGCACAGTATCAGCTGTAGCCTTGGAATAGGTTGTTCTCTGTGCGAAATTAACTCACCTCTTCAGGTAGGCATTGCCCCAGGTCACAGCCCAGCATCTTGGAATCCTGCGAGTTTAAGTGCACCACAGGGTTTAAACTTCCAGGAAGTATCCACGCCAGAGTGTCCACACAAACGTGACTGAATTATTTTGGGAACTGATAAGCTCAATTCCAGAGATCATAATCTGTCTCATAAACACCGTGAATAATGAAACGCTCTCAAGAGCTGGTGGGTAGGGGTGGGCTCAGGCAAGGTAGCCGAGCCCAGGGCACCCCGGAAGCCATTTTGTTTCCTAGAATTTTCCCATTGTCAAAGAGTCAAGATTTTTCTTGCCTGAATCTCCTAATTGTGTGTGTGTATCTCCCTTACTAGATAATTGAAAACCCAGATGTCCCACAGGATTTCGGGAATCAAGGTATGGCATTTGATTTGTACTAGTTCAGTTTTTAAAGCAGGTGTGAGAATGCCTACTGTGTGCTTGGAGTGAGGGGTACAAAGATGTCTAGGAGCTCTCGGTTGTTTTACCATTCTCTTGGAGGTTGTGCTTGGCTTTGCCTTAGGTGGCATTATTTAATCAGCTGTTGTCTTCCTTCTGTTCCTACGTTCACTTATGCCAACCACACCTGTTCCTGATCTAACTACCTGAGGGAAATTAACGCTTCACATACCTCTCATTTGGAGGCGGGCTTTGTTAGTTACTTCATTCTCCATGAAGTCAGGTTTAATTGCTAAAATGAGAATAACTAGATAGAAGATTATAGAAACCTGATTGGCATACAGTGTTATTGCACCAGAATTGTGTTTGTCAAATACCAATTTTTTGACATGAATGATGAGTCATCTCACAGGGCCTCTTGCAGACAGCCCAATTTAAAGATCAGCTGAAATCAAGTTAAGGAACTTTCATTCTGACCCACAGGAAAAGAAAAAATATAGAAGTCCACATATATAATTAACCAGCAATTTAATTTTTAAAAACAGGTTTGATAATATTGTTTTCTGAAAGTATGCAAAAATATCTGATTAAAAAATTGAAATTTAGACTTTGTTCAGTAATTTTTTAAATACTGCAAAAATCTGCTTTTCTATTATATGTGCCAGTTAATAATAGTGAGAAGGAGATGGAGGTGAGGAGGAGGGAAAAAAAAAGGGAGAGAATGAAAAGGAGAGAAACAGCTTAATAGCCACAATTAGGAGAGGAAGAGTATTTGAAAGAAATGAGGAAGAGACACGCCTTAAGTCACATTCTAAAGCATCACTAGAGTTGTTTCACTAGAGTATTGTTTCAGTCCCATGATGCCACATTCTTGGGCCGCGGACTGGAAGGTGCCCTTTTCAGTTGGATGCTCTCAGTGACGTGCGCTAAGATGTTCCATCTTCCTTTCCTCTTTTTGGCTATGGTGTTCTCATAAAGGCTTCACTTTAATGTAGGATGATTTTATAAACTAAAAAAAGGGGGTCTGCGACTTCTTGGTCAAGGATACATCTCTAAAAAATATAGTAGTAAAAAATTGACAGAGGACTCATTTGGCGTTTGTCTAAAATTGAGCTTAAGGACTACTTGTGTGGGTTTTATTAAACTATGTTTTATCATTGTAGCTTATTTCTTCTTTTTTATTGCTGCACTTAAGATCTTAATTCTGAGGACCAGGCATTTATTTCTCTTTCCCTGCCTTCCTCCAACCTTACTTTCTCTCTTACACATTTGCCATTTTCTCTCCATCTTCCTTGACGTACCGTCATCATTCATTTATACATTCATCAGATACTTAGAGCCACATTTGTAAAGACGTTTACAGGTTTTTTATTTTAGAAAACAAATGCTTCCACTTACTATTTCATGTAGCCTGACAATTCTGTGAAATTGGTATTATTTATCCCATTTTTGCCAGAAGAAAAACTGAAGTTTGCCCAAGCTCACACAATCAGCAGTTTTCGATATGTAGTTGAACAGATTCCAGATTTCAGCCTTTTTCCCACTCTGCTTCTGTGGGAGTTTTGGTTCTAGTTGCTGGAAACTAGAACACATTTAGAGGGAAATTTTATTTTTCTGACATTGACTGTTGCTTCAGTATCAACAAAGACCATGTGCCCTGCAGATACTCAACAAATAAAGTAGGTAAAGATTTGGCTAAATTATTTCACCCCATTTTTCTCTGATTTCTTAGTTCCAAAGCCCATCTTTTCCCATGCTACCTTATTTTATCTCTCTGTGATACCATTCTAAACAGCTCAGAAGACCCAGAAATTCAAGGGTCAGAATAAGGAATACACACATAGACCACTGGCCTAAATATTAAGAAAATTCTTGTCCATCAAGATGTTTTTGAAATTACTAAATTTCTCTTTGTTAAGTGTGAGTGATTTTTATTAATAAGAAACAATCTATTTTCTTTCTGGACTATCTTTTGCGTGTTTTGCTTTAGAAAGAATAATTATAAGCCAGGCGCGGTGGTTCATGTCTGTAATCCCAACACTTTGGGAGGCCGAGGTGGGTGGATCACCTGAGGTCAGGAGTTCAAGACTAGCCTGGCCAACATAGTGAAACCTGTCTCGACTAAAAATACAAAAAATTAGCTGGGTGTGGTGGCAGGCGCCTGTAATCCCAGCTACTTAGGAGGCTGAGGCAGGAGAATCACTTGAATTTGGGAGGCGGAGGTTGCAGTGAGCCAAGATTGCGCCACTGCACTCCAGCCTGGGTGACGGAGTGAGGCTCTGTCTCCAAAAAATAAACAAACAAACAAAAGAATAATCACACTTAATTCTTATCATTTCTGTGATCATCACTTTGGTGGCCTAAGGGCTTCTCCACATCTGAAAATCATCTTTTCAGTCTCAAAAACCATCTAAAGTGGAGGATGGGAAGGATGGTTCAGGGAGCTCGTCGTGCCCCCTGTCGATGTCTCATGCCTGTAACCTCCTCTGTTTTGAAGGGTCAACAGTAGAGTCCCTCTGTGATGATGTTGTCTCTGTACTCACCGTCCTGTGTGAGAAGCTGCAAGCCGCCATAAAGTAAGTGCCCTAACCACTGCCGCTTTTCTTTACCAGTGGTCTACTTCTGAAATAACCTTTGTCTGCAGCATCACTTCAAATTATGGATTGTAAGATTATAGGGACAATAGTTTCCCCCCTCCACACCCTAAACGCTGTTATTTACTAAGGAATATATTCTGAAAGTTGGTGCAGTTCAAATAACCAAATACCATTACTAGAGTATATAACTTTCTGATGTGACAATGGGAAGATGATACCTTACAGAGAACAATTGCTTCATGGAGCATGAAGCTGAGTGGGAAGAATCCTGGGCTGAGTGCTGGTTGGTATGAGAGCCAGTCCTGTCTCAGCCAGATCTCAGCTGTGTCCCGGTGCCTGACTCTTCTCATCAAACCATGCTGCCCTTTCTTCCTCTACCAAATGACAGCGTTGGACTGTGCTCTATTTCTTCTAACATTCCAGAGCCTATGAGCTCACACAACTGTCTTTAAAAAGAGCATGTTACTCTTTTACTTTTTTTTGTTTTGTTTTGCGTATCAGCTTAATCAATATCTGAGTTCACTTAGGTGATGCCTGCTGCTCCATCTTTCCGTGCAGTCATTAACAAGACAACCTATGCACCTGTAGTAAAGCCAAATCATAAAACACCAGACTTTCAACATGGGGCGAAAAGTCTCCACCAGCTACATATGCCATGAATTGCAAAATTCTACAACACATTACAATTCTGAAGTGTCCTTTGAATCATGAAAGACATTAAACTATCATTCATTGGTAACTAGGACATCTGATAATGCAGAAAACTCACTTGTTGAATTTTAAATGCAGTAATGAGTTGGGAGAAATAGTCTAGTTGTAGGCAAGAATGAGGACTCTCACTTTGCTGGAAACATTGCAGAAACTCATTTTGTTATTTGTTTTGCTTTTGGTTTCTCAGAAATTTAGGATTTTTTAAAGCTAAACATGGAATTACTCTTAAAAGTTGTTGCCAAATGGTTTCTTCGTCAATTCTTCTGTTGTTCCTGTAAGTCACCTCTATATTTTGACCAAAGTAAGCTCTCTTTATTGAGGCACTTCAAGGCACAAATAGAAAATAAAATAGTGGTACCAGGGTTGGGGTAGGGGAGAGGAAACGGGGAGATATAAGGCAAAGGATTCAAAGTAGCAAATGTGTAGTTGAATAAGTCTAAAGATCAAATGTACAACTTGGGGATTATAGTTATTAATAGTGTATTGTATTCAGGATTTTTGCTAAATGAGTAGCTTACAGCTGCTCTTGCCACTGGGATGTGGATGGGTAGTGGGAGGAAATGAGTAACTGTGTGAGATGATGGATATGTTAATTTGTTTCACTATAGTAACCATTTTACTATATATATAAATCCTATAACATCATGTTGTAAACCTTAAATATGCACAATAAAGTTTATTTTTAAAAATGAAAAAGCCTATATAATACATGGATAGCATAAACCAAAAAGAAATAGCACTTAACTTTTTCCCTACCCCCACCCTCAAATTTCTCCCATCCCTGGACCCTGGCAGGCTAGGCAGACAGCAGGTCTGGGCTTCCCCTTGCTCAGGAGGGCTGAGTCCTACAGCAGATGGATGTAAATAGTTCCTGCTGTACCCTGCTTAGGTGCCCATCTTTCCTGACCATGGCGTGTTGGAACAGTGGAGCTGGCACTCAGATTACCATCCTAACTGAGGGCTCTAGCACCAACTGCAGCGACCCCATCTGTAAGGCCCCTATGCCACCTGCTTTGCTTGGGACAGTCCCAGATTTTACCTGTTGTGTAATAATTATAATTACCCTCCTTCACTCTCAAAGGTGTTCTGGTTTGGATAGGTCATGTGTTCACTCTACCCATCAATGACCAGAGGTCTGATCTGTTCTAGTGCTAAGTCCTCATCCCCGTCCAGTTCCCCTCCATCATAACACAGACAGCTGGTATAGCAGAGTTGGAATATGTTTCTATTGGCATATTTTCTCCTGAGACCCAATCAAGAGTGGTGTTTAATCACTATTGGCTCAACTACATTATCTTTGTTGGATTACCTGGGTTAAAACCCACGCTTTGCCCCTTACTGGCATGTGACTTTGGACAAAGATCTGAACCACCCTAAGTCTGTGTATCCTATAAAATAATTAATAGACTATTTCTTATGATAATTACTATAATATTGTATAGAATATAATATCAGTCATATAAAACGCATTCATGTTTTTGTAAGATTGAGTGAGAAAATTCACTTAAAAGACTGGGAATGCCCATCAGCCAAAGAGCTCCAGGAACACCTGAAGTTAACAGGATTCATTTTAGTAACTTCTTATATGAGGGAGCCTGTCCACCACGGGAAACCACAGGACAGTAAAAGGGTGTTAGGAAGGGTTGTTATAGGATTTTAACATGAGTTAGGTGACTTAGAATGGGTTAAAAATTGAGCGTTCTGTTCAAAGATTGGGTGCTGTCAGAAAGTAGGCGCAATTCTAGCACTGGGCATCTTAAGTTTTTCTAGCAGACAGGATGAACAGATGGGAGCTAGAGTTGTCATAGAAGAAGAAGTGGGAGTCAGTCATAGGGGAGAGGGACATTTGTTCATTTTTGTGGTCATATAGAGCCCTTTTAAAAAAGAAGACCTCTGTTCAGGCATGGCCGCTGATTGGCTTTCATCCTGTTCCAGCGCAGTCATGGTGAGTCCTCATCTGATCTTAACCCTGTGAACTTGTTTGTGTTCACCAGGGGACACCACAGCCTCGCCGGTGGCAGCCAGGTACTTCCAGCTGTCGGGGGTGCTTCTCCCTTACCCCTGCTCCACCCCCAGGTCCTAGCATTGGCAGGGAATAGAACGAAGACCACCAGAACTACAAAAAATATAAAGACTGCATTTGTTACTTCACAAGCAAGGGAAAACTAATTAGCTAAACTTTTTTTCTGAGTAGTTTTCTAAGGGAAAAATCTGGAGTTTTTAAGTGCTAGAAACGTGGGAGAGGCTCATGGTAGTTATGCCAGTTAGTAATTAAAACCTAGCTAGAGGTCAGGAGTTCGAGACCAGCCTGGCCAACATGGTGAAACCCCATCTCTACTAAAAATACAAAAAATTAACCAGGCGTGGTTGCAGGTGCCTGTAATCCCAGCTACTAGGGGGGCTGAGGCAGGAGAATCGCTTGAACCAGGGAGGCAGAGGTTGCATGAGCTGAGACTGCGCCATTGCACTCCAGCCTAGGCAACAAGAGCAAAACTCCGAAATAAATAAATAAATAAAATAAATAAGTCCCCTAGCCAGCAAGATAAGGCAGAATGAGTCTGTAGGCCCAACACGGATAGGCTTAAAACATACCATTGTTCCTTAGTCAGAAAAGAGTCTTAGAGTAGGTCCAGTGAATGCCTGGCATTCTGGGGTTCAAGTTCATGGTTCTTTAAACCTGGATGGTTCCAGCCACCCAGGAACCCCCATCAGCTCCAGGAATCCCTCTCATGTAGTAAATATTTGACATACATTTGCTTTAAACTGGTTTGTTTGCTTTTAGAATAGTTGCTGCTAATTCTAGTCATCACACAGTTAAGAACACTGGGCTGTGTACATCAGAAATTTGACTGTAGATTGTTAGGAAAATGCATTGTACAAACAAACACTGCAAATGCACACACATACATATTAGAAACTAAAGGTTGTAGATTTCAATCAGTCACTGAAAAACAAAGCATTTCTTAACCACATGACTTAAGAATAGGTATTTTGTTTTTGTTTTGTTATTATTATTTTTATTTTTTGAGACAGTCTCACTCTGTCGCCCAGGCTGGAGTGCAGAGGCGTGATCTGGGCTCACTGCAACTTCCACCTCCTGGGTTCAAACAATTCTCCTGCTTCAGCCTCCTGAGTAGCTGGGACTACAGGCATGCGCCACCACACCCAGCTAATTTTTTATATTTTTGGTAGAGGCGAGGTTTCACCATGTTGGCTAGGCTGGTCTCTTGGTGGCTAACTTCTGTAATCCCAGCACTTTGGGAGGCCCAGGTGGGTGGATCACTTGAGGTCAGGAGTTTGAGAATAGGTTTTAAATGGAGAAAAGAATTCATGTGCATATGTTTCTAGGATTTCTCATTGTACATTGGATCAAAGATGGCTTTAGGCATGTTATTTTAGAGCTTAATGATTTTATAGGATTCTCAGTCTTGTTTGATTTTCCAGTACAATTCCCCTGGTCATAGTTCTGCCTCTAGAAATTGATTGCTTTGTATGATTTTGGTATTTGCCATCACGACTCCATTACCCTAAAATGGGGGCCTTTTGCTAAAGATGCTGGGGGCACAGGATGCTTAGCATAGCTGTAAGGGAAGACCTTTATGTCCACCTGGTAAGATAGTCCCGTGCACCAGCTGCTCTCAGTCTGGTGCTTCTGTTCATTCTCCTTGCTAAGTTTTTACTTGTGTACCATTGCTTCTGATTTTACTAACTTAATTCCTTTATTTCTATTAGCTAAACTGGATGCCTCTTCTACTCTCTGAATAGGCGATTCCTCTGAAATCACACCAGAATCAGTATTTACTAACCTCAACAGCCATTTCCAAAATCAGTGCCTCTTAGGGCTTTAGCTCTGTAGGGGTGTGTGTTCATGATATGCTTGGACTCTTGGGAGGATTCAGAAAATGTATTCAGGTACGCAGAACACTCCCTCGCATGCCTTGGAGATGTGGTATTAATAGAATCCTATGTTAGGCAAGTTGAGTTACATGATGCTTTTTAAATCCAAGAATTTCTGGAAGGATAATTGGACTTAGAAAGATACTTACTTATTCTCTGCCTGTTTCCCACCACTCTTTCCCTGCTTCTCTCTCCTCCTAGAACAGAGAATGTTAGAGCGAAACCTATACCAACGCAGGCTTGGAATAGATGGGGCCTGCCAAAGCATTCCCACTGTCTGTCTTAATTCCATTTCACTCCTTACACACTTAATTTCTTCTCTCCTTTCTTTAACTAAATTCAAATCTATTTCTAAGGAAAGCAAAGTCAAAATGGTTCAAAACAAAACTCTAAGAGCTCCAGAGATACAAAACGTGCTAGGCTGCCCTCCCAGTAGCCTTGCCAGGAGGGGTGGCTGCTTTGCCTTCACGGCCTGCGGGTCCACGCCTGAGCGTTGTTCTCCACAGATCGTGCACCTGGGAAGAAGTTCAGTGATGAGCAGAGAATGAGACCAGCAGATACTAAGCCTGCCAACCATGAAATGCTCACAGAAAAGACCAAGAAAAGTGACTTACAGCCCTCCTAAGTAGACAGATTTTTCCCTCATGTGTTTTGAAAGAGTTGGCTGGTTTCTAGGTTACTTTTTGCCTTGTGCATTCTACTTACTTGTTTGTACAAGGACAGCTTTTACACGCATACATGCTGCGTACGTGCGTGTGTGTATCTAGTGGAAGGTGCTTACGTTTTAAACAGCTCCTTTAATGGTGTGACTCATGCATGGGCACGATCATCTGTTTTCCAGACTGCCGCAACCCACGGAAAAGCTGCTGCGTTCAGTCTCCAAGGAGACTCTCAGGCCAGTTACCTTGGCAATGTGTTCCCTGTCAGCGAGTCTGATAACCTGGGGGTTGAAGTATTCACCATGGCACACTTTGCCAATAGCTTGATGACTCATAGCTTTTCTATGGACTTATTTCCAATGATTTCAGAAATTGAGAGTCTTTCCTGTCTATAGTTGTTTTCGTTTTGTGATGCTAGACTGACAGTTTGAAAGAAAAAGAGAAATTTTTGAATTGGAGCATTTCATAATTTTTCTTCTTAATAACAGGTCAAGTGATTGGTCAGAATGATTAACTGAGACTACAGTGAAGGCAATCCTTCCAGAAGTGATTTTTTAAATATGGCTTACAATTGACACCATGGCCCTCTGATTTGTCCTGTCCACTCTCTTCCTCGTAAAGCAAACAAATTGAACATTCTGAAATACAGATCTGGTCATATCACTCTTTTACCTCCAGATAAAGTTCCAGACATCTTAGTGTGGCCTACAGGACCCTTCCTGATCGGGCCTCTGTCCACCTCTTGGGCTGATACCACCCTCACACCCTGTGCTTTAGCCACAAACCTCTCAGCCCAAATCCCTTCCTCCTCCACCCTGATATTTTGTCACACCTTTTCCTCTGCTTCACCATGCCACAGTCTCCTACTTGAACTTTAGGATCTACTAAGACAGCATGTCCTGTGGACATTCTTTCTAAGAAGTTGCTCCTGCCATATGGTCTCATAGAACCTTGCGTTAAGGTATTCATTCACAGCCCTTCCTACCAGTGCTTTATCTACTTGCTTATATGTCTGTCCAGTCCCGTAAGAGTGAAGAAACATGCTGTTTCATGTCAGGAGCTACGTCTTGGTCAAAAGCATAGGGAAGCTTGTAGGACTAGAAGCCTAGAAATGTGAAGTCCTTACCTGGCTCAAGAATGGCTCATCATTTCTTACTCTTCCTCCATCCATCACCTTCCTCTTGGCAAATAGTAATAACTTTTGTGGAGACTCAGCCTTTCCCCATTTCTTCTTCCACCCTCAAAGGGCGTGGTAGACAGAGTATATCCAAATATAAGTGGCATTCCCTTCTACAGAATAATAACATTATTTAATCACTATACAGCTTTCTTTGGACAAGGGAGATTTTAGAATATGGGTCAGGAACCTTTTTCTATAAAGGGCTACAAACTGTCTCTTTGTTTTTGTTTAGTTCTATAAACCTTAAAAGAAAATAAAAACAGTATTTTTAGTGGACAGACCATGGAAGAATTTTGACAAAGGGCTTTAGAGCATAATATCAATGTCAGTGTATTTAATGGCACATAAATACTAATATCAATGTCAGTGTATTAAATGGCACATAAAGGACTCCACCCCCTCACTATCCTCTGTCTTACAATTGTGTGGTCTTTCTCAATTTGGCAGTTGTGTGGATGTAACCTCTGGCCTTAGCACTGTCTACTGTTAACTTTTCTTTACTTCCTTCCTATCTCTTCAAGTTTCTAGTTGGCCTGCATGAGCCTTTCTGTTCCTTCCACCCCCTTCTCCTGGGGGTAATTTGAACTGTTAAAGACACTAGACTTCCTGACTTCCTTTGGACATTTATTTTAAATTAGGAGAAAGAGACATAACCAAAAATTATTTTTATAAGCAAGTTTTTCCTTTTTCTGAGTATTCCCATCCCACATTACTGAGTGAACTCTCTAAAAAAGGATTTATTATATATTTGCAATAAACATGTCCCTGAAAATTAAATTCTTCCTTAGCCCTATCTGTCACTCTTGTCACCTGCCTGGATTTTAATACTTTCTGGTAGGCTGGGCAGAGAAGTTAATCTGGATATTAGGAATGTGTTCCCCATAAAGCTGTCTGTTCTCTTCATCTGGCTCTGTTCCTCTATGAGGAACCCCATAATGATAACTTGGACACAAAATAATTTCTCCACTGAAAAATCATGTTTCCTCAGTAAAGAAGAAAAGTCTAATGCAAGTTCACAAAGTGTTCACCAATGAAAAGATAATGTGGTAAATGGTCTCTTGAAAGGTTTAGATAATATAAAAATTAGCATTTCTGCCATAAACTATGGACTTTAGTTAATATATCAATTTTTTATTAATTGTGGCAAGTGTACTATACCAATGTAAGATTTAACAATAGGTTCAATATGATAAATGTTTCATGGTCAGTTTTTCTATAAATCTCCAAGTGCTCTAAAAAGTAAAGTTTATTAGTTAAAAAAAAAAAATCACCCCAACTGTATTATCTTGCTGAGGCTGCTGTAACAAAGTGCCATAAACTGAGTACCTTAAACAAGAGTTTATTGTATTACAGTTCTGGAGCCTGTACATTCAAGATCAAGGCGTCAGTGGGGTTGGTTCCTCCTGAGAGGTGAGAGAGAAGGATCTCCTCAGGCTTCTCTCCGCGCCTTGTAGATGGCTGTCTTCTCCCCGTGTCTCTTCACACTGTCTTCCCTCAGTGAATGTCTCTGTGTCCAAATTTCCATTTCTTTAAGGACAGAGTCATGTTGGATTAGCATCCCCCCTAGTGAACTGAGTCTGACTTGATCACCTCTGCAAGGACCTATCTCCAAATAAAGTCACATTCGGAGGTGCTGGAGATTAGGACTCCAACCTATGAATTTGGGGAGAGAGACACAGTTCAACCCATAACACTAACCGTCCCCCTAAAACTAGCACTTTAGTAACGCCTACCATTTTTCCGAGCGTGTTTCCACACATCACCTCTTTAATTTTGCCTTGTCTTTTGTCTGCATTTGTGTCGGTTCTGCTCTTCTGCAGTGACAGCCAGCAGCTGCAGCTTCTCTACCTGGAGTGCATCCTGTCTGTGCTCAGCAGCTCCTCCTCCTCCATGCACCTGCACAGGCGCTTCACGGACCTGATCTGGTGAGCACCCACTCCTGACGCCCCGACGCTGATGCCAACCCAAGGGCTGCTGCTGACTGTGTCTCTGGGTCCCTCTCCATGAAGTCCATGACCCACCAGTAGTAGTTTCATCTGTGCGTAAATGTCTTAGAGGGAAAGCAGGGAAATTGTGGCCAGGTGCAGTTGTTCACACCTGTAATCTCCGCACTTTGGGAGGCCGAGGCAGGCATATTGCTTGAGGCCAGGAGCTCGAGACCAGCCTGGGCAACATGATGAAACCTCGTCTCTCCTAAAAATACAAAAATAGCTGGGCATGGCAGTTGTGGGCACCTGTAATCCCAGCTTCTTGGAAGGCAGAGGCATGAGAATTGCTTCAACCTGAGAGGTGAAGGTTGCAGCGAGCGGAGATAAAGCCACTGCACTCCAGCCTGGGTGACAGAGCAAGACTCTGTCCCAAAAAAAAAAAAAAATTAAATAATAATAATAATAATAGGCCGGGCCCAATGGCTCACGCTCCCTGCACTTTGGGAGACCTAGGTGGGCGGATCACAAGGTCAGGAGTTCAAGACTAGCCTGGCCAACACAGTGAAACCCTGTCTCTGCTAAAAATACAAAAATTAGCTGGGCATGGTGGCGGGTGCCTGTAATCCCAGCTACTCGGGAGGCTGAGGCAGGAGAATCACTTGAACCCGGGAGGCGGAGGTTGCAGTGAGCCGAGATCGTGCCTGGGCAACAGAGCTAGACTCTGTCTCAAAAATATATAATAATAATAAAGCAGATAAATTGCTTTGTTGACATCCATCAGACCAAACTCCGCAGAAAAACTGATGATGATTATGGCAGAATATGCTTCCAGGGCCGTCTTTGGTTTATATCATAGGATCATGAGAGACCAGAACCAGAAAATTTTTCTGTGTTTTCAGCTCGTTCAAAAAGCATGTAACTTATGCAGGGGGCAAGAGATACTGAGCTTTACTCCTAGCCCTAGCTCCATCTCAACACGAATACCAGTCTCTTAATCATAGTCAGAGATTCCCAGAAGTGACAGGCCCCACAGGCAGCCAGCTGGTTGTTCTGGGTCCCTGGGCTTATCGACAGGAAGGAAGCCAAATGATAGGTGTCAGTATGGAATTTGCAATTAACTTCTCAAATGAGAAATCATTTTGTTATTTGTAGTAATATGAAACTTTATAACAGCCATTTAGCATTTTGAGTCCATTTCTTCACTTATGATGGTTTCTTAATGCTTCTCTTATATTTTATTTCATTCATGCTAGCTCAATTTATGAGGAAAAGTATTGTTGAAATACCTAGAAATGTTAAAGAGACTTAGAAAACAGGCAAAATGTAGCCAAAAGAAGAAGAAGTAAAGAGCCGCACTCTTGTCATTTCTATGGCATCTGTTTACTCGCAGAGTAAATTTTATCATTTGGCTCGTGGGGAAAGTTACTTTTCTCACCATCTCTTCCCAGGAAAAACCTCTGCCCTGCTCTCATCGTGATCTTGGGGAATCCAATTCATGACAAAACCATCACCTCTGCTCACACCAGCAGCACCAGTACCAGCCTGGAGTCGGACTCTGCGTCTCCGGGAGTGTCTGACCACGGCCGAGGATCAGGCTGCTCCTGCACTGCGCCGGCCCTGAGCGGACCTGTGGCTCGGACTATCTATTACATCGCAGCCGAGCTGGTCCGGCTGGTGGGGTCTGTGGACTCCATGAAGCCCGTGCTCCAGTCCCTCTACCACCGAGTGCTGCTCTACCCCCCACCCCAGCACCGGGTGGAAGCCATCAAAATAATGAAAGAGGTGAGGAGGCACTGGAGATCGCCACCAGGTTTACAAGGGGGCCTGACCAGCGTTTCGCATACAAGAAGCGCTCAGAAAAGGCTTGCCAATCACTTGCCGGAACTTCATTACTGCCTCATGGTGTCCAGTAGCGAATGCTGTCTCTAGAGTCAGTGCGTGTGTACATGTATTGCGAGCTGGGGTAGGAGGGGTCAGTGATGCCCACTGATGCAAAACCGTTTGAGAATCGAGCTAGTGCTTGTTAAGACTCTGTTAGATGTGCACCAGACCAGGCCCATGCTGAGATTTCATTCTTCTACCTTACGTGCTGTTTGTGCAGATATATGTGTTTATTCGCCTTTGCCAACATTAGATTTCAAAATGATTTTATACTCAGGTTGCACATTATCCAACAAAAGAGCTCTGCCAGTCTCTGATTGCTAAGAGGAATCCCTTTGTCCCATTCTTTTGCCTCATTTCTCCCAAATGTCATGACCCCAGCAAGAACATACAGGTTGTCCAGATTGCAATAGCCATCCCAGTGTGCTACTTCATGGTTTTGAGGCAGAATTAGGGTTATTCTGAAGGTGCTTCAAACAAAGATTCCTCTGCCTTCTCTCAAAGAACCAAACAGAAAAGTCATCAGTGTTTTTGTATTTGTGAATATGTTCATAAAGGTCAAATTGCATTTCCTTTTGTTATCTCAACCCCCACCCCTCCAAAAAACCAGAGTAGCAAAATTCCCTTGTTGATGATTAATTTATTTTAAGCAATCATTGCTGCCAACCAATATCTAGAAGTTAAATTTGAATTCTTTCTTGGTGTTTTAATGAGATTTTATTGTAATGAGTATTGGAAAGTTCTGACCCACTATTTCTAGAAATTAAGGAGTAGCCCAGATTTAATGACTGTTAAGAAAATCTATGAGCCCACGATAATAATTACCATTCTTTTTCTTGCCTACTATATGCCAGGCACTTCACATATATTTTTTTAATTCATAATAAATTTGTGAGGTTGTATATCAACTTTTATTTATTTATTTATTTATTTTGAGACAGAGTCTCACTCTGTTGCCCAGGCTGGAGTGCAGTGGCACAATCATGGCTCAATGCAGCATGGACCTCCTATGTTCAAGTGTTCCTCCTACCTCAGTCTCCTGAGTAGCTGGGACCACAGCTGCATGACACCACACCTGGCTAATTTTTGTATTTTTTGTAGAGACGTGTTGCCCAGGCTGGTCTCAAACTCCTGAGCTCAAGCAATCCGCCCGCCTCAGCCTTCCAAAGTGCTAGCATTACAGGTGTGAGCCACCATGCCCAACCATCAACTTTATTTTTTCAGTTAAGAATGTTACTTCTTTTCCCCACCAGAGCTTCAGGCAATGGAGGTCAAAAGGCCAGCTTTAAGAATTGATCTTCACTAGATGGGCAGATAAAATACAGCTTTGGAGGCCAGTGAGACTAGACCACACTTCACCACTCAGACAGCAGTGGCCCTTCCCCAGGGTCCTCCCCTACTACTGTTCAACTTGCATCCTGGAGGGGCAAGCGTGGGCTTCCTCTGATTGGCAGATCCCCGGGAAGATGGGAGAGAAAGGTGCTAGTGAGGCATGCTCAGCTCCTTATCCTAAATTCACCAGTCCGATCAGGGGCTCTTCCTGTACCTGGAAGAAATGAGAGGAAGGGAGAAGAGAGGCCTAGAATTTTACTGCACTGGATGGATGTTCCTCCTCATAGAAGTGTGATGCCAAAGGAAAAGGAAATTTCCTCCCACAAAGACACTTAGGCTTTAGGAGGTCAAATGGTTTGCCCAAAGTCCCAAAGAAAAAGAAAAGGTGCAAACCCTGGTCCAGCTGACCCTAATCCCACGGTCTTTTCCTGTATCATCCTTATCACTGGACATGACTCTCACATTGCAGCGCAAATGACCCCCAGCAGCCCCTTTTTCTTGGTGTTGGAACAGCTGCCCATTTCAGGAGCCTGAGTTTAAGAGTCAGGGTTCAAATCCTCTCTCTACCACACACTGGCTTTGTGATATAGGTAAATCATTTAACTCTGAACTTAAGAGTTTTCTCATCTGTACATTGTTATAATATTCCAAAGGTTGCAAGTTCAAAATGCACTAAAGTTTGCTTAAGTACTTTGTAAATATCAAGTGCTAAACAAATATGTGGTGTACTTATTGCTATTCTAAGGAAGAGAAAACACATGGAGGCTGAAAATAGCTGGTTCAATTCTAGCTGGCCTCCCTCTCCTGCCTGTTTTATTCCTTTTGTCTTACTGGATTTATGTCCATAAATCACCACTGTTAACAATTTTCCCATTGCCCAGGGCTCTCTAATGGCTCTTCATTGACTCTCCCATCAAGGCCGAGTTACTGTGCCCAGCTTCCAGAGCCTTCTTCCATCATTTGCATTTTCCATCACTTCCCTGGATGCACCTTCATCCCATGTGACTGATCTGCTTTGTTCAATTCCCACCTCCCCGCCTCTTCAGGGTTTTCTGTCCCTTATTCCTGTGGGTCACTCCCCCTTCACAGAATTGAGTGGTTAATTGCAACAGGCTAGATACCGCTGCCACTTCACATTAGCTTATTTACAAACTCCCTTAAGAAGATAATATTATGCCCATTTTCCAGATGGGAAAGCTGAGGCTCTGGGGGGAGAAGTGACTTGCCCAAAGTCCTTCATGTTGTGAGTCGTAAGGCTAAGACAGTGAAGCCTGGTGTTCTAAGTATGGCTGCTTCTTTGCTATCAAAATCCTTGTCCTTCATGGTTGGGCTTCCTCAGACCACTGATCGGGTTCTTCTTGAAATTCCATCCCGCCATTTAACAATTGATTATACGTCCCATAACACTGATTGTTTCACAATAGAATGGGGAACAAGCTTCTTGACTCCTCAACTATACTTTTGTATATAGATTGCTTCTGTATGTTTTCCCCTAGTATTTAACACTATAATGCTTGAATCAGAATAAGTGTTTAGTAACTTTTGACTGACCGACATGTGGACCTGAAGACAAAATGTCTACAAAGAGGCTATTTTATAAGCAGCAGCAACCTTTCTTTTCCCCTCAGAAATGACAGGCACTACAGCAGTCACTGCCCACAGTAGAGCCACTTGGTACCTGGATGCTAAGTAGATACTTTGCATATGGCATCCATAGGTCTCTAAATGTGTTTTAAATAATTTCCTTTGTACTGCAAAAGGAAGTTAGTTATGTTTATCTGTTCATCGTAGATGTTCTAGCTTCCCAAGGTCATTTTGCAGAGATGAGGCTCGAATTTGATGGTAGCACCCAAGTAGCACGTCCAGGCGGTGCTGCCCCAAGGAGCTCAGCAGACTGATTGGGGCCAGGATGTTCTGAAAAGTGGTGCCTCCACTTTATACGACAAAACCAATCGTTTGGGAAAGTTGGTAACCTAGATACCAAAATGTGCAGGGCTTGTGCACACAAAGAAAACCACTGGGTACCCAGGATGTTTGTTTAGCCTTTTGGAGTTTGAAGGCTTGGTATGTTATTTCCCTGTTCTCGTTTTACTTTGTCACTCTGCCATATGCACTGTGTGCCTGTTGATCAAGGACATACAGGACATTTTTGTTTTTCAAAGCACAGCCCCTTTTCTGCTTCTGATTTCCCCTTAAAATGAACAGTAACGAAAAAGTACACTTTGCTTCCTTTTCTCTCCTATGGCTCAGCTTTAGAAGCCCCCTAGTCTTTATCAGACCTCTGGCCCCCCAGCCACTGATCCCACAACTCTCATTCCCACCTGAAGAAGCTGAGATTAAAACATCTTTCGTTTTAGTTTTTGTTGAGGGTTCTCCAGAAACCTTACCAATCCATCCCTTTCCCTCCAGATTCTGAAGCAATTGAGAAATAAGTACAAGATTAATGTGGGAATTAAAATAGATTATCTTGGGAGGCCAAGTTGGGCGGATCATCTGAGGTCAGGAGTTCAAGATCAGGCTGGCCAACATGGTGAAACCCCATCTCTACTAAAAATACAAAAAAATTAGCTTGGCATGGTGGCGCACACCTGTGGTCCCAGCTACTTGGGAGGCTGAGACAGGAGAATCGCTTGAACCCAGGAGGCGGAGGTTGCAGTGAGCCAAGATTGTGCTGCTGTACTCCAGTCTGGGTGACAGAGCGAGATTCCATCTTTAAAAAAAAAAATTATCGAATTTATTACCAGTGAATATCTAATTTATTACCAGTGAAGCTGAATTTTAAATTGTGGTGGGATGCCAGGAGACAGTGAGGTTTTCCACTCCATCTTTTGGGAATACACTTATCCTTCCAGCAAGAGATGGAGCATCCTGAGGCTCAGAGGGTCCAGCCACGGGGCTGCAGGCCTGTAGAGAGGGGGCGAGAGAGAGAGAGGGAAAGAGAGAGCCTGCCTGACTTTAGCCCCAGCCTTGTCACTCTTTTTTTGATGTCAACAAAAAGTGGAAGCTTCGTTTATGTTCCTTCCAGAGAGCAGAAGTGTTCAATTTCTGTGGTATGAAAGAAATATGGAAAGAGGAAAAGAGGAGAGCTACTTAAAATACAACTTCTTCTATGTAATGGACCTTTTCCTGCTTTGCTTGGAGTATCAATCACTTTGAAGATGAATGGACATACGCTAGGACGTCTACTGCAGACACACTGCATTAACCTTCTTTCCTTGAATCAATTTAGCCTCAACTTGACATTTTCTATAGACTTCTACCGTATGTATATAAAAATGTGTTAGAAATGAACAATTATGAACAGTCTACATATGAAAACTTGTGAGAAGAAATAAATGGGAGGATATGTATAGCTTTAACTCCTTGTATTAAAAAGCAGAAAGCCTTAATGTCCTAATTCTCCAGCTTAGTTAGAAAAAAAGAATAGAATAAATTCAAAAAAAGTAGAAAGGAGGAAAAATAAGGATAAAAGAAGAAAGTAATTATGACAAGGAAATATAGGGGATTTTAAAAAGCAGAAAATGTTAGGACTGAACAGATTAAGAAAATTGAAAAACTGTTCTCAAGAGCAATAAAAATTTCAAAACAGGTACAAATAAACAGAAATAAAAATGAAAAAAGTACCTAACTATAGATATTACACACATTAAAGAAATAAAAGAGGGTATTAAGGCATCTTTAGAACACTCTATTTGAAAACCAGGTAAAATGGATAAGTCCCTAGGAAATAATGCAACTTTTAAAAAGTTGGTTCAAGAAGAAATTAAGGACCTGAATAGTCCTATAATCTTTAGAGAAATGGAGGAACTAGTTAGAGGATTCCCATTAAAATTCTGGCTCCATGTAGCTTTAGAAACAAGCTATACAAGCATTCAAGGAACAGGGAATTCCAATCTTCCATGAACTTTTTCAGCAATAAGAAAGAGGGCATACTTCTCCACCTAGTTTATGAAGCTAGCCGACTTGATACCAAAATAAGACAAAAAGAGTCCAGGAAGGTTATATTATAGGCCAATATTACTAAAGAACAGAGATCCAAGTGTTTTCTAGTTCTGTGCTAGAAAAGATTTTTCAACAATCCCTCTGATCATTTTCTTTGTCTAAGCCAGCCCTGAGCTGAAGAGCCAGGAGCCTGATACACACCATATGTCAAGAAGAAAACCTAAATCAGCTTTACTAAGATTGGAAGTTCCAAATAATTCTGTTTCTCCTTATACTATATCACTCAGTAGGGAAAGTACATGTTTTTTTGATCTCACAATTTAAAAACCTTGTGCTTTTTTGTGATATTCACTTTTCTGTTACTCTTTTACCTTTTTCTTTAAGATACTTGGGAGCCCACAGCGTCTCTGTGACTTGGCAGGACCCAGCTCCACTGAATCAGAGTCCAGAAAAAGATCAATTTCAAAAAGAAAGTCTCATCTGGATCTCCTCAAACTGTATGATGTTTATCCTTTTAAGTCTTTATTGAGGCTGCTTTTCTGAAGACTTTTAACCTTGCTTACAAGTCCCTGAAATTTTAAAAAATTCTACATTATATGAAATGTGTCTATTTAATAATTTACCCACAAGCTACATGAGAAGACATATCTCAATTTATTATAATCATGGAACTTTTTATATTTTCATATTGACTTAAAACCAGATGTACCAAGTGAAATATACAATAATTATTCATTGGGATTATTTTAGAGAATTTTTGATTTGCAATACTGTAACTATAGGATTTCTTCATATGTAGCCCCCCTAGAAAACTGAATATTATAGGGCTTGTAATAGTTGTATTCACATACATCTGTTCAGGAATATGTTTACTTTATAGAGGAAGGTCCACATTATATAACCATTATAACTATTTTCTATTTGAAACACTGAGCATAATACAAAAGTGAGGTTGTTCGGGAAAGTCATAAATACTCATCAGGAGCTTCTATTTGTACCCAAAAAACCAGTGAGCCAAGAAGGAGTGTGATTCAATGCAGACCACTTTTTTTTTTTTTTTTTTTTTTGACAGAGTCTTGCTCTGTCACCCAGGCTGGAGTGCAGTGGCACGATCTCGGCTCACTGCAACCTCTGCCTTCCAGGTTCAAATGATTCTCCTGTCTCAGCTTCCTGAGTAGCTGGGATTACAGGCACATACCAACCACACCTGGCTAATTTTTTGTATTTTTAGTAGAGACGTGGTTTCACCATGTTGGCCAGGCTAGTCTCAAACTCCTGACCTCAAGTGATCCGCCCACCTCAGCGTCCCAAAGTGCTGGGATTACAGGCGTGAGCCACTGTGCCCGGCCAATGCAGGCCACTTTATCTGAAGATCTTCCTCTGCCCACCTAGGCATGTTTGTTTCTTTTATTCATTGCCCAGACCATTTTGTTTTATTCAAATCAGACTATCTGTTTTGAATACTTTGCTGTTTGCCAGGCTAACACTCTTGTTCCTTTCAGAGATATTTTCTACATTTTATGCATTTATTCCATTTTCTCTTTTGAACACTGTTTAGCATCATGGATGGCATGACCGAAGCATGCATCAAGGGTGGCATCGAAGCTTGCTATGCAGCCGTGTCCTGTGTCTGCACCTTGCTGGGTGCCCTGGATGAGCTCAGCCAGGGGAAGGGCTTGAGCGAAGGTCAGGTGCAACTGCTGCTTCTGCGCCTTGAGGAGCTGAAGGATGGGGCTGAGTGGAGCCGAGATTCCATGGAGATCAATGAGGCTGACTTCCGCTGGCAGCGGCGAGTGCTGTCCTCAGAACACACGCCGTGGGAGTCAGGGAACGAGAGGAGCCTTGACATCAGCATCAGTGTCACCACAGACACAGGCCAGACCACTCTCGAGGGAGAGTTGGGTCAGACTACACCCGAGGACCATTCGGGAAACCACAAGAACAGTCTCAAGTCGCCAGCCATCCCAGAGGGTAAGGAGACGCTGAGCAAAGTATTGGAAACAGAGGCGGTAGACCAGCCAGATGTCGTGCAGAGAAGCCACACGGTCCCTTACCCTGACATAACTAACTTCCTGTCAGTAGACTGCAGGACAAGGTCCTATGGATCTAGGTATAGTGAGAGCAATTTTAGCGTTGATGACCAAGACCTTTCTAGGACAGAGTTTGATTCCTGTGATCAGTACTCTATGGCAGCAGAAAAGGACTCGGGCAGGTCCGACGTGTCAGACATTGGGTCGGACAACTGTTCACTAGCCGATGAAGAGCAGACACCCCGGGACTGCCTAGGCCACCGGTCCCTGCGAACTGCCGCCCTGTCTCTAAAACTGCTGAAGAACCAGGAGGCGGATCAGCACAGCGCCAGGCTGTTCATACAGTCCCTGGAAGGCCTCCTCCCTCGGCTCCTGTCTCTCTCCAATGTAGAGGAGGTGGACACCGCTCTGCAGAACTTTGCCTCTACTTTCTGCTCAGGTTTGTAAACAATTCTCTGCTGTATAGTCAACAAGATTATTCAGAGCAGTTTGCCTTAATGGGCAATTACTATCATGCTTATAGTTTGACGTGCTCAAAGCATATTAATGTATCTTTGGGTTTCCCCAGTTTAAAGAGGGCGAAGAAATCTAAGACCTATTAGTGGTGGTTTATTTGAATTCTACAGCAGTCGATGGCTGGAATATACTATGAGGCTGATAAATGTATAGGATGTAAAGTAAAGAATGAGAAGTAGCTGCATTCTAGAAAGGTGCTACTGATTGAAACAAGATGACAATCTGTAATTCTTAAAACATTGAATTCCCAGTATGCTTCTATGTCTTGGTGTCTAAAATTCATAGAGCAATGTACTTTTGGTGTATCAAAATGTAAACAATTTTGAATGCTGTCTTGGATCAGTTGCACGCCAAGTCCTCCCAATATATTCTGAATTCTAGTGAACATTCGAACAATGTGTGATAGTCTAGTATAGCTTGGTAACGTTGCATTCTCCCATCTCAGATCCTTCCATCTGTTGAATTGTGACTCAGACCGTAAACAGTGGTGCTGGGGGGAATAGTGGGCAAATCACATCAGAAAATAATGCTGGTATTATTGAAGGGCAGAAGAGAATCACTTAGAGTTTTGGTGGAGGAAGCAGATAAAGAATACAGGGAAGTAGTAGCATTTCACATAGTAAATAATTATTTTTAAGATAGTGTTCTTGAAAGATAATACAGAAAGAAATAAATTAATGGGTACATAAAATTTATGGTGGGAATAAATGTTGGTATGGTACCAGGGAGGTCATCTGTGCCTTTCCCTCAAGTACAAGGGTCTCTTGACCACAGAATACTGGGGCAAATGAATCTCCCTAAGCCTGTGCTCAGATCCAAAGGGCTGACCCTGGGAACTGACACAGAACTGCTAAAAAGCCATGATCACCACTTGCTCTTCTACCACTTAACCTTGAACTTGTGTTTGTCATTGTGCTTGGTGCATTTATCACAGTCATGTGTTAATGCATCCACCATCCCTTCTACCCTCCCCTCTCTAGACTCCCTGCTCTTTGAGGGCTGAGACCTTGTCTCACTTCCTTTTTATTTTCTAACAAAACTTCACACACATACATGAAAAAATTGTAGCCCAGTTACTGGAACTTGGTTAGAAGCTGACTGATGTGTAACTTAACAAGTATCTTTAAGAAGCTGACCAAATTGTCCTTTTTCAAGAGGACAAGAAAAAGACACTTAAATCTCTGTATATATAAGAAGGAACAAATTTTTTTTTCCTTTTTTTTTTTTTTTTCTGAGAGAAAGTCTCACTCTGTCACCCAGGCTGGAGTCCAGTGGTGCAATCTCGGCTCACTGCAAGCTCCGCCTCCCGGGTTCATGCCATTCTCCTGCCTCAGCCTCCCAAGTAGCTGGGACTACAGGCGCCCACCACCACACCGGGCTAATTTTTTGTATTTTTAGTAGAGACAGGGTTTCGCTGTGTTAGCCAGGATGGTCTCGATCTCCTGACCTTGTGATCCGCCCGCCTTGGCCTCCCAAAGTGCTGGGATTACAGGCATGAGCCACTGCGCCCGGCTGGAACATTTTTTAATAAGAGAATTATCCAAAGTTGTAGCAAGCACCAAAGGAGACACAGAATTTTTACTCCAGAAATTTTCACATGACCTAGAAAAGGATGTAAAGAGACATGATTTCTCAACTTTCCTAATTCTTATTTCCTAAGAATTTCATACCTTATTTCCTAATTTCACATCAATTTTTAAGGCTACCTAACATATTTTTTTCCTCAATATTTTTTCTTTTGGAGTTAAATATAACAAATTTTGGATTTTTTTATTTGTGTGTGTAACAAAATTCACGTTTTATTGGAAGACTAGGAAAATGTATACTCTTCCTAAAAAATTATTTTTCTCCCTAAGATCTTTTATATCACTGTCATTAAATTTGACATTCTCTTATTGAACATTCTAGGGGTGTGTTTTGTGCATGTTTGTGTCTGTCTGTCTGTCTTTTTGTCTCTCTCTCTCTCAGACACACCCACCCAAATCCTCCTTCAACCAACATTTATAGAGAAGCCGAATTGTGCTATATGCTAAGGTCCCAAGATATGTACAGCTTATTCTCAATAAATATTTATTGATTGTAAATTGATGAAGTTGTACTTCGGTCTCTCTCTCTTTTATTTTGTAACAGGGTCTGACTCTGTTGCCCAGGCTGAAGTGCAGTGGCTCAGCCTCCCAAGTAGCTGAGACTATACGCACCACCACACCCAGCAATTTTTTTTTTAATTTTATAGATACAGGGTATTGGCCAGGCATGATGGCTCACACCTGCCATCCCAGCACTTTAGGAGGCTGAGACGGGTGGATTGCTTGAGCTCAGGAGTTTGAGACCAGCCTAGGCAACATAGGGAGAACCTTTCTCTACAAAAAATACAAAAATTAGCCAAGCATGGTAGTGCACCTTTGTCCCAGCCACTTGGGAGGCTGAGGCGGGGGGATCACTTGGGCCTGGGAGGTTGAGGCTCCAGTTAGCCATGTTTCCACCACTGCCCTTCAGCCTGGGCAACCGAGCAAGACCCTGTCAAAGAAAGAGAAAGAGAGAAAGAGAAGAAACAAAAGAAAGAGAAAGAGAAGAAAGGAAAGGAAGGGAAGGGAAGGCAAGGGAGGGCAGGGCAGGGCAGGGCAAGGCAAGGCAGAGAGAAAGAAGGGAAGGCAGAAGGGAAGGGAAAACGGAAGGGAAAAGGGAAAGGAGAAGGGAAAGGGTCTCACTGTGTTGGAAAGAAGGAAATAAAGAAGAGATGAGGCCTCACTATGTTGTTCTGGCTGGTCTCAAACTCCTGGGCTCAAACAATCCTCCTGCCTTTGTCTCCCAAAGTGCTAGGATTACAGGCATGAGCCACTACACCAAGCCTTTTGGTCTCTTAAGATGTGCCATAGTTCGGCTGGGTGCGGTGGCTCACACCTGCAATCCCACCACTTTGGGAGGCCGAGGCAGGCGGATCATGAGGTTAGGAGATCGAGACCATCCTGGCTAATATGGTGAAACCCCGTCTCTACTAAAAATACAAAAAATTAGCTGGGCGTGGTGGCAGGCGCCTGTAGTCCCAGCTACTTGGGAGGCTGAGGCAGGAGAATGGTGTGAACCCGGGAGGCAGAGCTTGTAGTGAGCCAAGATCGCACCACTGCACTCCAGCCTTGGTGACAGAGCAAGACTCCATCTCAAAAAAAAAAAAAAAAAGATGTGCAATAGTTCATGAGCTAAGGGAGTTGTACATAAAGCCTCTCAAGTTGTTCTTTGGAAGCGATTGGTGGATCCTTTGAGTCTCTGCCTCTTCCCAGCTGGGAATATTCATATGGAGACGTTTGGCAGCCTTGGCTACTCTGACCAGCTTGGTGTCCCTTGTGCCAAGGCAGAGAGCCCAGCAAACATTGTTAGTCCCCAGAATAGCTGTGTATTAGAGTGCAGCATGGCCACTGGTTGCAGTAATAATGATGGCCTTGAGCCATCAAGAAACAGTAAAATTATAGTCAGGGTCTTCTATTTAAAATTAAAATTATCCAGGAGGCAGATGGATCACTTGAGGCCAGGAGTTTGAGACCAGCCTGGCCAACATGGCAAAACCCCGCCTCTACTAAAAAGACAAAAAATTAGCCAGGCATGGTGGTGCATGCCTGTAATCCCAGTTACTCAGGAGGCTGAGGCAGGAGAATCTCTTGAACCCAGGAGGCGGAGGTTGCAGTGAGCCGAGATTGCACCACTGCACTCCAGCCTAGGCAACAGAGCTACTCCGCCTCAAAGAAAAAAAAATTAAAATTATCCATACAAAATAACTCCACTGCCGAAGTTTCAGCACAATATATAAAATTTAGCTCTCAGATAACTTCTTTATCAACACATCCCCAGTAATTCCAGATGAATGAATTGTCACAGTGGTGAGGACTGACTTCCAAGGGACCACCCTCATTTCTTATAAGAATTAAGAAATATAATCCTAGCAAAGTCTTTTTAAAATTTGAGGCTAAAGCAGGTCTTCAGTTTTGTGTCTTTGTACCTTTCAAATCAATACTTATTTATAGTACATGCAAAACAGGGCTTGTGTGAATTTTTTATGTGGTCAGAATATGGCCCAATAAATGTTGCAGACTGCCCAAATTTTAGAGTTCCGTAAATTTCCCATCAGACCAAACATGTTTTATGAAATTATTTTTTAAACGTAAAAATCAATACATTGAAAAGAGACTTCACAAATGTTTGGTTGTTTTCAAATATCATTTTTATTGACTGTAATTTAGTTGTAGGTCTATTTAATTCTAGTGACATCACAGTATTTTTCTATTCAGGAGTTGGACTCTCTTTCCAAATTACAGACCCATCACTCTGTGGTCCTGTTACCAACAGCTAACTCTCTTCCATCACTGCTGTGGTTCAACTGGTGGCACTGATCGTTGCTTTGGCTACCCCTTCAGCCACTGGGTGCTGGCCTGTATCCATCTCTGGACTGAGGCATGTCCTCTTGCCCCCTTGCAAGTGCCACTTCCATGATTAAAAATTAACAAAAGAGAAAACATTATGCTCCACTGAGACAGGGAGATGGCAGATTTCCTTTGTTCCTCTAAGAGAAAGTTATGAAAGTAAAAACAGAAGAGTGGGAGAAGGGAAAAACTCCCTGAGTTATAAACCCTTTCTTTGACTCATTATTTATTTTGATGTCAAAAGCTTCAAACCTCACTTTGTCATAAACGTCCATCAAGCCTTCATCCCTACCCTGTTATCAGGGGGCTGCTTTCTCGGCTGAATCACAGTCACTCAGTGTTTCTCAGTGACTCCTATCTTCAGACAGCTAATATGCCATTGAAATGAGCCTCCTTAATTCTACAGGATTCAGGAGAGCCTTTCTTTTCAAAGCAATTAAAGTTTCATATGGTAGGGGAGTTTGAAAATGTTCGGGCAAATAAAGTACGTTTTTTATAAAGACAGTGCTTGACATGAGCTGCGATTGCTGCAGAAATGCCTCTTTGATCCTGGATAGAACAAAGTGACGTCTGTGTAAGGTGGTTCCTCAGCACTAAAGGAAGGTCCCAGCCTTGCACGGCAATTGATCAAGGGTCATCGGCACTGACTTTGGATTGCTGTTCCTTAGAGTAGCGGTTTTCAGTTGCAGTCTTGTGACTTACTTTGACCAAATGTAAGGTTCGCTGCAAGCAATATTTTATAAAGTACCAGATTTCCTAAAAGATAGTGTAGCAAGTATAAATCTCAGTTGTACAAGATATATCTATTTCTTCACATTAAAACAAAGCTGACTGTAGCCCCTCAGCCTGCCTAGCAGGGAGAACACTTGGTCTCTGCCCTCCCTTTATTTCTCATCCCAGGGTCAAACCAGAAGCTGGAGCTTGTGTGGTATCTGTAAGGGGAGGCCCCCTCACCTCTTATATCACCAGGGAGCCCCCATTATCTCCAGTCATAGGCTCCCTAAGGGTCCCGTGATTTTGCTACCATTATCCTCCCTCCTCGGGTGTCCCGCCAACCCTGCAGGTACTACCAGGCGGTGGGCAGCCACAGACCTGCAACCTCTGCCCAGCCTGGGCTCTCCCTTCTCTGCCTCACCGCTTCTTCCCCTGTCTCTTCACCCTCTAAGGAATGGGCTGAAGTCTCTGGAAGGAGCTCTAGCTTTGTGACTACACAACCAGGAAGGCATTTATGCCGTTACCAGCCTCAGTTTTTGGCTCTGTGGTTTAAACACCTCAAAAGATGGCAAATACAAGTTTACCTTGCTATCTTTATATAATACAGAAGGTAAAATTACAGGAAGAAAACCTCAAATAAATAAATGAGTATGTTATGCTGCCTCTGTCAGTTAGGATTAGGTTTCTTTGCATCTATAGAAAATGCAGATGACGGCCTGGCGCTGTGGCTCATGCCTGTAATCCCAGCACTTTGGGAGGCAGGGGTGGCAGATCACCTGAGGTCAGGACTTCAAGACCAGCCTGACCAACATGGAGAAACCCCGTCTGTACTAAAAATACAAAATTAGCCGGGCATGGTGGTGCGTGCCTGTAGCCCAGCTACTCGGGAGGCTGAGGCAGTAGAATCGCTTGAACCCAGGAGGCGGAGGTGGCGGTGAGCTGAGATCGTGCCACTGCACTCCAGCCCGGGCAATAAGAGCCAAACCCTATCTCAAAAAAAGAAGAAAAAAAAAGGCAATATTACTACAAAAGGAAAGAGATTCATTTCCTTTCCTCTAAATTGAGTCTGAGGTCTGATCTCCAGAGCTCCATGATGATCAGGGACCCAGGTGCTCCTGTCTTTCTGCTCTACTCTTGTTAATAGGTGACTGTCATCCTCAGGTTTCCTCATGAACTGAGACAGCTGGTGCTGGCGGAGCTGCTGGCTTCTCATCTATAGTCTGAGCAAGAAGGAAGGGGGCAAGGCTAGCAAAGGAGCCACCTGAGAGCTAAATACGGCTGCTTTCAGGAGCTCTCTGGAAGCGCCACACAACAACCTCAAGTTCACTGACCCCTCCTAGGAGACAGGGCACATTGCAAGCCCAAGTAAAGTCATGATTCTATTACCAAGTAAGAAGAAAATGGTTTTATATAGTAACAAGCAGTTTCTAATACAGCACCATATTTTGTTGTAAAAACCAACTATGGATTCAGAGTTATCCTTATTGTAATGTCATTGGTGAATTCCATTCTTGAATGTTGTCTCAGACAGAAAAGGGGAGAATGAAACCAATTTTCAGGAGTTTATATAGACATAAATATGTCTGAGCTCTAACTTCAGGAATTTTACGTAGACACACACACACACACACACACACACACACACACACATATATATATCTGGGCTCTAGCCATTTCTGAGATCTAACTTCAGATCCCAGCTCTAGCACTGAACAGCTGTGACCATGGGCAAGTTACTGACCCTCTCCCTGCATCACATTGCCTACCTGTAATGTAAGTATGATAAACAGTAGTACTTACTTTATCTATTCTGCAGATTAAATGCAGTAGTACAGTAGGTGAAAGGTGAGGATTCATCCAAAATCTGCTGTAGTGTGAGTGCCTGAGCAAGCCAGCAGAAAGATTCTGGTCAGAGTGGGCCATCTAAATCAGTGATGTTGCAGGAAGAACACTGGAGTGGGGTGAATTGATTGAGTGTTACTGTAGGAGCCTATGGGTGGGAAGAGGCGGAATAGAGGGAATGATGGATGGCATGGCTGTCAAGACTCTAAAAGGACCTGGCATTGGATGATTTGGCCATCTAGAGGCTGAAGTCGTGCAGGATAATGGCAGGAAGGGCAGGAGGCATTGGGGTGAAGAGGAAGCCACAGACTCCAAGCCAGGGTGGTCAGTGAATGTGGCCATGTCTGGCATATCATGAAGGAGAGTTTCAAGGATGGGTGGAAGATTTGGCCAGATGATAGGCGCCTCAAAGGCTGAGAGTTTGCTTGCTTGCTTTAATAAATGGAGGAAGAGAAGTATTCTAGAAGCAGGAATGGAGAATAAGTAGTCTAACAAAATCCTCTACCAACACCTGGCATTGTGGAATATAAAACTTAGAGAATACAATAATATAAAAACCACACAAGATATCACTCCTATAGTCTCAGCACTTTGGGAGGCCAGGGTGGGAGGACATAGTGGGCAACGTAGTAAGACCTCGTCTCTACAAAAAAAGAAAACACAAAATAAATAATCATACCACCTAGAAGCTGACTCTGAAATATCTTGGCATCTTTCTTTGCAGTCATTTTTCATCATATGAATGTACTTATTTACATGTATCTACAATAATAATGATGATAATAATAGCTAATCTAACATGGCACTTCCTATATGCCCTGCATTGTCTAAAGGTTTTACTGATATTAACTCATTTAATACTCATAACAACCCCATAAAGTAGATAGCACTATTATCCTCATTTTACAGATGAGAAAACTGAGACACAGGTTAAGTAATAAGTCATCCAAGGTATGTACATAGCTAGGAAGCGGTGATACCAGCATATGAACCTGGCTCCAGACAGCATGCTCATTACACTGCACAGTACCAGGATAAGGGGAATGAATATGTCATATGTGTAATTTTGTAACTTACTTTCTAGTTAATATTTTGTTGCCATGTCCCTTGTGTCTTTAAGTATTCTTTGCAAATATGACTTAGGATGCCTCTATGATACCCATTCCTGCTAACTTACCACAATGTACTCAATTTCTCCTTTTGGTGGATCTTTAAGCTGTTCTTCACATGCTTCTCTTAGAGGATTTTTAATTATCTAGGAGATGCTGTTCAAGAACACAGAAACCTCTGGAGCTGATTAGCTCTGGTTGCAGGGGGTTGGGGAAACCATGGTGGCTGAAAAACTGTAGCCCAGCAAATGTGTGAGTTTTTTAATCCTGATAGACTTGAAAATACCAGTGGATACCTGGCATCTCACTGGCTCCTGGGAACCTACGCTAAAGGAACAGAAACTCAGGCAGAGATTTATAGCATACTAGCAGATGCCATTTATTTATTTATTTATTTATTTATTTATGAGACAAGAGTCTCGCTCTGTCACCCAGGCTGGAGTGCAGTGGCACGATCTCGGCTCACTGCAACCTCCGCCTCCTGGGTTCAAGCGATTCTCCTGCCTCAGCCTCCTGAGAAGCTGGGATTACAGGCGTCCGCCACCACGCCTGGCTAATTTTTTGTATTTTGAGTAGAGACGTGGTTTCACCATGTTGGTCAGGCTGGTCTTGAACTCCTGACATCAGGTAATCCATTCACCTTGGCCTCCCAAAGTGCTGGGATTACAGGCATGGGCCACTGCACCTGGCCTATATAGCCATTTACAATGATGTTTTCCAGTAATATTTAATGATATGAAAAAATATCATGTAATTTTAAAAAGAAGGATTTAAAATTCACATTAAAATGTTAATACTGCTTATCTCAGCCTGGTGTTATCACAGATTATTTTCTTCTTTGTGCCTTTTCCAAATCTCTAAAAGAATTTCTTGCAACCTCTATCAGAAGATAAAGCAGTAATGTTATGTAAAAATTAGAGCCGTAGACTTAAATAAATCTGTGACTAAGCAAAGTTGTGTAATCTTATCACGAAGGTTTAGAAAGCTGATAATGCCCAGCGTTGCTGAGAGTGGGTGTAAGAGTGCTCTTGTGCACAGTTGGTAGGTGGGAAAATTGGTATAAATCTATTTGGAAAATAGTTTGTATGTATCTATTAAACTTAATATACTTATTCTGCTTTTAGTACGCTTGCAGAAGTACTAACATTAATTTCATCATTTCAGTATTTTTCATAATTGAAACAACATAAATGTCCACCAATAGAGCATTAAGATCAAATAAATCAAACCACAATGTAACTATGCAGTGGTATATGCACAGTCATTAAAAAAGAATGAAACAGACCCAGAAGTGTCAATATCGAGACACATCTAACACATATTTTTAGAAAACGTCAAGTTACAGTTTGACATATGTAGTGTGATCTCGCTTTGTGGTATTTTCATACACACAAGGAAGTGAGTCTTGCTGTTAGAGGTATCATTGGGCCTTGAGAGAAGCGGGGACTACTGTTCTTATTTTTTATACTCTTCAGTACTATTAAATGTTCTAAATTAATGTTTATCCAAAAAAGAAGTACCAAATTCTCTTAGACACAGAAGAGATTTTAAGAGGTCTCTTGTGCTACTCTTGTATCTAATCTTTCCCTGGTAAGCAGTCAAGTAGGTGATCCATCCTCCTGTTTCCACAGTAAAGCACATCTTAATTATAGAGAGAGAGAATGAACTTTAGTTACTGAACACTGGGCAATGCAAAGAGTCAGAATATGTTAAAGGTCATAGTTCTTATAGTTTCTTACTCTAAATTGGATAGCACGTCAGTGAGGCCAATCAGAGGGAAGAATGGAAAATAGAGTATCTACTAGAGAGGTACAGGATATGGCAGAATCTTTTCATGACATTCGAAGCAAGTAGAGCGTGGCTAGTGCAAAAACCTGAAGTGTGGGCCCAAAAGACCTTTGCCGATTTTGAGCCGTGTAACTTTGGGCAAATTACTGTCTCTGGGGCACTTTCCTTACTGGTAAACAATAGGGCAGGATTAGAAAATGATATATGAGGAGAGACTGGTTCTAGGCAATAGAAAGCATTTAATAAATTATTCTTATCATGTTTCCATTATTATCAATATCACCAGTAAACTATATCTGACATAGCAAGAAAATGGCTGTTTTCTTTAAGTTGACAAAATAGACCTTATTTTGTTTTATTTACAAATTTGCCAGCTCTTTGTAATTTAAGAAATTAGTCTGCCTGCAGATGTAGGCTGGTACCAACAGATTACCTGCAACAAAGGTAACCTGACAAAGTCTTTCCTATTGGGTGTCTCCACCAGCAGTGCCTGCCAGGGCTTCCTCACTTCTCTGCTGATTTTGATCTCCATGTCAACACTCACATTAGTGGCCTTTTTCACTTTCAGCATCTGAGCAAGTGCTCAGTTTTCCAAAACATCCCAAGGTAATTAGTAGTTGGTTTCAACATTTTGAAAGGAATTATTACTGATGTCTAAAATGAAAGCCATTTACAGATTCATTTTTTTTTCTTGTTGATAGACTCAATTGTACCTTTCATCTATGATCCAGGGTAGTTAAACACCCAATCCTGAATGCTACTTTCTGTTTTACCATGGAAGGAGACTGGTCTTGTGCCCTATGTCTCCTCCAGATAACTGGAATCAGCCCCACTAGCACCTTGAGAGTGCCAGGGGTTCCCATGGACCATCAGGGCTGAGATACACTGCTCATGTTCTAACCAAGGATGTAGTTTTCAGATCTCACTTGCAGTCTGATCTTCCTTTTAAAATGCACCTCAGCCTAGCAAGGCGTGGTGGCTCACACCTGTAATCCCAACATTTGGGAGGCCAAGGCGGGTGGATCCCCTGAGGTCAGGAGTTCGAGACCAGACTCAACATGGAGAAACCCCATCTCTACTAAAAATACAAAATTAGCCAGGCATGGTGGTGCATGCCTGTAATCCCAGCTACTCGGGAGGCTGAGGCAGGAGAATTGCTTGAACCTGGGAGGCAGAGGTTGCGGTGAGCCAAGATCGCGCCACTGCACTCCAGCCTGGGCAACAAAAGCGAAACTCCGTCTCAAAAAAAAAAAAAAAAATGCACCTCAGCCTTGCCAGGCATGGTGGCTCACACCTGTGATCCCAGCACTTTGGGAGGCTGAGGCGGGCAGATCACCTGAGGTCGGGAATTCTAGACCAACCTGACCAACACGGAGAAACCCCGTCTCTACTAAAAATACAAAATTAGCTGGGTGCGGTGGCACATGCCTGTAATCCCAGCTACTCGGGAGGCTGAGGCAGGAGAATTGCTTGAACCCGGGAGGCAGAGGTTGCAGTGAGCTGAGATTGTGCCATTGCACTCCAGCCTGGACAACAAGAGCAAGACTCCATCTCAAAAAAAATAATAAATAAATAAAATAAATTTTAAAAAATAATAATAAAATGCACCTCAGCCCATGATCACAAAGTGCTCTTGGTAGAAAACGTCTTGAGGCAACATCAAAATTTCTGCAGTTTTTTATTTCCCCTGCCTTGTTTCATAAGGCAGAGGTAATGCCCACTCTTTGATTGTCTGAGGTGGTTTTGTGGGAATAATATAAGGTGGTTTTGTGGGAATAATATATATGCTTAGTCCCACCAAAAAAATGTTTATACTGCCCTCAAATATGGCAGAGATCTTGAATTATTTTCCACTTTGAAAGCTTTCTCTGGTCCACATCTTCTTACTTACCTATTTATTAAAATTCATAGGGATGGCCGGGCATGGTGGCTCACACCTGTAATCCCAGCACTTTGGGAGGCTGAGGCAGGTGGGTCACGAGGTCTTCGAGACCAGCCTGGCCAACATGGTGAAACCCTGTCTTTACTAAAAATACAAAAATTAGCTGCATGTGGTGGTGCATGCCTGTGATCCCAGCTACTTGGGAGGCTGAGGCAGGAGAATTGCTTGAACCCGGGAGGCAGAGGTTGCTGTGAGCCAAGATCGCACCACTGCACTCCAGCCTGGGTGACAGAACAAGACTCTGACTCAGGAAAAAAAAAAAAAAAAATTCACAGGGACAACATCACTGGATAAACATTCTAGCTGTAAATTTGTATCTCTCATTTTCATAGGGACAACATCACTGAATAAACATTCTAGCTGTAAATTTGTATCTCTCATTTCTTTGACTGTTAATTCTAGAAAACGCTTACATTTCATATGAGCCATATTTTTTATTAAAGAATAATTTTACACATGATTTGCAGAGTGTATGGACATGTGTAATTTGCATGCACAAATGTAGAGATGAACTGTTTCCCACACATCCCTAGATTTCAGCCTCCAAGTATTTGCAGGAACAAATGGCGCATTCATTGAAAATCTCTCAAGGTGCTCTGAGAGGAGTGGCTCGGTGTGTTTTGTTCCACACTTGGCTGGTATTGCCTGTGGGGCTTTGGAGGGTAAGAGGAGATGACAGTGTAAGGACACAGATGTGCAGTTGTCTGTGGGCTGCAAAGCTGCGAGCTGACCACCAGGCTCCAGATAGTCAGGAACCCTGAAGGCCTGGAAATGCCTGTCTGCAGATGGCCTTAGGACCAGCATACTAATAGATGCAGAGAAGCTGACTTCAGTAATGTTTTCACCCCAAGCTCCCTGTGAAAGTTTGAGCCATGATACCAACAACTCTGACTGAATGAACCCATCTTCAGAGCATGAGATATAGTTGTTTGTTTTTTCAGTTAATTTATATAAAGCTCAAAGGGATCTTCAAAATGAAAACTTTAGTAAGTATAAAATGTCTTTTAAAAGAAAAGATAGTGGGGAGAAAGTCAATAGCTATTATTTAATGGTTTTTTTTTTGAAACTCTTTATTTCCTCATTTATTTTTTTAACAGTTTGATTGTGAGATAACTCACATACCACACAGTTTACCTGCTTAAAGTGCACAATTTAACGTGCTTTTTGTTTTTCGTTTTTTTGTTTTTTGAGGCAGAGTATCTTTCTGTTGCCCAGGCTGGAATGTAGTGGTGTGATCTCAGCTAACTACAGCCTCCGCCTCCCGGGTTCCAGCAATTCTCATTCCTCAGCCTACCAAATGGCTGGGACTACAGGCATGCGCCACCATGCCGGGCTAATTTTTGTATTTTTAGTAGAGATGGGGTTTCACCCTCTTGGGCAGGATGGTCTGGAACTCTTAGACTCAAGTGATCTGCCTGCCTTGGCCTCCAAAAGTGCTGGGATTACAGGTGTGAGCCACTGCACCTGGCCTAACGTGTTTTGATGTATTACATTATTATTTGTTTTCATCATGGTAAAAATAGATGTAACAAAATTTGCTATTTTAATAAATTTTAAGTATACAATTCAGTGGTACTAATTGTATTCACAGTGTTGTGCAAGCATTTCCAGAACTTTTTTAACATTCCAAATAGAAGGTACTCTGCCCCTGGTCCCTGGTCCCTGGTAACCTCCAATCTATTTTCTATTTCTTCTAATTTATTCTAGGTGCTTCATAGAGTGCATCATATATATTTGTTATTTTGTGCCTGACACTTAGCATAATGTTTTCAAGGCGCCTCTATGTTGTGGCATATATCAGAACGCCATTCCTTTTCATGGCTGAGTAATACCCATTTTATATACATACCACAATTTGCTTATCCATTCATCTGTTGATGGGCGCTTCAGTTGTTTCCACCTTTTGGCTGTTGTGAGTAATGCTGCAGTGAACACTGATGTACAAACGTCTGTTCAAATCCCTGCTTTCAGTCCTTCTGGTTATATCGGAGTAGAATTGCTGGGTCATATAGTGATTCTATGTTTAGCTTTTCGAGAAACATTATTCCTTTTGAAAAGTTGTATTAATAACTTTTCTAAACATCTTACATGCATTATTGCATCTAATTCCCATGCAATCATATCCATTAATTCTTACTCATTCGGCAAATGTTTTTAAGGGTCTACTATGTACCAAATGCTGTTCTAGGCATTGGGGATTCTGTAGTGAACAAAATGAATGAAATGTCACCCTCTCATTGATTTTATAGTGGTGATGGCAGATGATAAACAAGTATATGTTAATATAAAACTGGGTAGAATAAATGCCATCGAGGCCATTTTTTAAAAGCCGGGTAAGCGGCATATTGGTGAGGGGCAGGAGTGGATTTGCTATTTAATAATGGAATTAAAAGGGAAGGTCTCTCTGTCACTTGAGCAGAGACTTGGCAGAATTGAGGGAGCGCAGCATCCAGAGATCCTGAGATCATTCTAGGAGTGACAAAAACAAATGCAAAGGCCCTGCGGCAGGTCCAGGCCTGGTGTGGCTGAGGGACAGCAGGCAGTCAGGGTGGCTGCGGGGAATGAGAGGGAGAGAGGAGGGTGAGGTTGGAGTTTTATTACATTGTGATAGGGAGCCACCGGAGGGCTCAAGCTAGGGATAGAATGCAGTCAATTCTTCTTATTATAGGAAAAGAAGGTGAGACTTACAGGGTTTACATGAGTTTATCAAAGTTCTAGCTGCTAAGTAAGAGATCAGGATCCAGGCCCAGGCAGATCCACTCCTGAGCGCATGCTCTTTGCCACCAGGCTGGGGTGTGTATCTGGCCCTAAGGATATTCCTGGCTAGCTGTCAGTGCTATACAGAAATATCCTATTGATGCAGTATCTCTCACGATGGGTTCGCAGCTCTCTGGAAGCCAGCCTTGCCAAGCACACTGTTCACACCCCCAAAAGTCCCTTCATTGTCTCCCTTAGGCATGATGCACTCTCCTGGCTTTGACGGGAATAGCAGCCTCAGCTTCCAGATGCTGATGAACGCAGACAGCCTCTACACAGCTGCACACTGCGCCCTGCTCCTCAACCTGAAGCTCTCCCACGGTGACTACTACAGGAAGCGGCCGACCCTGGCGCCAGGCGTGATGGTGAGTGTGCCGTCCCTCATTGGACTGGCAGAGGGCAGGCTGTAACTTCCTGGTGTACAGCCTAGCCTCAGTGCCCTGAGTGGGATGGCACAGCGTGTTTTGTTCCAGACTGCTCTAGGTTGGTAATGCCAGTGGGACTTTGGGGGATGGAAGGAGATGACATATATATAAGGGCACAGATATACAGTTGCCCAGCACCGTGAGCACAGAGCTGCCCACTGGGCTCCAGTGAAGAGTGTATGGACGTGAGGCTCTGGAAATGGCTGCCCAGGGATAACCCAGTAGTTTCATCTCATGTCATTATTAAACATGTGTATAAAACCTGTTCAAAACCACATCATTGACGTGTTAAGGGAGATCAGAAGATGTGCAAGAAATTTGCTGAAAATGAGTTGTGTTTTTCTTTTTTTTGAGACAGAGCCCCGCTTTGTTGTCCAGGCTAGAGTGCAGTGGTGTGAGCATGGCATGGCTCACTGCAACCTCAAACTCCTGGGCTCAAGCAGTCCTCCCACCTCAACTCCCAAGTAGCTGGGACTACAGGTGTGCACCACCAAGCCTGGCTAATTTTTTAATTATTTTTTGTAAAGACAGGGTCTCGCTATGTTGCCCATGCCAGCCTTGAACTCCTGGGCTCAAGCAATCCTCCCACCTTGCCCTCCCAAAGCGTTGGGATTACAGGCATGAGCCACCAGGCCTGGCTGAAGGTGTGCACTTATAAAAACTCTTCACCGTATTCCAACATGTTCCCAGACCTACTGTTGACCCAGAACTAAGCTCACTGGCTGTTGCTCATAAGCACTTCCTGTAAGGGATACAATGAGAGTGTTGGTTGTCCTGTGGTTAGCTCCTGTGATGGAGCAAGCCACTCCATGGTGTGCCCTATTATCAGTTCCTGAGCCTAAATCCATGGATCTACATGAAGGAAATCAATAATCATTTGCTTGCTTGATAAATTGTAAATTCCCAAAGATAAGTGATTGCTTCATGAGCATAAGTGAAGTGTCTCTGGAGATGTGCACATTCCTGCAGGAGCACGTTCCACCTCTGCTTCTGTTGGGGCTCCTAGAAAAGGAAGCTCGTACGCTATTAAAGACATCTGTGCAATTGCAAACCTTTCCACACATCCAAGAGTAAGAATGTAAAGTGCAGTCTCTCTAATCCTTCTGCAAGGTATCTGTCAAAAGGTGTCATCAGTGAAGGAAACCTCAGCACATTTGGGAATCCTCCATCTCTACTTCTCCCCACTTGCCGCCCCCTTACCCAATACACAAGCCTTGGTTTAGTTCAGGGCTCTGTGACGTGAAGAGGCAGCAGAGGCACTTAGGAGCCTGTTAGTGAGCAGGGTGTTATGTGGTCACCTTCTCATGCGATCTCTCTGTAGAAGGACTTCATGAAGCAGGTGCAGACCAGCGGCGTGCTGATGGTCTTCTCTCAGGCCTGGATTGAGGAGCTCTACCATCAGGTGCTCGACAGGAACATGCTTGGAGAGGCTGGCTATTGGGGCAGCCCAGAAGATAACAGCCTTCCCCTCATCACAATGCTGACCGGTCAGTGGTTCGTTGCAAGGCCTTGGGGCACGTGGTAGGGTGGGACGGCTCACGCTTTAAAGCCTCTTTCAGAGAAGTGTTGGTGCTTGGAGCAGACTTTGAAACAGCACCCACAAAGCTTCCCTGGCAATGGTGACAGTTCCAGGGAAGTGTCATGAGTTCACTTCACAGGAGTTTTCTGTCCCTTTTCCATGTGGGAGTCTGTAGGGTTCACTGTGCCCCATTAGATGAGGACTAACTTAGCACCTTTGTCTGTTGGTGTAAAACCGTAGGCCATATCTATAGGATGTGTAGGCCTAGGATTATTCCTGGAAGTTCTCACATGCTAATAGTTGCCCATATCATTCAGTGTTCTTGGGGTTTACCAATAAATGTAAAATGACTGATTTTAAAGTTGGCTTCCTGGCCAAGTGCCGTGGCTCATGCCTATAATCCTAGCACTTTGGGAGGCTGAGGTGGGTGGATCACCTGAGGTCAGGAGTTCGAGACCAGCCTGGCCAACATGGCAAAACTCCGTCTCTACTAAAAATACAAAAATTAGCTGGGCATGGTGGCAGGTGCCTGTAATCCCAGCTACTTGGGAGGCTAAGGCAGAAGAATCATTTGAACCCGGGAGGCAGAGGTTGCAGTGAACCGAGATTACACCACTGTACTCCAGCCTGGGCAACAGGAGCAAGACCCTGTCTCAAAACAAAAAGTTGGTTTCCTTCCGTTTATCCATATCAGAGGCCCTCCCTTCCCTTCCCAGCTGTACCAGAATTAATAATAATGCCAAATACTTACCAGCATCCTTGTCTTCAGTGTCCAGAGCTTTTATCTTTTTTAAGAAAATATTTATTCAGGAATAGACATTGCAATGGGAATATGCCCGCCATAGTAAACTATGTGCGTATACAGGGAGGTAAAGGATGACAAAGGTGTTTAAAGGAAAAATGAGGAGGATTTCATCATTGTTTTGAGACAATGATCCTTGAGTAAAGGATCAGTAACAAGGGCGGTGCCAGTTTAAGTTAGACAGGCAAGCAGGGGCTGGGCAGATGTCCTCACAGGAGTACTATTTTGTGTAAGGTTGCAATGGCTTGTGAGTTGCAATGGCTTGTGAACAAGTTGGTGCCTTTTGCAGAGTCTCATGTGATAGTTCTCTCTCTATATATAATTTCAACTATTACTTTAGACTAAAGGGGTACATGTGCAGGTTTGTTACCTGGGCATATTGCATGATGCTGAGGTTTGGGGTCAACTGATCCCATCACCCGGGTACTGAGTATAGTAGCCAACAGTTTTCAACCCTTTACCTTCCCTCCCTCTCCTGCCTTGCAGTCCCCAGTATCTGTTGTTACCGTCTGGACGTCCATGAGTACCCAGTGTTTAGCTCCCGCTTACAAGTGAGAACATATGGCATTTGGTTTTCTGTTCCTGCATTAACTCGTTTGGGATAATAGCCTTCAGCTATGTCCATGTTGCAACAAAGGACATGATTTTGTTCTTTTTTATGGTTGTGTAGTGTTCCGTGGTGTATATGGACCACAAGAACTTTTAAAATCCTATTTAACTATTAGAAATTTCACATGAGAGTGTAGAGAGCAGTATGCCATATTGTTGTGGTGCAGTATTTTTTGGCAAAAGCCACTTTTCATGGCTTATTGTGGCTCGGCCATAATGCCAAAGATTGGGGAGTCTGCAAAAGTTTAGTCTGGTCATCGCTTGCCTTAGTAAGTTAGAGCTCCAGCCTTGCCCTGGATTGGCTCTGAGTCCCCAGACTGGGTTTTTTGTTTGGTTGGTTGGTTGGTTTTTTTGTTTGGTTGTTTTCTTAAGAGTCTAGCTCTGTCCCCCAGGCTGGAGTACAGTGGCGTGATCTCAGCTCACTGCAACCTCCACCTCCCAGGTTCGAGCGATTCTTCTGCCTCAGCCTCCAGAGCAGCTGGAATTACAGGTGCCCACCACCATGCCCGGCTAATTTTTGTATTTTGAGTATAGATGGGGTTTCACCATGTTGGCCAGGCTGGCCTTGAACTCCTGACCTCAGGTGATCTGCCTGCCTCAGCCTCCCAAAGTGCTGAGATTACAGGCGTGAGCCGCCGCACCCACCCTCCCCAGACTGGTTTCTGATTGCAGTTATCCTCTCCTGGCTCCAGCAGAAGGAGGTGCAGAGCAAGGCCCTGCCCTCTCTGGAGTGTCTGTATCCTCACACAGCTCGGCATTGCTCTGTGCCCAGCAGGAACAGCACAGGGCTGGGCAAGACAGTCCAACTGGGGCACAGAATCTGTTGTCCAAAGGGCATGTTATGTTGCCTATGGTTGGCACTGGGGGCTCTTACAAGGTGTCAGAATAAACTGGCAGGTGGAACCCAGCCATGTAGAATTCGGGGCGAGGCACTATTTAGGAATCAGGCAGAAGGTCAGAACATACAGTGAGGTCTGTCCATGGGTGGCAGAGTCCTCATCATTGATTGGCATTTGGAGTCTTGCTTCAAGAACTAGGATGGAACTGGGGAAAGTAAGATTGGGTCTCAAACTTGGGGATCAGGATCACTGGAGAGGTGATCAATTTGTATTTTGTTAATCATTATAACATTTACATCCATTTGAAAAATAAGCATTCAGGCCGAGCACAGTGGCTCACGCCAATAATCCTAGGACTTTGGGAGGCCGAGGCGGGTGGATCACTTGAGGTCAGGAGTTCAAGACCAGCCTGGCCAACATGGTGAAACCCCATCTCTACAAAAAAAATACAAAAATTAGCTGAGCATGTTGACCAGCACTTGTAGTCCCAGCTACTTGGGAGGCTAAGGTGGAAGAACCCCTTGAACCTGGGAGACAGAGGTTGCAGTGAGCTGAGATCGCGTCACTGCACTTCAGCCTGAGCAACAGAGCGAGACTCTGTCTTTTTAAAAAAAAAAAAGAAAAGAAAAGTAATCATTCAAATGTATGAGAGCCATTTATTTAGTTTACCTAAAGCAATGCTTGATTTCCGTTTGTTTTCACAAACTCCTTTCAGTAGGGATGGCAGGTACTGCCCAGAGCTTATAAGTCTGAGAATTTGGTTGAGGACCCTAAACATTCCAGCTTTCATTTGAGAAGACCATAGTTTCTGCCAAAAGTAATCTCTGTGACTCTCTTGCCCGGACCTTAATAAAAGGAGTCATTCAGTACATGTAAAATGAATAAGTAACAGACTATTCGCAGTTCCCATATTCATCAGTCATCACTGTTAATTAGCCATCGCTGTTATTAATGGAACAGTAAGCTCAATTGCTATGTCCATAGGAAAGTTATTTAACTTTAATGATAGAAAAGGGCTTTTCATAAGAATTCAACAAAATAAGGATCTATGATTCTTTGTGATTCTAAATTCCAGGTATGAAGTGACAAGTGAATCAGAGCAGCAGTTAACCTAGAGTTTGGAGACTTCTATTTGATCTTTTCATTATGTATGAGGAGAAGCAGTGCCAGCAATCTGATGATCAGCGCTGTACTAACTGTGGCCATTCCTGATGTCATGTCAGAGTATTGTATAGAACTGTGGAATTTTAGCACAGAAATAAGCTTTGCATTACTTGAATTCATCAGACCTTTACCTAGCACATAGAAAACATTCATTATACTTTGATAAATGAAAATTTCTGGCAAATATCATTAGGCCATTTGACCAGACGTCAAATTAATTTCAGAGAAACCAGTCTGTTTCCACCTTAGCAGCCATATAGATTTCGTCCCTGTTTTGGTTCTGATAGTTGCTGAGGAGTCTCCAGGCTTTTTGTAATTTCTGTAAGAATCAAAGATACAGTGGAACACCATGCAAATAAGTCTCATCCTCTTGGGGTGAGGGTGAAGTCCTAAACTCGGAATTAATACTAATAATTACAGGCAGTGGCTCACACCTGTAACCCCAGCACTTTGGAAGGCAGAGGCGGGAGGATCACTTAAGGTCAGGAGTTAGAGGCCAGCTTGGCCTTCGTGGTGAAACCCCGTCTCTATTAAAAATACAAAAATTAGCTAGGTGTGGTGGCACATACCTGTAATCCCAGCTATCCAGGAGGCTGAGGTATGAGAATCGCTTGAACCTGGGAGGTGGAAGTTGCAGTGAGCTGAGATTGTGCCACTGTACCCCAGCCTGGGTGACAGAGTGAGACCCCGTCTCAAAAACAAACAAACAAAAACAAACAAAAAACCCACAACTACCCTCCTTTCTCATCCCCTCCCTGTGTTGCATTCAGCTATGTTAGTTGCATCCAAGTATGTATATTTCAACTCCATAGTCACTTTTCCAGTGATTACTTCCTTTATACTGAGGAACTTGGGGCCTTGGCGAGCCTGACTCAGGGCTACAAGGCTGCTTAATTCAGAGCCAAGACTAAAGCTTAGCCTTCTCAACCCAACTCCAGTCCTTTCCTCGCCATAACGTTAAAGAGTGGTTTGTTGAGCTAATTCTGTAGAAAAGAATTTGTTTCAACAAAAACTTAAACAGGATAACTGAGGATCCAGTATAGAGCTGGAATGGTATAGAGAGGCCTGGATGGGAGTCAGAAGATATGAATACTAATTATTTCTGTCATCAGCCTCATGGCCTTGAACCATTTACCTACTTTAAACATGGTCATGCATCCTTTAGCAAGGACAGGAACATGTTCTGAGAAATGCATTGTTAGGCAATTTTGTCATTATGTGACCATCATAGAGTGTACTTACACACCTAGGCTAGATGGTATAGCCTATTGCTCCAAGGCTACATACCTGCACCGTGTGTATTGAATACTGTAAGCAGCTGTCATAACAGAGTAGTATTTGTGTATCTAAACATAGAAAAGGTGCAATAAAAGTATGCTATTATAATCTTATGGGACCAATGTCTTATATGCAGTTCATGGTTGACCAAAACATCATTTTGTGGTGCAGGACTCTGTCTCTTCCTCTGTGAAATAAAAATAATACTGACCTACTTACCTAATTTTAGCTGTTTCGATGATCAAGTGAAAAAATGTTTTGTGAAAACACTTTGAAAATTATAAGGTATTATTGGCAGGGCACGGTGGCTCACGCCTGTAATCCCAGCACTTTGGGAGGCCGAGGCAGGCAGATCACAAGGTCAGGAGATCGAGACCATCCTGGCTAACACGGTGAAACCCCTGTACAAAAAATTAGCCGGGCATGGTGGTGGGCACCTGTAGTCCCAGCTACTCGGGAGGCTGAGGCAGGAGAATGGCGTGAACCCAGGAGGCGGAACTTGCAGCAGTGAGCCGAGATCACGCCACTGCACTCCAGCCTGGGCGACAGAGTGAGACTCCCGTCTCAAAAAAAAAAAAAAAAAATTATAAGGTATTATTTATTGCACTTTGCAATCTGACTATGTGATGATCTGACCAAAGAGGCTTATTCTCCTCTTAATTCATGTAAGGAAGCTCTGAAACTAAAGTTCACATCTGGGTAACCTGTACATATAAAATTTGGGAATAATCCATGGTTCTGAATAAAAAGAGTATTTAAGATCAAAATATTCTAAATCAATAGATTTTCTAACAGAGAAATAATAATTTATAATGTACATCTATTTTTAAATAAAGATAGGCAACAATGTAACAGAAGAATAAATACTCCAAAGTGAAATAAAACTAGACTGAGGGAATAAAGTAAAATTTATGATAGTCTCATTAAAGGTTGCTACATGCTTGAAACATAAAAGATACAAGGGATATTTGTTAAAAATGAATATTGTGGTGGCCATTTGCTTGTTTTTGACTGGAGTGTTTTATTTAGGGAAAACTTCTTTCTTTTTCCTTGACAGATATTGACGGCTTAGAGAGCAGTGCCATTGGTGGCCAGCTGATGGCCTCGGCTGCTACAGAGTCTCCTTTCGCCCAGAGCAGGAGAATTGATGACTCCACAGTGGCAGGTAATGACTTGGGTCTTGAGTTTATGAACATCCATACACTGCATGTGTTACCAGCAATTACATTGTTATGTGGTGACTTGAATCAGGATTTTGTCTTGGTTAGAAAAAGTAATTGGGCCGGGCCCGGTGGCTCACGCCTGTAATCCCAGCACTTTGGGAGGCCGAGGCGGGCAGATCACGAGGTCAGGAGATCCAGACCATCCTGGCTAACACGGTGAAACCACGTCTCTACTAAAAATACAAAAAATTAGCCGGGTGTGGTGGTGGGCACCTGTAGTCCCAGCTACTCAGGAGGCTGAGGCAAGAGAATGGCATGAACCCGGGAGGCGGAGCTTTCAGTGAGCCGAGATTGTGCCACTGCACTCCAGCCTGGGTGACAGAACGAGACTCCGTCTCAAAAAAAAAAAAAAAAAGAAAAAGAAAAAGTAATTGATGGAAGTTACTTAGCATCATTCAGCTGATAATGCAACATTTATTATTTATAAGAACAAAGTGAAACATAATCCCATATAATCCATTGTTATATTTCCTGTTGTAGAATTGCATGCAACTGAGTACTGCTCATTTGATAGCAAGAGAATGTGATGTCATTCATTGCCAGGTTGTTTTTGTCTCTAGAAAATGACACACACCCCTCCATGTTCCAGGCGTGGCATTTGCTCGCTATATTCTGGTGGGCTGCTGGAAGAACTTGATCGATACTTTATCAACCCCACTGACTGGTCGAATGGCGGGGAGCTCCAAAGGGCTGGCCTTCATTCTGGGAGCTGAAGGCATCAAAGAGCAGAACCAGAAGGAGCGGGACGCCATCTGCATGAGCCTCGACGGGCTGCGGAAAGCCGCACGGCTGAGCTGCGCTCTAGGTACCAGCGGGAGTAGTGTTCCCTGGCCGTGGTCCTGCAGAACTCACTGGGAATGACCCAGCAGGGTGGGGCAGGGGGACCCTTTAGAAGGGGTTCTGCTAGGTGAATGGTTAGAGGATATACTCAGTCAAGAAGTCATTGTGTGTCTCCTCTGAAGGCGTTGCTGCTAACTGCGCCTCAGCCCTTGCCCAGATGGCAGCTGCCTCCTGTGTCCAAGAAGAAAAAGAAGAGAGGGAGGCCCAAGAACCCAGTGATGCCATCACACAAGGTAACAACTGGAGGGCCAGAACCCACCTGGTGCCTTGGGTGCAGTATGCACACACCTGCACAGGCCTACACACGCCAGCCAACACTCGTGCCTGTTCTGTGTGTGATGCCCGGTATGTATACACCACTGATCACGAGATCCCATTGAGCCACAGGCTTGGGTCTCTTCCATGTAGGTGACCTACAGAAGATCTCTCTGGAGAATGAGAGACATACTGACCCCTGGTGGCAAGGAAAGTGCAGCAGGCCCAGGGGGACCCACCTGGCTGAACTGTTCACACCTGTCATCTAGTCACTGGCTTTGGCACTTCACACAAGTGCACACTTGAAGACCCTTCGGGTTATAGTGGGGAAGGCAGATTGGCCAGTTTTCTAAAGGGGAAATTAAGCAGACGAAGAAAATTCATGAGGGGAGGCTCAGGAAGAAGAGGCTCTTATCAGAGAAAAATCTGAGCTTTGTGAACTCGAGAAATGGCTGATTTTTAACTTGATGAAATCAGTGAGTCGGTGAAGCTGATGATTATCTGGATCTAAGGGAAAAGAATGACCATCCTGGTAGCAACAGAAGATACAAGGCAGGCAGCAAACAAAAGGAAAAATGCCAGCTTGGTCCAAATTGTGTAACTACTATCAGATATGTACAGTAACAAGTCACTGAGTCAGCTGTACATTTTTAGCTGAGAAACACAATTTAGGTCCGTGTTTCTCAGACTTGAATAAAATTTAGAGACCCATTTGAAAACAAAATCGCTCTCACAGATCCCCAGCGTTAACTGAAAAAGGAGTCTCACAATTTTACTTAAGTATTTTACAACCATGAACTACATAAAAATCCTTACATTCACAGTTCTTTAAAAAAAAAACCACAAAACCAAGACCACGATATTCAGATTAAAAACAAATAAAAAATAAGATTAAGGCCGGGCACAGTGGCTTACGCCTGTAATCCCAGTACTTTGAGAGGTCGAGGAAAGCGGATCACTTGAGCCCAGGAGTTCAAGACCAGCCTGGGCAACATAGCAAAACCCTGTCTCTACTAAAAATACAGAAATTAGCCAGGCATGGTGGCATGTGCCTGTAGTCCCAGCTACTCGGGAGGCTGAGGTGGGAGGATCACCTGAGCCTGGGGAGGTTCAGGCTGCAGTGAGCAATAATCATTCCATTGCACTCTAGCCTGGGTGACAGAGTGAGACCCTATCTCAAAAAAATAGATAAAACAGCCAGGCGCAGTGGCTTACACTTGTAATCCCAGCACTTTGGGAGGCTAAGGTGGGCGGATCATTTGAGGTCAGGAGTTTGAGACCAGCCTGGCCAACATGGTGAAAGAAACCCCGTCTCTACTAAAAAATACAAAAATTAGCTGGGCGTGGTGGTGGGTGCCTGTAATCCCAGCTACTTCAGAGGCTGAGGCAGGACAATTGCTTGAACCTGGGAGAGGTTGCAGTGAACCAAGATGAAGCCACTGCACTCCAGCCTGGGTAACAGAGTGAGACACCATCTCAAATAAATAAATAAAATTAGTATCACATTTATGAGACAAATGATGTTTTGCTAAAAATCACTTTGCTCCTTACATTAGGAGATGGTTTGGATTCCTTTGAGGTTGGCTTGCTATATTTCTGGGTTCTGGACCATCACTTAGTTATCCTACCACATGCAATGACTTGAAACCTTTGTTCAAGGAGGACACTGTGGTTTGGCCTTGCCTTAGCATTTTGCATTACTGACATCTGAAGTCACCTTCTGCATTCTTTCTCATTAGTCATCTACAATTTTTTTTTTCTTTTGAGACCGAGTTTCACTCTTGTTGCCCAGGCTGGAGAGCAATGGCACCATCTCGGCTTACTGCAATCTCCGCCTCCCAGGTTCAAGCTATTCTCCTGCCCCAGCCTCCTGAGTAGCTGGGATTACAGGCATGTGCCACCATGCCCGGCTAATTTTGTATTTTCAGTAGAGACAGAGTTTCTCCATGTTGTTCAGGCTGGTCTCGAACTCCCAACCTCTGGTGATCCACCTGCCTTGGCCTCCCAATGTGCTGGGATTACAGATGTGAGCCACCACACCCAGGCTACAATTTTTTAAAGTATTATTTGGAGCTCACAAATACAAACTCAAGGGATGAAATGAAATTGGTCATTTTCAGTGATAGAGCAGTCATTCTGGTGCTCAAAATATACGTAAATAAGTTGTTTTAGAGATGATGATCATAATGAGAGCCTAACATTACAATAATCTCAGAGAAAACTTGCAGAAAGCCAGGAATTCTTCCATTTGACCAATTTTTGGGAAGGGTGAAAGGTCTGGGCCCAGATGGTTTTAGCTGGAATTGGCTCATGAAACCCATCCACACTGCTGTGCCTGACCCAGAGCCCATGAAAGGGCCTGGAAGGAATGGCACCTGCCAGCTCAGGATCCATCCCACTTCTGGAGCTGGAGAGCTGGGGCCACCAGCACGTGGGACCTGCTGGCTGGGTGGTTTGCATGATGGTCCGCAAGGACCTACTGTGGAGGTGCTTGCTGCCACTGAAGTCTGTCCTTTCCCTTTTGCCCTTGCATGACACACATTCTTTCATTTTCATTCTTTCTGTCTCCCTTACTCAACCTGTTATTTTAATAAATGTCTTTCTGGCACAGTGAAACTAAAAGTGGAGCAGAAACTGGAGCAGATTGGGAAGGTGCAGGGGGTGTGGCTGCACACTGCCCACGTCTTGTGCATGGAGGCCATCCTCAGCGTAGGCCTGGAGATGGGAAGCCACAACCCGGACTGCTGGCCACACGTGTTCAGGTGCATGACGGGCTCCCACCCCCAGATGGCACTAACCCTGCCTTGGGAAACCTGGAGTGGGCTGTGGCAGGTGGAGAGGGGTGGCCTTAAGAGCCTGCCAGCATGTAAATCAATTATAACAATTCACAGAGTTTGATTAAACTTCAAATGAGACGTGAAAAGAGAAGAGGGAATAAGGGCCCAACTGAATGTATGTTTTGAAGAACAGGGGACAGAACTGGGTCTGAGGAATTGTGACTTTTCTATTGACATTTTTATGAGAGAAGGAAGGAAGAAAAACCAATTAAATAATTGATTGAGATGACTAAGTGAATACTGTGCAAATCTAAAACTGGTCATGTCTCCTCAATATTACATTGCTATATGTTTATCAATGTCCTCTTTACTTAAAGAAGGATTTCAGATAGCTTATTTGCATACATAAAATACAAGATACCTACTTTTAATTTAGCTAGACTGAAACAAAACAAAACAAAACAAAAAATCGTACACCTCTGCCAAAGACAGGCCAAAAATTTAGCTCTAAGCATTGTAGCATCAAAGTGAAAAGAAACTCCCAGTGAGTTATATAGTGCACAGTGCCTGTAAGATGAAAACCAGCAATAGCTCCAGAGTCCAAGTCCTCTTACAACTAAGACTGAAAGCACGTCTCCCCAAGCATTGCATCAGGACAGACCCAGTACCGTGGAAGGAGCACTGCCCATGGAACAGGGCGGGGGCTGGCCACACTGTTCCTTCTCCTTCTCTGCAGCACATGCCTCACACTCACTCCAAACCCAGGTCTAGGCAGAGCAGGCATGGGGCAAGAGTGGCCAGGGCAATGGCCAATGGCCCAGGGCACCAGCCAGAGCTGGGTTCAGTTTCACGTCTTCAAAGCAAATATAGCCATGAGTGTTTGTTGAGCAAAATGGTTCTATTATGAAGGCTGCTGACCTGCTGCTCTTTATTGCTCTAACAAGAAAAGAAAAGAAAAAAGAAAATAAAAAGGCTCTCCTGGTACACAAGCAGCGGGTAAGGGATTGAAAAATTCCTTGATTCTAGAACATCAGAGTGGATTATCCATGATGCTCTTTACCAGTAAACAGACTTACTCCGAGATGAGGGACCTTGCGAACCATCTTCGTCCCAGGTTCTGTTGGGAACAAACCATTTAGGAGTTGGCAGTTGTAGCACATGTGGTGACCCTTCTCTGTGTCTGCCATAATTCGGTGACTGCCCTCCCACCCGGCCGCCACCCACCCCACCCAGACTTGAGTTATGTGGCGCCGTCGGGACCAGGCAGGACGTGGCTGGGCAGAACCCACTGTGGCTAGTTGGCCTCTCCGTCATAGGTATAGCCATTCTGGGATCCCATCGTAGGGAAACGCTTCCCAACTCCTAATCAGAGCACTATATGGAGGGAAAGAGGGTGCCTGGGGAAAAATGGCTCAAACAGCAGGAGGGCAGATAAGCCAGTAAGCCGGATGAGGCAGGGGGACTGGATGAACTGGGCTTCATTGCCCGTCTTTCTCCCAGCCTGGGGTGGGAGAACCCAAATAATCCTTTACCCATTTCAAGGCTGTCTGGTCCAACTCAAATACTACTAATAATAATGCTGTGTGACATGAGAACACAGGAGGGAAGGACTGACTGTCATCACAGGAAAGAGGAAAGCTGGGGAGCTTGCAGAGCTGGCTGCATTTCCTTTGTCTGGCACTGTGGGGTTTATGGAGCTGCCGGGGTGAGCTGCAGCGCCTAACAGCTGCTTGTCTGTGCTCTTTCTAGGGTGTGTGAATACGTGGGCACCCTGGAGCACAACCACTTCAGCGATGGTGCCTCGCAGCCCCCTCTGACCATCAGCCAGCCCCAGAAGGCCACTGGAAGCGCTGGCCTCCTTGGGGACCCCGAGTGTGAGGGCTCGCCCCCCGAGCACAGCCCGGAGCAGGGGCGCTCCCTGAGCACGGCCCCTGTCGTCCAGCCCCTGTCCATCCAGGACCTCGTCCGGGAAGGCAGCCGGGGTCGGGCCTCCGACTTCCGCGGCGGGAGCCTCATGAGCGGGAGCAGCGCGGCCAAGGTGGTGCTCACCCTCTCCACGCAAGCCGACAGGTGCGCGGCGCCGGCCTCCCACGCCCCGGGAGCCTGCTTACCAGGCGACACCCACATCCATCTGGTTTCAGTCATGCCAGGGACGACCCATTTGTTAGCCAATCACTTAAATCTCTTCCATCTTTTTCAAGCTTAGTTCTCTCTACCATTACATCCATACTTGGAATGAAACGTTTTCTACTAACACTGGAGGGTCTGAGGTAGGCCACCTGGGGTCAAAGCGCTGCGCTTACTCTGGGATCTCAGGCAACCTCACCTCCCTGGGCCCTGCCTGGCTTCTCCATTGGTAAAATAGGGTCATTTTTTAAAAGTAATTCTGTCACCGTGTAGTTGTGAGGGTAAATTAATTAGTAACTTGATGCACCTGGAGCGGAGCTTGGAAAATGGTAAAAATCCTCTATTATGATTATGGCTGTTTTCAAAAATCCCACATGCATGTGTTACTTATTGATGCCCAACAACCATGCGAGGGTGAAGAGGGAAAATCACCAATCGCCTCAACTGTTTGGTGGTACTTCCTGAGGTTGAAAGTGCTTTTGGTCACCAATCACACACAGTTCCACCTCACTTACCTCTTCAGTGTTTGGTCACTGTGTCCCAGACCCCCGGCACGGGCACAGGGAGGACCGTCAGGAAGGGGACAGGAGTGGGAGGAGCACTCCCTGGGCCAGGACTCAGATTGACCTGAGTTCCTGTCCTGACTTTGCACTCCCCAGCTGCCGGGTCATGTCTGTAGACATAGCTGCACTGAGGCTCAATTTCTCCAACTACTAACCCACTACCATAATTGCTTTTTGCTGCTTATCCAAGTTGGCTGTGAAAATGTTTTAGAATCTGGAAAGTAATATACAGGTGTCAGGTGGAATATAATATTCATCACTGTTTTCTTACTAGGAAGGAGGGAGGAGAAATGGTCAATAGGACCCAGAAACCAAATGGTATCAAAATTGGAAGTTACAAAATAGCAAGAAAAATATATTTGTTTCAATAATTTATAAATGTTTAATCCGCTAATTCCCATCTTAAAACTTGCGTGTCTCATTTTCCTCTTTCAAGAAGGACTCATGATTCCATTTCTATTAGAGACCCTCTCCCTGAAGCAGCTCATGGTGCCCCCACAGCACTGTTTGCCCTGCGGTGTCACTAGGCTTGGAGGGCAGATAGCAGGGTGACCCAAGAGCCATGGAAGGCTCACCTGGCACATTGCTCGTTGTGGCCTCATAAAACAGATATTTGATCTTTACCATTCTTCATTCCCGTGACCTTCAAATCCTCCCCTAAATTCTGCTACTGTGCTCCCCGCCTTCCTAAATCCTTCTGCTGGCAAGGTCTGTGCCCAGCTGAGTGGGAAAGAAAAAGAACCTGTAAGACCCATCATATTGGGGAACATTCTTTCTTCCAAATAGATACTTGAGTTCCCATCACATCCAGGCCTTTGGGTGTGTATGAGGCCAGTCCCCGCCCTGGAGGGGGGCTTACAGGATCTACTCTTAGCTGTTTTTGTATCTTTTCCAGCATTATACTCATAAATTATAGACAAACAAAACCTTATTCATTAATTTACTGGGGTTTTTTGACATCATTTATGAAATTGAAGCTAATTCTGAAGATTCCATTCCCAGTTACTCAGTTTCTGGGAACAACGCCTTGCCATCTTTCAGCTTCTTGCCAAGCATTTTATGAGTGCCTACCATAGCGGAGCTAGACCATGAGGGCACAAAGATATTTTTAAATATATTCTTTGTGCCTTTGAATTAAAATCTCACAGTTAGAGCAGACTTGTACACAGTTAGAATAGATAGAATAATACCATACATTTGTCTACAGTGTTTACACAGCATTTCCATTAATCACATCAACAAAATTACCATAATCATTCTGCCATAAAGACCTTGCTGAATTGTTTCCAAAGAACACATCTCTTTCTGTTTGCATCCAGGCTCTTTGAAGATGCTACGGATAAGTTGAACCTCATGGCCTTGGGAGGTTTTCTTTACCAGCTGAAGAAAGCATCGCAGTCTCAGCTTTTCCATTCTGTTACAGATACAGTTGATTACTCTCTGGCAATGCCAGGTAATTCTTTCCCTGAATAAACCATATGCCAGGAAGTTAGCAGGAAACAGCCCAGGCCTCTATCACCAGCAGCGTGCCTGAAGATTTGACTCCACATTCCCATTGCTTACACTCACACAAGCTAAGCCCAAGTATAGATTTGTCTCCAGATTTTGAGGCATCCTGTGTGAGGGGTGGTGTAACTCTTTGTGAATGGAAACGTTGCTGCTACCACATCTATAAGAACTCCCACTGGAGCTGGACTAGGTTGTTCTGCTAAGTTTTGTGCTTGTGGTAGAAATTGTGTGGCTCCTTAGGGTGCAGATAGCTTCCTTCACATGAGGGTGGAGCTTTTCTGCGTATCACAAACCACACCACACACCTCTGTCCAGCCAGTGGGACAGAGGTGGTTTGTGATATGCAGAAGCAACCACTAATTCCAAAAGGGGTGGTGAAAGAGGAAACTGCCTACCACTCTTGCAAAACTGATCTCAGAGGCATATCCCATTAATGATGGGTCAGTATCCCTGTTGTCTCCAATGAGGCCAGGTGAAGAAATAAGGCCCTCTTGAAGGCCAGTCTTGTGGAAGACAAAGTAGAGTTGTTCTGAATTGTCCAAGGGTCCCAAAGCATTGGCAGGTTGCTCATAGATGGAATTGTTCATCAAGAGCACAAGTGGTTGTCCTGAAACAGTGAGCACCTTGTCCCAGATGAGTTCAGGCAGAGACCGGGAGCCATGTGCTGGGGATGCACCTTAGTGACATGTTGGACTGCATAACCTCTGAGGTCCCTTCTATCCTTAGGAATCTAAAGTTCTAAGTGTAGTATATTTGATTTTTTCACCCTTGCTGCAGATTTAGATTTGAGAACCACAGTTGTTTCCCCACTAGTTTTTAATAGACTTTAAAACCTGAGCTATATAAAGCCAACCTCCCAGGCCCATAAGACTTTCAGAGAATCTCTGAGCCTGGGGGTAACCTTCAAAGTCTTTCGCATTGGAGAAAACAGTAGACTCTGAGCTTACAAAGAACACAATGAGCAGGGGCCAGGAAGGGTCGGTAAATCTAGAAAGAGGGAGACTTACTTCGGAATCAATCAGGTAGGAATATAAAATGCAGCCTCCAACACTCACCAGCCACAGCATCTGAGGCAAGTCATATCACCTTTCAGACATTCAATTTTCTACTCTGTAAAATAGCAATAATTATATTTTCTTCTTAAAAGAAAATATAGGCCAGGTGTGGCAGCTCATGCCTATAATCCCAGCACTTTAGGAGGCCGAGGCGGGCAGATCACCTGAGGTCAGGAGTTCGAGACAAGCCTGACCAATATGGTGAAACCCTGTCTCTACTAAAAATGCAAAAAAAAAAAAAAATTAGCCGGGTGTCATGGCATGTGCCTGTAGCCCCAGCTACTCGGGAGGCTGAGACAGGAGAATTGCTTGAACCCGGGAGGTGGAGGTTGCAGTGAGCTGAGATTGCACCACTGCACTCCAGCCTGGGCGACAGAGTGAGACTCCCTCAAAAAAAAAAAAAGAAAGAAAGAAAATATAATTGCTTTAAAAATTAAAGTTATTAAAGACTTACAGAACCAACACAGTGTCTGATGCAGGGTAAACATCCATGATTATTACAGGTTGAGTATCCCTAATCCAAAAATCCAAAATCCAAAACTTTTTAAGCACTGGCATGATGCCACAAGTGGAAAGTTCCACACCTGACCTCATGTGATAGGTCACACTGGAAATGCAGGCATGCAACACAGTTTATTGAGGGTCCCCAAGGGGTACAAAAATTGCCTTCAGGCTGTGTGTAAAGGTATATATGAAACAGAAATGAATTTTGTGTTTAGACTTGGGTCACATCCCCAGTAGGAAGCAGAGGAGAGGCAATAGGACATGAGCAGGGAGAGAGCGGGGAAGATGAAGGTTGTCACCTTCTTTGCCAAGAAGGTGGCAAACCCCGCCCCCCATAGTTTCTCACCCTAGTTCAAGATTAGGGCACCAAGAGAGCCCCGCCCTCTTGGCAAAGAAGTAGCCCAAGATCAGGGTAGGCAAGGATGGTACTAAAACAAGACAGAGAAGGCCAGACAGCATGTTACTGAGCAGCAGGGGGACCAGGCCTGCTTGGCAAAGGCTGCAGAGGTTTATTAAGGATTGGCAAAGTAGATGATGACAGTGAAAGGTGACAGTAACAAGAGTAATAATAATAGCTAAAAATGTTGGTCAGTTACTATGTGCTGGGCCCATGCTGAGCACTTTATGCGTATTATCACGTTTAATCTTTAAAGCAATTTTAGGAGTGGGCAGTATTATCCCCAGGTTTACAGATGAGATCATTAAAGAGGAAAATCTTTGGCCCAGTATAACACAACTACTAAATGGTGCCAGGATTCGAATCCAGACGGTCGGACTTCTCGGCCCTCCTACTGAACCGCTACCTCATTCCCTCTTATCATCAAGTTTTGATCATACCTGTCACGTCCCAGGTACCGGGGCTACAGTGGTGAGTGAGAGGACGATGCAGGCCTTGCTAAGTGAACCACCACATCCTTCTTGAATCCAGGGCTCCCTCCTCCCTTGGTTAGCCAATATCGAATTACCCTACTGGTCCTACCTAGATTTTCAACCTCTCTCTTTGCTTGAATAGGTCAGACTATGTCTGAGTTTTGGCTTTCTGGCATTTATGTTCTTGCCTTCCTGTAGGAGAAGTTAAATCCACTCAAGACCGAAAAAGCGCCCTCCACCTGTTCCGCCTGGGGAATGCCATGCTGAGGATTGTGCGGAGCAAAGCACGGCCCCTGCTCCACGTGATGCGCTGCTGGAGCCTTGTGGCCCCACACCTGGTGGAGGTGAGCACTGGGAAGGTGGGAAGAGGCTGGAACTGCTAAGTCAGTGACCAGCAGAGCCAGCATGGGGGCCTGCAGTCATGTATGGGGGCAAAGCACTGTGGCCATTGGGCAGTGGGAACTTGCCTATCACCTGGTCACAAACATCACTGTTTTCTGGTTATACCTCATGGCATCTAAAGAATCACCCCAAAGGGCAGTACTACCCTAGTCTCACTCTGACCCTCTTTCTTTGCAATTGTACAGCTCAGCTAGTTTTCATTTTTATGATCTGGTATCAACCTGAGCCTGGAACAGAAAGACTGTGGATGGTTCCTAATAGCTTTATTTTTATACATAAATATAACAATGTCTTTGGTTCCTACCAGTCCCTGTTTTCTAATAGCTAAATATACTCAGGACAGTGTCCTTTCAGTCAGGGAACCCTATGTCTTGGTTTTCCCAACAAAATTAATACTAAGACCCTTTCACTCTCCAAAGGAAAGCAGTTCGTGTGATCAGTTTTATGGCAGCTCTACATCTAAGCATCTCAATACATGAGGACTGGCCACTTCCAAGTTGACAGGGAAAACTGTTGCCCTGCTTTGCAGTGATAACTATTCTTAATAGCCCTTTTGCTTTTATCTGGTAGAGATAAATCATAAAATATTTCTTGGAACTTAAATTACTAACCTGAGAACATTCTAGTAAGCAAAATGGGTAGAAAATAGCAATGTAGTCATGGGGAAAAAGTCTATCAGTTATCTTTTACTCTACAATAAGGCCTCCCCAACATCTAGTGGCTTAAAACAACAACCATTTATTTAGCTCATGATTCCATGAGTCAGAAATTTGAGGTAGGCTTCTCTGGGTAGTTCTGGTGTTGGCCAGGGGTGGCAGATCTCACTGGCTTTAATTGTGTATCTATGGTCAGCTGGTGCAAAGTCTGGGGCCAGATGGTTCATGATGACCTTAACTGGGAAGGCTAGACAAATAGGTCTCTCTTTTCATGGTCTCTCATGTAGACTAGACTCCAGCAGACCAGCCCCAGCTTGTTCACGTGGCATTCTTAGGGTTCCAAAGAGCAACAACAGGGCAAACCCCAAATCACAAGTACTTTTTAATTCTGTTCTTACATGATGTTTGCTTGTGTTCCACTGGCCAAAGCAACTCACACATCCAAGCCCAGGGCCAGTACAGGAAAGGATTACTCAAGAGCATGGATACCAGGAGGTCTGTAAACCAATTAGAGCTACTGTGGCAATTTGTCCCTCACCTCACTGAGGGACAAATGACTCATCTGATCTTCCTACATGTGGGGCACAGCTCAGATGAAACTGTGAGCCATTCCTAGACTGGGTTCTGGTGTCTTTACAGTGAGCATGTTCTGTACCATTCAAGAAAACTGTCATGTTACAGAAAAAGAAATTACCGGAAACTTTCCTTTTTCTAGAAACATTAACATGAAATTGAGGTTGTACCTGATAAGCTGGTTGAATTGTTAAAAATGCAATTTAGTATGCAGTTTGTTTAGACTTATCCCTTAGAATGTTTTGATTTTAACAGAATTGCTGCTTCCACCTCCTTGTAATGAGGTGGGGTAGGAAAGCCTTCAGAAACCATTCTCACTGTCTGCTGTCCTGATGGTGAGCCACTCTCTCGTGAATTTTGCAGGCTGCTTGCCATAAGGAAAGACATGTGTCTCAGAAGGCTGTTTCCTTCATCCATGACATACTGACAGAAGTCCTCACTGACTGGAATGAGCCACCTCATTTTCACTTCAATGAAGCACTCTTCCGACCTTTCGAGCGCATTATGCAGCTGGAATTGTGTGATGAGGACGTCCAAGACCAGGTCAGTGTGACATGGTCATCAGCGTCATAGCTGGCTCTTACTGAGTGCAGTGGCAGGCACGGTTCTATGAGCTTCGCACACTTACTCTTTCCAATAATCCTATGTGGAATCTGTAACGGAGAAGTTAAGCAGGGCTGGGCGTGGTGGCTCACACCTGTAATCCCAGCACTTTGGGAGGCCAAGGTGGGCGGATCACGAGGTCAGGAGTTCAAGGCCAGCCTGACCAACATGGTGAAACCCCGTCTCTACTAAAAATACAAAAGTTAGCCAGGTGTGGTGTTGCACGCCTGTAACCCCAGCTACTCAGGAGGCTAAGGCAGGAGAATCGCTTGAACCAGGGAGGCAGAGGTTGCAGTGAGCCCAGATCAATCACGCCACTGCACTCCAGCCTGAGTGACAGAGCGAGACTCTGTAAAAAAAAAAAAAAAAAAAAAAAAAACAGAAAAGTTAAGCAATTTGACTAGACACATAATCAGTGATTGGTGGAGCTGGGATTTGAAACTAGGCAATTAAAAAAAAAACAGAAAAGTTTAGCAATTTGACTAAGGATACATAATCAGTGATTGGTGGAGCTGGGCTTTGAACCTAGGCAATCTGCTGGCCTATCTCTTTATACCTGGCCTATATTCCTAACTGCTGCCATACTGTCTACTGAAGGCAAGGTAAAGAAACTAACTGGAGACTTCGTATTTCACACGATGGTGGGCTAGAAATACAGGATCTCTCTCTCTGAAGTCCACCAAAAACGTTGAATAGAGGTTTAAACATTTCTTTTAAATACCTTGACACACTGGCAAGAAAGTAAGGAAGCCCCAAAACTGAGTGCCAATGGGAAGCCAGAGAAGTAAGCGGAGCCCTTAGGCTGGTTTTCCCGCGAGGGAATTTGCTAGCAAGTGGAGCAGAAGTTCTGGTCATCCCAGACGTGAGTGCACAGAAACAGAAAACAAATCTCAACGCAAACTTTACAAAGCTGGTGTTCAATCAGGCCAAGGTTGAATTAAAACAAACTTCCTGAGGATACTATCAGCTTGTTTCTAACATTGGCTCTTAATGGAAAGTTTTTTAAAAAGAGCACTCCAGGATTTATTATTACAACCTAGCCCTTTTATGTGATCTGTATATGAAATTACACCACCTCAGGATCTGAGAAAATACACAGGCACCATACAGAAGCAACAAAACTCCCCCGAGAGAAACTCATGTCAACTCAGGCTACAAAAGAATCCCACAAATAAAGTTTCAAGGTACGTGAGCTCTCAGTATTTTTAAAAAAGTCACAAAACACACAAGAAAACAAGGCAACGGAGAGAACTGATAAAACAACAGATAGTACAACTAGAACTATAAAGAATTGGATTGAAATATTGGTATCTTCCATGCAAAATATTAAATCACAAAGCCTAGTAAGTTTAAGGAAATAAAGGATTGAAATTATAAGTTAACACCTAAAGACTAGATTGTTAACACTTAAGATAAGTTAACACCTAGGTAACACCTATAGTTATCTCCTAGATAGTTAACACCTAGAAGTTAACACCTAAACGTTAGATCATTAACATCTAAGATAAGTTAACCTAGATAGGTTAACACCTAAGACTTTATACCAATAAGAGTGAACTAGGTAATTCAGATCAACTTTCTCACAGGGAACAACTAAAAAAAGTTGGATAAAAAAAATTTTAATCACTCGAAGACACTGACATACTATAGGGCAGTGAAGAACTACAAGGCCAAGATCTGGGAGAAAAAGAATACCCAGAGTAGTCTTCCTGGTATTTGAGGCTGTTTTTCCTAAAAATAGAATCTACTAATTTAAAAAAAGGAAGATATTGGGTTGGTGTAAAAGTAATTGTGATTTTTGCCATCACAGCAAAAACCGCAATTACTTTTGCACCAACATAATAAAAGACGGGGAAGCTCAGCAAAATTGCAGTCTGGGACCTCCCAAGTCTGGTAACTTCCTCGCATCTTGAGTCAGGATCTTGAGGCAAAAGGGACATCTTAGAAAGAAAGGTGAACCTTAAATAGATTAGTCATAAGAGAAAATAAACCCAACTTCAAATAATCCCAATCCCTGACATGAGATTAAGGTAATCTGAGATTTCTAGTGCCTTTCTGACAGAAGATTACATCATTCTATTAATAATCTTCAAATTATTTCTTGATTTGCAGGTGCAACGTTTGCATTCAATAAAAAATAACCAGGCTCATTAGGAAATAACATGTCATTGAAAACAAAAGTTTAAAAAACAAACAATAAACACACACAGGAACCCAGATATCAGAGTTATCAGAGACAGATTTTAAAATAACAGTGCTTAAATGTGTTTAGGAAGCTTAAGGACAGAAGCAGCTTTGGCTATGGTAACATGAAGAAGTTAGGTTAACCTTCCCCGCAAAAATCAAGCATAAAACAGGACAGGACAAAATTGTCCAAAGCAACCATCTGAGGGGTCTGGAAATTGACCAAAAGCAGACAACAAATTGAGTAGCATTTATTCTTAAAAACAGTGTTTGCTAGAACTTTGGTTAAGAATAGTGGGAGTCTGACTTCCTTGACAAAGACTGAAGCCATCACCTTTACTCCCAAGCTCTATTGGCAAGAATAGTAGTTTGACCAGCGTGAGGCTGACTGAGACAATCATCAGCTTTTCTACCATCAGGGACAGACTTGGTATGGAGAAGAGTGGGGAGAAGACCATTGGCTTGTCAATTACAAGTGATGAATTCATGGAGAAATGAACAGGGGAATCCTCAATCTTGCTTGCCTAAAGTTTGTAGTGAGTAGTGTACTAGCAAGAAATCTAACATAAGATCCTGGATATCAGAGATTCATAGAGGGACCAGATAGTCTGTTCACACATCCCTGGATGACTGAAACATGGGCATGTACAGGGGAGATTGTAAAGATCTCATCAGAAAATAAAAGGGAGATAAAAACTGGCTGAACTTTGAATATTCTGGCCAACCTTCTCACACAGATTGATTGCCAGAGGGTAGGAACCTTAAAGACTCAAGGTGTTTGAGCATAGTTTCCACCCACATGATCAGCTGACTACTAAGCTATGCAGACATGAGGATGAACACTAGGGAGTCAGGCTAAAAAATAAAAATGAAGAACAAAAACTGAGCAGACACATGAGCGCCATGGGAAGAGACAGATTCCATAGACTTAGTCTGTGGAATTCCAAGCACCTTAGTCTGGGGGGAAAAAAACCCTCAAAAATAAATTAGAATCCAGCACTGCTACAATATATTATCTAAAATGTCTAATTCTCAAAAATATGAGTGATGCAAAGAAACAGGAAACAGTGAAACACAGAGGAAAAAACAGTGACTAGAAACTGACTTAAGAGTAAGCCCAGATGTATTTGGGAGCCAGAGCCTTCAAAGTAGCTATTAAATATGTTCGAAAAAATTAAGGGAAAATATGACAATGACTCAAAAATAAGGACTCTAAATATAGAAATGGGAGCTATAAAAATGTAAATTTTAGAGTTGAGAAGGGCAATAACTGAAATGAAAAATTAGCTATACGGGCTTACCAGAAAGAGATGGCAGAAGAAAGATCAGTGAACATGGAAATAGATTAATAGAGATTATCTATTCTGAAGATCAGACAAAACTAAGTTTGACCAAAAATAAACAAAGCCTCAGAGATTTGTAGAACAATGTCAAGCATACCAACATACCTGTAATGGGAGTCCCAGGTAGAAAAGAGAAAGACAAACAGATGGGAAAATATATTTAAAGAAATAGTGGAACCCCAATTAAGATCAACACAAAGATATCTACAATAGACACGTTATAGTCAAAATGCTCGATGACAATGACAAAACCTTAAAAGCTGCAAGAGAAAGACTACATTACTACAGAGGAACTAATGCTAGGATTAATGCTAGGATTAACTAATGCTGACTTCTTCAGAAAGAATGAAGGCTAGAAGACAATGTAATGACATATTTAAAGTGCTGGAAGAAAAACTGTCAATGGATAATCCTAGAGAAATTACTCTTCAAAAATGAAGATGACATAAAAACATTCTCAGATAAACACAAATTTGGAGAATATCTTGCCAGTAGACCTGTTCTACAAGAAATACTAAATTCCTTTAAGCTGAAAGAAATAACACAGACTGGTAAATCTATTGCATAAGAAGAAATGGTACATAAGTGGGAAAATATAAAACAGTGTGTGCATTTTTCCCTTTCTCCTAATTTATTTCAAAAACCTAACGTTTAAAGCAATAACTCTAACACTGTATTGCTGGATTTATTAAACATGAAGATGTAATATAAATAACATTAGCAGAAAGGAGGGATGGGAAATGGAGCTATATAGAAGCAAAGTTGCTGTATTTTGCCAGAATTAGCTCAGTATTAACTTGAGGTACAAATGTGATCAATTGAAGATTCATGTTATAATCCCTAGGGCAGCAACCAAGAGAATAACACAAAAAGATTAAAAAATAAACATGAATGAAAGTGATCACAAAAAAAATGTGTTTAACATAAAAGAAGGTAGTAAAAGAGGAACAGAGGAACAAAAAGGATGTGATATGTAAATATGCAGAAAACATATAGCAAATGCCAGATGTAAATAGAACCATGTCAATAATGGCATTAAATATGCACTAATGAAAGGATGGTCAGCATCATTAGTCATTAGGAATATGTAAATCAAAACCACGTGAGATACTATTTCACATCTACTAGGATAAAAAAGATAGATAATAGCGGCCAGGCACAGTGGCTCACTCCTGTAATCCCAGCACTTTGGGAGGCCAAGGCAGGCAGATCACGAGGTCAAGAGATGGAGACCATCCTGGCTAACATGGTGAAACCCTGTCTCTACTAAAATTACAAAAATTAGCTGCGTGTGGTGGCGCACGCTGTAGTCCCAGCTACTCGGGAAGCTGAGGTAGGAGAATCACTTGAACCCAGGACTAGACCTGTAGTCCCAGCTACTCGGGAAGCTGAGGTAGGAGAATCACTTGAATCTGGGAGGCAGAGGTTGCAGTGAGCCAAGATCGTGCCATTGCGCCCCAGCCTGGAGACAGAGTGAGACTCCGTCTCAAAAAAAAAAAAAAAAAAAAAAAAAAAAGATAATAGCAAGTGTTGGTGAGGGAGGAGGTGGAGACATTGGAACCTTCATGCCCTACTGGTGAGAGGGTAAAATGTGTGGCTGCTTTGCAGGCTGACAGTTCCTCAAGGGGTATATAACCGAGAGAAATGAAAACATCTATACAAATCCTGTACACAAATGTTCATAGTAACATTATTCATAATAGCCAGAAAGTTAGAAACAACTCAGATTCCAACAGCTAATGAATATATACATTAAATTAGGTTATGTCCACAGAATGAAATATTATTCTGCAATAAAAATGAAGTACTGATATATGTACGACATGGATGAATCTTGAAAACATTACATTAAATGAGAAAAGCCAGTCACCAAAGACCATATGTTATATGACTACATTTATATGAAATGTCAGAATAGGAAAATCTATAGTGACAAAAAGTACATTAGTGGTTGCCTCAGGCTGAGGGTGGGGTGGTGGAGTAGGCAATGACTACAAATGGGTACTGCGTTTTTTGAGGGGGTAAGTAAAATTATTTTTAAATTAGATTGTGGTGATGTTTGCACATTAAAGGCCTATTAACCTCATAAACTTGTCATTAGTCTTTGAAGAAAAAATATGTAAAAGAAAAATGTATGTATACATAATGTAAGAATTTGTCTCTAAAGCAGCGCTTAAAATTCTTTGGAAAAGTTTGACAAGGTATATCACGTGAATTCAGATTCATCTTAAAGAATTATGCTTAGACAGGAAAAAGGAAACTTATTTTGGTCTCAAGTAGAAAAATATATTGCTTTGAGTTTTATGTAGGTTTAGACTTTTAAAATGTTAGAATTGATTCTTACTATAAGTGATTTGTGAAATTACACCTTTGGTTTGATCACCGGTGATTACAGTGTTATTCTCATACCTTTGTGTATTGAACTATTTCCAGAACCAAGCTTATGTAGATCCTGAACAGTAATATGAGAATGTGATTAGTATTTGTCACCTTTATTTTAAAACTAGCATCTGAACACTTCAAAGCTGTCAATGTGGATTGGTTAGACCAATAATCTCTGCTTGATCCTTACAATTAAATTTTGCAACTAATAGTATTGTTCTTTCAAACAGGTGACATGTTTTCCATGACTGTTATGGCGGGGGCAATAATTAAATCAGTTCTTGTTTAACAAATTGAATAAAGCAAAGTTTCATAAATTAAAAAAAAAAAAAACCTTCCCACAATAACCCAAGCCCTGTTGGTTTCACTGGTGGATCTATAAACTAAGGATGAAATAATATCAACCCTACTCAAGCTCTACCAGAAAATAAAGCAGGAAGGAACACCTCCAAACCCATTTTATGGGGCCTGCGTTTCTGTGATACCAAAGTCTCAAGAAGGAAAACTATAGACCAATATTCTTTATGAAATTAGACAAAAAAAAAAAATCCTTTAAAAATTATTGGCCAGGCACAGTGGCTTACACCTGTAATCCCAGAATTTTGGGAGGCCACAGCAGAAGGTTTGCTTGAGTCTAGGAGTTCGAGACCATGCCAGGCAACACAGTGAGACCCCCATCTCTACAAAAAAAAAGTATATATATACATATAGCTGGGTGTGGTGATGCATGCCTGTAGTCCCAGCTGCTTAGGAGGCTGAGGTGGGAAGATTCCTTGAACCCAGTAAGTTGAGACTGCAGTGAGCCGTGATCACATGCCACTACATTCCAGCCTGGACAACAGAGTGAGACCCTGTCTCAAAAAAAAAAAAAAAAAAGCCAAATAAACCCAGTAACATATAAAGAAGATTAAACATTGTGGCATATGGAATTTATCCCAGCAATGTAAGAGTGGTTTAACAGCTCAAAATCAATTAACAATTAGTAGACTAAAAGATTAAAACCACGCAATCATCTTAATAGATATAGACAAAACATTTAACAAAATTCATCACCCATTTTTGACAAAACCTTTTAAGAAAAGAGGAATTAGAGGGATTTCCTCCATGAGATAAGGGGCATCTTTGAGAATCCTACATCTAACATCACACTTAATGATGAAAGACAGTGTTTTTCTCTTGTAATCAGTAATAAGATGAGGATTTCTGTCTTCTCTATTTCTGCTCAACATTAACTTTTGCTCATTGTATAAAGAAATTAAAGACATCAAGGTTTGAAACGAAAAGTAAAGCTGTTTTAGTTCACAGACAACATAGGGTTGTATATAGAACATTATATGGGATTTGCAAAAAAATTCTAGTCGAGCAAGGTCACTGCATTCAAGATCAACATACTAAAATCAACTGAATTTATATATATGAGAAATAAATTATCCAAAGATAAATAAGAACAATTCCATTCATAACATCAAATATGATAAAATATTTATGAGTAAATTTAGCAAAAGAAGCTCAAGACCTGTACACAAAAGCTACAAAACATTGCTGAGAGAAATTAAAGAAGATTCAAATAAATATGAGATATGCCATATTCATGGATTGAAAGACTCAATATTTTTAAAATAGCAAATCTCCCCAAATTGATGTATAGATTCAGCGCAATTCCAATTAAAATCCAAGCAGACCTTTTTGAAGAGATCATCAAAGTGATTCTCAAATTTATATGAAACTGCAAAGAACAGAATAGAGAAAACAAACTTGAAAAAGAAGGACAAATTTTGAAAATTTACACTACCTGATTTCAAAATTCCAGTAATAAACACAGTGTGGTATTGGTTTGAAGGCAGACCTATAGTTCAGTGGAACTGAAGAATATAGAAATAAATTATCCTGTTTATAATCAATTGATTTTTGATGAAGATACCATTGCAATTCAATCATGGGAGGGGATATTTTCAGCAAATTGTGCTTGAATGTATATGATAAAAATAAACTTACACCTTTACCTCTCACCATGCTAAAAAAAAAATTCAAAATGGGTCATGATGTGATCCATTAAAAGAAAAATGGATGAAATGGACTTCACCAAAATTAAGAACTTTTAATCTTGAAAAGACACCATTAAAAAGTAAAACTTTTAAAAAGTCCAAAGCTGTGGAAAAATATTTGCAAATTATATCTTGGGAATATATAAGGAACTCTAAAAAAAAAAAAAAAAAAGAAAATAACAAGAAGACATGAACCCAATTTTTAAAAACAACAAAATATTTGGCTAATAAGATGTGAAAAGTTGCTTTGCAGCATTAGTCATTAGTGAAATGCAAATTAATACAATACGGCTGATTATTCAGAAGATTTTTGAGTGAGTTTGTCTATTCTGGTTTTTCCTTTTCACTAAAATTAACTCCAAAATAGGGGACAGAGAAATACATCACCCTTCCCAGAAATTCTGCTCCTTTTAAGGAGAGGGCTTTAAGTGCCACTTGCTTTGCCTCTACCAGGTTGTCACATCCATTGGTGAGCTGGTTGAAGTGTGTTCCACGCAGATCCAGTCGGGATGGAGACCCTTGTTCAGTGCCCTGGAAACAGTGCATGGCGGGAACAAGTCAGAGATGAAGGAGTACCTGGTTGGTGACTACTCCATGGGTAAGAATGTTTGGATGATTCTTGCTATTCAGCATTAATTCTCTGTGCCAAGTTTCATGCTATTAAAAAAAAAAAATTGAACAATAGGGAAGACAGATTGTCAGCCATGTTTTATCAGCAGGAAAGAATGTGGTGTAGCAGGAACATGAGTCCTGAGTTCTGCCAGCAGGCTGAGAGCCCTGAGCATTGTCAGGCCCTGTTCTTGCTGACAATTGGACAATAAGGCTGAGAGACTTCTGTTGTTTCACTTACACATTGCTGTGTTGAGTTCACGTCTAAAGCCAAAAAGAAAAATGTTATCCATTTGCTAGTAAGAAGCAGAAAAGTATCATAACACAGAGTAACCAGAATTAGGGAGATTCGGTCTGCTGGAAATGGATGGGTACCCATAAAGCATGCCCAGGGCCCAGGGGTGTTGTCTCAGAGGTTCCCAAGACCACCCCTAAACTCAGAAACCCACCAGAAAGACTCATGGGACCCAGCATATAGTTATGTTGAGATTTATTACACAGCTCGTGACTAAGTTTTAGCAACGTAGGAAGGACACAACAGGTTATGACACAGACAGAGTCTGGAAGAATCTATGCACCAGCTTCCCTGTGCTCTCGCCCTCCCAGGAGGGATCACACAGAAGACATTCTTCCCCCAGCAGTGAAAACACAGCAACATGTTTGCAATGTTTCTGCCTGTTGAAGCCCATTAGAGATCTAGCTGGGGACTGGCCACTTACATACCCTTTGCCTAGCACATTACCAAAATCCCAGACTCCCAACAGGAAAGCAGGTGTTCACCATAAACCGTATGGTTTGTATGAACAGTCTAGGCACGGTGAACTACTCTTATCAGTTAACTGTGGCCTGGGAGTACTCTGAGAGCTGAGTTCCCAGACACCCGCCAAAGGCCAATTTTGCAAGCAAGCTTTCTAAAAGAAAAGTGGTCTCAGGCCTTCTGTGCTCTTTTTCTGCATAGATATAAAGAAACTCATATATGCCACCAAAGGTCTATCTAAACCTGCCCTGCTGTGCCCTGTAGATAATCTACAAATACCTGTGCAGGAGCATTCCAGAGGCCACATGGTTCCCTGCTCTATAGACCAGCACATTGCCTCAGCTCTGCACTCGGCCAGCTCAGCCCTCATCTCTCTGCCGAGCTGCTCCCCTGCCGGCAGAGCTGAGCACCATGCTGGAGCCAAGCCAATGGCCCAATAAAAAACCCAGGCATCTCCCCAGTAGATCTTTCTCAAGATCTGTCTCAGTGGAACGTGCTGGGAATATGGGCAACCCTGGCAAACCCGAGGGCAGAAACTTACTTTCTTACAATTCTATAATCTTCCTCCCTTAGGAAAAGGCCAAGCTCCAGTGTTTGATGTATTTGAAGCTTTTCTCAATACTGACAACATCCAGGTCTTTGCTAATGCAGCCACTAGCTACATCATGTGCCTTATGAAGTTTGTCAAAGGACTGGGTAAGCAGAACCCTTCTCTCATGCCTTGTAACTGCTGAGGACCCTTTCCAGGGTGGCTCTGTGGCTGGAGACAGGGCCTACTGACTGTCTGGAACAAGCACGCATCCTGGGGTACAAGCAGATGGTGGTGTTGTGTACTCAAAAGCAAAAACTTACTGTGAAAGAAGCTTGAATTTTGTGTAAGGTTGATACTTTTCATTGTATTCATGGAATATCTTATAGCATATTTTTAATCTATTTATTTATTATTTTATACTAACTTTATTGTCAAAGAATAATATCAACCTTGTATTTTCCCTTTGTAAAAGGTTCTCGGGCTCCAGGTCTAATCACACTCTATGGAAACTCTCAAAATTTTAAGTTTCTTCTAAACCTTTTGGTTTAACTAAGTGTCCTTCCCTTTCATTTCACCCTACATAAACCTGTGCTATATAAAAATCTCCTATTGCAGGTCATGTTGTATAGTGAGAATATATTTTGTTAAGGTGTTTCTAAATTAAGTATAAAATCATCTGGGTAGTTTCTGAAATACACGAGGCTTTCAAGAAGGGGGACTTCTATACTTAGAAAATATATTTTATAATTAATTAAGCCTGGGGTAGGAGGAATTCTTAACTTTTGCTAAAAAGTTGGGAAATCAAACTCAAGCTGCTAATCATATGACACTGAGAATAGGTTTCTGCATAAGGGCAATTATTTAATATAATATTGACTAATCTAAGGTTGGAAATCTTAGAACATTCCTACAATTATGGAGGCTGAGAAGTCCCACGATAGACCATCTGCAAGCTGGAAAACCAAGGAAGCCGATAACATGGCTCAGTTCAAGTTCAAAGGCCTCAGAATGAGGGGCACTGATGGTGTAACTCTTAATCCAAAGCCAGAGGCTCGAGAACCTGTAGTTCTAAGACAAGAGAAGGATATCCCAGCTCCAGAGACAGAGACACAGAGAATTCTCCTTTTCTCTGCCTTTTGTTCTCCTGGGCCTTGGCTGATTAGATGGTGTCTGCCTACACTGGGTGAGGGTGGAGCTCCCTTACTCAGTCTGATTCAAATGCCAGCCTCTTCCAGAACCAACCTCACAGACACACCCAGAAATCATGCTCTATCAGTGATCTGGGTCTCCCCTAATCCAGCCAAGTTGACATCTAAAATAAACCATCACATAGAGGACATTGAAAACAGCCTGTGTTTTCTTCTGTGAATTCTAAAGTGGAATTATTTGTTTGGGGCCTGGGATCAGTGGAAAAGGCAGAGCCCCTTGTATAGTCATGGTGCCTGTGTCCTGCCTGGCTCCAGGGAGTGCCATTCACATAGACTTGGATGCGTTCAAATACACAGCGGCCACAGTCTAAATTTTGGGACGCCTGCTGTAATCGTGGATAGGAAATGAATTTATTGTTAATTCCCACCTGCTTATTTCAACATGAATTTGACCTGGTCTGTGTTTTTATATTATAAAATGTGTTCATCTAAACCAGGATTTGGCAAGCTATGGCCCACAGTTTTTATAAATACAGTTTTATTAAAACATAGCCATGTTCATTTGTCGATGGCTGCTTCCATACTACCAGGCAGAGTTGAGCGGTTGCAATAAAGACAGTATGACCTGCAAAGCCTGAAGTATTTACTCTCTGGCCCTTTGCCAAAAACATTTGCTAACCCTTGCTCGAAAACCTAAGAAATGTTTTTTGTTTTTTTTAAGGAGAAACATGCCTCTTTGCTTCTGAATTTTAACTAATGCCTAGTAATTAGGTCTGTTTACTCACATGGGAGGGTTCTAGCTCTTACAATTGTAGACAATTAGAAACAATTACAGTACATGAAATGATTTGATTAAATGTATAGAAATAGATTCGAGAAGAAAAATTATAATAATTCAGTTACACTCTTACAGAAAAACCTAGATACCGCTCTACAGACATGTTAAATCTCTAGATATGTACAAAAAATAGAAAAATCATTTAAATGCAATTAAGTAGTCTCTGTCCCTAAACCCCAGATGTTTAGACTCTTCCCAGAGACCTCATTTATCATCAGCATTTAGTGCCACGCACTGGCAGGGAAAGAAATCCTTTTCCAAATGGAGAGAGAGAAGCGCTTCATTCCAGCCCAATCCAGGACTTGTCTCTGGGATTGTCCTTTGTCATCAAAAGTCACTCCATCCAACAGCAGGTCCCAGAAATGTCATTTACCATGTGCCCATGTACAAAGGAACACCATCCAGCCACTGAAAGTACTGTGGTAGAAGAGAGAGGAAATGTTGATTGTTTAGTGGAAGGGTGAGTTACCAACCATATAATCTCAACAAAATGATAGGAAAGGTATGGTCCCAACTGTATTTAACATGTGCACATGCAGCTGGGAGAATGGCTGAAAGGATTTTCCTCAGGGTTGTGCAATTTGGAGTCATTTTTCTCCTTTTCTCCCACTCTCTTTTAATAGATATTTGGTGTACTAGTGCTATGTGAGTAAACAGGTCTCCTGTTACAGGGGGGCACGCAAGGGTAACACTGTTGGTCTCTGTCTCCCGTGCCGCCCCTAGGGGAGGTGGACTGTAAAGAGATTGGAGACTGTGCCCCAGCACCCGGAGCCCCGTCCACAGACCTGTGCCTCCCGGCCCTGGATTACCTCAGGCGCTGCTCTCAGGTAGGGGAATGGTCCAGCTGGGCTCCCGGCCTGGAAACCTGCCTCGGAACATGCTGCCAAAACATGCGTGGGGGGTCTTTTGCTGAAGCCCGAGAGAGACACTTTGCCGTCTGAGGAGATTGGGGCGCAGATGTGGAGTATACATTTTTGTCCCTCCTTTTTCCATGAAGGAAAGAAAATAATGAAAACATACTAGAACCCACAATTGGATGCTGAGGTCTCTGAAACTTTTCCCTCACGCTCAGATGCCTGAACTACTGGAATCTCTATATTTGCATGAGGTTTTAGGGGAAGGGGTCACTAGGTCATGAGAAGTCTTCCTGAGGGCACCAAAAAGTGGAGGACAGGGGTGCAAGCAGTGAAGAGGGACATTAATAAAAGAAAGACATGCTCAGTCAAGATCATCTAGCAGAGATGGGTGGATTACCTGAGGTCAGGAGTTCAAGACCAGCCTGGACAACATGGTAAAATCCCGTCTCTAGTAATAATACAAAAACTAGCTAGGCGTGGTGGCATGCGCCTGTAATCTCAGCTACTGGGGAGGCTGAGGCAGGAGAATTGCTTCAACCCAGGAGGTGTAGGTTGCAGTGAACTGAGATCATGCCATTGCACTCCGGCCTGGGTGACAGAGCAAGACTCTGTCTCAAAAAAAAATTTTTTTTAATCTAGTAAAGAGAATAAAACAGCACTTGTCAAAGTGAGCAGTGACCATCGTTGGGTCCATCCTCTGCCTGACACCATGCCCCCTCCCTGAGGCCGTTTGTCTCTAAGCTTCAGTGACACCCCTCTCTCAATATTTTCTCACCTGTCTTCTCAGGTGGTGTCCCTGGATCTCTTTGGGGATCTATGTACAACCTCTTCCTGGGTGATAGCATTGAGCCCATGGCTTTAAAAGGGACATGCGGCCCTGGCTTCTCCATCCAGCTGCCTCCCCCAGGCCCCATATGACGCGACCCCTGCCCGGCTCCCTTTCCACCCTCACATCCTTCCCTCTTACTCACAGTGCTATAGCTACGCTGAGCTTCTGCCCTCCCGGAAATACACCTGCTCACTGCTGTGCAGGGCCATCTCTGCTTCCTCTGCTGGGACTCTCTCCCCAGATTCTAGGTGCCACTCTTTATCTCCCAGATCTAATCTGAAACGTTACCTCCTCAGAGCACAGGGCTAAAGGATCTGCCAATTCCTGCCAAGATCCCCCACTTTTTTGTTTGTTTGTTTGTTTGCACAGTTGCTCTGTTGCCCAGGCTGGTGTGCAGTGGCATGATCTCAGCTCACTACAACCTCTGCCTCCCAGGTTCAAGCGATTCTCCTGCTTCAGCCTCCCGAGTAGCTGGGATTACAGGCATGCGCCACCACACCCAGCTAATTTTTGTATTTTTAGTAGAGACGGGGTTTCGCCATGTTGTCCAGGCTGGTCTTGAACTCCAGATCTCAAGTGATCCGCCAGCCTCGGCCTCCCAAAGTGCTAGGATGACAGGCATAACCCACCAGGCCCAGCCTTCACTATTTCTAGTACCACCTGTTTAGTTTTTCCTGTAGCATTTATGTCTGGAATTTGATTATTTTAGAAAGGATTGTAGTTGGTGAGACCCACCAGAACAGGAATTTTGTCTGTTTGCTCACAGCCCTGGTTCCTTGAACAATGTGGGCATGGCAGGATTCTAATTAATTCATTAAGACATAAGGATCTTTGGAAGTCTGTCCCAGTAACAGAGAGCTCACGGGTGCCTGGGCGCTAGTCCCAAGAGGGGACTAAAGAACCCAGGCCACTCTGCTGGCTCTGCTTCTGAGACCTTCCTCTCTCCCTCCTGGTCCCAGCCTCCTTCATTTCTCCAACTGCTCTTGCCCCTGTGTTTCTTCAGAGGTTGAGTCAAGGGAAGGAGAAATCAGAGTCTGGTATCTCATTTGCCTGTGGACTGTCTTCTCAGTGAGCCCCACAGAACACTTATTCGCTTAGGCAAAAATTCTGGACATGTTTCATGGTTCCTTCGGTAGGTTTATAAAAGTCTATAGAACTCATATGTAATTAAGATACTGAACAATTATCCATAGGATCCTTTTTCCCTCTACTTTTTTGTTGCCATTGTATGCTATTTCATCTGCTTCATGGGATAGATGCCTCTTGTAAGCTACCCTTATAAATCCAAATCACGAATAATCAAATTTTCAATGTCTAGTTTCCCATCTCCTTTTAGTACTAGTGTATAATTTCATTATTCTTTAAAACCCACAATGCAGCTTTTTCCAACATATAATTGCAGTTTGTCTTTTTATTTTAATTTAGTTATTGGCCAAAATCTACAAAATGCCCTTGAAGCCAATATTCCTTAGTGGGAGACTTGCCGGCTTGCCTCGAAGACTTCAGGAACAGTCAGCCAGCAGTGAGGATGGAATTGAATCAGTCCTGTCTGATTTTGATGATGACACCGGTAAGCTAATTGATTGGACTAAACTAGGTTATTTGCTGTGTTCATATTCCCAGAAGCTTAAGTCATAAATGAAGTACCTTAAGCTTCTGGGAATTGTCTTAGTCCATTTTGTGCTGCTATAAGAGAATACTTGAGAGTGATAAATAGCAGATTTATTTCTTACAGTTCTGGAGGCTGAGAAGCCAAAAGTTGAGGGGCTTGCCTCTGATGAGGGCCCTCTTGCTGTATCATCCCAAGAGGAAGGGCAAGAGAGCACTCAAGGAGTTCAGGGTGGTGGGGAGAGGCAGGGGGACCAAAGTCATGCTTTGATCAGGAACCCACTCCCAAGATACTAACTCACGTTCATGATAACAATATTAATCCATTCATGAGTACAGAGCCCTCATGACCTAATCACCTCTTAAAGGTCCCACCTGTTAACACTGTTGCATTATGGATAAAGTTTCCAACACATGAATGTTGGGGGACACATTCAAACCATAGCATTCCACTCTGGCCCCCAAAATTGAGGTTCTTCTCACATGCGGAATACATTAATGCCATCCCAATAGTCCCAAAGCCTTAACTTGTTTCAGCACCAACTCAAGAGTCTCATCTAAATCAGGTACAGTTGAGACCAAAGGCATGATTCATTCCAAAGCAAATTCCTCTCCAGCTGTGGGCCTGTGAAATTAACAAATTGCATGCTTCCAAAATACAATGGTAGGAAGGCATAGGATAGACATTCACGTTCTAAAGGGGGAGAAATAGGCAAGACAGGAGCAACATGCCCCAGGTGAGCCCAAAAACACAGCAGAGCAGACATTAAATTGTAAGACTCCAGAATCATCTTTTACTGCACTTGCCATGAACATGTGAACTTCGGGGGAAATATTCAAACCGTAGCATAGATCATAAGAATGAGCATCTATTTTTGTAGTTATTTTTTATAATTCTATCACAATAAGTCTGCTTAAAGTTTCCATGGACTTTCCAAAAACATCACTTTACAATGGATGCCTCTATACCCATCCTTTTAAAATGGATTCCTCTGTCTAAAACTACTGCAAATTTGCAGATTCCACTTAAGTAGTTTCTAACTCTCAATTCTCTTGACTTTAGCAAATTGGAATGAAGTTCCATTGGTGCCTAAGTACTTAAATTGGCTGATAATTGTCTTTTAGTATCTTTTAGAAAACAAATCATTATATAATTACTTCTTACAGGACTATTTGGTTAGAGACTGGGGAAATTAAGCCATTACTAAAGAGAGACTCTATTTGTGACTGTTGAAGCTGAAGGCTCATCAAAACAATGATTTTAAAGAATTTGTTTCCAATTAGGTCCCATGTGATCTCCTGTGAATCAGAGTTCAAACTAGTAACTGTGGATCATTTTCAGATAGATTAACTCATGCTCACACCTTCTGTCTTCTGTCTCAGAAGACCCTGTCCTGTTCTACATCTAGAATTGGATATCATACCCTCAAATAGGTCTAACTTCTGGGTATAGGTTATTTCAAACTCCTTTATAAAAGGACTTTTGAGGGGAAGGTTTTTTGTTTTATTTTGCTGTTACAAATTTTGTGGGGGTGGCTAGGAGATTTAAAATTTTCGATGGAGATGATAAACAACAAAGTCTCACAAGTTCAGGCCAGGCGCGGTGGCTCATGCCTCTAATCCCAACACTTTGGGAGGCCGAGGCCGGTGGATCACGAGGTCAGGAGTTCAAGACCAGCCTGGCCAACATGGTGAAACCCAGTATCTACTAAAAATACAAAAATTAGTCAAGCGTGGTGGGGGGGCGCCTGTAATCCCAGCTACTTGGGAGGCTGAAGCAGAGAATCGCTTGAACCCGGGAGGTGGAGGTTGCAGTGAGCCGAGATTGCGCCACTGCACTCTAGACTGGGTGACAAAGCGAGACTGCATCTCAAAAAAAAAAAAATTCTCACAAGTTCAGATTAGTTGTGAGGAATAATTACAGGAAAGAATATCTAATATAGAGAACAATTAAAGTATTGAAAGTTGGCTAGAGATTATCTAATAGAGGTTTCAGTTTAATGATTAGATAAGAACAATTTTTACTTAGCATTTTAAACCTCAAACCCAGATAATTATAAGCAGAAGCTAATGTTGTTTATCTATAATACATTCTTTTAAACAGTTGTAAACGGTTGGGTATGTAACGTCGAGCATTCTCTTTCCCATTTGTGCAAATCTTTGATTTTTTTTTCTAGGAACCCCATCTTCTAAGGGATACAGTTCCATCCAGCACCTATCTAAGTTTTCTACATAATCAATGTAACTAGGACTTTAAAGTTATCATTATGTAGACATAGTAAATCAGAACAAAAATCAGTAATAGCTTTAGTTTTAAAAAATTAATCCTCAACATTGATACATTACATTATCAGATATTATTCCGCTGGTTTTCAAAGGCAAATAATTACATTTTTCCTCTTATAGAAATTTCAAACATATACAAAACTTGTATATTTTGAATATACAAAATATATACATATACAGATATACATATGTAGAATATACAGAACTAAACAGAATAATATAACAGACTTATCACCTAGCTTCAACTACTATCAATTTATGGCTAATCTTGGATCATGTATATCTTTGCTCTCTCTTCCTCTTTCTCCATAGGTTAAGGCAAATCCTCAACATAGCATTTCATCTGTAGATGTTTCAGTGTGTGTTCTTTAAAGATAACAAACATAAACATGACACCACTATCACACCCAAAATCAATCATAATTTATAGTACATTAGAGGTACCAGGGACTGGAGCGAGGAAGAAAGGAGAGTAACTGTTTAATAGCTCCAGGGTTTCTGTTTGAGATGAAAACATCTTGGAAACAGTAGTGATAGTCGCACAACATTGTTGTCATGAATACCTCTGAATTGTACTCGTAGAAATGGCTAAAATGGCTTTTTCTGTTCTATATATTTACCACAATAAAATCATTTTTTAAAAAAAGATAGATGAAGGTGATAGAACTGGATGGATAGCTTATTTGGTATCATCAGCTCCCAGGAAACCTGACAGCCATTTCAAGATGGTAGAATTTCCTTAACCTATCACCTTTTTATTAAAGGGGAAGGAGAAGGAAATGTGAGCAGTATTTTTCCCCTTGACTTTGTCAGACCACATAAATCATCATCTGTTCATGTCTATGGCCACTGAAGGCTAACAACACTGGGTGATGGCTCACGTCTGTATAGCACTTGGCAGTTTACATACAATGTTTAATTGGATCTTGAGATGATTATTCATTGTGTCTAACTGGATTTCATACAGGTCTGCTTTTTGGTTTCCAGGTCTGATAGAAGTCTGGATAATCCTGCTGGAGCAGCTGACAGCGGCTGTGTCCAATTGTCCACGGCAGCACCAACCACCAACTCTGGATTTACTCTTTGAGCTGTTGAGAGATGTGACGAAAACACCAGGTAAATATTTCTGTGTCCGTCTTTTGGGGGAGTGGTTATACATGTAACTCTTTTCAAGAGGGTATTTCTGCAGGTGTCTGCCTGTTTTCACTGTTTCCTAGACTTAGTACAAAGCTCACACGTAAGAGGTGCTCAATAAATGTTTGTTGAATGGTAGTGATGCTTAAGGTATGGCCTGTGTATTGTTTACATGTCTTCCTAGAAGTCTGGTTACAAGTATCGTGTGGTGGCCAGTTAGTTGGATGTGTAGGAGCTCCACATTAATCAGACCAAGGCTATGGTATCAGCGTCTCCAAGAACCATTTGGCTTTGCTATTTCCATGGTCACAGCCTTCCTTTGTGGCAGGATCTCACAGTCACATGCTCTTGGCCCTTGGGCTGTTGGTTGGGCTTACTGGGTCTTCCAGTAATATAAACCACTTTCAGCTATATGCGGTATTAAGGCAGCAACACCCCGTTTGTGTAAGGGTCATAGGTGATTAGATTTGGAAAAAGACATATAGTCCTTGCCTAGTACAAGGACCCTGAGAGTATGAGAAAAGAATGACTTTTAGGAATTTATTTCTTGTTGTGAATTAATCAATTTTAGTATATACATTTATACATGCCAATTTCTCAAGATCAAAGAAACTTTTTTAATAGAAATTTAAGTATTTTACTAACAATCAGACCCTAAATGAAGCCACTTTCTTACTAAGAGGAGGTCTGTACTCATTATAATGAAGACTTGATAATTGATACCGTTTCAAAATCTATAGCAAAGTTTATATTATTTTTTAAAAAACACCATAGATACTGCCACGTTAAAAAGTTAAAAGCCTTCCATCAAAGAATAAGTAGGTATTTTATAGAATTGCAAACCACTATTTCTAAATCTGTTTTACTCATCAGTACCATTTTCTGCTTTCACATTGATTGCCACTAAATGTGTGTGAAGAGCATTTAATCCACTTTTGTTCCTAGGAGCCTGTCATCTAAGGAAATTATCAATAATAAAGACAAAATTGTATATATAAGATGTTTGCTGAAACATCTTGAATACCAAAAATTATGAACACCCTAAATGGGAAGCAGTTAATTGTGGTAAAAGCATGTAAATATTCTGCAGGCGTTAAAATTAATATTTGTGAATAATATTTAATGACGTGAATAATTACTTACAAAGCATTATGTTAAAATGCACATACTATGGAGTGCAATCTCAACTATATGAAATTTTATGCAATTATAAATACAAACACACATGCATTCCAAAAGTCCTAAAAGGAAATACATCAAAATGTGATTATCTCTAGATGAGTTTTTTCTTGTATTCTCATGTAATTTCCATGTTTATTATAAAATGGATGCTTTGCTTTTGTAATCATAACTTCAAAAACTCATCAACATTTCCACAATGTTGAACAAAGAAGCACAATGATTTTCATTATAGCATAGTCTATAAAACAAAAAAATTAGAAACACCTTAAATATTCATCAGTAAGGAAATGGATAAGTAAACTGCTGTACGTAAATACAATAGAAATAGTATGTGGCAATAAAAATGAGGAATATGCAAATTTGCTGACAAAGAATAATCTCACACTTTTGGGGTTTTCTGCGAAATGGAGGTCTTGCCAGGCTGGAGCAAGTGGTGTGATCATAGCTCACTGCAGTCTCAAATTCCTGGGCTCAAGCGATCCTTCCACCTCAGCCTCCCAAGTTGCCGAGGCTACCAGCACTCCACAATGCCCAGCTAATTTTTTTTTTTTTTTTTGAGAAGGGATTTCACAATGTCGCCCAAGCTAGTCTTAAACTACTGGGCTTAATTAAGCAATCCTCACGCCTCAGCCTGCAGAGTAGGTGAGATTACAGGTGTACACTACTGTGGCCAGCTCTAACAAACACTATTGTTAAGTTAAAAAAAAAAAAAAATGAGTATGCAGACCGAAGTTTACATTATCTCCTTTATATAAAATATTTCCCCATGTAGTTAGATTTCATAAATGTATGATTTCAAAGGGTATTTTCTTATACACACATGTGTATTTGTGTGTTTACATTTAGGTCCTAGGAGTTGAGCAGGTGATATTTTAGCTTTACCAGCAATATTTGAATGTTTTAGGAGTATATTCACATATTGCTCACATAACTAAAACCCCGCAGAAAAAAAAAGGAAAAATGCCACTGAAGACCATATATTCCCCCATCAGCAGTAAATTATTTTTCCCTGCACTTTCTCAGCAAATGTAGGGATCCTTCCAAAGAGATCAACAATGCCAGGTGGAGGCAAAGAGCTTCCCTTTTATTACAGGTTGTTGCTACGCTGACTTTTCTTTTTCAGGACCAGGGTTTGGTATCTATGCAGTGGTTCACCTCCTCCTTCCTGTGATGTCCGTTTGGCTCCGCCGGAGCCATAAAGACCATTCCTACTGGGATATGGCCTCTGCCAATTTCAAGCACGCTATTGGTCTGTCCTGTGAGCTGGTGGTGGAGCACATTCAAAGCTTTCTACATTCAGGTATCTGAAGTGCCAGAGCAGTTCATTCTGGGTATTTCTTTGGTAGACAGCACCGTCAGCTAAAACGGTGTAGTAAATACCTAATGCAAATACGAATGCAGGGTTTTTGTCCTGGGAATTATTAAAATAGAACAACATGGTCAGTGCCAGCCTTCTAATAGATTTTCAAAGAGAAAATTCATACCCATGTGTCTTCTACAAAATTTTCAAACCGAATGCTCAAAATATATGTGTGGTAGAAAATAAAATACCTAATAAGAGGTCTGGGGTACCTGTGCATTAGGAGAAGGGAGGCGAATTCAAGTATATAAAAAAGAAAAAAAGAAGAAGCAGCAATATCCCCGTAGCCTGTGGGGGGGTAGCGGGTATAGCCTGTCACCCTGCTTCATCTGGGGAGGCTAAATGGAGGAGGCAGGGTTTTAGAAAAGGCTTCCATTGTGGGCAAGAAGTAGCTTAACAGGCTAGGGATGAAGAGAAATTTCTTAATATTGATGGCACTTTGTAAAGGCTGTGAAAGTGTGGGATGGACAGTATGCTGAAGTCAGCAGATGGAGAGGGACCTAGAGGCAGGGGATGTGTTCACTGTGGTCCCAGTGGAGCCACATGTGTGAAGATGTGGGTGTCCGGGAGCAGAAGAAACATTGCTGCTACCCACAGAGCTTATAACTCGAAGGACTGGCATATCATGGTGTAAGGGAAGAGGTTCCCTTGCTGGAGAGGACAGAGAAACTAAGGAGGATGTTGACCCCAGGGGAGACTAACAAAGCTAATAAAAGAAACTGTGTCTCTATTAAGTTTAGCAAGGACAATTTACCCTGCCAAAAAAGAACACCAATTGTGAAAGAAAACAAGTGAGTTTTTCCACATGTAGGTGGTAACTGGTAACCATATCCCTAAGGGTAGCCACATGTTCCTGGCTGGGTCATTGCTTTGCACAGTGTGAGACTGTGATACTGCAACACATAAAAGTGAACTGCATATTTCATTTTTATTTCTGTAGAAGTGGATGAAACATGCTGAAATTGGGTAAAAATCCAAGAAAATTATTGTTTTACTGGGTTTTGGCGGGGGGGGGCAGGAGGAGGATATGGCCATTTTTCTCATTGTTCTATTTCTTTTTCCCAGATATTTGCTTATCATTCAGACTTTCCTCTGTTGCTATAGATGGCCATTTCAATCTACCCCTTTACACTAGAGCTGTGTGAAACTGTGATTTTGCTGTTTCCCATAGATATCAGGTACGAGAGCATGATCAATACCATGCTGAAGGACCTCTTTGAGTTGCTGGTCGCCTGTGTGGCCAAGCCCACTGAAACCATCTCCAGAGTGGGCTGCTCCTGTATTAGGTGAGGAAATGCTTTCCTGACTCTCCACAAAGCTGGAGTTTTTATTTAAAAATCTAAAGAAATTAAATTGTCTTTGTGGTAGGAATCGACTTTTTGGATTGCTTTCTGTAAGTAGACTTTTGTAATTAAAAATGACTGTGCTAATAATTCTTCATTTCAGTGTTCAGTCAGCAAATGTGTATTGTATAAGACATTATACAAAGTATTCTGGTTCAGTTTCTCAAAGACATACAGAAGGCAAACAGGTATATGAAAAGGTGCTCAGCATCAGTGATCATAAGAGAAACGCAAATTGAATGTACAATGAGATATCATCTCATCCCACCTAAAATAGCTTATCCAAAAGACAGGTAATAACAAATGCTGGAGAGGATGTGGAGAAAAGGGAACCCTCGTACACTGTTGGTGGGAATGTAAATTAGTACAACCACTATGGAGAACAGTTTGGAGGCTCTTCAAACTAAAAATAGAGGTATCATACAATCAGCAATCCCATTGCTGGGTATATACTCCAAAGAAGGAAAATAATTATATCAAAGAGATAGCTGTACTCCCATGTTCACAATAGTCAAAATTTGGAAGCAACCTAATAAGTATCAGTATTAGTCCATTTTCATGCTGCTGATAAAGACACACCCAAGACTGGGAAGAAAAAGAGCTTTAATGGACTTACAGTTCCACGTGGCTGGGGAGGCCTCACAATCATGGCGGAAGGCAAGGAGGAGCAAGTCACATCTTAATGGATGGTGGCAGGCAAAGAGAGAGCTTGCTCAGGGCCACAGGGTACCCAGACATTTGGCCAAACATTATTGTGGGTGTGTCTCTGGGGGTGTTTCTGGATGAGAAGAACATTTGAATTGGTGGAGATAGCAGAGCAGATGGCCCTCCCTAATGTGGGTGGGCCTCGTCCAATCAGTTGAAGACCTGAATAGAACAAAAAGGCCAAGTAAGAGGGTACTTTGCCTGCCTGACTGTTTGAGCTGGAACATCAATCTTCTCCTGCCCCTGGACTGTACTTACATCTCCCCGTTCTCAGGCTTTCAGACTTGGACTGCAACTATACGACTGGCTCAAGGAGAACTCATTATAACCATCAGATCTCATGAGACTTATTCACTATAACAGCATGGGAAAGACCCGGCCCGATGATTCAGTTACCTCTCACGGGGTCCCTCCCACAACACATGGGAATTCAAGATGAGATTTGGGGAGGGACACAGCCAAACTGTATCAGTGTCCATCAACAGATGAATGCATAAAGGAAATGTGGTACATACACAAAATGGAGTACTATTCAGCCATAAAAAATAATGGGATTCTCAGCACTTTGGGAGGCCGAGGCAGGCAGATCACAAGGTCAGGAGTTCGAGACTAGCCTGGCCAATATGATGAAACCCTGTCTCTACTAAAAATACAAAAATTAGCCGGGTGTGGTGGCGGGCGCCTGTAGTCCCAGCTACTCAGGAGGCTGAGGCAGGAGAATTGCTTGAACCCGGGAGGCAGAGGTTGCAGTAAGACGAGATGGCACCACTGCACTCCAGCCTGGGCAACAGAGCAAGATTCAGTCTCAAAAAAAGAAAAAAAAAAAAAAAGGGATTCTGTCATTTACAACAACATAGAGGGAACTGGAGGTTATTATGCTAAGTGAAATAAGCCAGGCACATGGGAGGGCGGGTCACATGAAAAATGGTGACAGTGAAGCAAGGACCTCGTTGTAGCAGTGACACTGGTCACATCCTCCAAGGTGGACAGGCATGGGGGAGGTGGGGACTTTCCAAGCAGAAGAACAAAATAGCATTGAGATAAGAGTTTGGGGTTTGGTTTTGCTTGTAGAGGAGTGATGGAAAATGGAACTAGAATCCAAAAATCACTACAGAATATATGCAGTCTTGCATACAAGTCTACGTTTAATGATTGGCCTATTTGTAGAGGGGATCCGTTGATATTTCTATATTAAAATGGTTTAGGAAGTAGTATTTTGACAATGGAATACTGGATGGTTGAGAGACAAGGAGACTTGGCAGGGAGCTGCAGAATAAACCTGTGCATGAGCCCATATGGCCTAAATTTTGTGGCAACAAAATGGAATTCAAGACTCCTTTGTGGCCGGGCGCGGTGTCCCACACCTATAATATCAGCACGTTGGGAGGCCGAGGTGGGTAGATCACCTGAGGATGGGAGTTCGAGGCCAGCCTGACCAACATGGAGAAACCCCATCTCTACTAAAAATACAAAATTAGCCAGGCATGGAGGCGCATGCCTGTAATCCCAGCTACTCGGGAGGCTGAGGCAGGAGAATTGCTTGAACCCGGGAGATGGAGGTTGCAGTGAGCCAAGATCATGCCAGTGCACTCCAGGCTGGGCAACAAGAGCAAAACTCCATCTGAAAAAAACAAACAACAACAACAACAAAAAAAAAACTCCTTTACTTGTTTCTTTTGGCAGATACGTCCTTGTGACAGCGGGCCCTGTGTTCACTGAGGAGATGTGGAGGCTTGCCTGCTGTGCCCTGCAAGATGCGTTCTCTGCCACACTCAAGCCAGTGAAGGTACATCACTGGGAGGAAGCCCTCCCTGGCACAGTTCTAACCATCTTTAGCTCCTGATCCCTTACCATGTTGGGCACATGGGTTCTGCCTCCTCTGAGCAGGCAGTCTCACTTTAGATCTTGCAGAGAGTGAGAAAGAAGTTGCTGGGTCAGTACTTTTGTCTCAGACACAGTGACGATCTCAGATCCAAGACTGAGCCCGGCCCATGAACCAGGATGCATTCAGTGAGCATCTGCTGTTTCTCCCCAGGACCTGCTGGGCTGCTTCCACAGCGGCACGGAGAGCTTCAGCGGGGAAGGCTGCCAGGTGCGAGTGGCGGCCCCGTCCTCCTCCCCAAGTGCCGAGGCCGAGTACTGGCGCATCCGAGCCATGGCCCAGCAGGTAAGGGCAGGGGCTTTTGATCTCAGGAGCTCTAGAAACTCGAAGTGCATGTTGGGAGACCTTCCTTGAAGGTCTCGCATCACCAAATTGCCTTTCATTCCCTGAGGGACATACACCTTGTAGCTCCCAACTCTTGCCACTACCATTCTTTGCCAGAAATGACATGAACCCAATCAACAGCATTACCTCCTGTCCATCATCTCATTTGTTGCATCCTCCAGTGCCCAGATCAAATAGAACCCTTTCAGCAGCCTCGCCACTGTCCTTTATAGGTAACTTGCTTGAGCTACCTGTAAGTATTTGCTTAACTGTTATTGTTACTGCTAGACTATGAGTGCCTAACAATGGCAAACTTATTTGGGCTTTTTTCTTATATCTTTCATTCACAACACAGAACTTAACATTTAAAAGTTGCTTAATAAATTTGAGTTGAATGTAACATTAAAATTCAAGTGTATTCACTCATGCAGGAATCATCATATACCAATGGCTTTTCCTTCTTGAGACACGTGTAAGAAGTCACAAAATTTGGTTGTCAGCTCCTGAGGAGCAGAGAACACATTCTGTATATTTACCTTGGTATTTTTAGAGCAAAGCCTAGAGAAGATGCTTAGTATGTCTTTGTTGAATCAATAGGTTACTGAATCACAGAAATATCAGAAGAATATAGTAGTATCACGAGCTACAGATATACCCTAAGCTCTTAAGTGACATGGCAGTCTGCCGCTAGGAAACCCTGGACGTGACTCTCAGCAGCAGTCCTGCTAAATGCCATCCCCGAATTCACATATATTCATAACCATGCTGTTCACAGTAGTGAAAAAGGGAAATGGAATAAATTTCCAATAACCATTGACTGGCTAAATATTCCATCATGTAATAGCAACAGACATGCCTGAATTGGGTCTTCATATGAAGAAACTATTTTGCATATGCCTATGTATGTGTATGCATGGTATGTATTTAAAATATTAAACAAGTTTTATGAATGTAATTGAACTGTCACATTTGAGTTAAATTTGAAGAAATGAGTTGGAGGTTATACTCAAAAGGGAAGGCCCCTTTTCTCTACCAGATCTGTTTAAATTCTTAATAAAATTTTCTATTAGCACACTGATAATCTAGGATCCCCTGATTACCCATGTAAAGAACTCAGTCAGTTGAGAAGTTTCTTAGCCAGGTCTGGCTTCTTTGGGGCTTTTCCCAGCTGTCCTGAGGTAGTGGGACAAGAACCTTCTACCTTCAGTTTCTCACATCTCTGCTGAACACATGCCTGACATCTGGGACTTCATGATTCTGCTGGTTCTGAAGGAAGGGAGCACATCCCACTGAAGCCTCCGTGGCCAGTCTGAAGAAGTTGGGACAGAAGAAAGGTTGTAAGGCCGCAATGAAGAGCCACTTCTAGCAGCATGGCAGTTGGAGCTGCTGCAGCAATGGTGTAGCTAGAAGTGAGAACAGAGAAACCAAGAAAGTGGCCCTCCAAAGGGATAGCTTCTGTAAATATGCAGTTGTTACGTCTGGCTAAAGCATTTGCACGTGTGCACACAGTGGTCTCTGCAACCCTGTCCAATCATACAACAAAAATATGAAAAAGTCAATGGGATCTTCTGAAATAGATCATCAATGGAGAAGAACAGCAAGAGCTGTTTAGTGAATCTTTCACTTCTTTTTCTGTTTTTCTGTTGTTTTTGTTGTTGTTGTTGTTTGTTTGTTTTTTCTTTTTTGAGACTTGCTCTATCAATCACCCAGGCTGGAGTGCAGGGTGTGATCTCGGCTCACAGCAACCTCTACCTCCAGGTTCAAGTGATTCTCCTGCCTCAGCCTCCTGAGTAGCTGGGATTACAGGTGTGCACCACCACACCCAGCTAATTTTTGCATTTTTAGCAGAGACGGAGTTTCGCCATGTTGGCCAGGCTGGTCTCAAACTCCAGACCTCAAGTCATCCACCCACCTCAGCCTCCCAAAGTGCTGGGATTACAGGCATGAGCCACTGCACCTGGCCCATCTTTCACTTCTTAATACTTCTCTATTTCTTCCTCAATCCCAAATTTTCCTTATGTATTCACTCTTAAAATAACTCATTATTCAAAAATCTGATAATTCTTACAAGATTTTGAAAGAAAATATTTTTAAAGTATTCTAGTCTTGCCGGGCATGGTGGCTCATGCCTGTAATCCCAGCACTTTGGGCAGCCAAGGCAGGAGGATTGCTTGAGCCCAGGAGTGCAAGACCAGCCTAGGCAATACCATAAGACTCCATCTCTTAAATTTACAAGGAGAAAACAACTCCATTAAAAAGTGGGTAAAGGACTTGAACAGACACTTCTCAAAAGAAGACATACATGCGGCCAACATATGAAAAAAGCTCAACATCACTGCATTAGAGAAATGCAAATCAAAACCACCATGAGATACCATCTCACTCAGAATGGCTATTAGTAAAAAGTCAAAAAACAATAGGTGCTGGTGAGGTCGTAGAGAAAAAGTAACGCTTTTATACTGTTGGCGGGAGTATAAATTAGTTTAACCATTGTGGAAGACAGTGTGGTGATTCCTCAAAGACCCAGAGGCAGAAATATCATTTGACCCAGCAATCCCATTACTGGGCATATACCCAAAGGAATATAAATCATTCTCTTATAAAGATACATGCACATGTATGTTCACTGCAGAACTATTTACAATAACAAATACATGGAATCAACCCCAATGCCCATAAATGATAAACTGGATAAAGAAAATGTGGTGCACGGAATACTATGCAGTCATAAAAAGGAATGAGATCATGTCCTTTGCAGGAACCTGGATGGAGTTGGAGGCCATTATCCTCAGCAAACTAACGCAGGGACAGAAAACCAAACACTGCATGTTCTCACTTATAAGTGGGAGCTGATTGATGAGAATGCATGGACACATGGCAAAGAACAACACACACTGGGCACCTGTGGGGAACGGGGGAGGGAGAGCATGAGAGCATCAGCAAGAACAGCTAATGCATGCTAGGCTTAATACCTGGGTGATGGGATGACTTGTGCAGTAAGCCACCATGACACATGTTTACCTATGTAAGAAACCTGTACATCCTGCACATGGACCCCAAACTTAAAACTTGAAAAAGAAAGGAAAAAATTTTTAAAAATAGCTGGGCATAGTGGTGCACACCTGTGGTCCCAGCTACTCAGCTACTCGAGGGTTTAAGGTGGGAGGATCACTCGAGCCTGGGACGTTGAGGCTGCAGTGAGCCATGATCATACCACTGCACTCCAGCCTGGACAACAGAGTGAGACCCTGTTTCAAAAAATATATATATTCTAATATTTCCAGAGGAAAGTAGTGAAAGTATTTTAAGTCATGTAAAAGAAAATCATTTGGGTCAGAGATCCAGTAAGTGCTCACTATTTTCTTAGTCACATCTGCCATGCCTAGTAGAACACTGTGGCCCTATCAGTAACCATCAGTAATCCTGACAGAAGTCCCAACTCCTTTTTCATCCCTGTGTTGAATATGATACCAAAGACTCAAAAATCAGAGATAATCTTTTACAAAGCCCCTCTTTATTTACTTGTAGTTAATATTAAGTGTCAATACCTGCTATTTGGGGTATAATGAATTGTCACATGGTAGAACTAGTAGCATTGCTGGTATTAGTGTCAACGGCTAACCCTGATTATTTACTCCTCTGTTCTAATGCTTTGCATATGTAATACACACATATCAATTAACTCTCTCAACAAACATATCAAATAGGAAACCATTATCCTCATTTTATAGATGAGGCTCAACTTGCCCAGGGTCATCCAGCTGATCCCTGACAGGTCAAGCAGAGGACACTGGAGTTCTGAAATGTACCTTTGCACCCCCATACAGGTGTTTATGCTGGACACCCAGTGCTCACCAAAGACACCAAACAACTTTGACCACGCTCAGTCCTGCCAGCTCATTATTGAGCTGCCTCCTGATGAAAAACCAAATGGACACACCAAGAAAAGGTAAGTACCTAAATCTCAACTCATAGGGTGCTTATAAATAAGAATGTTCATTCACTTCCAGTTCTCACACATTGTAATCTGAGCTTTGGCCAGAAATACTGAAAACATTTGTGGAGTCATTTAGCAAAGGTTTTCATAAAAACTGTTAGCCTTGTAACCAAATTACCCACATTTCATACATATTAGGTTATCCGGGCTGCCACAGAAAGTACCACAGACTGGGTGACTCAAACAGCAGAACCATATATCCCACATTTCTGGTGCCTAGAAGTCAGATATGAAGGTTTCCTCCGAGGTCTATCTCCTTGACCTGTAGATGACCATTTTCTTCCTGTGTCTTAACATGGACTTCCTCTGTACAGGTCTATGTCTCAATTTCCTCCTCTTATAGAGACACCAGTCATATTTAATTAAAACTAACCCTCACGACCTCATTTTGACTTAATTACCTCTTAAAAGACCTCTTCTCCAAATATAGTCACATTCTGAGGTACCAGGGGTTAGGACTTCAACATAGGAATTTGGGGGAACACAGCCCAACCCATGATGTCATACACTTATAATCTTAAAAAAAAATAGGCCAGGCATGGTTGTTCACAACTGTAATCCCAGAACCGCAGGAGGATCACTTAAGCTCAGAAGTTTGAGACTAGTCTGAGTAACATAGTAAGAGCCATCTCTACAAAAAAGTAAAAAAATAAAAATTTAGCCAAGCATGATGGCGCATGCCTGTAGTCCCAGCTACTCAGGAAGCTGAGGTGGGAGGATCACTTGAGCCCAGGAGGCCAAGGCTGTAGGGGGCCACGATTATGCCACTGCACTCCAGCCTGGGCAACAGAACAAAACCTTGCCTAATTTAAAAAAATAAAAAGTAAATTGAGGCATGGTTCTGATTGTTTCAGTGGGAAGCACATAAACCTCCCCAGGAACAATGATGGCTATTGGGAGACAAAAAGGTCTATGCTCTGCCCCAAGAAACTTGCCCTTTTTAAACACTATCATCCTCCCTTAAAAATATGGTTCCTAGACTTGAAGATGAAGGCAATGACCAACATTTCCCACTTTTAAACTTCTGACACGTTAATAGTAATACCAAGTATTTGAGCACTGTATATGAAACACAGTGGATAGGTATTCCTACTCCCATTTCACCCCTGAGGGCACATACAGAGAGGCTTGGGTCCTTTGCCCAAGGACACACAACTGCAAAGAGGTGGAGTCAGAATCAAAACTGGCTCTGGGCTGGGCGCAATGGCTCATACCTATAATCCGAGCACTTTAGGACCCAAGGCAGACAGATCACCTGAGGTCAGGAGTTTCAGACCAGCCTGGCCAACATGGTGAAACCCCGTCTCTGCTAAAAATACAAAAATTAGCCAGGCATGATGGCATGCACCTGTAGTCCCAGCTACTCAGGAGACTGAGGCAGGAGAATCGCTTGAACCCAGAAGGCGGAGGCTGCAGTGAGCTGAGATCACGCCACTGCACTCCAGCCTGGGTGATAGAGTGAGACTCTGTCTCAAAAACCAAACAAACAAAAAAACAAACTGGGTTTGGTTGAACATAAGGCCTCTGCCCTTTCCCATTTCAAGGACAGAGTTGCTGCAGTGGACAGAATGTGTCCCCCCACATTGATGTGGTTACGCCTATCCCCCAATGTGATGTTAGGTGGCTTTCATGCACGTCTGTGTGAAGAGACCACCAAACAGGCTTTGTGTGAGCAACAAGGCTGTTTATTTCACCTGGGTGCAGGCGGGCTGAGTCAGAAAAGAGAGTCAGCGAAGGGAGATAGGGGTGGGGCCGTTTTATAGGATTTGGGTAGGTAAAGGAAAAAGGGGGGTTGTTCTCTGGCAGGCAGGAGTGGGGGTCACAAGGTGCTCAGTAGGGGAGCTTTTGAGCCAGGATGAGCCAGGAGAAGGAATTTCACAAGATAATGTCATAGTTAAGGCAGGAACAGGCCATTTTCACTTCTTTTGTGGTGGAATGTCATCAGTTAAGGCAGGAACCAGCCATCTGGATGTGTACGTGCAGGTCACAGGGGACATGATGGCTTAGCTTGGGCTCAGAGGCCTGACAGTGGCACCTTCAGGAGGAAATTTGGTCATGAGGGTGGAGCCCTCATGAATGGGAATCATGCCCTTAAGAGACAGCTCCCTTGCCCTCTTTCTGCCGTGTGAGGATTCATGGAGAAGATGGTCACCTGTATTCTGGAAGAGGGCCTTCACCAGGTCTGATCTCAGGCATCCAACCTCTAGAACTATAGGAATCCAATTTCTGTTGTTTGTAAGCCACCCAGTCTATGGTATTTGTTAACGGCAGCCCAAACAAAGATAATTGGTATCGTTTCACAACCTCTGGGTGATTTGTCCAAAGTTAGCTGGGCCAGGCGTGCTGGCTCATGCCTGTAATCCCAGCTACTCAGGAGGCTGAGGCAGGAGAATCGCTTGAACCCAGGAGGCAGAGGTTGCAGTGAGCCGAGATCACGCCACTGCACTCCAGCCTGGATGGCAGAGCAAGATTTCATCTCAAAAAACCAACAAACAAAAAGTTTGCCAGGTTAGCAGGTCAGTTTGATTAATATAACAATCAATCATTTGGGTGAAATTTCTAGGTAATAATTTTTGGGGTCAATTATTGGTACATACCAAAAAAATGTGGAATGTTCAAAAGTTATGAAGCAGGAATAAAAAGTAAATGTGAACCTGTCACCCAACTTCAGGAATAGAACTCTACCAATTCTAGCCCGTTTCCCTCAACCACCAGTCACTAATTTTGAAGTGTTGGCCATTTTTAATCTATTTTATATACCAAAGATTGTGCAATCCTTTGACATCTTTAAGCATTGATTTACTTCAGAATTTCAGTTCTTTTCTTCCTTTTTTCCTATTTCTAATTCACATTCAGCCAATTATTCTTGCTGAAATATTTTTGATTTAAAAGTAGGAAAAAGGAATAATAGGCTGCATTCAAGTTATAAATAAAACATAGAACAGCCTAATGTCCTTATGTTATTGGTTTTAAAAGGTTACAGTTTAAAAATATACCAGCATGGCTCATAAATTTACTTAGCACTTTTAATAGGCAATTACCCACTCACTGCAGTTAAGCAAAACAAAATAAGCATATTAAATTCTTTCACCAATCCCACTGCCCACTGAGTCAAAGACATTCCTTAACATTCTTTAAGAGCTCTTAGCCAAAATCTGTATGCTTTGCATTCTTAGATTTGACTCTTATTTGCAGGGGCAATTCTTAGTTTAGCATAGGATGTAGTGGAAGATGAGTTAGACCTGTGGAAAATTATATGCTAGCCAGGTCCATCCTTTAGATGTAATCCTAAAACCAGATTACAGCATTTAAATAGAGAAACCTGGGTTGGTTTGTTTGGGTTTGTTTTAATAGCCTTGACATTGATAGCCCCAAGCTTTACTCAATCCACATAATCTTAATTAGCATTTTAAGATATATATTAGCATGTTTTAAGTCAACCACTTGTTATGCAATTAACTCTCAATTATCCAGTCTGGAGGCTGGCTTTCCTTTGCCCTTAAGCAGCAGGAGGATGGCAGACTTCTTAAAGGTGTGCTCAGAAAAAGCTTGAAACCCTTGGGTATGCTGAATTAGAAAGTTATTTGTTGATTTTGTTTGAGATCTGTGTCTCCTGTCAGCGTAGATGATTAAGAATTGCATATCTATAAAATTGTTTCACTTATCTTTCTGAAACTTTGATCTCTTCAGTATCATTTCCCTCCCATTCTGTTTTCTTGTCACTGCGCCCTTTAACCCACACCTAAGGTAAAGGGAATTTGCTGTCCTTTTTTACATGCATGGTTAACAGCTGTATCTCTCAAAGCATCCAAAAAATGATCTCGGTGGATGAAGATATTCCACAATTCAGACATGGCTTTGCATTGGCCTGACTTTAGGTGTTGGCTGGAAAATGGCTTTCCATTTCTCAGGGAAGGTAATAAAAAACAGTGTTGTGAGCGAAGGGTTTCATGCCTTCACCAGACTGATTAAACTCACCCCTCTGGTGGTGCTTCCTGCCAAGGATCCAGAATCCTAGGGGAGTGGGGTTCAAATGTCAGAACCATTTCTCAGGGGGAGCATTTCCTTCAGGCAGCCTGCAGTCAGAGCCAGCCTGCTTTCTTTCTTCCACTTGGAGACTTACTGAATGCTACTCTCACCATTTTCTTTCTTTCTTCCACTTGGAGACTTACTGAATGCTACTCTCACCATTTTCCTGGTTACTGGGGACAAGAAGATGAATAAGGTAGTGTCCTGTCCCTTGAGGATGTTATAGCTATCAGGGGGACAGACTTGTTTGATCAGTAAAAAATTTCCCTTTTTAGTATGCATCCTGTGGTAGCTTTTGGGCCAAGTTGTTATAAGCTTTTGGAGTCCTCTTTTTCAGAAGAGTGTGTATTCAGGTTTACTGGTAGCTTAAGTAGGAGCTGGGGCTGGGAAAATGGAGAGTTGTTGTTTAATGGGTACCAAGTAAGTTTCTGTTAAAAATTATGAGAAAGTTTTAGCAATAGATAGCAGTGATGGTTACACAACATTATGAATATACTTAATATCACTGAATTGTGTACATCAAAAAGTTAAAGTAGTAACTTTTATGTATATTTTACCACAAAAAAAGTTAAAGCGATTTATTTTAAAAGGTTACTGTTTTCGAATGACAGTCCTTTGTTACTCATTTCATCTTGAGAGTAATGTGTTTTCCCTCAGTGAGGACTACACAAAGGGCAAAGTTAACATTGAGATTTATGCAGGATTTGTCATTTTCTGTTAGAAAAGCACTTTTTCCTACTTACACAAATTTTTACATTCAAAGTCATAGACATAAAGCAAAATGTTATTAACATCATGGCTAGAACTTTGAAATTAATAACGGTTGTCATAATTTTATAATTATCCAGTTTGGGGCATTAATTGGCCATATAATGGCCACAACTATTTTCATAAAATTATAAGAGCAGTGAAAAGAAATGAAACTGTAAACCAAAACCACATTGGCAAATTAAAAAGTTTGGCAAACATAGTACAGGTTGAGCATCCCTAACCCCAACTTTTTGAGTGCCAACAGGACACTACAAATGGAAAATTCCACATCTGACCTCATGTGATGGGTCATAATAGGAAAACCCAAAATATATTCTGTGTCCCCAAGGGCAAAAAGACTTCCCAGCCCCCTTCAACTGTGATATCTTTTGATGTCACAGTTAACTCTCTGATATCTGTGATATCTTGACAACTATTAATTTGGCATAATAACTTATATTCTATAGCTTTGGGAATTTTTTTTCTTTTTGAGACAGAGTCTTGCTCTGTTGCCCAGGCTGGAGTGCAGTGGCGCGATTTCAGCTCACTGCAAGCTCCACCTCCCGGGTTCATGCCATTCTCCTGCTTCAGCCTCCCTAGTAAGCTGGGACTACAGGTGCCCGCCACCATGCCCGGCTAATTTTTTGTATTTTTAGTAGAGACGGGGTTTCACCATGTTAGCCAGGATGGTCTCGATCTCCTGACCTCGTGATCCGCCCACCTCGGCCTTCCAAAGTGCTGGGATTACAGGCTTGAGCCACCGCGCTCGGCCCAGCTTCAGGAATTTTTTTAAGTGTCAAGAACTCCACTAGTTGTGATTAAAATGGTTATCACACAGTGCCCAAAAAGTATGCCTTCTTTCATGGAAGACATTTGAGTAGAGGTAGTTTAGTTTGTAAATTTGCATAGATCGTTCTGAAACGGGTAACGTCTATATTGCTTTGAGACACCTGATATAGGGCAGAAAACCATTAATCGAGCCCTCTCTTTTCACTTGAAGCGTGTCTTTCAGGGAAATTGTGGTGAGCCTGCTGTCTCATCAGGTGTTACTCCAGAACTTATATGACATCTTGTTAGAAGAGTTTGTCAAAGGCCCCTCTCCTGGAGAGGAAAAGACGATACAAGTGCCAGAAGCCAAGCTGGCTGGCTTCCTCAGATACATCTCTATGCAGAACTTGGCAGTCATATTCGACCTGCTGCTGGACTCTTATAGGACTGCCAGGGAGTTTGACACCAGCCCCGGGCTGAAGTGCCTGCTGAAGAAAGTGTCTGGCATCGGGGGCGCCGCCAACCTCTACCGCCAGTCTGCGATGAGCTTTAACATTTATTTCCACGCCCTGGTGTGTGCTGTTCTCACCAATCAAGAAACCATCACGGCCGAGCAAGTGAAGAAGGTCCTTTTTGAGGACGACGAGAGAAGCACGGATTCTTCCCAGCAGTGTTCATCTGAGGATGAAGACATCTTTGAGGAAACCGCCCAGGTCAGCCCCCCGAGAGGCAAGGAGAAGAGACAGTGGCGGGCACGGATGCCCTTGCTCAGCGTCCAGCCTGTCAGCAACGCAGATTGGGTGTGGCTGGTCAAGAGGCTGCACAAGCTGTGCATGGAACTGTGCAACAACTACATCCAGATGCACTTGGACCTGGAGAACTGTATGGAGGAGCCTCCCATCTTCAAGGGCGACCCGTTCTTCATCCTGCCCTCCTTCCAGTCCGAGTCATCCACCCCATCCACCGGGGGCTTCTCTGGGAAAGAAACCCCTTCCGAGGATGACAGAAGCCAGTCCCGGGAGCACATGGGCGAGTCCCTGAGCCTGAAGGCCGGTGGTGGGGACCTGCTGCTGCCCCCCAGCCCCAAAGTGGAGAAGAAGGATCCCAGCCGGAAGAAGGAGTGGTGGGAGAATGCGGGGAACAAAATCTACACCATGGCAGCCGACAAGACCATTTCAAAGTTGATGACCGAATACAAAAAGAGGAAACAGCAGCACAACCTGTCCGCGTTCCCCAAAGAGGTCAAAGTGGAGAAGAAAGGAGAGCCACTGGGTCCCAGGGGCCAGGACTCCCCGCTGCTTCAGCGTCCCCAGCACTTGATGGACCAAGGGCAAATGCGGCATTCCTTCAGCGCAGGCCCCGAGCTGCTGCGACAGGACAAGAGGCCCCGCTCAGGCTCCACCGGGAGCTCCCTCAGTGTCTCGGTGAGAGACGCAGAAGCACAGATCCAGGTACATCCCTGTGGCCACAGCAGGTGGGCGGGAGGCTGGGTTTCCAGTACTGGATGGGCCCCCCCTTGCAGAGCAGGCATACACAGGCTAAGATTTATAGAAACAGGTAGGGGGTATGAACCGATTTCCCTCCAAAGTCAGAGGACTGCCTGAACCTAAGTGCAGGATCTCCCAGGATCAGTATGTCATTATGAAGCTGGAATTTTACTCTCAGGTAATTTCAGGAACTGTTTTTCTCCATAGTAATGTATATTATTGAGAATTAGGAACTTACCTGTATAAATAAGGTGAGGCTAAAGCTTATAACATGTAAGCTTTTTCAGTCTGGACAACACGGCAAAACCCATCATCTCTACAAAAAAAAAAAAAAAATTAGCTGGGAGAGGTGGCACATGCCTGTAATCCCAGCTACTTGGGAGGCTGAGCAAGGAGGATTGTGTGATCCCAGGAGGCAGAGGTTGCAGTGAGCTGAGATGGTGCCACTGCACTCCAGCTTGGATGACATAGAGAGACCCTGTCTTTAAAAACAAGTAAGCTTTGACTAGCATTGAGTTCTTAGTGTGTCATTCGAAAATGGCCCTGAAGAAATTCTGTAGTTATGAAGCATTATATAAAAGAAAAAAGCAAAGTAAATATTGTGTGGTTATGCCAATGAATTTTTTTCAAATTGTTTTCATCTCAAGTTTTTCTAGCCCATCCTGTGCACATAAAAATTCTCATTCTTCAGGGAGGCTTTGAGTGTAATTCTATGGTGCATCAAAAAATGAGTTTGAGATTAACGGCCTGTGGAGATCTCACTGTGAGAAGGCAAGGGAGGTTTGTTGTTGTTGTTGTTTTTAAATCTAAGGAATAAGTAAGAGTTTAGTAGTTTGTGAAAGCTGAAAATAAGGCGAGTCTCTGCCCATCTTTATGTATGTGAAGTTATGATGTAGGCATAATAAATTAATACGCCTACAATTTATTATAGGCATATTAAATGAGTGAAAACTAATTTATTGCAACTAAAGCCTGGAAAAAAACCATTTCCACATTGGCAGGGCCACTCTCAAGTGTTCAAATAAAACCAGGGGGGAAAGCCACTGATTTTCTTAAATCTTTTCTCTTAGGCATGGACCAACATGGTGCTAACAGTTCTCAATCAGATTCAGATTCTCCCAGACCAGACCTTCACGGCCCTCCAGCCCGCAGTGTTCCCGTGCATCAGTCAGCTGACCTGTCACGTGACCGACATCAGAGTTCGCCAGGCTGTGAGGGAGTGGCTGGGCAGGGTGGGCCGTGTCTATGACATCATTGTGTAGCCGACTCCTGTTCTACTCTCCCACCAAATAACAGTAGTGAGGGTTAGAGTCCTGCCAATACAGCTGTTGCATTTTCCCCACCACTAGCCCCACTTAAACTACTACTACTGTCTCAGAGAACAGTGTTTCCTAATGTAAAAAGCCTTTCCAACCACTGATCAGCATTGGGGCCATACTAAGGTTTGTATCTAGATGACACAAACGATATTCTGATTTTGCACATTATTATAGAAGAATCTATAATCCTTGATATGTTTCTAACTCTTGAAGTATATTTCCCAGTGCTTTTGCTTACAGTGTTGTCCCCAAATGGGTCATTTTCAAGGATTACTCATTTGAAAACACTATATTGATCCATTTGATCCATCATTTAAAAAATAAATACAATTCCTAAGGCAATATCTGCTGGTAAGTCAAGCTGATAAACACTCAGACATCTAGTACCAGGGATTATTAATTGGAGGAAGATTTATGGTTATGGGTCTGGCTGGGAAGAAGACAACTATAAATACATATTCTTGGGTGTCATAATCAAGAAAGAGGTGACTTCTGTTGTAAAATAATCCAGAACACTTCAAAATTATTCCTAAATCATTAAGATTTTCAGGTATTCACCAATTTCCCCATGTAAGGTACTGTGTTGTACCTTTATTTCTGTATTTCTAAAAGAAGAAAGTTCTTTCCTAGCAGGGTTTGAAGTCTGTGGCTTATCAGCCTGTGACACAGAGTACCCAGTGAAAGTGGCTGGTACGTAGATTGTCAAGAGACATAAGACCGACCAGCCACCCTGGCTGTTCTTGTGGTGTTTGTTTCCATCCCCAAGGCAAACAAGGAAAGGAAAGGAAAGAAGAAAAGGTGCCTTAGTCCTTTGTTGCACTTCCATTTCCATGCCCCACAATTGTCTGAACATAAGGTATAGCATTTGGTTTTTAAGAAAACAAAACATTAAGACGCAACTCATTTTATATCAACACGCTTGGAGGAAAGGGACTCAGGGAAGGGAGCAGGGAGTGTGGGGTGGGGATGGATTATGATGAAATCATTTTCAATCTTAAAATATAATACAACAATCTTGCAAAATTATGGTGTCAGTTACACAAGCTCTAGTCTCAAAATGAAAGTAATGGAGAAAGACACTGAAATTTAGAAAATTTTGTCGATTTAAAATATTTCTCCTATCTACCAAGTAAAGTTACCCTATGTTTGATGTCTTTGCATTCAGACCAATATTTCAGGTGGATATTTCTAAGTATTACTAGAAAATACGTTTGAAAGCTTTATCTTATTATTTACAGTATTTTTATATTTCTTACATTATCCTAATGATTGAAAACTCCTCAATCAAGCTTACTTACACACATTCTACAGAGTTATTTAAGGCATACATTATAATCTCCCAGCCCCATTCATAATGAATAAGTCACCCTTTAAATATAAGACACAAATTCTACAGTATTGAAATAAGGATTTAAAGGGGTATTTGTAAACTTTGCCCTCCTTGAGAAATATGGAACTACCTTAGAGGTTAAGAGGAAGGCAGTGTTCTGACTTCTTTAGGTGATCTGAAAAAAACACCCTTATCATCCAGTGTACCATCTAGAGATCACCACAGAATCCATTTTTTTCCCAGTTCCACAAAACACTCTGTTTGCCTTCAGTTTTTACTCACTAGACAATAATTCAAGTTTAGAAACAGGTAATCAGCTATTTGATCTTAAAAGGCAATGAATTGTTGGGATATCAGTGAACTATGTTGTATACTTTTGAATTTTTACATTTTATAAATGGAATTGAAAGTTGGATAACTGCTTTTTTTAAATTTTCCAACAGAAGTAACACCACAGTTGCTTTGTTTCTTTTTATAGCTTACCTGAGGTTCAGTTCTTCTTTGTGAACCTGTGAGTACTCCACAGTTTACTGGGGGAAAAGGCTTCAGTAAAGCAGAGGCTAGAATTACAGTATTTATACATAGCAACTTTTCATAAAGTAGAAAAATTCAAAGGAAGCTGTCTCAATTTGAGAATACCAGCTGGGCACGGTGGCTCACGCCTGTAATCCCAGCACTTACTTTGGGAGGCCAAGGTGGGCAGATAACCTGCGGTCAGGAGTTTGAGACCAGGCTGGACAACATGGTGAAACCTCGTCTCTACTAAAAATACAAAAATTAGCCAGGTGTGGTAGGATGCACCTGTAATCCCAGCTACTTAGGAGGCCGAGACAGGAGAATCGCTCGAACCCAGGAGGCGGACGTTGCAGTGAGCCAAGATTGCACCATTGCACTCCAGACTGGGTGACAAGAGTGAAACTCCATCTAAAAAAAAAAAAAAAAAAAAGTGAATACTGTATCCCAAAGTATGTTAGTTGTTTGTTTGGAAATCAGCATTCTCCCCGATGCTCTATTATGGGATCCAAAATTCTTGAACATAAGTTTACCCTGTACTGTGTCCAAACACTGTTCTAGTTCTAGCCTGATTATGGGTCCCAAGAATAAAAGGATGAGTAGGTGTACAGAGCTCTTGACCTACAATTTTTTAAGAGTGTTTTGGTACCTTCCCATTGTCTTCTCTATAACTCAGTCCTAACATACTCTGCACTCGAGTTACCAGCCATCCACACTGACATCAGATTTCAACCAGAACCATCACTGAGTGACAGCAGTACTTCTCAGAGGTATTTGCAGCTTGATGCAAAGTAGTCTCTAATGAGTAGGCATTCAGGTGGTTCTTCCCAGCAGGTGGAGAAGAAAGGGAGGAGATGAAGAACACTGAGAGGGGAGTGGCACCTTCCCAGGCTGCCCAGCTCAGTCTCTTGCCCTGTTCCTGTGACTCAGCTGCCCACTCCCCCAACTTTGTTTCCCTCCCTCCCAGTCTCTGAAAGTGTCAGGTGTTTCTCTCCTCACAGTCTCTTTTGCAGCAACAGTAAGACAAAATTCAAGGCAGCCTTTTAAAGTTACGAACAGTTATTAGCATGTATTTACAGACCTAAGCAGAATGAGAGTTTATACATTGTTTTTAGTTGCCTGTATTTATAGCCAAAAGTATATTACCTTAAAGTTGAGATCTTTCTCTTCTTTTCCTAAATTTTGGTAAAGTGTGCTTCATGAAACAAACATCTGGAAAACTCCAAGTATAAGAGACCCTGGACTGATGATGGCCCAGCCAAGTATATGGAGGGACAGAGTTCTCTCTGTCATTAATGAGGACATCGGTTTTCACAATTGAACCTCATGCACTGTCCACAGCATCTCACCTAGCTCCTGTATCTCCTGATCTGCTTTTAAAAATAGTTAGTTAGGCTGCCTTTTTACACCACCTTCTCTCTCTCCCCTTGTGGTAATTTTCCAGCCTTCCCCATAGATATAAAACTAGAACACCTTTATGATTTGGGGTCTATGTAATGACTGACCGATAAGAACCCAGGCAGATGCTAACATACTTAACAGCTCGCATTAAAATACTTTAAATCAGGCGTGATGGCTCATTCCTGTAATCTCAAGCACTTTGGGAGGCTAAGGTGGGTGGATCTCTTGAGGTCAGGAGTTCGAGACCAACCTGGCCAACGTGGTGAAACCCCGTCTCTACTAAAAATACAAAATTAGCCGGGCATGGTGGCAGCTGCCTGTAATCCCAGCTACTCGGGAAGCTGAGGCAGGAGAATTGCTTGAACCTGGGAGGTGGGGATTGCAGTCAGCCAAGATTGTTCTGCAGCATGGGTGACAAAGTGAGACTTCGTCTCAAGTAAATAAAACTAAAATTTTTAAATCAAACATGACAAAAATGTTAATATAATTCAGAAGTACCTTGAAATTGAAACATATTTGTGCAATGATCATTAGGCTTTTTGTCCTTGTTGTTTTAAAATGAGGCTTATACAGAGTGAGTTGAGAGTCAAGTAGCCTTCGCTGTGAGACGGTAATGCAGTTATATAATAGATACCCTTGACTTTGCCAGATTCATCACAATACTGCTTATACAGGAAAGTTTTCTCAGAAAGGAAAATCCATTAGTATCAGTCCCATCAAGCCAAACAGAATGAAGACCTTTGATAGTAATAGCAAGAGGTTACAAATAGCAGGGAGGAGGCGAGTAGTGAATGTCACTGTGATTGCAAACCCTTACCTGTATTATCACACGTAGTCCTCACAACAACCTTGTGAGACAAGTGTTGTGTTCCTCATTTTTTCAGAGGGGAACACAGACCCAGAGAGGTTAAGAAATTTGCCCAAGATAACAAGTAAAAGGCAAAGTTGGTTGCAAAAGAGGTGTTTCTGAATTCAAGGGCCATACTCTCTCTCTGACAACATGCTCTAAGTCCATAGAGTAAGCACTCTAGTATGAAAAAAAGTTTCAAGGAACGAGGCCATGAAAATGAGACTATTTGACATCTCAGATCTGTCTGGGATGTTATGGAGGTTTTTAAAAATAAAGTTGAAAAAAGAAAATGAATCATGTTTATACATAAAAAAATCACATGTAACACATTTCAAGTGTTTGAAAATAAAACCAAAATCTAAACTTTAGTCTTCAAGCAGACATTCAGTGTTACTTTAGAAAACTCACTGAATTAGGTGGAAATGATGGAATAATACTATTCATGGCCAGCTATTAACACAGAAGAACATGGCAGTGTGTGTCTGGAACGGCATGCACAATTTGTAAACCTTTTTCAAATATCATTTAATCAACTCAGAATAAAGTGCCCTGTAGCCAACAGTGCCTCTTTACTTGCTTCTCTGGGAAATACATGGTACTAAATTAGTAGCACAAAGTTTGGGAATATGCAAAATAATGGATAACCATTTTTCAAAATGTACATTCTCTGAAGAGGAAGCAGCTGGTTGGACAGGATTTCTTGAAGAGCCAGGTGCTAAGGGCATCAGGTCGACATCCATAGTAACCATGTGCCATAACATCTACACATTTCCACTTGTTTTACAGACAAGGTAACAGGCAGAAGGAAAATCCAGAGTCTTGCAGTAAGCAGATGACAAAACTTCAATATGCTTGGGCACCACTTAGGTGACCCCAGGGAGATTTAGTGTGGCCTTAGGAAAGCAAAAGAGCACTTTTTATTGGAAATATGAGCTTGTCACTGGGAAAGATTTGTAAAATTGATCAAGAACTTGATTTATAATTATGCCTCAAAAAAAAAAGTTCTCATTTAGTAGTGGAGCAATCTAGAAAACATACCTTTTTTGTTTGTTTGGAAGATCCTCTTTCCCTGGCTGTATTGTAGTGTTTGCTATTTGATGTGGAAATAACTAATAACTTAAGATTTTGGAACAGAACACCCTTTAGATTTCCAAAACACAATTCTTATTTCAGGGAAGACAGACCAAAAATATCTCCTGAGATCATTGGTTTCTTTATAAATTGTGGTACCACTCCATCATTGAAGAGAAACCACTACCACACCACTAGCACCATACAGAACCTTTTCTCTGTATCTTTGTACAATACTACAAAGGGGTACCAGGGAGGAGAGAGTGGCTGACCACTTTAGTGACAAAACAGCACTCCACTGCTGGTGAATCCCATCTAATTATGGTCCTTCCACCCTTTTCAACCACCAACAACTGTTCGTACTGTTAATTCCTATCCTGAAGGTTTAACCAGTGGTTGTCTAGTATCTTCTGTCTTTAGAACAGTGGTTCTCAAACTTTAGTACACATCAGCATCACCTGGAGGGCCTTTTTTTAAAATAAGACACAGATTGCTGGGCTCATGGTCAGAGTTCCCAGTTAAGTAAATCAGGAAATTTGTATTTCTAACAAGTTTATAGGTGAGGCCAATACTGCTGTTTTGGGAACTATGCTTTGAGAACCACTGCCTTGAAAAAATTTCCAACTTCTACCTTTAAGATCAGCCTGACTTATCAAACGCTAGAGAAAAACTGAATCTACCCTTGGGCAGATGACTTGGGATTGGATTCTATACAGCAGTCTTGCTCAATCTTCCCAGTTTCCAGTTTTATTATACCAACAATTGGTTTTTACAAGCTAGAAGACAATGAATGTATAAGTTCTATGGAACAGTGAGATAAATCTAAGCTTCTTGTCTTTGTATTTAGAAACATTGATTCTATGGATGATCATTTGTATCATGTTGACCCTTTGACTTGTACTGAAGGTGATTTTAAATTTAAGTATGTAGTGTTTGAATTTCTTCCATCCATGTCGTTTTAATGAGATGTTTCCATGTCAGCTCCTTTACAGCCTTGGCTCCTGGCTTACAGATTTTTGAATAGTTGTTTGCTTGCCAGTTGTTTTACATCTTTCATTGGCCACCAAAATATTAGCCATTTGAGATGAGATGAGACTACTTGTTGTACCTTCATCTTTCATTTAATTTTCTGGCGTAAATTAACATTTTAATTTCATATATATCTGTAAAGAGTCTACCCAAAGGCTTCACGGAAATTTGCAAAATGAACTAATTCCCTTTTAAGCAGCAGGTGTGCCTGTTTTTGACTTTTCAGTAAATATGTTGTTTGTGCACATATCTACATGGTGGAGACCATATTCATTATTTCATCTTCCAAATAATGGGAAAAATATAAAAGTGAATCAGTGTGCTTTGGGAATTCAGTGAAATCATGTTAACTCATATAGAGGGGGCCTTAGTTTATCTCTTCTTTACTGAATTAATTAGTTTTGGAAATTCTTTTACCATTAAAAAAAATTAAGGACCATACAGAGAATGATTTAAGAAAAAACAAGTCACTTAAAAATCATCACCTATTTATAAACTGTATTAATTACACATAATGCTTATTGATTCAATGAGGTTTCTCTAAAGACTTCTGCTTAATAAATATGCTGACTTCATTTAAATTAGTTTAGACTATTGTAGGAATGGAAGGAAATGATTATATTTACTAGAATTAGTGAGATCAGAAAGCATATCAGAATGTTGATGATATCAAGGAGACAATCTACAGAGTTTTTGCCTCTGTGGATGGAAATAAGGGTGTTTTTTTTTGGTTTTTTTTTTACTTTAGTTTCCCATAATTTTTGGAAATTATGTGTGCATTTAGTTCTTTTAGTAACACTGATTTTAAAATTAAATTTCAAAAGTCAATCTCTAAGAGTAATTTATTTTTGTTTTACCAACCAGTGCCAAAAAGGAGAGGAGGGAATCCAAAAGCCAATCTTTTGAACCAATGTGTAAAAGATTATGTTTTTTCTTAAAGTTAGGGAGGCTCGGGCCCTGACACTGCCAGCCCCAGTGAGCATCCCTGGCTACCTCGGGATTATGTGCAAGCTGCTTTGTCCTACATTTCTTTCATCTGGTTCTTATTGGGAGTGCTTCTCTCTAATAAAAATTGATTTCCCACAAAATAGGCAAAGCTGAACAAAGATGAATGCTTTTGATAAGTTGGGTTTCACTTCAGTTGAAACAATGTGATAGAATATCCAGGTGTGGCATGATGGGGCAGGAGGAGGTGCCTAGAGGGAAAAGTTATTTTTGTTTCTTAGTGTTGTGTTGTGGGGATGGGACAGATAAGAATAAGATGTTTATTGCCCTAATCATGCTAAGAGACTATTATTCAATATGCTTTTCCCGCTTTTCTAAGAGGAATAAACTTAGACAAATTACATTATAAACAGTTCCCCTACTACTATCTCCCACTCTAGATAAAGCCAGTGGGTGGTATGGGTCCTTTTATTCCTTATAGTATTATGCCAAAGAATCAACTTATTTTCATTGAAGATTATAAATAAATGAAGCTTGTTATAGCCATAATGATTTGAGTCAGTATACCATTTTACCTATAAAATGCAAAATTCATCCTTGCAACCCCATTCACCAGGAGCCTTGAAGCATTTTGTTTACTCCAAAGGCCTTGTCAAGGAAGCATAATTTTTTGTTTTGCCTTCTTATTTAGTCAGTTTGGTCATATTTACTTAAAAAAACAAACTGAAAATCACACTCCTTTATATGTTGATATAACTGATTTTATAGAATCTGTCTGTTCTTTGTTTAACAGGTCTCTGTAAGCAAGCTTGCAAGTGTATTTTGTGTACATTTTATCTGAGGTGGAAATGAAAATTCTAAAGAGAAAATATTTTAAAAGATATTGTATTTATGTTGCTTGTGTTGTAGAATAAAGATTCAAATGCATTAAAAATCTGGTACATGAAACAATTGTGTTTACTGAATAAATATATATAAATATCCTGTGTTTACAGAATTCTGTCAAAAGAATTAGGCCCCTTTTCATGGCATTTCATAAGTCTAAATGTAAAGGCCCATTTTAAATCCTGTAACATGGAGATAGTCATTATTGACAATTTGGTATATGCCTAAAAAACAAATTTGTAGAAATAATATATCATTTCCTTGTTTAAAAAAAGGGCTTATTCTATGATATTATCTTTTACTCATAAGAACTTATATCAAATTCCTACTGTCAGTAGATATTGATGTAGATCATTCATTTAAAAAATTAAAGTATTACCTTTTGTTCATAAACAACCAAAAATCCAATTAATAAGAATATTAGTATTTAAAAGTAATATTAAAAAATACAGCCACTTTTAACTTCCTGATCTTACTAGATTATTGTTTTAAATACACATATATCAAAATATCACACTATACCCCATAAATATGTACAATTAATGTAATTAGTGATGTCAATTAAAAACAAAATTTTTTGCATGGTGGCTCATACCTGTAATCCAAGCACTTTGGGAGGCTGAGGCAGGCGGATCACAAGGTCAGGAGATCAAGACCAACCTGGCTAACATAGTGAAACCCCATCTCTACTAAAAAAAAATACAAAAAATTAGCCAGGCGTGGTGGCAGGCACCTGTAGTCCCAGCTACTCGGGAGGCTGAGGCAGGAGAATGGTGTGAACCTGGGAGGCGGAGCTTGCAGTGAGCCAAGATTGCGCCACTGCACTCCAGCCTGGGCGACAGAGCAAGACTCCATCAAAAAAAAAAAAAAAAAAAAAAAAAAATTATATATATATATATATATATATATATATATATATATATATATATATTTAAAAAGAAAACGTTTTAAAAAAAAGATTGTAAGTCTATAATATATCAGCCTAGGTATCACCCTGCCCAAATCATAGAAAACTGCCGTTTAGCCAAGCTTGGGGTAAAAGACATTCAAAATGCTATGGAAATTGAATTTTTGCTTATAAGCTTAAGTCATGATTCTATCATGCATACACACTAGTAGTCTCAGTTACACCACCAAGACTCAATCACTTCCATCATAAGGATGAAATAAAACTAAGATAGGCATCAACATACTTTGCATAAGAACATCACAAATACAGGGGCCAACCATGTTTATGGATGGAGACAGCTGAGAGTGAAGCCTCAGCTAAAAAAGCAGAGTTCACATCCCATGCTTTGTCCCTTCCTGGGAGTGGGAAACCTGGACAACACTTGACTACTTAGAGCTCAAGTGTCCTGCTCTGAAAAATGAAAATACACTCTTACCTCAAAGGGCTGTCTTAAGGTAATATGAAAGCTCAATCTTGCAGTGTTTTGCAAACATTAGTGCCTAATCGACAGTAAGTACTATGTGTAGGAGAATAACTATTTATAAATACCATGCTGTTTTGCAAGTTAATTTACATTTGAGGATATGTACATATCCTTGATATTCATATTCATGAATGTTCTCCAACACAGAAAGCTTAACACTTTATACCAATCCAGTATGAAGTTAGCAGCTCAGAAGCAGAGCTCTTTAATCAAACATTTTGGAAATGAATTCTAGGTCAATGGCCAATTCTTTAGTTACTAATATCTAACAATGAATATACTATGTGCACAAATCTATATGTATTTCCTTAAAACAGAGAGAGGATACACTTCAACTATTTGGCTTATGATCAAAACGTGTATTATAATGTAGCTTTGATGTATATTTCATATCACTCATTAGAAAAAATTCACCTTCCCATACAGCTTAAAGCTAGATTCAATATACAAGTGAAAATGAAATCAAAGCATAATGCAAAATTGTGGTTTTCACATATTGACCAGCATTCCTCTTATCTCAAGCCTTTGAAAGAGCATGGTAAGCATCTCTTTGGTCTTCTCCTTGTTTGTTTTTATTTATAGATTCCTAGTTACAACATGAAGCCATTAGTGCCCTGAGTCTCCCTTGCTAACTTAATCTGCTTGTACAAAATGTTGTGTTGTCAGAGAAACAAACTATCCAGTTTAATCTCATTCAAACTCAAAGATTATAAAGGCATAGTTAAATCCCACAGACATTTATAAGCAGATTGTAAATGATTTTTTTTTTTTTAAAAAAAGCTAGGTTATTTCTATTTGAACATGAAGAGATGAAATGCACAACAGTTTAGAGCTGAGAACTCAAATATTGAACTTGTATTCTCTTTGATATTGTTACCTAGTCTTCTTATATCCGCATATAAGGAAACTACATTGAGCTATTGTTCTAACCAGTACAAATGATGTAAGGAAGTAAAACAACATTCTCTAGCACTGTCTCTAGTAGAGAAAGAATTCAAAACAACATTCTCTAGTGGTGTCTCTAGCCAAGAATGATTTGCCTTCAAGAAAATGAATCAGATGTTAAATGTTGTGAAGTAGAAGGCTCCATTTATAGCAACTTGAAAAATTGAGTATTGAAGCTAATTTACCCATTATAAAGGAAAAATATGCTGCCTGTATTACAGATAAAAGTTTGCTATTCCAAGGTTCATTTTAATCTGCTCCAATAATGGCCGTGGACTGTAAATATTTGACAGCTCTTTTAAAATATAACAATGTGTTACAAAAATAATATTCTTCTAAAGTCTAGAATAGATTTCTTTTTCAAGCAGAAGCAGAATATATTATAATAGACCTCTCAGGTCAAAACCATTTATAAATGGACATTTTGGAAAATTAACTGAGCATAGTTGATGTTTTATTCTAAGGACAACAAACTAAAGACACAGGCAGTTACACATTAGTATACATTTAGACAGTTAAATTTTAGATTATTAAATTGGCAAATTTATTAGGTTTGTATAAAAGTAACTGAGGTTTTGCCATTACTTTTTTTTTTTTTTGCTTTTTGAGACACAGTCTTTCTCTGTCGCCCAGGCTGGAGTACGATGGCACAATCTTGGCTCACTGCAACATCTGCCTCCCGGGTTCAAGCAATTCTCCTGCCTCAGCCTCCCGAGTAGCTGAGATTACAGGCACCTACCATGACACCCGGCTAATCTTTGTACTTTTAGTAGAGACCGGGTTTCACCATGTTGGTCAGGCTGGTCTTGAAACTGACCTCAGGTGATCCACCCACCTCGGCCTCCCAAAATGCTGGGATTACAGGCGTGAACCTCCACACCCGGCCAGTCTTTGCCATTACTTTTAATGCAAAAACCACAATTACTTTTGCACCAACCTAATAGCTTTTATTGCTATGGAAACAAACAACCAACCCTGTAAGCCTTTGGTGATTTTGGGGGGGATTAGAGCATGGCCTGGCATGGAATAGAAACAACTCCTCCTCTCCGGGTCTCTCTCTCAGCCCTCTGCTCTGCCTGGCCAGGAGCAGTAGCCTCCCTATCCCTGAACACTCAGCTGAGCACACCATACATTGTCTGCGACCTGCCCATGCTGCTCCTAGGCATCAACCAGAAACAGATTGACATAACAGAGTTGTTTCAAAGGCTGCTCTTGAAAGGATGCACAGGATTCAGCAATTATCAGAACCTGGGTGTGTCTTTCATAAAATTGTAAACTAGCCAAAATTCAAAAATGGGCACAGATATGGATTTAAAGGACCAGATCCCTGATCCAAAAATTGTAGCTGAATGCTACCAGACCACCTTTCTTCAATACAAGTTTTTCCTCAAAAGCATTAAGTATGCTTGGCTGAAAAGTATTCTTGAGATATTAATCTATTTTTTGTCTCTCAATATTTTTCCCCATTTCTTTCTTGCTAGTCAAGTAAATAGTTGGCTTAGGAGTTCATTATTTCAGGGGAGGGACATGATGTGACTGAATGCCAAAAATTGCTTGTGAGTCTCCAGCTCTAGTATTCTAAAAGCCTAAGCCCTTTACAAATATGTTAAGTTTGTGCTATCCTGGCAGAACAGAGGTACAGAACACTTTTTAGTTGAGTTAGAGAAAAATAAAGAAAATGAAAACTTAATATGTAAAGTTGTGGACTAAGATTTATACCTGCTTTTGTAGTGAATAATCTAAAAATCACTGTAAAACCTTATGTCTGGTTTTCTAAGGCAATTAGGATGGCAAACAAACAAACCCATCCAGCTTTCATTACAAATGCAAAGTTATTCCCTAAGGAAGTACCAACAGAGTTGGCAATCAACAAGACCTCCTAAGTTCAAAGCCAGTGGCTCTGGGACTCAGAAATCTAGCTGTCTGCTCTCTTTGGGAACAAGGGGCTGCCTTGTCCAGTCATCTTCTACTGAGGTCCCAAACTCTCTCCTCTTGAATATGTGAGCCATTTTAACAGAATAGAATTTGATTCCATCCACTGGGCAGGGACCCATTTGGGGCGGATAAACCAAATGTGTTCCCCCACCCAATTTTGTAGCCTTCATTCTGCTTACTTCCAGGTAAAGTAGACACCCCATGTCTACTGGGGCTACAATAGCCCAATTTCATGGTTAGGTAATCAGCAAAAGAAACTTTCCACCCCTTGCGAATTACAGCCAAATTCGGCCTTAGAAATTCAAATAATTTCTCTATATAATCTTAAGGAAAATGGCAGGACAATGTAACCAGTTTACTGAGTGACTCAACCCCTATCAAAACTATCCTTCCCCTCCACTGACAACAGCCTCCTCCCCCCCAGCTCACTTAGGTACCTGAACTAGCTCAGCCACCTTAGACAATCTCAAATTCTAATGTCCCTAAGAATTAAAAATTGTTGAATGTTGAACTTGCCGGTGTCCGGGCCTTGGATACCTGCAAGTGTTCTTGCAGAACTTCTGATCCATTGAGATAGTGAGAATGTGGACTTGGGGGCTTGTTTTGATTCCTTATACTCTGATGCTCCATTCAGAGAGGAAATCAGTTAGTATGGTGCAGGGCTCAGGAATCTGCATGATGGCAAGGTTTCAAAATGCAGAAATAGGTGGAAATTGTTCAAGCACTCTATTCCCCAGGTAGTTTCACTTTAGAACGAAGTTTGTAACTTGGGGTAGGCAAAGAATTAAGGGATCTCTGTAATCCCAGCACTTTGGGAGGCCAAGGCAGGTGGATCACCGGAGATCAGGTGTTCAAGACCAGCCTGACCAATATAGTGAAACCCCGTCTCTACTAAAAATAAAAACATTGGCCAGCATGGTGGCACATGCCTGTAATCCCAGCTACTCGGGAGGCTGAGGCAGGAGGATTGATTGAACCCAGGAGGCGGAGGTTGCAGTGAGCCGAAATCGTGCCACTCCAGCCTGGGTGACAGAACGAGATGCTGTCTCAAAAAAAAAAAAAAAAAAAAAAGAGAAAGAATAATTAAGGGATCCACAAACAAGAAAGGGAAAAATTATAGCTCTATTTTCACTGACTCGTAACTGAAATTTAACATGCCCTTTAATTTGGAATGCATACAACTAACCACAGCGATGTTGGCAAGACCTGCAGCTTGTTACCCAGAAAAGTCCCTTCCTATTGCAGATCTCTAAAAATTCCCAGACTTGGAACACATGGTGGTTGTTACTAGAAACCACTACTGGATCTTGTTATTTAATGTATTCATGGGAAAGAATATATATTATTCTACCACAAGTTGAGGATTTTGATAAGTACATTGGCTTCCTTTATAACAAATTGTATTTTATCTTAAGCATTTAGAAACATTATTTAGAAAAGAAATTCCATAGACCTCCCCAGACTGCAAAGAAGTCCACTTTTCAGTTAAAGAAACTGAATTGTCAGTTAAAGGAACTCTGTCCTAGAGTTATCATAAGGAAGGGGATGGCTGTCAATCTGGGACAAACTCATCAAATTATATTTGGAACAAGTACATTTTTCTCTCATGTTACCTTACGGTCTGTTAGGATCACTTGGGAATTAGGAGCCGTAACTCCCTGTCCTAGATTAACACAGTGTGTTTGTGAGCAAATTACTTCTCAAGTCTCATTCCCTTATCTGCCATGTGACAGGGCTGGTGAAGTGATTGCCAAGATCCCTTAAAACTTACCGTTTCCCTTTCCCTGACCAGTATTCTGATGGCAAAGCGGCTCCACTAAGCTCTCACGAAGGCACCTGCTTTAGAGGCATTCAAAAGAGGGGCAATACACAGATTTTCTCCTACTCAAAAGAAATGTCTCCTGGCTGTAGAGTAAAGTTACTATGCACAGATTTTCTCCCACTCAGAAGAAATGTCTCCCGGCTGTAAAGCTTACCATGCACAGATTTTCTCCTACTCAGAAGAAATGTCTCCCGGCTGTAAAGTAAAGCTTACTAAAAAGGCAGTTCTGTACGTATTCATGCAATTCACTCACTTAAAATTCCAGTTTGGTTGGGTTTTTAAAGCATTGTCAAAAAAAAAAAAATAGAATGGCCTAAAATTTCCCCTCACCTCCATTTTTTAAAAATGAAAAAAAAAATCAGTGTGTTAATGTCAGGATTGATCTCTTAAAATTTGTTTAAAAAATGATTTGTTTCATGTAAATTTTAAAAATTGATTCAAATTAGGAATATCTCAAAAATAAAAATACACCTAATAATATTTAAAGATGAGATGGATAAATTATAAGTCAAATACATTAAGTTTCTACCCAGATTTAGGCCCCTGTTAATGAATATACCAACCCTTTAGATGTCTGGAACCAGTCTGACTGCTAATTACTAAGCTAATGTTTATTCTAAATTATTCAGTAACTAATATTGGCAATGATTTTACCAAATAACTCTAATATGCAAATGGCCAAACTCATTTATCATCATGATCTTATATTATTAGCCATCAGATTATGAAATAAATCTAGAAAAATTTTACATATAACACCAACAGGTAAACTGATATTAACTAATAATTATTTCTTCATTCATTATCTTCATTTTAACAATAAATTTTTTAACCACTGAAGCAATCATTTTCTTAAGAAAAGTGAGACTGAGAGGACCACTTTCAAAAGGAATAGGGGTCTCTGCTACTCAGTGTTTACTCTGTCATAGAAAGATGGCCGGGCGTGGTGGCTCACACCTGTAATCCCACCACTTTGGGAGGCCAAGGCGGACAGATCATTTGAGGTCAGGAGTTCTGGATCAGCCTGGCCAACAGGCTCTACAAAAAATACAAAAATTAGCTGGGCGTGGTGGCACGTGCCTGTAGTCCCAGTTACTCTGGAGGCTGAGGCAGGAGAATCATCTGAACCCAGGAGGTGGAGGTTGCAGTGAGCCGAGATGGCACCACTGCACTCCAGCCTGGGCAACAGAGTGAGACTCCGTCTCAAAAAAAAAAAAAAGAAAGAAAGACCGACCTTGTGCTCATATTTCCTCTCTGAATGGAGCATCAGATTATAAATCAAAACAAGCCCCCAAGTCCACATTCTCACTATCTCAATACTCAGAACTATGTTGGACAATTTATTTTAAATATGTCCTTTTATTCTCACCAACAGTCTGCAAGGTAAGTTTTCCAGACCACATTTTACAGATAGAGAGAGTAATGGCTCGGAGAAGTGAACAGAAATAACTTACTGATGGTCACATGGCTGGAAATTGGCAGAGCCAGAATTCAAACCCAGTTCAGCTTGACTGCAAAGCCATACCTTAAGCACTAGGACATGATAGCTTGAGGTAACGATGTAAGTGAAATTAACAGCCAGGCTGGAGTCTTTCCCAGTGCACCATCTCTAACCTTAATCGATCGAACATCACCCACAAACTTGAATTCAAACCTTTTTTTCTTAATCAGTCCTCACAAAATAATTGTGTTATACTAGTCCTCACAGCGAGAAACTGAGTCTGGTCTCATAACCATAGGTTACACAAAATAAATTCATATTCTATAGGAATAAGCAACACACAAGACAACTGATGATCATATTCAACCTGACAATTTAGCATTTGCCATATGATAACTTGAGAGCATTAATATTCGAGGCAAACTTAAAGGTCATTTTGAGTAGTCACAATTTTTAGAATTTCTCATTTTATTCCTGCATTACGCTATGCTGTTGAGAAGCAATGGTTTCAGGCCAAATTATCTCAGCTTCCTTTAGAAATGCCTGTGCTAAATTAAAATTTAATGTTATGTCTCAGCTTTCAAAAAGGGTCAATATAAAAAATCACTGAATTTGTCTTCCATAAATCTATATTAGTAGTAGATACCCATTACATCACTTGATTTCTTATATAAGGAAACATGAGACCATTTTTCAAGAATTCAAAGCCAAGGGCTTTGATAACAACTATTTGATCTTGTAAATAGATACTAACTTTAAAAGGGAGAGAGGGGGAAGTAACCTGTTGCCTTTGTATTTGTATTTTGCCTTCGCTGCCAGTAAACTCAGAGCCAAATTTAGTTTCAAGTAAAGCAGAGTGTTTAGGAACAAGGGAAAAATAAAACACATGCCCCTTGCAACTTACTGCACCTCACCATATTCCTCTTCCTAAGAATTAGACAAGGTGGTTTCAAGTCATTTTCTCTCATGACAAGGAAACATCCTGAGATAGCTCCCAAGGCTGCCCAGCTAGGAAACGGTCTGAACTCAAGCCCAGGTCTGAACCAAAATTCAACTTTTCCAAACATGTTGAAAAAATTATTTCATCCTAACTCCCTAGTAGCACCCATTTGGTTATTAGATTTGTAGTGTTTTTATTTATAAATGACCTTAAAGCCTTTTTGTAAGTAACATATAAATCACGTGTAATTAAAATAGTCCCTCGAGAGAAATGTGGTTCAGCAAACTCCAAAATGTAAGTAGTATACGTTGCCCACAAATACTCTTCACAATACAAGCGCCGCACCAGATACCCCAGGGTTTCAGGTCCATTCTACCCAAACGGTTCAGAGGCAAAAATTGGTGGCATGACCCAGAGCGTATGAAGCAGGTGTCCCTCAATCCCATATGAGTCCCTCAGCACCCATGGGAAGAGGAAAGGATATGGGGTGGCCAGTCTCTCTTTAGAATACATCCTTATCTAAAGAGTTGAGATCAAGAAGAGGCTTGTGACTCAAGAGTTCCCAGAGTTAATTTCCGTTAAGTGTACCAATTCTCCTTTAATAACAATAGCATTTCCTACCATCACACTAGTTAATAGTTAACATCAAGCACTTTGTAAGTATAAAACATTTTACAAGAATTATTTCATATAACCCTCAGAACACTTTTGAACTAGGCATTATCCCTATTTTACAGAGGGAGAACCTCAGGTTGAAAGAAATCACCTAATTTACCCCAAATCATTCATGTTTAGATGGCAGAAGTAGAATCCAAACCAAACCAAACCATCTGGCTCTAGAGCCTGTACCTTTGTCTAATAGCCTATAGGTCTGTCTATGAACCCATCAGGACAAAATCACCTTAAAAACTATAAAGCTTGTTAAACAACTGCACCCAAGTAGCTTCTATGTTTATTTTTTTAATTTATATTAATCAGGAATAGGTAAAATTCAGTAGAACATACTAATCAAAAATTTAATTCTCATAATGGCACTAGACGGTCTAAATATTTATCAGAGGCCGGGCATGGTGGCTCACGCCTGTTATCCCAGCACTTTGGGAGGCTGAGGTGGGCGGATCACGAGGTCAAGAGTTTGAGACCAGCCTGGCCAACATTGTGAAACCCCGTCTCTACTAAAAATACAAAAAAAAAAAAAATTAGCTGAGTGTGGTGGTGGGTGCCTGTAATCCTAGCTACTTGGGAGGCTGAGGCAGGAGAATCATTTGAACCCGGGAGGTGGAGGTTGCAGTGAGCTGAGATCACACCATTGCACTCCAGCCTGGGTGACAGGGTGAGACTCAGTCTCAAAATAAATAAATAAATACATATTTATCAGAATAGCAGCAAATTTGAGTTTTCTATTAAACAGTCTATTTTATGCATAGATTCAAAACCTAATAAACGGGACTTGAGTTATCCTCTAAAGTGGTGATCTATAAGTGTTCTATTATCCATAAATTCCTGATTCCGGCAATTTTTTTCTAGATAACTCCTTCCACTCCCTCAGCTTGAAAACCAGTTTTTCCTTGATGATGCCACCTTCCTTAAAATTTTCTGGGAGTCAGGTCAGAAGAAATACAGAAAGTCTCCAGGCTCCCACCGTGTTCCCAGACCATTGCTCTGACTCTTTTACATGATCAATCCTCTCCTTAGAAACTTGTCCCACTTTGATCTCCAGGTTGAGGTCATCTTTCTCTTCCCTCATTTAATGTTTATCCCACTTTCTGCCCCAAGTAAGCAGCAATTAGGTTGTGTTCTAATCCTCAGGGTTCAGTCCAAGACAGTTAGAAGAATCCAGAAAACATCTTCCAAGATTGTGGTTCAGTACAAGTCACACTGACTGATAGACAACACAGCTGGGCAACCTTTCCACCTGAATGCAATCCATGGACAAATGCCCAAGCCTATGCCCAAATATGGCCCCCAAGCTGTGTTAGGCATAACGAGCTTACATTTTAATGTGTGGCTGAGCGTAGTGGCTCACACCTGTAATCCCAGCACTTTGGGAAGCTGAGGCAGGTGGATCGCTTGAGCCCAGGAATTCAAGACCAGCCTGAGCAACATGGTGAAATTTCATCTCTACAAAAATTCAGCTGGACAAGGTGCCTCACACCTGTGGTCCCAGCTACTCAGGAGGCTGAGGTGGGAGGATTGCTTTAGCCTGGGAGGCAGAGGTTATAGTGAGCCAAGATCATTCCACTGCACTCCAGGCTGGGTAACAAAGCAAGACCTTGTCTTAAAATTTTTTTTTAATTGCATGTAAAAAATATCTTAAAGTCTAAAGGGGAAAATTACATTACCACCAATTATCAAATTTTTACTAAACAGAACACATATCTCAGTCTGAAATCTCCATACTTGGGTTCATTCCTGCACTTCAGGATTTTCACCAGAATTAAGGATATCTTCTAAAACAAAGGGAGGTGCTATCCTAAAAAGCAGAAACGACTTACCACCCCTAAAACTGCAGCTTTCCAACTTCTAAACTTTTTTTTAAATTTTATTATTTTATACTTTAAGTTTTAGGGTACATGTGCACAACATGCAGGTTTGTTACATATGTATACATGTGCCATGTTGGTGTGCTGCACCCATTAACTCGTCATTTAGCATTAGGTATATCTCCTAATGTTATCCCTCCCCCCTCCCCACAACAGGCCCCAGTGTGTGATGTTCCCCTTCCTGTGTCCATGTGTTCTCTTTGTTCAATACCCACCTATGAGTGAGAACATGCAGTGTTTGGTCTTTTGTCCTTGCGATGGTTTGCTCAGAATGATGGTTTCCAGCTTCATCCATGCCCCTACAAAGGACATGAACTCCTCATTTTTTATGGCTGCATAGTATTCCATGGTGTATATGTGCCACATTTTCTTAATCCAGTCTATCATTGTTGGACATTTGGGTTGGTTCCAAGTCTTTGCTATTGTGAATAGTGCCGCAATAAACATACACGTGCATGTGTCTTTATAGCAGCATGATTTATAATCCTTTGGGTATATACCCAGTAATGAGATCACTGGGTCAAATGGTATTTCTAGTTCTAGATCCGTGAGGAATCGCCACACTGACTTCCACAGTGGTTGAACTAGTTTACGGTCCCACCAACAGTGTAAAAGTGTTCCTATTTCTCCACATCCTCTCCAGCATCTGTTGTTTCCTGACTTTTTAATGATCACCATTCTAACTGGTGTGAGATGGTATCTCATTGTGGTTTTGATTTGCATTTCTCTGATGGCCAGTGATGATGAGCATTTTTTCATGTGTTTTTTGGCTGCATAAATGTCTTCTTTTGAGAAGTGTCTGTTCATATCCTTTGCCCACTTTTTGATGGGGTTTTTTTTTTCTTGTAAATTTGTTTGAGTTCATTGTAGATTCTGGATATTAGCCCTTTGTCCAATGAGTAGGTTGCAAAAATTTTCTCCCATTCTGTAGGTTGCCTGTTCACTCTGATGGTAGTTTCTTTTGCTGTGCAGAAGCTCTTTAGTTTAATTAGATCCCATTTGTCAATTTTGGCTTTTGTTGCCATTGCTTTTGGTGTTTTAGTCATAAAGTCCTTGCCCATGCCTATTTCCTGAATTTATTGCCTAGGTTTACTTCTAGGGTTTTTATGGTTTTAGGTCTAACATTTAAGTCTTTAATCCATCTTGAATTAATTTTTGTATAAGGTGTAAGGAAGGGATCCAGTTTCAGCTTTCTACATATGGCTAGCCAGTTTTCCCAGCACCACTTATTAAATACGGAATCTTTTCCCCATTGCTTGTTTTTGTCAGGTTTGTCAAAGATCAGATAGTTGTAGATATGCGGCATTATTTCTGAGGGCTCTGTTCTGTTCCATTGGTCTATCTCTCTGTTTTGGTACCAGTACCATGCCGTTTTGGTTACTGTAGTCTTGTAGTATAGTTTGAAGTCAGGTAGCGTGATGCCTCCAGCTTTGTTCTTTTGGCTTAGGATTGACTTGGCAATGCAGGCTCTTTTTTGCTTATCCGCCATGATCGAGTGGGCTTCATCCCTGGGATGCAAGACTGGTTCAACATATGAAAATCAATAAACGTAATCCAGCACATAAACAGAACCAAAGACAAAAACCACATGATTATCTCAATAGATGCAGAAAAGGCCTTTGACAAAATTCAACAGCCCTTCATGCCAAAAACTCTCAATAAATTAGGTATTGATGGGATGTATCTCAAAATAATAAGAGCTATCTATGACAAACCCACAGCCAATATCATACTGAATGGACAAAAACTGGAAGCATTCCCTTTGAAAACTGGCACAAGACAGGGATGCCCTCTCTCACCACTCCTATTCAACATAATGTTGGAAGTTCTGGCCAGGGCAATCAGGCAGGAGAAGGAAATAAAGGGCATTCAATTAGGAAAAGAGGAAGTCAAATTGTCCATGTTTGCAGATGACATGATTGTATATTTAGAAAACCCCATCGTCTCAGCCCAAAATCTCCTTAAGCTGATAAGCAACTTCAGCAAAGTCTCAGGATACAAAAACAGTGTGCAAAAATCACAAGCATTCTTATACACCAATAACAGACAAACAGAGAGCCAAATCATGAGTGAACTCCCATCCACAATTGCTTCAAAGAGAATAAAATATCCAGGAATCCAACTTACAAGGGATATGAAGGACCTCTTCAAGGAGAACTACAAACCACTGCTCAATGAAATAAAAGAGGATACAAACAAAGGGAAGAACATTCCATGCTCATGGGTAGGAAGAATCAATATCGTGAAAATGGCCATACTGCCCAAGGTAATTTATAGATTCAATGCCATCCCCATCAAGCTACCAATGACTTTCTTCACAGAATTGGAAAAAACTACTTTAAAGTTCATGTGGAACCAAAGAAGAGTCCAGCTTCTAAACTTTTAAAATCCATATTCATATCCAAATTCATATTCATTATTATGAATAATGCTGCTATAAACATTTGTATACATGCTTTCATTTCTCTTGTATAGATACCAGGAATGGAATTGCTGAGTCATGTGGTGTATATTTCTTCTTGACTGAGCTTTAGTAGTTATTTAGCTATTTCATTTAAGTTGTCAAACTTAGCGGCCTATAGCTAGCCTTTAAATATCTGTAGTAATGCTCCTCTGTCATTCCTGAAGTTGGCAATTTTTGTCTTCTGTTTCTTGATCAGTGTGTTTGAATGTTAATTGTGTAGATTGCTTTCAAGTAACCAGTTTTTAATTTCATCAATTTTCTTTATTTTCTTGTGCGTCTTTTATTTATCTTCTGCTACTATCTTTATCATTTCCCTTATACTGCTTACTCTGTTTAATTCACTCCTTTTTCAAGTTTCTTAAATGACGCTCAGGTCAAAATATTTTTTAATTTTTCCTATGATTTCTTCTTTAATTCTTTATGTTACTGAAGAGTGTGTTGTCATTTTCCAAGTATTTGGAGATTTTCCAGATACCTTTCTGTTGATTCCCATTTAAATCCCAGAGAACGTGATTTCAAACCTTTTAAATTTATTAAGGCTTTTTATAGCCCATAACATAGTTCATCTTGTTGAATGTTGCATGCATATGTGAAAAGAATGAATATTCTACCGTTATTGGACAGAGTGTCCTATAAATATTGACTAGGTCAATTATTCTGGGAGGGAGTCTTGCAATCTCCAACTATAATTGTGAGTTAGTCTATTTCTTCTTTTAGTTTCTTCTGCTTCACATATTGAAGCTGTTATTATGTATATATTTAGTACTGTTATGTCATCTCAACAAACTGCTTTATTACTATGTATTTTTAAATACCAGCTAATATTTGTGGGCTGATATCTTTTTGTCTGATACTTATAGATTTCTTATATATTTTTTGTTTTTTGAGACAGAGTCTCACTCTATCACCAGGCTGGAGTGCTATGGCACGATCTCAGCTCACTGCAACCTCCAGCTCCCTGGTTCAAGCGATTCTTCTGCCTCAGCCTCCTGAGTAGCTGGGATTACAGGCACCTGCCACCACACCCAGCTAATTTTTGTATTTTTAGTAAAGACAGGGTTTCACCATGTTGGTCAGGATGGTCTCGATCTCCTGACCTCATGATCTGCCCACCTGGGCCTCCCAAAGTTCTGGGATTACAGGCGTGAGCCACCACGCCCAGCTATCTGATACTAATATTAATGATATTAATCATTTGCTTAATGATTGCACGGTATACTTTTTCCCTTCTTTTTCATTTAAACTATTTGGATTTTTATATTGATATTTAAAGTTGAGTTTTTGGAGATGGTTTACCATTGGGTCCAATTAACTGGGCAAAGACAGAAGGCTGGGGAGGAGTTGCTCTCAGAGGAGACTGAGAAAGAGCTACCAATTAGACTGCAGGAGAATAGAATCAGGGTGTTACCAAAGTCAAGTGAGTACTTCTAGAAGAGAACATTCAGCAGGGACCAATGATACAGGAACATCAAGTAAGATGAACACTGGAACTAGTCCATAGTCCATGTGAAGGTCGTGATGACTTTCATCAGACCAATTTCAGGGCAAGGGTGAGGGCCGAAGTCAAACCATGGAGAGAAGAGCAATTGGGAGAAGGGAAGGCAGGAATAATGACAATTTTTAAATTGTGGGGGTATAGGTGGCAAGAAAGTAACACACAGAAGGAATGAGGGCCAAGGAAAAGGGTCAAAATTCCTGCTTTGTTTATTTCAAGATGGGAGATAATCTCTAAAGTTTATGGGCTGAGGGGAAAATATTGGAAAAAGAGTGTTGCTATCCCCTAGGGCAGGAGAGTAGGAGATAGATGTGGCATCCTGTGGTGTTTGAGAAGGGGACAGGATGGGGATCTTGGGGTGGGAGTATTGGAGGTGTGTGTACGCACACACATGCATGATGGGGAAAGGGAACAGGATCCCAGGAGGGAGGGGACTAGGTTGGGTCATAGGTTGGGGGGACCTGGATGAGCAGAATTTGCGTTGGACAAAAAGGACAGCTCTTCCTCAGCACAACTCCCACAATGATGGATGAGAAAAGATGAGGAAAGTTGACAAAAGTGAGCAGAGAACACAGCTCTTAATAGCTGTTTCATAGGGAAAAATTAATTCTAAGAGAAAAGAGAGATTGGGAGGGGATTTAAAGAGAGTGGTGAATGTTTGAAAGGAGAACTGATTATACAGTCCTTCCAAAAGACCATTCCTCACAGCCCTATTTGATTCAGATGCCCTGTCTAAGGTTCCAGGGGCTCTTTGAGCATACAACTGCCCAAACACTCATGTTGACTTTTTTTTTTTTCTAACTTTTATTTTAGGTTCATGGGTACATGAGCTGGTTTGTTACACAGGTAAATTACATGTCACTGGGGTTTGGTGTACAGATTGTTTCACCACTCAGGTAATAAACATGGGAACCAATAGGTAGATTTTTCAATCCTCACTCTCCCCCTACCCTCCACCCTCAAGTAGGCCCAAGTGTCTGTTGTTCCCTTCTTTGTGTCCATATGTACTCAGTGTTTAGCTACCACTTATAAGTGAGAACATGCAGTGTTTGGTTTTCTCTTCCTTTGTTAATTCTAATTTCTAATCCTTCTTAGGATCATGGCCTCCAGCTCCCTCTATGCTGCTGCAAAGGACATGACCTCATTCTTTTTTATGACTGCATAGTATTCCGTGGTGCATATATACCACATATATCTTTATCCAGCCCATCATTGATGAGCACTTATGTTGATTCCCTGGTCTTTGCTATTGTGAATGGGATTCATGTTGACATCTAATCATCAATTTACTTGTCTGTCCCCTACATGATTACAAGCTTCTTTGGTCAGGGACTGTTTTGTAGGTGCACATCATAATGCCTAGAACTTAATATACTTGTACCAATAAATATGTTTGCCTAATAAACAATAGAAAAATACTGTCAGGTAGTAGAGGCTCTATACCACTTGCTTGGTGGTTAATTCAGAATTTGAGGCTCTAACTTAGATTATTCCACAATCTAAGAAACTTCCAAACTCCAGTATTTTATAATTCAGTGAATGAGGGATAAAAGGTCCTCAAATTTTAATTTACCACTGACTGCTCATGACTTAACAATAATAACAAATATCTACTTGCAGAGAACTACCAGCAGGAGTCTTAAAGACACCTGTAAAGTATAAACAAAGTAAATAAAGGCAAGAAAGGGAAATATAAATTCAGCAACATTTTGAGTTATAAATACTGGGTTTTTTGTTTGTTTGTTTGTTTTAGAGAATGGGGCTTAAAATGGGAGTGTAGATTAAAGTTGGCATTTTAAAACCAATGTCCCTAAATTAAATTACTAGTATGTCAATTGCATGTCAAAAAACAGGACTGTTAAATAATGCACATTTCAATTCAAAGGCTTTCATCCAGATAAATTGGGCCATGAACTTACTATTAATGCCTCGCTCATCTGTATTTCAACAGCAATGCCCTAGAGTATACAAATACATTTCTTTTTTTCTTTCTTTCTTTCTTTCTTTCTTTGTTTCTTTCTTTCTTTCTTTTCTTTTTTGAGACAGAGTCTCGCTCTGTCACCCAGGCTGGAGTGCAGTGGCACAATCTTGGCTCACTGCAACCTCTGCCTCTGGGTCCAAGTGATTCTCCTGCCTCGGCTTCCCCAGTACCTGGGATTACGGGCGCCTGCCACCACACCCAGCTAATGTTTTGTATTTATAGTAGAGACAGGGTGTCACCATGTTGCTGAGGCTGGTTTCGAACTCCTGAGCTCAGGCAATCGGCCTGTCTTGGCCTCCCAAAGTGCTGAGATTACAGGCATGAGCCACCACGCCCAGCCTACAGATACGTTTCTAAATCACCTCGACTAAATACTGGAAACCCATACAGTATATACTGTACCTCTAACTAAGAAAAATAACTATACATTTTACTTTTGATAATATCACTCTCACTGCTCTCACTCTAAAATCCAATACATATTTTAACAACAATCTATAAATCTGCCCCAAGATGGTCAGTATTCTTAGAAACACACATGACTAACGGCAGGACACATCACATGTAGGAATACTTTCGCCAGGGAAGAAATGGATCCTCCACTTACGGAAATGTTCAGTGGTAGAAAGTACACTGGAATTATAATGCAAAGGATTTTGCTGTAACTCTAACACCTGCTCATTGTGACGGTCACAGAGCTTCAGTCTCCTCACCTTTAAAATGAAGGGGTTGAACTAGAACAGGATTCCTCAAGGAATGTTCATTGAAAAAGTAGATCTAAAAATCAGTCCTAAAAAGGAAAAATAAAAAGTCTCCATGGTGAAATAAGATGAAGCAATGCTCTCACTATAGCAATGCACAGCAGGATCCAGCTGCTCCTCTACTCACAATGGGGCTACGTCCCAATAAACCCGTCGTAAGTTGAACAGATCATAAGCCAAAAATGCATTTAATACACCTACTTTTTTTTTAGATGGAGTCTTACTCTGTCACCCAGGCTAGCGTGCAGTGACACAGTCATGGCTCACTGTAGCCTCAAATTCCCAGTCTCAGGCTATTCTTCTGCCTCCCTTTATCAAGTAGCTGGGACTGCAGGCATGTGCCACCACACCCAGCTCATTTTTTTTTTTTTTTAATTTTTAGTAAAGACAAGGTCTTATTGTATTAACCAGGCTGGTCTTGAATTCCTGGCCTCAAGCAATCCTCCCACCTCAGCCTCCTACAGTGCTAGGATTACAAGCGTGAGCCACCACGCCCAGCCCACCTAACCTAGTGAACATCATAGCTTAGCCCTCGCCTACCTTAATCATGCTCAGAACACTTAAATTAGCCTACAGTTGGGCAAAATCATTTAACACAAAGCCTATTTGACAATAAAGTATTGGCTATCTCACGTAACGTATTGAATAAATTATTTTATACTGCCATATGTGTATCACTTCAGCATCTTCACAAGGTTGGAACATTATAGGCCAAACCCTCGTAAGTCAGAGACCATTCGTACCTGAGAATCTGACAGGTCCTTCAATGAAGAAAATCTTCTGGCTATGACCTGGGATTTCCCATAGTTATTTGACTACATAATCTTTGTCTCCCCTTACCTTTATTAAAATCTTAAAGTACTAGCAACATGTGAGATACCTTTGGAGAAACCATGACCTAAATAAGCACTAGTATTTTAAGCTGTTTGTAATCTTTGATAAGTGAGTCAATAGGAAGCTAAAATATCCAAGTAAATGAAAGAGACATTAATGGGAGAAAATTAATCATATGACAATATGGTGAACTAGAAAGCAGATGGTCCTTCCATTAGAACATAGCTAGATCCTGGATATATTGCAACAATATTTTCAATACTCTGTTGAGCACACGAGAGAGTAGAGGGCTCTCCAGACAGGGTGAGGCAAAACTGAAACCAAACAGAGAGCAGTAATGTAGAGTTGCCCCTGCCACCATGGAATTGGAAGACGGAGCTTGAAGGTGTCTGACATGTTGAATCTGCAACACCCATTTTTTTTTATTATACTTTAAGTTCTAGAGTACATGTGCACAACGTGCAGTTTTGTTACATATGTATACATGCGCCATGTTGGTGTGCTGCACCCATTAACTCATCATTTACATTAGCTGTATCTCCTAATGCTATCGCTCCCTGCTCCCCCTACCCCATGACAGGCTCTGGTGTGTGATGTTCCCCTTCCTGTGTCCAAGTGTTCTCATTGTTCAATTCCCACCTATGAGTGAGAACACGTGGTGTTTGGTTTTTTGTCCTTGTGATAGTTTGCTCAGAATGATGGTTTCCAGCTTCAACCACGTCCTTAGAAAAGACATGAACTCATCATTTTATATGGCTGCATAGTATTCCATGGTGTATATGTGCCACATTTTTTTAATCCAGTCTATCACTGATGAACATTTAGGTTGGTTCCAAGTCTTTGCTATTGTGAATAGTGCCACAATAAACATACGTGTGCATGTGTTTATAGCAGCATGATTTATAATCCTTTGGGTATATACCCAGTAATGGGATGGCTGGGTCAAATGATATTTCTAGTTCTAGATCCTTGAGGAATTGCCACACTGTCTTCCACAATGGTTGAACTAGTTTACACTCCCACCAACAGTGTAAAAGTGTTCCTATTTCTCTACATCCTCTCCAGCACCTGTTGTTTCCTGACTTTTTAATGATCGCCATTCTAACTGGTGTGAGATGGTATTTCATTGTGGTTTTGATTTGCATTTCTCTGATGACCAGTGATGATGAGCATTTTTTCTTGTGTCTGTTGGCTGCATAAATGTTTTCTTTTGAGAAGTGTCTGTTCATATCCTTTGCCCACTTTTTGATGGGGTTGTTTTTTTCTTGTAAATTTGTTTGAGTTCTTTGTAGATTCTGGATATTAGCCCTCTGTCAGATGAGGAGATTGCAAAAATTTTCTCCCATTCTGTAGGTTGCCTGTTCATTCTGATGGTAGTTTCTTTCGCTGTGCAGAAACTCTTTAGTTTAATTAGATCTCATTTGTCAATTTTGGCTTTCGTTGTCGTTGCTTTTGGTGTTTTAGTCATGAAGGCCTGCCTTACAAGAGCTCCTGAAGGAAGCACTAAACATGGAAAGGAACAATCGGTACCAGCCACTGCAAAAGCATGCCAAATTGTAAAGACCATCAATACTAAGAAGAAACTTCATCAACTGGCAGGCAAAATAACCAACTAACATCATAATGACAGAATCAAAATTCACACATAACAATATTAACCTTAAATGTTAATATTGGGCTAAATGCCCCAATTAAAAGACACAGACTGGCAAATTGGATAAAGAATCAAAATTATCAGTGTGTTGTATTCAGAAGTTCCATCTCACATGCAGACACACACATAGGCTCAAAATAAAGGGATGGAGGAAGATCTACCAAGCAAATGGAAAGCAAAAAAAGCAGGGGTTGCAATCCTAGTCTCTGATAAAACAGACTTTAAACCAACAAAGATCAAAAGAGACAAAGAAGGCCATTACATAATGGTAAAGTGATCAATTCAACAAGAAGAGCTAACTCTCCTAAATATATATGCACCCAATACAGGAGCACCCAGATTCATAAAGCAAGTCCTTAGAGACCTACAAAGAGACTGAGACTCCCACACAAGAATAATGGGAGACTTTAACACCCAATGTCAATATTAGACAGATCAACGAGACAGAAGGTTAACAAGGATATCCAAGATTTGAACTCATCTCTGGCCCAAGAAGACCTGATAGACATCTAGAGAACTCTCCACCCCAAATCAACAGAATATACATTCTTGTCAGCACCACATCGCACTTATTCCAAAATTGACCACATAGTTGGTAGTAAAGCACTCCTCAGCAAATGTAAAAGAACAGAAATCACAACAAACTGTCTCTCAGACCACAGGGCAATCAAATTAGAACTCAGGATTAAGAAACTCACTCAAAACCGCACAACTACATGGAAACTCAACAACCTGCTCCAGAACGACTACTGGGTAAATAAAGAAATGAAGGCAGAAATAAAGATGTTCTTTGAAACCAATGAGAACAAAGACACACTGTACCCGAATCTCTGGGACACATTTAAAGCAGTGTGTAGAGGGAAATTTATAGCACTAAATGCCCACAAAAGAAAGCAGGAAAGATCTAAAATCAACACCCTAACATCACAATTAAAAGAACTAGAGAAGCAAGAGCAAACAAATTCAAAAGCTAGCAGAAGGCAAGAAATAACTAAGATCAGAGCAGAACTGAAGGAGATAGAGACACAAAAACCCCTTCAAAAAAATCAATGAATCCAGGAGCTGGTTTTTTGAAAAGATCAACAAAACTGATAGACCGCTAGCAAGACTAATAAAGAAGAAAAGAGAAGAATCAAAGAGACGCAACAAAAAATGATAAAGGGGATATCACCACCAATCCCACAAAAGAACAAATTACCATGAGAGAATACTATAAACAGCTCTATGCAAACAAACTAGAAAATCTAGAAGAAATGGATAAATTCCTCGACACATATACCCTCCCAAGACTAAACCAGGAAGAAGCTGAATCCCTGAATAGACCAATAACAGGCTCTGAAATTGAGACAATAATTAATAGCCTACCAACCAAAAAAAGCCCAGGACCAGATGGATTCACAGCCAAATTCTACCAGAGGTACAAAGAGGAGCTGGTACCATTCCTTCTGAAACTATTCCAATCAATAGAAAAAGAGGGAATCCTCCCTAACTCATTTTATGGACCAGCATCATCCTGATACCAAAGCCTGGCAAAGACACAACAAAAAAAGAGAATTTTAGACCAATATCCCTGATGAACATTGATGCGAAAATCCTCAATAAAATACTGGCAAACCGAATCCAGCAGCACATCCAAAAGCTTATCCACCACAATCAAGTCAGCTTCATCTCTGGGACGCAAAGCTGGTTCAACATACGCAAATTAATAAACGTAATCCATCACATAAACAGAACCAACAACAAAAACCACATGATTATGTCAATAGATGCAGAAAAGGCCTTTGACAAAATTCAACAGCCCTTCATGCTAAAACCTCTCAAACCAGGTATTGATGGAACGTATCTCAAAATAATAAGAGCTATTTAAGACAAACCCACAGCCAATATCATACTGAATGGGCAAAAACTGGAAGCATTCCCTTTGAAAACTGGCACAAGACAGGGATGCCCTCTTTTCATGCACGTCTGTGTGAAGAGACCACCAAACAGGCTTTGTGTGAGCAAAAAGCTTTTTAATCACCTGGGTGCAGGTGGGCTGAGTCCGAAAAGAGAGTCAGGGAAGGGAAATGGGGTGGGGCTGTTTTATAGGATGTGGGTAGGTAGTGGAAAATTACAAAGGGGGTTGTTCTCTGGCTGGCAGGGGTTGGGGGGTCACAAGGTGTTCAGTGGGAGTTTTTGAGCCAGGATGAGCCAGGAGAAGGAATTTCACAAGGTAATGTCATCAGTTAAGGCAGGAAAAGGCCATTTTCACTTCTTTTGTGATTCTTCAGTTACTTCAGGCCATCTGGATGTACACATGCAGGTCACAGGGGACATGATGGCTTAGCTTGGGCTCAGAGGTCCAACACCTCTCTCACCACTCTTATTCAACATGGTGTTGGAAGTTCTGTGCAGGACAATCAGGCAAGAGAAAGAAATAAAGGGTATTCAATTAGGAAAAGAGGAAGTCAAATTGTCCCTATTTGCAGATGACATGATTGTATATTTAGAAAACCCCATCATCTCAGCCCAAAATCTCCTTAAGCTGATAAACAACTTCAGCAAAGTCTCAGGATACAAAATCAATGTGCAAAAATCACAAGCATTCCTATACACCAATAACAGACAAACAGCCAAATCATGAGTGAACTCCCATTCACTATTGCTACAAAGAAAATAAAATACCTAGGAATCCAACTTACAAGGGATGTGAAGGACCCTTCAAGGAGAACTACGAACCACTGCTCAATGACATAAAAGAGGATACAAACAAATGGAAGAACATTCCATGCTCATGGGTAGGAAGAATCAATATCATGAAAATGGCCATACTGCCCAAGGTAATTTATAGACTCAATGCCATTCCCATCGAGCTACCAATGACTTTCTTCACAGAATTGGAAAAAACTACTTTAAAGTTCATATGGAACCAAAAAAGAGCCCACACAGCCAAGACAATCCTAAGCAAAAAGAACAAAGCTGGAGGCATCATACTACCTGACTTCAAACTATACTACAAGGCTACAGTAACCAAAACAGCATGGTACCGGCAACAAAACAGAGAGATAGAGCAATGGAACAGAACAGAGGCCTCAGAAATAACACCACACGTCTACAACCATCTGATTTTTGTGACAAATCTGACAAAAACAAGAAATGGGGCAATGATTCCCTATTTAATAAATGGTGCTGAGAAAACTGGCTAGCCATATGTAGAAAGCTGAAACTGGATCCCTTCCTTACACCTTATACAAAAATTAATTCAAGATGGATTAAAGACTTACATGTTAGACCTAAAACCATAAAAACCCTAGAAGAAAACCTAGGCAATAAATTCAGGAAATAGGCATGGGCAAGGACTTTATGACTAAAACACCAAAGCAATGGCAACAAAAGCCAAAATTGACAAAGGGGATCTAATTAAACTAAAGAGCTTCTGCACAGCAAAAGAAACTACCATCAGAGTGAACAGGCAACCTACAGAATGGGAGAAAATTTTTGCAATCTACCCATCTGACAAAGGGCTAATATCCAGAATCTACAAAAAACTTAAATTTACAAGAAAAAATCAAACAACCCTATCAAAAAGTGGGCAAAGGATATGAACAGACACTTCTCAAAAGAAGACATTTATGCAGCCAACAGACACATGAAAAAATGCTCATCATCACTGGCCATCAGAGAAATGCAAATCAAAACCACAATGAGATACCATCTCACACCAGTTAGAATGGCGATCTTTAAAAAGTCAGGAAACAACAGATGCTAGAGAGGAGGTGGAGAAATAGGAACACTTTTACACTGTTGGTGGGAGTGTAAATTAGTTCAACCATTGTGGAAGACAGTGTGGCGATTCCTCAAGGATTTAGAACTAGAAATACCATTTGACCCAGTGATCCCATTACTGGGTATACACACAGGATTATAAATTATGCTACTATAAAGACACATGCACGTGTATGTTTATTGCGGCACTATTCACAATAGCAAAAACTTGGAACCAACCCAAATGTCCATTAATGATAGACTGGATTAAGAAAATGTGGCACATATACACCACGGAATACTATGCAGCCATAAAAAATGATGAGTTCATGTCTTTTCTAGGGACGTGGATGAAGCTGGAAACCATCATTCTGAGCAAACTATCACAAGGACAGAAAACCAAACACGGCGTGTTCTCACTCATAGGTGGGAATTGATCAATGAGAACACTTGGACACAGGGCGGGGAACATCACGCATGGGGGCCTGTCTTGGGGTGGGGGCAGGGGGGAGGGATAGCATTAGGAGATATACCTAGTGTAAATGACGAGTTAATGGGTGCAGCAAACCAACATGGCACATGTATACCTATGTAACTAACCTGCACATTGTGCACATGTACCCTAGAACTTAAAGTATAATTTGAAAAAAATATTTAAAGAGCTGATGTCATAACAATATGTTATCTGAAAACAATGGAACTTATTAATAAATCAAAAACAAATGTAAATGAAAAAATCCTCTTACACGTGGAAATAAGCCTTGAGTCAAAACAAAATTAAAATGTTAAGATATTCAGAATAATGAAAGTTTTACATACCAAAAATTTGGAGATGCAGCTTATAGCACTATATATTCATATTAGTAAGAAAGAAAAGACTAAAGTTTCCTGAGGTAAACATTCACCTCAAGAAATTTAGATCAGAATAATAAAGTCAAAGAAAGTAAAAAAGATAAAAATAAGAATAAAAAGTAATAAAATAGAAAGCAAAGACAAAATTAAAAAGCCAAATATGGTTCTTAGAATGTGTGTGTGTATACATATACATATATACACACATACATATATACATATATACACAATGTACAAATGTATCTATACGATATATATATAAAATTGGTAAGCCTATATACTATTGCTCAAAGAAGAAAAAAGATTAAAAAGCACAAATAAAATTGGGAAAGAAAAAAGGGGCATAGCCATAGATTCACATGAGAGTAAAAGACCATATCAATGATACCAATAAATTTGAAAATATAAAACTGACCAGTTTCCAGAAAAGTATAATTTTTTGGATATATGGGAACATTACCATGGTTCTAAAAGTCAGAGCTCCATAAAAAGTTACTCAAAAAAGTATTGCTCCCCGTTCATTCCTATGACCATATCCCCACTCCTGCACTCTTTCTACCTCATTCCCTTCTACTCCCTGTAGCTAATCAATCTCATTGTTTTTTTCCTTCCTGTGTTTTCTTATAGCCCTTTCTTACATGAATCAACAAATTAGGGATCAGCAAATGAAAGCCTGAGGGCTGTATCTAACCTGCTGCCTGTTTTGTAAACCAAGTATGATTGGAACCCAGTCTCAGTACCCTTCCCGGTAGTATGGGCTGTGATGGCTTTCACACTACAACTGCAATTGGGTAGTCTCCACCAAGAACATGTGATCTACAAAATCTAAAATATTTGCCACCTGGCCCTTTCCAGAAAAAAGTTAGCTAACCAGTGTTCTAGATGCTCTTTTATCCTTTGCTTTTTAAATTTCATATATCCTGGAAATTATTCCATACCGGTTCACAGAGACATTCTTTATTCTTTTCTCCAGCTGCATAGCACGGCCGTCTATGTGGATGCATCACGGCTTATTCGACCACCCTCCTATACATGTGCATTCGGGTTATTGCCGATAGTTTGCACGTACAGCCAACGCTGTGAAAAATAATAATGTGGTATTACAGATCTTTTTTAAACTTCCCCCATACAATTTCTCATAAATATCCAGAAAGAAAACTAGTTTTCATTTGCTACACAAAAACTGATTCAAAGCAGATTTTGAATAATTTTTTCATTGTTGTTTCTTTAAGCTTTTATTTTGCCTCCTGGTTAAAACCTCAAAAATGAGGGCAGGATCAGGAAGAGAAATGTAACGTGGGCCATGCATAGGCTCTCCTGGTACGTTGTAGCCTTGTGAGGCCTCTGGGGGAATGGCCATGCACAGATGACAGGCGAGGTGTCATTTATACCCAATTCCAGTAGTAAAGAGAGTCCAGTGACACAGCACTATTTTGAATGTTTCCCCATGTTTATGTTTTGATTGAGAAGGGAGTTCTCAGTGCATTGTTTGTGCTTCTGTTTTGATTATAAACGATGGATGGAAACTAATTGTGATAGAATACAATAAAACAAAAAAGAGGTAAATGCCTTGAGGTTAGGGACTATCTTTTCTTTTTTGTTTTTTTCCTCCAATCTCTTGTATCACCTTATTCTACCCACAATTGTGCTATGCTCCGTAGAACTTGGTTATCACTTGTCTACATATGTAGAAACTTCTCCTCTCTGGTTAGCTTGACATGTGAGTAACATAGTGCCAAAAGAAAATCCTCAGGTTGCTTGAATCTGTCTATATAGTATAGTCCTGATAACACTTTTAGAAACACTGATGCGGAAATAGAGACAAAGTGATTCCCCTTTATTTTTTGCATATATAAAACTTCTGGCAAGGCACCATGGCTCATACCTGTAATCTCAGAACTTTTGGGGCCAAGGTGAGAGGACTGCTTGAGTCCAGAAATTTGAGAGCAGCCTGGGCAGCATGACAAAACTCTGTCTCTTCAAAAAATATGAAAATTAGCCAGATGCGGTGGCACACGCCTGTAGTCCCAGCTACTCGGGACGCTGAAGTGGGAGGATGGGTTAAGCCCAGGAGGTCAAGGCTGCAGTGAGCTGTGATTTTGTCACTGCACTCCAGCCTGGGTGACAGAGGGAGACGCTGTCTCATTTAAAAAAAAAAAAAAAAAATTAAGGCAGACGACCTTTGCCTTGTATTTTAGGTTAATTATTTATTCCTCCACAGACAAAAATATTTTTAAATTTTCTGTTCAAACTTCCAATTTCATAGATGCCTATACTTTTCCAAAGTAAATTTTATATCAATCATTTTTCTTTTTTCATCATCATTCTTGGTTGGTTTTTAAAAAATCACTCGTTTATCTTCCTCTTTCCGTCCATATTGCCAATGGATTTACTCAAACTCTTTGTTGCTTTCCTTCTAGATTATCATGGCCAAAGTTTAAGAAAAACAAAGACCAGATCTGTGACCCTTAGATGAACCCTGGGTCTCCGTGGAAGTCTGATCCAGGCAGGGTGATTAGTCACAGTACTGCTTGCAGTCTACTGATTAGTTTTTCTGTCACCCTAATCAAATATAAGCTTATTTAATTCTTATAACAGCATCTTGAGATAGTATAATGACCAGTTTACTAAAATTCAAATGCATTTGCTAATCTGGAAATTGAATGTAGGGGGGAAAAGCTACCTTTTTTGTAGTCATCTGGTTTACTTGAATCATCTCTGACCATTAGTTTTCTGGGGATTTTTCTCTATTATTGGCCCAGAGGGTGAAACGTATAACACAACAACAAACTTCCCTACAGCCAACAAACCCACAACCAATAAGACCAAAAAATGTAGAAGTGTCAGTAGTTCTTGAAAACATAATAGCAAATCAACTGTGTCAAGTTCAAGGAAATTAAGGAAGAAAAAAAAAACAAAACAAAACAGAGCAGCCAAATGGATGAAAACCTCAATTCATTTTCAAAAAAGAAAGAAGTAAAAGAATAAAGTAGAAAATATAAATACTATTCTATTCTCAGCTCTGAAATACCTAAAGAAGTTTTATAGATAGCTAATCTGATCTTCAGAAATTGTAGTCAGTGTTTGTAATTAACATCAGTCTATAAAAGTTCTGAACAGGAGAATATGAGATGGTTAAAAACTCATGGAAATAAAAGGAAGTGTTCTGTCTTTTAGTGTGAAAAATAAATAATTCATGAAAAACAAATGAGCATACGCTGTGGAGATCTAAAAAAAAAGACTGTGATCCTTAAAAATCTACAGATTTTAGAATTGAAATACAACAGCTTTCTAGAGTTGAAATATGACAGCATTTCTGTAAGCCATTATAGCAGGTAAAGGCTATTGGCTCTATAGGCTAAGCATGTCTTCATCAGCTGTAAGTCACAGCAGAGACCACTATTTCATGCCACTCCTCAGTGAGTCCTTTTGTAAGTCAGCTAACAATCTCCTAATTTACTTTTGAAATAACACAAAGCTGATTCAAATAACTCTGTAATATTGGATTAACCAATGTGCTGTGGGAATTCAGAGGAAATAGTGATTCATTCTAATTCAGGTGGAGGGCAGGAAATTACAGAATATTACCACAGGGTGGCTTTTATGCAGTTCTTCAAAGATAGGCAAATCTGACAACTATTGTCTTGCTTATGCAACACATATGCATAGAAAAATTACAAAATGTGGATCCTCAGAAATAAAATCCATAGTCCTATGGAAAACCCTAATTTCACTACTTAGAAAAAAAAGTGCTTCTATATGCAGATATGCAAATTTATAATAAACATGCAGTTTTCTCTGTGTGTGTGTGTGTGCATGTAGAGAGAGAGAGATGGGATCTCACTATATTGCCCAGGCAACACACCTGGCCTAAATATGCAGTTTCCTGACACATTTCTTATAATATGTTGTGAACATGTTTGCATCTTTCTTTCAGGTGATAATATATCCTTATATGTTTATATCTTAAATTAGCCAGATCTCATTTTGTAGACATTTTCTTTCCAGTTGTTTGTTGGTATAGACATGTAAGATGTGTTAAAATGTCTTTCAACAATATATATCTTTGAATACTTAGATTACATCTTTGAATATTCACATTATTATTATTATTTTATTTTAATTTTATTTGAGACACAGTCTTGCTCTGTAGCCCAGGCTGGAGTGCAGTGGCGTGATCTTGGCTCACTGCAACCTCTGCCTCCCAAGTTCAAGCTATTCTCCTGTCTCAGCCTCCCAAGTAGATGGGACTACAGGCGTGCCTGGCTAATTTTTGTATTTTTAGTAGAGATGGGGTTTCATCATGTTGGCCAGGCTGGTCTCGAACTCCTGACCTCATGGTCCGCCCACCTCAGCCTCCCAAAGTGCTGGGATTACAGACATGAGCCACCGCGCCCGGCCTATCAGATTATCTTTTAGGAGGAATCCCTAGAAGTGGATTTGCTGAGGGCTGACACCAGAGTTACCAATGTTCTCTTTTCTCTAAAATCTATTAACTTGTTCCGACTATATCACCTTCTTCATGACATGTCACTGTCCAGCTACTGCACCATTTCTCTGTTCCATTTTCAAGCAGAATAACCCTAGGTGTTTAAAGAATCTCCAATTCTTCTCCTTTCTCTCTTAAAATCATTCTAATCAGGCTTTCCCCCCAGCCACTCCATCAAAACTCCTCTTGTCCAAATAACCAACCATCATGCCCCCCCCCCACATATATACACATACTCACATTGTGTCAAATCCAATATGAAATCTCATTCATCATCTTACTTGATCAGACAGTAACTTTTGAGATAGATGATCATTTTCCTCTTCCAGATACATTTTCTCACTTGGATTCCAGGACACCACACACTCTTGGTTTCCCTTTCAGCTCACTGGACACTCACTTTGCCTCCTCATCCTATTGACCCACATTATCTGGGTGATCTCATTAAGTCTCCTAGCTTTAAAAACCATCTCCTTGCCTATAAGTTCCAACTAGTGTCTCTTGTCTAGTCCTCACCCTTAAACTAAAACACAAATATCCAAACTCATACACACTGAAAACTTACCATATCTATTAACAACTCCTGATCTTTATTCCTCCTGCTTTAAAAAACAAAACCCCACCCCAATCTTTCCCTTCTCTGTAAATAACAATGGCCATCCCTGCAGCTGCTCAAGCCTAAGACCTTAGAATTATTCTAAATCATTCTTTATCTTACACCACCTTCAGTTTTTCAAGAAATCTTATTGTCTCTATCCCTAAAACATATTTAGAATCTAGACTCTCACCACTTTTGATGCAGGATTTTTGACCCCTTTGCGGGACTCATGACAGGGGTGTCCATTTACTCAGCCCATCCCATTTGGTCCCTCGTGGGAGGGAGCATGTAGGCAAGCAAGTGCAGGAACTGGCCAGCCGCTTTAGTGCCAGCAGTACCAAACCTCAAGGCCCCAGAGGGTGTGTTACAATGATCTCTTAGCTCCACCATCTGCAGACAGCAGTGTGTTATCAGCTCAGTGGGCCCCTTTGCCTTGTCACATGGGGTGGCTGCCTTTCACCAGCAAGGGCAAAGGGCCAGTGTGACAGTCTTTTTGGGTACCTTCACTTGGTGGGTCCCGAATTCTTGTCTGGTGCCCAAGAAGAATGAGGTCATGCAGACCAAATGAAGGATGGGGAAAGTGAAGAATTTTATTGAGCAGTGAAAGTGGTTCTTAGTAAAGAGGGGAGCTGGAAAGGCAATGGGAAGGGCAGGTCACTCTCCCCTGAAGTCAAGTTGCCTCTCTTAACATCCAGCCATTGTCTCTGAAGTCAAGTGACCTCTCAATGTCCAGCTGTTTCTCCTCTTTACCAGTTGAGTCTCAGGTCTTTATAGGCACAGGATCAGGGGGAGCAGACCACAGGTAGTTTTGGAAAAGGCAATATTCGATTGGTAAAAAGACATTCTTCAGAAAGAACCAATCAGGAGAGAGCAGGCAAACAGGGAGAGAAGTTCTCACTTTGAGCGATGGGTTTCAGGTTTTTGGGCTTGAAGCTGGGGCTTTACAAGGGACCTACCCCTGTCTGCCTAGTTTCTCTGCCTCCTGTCTCCATCACTTTTACTGCTCCTACTCTGGTCTAGTATTCCTTTCCTGAATTATTAAGAGCCCCTAACTAGTCTCCCTGCATGTGCCCTTAATCCCTGTATCTAGTTACAACACAGAGGCCTGAGTGATCCTTTTAAAATGGAAGTCAGGGCCGGATGTGGTGGCTCATGCCTGTAATCCCAGCACTTTGGGAGGCTGAGGTGGACAGATCACGAAGTCAGGAGATCGAGACCATCCTGGCTAACACGGTGAAACCCCATCTCTACTAAAAATACAAAAAAATTAGCCAGGCATAGTGGCAGGTGCCTGTAGTCCCTGCTACTCAAGAGCCTGAGGCAAGAGAATGGCGTGAACCTGGGAGGCGGAGCTTGCAGTGAGCCGAGATTGTGCCACTGCACTCCAGCCTGGATGACAGAGCAAGACTCTGTCTCAAAAAAAAAAAAAAAAAAAAAAAAAGAAGTCAGATCTTACCACTCCTCTGCTCAAAACTCTGTATAGCTCCTCCATTTCGCCTAGAGTAAAAGCCAAAATTCTCCCAATGCTCTATAAACCCTGAACTCAATGTTACCTTCTGACCCCCAACAGATCCTCTCTGATTTCATCCTCTACTTTTTTCTCCTAGTTCACTGCTCCAGCCCACCCAGACCTACTAGCCATTTGGTGAAGGAACCATGCATGTGCCTGCTTCAGGGCCTTTGCACTGGCTGTTCCCTGTGTCTGCAATGTTTTTTCATCCAATATCTTCATAGCTTGGTCCCTTGCTGCCTTCAGGTCTTTGCTCAAATACCACTTTACCTCTGAGGTTCTAAGTGATGTCCTCTTTTCAAAGGGCCTCCTCCCTTCTATGCTTACTGTCCATTTTCTGCTTTTTTCCCATAATATATCTCTTCTTCTGATACTTTTTTTTATTTGTGCATTTGTTATTTTTTTCGACCCCAAAATGTATTCATAAGTGCAGGAATTTTTCTCTAATTTGTTCAATACTGGAAGAGAGTCAATGTTACAGATACGTATTTAATGCTTTTAATGCAGACCTCAATTTGCTTCTAAAGAAATGAAGGTACAGTGTTTAAATAAGTAGACAAGGTGGAGAAGGATGGCTCATGTTGAGGCCACAGTATTGACAAAGCCACTGAAATGCAAGAAAGCAAAATGGTGCGCTGGATGCCAGGTGTTTCTGATGTATCAAGGGTGGGATACAGGATCTACTTACAATAGGAACACATAAATGGAACAAGGCAATATTTTAATGGAAAGCACAAAATCAGCTTACTCCACAATAAGAAAGAAGAAGATGAAATGAAATGAAAAGAGTTCCACACGAGGATACTGACTGAGGTACTGGGACACTTAATGAAAACTTTCACCATAAAAAAGTTGACAAAGTACTAAATTCTGTTTGGGAGGGCAGCTGTCTTTGAAAAGGTAAGAAGTCTATGGCCATACCACCCTGAACGTGCTGGATCTCATCTGACAAAGTAATGAAAACTACGGCTTCTCCCAAGAAAATTGCACATATCTACAAAGTTTGGAGAGTCTACAACCTCCTGAAACCTATGCATGAACCACCACAGGCCAGTCATTAAGAATCTCAATCAAGATTAAAAAAAGAATCCTGGTTAAGAAATATTATTTCAGCATGATAATCACTTGTACAGAAATGATGCTTAGATAAGGATATGGGTGATTGTAACATTGAGTTATAACATTTTGCATAGATCTTTGTTTTTTTTTCTTTTTAAATTGCTCAGACTATTCTCTATAACAATTGTGCAATCTTTGAAGCTGAAGTTTATTCCACTAAAAGAGAATTCAACCACCATATCTTAAATAATATGTAGAATCAAGTATCCCAAAATCAACTCAGTGAACATTCAGATTGAAAACTCCTTGTTTTAAGCTTGATATCAATAACATTATGAAGTTCACAAGATAATCAGAAGGAAGACTATTTAGGTACTGGTAATTCGATTTTTTAAAAAATTGAAATTGGCAAACATTCCATCCAAACAATCTAAGCTATGGTCTGTCTTCTGTACAACTTTATCACTAGGCATCTTTCATCTGAATAATTCAGTAAAATATTAATAATGAGTCTTTGCTTTTCTACCAAATATCCCTTCTCTCTGTAAAACAGAATCCAGAAATAATTAGTGGGAAATTCAGCTTGAATAGTTTTCCTTGGTCAGATAGGTCTCTAGAGAGAGGTGTGGTAAGCAAAGGGAAAGGGTCTTGTTTACATCCTAAATATAAACAGCTCTTTATTCACTGAGGCCATTCTTTGCTCTGTAGTAATGCTGGTGCAGAAAACTCTCTTGTCTGAAATCTATTCCATATCTGATATCTGATGCCAACCCCTATAGTGATAAAGGCCACAGACACAAATCCAGAGGCACCGAATCTAAACAGTCAGTCCTGAGAGGTCTCTCTGGTTGGTTTCTTTCCCCTGTTGCCATTCATCAGAGGACGAGTTTACCAACAGCCATCAGCCAAGCACATCCAAACTGGATCCAGGCCAAGAGCAAGCAGCATTGTTGAAATCTGGGCAGCAAGGTGGAAGGGTGGCCAGGGCATCAGCTGGATGAAAACATGCGGGGACTGCTGGGCAGCAGCTGGAAGAAGTTTGGACATGCTGGCCGGGGGACATATGAGTGGTTAACCAGCGAGCCCGGCCTGCCTCTCCTGGAGACCCAGCTGCAGGTCTGTACTTATGACTTAAGTCTTTTCTTCCCCAAAGCATCTTCATCAGTTTTAAAATCCATAATATCTATGGTTTTAGGATCATAAAATGTAGTGGCAGCATTTTGTCTTACAGCTATAACAAAAATAGGAATTCACTGATTGGCATGGTCTAAAGGGGATAAATTGAAAGTTGCATTTTTTGGACAAGGATACATTCAAGTAAAACTTGGCACAACTATATCCTAGGAACACTTGATATCTGAAATATGTTGAAGAACACCTGAAAGCAGCAGTCAACAGAGGTGTTACAACAGAAATGCCTCAGTGTTATAACTTCGCTCTTTGCTCAGTAAGCAATGTCTACATATACAAAAATAAGAGCCTCTCTTTGGTCCTGGCTGTGTATTAACCACTGTTTTTAAGTGTTAGCAGAAACCATGCATCTTACTTCAGGTAAGACAGCAGGGGGTTAAAGAGATTTTGTCTCTCACTAAGAAATGCAGCAGCTGCTTTTGCTTTGTCTGGCAAATCACCAGTGCAGTCTCCGTAGGAAGCAGCACTAAGGACAAATATTTGTACAAACCTAAAACCTAAGAATTAATTTTATAATCAGAGGAGAAATGAGTGACACCGCCGACAACACAAGAAAGAAGGAAATCAAACTATTTTCTTGCTTTCTGGAAAACCAACTGGTGAGATTAGTATTTAAGTTCTCCAAAACCACATTTTACAGAAAAAAATACATAAATATATATTGATGTGGATATTGAGAAATCCTTTAGCAGTTACACCTGTAATTGGACATTTCTTTAAAACATCCCCGAACAACAAATGCCTTTAGCCAATATAAACATCAGAAAAACATTAAAAGTTAAAAAATAACTTTGAGGCGGGTAAGCAAATTAGGATATTTGACTAAAAAAGACATCCTTTCCACATTTAAAAAAAATCCAACAATTCTAAGTAATATAACATAAATAATTAAATAAGCAAATTAAGGATACTGTAATGAATTTGTCTGATAGCACTGGGCCTCTCTTAACTGGAAAACTCCTTTGTCTCAAGAAATTGTACTAGTTTGCTGTATAAAAGTCTTCTAATGCCACTTGCTATGTGGACAAATTTAACTCAGCCAACGGAATAACTGATTACAGCAGGGACTGTGGTATTTCTCCTTTCTCAAATTTTTGCAACTAGTATTGAGAATACCTTAAGTAGCATAATTATAAACAAAGGGTCTATTACATAAAACCTTTTAAATAGAACATTAAGTATCTGTATATTCTATGCATACTGACTTTCTATGATATAATAGAGAATTTAAAATTTATGGCCACAACTGATCAGAAACTGTTATCATCCATATTATTGATAGAGAATGAAATAAAAATAGATTATGAGAAATGGTCCATGCTTATCAGGGTTTAAGTATTAAAAGAGATAATAGCCAAAGCTATTATTGAATTATTAAGCTAGTATAAGCTATTAAGCTATTATTTAATCATTAAAAATGTTAAAACTTTTTTGGTGATTCATCTAGAAAGAAAAAGCAAATTATAGTTAAAATGTTCTTACTCCAACTTGATTTCTTAATAATTATAGCAAATTTATGAGTTCATCTACTCTTACAGTCTTTGTAATCAAAGTCCTTATTATGTCACAACAGATTTTAAGTTAATAATTCTGATATCAAATTAGATTTTATGTAAGAAAACCGAAGGAATTTATAGTTTAGAAATTTAACAATCGCATACATAAAACATAAGAGACTTTTTCTGAAAATATGTATTTATTAAAATATAAATTTAGTTATGCCAGATTTTATCTTCTAGCCGCACCAATAAATTTCTAGATTTCTCTGATTATCTTTAGTATTTTAGGTTTAGTAAACTTGACTGCTCGAGTCACTGAGATATAAATATATAAGTACTATCACCAAGTGCTTTACACACTTTAATTCATTTACTTCTCATGCTAACCCTTGAAAACGGATGTTATTAATTCCATTTTATAGAAGAGAAAGCCTAGGCCCAGAGAAGGCAAGTGAACAGTCCATAGTCACACAGTGTTAGAACATTATAGGAATTCAAACACAGAGCTGTCAACCCCCAAAGATGATGCTCTGCTTCTCAAGAACACTATTTTTATGTTCTTTAAGCTAAAATATCTTAATTCATATCTTACCAAGGACAAAATATCTGGAAATATAAGTATTAAATAAACCATCTAATTTCAAGTCAAAACCACACACATAGTTATAAAGTCTTTAGGGAATAACAAAAGATTATACAAACATCTAGCATTATAAAATGCTGGCTAGGGCGGGGCGCAGTGGCTCATGCCTGTAATCCCAGCACTTTGGGAGGCTGAGGTGGGCGGATCATGAGGTCAGGAGATCGAGACCATCCTGGCTAACACGGTGAAACCCCGTCTGTACTAAAAATACAAAAAATTAGCCGGGTGTGGTGGCGGGTGCCTGTAGTCCCAGCTACTTGGGAGGCTGAGGCAGGAGAATGGCGTGAACCTGGGAAGCAGAGCTTGCAGTGAGCCGAGATCGCACCACTGCACTCTAGTCTGGGCGACAGAGCGAGACCCCGTCTCTAAATAAATAAATACATAAATAAATGCAGGCTAGATAAACCAGTCTCCTAAGAGGTAATGACCTGCAAAACATGTGTCCTTTCCACCAAAATCAAGGAGTGAACCTCATCTCTCATAGTTTATGAGGGTTTTTTTTGTGTGTGTTTTTTTTTTTGAGACGGAGTCTCACTTTGTTGTCCAGGACGGAGTGAAGTGGCACAATCTCGGCTCACTGCAAGCTCTGCCTCCTGGGTTCAAATGATTCTCTTGCCTCAGCCTCCCCAGTAGCTAGGATTACAGGTGCCCACCACCACGCCCTGCTAATTTTTTTTGTACTTTTAGTAGAGACGGGGTTTTACCATGTTGGCCAGGCTGGTTCCAAACTCCTGACCTCCAGTGATCCTCCCACCTCAGCCTCCCGAAGTCCTGGGATTACAGGCATGAGCCACTGAGCCTGGCCTAGGTTTTCTTTTAAATAAGCAAGGAGCTTAATATTCTGTTTGCTTATTTTAAACATAATTACAAGGCTTTAAAATATTTTATTTTCCTCCATAGTAGATACTAACATTTACACTTGTTACTATATGCTTTATAAAAGAGAGAAACTTTTTAATACTTCGTTATTTCTTAGTAGCCTTATTAAAGGCAGTCTCTGTGCAATTAGGAACAGTATTTTTTTTTAACGTTGCTTTTCTACTTTGCTGTTTAAGCATCATTTCATGCCTATTGTATTATTTATGCCATCAGGAGCCATTATAATTTCTGTGAGCTAATATTATAAAATCGATACCTTTTAGGTTGCCCAAGAATTTATCTGTAATTCTTTGTCTTTAAAAAGGTAAAATGTTTTCATATTTATCCTACAAGTTTTACAAAAACAAATTTAAAGAATTTAAAAAATCTCATTCATCATACGCACCATCAAATCCAAATTCAGTTATTTACATTTGACATGCATGTAATATTTACATGTGCTATGAACACATAATGAGATTTTGTTCCAGAATTAAAGAACTTAAGTGAGTCCCACATGATCTGTTAGTGGCAATAAATCATAATTGGTCTCATTCTAAATAAAATAAGTACATAAATAGTAAGAATTTTCTTTCAAGAAAATGAACAGCGGACCTACTAACTAAAATTTATTTCAATATTTTTACTTCGTGGAAATTTTGTAAGATCTCATCAACATATACTTTTTGACATATACTTTTCTGAATTCACACTTTATTGTGTAAATTAATATTATTTCATATAGGCTTAAGCTCACTGGCATAAGTAAATGATAGTGATTTTTTAGAATGAGTAATAATGGAAAAAAGAACGAAAGATGAGAGGGAACTTCAGGGCCTTAGAAATGTGAGGCCTTGGCCGGGTGCTGTGGCTCACGCCTGTAATCCCAGCACTTTGGGAGGCCAAGGGAGGTGAATCACTTGAGGTCAGGAGTTTGAGACCAGTCTGGCCAACATGATGAAACCCTGTCTCTACTAAAAATACAAAAATTAGCCGGGCGTGGTGGCGCATGCCTGTAATGCCAGCTACTCGGGAGGCTGAGGCAGGAGAATTGCTTGAACCCTGGGGACAGAGGTTGCAGTGAGCCAAGATTGCGCCATCGCACTCCAGCCTGGGTGACGGAGCAAGACTGTGTCTCAAAAAAAAAAAAAAAAAAAAAGAAAGAAAGAAAGAAAAAAAAAAAAAGAAATGCGAGGCCTTCTTTCCACATTTCCTAACTAGGCTTCCTTCCCTAACTCCAGGGCACCCAGGGGGTGAGCTCCACCCAGGAGGATGTGGAGCCCTTCCTGTGCATCCTTCTGCCGGCCACCATCCTGCTCTTCCTGGCATTTCTGCTGCTGTTCCTGTACCGCCGCTGCAAGTCCCCACCGCCCCAGGGGCAGGTGTTCAGCATTGACCTACCAGAGCACCCACCTGCAGGAGAGGTGACAGACCTCCTGCCCGGCCTGGCCTGGAGCAGTGAGGACTTCCCCTACTCCCCACTGCCCCCGGAGGCCACTCTCCCCTCCCAGTGTTTACCGCCCTCCTACGAAGAGGCCACCAGAAATCCTCCTGGGGAGGAGGCCCAGGGATGCAGTCCTTCAGTATGAAAAGGGCTCACCTGGACTGGAAGAGCAAAAATAAACTGCTCTTGGGAATCATACAAAACACAGCTCTCCACCTTTAATACAGCACCCATGAGAAGAGGGAGAAGGGCCCCTAGACCCAAGAAGCTGCTATTCATTGGCCAACCTCTGACAATGGGGCACTTCAGGCTGAGGGCAAAGCTTGGCAAATGCCAATCTGGTTAACCTATCTTCACATTCCTTAGGGGAAAGTTTCCCAGGTTCTTCTAAAGATGACTGCACTCTCCTAAAATGTATAACACTCCTGAGAAAAAAAGGAAAGTTCTATGTGAGTTGAAAAAAAAAAAAACACTTAATTACTAATGAGCACAGGAACAGGCTCTGAAGGGCAAGAAAAAAAACTCTGGACCAGCCAAAGGTAACTACTTTTGCCACCAAATAGAACTTTTCTTCCCACACCAGTTTTTCAGGGTTTCATGGTTTGTTTCACTTCTGTATGAATGCTCCAAGATATAGAGAGTTCTAGCAGGAGTAAAAGACATCTCTAGAACTGCAGGGGATAGTTGTGTTGTAAATAATGGTGAAATATATTACAATATTAGCAATGAAAGTATAGATATTCGCAAACATTTTAGTTAAAAAATAATAATAAAGCTGTCCAAAGTTATCTTCTTTGTAGTGTCACCTTGCTTATTTGTCTTCTGATTTGCTTCCTTGAATGGGGGAGGGATGTGGCTTAGTGACATGGGATTGTCTCACACTAGGATATTATGGGTCATCTGACAGTGCTGTGGCAAAAGAGAGAGCTTCTGCTATAACACATTATCTTATTAGACATCACTTTTATTATATAACACTACCATGTAATAAGTCACGTATAGCACTGTGACTGAATTTGTAGGCTTCACCAAGCAACAATGACAGCAGAAATCAGGTTAACATTGGAAAGGAAAGGTCAATATTTTGGATTACACGGTAAAGAAAAAACCATTAGTTCCAATAGGGACCTTATAGCCACATAGTTCAAATTCTTGCTTTATAGACATCAAAGCTAGAGCTTAGAGAGGTTAAGTGACTTGCCCAACGTAACATACCTTGTAAGAGGCAGAGCCAAGAACAGAAGCCTGGCCTCTCTGTCCTGGGCAGAAGCATCTTCCACTGTGCCAGATGTTATCCCCAGAAAATTGCAAAGGTCGAATTTCAGCCCAGGCTCCTGGAGGATCAGGGCTCTCAGAAGGATTAGCACAGTTGAGAGTGGAATTGATATTGATACAAGATCTCCCTCTGAGATTTTTCTTTTTCTTTCTTGAGACAGGGTCTTGCTCTGTCACCCAGGCTGGAGTGCAGTGGCACAAATACGGCTAACTGCTGCCTTGACCTCCTGGGCTCAAGTGATCCTCCCACTTCAGCCCCCTGAGAGGCTGGGACCATAGGTGTGCACCACCATGCCCAGCTAATTTTTATTTTATTTTTTTTTATAGAGACAGGATCTTGCCTTCTTGCCCAGGCTAGTCTTAAACTCTTAGGCTCAAGCAGTCCTCCCGTCTCAGCCTCCCAAAGCGCTAGAATTACAGGTGCGAGCCACCAAGCCTGGCCTCCTCAGTGATTTTTCAAATAAGGAGACATAGGTGGGTATTACCACTTGGGAGGTACATCAAAATACCCATGGAGGTGACAAGGGAAAGCAGGAAGTGACATGTATAGTCTTAAACTCTTATTCAATGCTAGAATATTTTTGAAAACAATTTTTATTATTTTCACAATGCAAAATTCAAAACTAGACATTGTTTGATGGTTCAAAATGAACAAAAAATGGTGGCTTAAAGAAATCATTTTGGGGCCAGGCATGGTGGCTCACGCCTGTAATTCTGGCATTTGGGGAGGCTGAGGTGGGAGGATCTTCTGCCTGGACAACACAGTGAGACACCATTTCTCCAAAAAAAAAAAAAAAAATTCGCCAGGTGTGGTGGTGCATACCTGTGGTCTCACCTAGTTGAGAGGCTGAGGTGGAAGGATTGCTTGGGCCCAGGATGTTGAAGCTGCAGTGGGCTGTGATCGTGTCATTGCACTCCAGTGTGGGTGACAGAACTAGACCCTGTCTCAAAAAAGTCATTTTAGCATGAACATTTTAATACTAGATATGCAATGTGGTAAAGTTTAAAACAACGAAGTAGGCAAAAATAGAATACTTTTAAAAATGTAACCTCATAGAAATAATAGTTGTGGTTTTGAAGACTAAAGCAAAATATAATCTATTTAGGTGAAAATCAATAGGTTTTCTTTTAGGGAAATGGTACTGACCAATTCTCTAGTGTTCTTTAAAGGAAATAAACAAATGGAAATTCAAGAAGCTCAGCACACAGCCTTCTTCAGAATTTTTTTTTTTTTTTTTTTTTTTTTTGTTACAGAGTCTCGCTCTGTCACCCAGGCTGGAGTGCAGTGGTGTGAGCTGGGCTTATAGCAACCTCTGCCTCCCAGGTTCAAGTAATTCTCCTGCCTCAGCCTCCCAGGTAGCTGGAATTACAGGCACGCGCCATCACCCCTAGCTAATTTTTGTATTTTTAGTAGAGACGGGGTTTCACCATGTTGACCAGGCTGGTCTCAAACTCCTGACCTGACCACCCACCTCAGCCTCCCAAAGTGCTGGGATTACAGGCATGAGCCACCATGCCTGGCCCGCAATTTTTTTTTAATCCCAAGAATCTAGTTCGGTGAGAGACCCAGTTGATTGTTTCCCAATTGCCATTCTTCCTTCCTCCTTGCTCACAGAACCCTAATTTGGTTCTGGGATCCTGAGACTACCTGCTTAAGGCAGGCTGGGCCCTTCTAAAACCCTGGGGGTGCATCATGACATTTAATTAGGCAATTTTTAATTCACTCACCAGGGACTGATTTGGTCTTTGGGACCTAAGGGGATACCTACAAGGGAGAAGGGGCTCATTCTAGAAAAGTTTGCCTCACTATTTAAAAATAAACACATGGAAAGAAATTCCCTTGCTCTCTGCTGGATGCGCATCTGTCTGTGATGATGTTGTAGAGCAGCTGAACTGACCCTGCAACTATCTACATTTTAATGATAGAATACCTTTCCTAGCGTTTTTTTGTTTTTGTTTTTTGAGACAGGGCCTTGCTCTGTCTGCCAGGCTGGGGTACAGTGGCACAATCTTGGCTCAGTGCAGCTTCAAACTCCCCGGCTCAAGCCATCCTCCTGCCTCAGGTCCCTGAGGAGCTGGGACTACAGGCATATGCCACCACACCTGGCTAATTTTTGTATTTTTTGTAGAGATAGGGTTTTGCCACGTTGCCGAGGATGGTCTTGAACACCTTGGCTCAAGCGGTCCACTCACCTCAGCCTCCCAAAGTGCTGCTGGTATTACAGGCATGAGCCACCATACCCAGCCCTTTCCTACTGGTTTAAGCCATTTAAGCCAGGCTTGCTACTTGAAGACAAAAGCATCCCAACTGCTACAATTTCTCTTTTTTTTTTTTTTTTTTTGTTTTTTTGAGACAGAGTCTCGCTTTGTCACCCGGGCTGGAGTGCAGTAGTGCAATCTCGGCTCACTGCAGCTTCCACCTCCCAAGTTCCAGCGATTCTCCTGCCTCAGCCTCCCAGGTAGCTGGGACTACAGGAACGTGTCACCACGCCCAGCTAATTTTTGTATTTTTAGTAGAGACAGGGTTTCACCATGTTGGCCAGGCTGGTCTCCAACTCCTGACGTCAAGTGAACCGCCTGCCTCAGCCTCCCAAAGTGCTAGAATTACAGGCATGAGCCCCCACGCCCGGCTGCTACAATTTCTAACTAAGGAGATGCATTGCCATGTTTTAAAATGTTCTGATAAGACATGTAAAATAAGTAACCAATGCTAGGACTCATTAAAAATGTTATCAGTGATTTAGGGAAAGAAACATTTTATCTTATGGAACCAAACTGAAGCAGTGAAGCAAATAAACTATAAACTAGGGGTTGCCAGACTATCTGGCCTGCAGAGCAAATCCCACTTGCAACCTGTTTCTGTATATCCTGCAGATTTTTGCATTTTTAAATGTTGAAAAAACATAGAAAGGAGAATATTTCATGACACATGAAAATTACATAAATTCAAATCTCAGTGTCTAGAAATAAAGTTTTATTAAACGCAGCCATGTTCACTTGCCTGTGGCTGTTTTCATGCTATGAGGTTAGAGTTGAGTAGTTGCGACAGAGACTATTTGACCCGCAAAGCCTAAAGCATTTACTGTCTGATCCTTCAGAGAAAAAGTTTGCTGGTGACTGGACACAGTGGCTCATGCCTGTAACCACTTTGGGAGGCTGAGGAGGGAGGATTGCTTGAGGCCAGGAGTTTAAGACTAGCCTGGGCAACACAGCAAGGCCCCCCCACCATCTCTACAAAAATTAAAAAAAAAAAAAAAGTTTGCTAGCTCTTGGATTGTAACTTTAATTGCATAGTAAAATCACTTGGAGGAAATTTTAGAACTCTGATACCAGGACCCACACAGACCAATTACATAGAAATAGAGCCAGCAGTGGCCAGGTGCGGTGGCTTATGCCTGTAATCCCAGCACTTTGGGAGGCTGAGGCAGGAGGAAGACTTGAGCCCAGAAGTTCGAGACCAGCCTGGGCAACATAGCGAGAACCCATCTCTACCAAAAAAAAATTTTAATTAAAAAAAAATAAAAACAAGAAATAGAGCCAGTGATTCTAATATGAAGCCAAGATTGAAAGCAATTACTCTAGGTAATATGAGTGAGCCACAAAATACAGGTGAGTTTCAACGCGGACAGATTTTTGTTAACAGGTTTAGAGAAAATGAGATCTGTATATACAGTTTTGGGCCTTCACTTATAAGCCAACATTCTCTGTAAATTGTTTCCTGACGCCATTAACCAAACATGCAGCTGCAGCCAATTCAACTCACAAAGCAGGATTTGCAGGCAGAACATAGGTAACAACAGTGTAAACAGTACATCCTTGTTTAAATGTTGACACAACTGGCAAACACAAGTAATCTGGTTGTTAGCACTCCAAGAAAAAGTGGAGTTGAAGAAAATTCGCAAATAGAGGAATTAAACCGTTAACCACTAAAAAGTAGTTTGGGAAAAAATAACTTTAGCAAGAAAAAGTTAAGAATGGGAAATAGAATTAGTGAATAGAATGTGGACATTTCACTAAATGCAACAGTGGACCAGAAAATATCTTTATCATTTTATAAAAAGGAAATGAAGTCTGCTTTCCACCCTGACTTGTAAAGAACTTGGGAGTCATCCTAATAGTAAAAAGCTGAACAAACAGAAAAATCAACTCTTCTTAAGTCCATTAAAGAACTGAGGTCACAGGACAAACCACTGTCCCCAAAGTTGGAGAGACAGACAGACAGACACAGAGAATCACAACTTACCTGAGCAGAAACCTCCAGGAACCAGCTGGGGGCAGAAAACCTGAACTGTAATTGATGAATTGCTGGAAGCTCTGAGAATTAAAAACTCTAGGGGTGCCATTCACGGAGGGCCCCCGCGCTTTTGTGAGTATTATCTCCAGGAGCCCTATTAGGTTCTTAGAGTGAAAATCAGAGAAAATCCCCTTGTGCTTCTGGCAGGGATGGGAGGAAGCAACCATTTTGAAATGCACCAGAACGTTCTGTTCTTAACACAGCCTGCCCTCAGGAGAATTTATTTTACCAGAGCCTAACTGACCTGGGGGAAGGGAAATTCCCAGCTTCAGCTCCCACTAGCCTTCCACATGGAGAGGGGAACTACTTGCTCTAGCCCCTCTAGCCCCTCTCGACATCCTGTCCCACCTAAAGTGGGAAGGAAATAATGAGAAGCACCTGTGAAGCTTACAGCCCAGGAGCAGAGGCTTGCCAAAACAGGAGACCTAATTAAAGGGCTGTAGAATACGCCCTTCCCCACACTTTACCTCCACATTACTAAAGGCCTAATTATCAGAGTTCCTTTTACATCATGTCCACTTTTCAACAAGAAATTACAAGGCATACTAAATAGCAAAAGCAAAAACAAAACCACAGTTTGAAGAGGCAGAGCATGTATCGGAAGCAGACTCAGGGCAGAATGTTGAAATTCTCAGGCCAAAATGTGAAACAACCAGGATTAATATGCTAAGGACTCTAATGGAAAAAGTAGACCGCATGCAGGAACAGATGAGTAACATAAGCAGAGAGATGGACATTGCAAGAAAAAATCAAAAAACGCTGGAGATCAAAACCACTGTAACACAAATGAAGAATGTCTTTGATGGCTTATTAGTAGACGAGACACAGCTGAAGAAAGAATCTCTGAGCATGAGGATTTGTCAATAGAGACTTCCAAAATGGAAAAGCGAAGAAGAAAAGAAAACTGAAAAAAGGAACAACATCCGAGAACTCTGGAACAATTACAAATGGTGTTACATACGCATTTGAATACCTGAAGGAGAAAGGAAGAGAAAAAATATTTGAAGCAATAATGACTGCAAATGTCTCCAAATTAATGTCAGATACCAAACCACAGATCTGGGAAGCCTGAGAATAAGTAGGATAATTGTCCCAAAACTACACGTAGGCATATCATATTTAAACTGCAGGAAATCAAACTTAAGGAAAAATCTTGAAGTCAGGGGGAAAAAAGAAACACTACCCATAGAAAAGCAAAGACAAGAATGACATTCAACTTCTCAGAAACCATGCAAGCAAGTGGAGTAGAATGAAATATTTAAAGTATTGACAGGAAGAAAACACCAGCTTAGAATTCTGTATTCTACAAAATTATTCTTCAAAAGTGAGGGATAAAGAAAAACTTGCTCACAGGAACAAAAATTGAGGGAATTTGTTGCCAAGCCATCTGCTTTGTAAGAAGTATTAAAATAAATTCTTCAGAGATAAGGAAAATGACACAGGTCAGAAATTTGGATAAAGGGAGGAAGAGGGCAGGGCGTGGTGGCTCACGGCTGTAATCTCAGCACTTTGGGAGCCTGAGGCAAGAGAATCACTTGAGCCCAGGAGTTTGAGACCAGCCTGGGCAGCAAAGTGAGACCTCATCTCTACAAACCTAAAAATTTTTTAAATGAGGCCAGTTGCGGTGGCTCACACCTGCAATCCCAGCACTTTGGGAGACCAAGGCGGGCGGATCATCTGATGTCAGGAGTTTGGGACCAGCGTGGTCAAAATGGTGAAACTCCATCTCTACTAAAATTACAAAAACTAGCCAGGCATGGTGGTGGGCGCCTGTAATCCCAGCTACTTGAGAGGCTGAGGCAGAATTGCTTGAACCCAGGAGGTGTAGGTTGCAGTGAGCTGAGATTGCACCACTGCACTCCAGCCTGGGCAATGAGAGCAAAACTACATCTCAAAAAAAAATTTTTTTTTAATAAAAAATAAAAAATGATTCATTGCTTGGGAAATGCTCTCTGGATTGATCGATTTATGGCTGAAAAGTGTTTTAGTTTATGATTTAAGGATGATGAGGAAAAAATGGTGTACCCTGAACTTGAATAGTATAAAACATGTTTTAGATGACAATTGAATCGTGGTCATCAGAAATATGCTTCTTTCTGGCTGGGCACGGTGGCTCATGTCTATAATCCTAGCACTTTGGGAGGCTGAGGCGGGCAGATGGCTTGAGCTCACAAGTTTGAGACCAGCCTGGGCAACCCAGCAAAACCCCATCTCTTAAAAAAAACAATACAAAAATTAGCCTGGCGTGGTGTTGTGTGCCTATATTCCCAGCTACTGGGGAGGCTGAGGTGAGAGGATGGCTTGAACCTGGGAGGTGGAGGTTTCAGTGAGCCAAGATTGCACCACTGTACTCCAGCCTGGGTGACAAGAGCAAAACTCCATCTAAAAAAAAATAAAAACAGCCTGGCATGGTGGTGCACTCCTGTAGTCCCAGCTACTCGAGAGGCTAAGGTGAGAGGATCGCTTGAGCCCAGGAGCTGGTAATTACAGTGAGCTATGATCGCACCACTGCACTCCAGACTGGGCAACAAAGTGAAACCTTGTCTCAAAAAACAAAACAAAAAAGAAAGGAAGAGGATTATAGAGGGAATAAATAAAGGTAAAGTAATTTTGTATATGTTCTATTCTTAATTGATAAAAGTCTTAATTGTTCTAAATAATAACAGCAACAAACTGCTTGATTATGCTTATATATAAGTGAAATACATGACAGCAATAATATAAGAGACGGGAGGGAGGAATTGGGAGAATTTTATTATTATGAAGTACTTGCACTATCTGTGAAGCAGTATAATATTATTTGAAAGAGGATTTGGATTAGTTGTAAATATATATTGCAAATTCTAGGCCAACCACTAAAAAATAAGAATAATCAATGTGTTAAGAAATCAGAGAAAACAGAACCATATAAAGTGCTCATTGAAAACCACAAAAGGACTTAGCATGGTAGCTCATGCCTGTAATCCCAGCAATTTGGGAGGCTGAGGCAGGAGTTTGAGACCAGGAGTTTGAGACCAGCCTGGGCAACAAGGCGATACACCATCTCTACAAAATTTTTTTTTAAATTAGCCAGGCATGGTGGTATACACCTGTGGTCCCAGCTACTCAGGAGGCTGAGGTGGGAGGATCACTTGAGCTTGAGCCCAGGAGGTTGAGGCTGCATTAAGTCATGATCGTGCCACTGCACTCCAACCCGGGCAACAGAGTGGAAAACCTCTTAAGTCCCACAGTGTTCTTGCTGCTGGTGGGGAGGACTCTGCCCTACAGGTAAAATATATCTTCATGTCCTCAATTCCTCAAAGTTTGGGTGTTTTGTTTTGTTTTGTTTTGTTTTGTTCTATTTTGTTTTTGAGATGGAGTCTCGCTCTGTCACCCAGGCTGGAGTGCAGTGGCACAATCTCGGCTCACTGCAACCTCTGCCTCCTGGATTCAAGGGATTCTCATGCCTCAGCCTCCCAAGTAGCTGGGACTACAGGCATGTGCCACCATGGCCAGATAATTTTTATATTTTTAGTAGAGATGGGGTTTCACCATGTTGGCCAAGATGATCTCCATCTCTTGACCTCATGATCCACCTGCCTCGGCTGGGATTACAGCCTAAAGTGCCGGGATTACAGGCATGGGCCACTGCACCCGGCCCCTCCAAGTTTTTATACAATGCACATAGTTGGATGTTTTGAAGGGCCAATATTTGCATTCTTCGTCTACTGGATTCTGAACAAATTGGAGAAAAAATTAAATATTCTGATTTGAAGTGCTGAATCTTCCTTTCTCTACATTGTTCATTATTTATTGGTTCCTTTATCATATTACTAGGATCTGAGGGTTGTTGGGACAATCCAATGTTAAAACACACATCTGCCTAAGGACAGAGCAAGTATCAGCTCCTATCTGTATTTACCAACCCATGTTATACATCAAGCACTCTCACTCTCTCATAAGGAAACTAAAACATCCGAATTGCTTGTGGTAGGACCAGGGCCAATCAGGCACACCAGGCACCATCCCCAAAGCTCACCTTACCTTTAGGGTCCCATGAAAATGTTTTAATTTATTTTAAAATCAGAAGAAAAAAAAACTCTTGGGATCAAAGATTATATTCATCTTTACACCAATACAGTCATAAAATGTAATTTGTATATTTTATAAGTTTCACGTGGAGGAAGGAAACCACGAAGGCAAAAGTGCCTTAGGCCTGCAATAGTCACAATGTAGCCCTGGGAAGCAGGTTATCCTGATTCAATGTAAGCAAAATTCAGACAAGGAAACAAGAAATTGGATGTTTTTTCAGAGAAAATAAGAATTAATTTCTCTTTCCTCCCCAACACACATTCAGTGGTCCTAGCCAGACTTTCATTCCCTTATTTTCTCCCATTTTGCTAATGCCATCATAACAATAAGTTATAAAGTGATGTTAATAAGTTTTCTTCTATATGCAGAACATATAAGAACATATGTCATTGAATCTTCTTGGCTCTAAATTATTCATTATTTATTTATTCCTTTATCATACTAATAGGATCTACTTCAGAGGTTTATTGGGACAATCCAGTGTTCAAACACACATCTGCCTTAAGGACAGAGCAACTATTGCAAATGGAGTGTCCTCTACGTCAAGTGAAGGTCTAAGGGAACTCTAGCTGTGAGAGCAATACAAATGGATTCCAACCTTTCTGTACGTCATCCACAAAGTTCTCATGCCTGGAGAAGCTAATGGGCAGAGGACCAGGAGAGTTCAATTAATGGATCTCAGGGCTTAATGAAATGGCCCAGAGTTTTCATTCACAAAAAATCATACTCACAACTATCATTTATGGGGACACAACATGCAAAATATTGGGCTAAGCGATAACTGAGCATTTCCTCTTAGAATCCTCAAAATTGTATGTGATGAATACCAGCCATTTGTACCAATGAAGAAAGAGATTTGGTGAGGCTGAATCTCATGCCCAGGGCCAGAAAGTGGCAGAGGTCAGATGGAAACCCAGATTCTTACATGTGGGTTTAAGCCAAGCAGAGCACCCTCTTCTGACCTGGTGGAGGGTGGCTGCCCATGTTGAAGGACGCAGGCTACAGATTTTATGACTGTGGTGAGACTAAAATCATGGCAGTCCAGAAACTGATGCCCAATTCCTGTTCACTGGTATTAACAACATCCCAACACTTAACACTCTCACAAGTAGAATGAATTGTGTACTAGCCACAAAAAAGGGTATGACTTTGATTGTCCTATACTTTAAGTGAATGTCTAAAGAAACTCTAGCTGTGAAAGCAACATTCATGGATTCCAGCCTATCTGTACCTCATCCATTAAGTCCTAATGCCTGAAGAAGCTAATAATGTCAGGTCATCATGTGAACCTGGAAAAAAAACACATTTCTAAATATTAAATAAGCAAATAATAAAACCAAGTAAAATATAATTTTATATATTTAAATGTATGGCAATGAAAATGATGAGTATAGACTATAAAATAATATCATATAATCCATGTTAATACACAATAGTCTTCCTTAAGTATAAATACAAGCTAAGTATCCAGAGAATCAACCCCAAAAGTACTGCAATGATTGGAAAGGCTGAATCAGGTTTCAGTTGGACAGGAGACAGGGATAGTCATCTAAATTAGTGTTCTTCGAGGCATGGTCCATGAACTGATGCTGGCTCACAGGCTACTTGTTGACAGTCTGAGATAAGATAATAAGAGAAGTTGAGAGTAAGCATTTGTTACTAAAATGCCAGGGGTTCCATCTAAGTCCCATGGCTCACCAAACAGAAAGCCAATCACTGAGACAAGTATTGGCAGGGAAGAAGTCTTTACTCAGCTGCTGCAGCTGAAGAGATGAGAGATCTGTCTCAAATCCCCAACCAACTAAAATTAGCGGTGTATATAGCAGGGAAGAAATATAACTATGTGTGGGAAAACAGGAGTTAGGAAGGGGTAAGGAAGAGGAGTTGGTTAACAAGAGGCAAGTGGTCGGTTAGACAATCATGAAGGGTAAGGGGTCTGGCCTCACTGGCCAGATGCAATGATGCAATGATCTTGTAAGTTTCAGTTCCTTGATACTATCTGGGAGGCCTGACGGTTGGTTTCCTGAGAAAGGAACTCAAATAAAACAAAGATAACTTTCTAAAGTTTTAAGACTGGGCCAATTTCTATGTTTATTCAAAAGAAACCATGAACATCAGTTCTATGGCACAGTTGGGCTGGTTTCATGTTTAGAGACATTTATAGCAACTTATTTTTTACAAAATCCATGCATGTGATCAGTGGACTCATCTCACTGATATTGGTATAGACCAATTAAATTACTACAGAACTTGTGGGTTCAGTAGCCTATAGTATGAGCTGCACATGGTCCTGTGCAGTAGACACTCATGTTGGTTTAAGATGAACTGGAAATTTTAAAAATATATAAAGGATCTTTCATTGCAGATAGCTTGAGAGGCACTGATCCAGAAGATGAGATGTTACTCGTCTCATTACTCAGGCATTACTACTAAACCTTTTCTCCATGGTAGTGGATTTTTTTTTTTTTTTTTTTTTTTGACAGGGTCTTGCTCTATCACCGAAGCTCGAGTGGTGTGATCATGGCTCACTGCATCTTTGACCTCCAGGGCTCAAGTGATCTTCCCACCTCAGCCCCACTAGTAGCTGGGACTATAGGCTCAGCCACCATGCCCAGCTAAATTTTTAAAAAAAAAATTTTTGTAGAGACATGGTCTCATTATGTTGCTTAGGCTGGTATCAAACTCCTGGGCTCAAGTGACCCTCCTGTCTCAGCCTCCTAAAGTGCTGGGATTGCAGGTGTGAGCCAACACGCATGAGCTTGGAGGCAATTTTTAATCTGTTACTTATCTCTTCTGTGCCTGGGTCTCATTGTGCACATGTAGACACTCAACTGTAGAACAACCTAGGGAGACCATTATGCAGGACTTACGAGCAGGCTGAGAACTGACTAGTTTGCAGATCTGTTAAAGGTGCAGGCAGAGGAACTCCTCTTCTGGGAAGTTGGACACTGAACCTCTGTAACACCTATGTTCTCAGTCATTAGGGAGTCAAGTCCAATTCCTACTAATTCTTTATCTTAATAAAGAAATAATGCAGGCCAAGCATGGTGGCTCACACCTGTAATCCCAGCACTTTGAGAGGCTGAGGCTGGAGGATCACTTGAGCCCAGGAGTTAAAGACCCCATTGCTAAAAGAAATTTTTAAAGAAATTGCCAGCCATGGTGGTGTGTGCCTATAGTCCCAGCTACTCTGAAGGCTGATATGGGAGGATTGCTTGAGCCCAGGATCGTGCCACTGCACTCCAGCCTGGGTGATACAGCAAGACCCTATTTCCAAAAAGAAAAGAAAAGAAAAAGAAAAAAGAAAGGAAGAATACAATAATTCTACTGCAACAGTGAAAACCCCACATGTAATAGTTCAAAGAAACATCTTAGCAGCCCTAAATTTTTGGGAAATGGTCTTTCATCAAGTGATCTATTAGAAACATTTTACCTTAGCTGCATCAAAGATTAGTTCCTTTTAAGTGCTTTTGAGAATGTGAGCTATCTAGTTGTGATATATTTGGTCATCTATTTTTAACTTCAAAGCATAAACCTTTTAAAATCAGTATGGATGAGCCTCTCTTTTTTCATAAACACCTCCAACAAACTTAGAAGTTATATCAAGCCTCACTCTGATTAAAATTGGTATTTTAATTTTTAAAAGCATTTCCAGGTTTAGACTTTAGCTTTTTTATCCTCAACCCCACAACTCAGTGTCTCTTCATTTTCTGTGGCAGATAAGAAAGGTGGTTCTCAGGTGTTCCTAAAAACACTCAATTCCTATCTATGTGTCTGCCAAATTCTATGACTGGCATTCATTCAACATTTATCATGCAATTATGGATCAGGCACAGAGTAAAGTGCTCAGTGTAGGAGGCGCTTCACAGGTGGCTTTGTGCCTAAATCATTAATGGGTATTCTAATTCTCGTCAAAACTGAAGGAGAAGCCAGCCAAAAGAAAAGACTAAATTTCTTGTTAGAATACCAAGTTGCTACCCATTTTACAGTTATCACATATGAGACAGTGGTAACTATAGGGGGACCAGATAACCAGGTAACTGCTGAGAGCGGTGGCATGCAGCTGTAGTCCTGGCTACTCAGGAGGCTGAGGTAGGAGGATCCCTTGAGCACAGCAGTTCAAGGCTGTAGTGCTCTGGGATTGTGCCAATCACAATGTTATTTTTAAAAATAACATTATGCTTGCACTCCAACTTGGGCAACATAGTGAGGCCCTGTCTTTAAAAAAAAGAAAAGACCAGATATTTAACTATGTTATGAGTGCATGGATGACCCCAGAAAGGCCAAAATCAAATACTATTTGTTGATAAAACCCATTGTATTAGTCCGTTCTCACACTGCTGTGAAGAATTACCTGGGACTGGGTAATTTGTGAAGAAAAGAGGTTTAATTGACTCATAGATCTGCAGGTTTTATAGGAAGCATGGTTAGGAGGCCTCAGAAAACTTACAATCATGGCAAAAGGTGAAGGGGAAGCAAGCACGTCTTACCATGGCGGAATAGGAGACAGATAGTGAAGGTGGAAGTGCCACACACTTTCAAACAACCAGATCTCGTGAGAACTCACTTAGTATCACGAGAACAGCAAGGGGCAAGTCCACTCCCATGATCCAATCACCTCCCACCAGGCCCTTCCCCGGACATGTGGGGATTACAATTCAAAATGAGATTTGAGTGGGGACACAGAGCCAAACCCTATCACCCAGCAACACCTACTACAATACTGCATAGAATAAATACTTTTCAAGTTATTGTTTCTGAAAAACATTATCCCAAACATAATGTTATTTAAAAAAATAACCATTTTCTTATCCTCACAGTTTCTGTGGGTACTGCAGGGATAGCTTGTATCTCCTCTATGACTTCTGGGACCTCGGTGGGGAAGACTCAAGGATGTCTGGAGGTGACTCAATGGTGGGCAGGAATCATCTGAACACTTGCTTACTCAACGTGAGCAGTGGTTGATGCCAGCTGTCAGCCAGGTCCTCAGCTAGGATATACTAAACATAGCTCTCCATGGAGCTGCTTGGGGTTCCCTTCAGCGTGGCTGTTGGATTCTAAGAGCAAGTGTCCCAAAGAAAACTAGGTGAACAACTTTAATGATCTAGCCTTCTACTGTCATCGTAAGCCTGCCAAGTTTCAAGGAAAGGGAGAACAGATGTCCACCTCTTAATTAGAGATATGTCAAAGTCACGTTATAATAACAGCACATTGGATGGAAGATAATGTTGCAACCATCTTTGGGAAATAAAAATCTGCCACAAGTATGGAATAAATAAACAACGTATGACTCAATGATATTACAGACAGGGCTTTTCTCAAATATTTTGAGCTCTCCTTTAAAAACACAGATCAATAGTATTTTTGCACCCCCTTGAGGTTAATCAAGGCCCGGTGACTTGCTTTGGTCAATGAAAGTGGATGGAAACAACTTATGTAACTTACTGCAGGAAGCATTTACAGTTGATCCTCATTATTCACAAATTCCATATTTGCAAATTTGCCTGCTTGCTAAAATGTCTTTGTAACTCCACAGTCAATACTCACAGCATTTTCTGGTCACTCACAGACATATGCATGCACACAGCTTTGGAAAATGCAGGTTGCCCAGTGCACACATTCCCAGCTGAAGTTGGAAAAGGCAAGCTCTGTTTGTTTTAGCTCTCATGCGGTAGACAATGTCCATTTTACAATCTATGGAGTGCCACCATTTTTGCATTTTTGTGCTTTTTGTTTGCTGTTTAAAACAGCCCCCAGGCTTAGGGCTGAAGTGCTGTCTAGTGCTCCTCAGTGCAAGAAGGCCGTGATGTGCCTTACAGAGAAGATATATGTGACATTCAGGCATGAGTTATAATGCTGCTGGTCACGAGTTCAATGTTAATGAATCAACAACACCTGTTAAATAAGATATCTTTATGCAGAAACACACATAAAACAAGGTTATGTATTGACTGGTTACTGAAAATACTGTGACCAGAGGCTTACGGGAACCTAACTCTATATTTCCCCTAGGAGCAGTGGTTCAGTATTTGCTAAATCGGTGTTGATGGTTACTTTAAGGAATGTAACTACCACAAATAATGAGAACCAGCTGTATTACTGGTGTGGGTCTCTCAGTGCTCTCTTCCCTTGCCAGGGTGATTGTGGAGGTATCTGTTGACATAAAGGTGCCAGGCTGTACCGTCTCATGGAAAGGGGCTGTCCAAAATCCTCATTCAGACCCAGAGAGGACTCTGCATGAACAAGGAATCAGCTGTTGCTTATGGCCAGTGCTATGTGCGGTTGTTTCCACAGCACAACTTAGTCTTTCCTCACCAAACACACCACTAAATATCTGTTCCTAAAATACCGCTTGTAAGGCCAGGCATGGTGGCTCATGCCTATAATCCTAGCATGTTCTGAGGCCAAGGTGGGTGGATTGCTTGAGCCCAGGAGTTCAAGACCAGCCTGGGCAACATGGCAAAACCCTGTCTCTACAAAACCAACAAAAAAATTAGCCAGGTGTGGTAGCATGCGCCTGTAATCCCAGTTACTCAGGAGGCTGAAGTAGGAGGATTGCTGGATCCTTGGGAGGCCGAGGCTGCATGAGCCGTGATTGCACCACTGCACTCCAGCTTGGGTGACGGAGTAAGACCTTGTCTCTAAATAAATAAATAAATGAATAAATACAAAAATAAAATATTGCTTGTTAACTGAAAATAAATAGTACTTTTGAAAGACAAAAGGAAGAAACATTTGAGTACTCTGCTCCTCCCCCATCAGCTTCACAGATTTCAAAATGTGGAAAATAGAACTTATCTCAAAATTTGCTGTACAGCTTAAATAAAATATCTGCTTCATAGTGTCATATAAACATTGATGAAATATAAGCAAATAAAAAATTACTATAATTAATCAACAAGAAAACAAACTAACTCGATTATTTTGAAATAACAATATAAAACTTGAATGAAGTTTATTAACTTTAAATAATTTAAATAATTTAAAGTTTATTAAACTTTACTAAACTTTATTAAACTTGTTCTAAACTGAAATCCTATTATTTTGAAATAAATCCCTTTCTTTCCTTCCTCTGTTCTTTTATATGACTAGTTACTGCCTTGTAAATACAGATAATGCAGTGTAGTCACCTCTGTTACCTTCACTAATTGCATACTCCAAACCCTGAAAAATAAACGTCTCCAAATTTAGCCTTAGATTTTCTGCAAATAAAATATTGCCCTCCAAAAAAGACATTGATAAATGTAAAAGATACTCTATAGATTAAAATAACAGATTTCTTAAGCAATGAAGTAAATTACATCCTTTTTCTTTTTTTAAAAAAAACCTGTGATAAAGTTATATTTTCAACTTTGCAAAGTCACCTAAGCAATGGATCACATCTGTTACCTAGTTAAACGAAACAAGCTATTTTTTAAAATAAGTTAAAAATTCATTATTTAGCCTTTACTAAGTAAATCGAACTTAGTTCTGCATAATAATAGATCTGACAGAACCACTAGAAAGTGCCATGAGTCCTCAGGCCACTGCACAGTTGTTGGGGCAGGAAAGGGCAAGGAAAAGAGAAGACATCAATTGCTTTAGAAGCACTAGGCCCATACAATGGGGTATTTCTGGCAATTAAAAAAAAATTAAGTACTGGTACATGCTACAACATAGATGAAAACATTACACTAAGAGCAAGCAGCCAGTCACAAAATATCGCATATTACTTTTGTTGGTTTGTTTGTTTGTTTTGAGACAGAGTTTCACTCCTGTTGCCCAGGCTGGAGTGCAATGGCGGGATCTTGGCTCACTGCAATCTCTGCCTCCCGGGTTCAAGCGATTCTCCTGCTTCAGCCTCCCAAGTAACTGGGACTACAGGCGTCCGCCACCACACCTGGCTAATTTTGTATTTTTAGTAGAGATGGGGTTTCTCCATGTTGGTCAGGCTGGTCTCGAACTCCCAACCTCGGGTGATCCGCCCTCCTCGGCCTCCCAAAGTGCTGGAATTACAGGCGTGAGTGACAACACCTGGCCTAAATATCACATATTATAATACATGATTCCATTTGTACGAAATATCCAGAAGAGGCAAATCCATAGAGACAGAAAGTAGGTTAGTGGCTGCAAGGGGTTGGGGCAAGGGAGATGAAGAGTGACTGCTAAGCTACATGGAGTTTCTGTTTGGACTGACGGAATGTTCTATAATTAGAATTAGATAGTAGTCATGATGTTTGTACAACACAGTGAATATACTAAAAACCACTGAATTGTACACTTTAAAATAGTGACTGATGCTATGTGAATCATATCTCAAAAAATATTTTAAAGCACCAGGTGCACTGTTTTAGTCTATTTTCTATTGCTGATAACAGAAAATCTGAATCTGGGTAATTTATAAATAAAAAGAATTTATTTCCTATGGTTATGGAGGTTGGGAAGTTCAAGGTCAAGGGGCCACATCTGGTGAGGGCCTTCCTGCTGGTGGGGACTCTCTTCAGAGTTCCGTGACAGCACAGAGCATTACATGGTGACGGGGCTCAGTGTGCTAGCACAGGTCTCTCTTCTTCCTCTTATAAAACCACAAGTCCCATTCTCGTGCTAACCCAATAATCCATTAACCCATTAACCCATGAATGGATTAATTTCAGAGCCCTCATCACTCAATCACCTCTTAAGGCCCCATCTTTCAATACTGCCCTATTGGGGATTCAGTTTCAACATGAGTTTCTGAAGAGATGAACATTCAAACCATAGCATACACCCACTAGGATGATTATAATCCAAAAGCCAGATAAAAACACGTGTTGATGGGGATGTGGAGAAATAGAATGCTCACACCTTGTTAGTGAGAATGTGAAGTGGCGAAAAAACAGTCTGGCAGTTTCTCAGAAAGTTAAACATAGAGTTACCATTTGACCCAGAACTTCTACTCCTAGATGTTTACCCAAGAGACATGAAAACATACATGCACACAGAAACATGTACATAAACATGTAGAGCAGCTTTATTTATAATAGCCAAAAGTTGAAAATGGCCCAAATGTCCCTCATCTGATAAGTTGATAAAATGTTTATCCAATGGACTATTAATCAGCTATAAAAAGAAATGGAGTACCTGCCACAACACAGATGAACCTCGAAAACACTTTGCCAAGTTAAAGAAACCAGTCACAAAGGACCACGTACTATTATGAGTCCATTCATATGAAATGTTCCAAATAGACAAAACTATAGAGACAGAGAACAAATTAGTAGTTGTCTAGGCATAGGGAATGGGGAATTGGGAGGTGGTGGCTAAAGGTTATAGAGTTTCTTTAAGGGTGGGAAGTGATGAAAATGTTCTCACCTTGTGATGATGGTTGCCCAGTCCTTGTGATGATGGTTGCCCAGATCTAAAGATCCTAAAAACCATTGACTAGTACACTTTAAATGGGTGAACTATATGGTATATGAATTATATCTTAATAAATCTCTTGGAAAAAATAAAGAATACATCTAACAAAAAAAAATTTAAGGGATATTTATTCCTTTTCCAATTGTTATAATAAAACCAGGTGGAAGAGAATGGTTGTAGCAGTTAGAAAAAAAAAGAATACAAATCTGGGGTTTGGCCATTAAAAGTTATTCATAAAAATGAGAGAAGAAAAGGCAAGAAGAAGTTATTTCACATTACAGACCTCTCCCTGGCCCCAAAGCCTAACATGTGCTTACCGAGTCAAAAAAGAGACACAGTTGATTCACAAGCTGAAGGTTGGAACTTGAATAGAACCCTAGGCAGGGCAGTGCCCCCCTGCCCGGCCCAGGTGCCACTAGGCACAGCACCAGAGTAAAAACTCAACAGCGGGGAGGCCGGACCCTCGAGGTTTGGGAGTTTAAGCACCCAACTTCTGGCTCAGGGATTTGGGGAGTAGGGTAAACAAAACCTACTTGGAAAAGAATTGGGGAAGAAAACCAAAAATTGCCTTCTGCAGGGCTGGGGACAGGGAAGGAGGCAGGGCCAGGGAAAGGCACATTTCATATCACTAATCTAACTTGGGAGGCTGTGGGGGACCGTCTTCAACTGGCCTTACGAGGAAAGCCACATGGCCGATTGGAGAATCCACAGGAGGGAGAGAAGGAAAGGGAATGTAGCTGGTAGGATGCAATAGCCCCTTCCTTTCTGGGCACAGGAGGGCAGCCAGGGCACCAGGTCCAGGCAGTAACCTCACAAGAACAGCAGTTTTTGCAGCTTAGAGATCACCCACCTGGCCCACCCAGCTACTCATTCTGCTCAGCGTGGGCTGGTGTAGGGCCACTCTCCGCCCCGAGGGAGTGGACAGCTCTGTAGCTTGGGGCCCTGCCTCTTCTTCTGAGGCAGTACTGCCTCTGCGCCCTTGGCCTGGGGCTCCTGGCTCTCAGGGGTGGCAACAGCCTTCCCTTCCTGGGCAGCGCCCTTGTCGCTGCAGGCATTGATCTTCCCCCACTCCTGTTCTTCCTCCATAGGTGAGGAGGCAGAAGAGTCACCCCACCCTCCTTCCCATTTCTCTTGAAGGACAAGCTGCTCTTAGAAACCCTTCTTGAAAGATAATTATTTATTTATTTATTTATTTATTTATTTATTTATTTATTTATTTATTTTAGACAGGGTATCACTCTGTTACCCAAGCTAGAGTGCAGTGGCGCAATCTCGGCTCACTGCAGCTTCGACCTCCCCAGGCTCAAGCCGATCCTCCCACCTCAGCCTCCCGAGTAGCTGAGATCACAACCCCAGCACACTCAGCTTTTTTTTTTTTTTTTTTTTTTTTGGAAGGCAGCTATGCTCTCCACTCTACTATCAACGCTATTTTATTGTATTTTTGTAGAGACGGGTTTTCGCCATGTTGCCCAGTCTGGTCTCGAACTCCTGGGCTCAAGCGATCACCCCTGTCTTGGCCTCCCAAAATGAAGGGATTACAGGCGTGAGCCACCGTGCCTGGCCTTGAAAGGCAATTTCGTCTTCTTGGAAGTCTCCTTGCGAGGGAGGGAGCCTCCCCTTTGGCCTCAGCACCCTGGCTAGGGGGTGCTGGCTCCATGGCATTGCCAATGGTCCCGGCTGCCTCTTCTGTTCACAGGGGCCTACTCCCCTTCACCCTTGGGGGATGTCACCATTGCTTTTCACGTGGCCACCCTCCTGTCCGTTGGCTTTCGCGTGGGGAGTGCCTGCTGCCTCTGCGGCGGTCACGTCGCCCCGGAGAGCCTCGGAGCTCTGGCTGCCCACGATGGGAGTCCTCTGGGGGGCGCCGGAGCCGTGCCGGGTCCCCGCCGCAGGGGACAGTAACGCGGAGTCGGCCTGGCCGGCGGAAAGGGGGTGCTGGGGAACAGAGCCGCACCCCACTCGGCTCGGGAAAGCCCTGGTAACCAAAATTCTTGAAAAGCACTAGTGTCTGGCCTCGGCACTAACTCTCCCCGAGTCTCGTTAAGCCTGCGGGGATGACTCAGAGGGTCTGGGGTCCTGTCGGGGAAAAGTTCAGAAACCAGAACAGTTCCAGATTCTCTCCATGTGTCTGTGGTCCCACCACCTCCTCCGCAAGGGACCCTGAAAGCTGTCTGGGACCTAGGACAACTTCTTGGGATGAGTACGGCCATTCGCCCTGGCTGAGCCCCAGGAGTGCGGGCAGGGGCCGCGGGGGTCGGGTCGCCAGCCGCCACCTCCTGCCTTTCTCTGCCTGCGGTGCGCTGGGACACCCTCGAGGCGGCTCAGCGCCCGCGGTTCCCAGCGCGGGCGGGGCCGCGGCAGAGGTTCCCAAACCGGTTGCACAGAAACAGCGCCACCCCCTACTGCCCGCGGGGCCACCTGTGTGTGCCTTTCCTTCAAAAACAAAGGCGGGGCGGGGGCGGAAGTGCCTCAAAAGAAGGCGGGCCGAAGCGAGGTGCGGCTCCCTGTCGCCGCGGAGGGGCGGGGGCAGGACGCGCAACTCCGGCCGGAGCTGTCCGGGGTCGTGAGCCGGCCCCGCCTTGGTGGCGGCGCCCCCTCGCGGTCCAGAGGCAGACGCATCGGGTGGGCTCGGGTCTCCAGCCCGGCCGGGAGGAGGGACCGGGTCTGCGGAGCGGGGACTCGGGGCCTCGGCGGGGCGCGCACACGCAGGCGGGGCGGCCCGGGGTGCGGGGCCTCTGCGCGGCTGACCAGGCTCCCAGAGCGTCAGCGCCGCCCATGGCCGAGCCGCTCCAGCCAGACCCCGGGGCGGCCGAGGACGCGGCGGCCCAAGCTGTGGAGACGCCGGGCTGGAAGGCCCCGGAGGACGCCGGCCCCCAGGTAGGCGCCGACTCGGGAGCGGAGGGGCTGGGCCCGCCTTCCGGCTGATTTGCAGTGAGGCCAGCGGGTCCCATAGAGTTAAGTAAAAAGTACAGTTTTTTAAATGGTCCCAGTCCCTACCCACTATGCTACGCAAACGAGAAACCCCGGTCATTTAGCTCTACCCTCCCCGCTACCCCCAGTGCAGGTCCCATCTCAATTTCTTGTCTTTGCGGGGTGGTGGGGCGGGGAGGAACTGGTTACGTCCCAGAACGCGCGGTGGAACCCTCCGAACCGAGGGGGTGTAATAGATGCTTGTCTGAAAGTGTGAATCGAGTCCCCAGCGTGTGGGGTTGGGGCCGCTGCGGTCCCTAATCGCAAGGAGGGGAACCTCGTGGAGGGGAACCTCCCAGACCTAAGGAGCGGGGACCTCAGGCCGGACCCCGGGGCGGTGCAGCCCCTAGACAGGACGGCTCCAGGTCGACCCGAGATCATGGCACCGGTATTTTTGCATCTCACTCCTACCCTCTTAGAATTGCTTCTCGAAGTTTTCTCTGTTCCACTTTAGCCCGGAAGTTATGAGATCCGACACTATGGACCAGCCAAGTGGGTCAGCACGTCCGTGGAGTCTATGGACTGGGATTCAGCCATCCAGACGGGCTTTACGAAACTGAACAGCTACATTCAAGGCAAAAACGAGAAAGGTAAAAGCAGTTTTCCTTGTAATTATGCATATTGTGAAAGAGTCCCCGGGCTTATTATTGAGTTTTAGCTTATTAAAGAAATATCCTTTATAATGGAAAAATAAGCAAGTCATCAAAGACTTGTCTTGTTTTCAGACAAGACTCCTCAGGACCAGGGTTACACTGGGTATTACTTTTCAACCTCTGTTCTCTGATTTTGCTGGATGAACTGGGGTTTGGTGTAACTCGTGATAAGTCCTTTTCTATGGCTAACACCTCAAGATAATTTGGTGACTGGTAGGATCAGAGACGTCAGGAGGCAAGAAGGTACCAAGATTAGAAGCATCAAGTCATAGCTTTTGGTCTGGCTTTGCTGCTATTTATATTTTAGCAGGTCTCTTAGCCTGTGGGACCTCATTTTCTGAATGGTAAGAAAAAATAATTTACTGACCATGTAATCTCTAATTTCCCCTTTTATCTCTAAAAATTAAGAATTTATTAACCCAGAATATCAGTATTACAGAAAGTGGTTTAATGTGGGCAGTGAGCAATTGAGTAATTTTGGCCTTACTGTTTTAAGATGAAAATTATCTTAAAGGTAAATATGTCAACAATGTGAAGTAAATCAAGGAACCCAGATCAAAAAAGAATAGGTTAAATGTTTAAAGCTGTCAAAAATACACTAAATTTGCTTTCATTTTTATGTCACAGAGATGAAAATAAAGATGACAGCTCCAGTGACAAGCTACGTGGAGCCTGGTTCAGGTCCTTTTAGTGAGTCTACCATTACCATTTCCCTGTATATTCCCTCTGAACAGCAATTTGATCCACCCAGGCCTTTAGAGTCAGATGTCTTCATTGAAGATAGAGCCGAAATGACTGTGTTTGTACGGTAAGTGGTAGATAATTTATAGCCTTGCTGACTGCTAGTTTTACTTGCGTGCACTCACAGTTTAGCTCCAATGCAATTTCAAAAGGCTTTTTCACCCTTCCATAAAATCAGGTCTAATGCATTTTGTGATGTTTTCCTACTGGCTTTGTTGTATATGTTACTGAGGTCTGTCACAAGATAATAATCACTTCATTTAATGAGTCTATTGCATGCCCTTCATATAAGACACGGTGCAAATTATATGCTCCCAAAACAAAAGACTGCAATATAGTTAGACCTGAACAAAAATACCTTAAAACAGAAGTCTTAGTTTGTTCAGGCTGTTGTAACAAAATACCGTAGGCTGGGTAGTTTATGAAAAACAGAAATTTCTCTCTCACATTTCTGGAGACAAGGAAGTTCAAGTTTAAGGTGCTGGCAGTTTCAGTGACTGGTGAGGGCCCGTTTCCTGGTTCATAGATGGAACCTTCTCAGAAATGCCCTCATGTGGTGGAAGAGGCAAGGCAGCTTTATTGGACATGTTTTACAAGGCTCTACCCTCATGACCTAATCACTTTCCAAAGGCCTCATCTCCTAATACTATCACATTAGTGATTAGGTTTTCAAAATATGAATTTTGAGGCCCAGCACTTTGGGAGGCTGAGGCAGGTGGATCACTTGAGCCTGGGAGTTAGAGACCAGCCTGGGCAACATGGCAAGGCCCCATCTCTACCAAATGTATATATATATATTAGCCAGGCCTGGTGGCACATGCCTGTGGTCCCAGCTACTTGGGAGGCTGAGGTAGGAGGATCACTTGGGCCCAGGAGGTCGAGGCTGCAGTGAGCCGTAATTGCACCAATGCACTCCAGCCTGGGTGACTGAGACCCTGTCTCAACAAAAAGAAAAATGTATATATGAATTTTGGGGAGACACAAACATAGAGTTCATAGCATTCTGCCCTGATCCTGTAAAATTCATATCATCTCACATGCAGAATACATTCATTCTATCCCAATAGCCTCAAAAGTCTTAATTCATTCCAGCAAAAGCCTAAATTCATCTAAAGATCATCAAAATCAAATCTGAGGCTCAAGGTACAGTTCATCCTGCGGCCGATTCCCCTCCATCTATGAACCTGTGAAATCAAACATATTATATGCTTCCAAAATACAATGGTGGGACAGACATAGGATAAATACTGCATTCCAAAGGAAGAAATGGGAAAAAAGAAATGGGTAACAGGTTCCAAGTAAGTTCTAAATCTTCAGATTAATTTTCTTTGACTCAAAGCTCTTCCCTCTGGGCCCACTGGGATGAAGGTCCCACTTGTGAAGCTCTGCTGAACAGAGGTTGGGCCCCCAAGGCTTCAAGTGGCCCTGGCCATGGCTTTGGATGGCCCAACCCCACTGCAGCTCTCACAGTTGGAGGGACCCCACCCTGCAGCTCTACCAGGCTCGAATTGCACACCGGTGGCCCTCCCAGTCTGGTGTGCCCGGCTCCCATGGCTCTGTTAGCCATTTCCCTATTGGGGACTCACTGCAGTAGCTTGGTCTCACTGTGGCCCTCTGCTTGGGTCACATACCCAAGGCCCTGGGCAGCTCCATCCTTCAAGGTGGAGGTAGCCACACCCCCACAGCTCATGTACTGACAGAGGTCGGCACCACATGGATGCTGCTGAGGTTAACTGCCTGTGCCTTCCGGAGGGACAGACATCACAGCCCAGGCCACACCTCAGCCCACTGGAGCTGAACCTGGGGCATCCAAGGAGGGCTGCACTGGAATGCAGGAAACAGATTGGTGAGGCAGTGCTAGGCAGTGAGTTCCAAGGCCCCCCAGGTGCCCAAAGACCCTCCTTTGAAATTGTTCTGCCCTCCCCAGGCACTGAAACTTGGCATGTGATGGGAGAGGCAGCTCATAATTTCTAAAATGCCTTTGGCATCGTTCTTCCATTATGCTGGAGAATAGGTCCTGGTTTCTGTTTAGATGGCAGTTCCACATTCATCTCCTTATCAAAGGGTTGCTTGGCCTTACCCTTGTTCTCTCTTGAACAAGCTTTCTCATTTCTTTTAATGTAGATAGGCTAAGAATTTTCCAGATGTTTAAGTTCTGCTTCCCTTTTGATTAAAAATTTACTCTTTAAATTCTCTCTTCTTGTATTTTACTATCAAGAGAAGCGAAGCCACATCTTCCATTCACATTTTGCTTAGAAAATGTTCAGCCAAATATCCTATTTCATAACTCACAAGTTGTACTGTCCACATTACACTGGGACACAAACACAGTTTCTTTGCCATGTCATGACAAGGGTCACCTTTCCTCCAAGTTCCAACAAATGTTCCTCATTTCCATCCGAGACCTTATGAGAATGGCCTTTACCGCAAATCACCATGATCTGGTATGACTCCCACTCTCTCCTTAGACTGCCGTTGCCATCCTCAGCAGTGCCTCTGTATCTGCCACGTGGTTACTGTCCTCTCCCACATGACCCTTACAGCAGTCATGTGTGGACGAATCTGTTCCCTTAATACTTGCTTATCCTTTAACTTTCAGAGTGTCACTCTCTTGTCATTTCTCCTGTCCCATTTCTTTACCTCCGTTGGCTCCTCAGCTCCCTACCCTAGGATCACTGTCGATGCCTGTTTTAGACCCTCATTTCATAGCCGACTTGTTCTGGGCAATCCATTCATATTGCTTCAACTCCCTCAGTCGAATGATTCTCCCATCTATTAAGTGTCTCCAGATCTGATTTCCCTACTTGTTGGACATCTCTCTTTGGGGTTGGGGGAATCAAACTCAACAACCCTAAAAATGAGCCTTTGCCCAATTCCCACATCTCTGATCTTATAGTGCCTGTCTCAGTTGAGGGCCTCATCAGCCAGATAGGCTCCTCTTTTTTTTTTTCTTTTTTTCTGAGACAGGGTCTCGCTCTGTTGTCCAGGCTGGAGTACAGTGGCATGATCATAGCTCACTGCAGCCTGGAACATCTGGGCTCAAGGGATCCTCCCACTTCAGCCTCCTGAGTAGCATGTGCCACCACCATGCCCAGCTAATTTATTATTTTTTGTAGGGACAGGATCTCACTATGTTGCCCAGGCTCGTCTTGAACTCCTGGGCTCAAGCAGTCTACTTATCTCAGCCTCCCAAAGCATTGGGTTTACAAGCATGAGCCACCATGCACAGTCAAGACAGCTTCCTGAGCAAGGAATTTACAGTCACCATCAGCACAATGTTCCTGACAATTGATTGTCAAATCTGGCCCATTCACCTCAAAAATGATTCAGGGTTTTGTTCCCTCCTCTCTATCACCATTGTGACTTACTCGGGTCTTCCTCTTCTAGGGACCGCACTAAGTCATCTTTGTGTACCCCAGTTCTTGGCACAAGCCTGACATTCCCAATAGATACTGGGATGTTGATTGATCTTAACTGAATTATTTCTTGACTATTTCACTTCAGTAGCCTGCAAGCCGTCTTCCCTGCCACCAGTCTTTTCCTTTCCTCTTCCACACTGGAACTGTCATCTTTCTTACCACAATGACAAAAGCCCAAAATCTCCGTTGGATTCCTCTTGCCTCCCCAGGGAAGCTCAGATTGTTCACACGGTGCACAGTGCCACATATGACCTGGCCCAGCCCTGTCTCAGCAGCTCCCCTTCCCACCACTTGGGCTTCTCACCCTTCATGTAACATGCCATGTTCTTCCACATCTTGTTACCTTTGACCTCAGGCACGTTAGTCCACTTTTCCTTGCTAAAATTTCCCTGTTTTAAAATGCGTGTGATCATAATACTTACTATCTCATAGGGTTGCCATGAAGATCGGATGAGTTAATTTATGTAAAACACTTGGAACATGAGCATCAAGCATTCCTAGCTCTAGTACTCTCTTTTTCCTCTTCCTGGAGAGCCCATTGCCACCCTACAGGACAAATGACACCTTTTCTGTGATGCCTTCTTCAATTTCTCCACCTAGCTAGGTACTCTGTCCTGGGGCCCTTCTATTCTTCTTCTTCTAAGTAATAGTGGCTTATTTATAGACGGAAATTTCTTCAAGAATATGACAGCATGTTACTATGTCCATATATTCCAGCCCCTGGCAAGGCAGGCACGTGGGGGTGAGGGAGGCAAGCACCATATATGTTGTCTGTGTTCTGAATAAAACAGTGAATAGATCATTGTGAAACAACACACAGTCAGAGAACAAAAGCTTATTTCTAATTAGAGGGTTCAGTATTTGATTTTAAGGGAAAATGAATTTGAAAACAAATTCCTTTTAGGCAGAACATGCTAAGCATTGGTTATTCATCAAGGAAATAAATAATACATTTAAGAGCCAAAATGTTTCTTTCTTTTTTTTTTTTTTTTTCTGAGATGGAGTTTCACTCTTGTTGCGCAAGCTGGAATACAATGGCGCAATCTCAGCTCACTGCAATGTCCGCCTCCCAGGTTCAAAGTGATTCATCTGCCTCAACCTCCCGAGTAGCTGGGATTACAGTCACCCCTCCTCACTATGCCTGGCTAATTTTTATATTTTTAGTAGAGACGGGGTTTCACCATCTTGGCCAGGCTGGTCTGGAACTCCTGACCTCAGGTGATCCACCCGCCTTGGCTTCTCAAAGTGTTGAGACTACAGGCGTGAGCCACCATGCCTGGCCCAAAATGTTTCTTAACCCATGGTTCAGAATTATATTCAATCGACATGAAAATGATAGAATGGAAGAGTTATATCAACTCACCTGCAGTGTTTTATTTTGCATACATGTGCATGCAGAGATTCCTACACTTGACAGGATTAAAAGGGAACTGCATGCCAGGAATGGTTCTGGGTGCTGGGTAGACATTGTTATATAAAGCAGACATGGTTTGTACCCTTAAAAGAGATGACACCTCAGCTGAAGCGTGGTAGGATTGATTTTTTGCACTGGCACATTGATAACAGAACTTATACCAAAGAAGGCATATTAGGAAAAGTTTTGTTTCTCAGTGTTTCTTATTCTTAACCCTCAAAATCAAATTCATCATGCTTGCATGTCAGCAGCTCAGCTAGGTCAGTGCTGTCATGATTTAATCTCAGGATGTTTTTGTTTATATACTGTAGAATGTATACTTAAACTTTTATTCTCTTTTCCCACTTTTTGTTTTAATCTTTTGACTGTCTTTTCTTCCACTTCCCCACAGCAGCCTCCTGACTGGATCCTTCCTCACCAGTCTATTATATGTCTGCCTATATTCTAATCCAGATCTTATCAAGTTGCACATTTCAGCTCAACATCCTTGGAAATAACCTCAAAAGGCCTTAGGCTAATGCACAGGGTTCTTCCTTCTAGTTCTGACTCACCTTCCTGACCTCATTTTATGCCTCACTATGAAAACACTTGGTATTTTTAGATTTATGGTCTCTTTCCTATCACTCCCCTTTCTTTGTTCAGCAAAACCATCCTCCATTCAGGCCCAACTCAGATGATTCTCCTTACCCCAGATTTAATCAGGTCCTCAACGCTCCCACAACACTTTGATCCTGTCCCTGTTTAAAACCCTTCTCAGAGGCCGGGCGTGGTGGCTTATGCCTATAATCCCATTGCTTTGGGAGGCCAAGGCAGGTGGATCACTCGAGCTCAGGAGTTTGAGACCAGCCTAGGTAACACAGTAAGACCCTGTCTCTACAGGTTTTTTAAAAAATTAGTCCGATGTGCACCTGTGGTTCCAGCAACTTGGGAGGCTGAGGTGGGAGGACTGCTTGAGCCCAGGAGGTCAAGGATGCTCTGCCACCATATTCCAGCCTGGGCAACAGACAGAGTGAGACTCTGTCTCAAAAAAACAAACAAACAAAAAAACCTCAGGATGTATAGAGAGAGCTGCCAGAACGTTGATCTCTTCCATTGGATCATAAATTCAGAGAGGTGAAAACTGTATCATATTCATCTGTAATCCAGTGTTTATTCTTTTCCTTAGGAGAGGGAAAAAGGGGCAATGTGCAAGTGAAAATCGAGTCTGGAAAAGGGGCTTCTACAGGGGTGTTGGTGTAGTTCTCTGATCAGCAGCACCGGCATGGATGTGGGAGCTCGGAGGAAATACACTCTCAGGCCCCACCCCAGACCTGAATCTGCATCGTAGCAAAATCCCCAGGTGACCTGTATGCACGTTAAAGGTTTGAGAAGCACAGGGTAGAGCACTTGAGATTGTGTAGGTTCCAAATCCACCTGTCAACAGATGGAAGGAGGGGATGCATCCTCCTGGGTTTCCTCAGTGCTTCTGAGGTCACATGGAGACTGGGAATCACAGGCAGGAGTGGTCAGTTCATCTGCTGAGAGGGAGTAGCTTTTTTTATTTTTATTTTTTGAGAAAGAGTCTTGCACTCTGTCGCCCAGGCTGGAGTGCAGTGGCGTGATCTTGGCTCACTGCAACCTCCACCTCCCAGGTTCAAGCGATTCTCCTGCTTCAGCCTCCCAAGTAACTGGGACTACAGGCATCCGCCACCACATCTGGCTAAGTTTTGTATTTTTATTAGAGATGGGGTTTTACCATGTTGGCCAGGCTGGTCTTGAACTCCTGACCTCAAGTGATCCGCCCACCTTGGCCTCCCAAAGTCCTGGGATTACAGGTGTGAGCCACCTCGCCTGGCCGAGAGGGAGTAACTTTGGAGCTGCACTTCACTCAGCATTCACGGTACTAGCGCCCGCTTTTTGCTTCAGACTGACATTCACATCAGTATTAAAATCATTCACGGTTATTTCCTTTCTCCTTTGTAGGTCTTTCGATGGATTTTCTAGTGCCCAAAAGAATCAAGAACAACTTTTGACATTAGCAAGCATTTTAAGGGAAGATGGAAAAGTTTTCGATGAGAAGGTTTACTACACTGCAGGCTACAACAGTCCTGTCAAATTGCTTAATAGAAATAATGAAGTGTGGTTGATTCAAAAAAATGAACCCACCAAAGAAAACGAATGAGAAAAATGAAAGGAAGTTCTGCTGTCAGAGGCAAAACATCTGTTTATCATAGACATCAACATGACCTATAAGTAAAGTGCGTGTCTAGTGTCTTCTATTGAGAGTACTACTATTAATTAAGCTTATTTCCAATGTGCCTTTTTAATGCTTGAAGTTTTATCTACATACACAGGTAACAGAGGACAGTAGTCTGTAAACATATAAATCGGTCATAACTATCGTGGTCTTTATTTCTGTGAGGATCTAGGGAAATTTCATGTCACTTCCCTCCTTCACTGCATCACAATCATATTCCCTTTTTTTTTTCTTGGATTTGTGTCAGTTGGATGATATCCCCTCCAGATAGTATCAATAAAATGTTAAAATTATTTATCTTGTGTGGAACCCCTAGGCTGTCAGGCCCGGAGAGGTGAAATTCAGCTGGACACAAAAATCAAATTGTCTTTTGTGGCTGCCACCATTACATTCTCTGTTGTATGTATTACTTTCCCTCCTGCATCCTCCCACTGCCCCACTGCACAAGAATACTCCATGTAACTCCATTTAAATGTAATGAATTCATTCCTTTCTTTCTGGTCTCCACTTAACCCCCTAAAAATCTTGCTTTTTCCCCTAAACATTTCCCTGAACTGTCACGTATTTTCATTCATTCTTTAACTCATTGTAGGGAGTCCCTGCTATGTTCCAAGCACTCTGCTAAGGACTGGGAGGTGGTGGTAAGAAAACCTGTGTCCCAAGCCCCTCATCACTGACTTCCTCTTCACTAACTCCAACAACATCTTTCCACCTCCTTAACTATTTCATTCACCCTCCCACTGTGAACACCACAGACAAGGCCCCTGGCCTCATGGAGTTTACATTCTAGAGGGTGAGGGAGTTCAACACAAATAAGATGCTTGAAATTGGCAAGTGTGATGAAGAACAGAATAGGGCAGTGGGGTAGAGTGTGGTTAGGTAGGGTGTGGTGGACATCACATAAGGTGGTCAGCAAAGGCCTCTCAAGAGACAGTTGAGACTTGAATGACGAGGATGAGTCAGATGAAAGCCAGGGGCAGAGGTGAGGGGAGCATCTTGGGCAGAGGTGACAGTGTTAAAGGGAGAGGCCACGTTCAGTACCCAGAACAAAAAGCTGCACACACTGCTTGCTGAGCAAGAGAGCACTGCTCTTGTAGGGCACGGTCTCTCGGATAAAGAAAACTGCGGACCTTATGCAGGGTTTTAGGAAGGATTAACAGACTTTCAAAAGCATTTAGGAGTCGAGGGAGCTTTAGTTGTGGGGATGCAGTTACCAGAGTGAGGCCGCTGCTGATTAGCATGATTTAGAAGCCTAGTTTGGAGGTGAGGTTACTGATGGGAAATTGTCATTGATTGTTTCTGGTACTTAATTGCTACTGTGGCCAAAGGATGGTCAGTTTTATTCAGGATTTGAAGTGGTGGCAGACAACGTGAGGTGTGCCACTCAAATTCACCTTCAAGAAAGTACCAGCCGCCCAGCTGTGAGGGGTGTGGTTCGCCGACAGTCTCCCCGTTACCGTCTTCAGGGTCCACGCCAGATTTCAAGATAAGGACACACTATTCTGTGGGAGAGAGGGACCTAGTCTACAACTGAGCAAGGCAGTGGTAGCTGACAGCATGCTTTTTTCTGGCAATTCCCAGCCAATAACTGAGCAAGGTGGTGGTATAAGACCTAGCCATTTAGGCCAGGTGCAGTGGCTCACAGCTGTAATTCCAGCACTTTGGGAGGCTAAGGTGGGAGGATTGCTTGAGCCCAGAAGTTCAAGACGAGTCATGGCAACCTAGTGAGACTGTCTGTCCAAAAAATAAAAAATTAGCCAAGCGTGGTGGCACACGCCTGTATTCCTAGCTCCTGAGGTGAAAGGATTGCTTGAGCTCGGGAGGCGGAGGTTGCAGTGAGTCCTGATCATGCCACTGCACTCCAGCCTGGGTGACAGAGCAAGATCCTGTCTCAGAAAGAAAAAAAAAAGTCCTAGTCATTTCTACCAACTCGAAAGCCCTCTAATAAGCAGTCTCTGCTCTGGAGCTTTTTGGTGGGCTGCTAGAGACTTTGTTAGATCCTACCGTTCCTCTGCTCAATCCTGCTTTTCCCTTTTCCTTTCAGAGATGTCACTTCACCAGTTTTGTACTCCTAACTCCATCTCAGCCTAAAATTGGCACAATTGGTACCAGTGGCCCACGAACGTAGGTGGTAAGACAGCATTTGCAGGCTGAGTGACTCACTGTCTGGCTGGCTCGGAGGCCCCCATCCCTGGTGGATAGGTGGCACAGACAGTCCCTGGCACAAGAAGGCTGTCCAGTGATGAAGACTTCAGATGAAATGGCATGCTGGTGCAGGGGAACGCAATGACTGGTGGGTGATTTGGGTGTCTCAAATATGGGAAGGGTGGATAAAAGAGACAAGGACAGTGGGCTTCCATGGTTATTGCTGAGTTGGATTGACGTCCTGCAAGTGGATAATGAAAAGCTGAGGTCAATTAACAAACAAAACTAAGTGTGAGCCGCAGAGTCTCTGTGGTAGCTTGCCAACAATCCTCATCTCATGCTGTAGCCAAGCAGAGCAAGCTGAAGGCCAAGCACAGGATTTGATGGTAAAAGTAGCTAACAGCCAACAAATACTCAACCAAGCCAGGTCTGTTAGATCAAGGTTGGAATCAAACTTGGGATCCCAAAACATGGGATGGGAGCATTTAGTGGATCTCCCCAACCATCTGCCTCCCTAGAAAACTCCCTGAATATTCACATCCTTCAGAAGAGGCCCACCCTTCCCCATGAAGAGCTGGAACTACCCTCCCTTCCTGCCTCTTCCCTAACACAAGGGAAGACAGTGTCCAAGGTCTTTCCCCATGAAGCAAAAGGTGTCCCTCAGGACTGGTCCCTCCCCTTCTCCTGGCTACCAGGCCTATAACGAGACTTAAGTCACAACATAACTGATTGCGGCTGAGGGGTCTGATGAGGGAGAAATGGGATCTATGCCAGAGGAGCCACCTAACCTGGCAGCATGTACTGCAGGGGCCAGGGGCGTACTCTTGGGACTGGATCCTGAGGGTGCTTGGTCAAAGGGGCTGGGTTTATACAACTAGATAAAGGAGAGGGTATATTGACTTGGGGCTCTCAGGATAGAGGATTTCACACCATGAGAAAAATGCCAGGAGATAATACAGACTCACTGCTCTAGGGCAGCTTGGTAGAAGCCTAGAAAGAGTGATCAAAATGTTGAAATGCCTGAATGGCTGGGACAAACAATAGAGAAAGGAATGAGAAGGCTCAGGGAAGGGAGCATGCCAGCATGGATATATGAGGCAAGGTGACCCATCAGACAATTATGTTCCACGGGAAGGCCCAGGGGACCCATCCTTCAGCAAGGCTGCTGGGAATGCACTGATAAGCGGGCTTGGGCATCATAAAGGAGCTCAGCGGTGGCTCTCCTCGGCAGGCTGGGGCTGGCAGGAAGGGCTGTGATGGAACTTCACTTGCTGAGAGCAATGTGGATGATGATGAGACCTTGAAGAGCCCAGGTGGCAGTGCCAGCCACAGAAGCCAGGGTGCCATCAGTATCCTGTTAACCACTAAGCTCCAAATGGCAGCCGAGGGGTCCTGACCTGTAAAGTCTCATGGAAATAGTTGGTAGAACAAGGCATTCCTAGGGACAAAAGAGCTGACTAATCAACAAGGGTAAGGCTTTATATATAATCAAAAGTGAGCAAGAATTGATGAGCAGGGGACTGAGAGAGATCACTCCAATTAAAAAACAAAAACATGATTCCTTGCCAGTTTCTAGTTCAGTTTTCTGACCTAGAGCTCATTAATTGCAGAGGTGACTGTATCCTAGGGGAAAGTTTCCTGCAACATTTCAGCAGGTGTACACAGTAATGATCCCCTCATTCTTTTTCTAAAGGATCTATGGCCATTTACTCAGGTGGCTCTACCCTGGGGAAAGAGGAATACCTGGATACGTCAGGGTCCAAGTTAACGTCTGATACCCAGAAACCCAAAGAGTCATTACAGTTCCTCCTCCTCCCATTAAAATGGGAGCATACAGAGGTTAGAAAGTAAACGTAGTTCTAATCAAAGTTTGGCTTACAGCAGATCTCCTGGGCCTGCAGGTTATCTGCCTAATCCCTGAATGTATAATTGAGACTGACATCCTTGGCAGGCAGAATAACCCCTACATTTGTTCCTTGACCTGTGGGGAAAGAGTATAAGCTTCTAAACTCCCTCTCCTCCAATCAGGGCAGTAAACCATAATAAATATTGCCTTGAACAGTATTTTTTAAGCACCTCGGGTGAACATCTGCTTCTGGCCATGATGATGAATTGGGAACCCAATTTACCTGTCCCTCTTAAACAACTAAAAGCCCAGACAAAATATATGAAACAATGGTTTTCAGACACTGAAAGTTCATAGTACAGGACTGTGATCTCTGCGAGAAGGGGGAATAATGAGGTGAGTCCAGTGATTGCTCAGGCGAATGGCCTGGAGGCAGTTTCTAGGCAGCAAAGCAGGGAGAGGGAAGCCAGAGACCAGTGGTCCTGCTGTGTTGAGGAGATGGAGATCAGTGTCACCGGAGGCCAAGGTGAGTAAGTGAGAGGAGAGGAGGCAGCAGCACACAGACAGAGAGTGCTGTAGATCTGCAGTGGGTCCCCTGGAGTCCTTGGTTGAGTGAAGGTGTTAGAAGAAACTACTTAAGCCAAGAAATGAGTAACTGGAAATTAGTAGAGCAAATAATTTACAGATCATCTATGGGGCTGGGAAAAGTTTGTGTTTCCACTAGCCAGAGTAGAAATAACTCATAATGCATGGGTCATCAGGTGGAGTCCTCCAACAGGTGTTGCCTTAGTACTGAGGTCAAATTGTCCCTAGACCAAAGGCTTCTTTGGACTTCCCCTAACAAAGCTTAAAGACAAGCCTTGGAAGGATCAAACTAATTTCAAGAAACTTAACTGTGAATCAGAATAAAACCCAATACCATTTATAGGAATATAACAAAATCCATCAACAAACAACATAACACTCATAATTACCAACATTCAGTAAAAAATTACTGGAAACAGAGAAATATAAATTATGGCCCATAATTAGGAAAAAAGGGTAATCATTAGAAGTAGAACCAGAAGTGACAGATATGAAGAAATTAGCAGCTTGAATTATGTGATGTGGCAGATCTTATGTATTGGAGGTAGGGGGAAAGAAGATGCAGTGTGGAATAGATGACAAGGCCCAATGAGAGAATCACAGTGCAGGTCCCTGGGGCCCTGAAGGAAGGTGGTTCTAACCACAGGAGAGGATCATATGCTTTTTGAAAAACAGCCTCTGCTGTGCTACTGGGCCCTGGTAGACACGGAACTTTGAGACCCAGTGATGCTGTATCCAGAACTGCTCATCTTAACTAGGTCCTGTGGGAAGCACTAAGTCATAAGCTAGTAGGATCGGCAGCAGCCCATTGGAAGATGGAAATGATATGTACAGGAGCAGTTCCAAGCCAGACCAGAGGACATAAGCAAACTGCAAGAGCAATTACTCCAACCGCCATGTCTGCACAGTGGCACCTACATCCCCCCTCCCTGTGGTTGTTGGAGGACCTGTATGATCCACTGAAGGAAGAGGAATGCTTGGGCTTGGTTTATTGATTAGTTATCTTCTGTAGTTGCAAGCTGAAAATGGACCTTCACTCAAAGGTGACATTGAAAAACGGGAAAAAAATTGCAATCTTCCTGCAAAAACTGGGCAGAATTTTTTGAGGTACACTGGATCATTCACCTTGTGAGGGAGGACAGGTAAAATATTTATGGAAGTGGCAGAAAATGGCCTGCCAGCTGATCAGGAGTTTGGGAGGAAAAAAACATGGATTAGGAGGTCTGGGGTAGAGGCATGTGGATGGGCATATGGAGTGAACACAGAAGTTGAAAAACTGTATCACATGTTAATGCCCACTAGATAGCACCCACCAGAGAAGAGGCACTAAACAACCAAGTAGATGAAATGACTTAGCCTGTTCTATTAGCTTTTGCCAGTGCCCACCTCAGTGCTGGTAAAATGCACACATAAAGTGGCAGTGGTGGCAAAGATGGAGGCTATGGATGGAACCCACCAACATGGGCTCCCACTTACCAAGGCCAACTTAGACACTGCTCACTGTGACTATCCAACCTGCCTGCAACAAATACCAATGCTGAGACCCTGATGAGGCTGTGAAGACCAACTGGTCGCTTGATAGCAAATTCACTATGGTAGGCTCATTCTTTCCTAGAAGCACCAGCAGTTTATTCACACAAGGACAGACTTCCTATTCTAGGTATGTGGTTCCTTTCGGGCCTACAGGGTCCTGAACACAATCTAAGGACTTACAAAACATCTGAACTGTCAGCGTAGATTTGCTGAATACGTGATCTATACATGTTAACACCCAATCAGGGAGAGTTCGCCAGCGGTCATAGGATCCACTGCTCCTATCACATACTGCGCCACCTAGAAGCTGCTAGACTGATGGAATGTTGGCATGGCCTGCTTTAGTGCCAGGTGGGAGACAATACCCTGCCAAGATGTGCCACCGTCTCCTGCACACAGTATACTTATTGAATCAGAAAGCCTGTATGATGCTGTGTCTACAACAGGAATATATAGATTTCAGAACCAAGGAGTGGAGGCAGGAGTGACCCCACTTACCATCGCACCCAACGAACCACTGAGGGACTTAGTACTTCCCATGCCCACAACTCCAGGTTCTACAGCATCAGAAGTCCTAGTTCTCAGAGACTGTATACCTTCTCTAGGCAATATTGCAAGAATCCCATTGAACTACAGTCTGCTGCTACTATGTGGGCACTTTGGACTCTGTGTTCAGGGACCAGTAGGCAAGAAGTCACCATCTAGTCAAGGGTAATTGACCCTGAACTGCAGGAGGAGGCAAGCCTGCTGTCAGAGGATAGTGGCGAGAGCAATGTGTGTGGAACTTAGCGGACCCACTGGAGGCACCCTCTGTACTCCTTGCCCAGTTGTAACTGAATGGACTAGTGCAGCAACCCTGGTCTGAGAAGGGTTTGGCTCCCAGGAGCTCAGGACCCTCAGGAATGAGAGCTTGGTTTATACTATCAAAAAAGCCACCAAGACCAGCAAAGATGACAGTTGTGGGTGAGGGGAATTTAGAATGAAGCAGGGAGTAATGAGGACCAGTTGTGGTTCCAAAACCATTTGCAGGAAGGTGCTATAGTTGGTCCTACCAAACTCCTCTTTCAACATTTATCCTCAGGAAGAGAGGTCCATTGGCGCCCTGAAACAGTCACTCTCTGCGTGTTTTTGGGAAAATGGATCCACATAGGCAAGGGGTGGACCATGGCAGGCATAGAGCGGTGCCACTTAGATCCCCCTTCAAGACAAGATATGCCATCCAGCTGCAAGGAGTGTGGGTAGCTGGCAGCCACCAGCTGCTACTTCACCAGGATCCACCTTAGCTTTCAAGCTGAGGTCACGCTATTCTCAAGACAGGAGGGGTTGGTGGCCAATGATTTCACTAAATTATGGAAATTGAGAGCATGCTTTTCTGAGGGGGCCCTCTTGCCAAAGACCAAGCAAGGCCATGGTACAAGGACCTAACTGTTTCAGTCCAACACAGGACTCCTCCAATGAGTGACCTTTTTCCCAGAGTTCCCCTGGGATGGCAGCTCGCCTGCTCTCCCTGCCTCGTCCTGCTTCCTCTTTTCCTTTCAAAGGTGCTTACTCCAATAATAAATCCTTTGGTATTCTAACTGTCTACTTCTTGAAGAATCTAAACTGGCAGTAGGATCATGCCCCTCACTGATAGCTCAACCACGTTTTCTATCTTTGGGCCTCCTTGTCTTTACCTAGCACATGAGAAGCATTTATTAGGACTTTTTTTCCCCCATTGCTGAACAAATGACTACAGATTGCTCTACCTCTTGTTCTGTGAATAAAGGCTGGCCGCTGTGGAAGGTAGGTCAGAGCAGGCAACTGAGAGAAACTGTATTACAGTTACCGAGTGGCTTATTAAGGAAAGTGGCGCAACAATCAGGTCCATGTTTCATTCAAATGACCCTCCATTCCCCCAACAACATCCTCACATCTGCCAAAGCAAATTATGCTGCTGTGCTCATTTGATGATGGAATCAGCATCGCATGCAGGCTGAACCCCTACTACGGCAGAACCAAGAAAGCCACTCTTTCCCCTCTCCTCCTAAGATGCCACCACAGAGCAGGGTGCCAGTGGTGGGTGGGGAGAAAGACGGAGACACAGAAACGTCTCCTTTTCACTGTGATTCTCCTAAGGAATATACAGTCACCCCCACAGGAAAAGCAAGAGTTCAATCAAGATTCTTCAGAAATAGTAGGATGGCAGAAAGCAGATCGCATTGAGGTTGTTTCCAACTGACAGACCAAGCAGTAATTTGTTTCTCTCCCCACTGATAGTAAAAATAAAGTGGAAATAATTTAGGGCTGGGGCTTCTGTGATTATCTGGAACTTAAAGTATGAGGGTATGAGAGCCATCAGATCTACCCCTGTGGAGCTTTTTAAGATGCGGTCCATAACAGAAGCGGGCCCCAAGGAGTAGAGTAGCCACATGGAAGGTGCCATGTTTCAGGGATGAGTCTCGATTCTTCTCTCCCTGTATTTCATCCATGCCTGTAAGAAGTTCTCACGTCTCTCCACATGCCACGTCATCTGAACCGCCAGGCGATAGGTTATTCGTATTTTATTCCAAAGTCCATAGGACACGATGTGGACTTGTTTTTCCACGTGCCCTTGTAGATGGTGCCATCCAGTGTCTGTGATGTTCCACCTCCTCTGTTGGGTTGTCACCTCCCCCAGAGACCTTCTGGTCTCACTGCTTTTCTGTTTGTATCCAGCAAAACACTCAACAATTCTGTATAAGAACACCTATCTCATTATTCAAAAAAAATGCATGTATAAACAAAAAGAAATATTTCAAATATTTACTTTACAATTGTTTTATTCAAAGGAAATTAAATACAAATGTATATTTTTCATTAAAAATGGGGATTTAAAAATAGTTTTATAATTAGTGTTATGTTGCTTTATCTTATCTTTGCATAAATTATGTATTATTAAAGGTTTCTGATATCCATATACATTCTAGTCTTTTTTAGGCAGCTATGAGAAGATTTCATATTCAAAAGCCAATGCCACTTTTCTAAAGAAACGATCTTTGTGCCAAATTAGTAGACAATTGCTCCAAATCTCTGGTCTTGACTTCCGGTTGTGTGAAGAGCAGTGTTTTGTTTTTTTCAGAGAAGGGAAAGAGCCTTCATTCTTTAGGTTTGTTTTTGCCTCAAAGACATTTCTATATGGGTATCTAAAGTTTTAGTTTATAAGTCTCATAATGATTTGACCCATGCAGTCCAACTTTTAGATAGTATTTCCATACCCCCCAAAAGCTGGCAGGTGGTAGTCGCACTAGATTCAGACCAAGACTCTCCGCATTGTCATCCTAGGTCCTTCTAATGAAGAAGACAATACTCTAGTTTATTTAACAAATAAAGGAGTCTAAGTACATGGAAGTTAAGGGAGTAAGGGTGGGGGTAATGAGATTATTACATTAAAATAAAGACTTCACACACGTGTGTCCCATGTCTAAAATTGTTGAAAATCTGATTGGAGAAGATTAGAAGTAATTAGCAACTCAATTATTTATAAACAAATATAAAAATGCACAAACCAAATGATGCAAAAAAACCTTTTTAATCTAAAAATTCATTTCCCAGGGCTAATTGATAGCCAGGCCCTACCAATTTTTATCAGTTTATTTGACTAACAAGAGCTATTCAGCATTTTCTTCAAAGTAAGATAATATATAATAGATTTTGATAAATCTTTCTGAATTAGGACATGATACTGTAGGCAGTTCAAGGAAAAAAAAATAGCCATAACTTTTTCTTTGGTGTAACCAAAAGGATATCCAAAAGTTAGCAAATGTTGACATTTCAAGTGACAGGAAATTGCCTAATGGAAGTTTAAACTCTGGTTAAAAAAAAAAAAAAAAAAAAACTGTTGTAAAAGGAAAAGCTCCACCCATAGTTCTGTAGTGCAAGTTTTCAAATTTAATTCTGAAAAATAATTTTATTTCATAGGCAGGAAACAAATTCCAGCAGTGTATCACTTACTCCTTTCCAACCCTTCCCCTCTCTCTATGTCCACACCATCACTTCAGTTGTCAATGACCTCAGCTGCTACTCAAGGAGGAAATTCATTAAAAAATTACCCACACTTCTAAAAATCAGGCTACAATTGTGTGTATGTGGCTGCACAGCAGCAGGCACCAGGTTACAGCATTGCCACTTCTACGTTTGTCATTTTTACAAAAAAGAAGCAAAGTCTACCTCCCCCAGAAAAAAGTACCTGAACCAATTAGTCACTTAGCCCCTTCCCAGCCTCTCCGTGCTCACCAGACCTGCCTCACCTCAGCAGCACACGTGTGCATATATCTGTGTGTTCTGTGCATTAAGAACCAGCAACTCTACTGCCTCTTTCTTGAAGTAACATCTTCTCCTTTCTTACAAAACTCGCTGATTTCTATAAACGTAATTCTCTGAAAGCAATTACCGCCTAGACCAGAGGACTCCGTTACTCTACCAAGCTTAAGTCTGGCTTGCTTTCTTCTATTTCTGTACATGTTGTTTGTGTATATGTGTATTTTTTAAAAATTAAAAAGTGTGGAAAATGCACACATACACACCCAGCATTTAGCAAAAAAAAAAAAAAAAAAAAAAAATCTTCCCCGGGAAGCACTTTCAGAAGTTTAAGCTTCTACTTGTTCTTAAGCCACAGGGCAAGTGCCAGGTGAGTCCTAAATAACCGTTCACTCACACTGCAGGGCTGGCAACCCCGGGGCCCACAGCACAGAAGCAGAGTGGGCTCCCCGGGTGAGCCAGGGAAGGGCGCCTAGCAGGCTTCCTAGAGTGCTGCATTGCTCGTCTCCCCCCGTGTCACCTGGGAGAGTTACGTTCTTGGCCCTAACTCTCCTCGCTCAGAGAACCGCCACACTGTGGGGAGGGCTCTCTGCCCTCTGCACTGGCTGTCCCATCCACAGGGCCGGGGGCCTGGGGCTGCAGGGAGGCGGCAGGCCCCTCCCCACAGAGCAGGCCGCCCTCGTCCATCTCCTCCCTCGCCAGTCCGTCCAGGGAACATCCCTCCGCAGCGCCCAGAGCCCCGCGGGCTATGCTGTCCACAGGCTCCACGGCTTCCCCTTCTCCCTCCGAGATGACGGTCATGGGGCTGCTCTGGATCCGGTTCCGCATGCTGTACCTGCTGCTGGCGGCAGAAGGCGGCGTTCGGCTGCGGCCGTACCTGGGGCCGGAAAAGGACAGACTCCGAGGCATCAAGCCTTCGTTCTTGGCCCACTCCTCCTGCGCCCTTCTGTTCTTGCTTGGGGAGCAGCTTGACGGGCTCTCGGGGGCATCTGGGGAAGGCTCTGACCTCGACCTCTGGAATCTAGGGTCTGTGTTCTTGAGCATCTCTGCTGCAGACATGCGGGCGCTGGTGTCTGAACGACTGCCCTTTTTCAGCAGCAGAGCTTTGAAGTTGTCACTGCTGGTGCTGCTCTTTCGGATGCTTCTCTGAATCGACCCCACTTGCTTTGGAGAGGCCAGGCTTGGGGCAGCGCCGGTGGGTGTCACGGGCGGGGAGGGAGAATGGTTTCGGGAGTGGTCATCATCTGAATCTCTACGGCCGAGGACTTTCCTTTTGGATCTGAGATTTAATAACATTAAGAAAAAGGTTAATTCCCACGGGACCACAGGCTGTCAGCCACAACCACTCTGCTCTTATCGCATCTTCAGGTCACCATCTACTTAAGATTCACTTTCAAAAAATTTATTTTTGACTGGGCACAGTGGCTCACACCTGTAATCCCAGCATTTTGGGAGGCCACGGTGGGAGGATCACTTGAGCTTAGGAGTTCGAGACCAGCCTGGGCAACACAGTAAGACCTTATCTCTATTCAAAAAAAAAGAAAAAGTAATAAATGCATAATTTATTTTATTTTTTTGAGACTCACTCTGTCGCTCAGGCTGGAGTGCAATAGCGCAATCTCAGCTCATTGCAACCTCTGCCTCCCGGATTCAAGCGATTCTCCCTGCCTCAGCCTCCCAAGTAGCTGGGATTACAGGCACCTGCCACCATGCCCAGCCCAGCTAATTTTTGTATTTTTAGTAGAGACGGGGTTTTGCCATGTTGCCCAGGCTGGTCTCAAACTCCTGACCTCAGGTGATCTGCCTGCCTCGGCCTCCCAAAGTGCTGGGATTATAGGCGTGAGCCACTGTGCCTGGCAAATAATTTATTTTTAACTTTGGAAAATTTCAAACACCCACACAAAAGAGAACAGCTCACTGCAAGACCGCATGAGCCCATAACTCACCTATGATAATCATTAATTACGGTCACCCTTCTTTTGTCTCCACCCTCCCTATTTGAAACAAATCTTAGACACTATTAACTTACTTTGGACAGGACCAAAAGTTTTAATAATGGCCAGTTTTCCTTGATCTCTCCTAGACGGGCTGATCCGGAGTGAATTTCACATGCTGACCCTCCTTTCTTTCTATGCTTCCTTTTCTTGTTCCATGCCAGAATATCCCCTGTACTAAGATGTACCCCACTCCAGGTCCTAGAACAACTCCTCAGCTTCACATTCTCAGTTATTCTAGAAGTTGCCGTCAGACCAGTCTTCCTCAGCTCTTCCAGGACCATGTGCCAACTTCTAAAATCCAGCCTTCCAGAAAACAAAGGCGAACCCTCCATGCCAGACCCTGCTTCATGATCGACTCAGCAAACCTTGCACTGATCAAGAAAATGTGAGGGGTGGGGTGGGGTGGGGAAGACGAAGGGGCAATCAAAGAAAGCTGAAGGTTTCCTGTAGGTATTTCTTGTCCTGAGTCTCTGAGAACCTCACTGTTCAATGTGCTTTCCATTGCCAGTGACAAAGAGATGATAAAGCCAGTGAGCCAAGTGGCCCCTTGCTGGTCTCTTCATGACAACAACTCAGTCTGTGTCTCTTAGCTAAGTGCAGGAGAACTTGCTTTAAGGAAACTCAACACAGTTAATAGAATAAAGACGTGGGTATATCTCTTTTCCTGCTATAAAATTGTAGAATATGCAGCAGGGAAAGGTTGAGAGTATGATATCTGTACACACAGATTAAGAGTTGAAACCAGACTCTTCCCACCTCTCGCTGTGTGACCTGGGACAAATTACCCATGCATGCCATGCCTCCTCACTTATAAGATACCAACCTCACAGGTTTGTGAAGATTAAGTGAAATAAAGAAGCTAGCTACATAACTCCCACTGCTAAAGCTTCCTTGTTCTGTCACCTTGGACAAGTTAACATTTCTGACTGTGTATTTTTCCTATCACCAAAAGGGGAATAACAGTATATAGGTCACAGTTTGTCAGTACTCATGAATGCAGTGATAGCCATAATTGGTCAGGCATAGAGCAGGTGCTTAACAAACCTTTGAATGTCACATAGAAAATGGATTTAGTTTTTACGTGGCTTACACAGCAAGACAGAGGGCAGCATGGGCCCATGCTGGCTGCCCTGGGCTTGGTGTTCCTGGCGTCATCTCCATTCTTCTGGTCAAAAAGATGCCACTAAAGCAGAGGCTGGGAAATGGTAAGGACCCAATACAGGGTCTGAAGGGTGGCCAGAGTGGACAGGGCACCAGACTCTTTGGGACTGCAGAACATGGCCTACCATACAGGTTTCATGGTCCCACTCAGTAGTTAACAAGAGCAGTCTGCCCTGATAAGAGTTAGGACCGGCTGACAAAACTACAGACATCCTAACATCTCGAAACTGTAGAGCTAGAAAAGACGTTAGAAATGGTCTAGTCCAACCACTTTGGGTTTCAGAAAAGGTAACTGAGAAAAGGTAACTTGTTAGTATGACAACTAGGACTTGAGCTTATAGCACATGGCCTCACCACTTACATGGTCTACTCCCCAAAGCAGCTCTGCTCATTTCATTCTTTTAGGTATTGGCTGGTGACTTAATTTGTAATTTAGATTTTAAACGGTGAGAGTATGCTGAGATCCATTAAACAAGTCACAACTAAACTTGAGTAAAACTATGACCTTTAATTGTAGACATAGAATTAAGAAAGAAGATGGGGTGACCAGCCTGAGCAACATGGTGAAACCATGTCTGTACTACAAATACGAAAATTAGCCGGGCATGGTGGCACACGCCTATAATCCCAGCTACTTGGGATGCTGAGGCAGGAGAATCATTCGAATCTGGGAGGCAGAGGTTGCAGTGATCCAAGATCGCGCCACTGCACTCCAGCCTGGGTGACAGAGTGAGTGAGACTCTGTATCAAAAAGAAAAAAAAAAAAAGGAAGAAAGATGGGATTTTATGAAAGCACTGTCATCTCTCAAGAGCAGGTGCCCACTAAAATAATTAAATCTAAATGTACAAATTCTTTGCATATACATACACAACACACACACACGAATATGTATTTTTAATGAAGAGAGCTATAAAAAGTGCTTAAACAGTTAACACTGATTTTAAAACTAATTACTTCAATAAATATAAAAACTTCACACCTCAACTGGTGTTCTACATTTTCCATCTGGCTTTAAATCTGAAGCGAATTAATTTGCATTATAAAATTTGGAAGCTGTGTTTCAACTTAGATATTCTTTATTTTAAATTATGAGCTTAAGCGCTGAAGGACATAAAAATAAAGCCCTAAAAAAGCACAGACAGTAGATGGATTTTTACTATGTCTGCTAATTTATTCTCAACGCTACAACAGAAATTAGCATATGTCCTCACTCTCTCTCTGCAATCCATTCCTAAGGCCTATTTGGCTTTGACTTCTCTCATACGTGCACTGAGTAACACCAACTGACCGATTTCTACATCTGCAGTCGATGTAACGTCCTAGTAAGAGAAACAACACATTTTTCGATGCCTTAAGAAGGTTGCCAAAATATAGAAGAGGCCTTTGGCATATTTTTGGGAAAAAATATGCAGTAATTTGGACCCACAACAGTTGGGTTTCCTCACTGGAACCAAGTATCGAGTACACAGAACAACCAGGCTACGCAAATCTTCTCTGTGGATGGCTATTATAAATAGACAGATATGCCTGTATATTTAGCAACCCAGTGCATTCCATACTAAATGAAATACTCTGAGTCTTGGAAGAATCTTCTAATGGTTAAATACCAGTTGGTTTCATTTAATTCAGGAAATATTTATTGAGTGCTTCTTATGTGTCTAGCGTGGTTAAGAGTTAGAAACATCTATGGGAACTTCTAGAATTGCCACTGAAGTTTCAAAGGATGCATCATTTATCATTTCTCTGTTTTGAGAAATAATTGGACAACCAGCTACCTTTTCACTTCTAATGAGACTGAAGAAACCAGTCCATGTTAAAAGGGGCAGTCTTTAGGATCTATTATACCAACACTAGAGGAGCGACGTAAAGAGCGTAATTCTTGACAAGAACATTAATTCACCGGCTTCGTTCCCCCCACACCAAGTTAGATGTTAATGTGTTGCATGAAGAGTTTCAGGTAGGTACAGCACTATGTTTTTCATCTTATGCAATAGTCTTTTCAGGGAGAGTCCAAGAATTGGGAAAGCAGTGCTGACATAAGATCATTCACACACAGAATCAAATGATTCTACAGGATGCTTTGTTTCAGGAGGTTAAAAAAAAAGAAAGGATCTTCATTCAGGGCAAAATAAGGCCTTGGCAGCATAAGGACATTCATTAGAGTTACCTGGAAATACCGTGGTAGAGAAGTCTAGAAGGAAGCAAAAGGTTTATACAGCATTACGGCTTAACGTAGTTGCACATATACAGTCATCAGCTTTTACGATGACACTGTGTGGGAGTAGTCAGCTGTTTCCAATCAGAAAAGTGATGCAGTAAGTAAAACTTCAGTGCTAAATCATATTTACTCTTAAAGGTGACCACATATAAAAAGTGTAACAGTTCAGGCCATTACTTTGAAAATTTTACCCTTTTTGTTTGTTTTTAAACCCAACGATTTCTGATGCCAGTAGATGGCACTAGTGGTATATTAACAAGCATAAGTCATTCTTTTGCTCCCGCTTAAAGGGCCGTACTCTTTTATAGAAACACTTAAGCAGCCAAAGAAATTGCTCTGTATAACTGTGGTTTTTCTGTAAAATGAAAAAAATTAGAATAAACTAAAACATCTTTAGGAAGAGAGTCCCATGGAGCTAGTCTGTGCATCCTAAGTCCACAGAACATAGCATTCCTCCTCCTGACTGCACTGTCAGTCACTTTAATCCGACTCTTGCTAATATACTCTGTCTTATGACTGCCACACTGCGCTCCTTGCCAGGAAGAGCAGCGCCTACCAGAACGTATCACATTGAGCCACTGTCCCCAATGTCATAAAAATCAGTGAGACAAAGTAAAACAGAAATTGGAGCCAGAGGAAATAAAACTGTAGAAACCCACTAAAAAATCAACAGTAAAGTTAAGGAGTTATGATTGGGTGACAGAAGAAACCTCAAGGAAGAAAAGTAAATTGAGGTGCTGCTTGGAAAGAAGGAATTACACAGTAGATTAAAGTCAGAGGAAGGAGTTTGAAATACCTGTGAATAGCTGCAAAAAGGTCTTCTGTGGTCCTGGGTCGACTGGGGGTCATTACCTCATCATTCCCGTCTTCCTTGAGGAAGTCACAGGCCTCTGAGGATGAACCGGCTGCGTTGGTCTCCGGCACCCCAGCTACAGAAGAGCAGGCAGGCATACAAGACGCACAAGTGACTGGAATTTCAGTCCTCAGCCAAGCTTCTAAATATGCTGCTTCCCTGCCATTCCCGACAATGTGAGAACCACAGGGAGATGCCGTGGGTCTGTAGTTTGATAGTTTACAAAGAAGGGAGGAAATGACACTAGCCTGAGAGCCAGAGCTCATTCTTTGTTAAAGTATGGAACGCCCATGGCATCTCTCTTAAATTTTGTTGCAACGTTTCTTTGCGCGGCTCTTCGGAAGGGAGGTGTTACCCATTGCTATTTAATACCCAGCCTGCTGCAGATCATCTCCATCCCCCTATTTTCTGCCATGCCTTTAGGTCTAGATTTTAAAAATAATAACAAAATGCAAAGTTGGTAACTTAATCTGTGTTTTAACACAGGAAGCCTACATACTGCTAGCTTTAACAGGAATCTGATCTACCTGGGTTCTTTCCACGTGTGAGCATTCAACAACCCTATCTGGTTCAGCTGCATATGGGCAGAGGGCACAGGAGAGAGAAGCCAGGAAGCCAGACTCACCTGCTCCGTCCTGTTGAGATAGGCAGCTCTCCCCATCGCCCCCAGTATCCGCACTGTTCTCGGCTGGCTCCTCCTGCTTGGGGGCTGGTGAGACATCAGGCTGAACCATGGGGACATTGGCTTCCACTCTGCTGGGAGACATGGATCCTGCAGCTCCTCCCTCAAGAACCGAGGTGCCAGGGTGCGTGGCATGAGAGCCAGCTTGGGCTGCAGAACTCTCTTTTGCCTCCCTGCTGTGCACAGAGCCCTCCTCTCCCGTCGTGGGGCTGGGCACAGCTCGGAGGGCTTCGCTCACGTTCTCTGCGGGCTCCACTGCAAAATCTTTCTGCGGAGGTGGTACCACCAGGAACAGTTTGGGCTTCTTGGAAATGGGGGGTGGCTTCCTGCTGGGTGAAGAGTCTGGGAGTGGGGTGGTGCTGGGGCTGGGCCGAGCCTCTGCCTCCCCAGCGCTTGGAGCTCCAGGGCTGCGGCTCACAGGGCCACCACGCTCAGCCGCACTGCCATGGTCACCCTGACTCGAGCTCTTGGCAGGCGTCGGAAGCGAGCTTGTCACAGAGGCAGGCTGGCTTTCACTCTCCATTTCATTTGTGCTATTTCGGGATTTCAGGAAAGCAGATGGCTTTAAGTGGTACTGTGGAGCAACTGGAGTTCGTTGTTCCTGAGCTGTTCGTTCAGACAACTGTGCCGCCTCAGCGCCTGAGTTCTTTCTCACGGGCCTCAACTGCACCATCTGCAATGCTTCCGTGGTTATCAGGGGCATGGGGGGCCTGCTGGTCTCCTCCTTGGTAGAAGGCGGCCTCAAGGATCCCCGGGAGGATTCTGGCTGGCCAGAATTTGTGAAAGGCGGCCTGGTGTCTTTCATGAATTTGGGGTCAAGAGGTGGGGCAGGTGGGGGTTCCGAGGAAGGTAAGAGAGGTGGGGGCAATGGCAAGGACACAGGTGAATCTGGAAGAATGGGGCTCAGTGCAGGGCGGGGAGGAGAAAGGCACCAATCAGGTGGGGAGCAGAAAGGAATGAGAGCTTCTGGCGGCGGAGGGGGGAACACAGGAGAGTGAGGCAGAGGAGAGCCCTGGGAGCAATCTGTGACAGGAGGTGGGGGAGGAAGGAAAGGAGACCTGTCTGCAGGACAAGGGAATGGAGGAGAGGGAACAGGAGGAGGAGGAGGAGCCGGGGGAGAGCCCACGGCTGGATCCAGCTTCTTCATAGTGCCACTTCCTTCAGTAGAAGTACTAGAAGAAAGAGAAGTGGACGATGAGGAAATGGATACTGAAGATATCAGAGAGGACTTCCTTTCTGGTACCTTGGGCTTGGGCTTCCCCTTCCCGTTTGCTGGTGACACTGATTTTAAAAACACAGGCACAGGGGTGAGTGCTGTGGGTGTATTCGACTGGCTGGAATACCCACTGGATGGAGAAATGACTCTGTGTGACTTCTCTGGTGACATGATCTTTGGTTTGACTGAACCACCGGGCACTTGGGGCATTGTGGCTCTGGACCCTTCTTGGACATGGCGGACTGGCCCGTTCCCAGTGGGCACCCCACTGCTGGTTGAACAGCCCCCTGCCGGGTTCCCCGGATCTTCCTGCATGCCCGTGTAGTCAATGTAATAACCCCAGGGGTCCGTGTACTCTGACTTGACGCTGCTTGTGTCACTCTGCGATGGCGTGGCCCCGCACAGGGAGTAGACATTGGGGGTGGTGGCGGAAGTCATGCTGCTGCCAGCACTAACTGTGCTCTGGCTCCGGGAGCGGGGCAGCCAGGGCTCTTCCAAGTCACTGCAGGGGCTCTGGGAGGGCGAGCTGCCACTCTTGCCTGGGAGGCTCAGCTGCAGCGAGTGCTGGAGTGTGGCGATCAGGCTCTCGTTGAGCACCTGCCCGTTGCACTGGCTGCTCTTCTTGGGAATCCTGCGGAGGGAGTCTGTCCGGGAGGGTGGCAGGGGAGGCTTCTTTGCTTTCTTCAAAGAGATGTTTCTTGATAGGGATTTATCCTGGTAATTGGACCGGTCCCCTTGGTTTTTCTGAGCTCTTCCAACAAAAACATTGATCACGCTGTGCCTGGGGTTCCCAAAGCCATCACTGCTATTGCACAGATTCCCAGATCCATGTCCAGAGTCAGTGTGCACAGATGCACAGTAGCCATCGTGGTCCTCAGAATACAGCGACCCAGCATCCTCTTTGTTGGACGTTTGGTCCAAACTGCAGCTGCTCATGTTACTTGTGGGAGTGGAATAGCCAGGAGTTGCTAAATGCGGCTTCAGGGGGGATGCCCTTCCATTACCTGAGGATTTGTATTCCCAGGGCTCCGAGCTGCTGTGCCCTCCGCCCCCTGAATAACTAGATTCACTCTTGCCATCCACATCTTGGGGGTGGGCTGGGAAGGCCAGGTTGTTTCTACAATTATACGGCATAGCTTGGGACCCATTCTCCCTATTTGCTGGAGCATTTAGAGGGACGGCTGAGTCACAGAGGGACAACAGTGCGGGTTCACCAGGGGAATGAGGGTCTAAGTCCTGTGAAAGAATGGTGGCATGGCCCTCATTCCAGTGGCGACCGGGAGACTGAGGATCACCTTTCACAGCATGCCTGGAGATGAGGTGGTCTCTGGATTTTATCCTTGCATGTGATGAGCCAGAACTTTTACTTTCCCGCTGTCCCGCACTCTGAGCAGTGGGAATAGCGATGACCTCGGAAGAGGAAGACAGTGTGGCATTTGGGATGATGCTGGTGGAGTAGGTTGCATGAGGAGAAACCACACACGCTGGGCTCATTATATTTTCACTCTCGAAGTGTCTCAACTCCTGGGATTTGGGTCTCAAAAGTGTTCCAGTCCCTGAGGCACCTCCTAAATGGCCTAAGTTTTCATCTGCTTGTGGGTGACCTCTCTGGTAGAGGAAAGTGCCATTCATGTCTCCTGCAGGGCCGAGGGCACCCAGCCTCGGCTCAAGGGACTGAATGTTTGCCCTTGCTCCAGAACGCGGAAGACTATGGAAGCCAGCATCACTGTCAAGGCGGGAAGGGAATACGATCCCTGCAGAATCGCTCAGCACAGACATGTTGCCAGAGGAACCTGAGAAGTGGCCCATCTGGGCAGCAATGCCTTGCCCCTTCTGTGCCCTGATTCTCCTCATGGAAGGTGGTACGACCTTCACATCCTCCGTCTGACAGCTGGAGTCCCTGGTTTCTGAGCGCTGCCCAGCAGACCGACAGCTATTGAACCTTCCTAGTGTAGAGTAGTGATCAGGGGTGTACACTGAGTGGCCATCAGCATCATCTTGGCCAGTGCCTGATGCTGGAGATAAAGCAGAAAGAGGCTTGTTACCTGAAAATAAAATCCATAGTTCATCACGTGTACCCTCACCCCTCTGACAGAATTTTAAAAAAATTTTTCTATTTGATTTAATTTCCTTTCTCCTGTAGGTATCTAAGTACATTTAAAAAGTTACTGATAGCTCTAAAATGAAAATTATTGTCATGAATGTCAGGTACTTCTCTTAATTTGTACCTCCAATCCTCCTATGGCTTGAGTGCTGCGTATGGAATTCTCAGGGTATCCCTTCAAGATCAAGGCTGCCAAGGGCTCAGAGGAGGATTTACTTTGAAATAATCACCTTTCAGTAAAGTCTTCAAGGTAGCCTTTCGCCCACTGGGTGACTGTGCAGACCATCTATCAAGCAGTGACACATCTTTCCCAAAGGTAGATGAATGTAGTAATTGAACAATAGGGCCACAGAGATACCATATTTGAGGGGTACTGGTATAAAACAGTGTTAATTACATTAATTCTTTATGTCAGAAGGAAATTCTAAGGCAAAGAAAATTGATTTACAGGCCCATCTGTGTTCCAAACATTTCATTATCCATCTGAAGCCATTATCTGTCTGTTGGTGACATTCAAAATTCAACAGCAATCTGTTGTGTTCTAGTTGGGGAAACTGGCAGGAACTGATCCAGTGAACATTTCCTCAAATTAGGATGATTTATTCGTTGGAGTTTTACAACCAAACAGAGAATAGTATGTTAAAAAAAAAAAAAGACAGAAAGAAAGAAACACAAGGAAGGGCCAACAGAGAGGGACGTGGACGAGGTAAACTTTAAGTGTAAACAGTTAGATTTCAAGCTACCCAGGAAAGAACAGAGCTTATGAGAAAAAAGAAAAAAAATCACAAAGACAAGAACCTACCCAAAGTGTACTGAGAAAAAAAAAAGTCAATCCTTAAGACAAATCGAATCTCTAAAAATAGTAGTAAAACTATAGTTCTCCCTATGTTATCTCCATCCAACAAGGACCCAAAAGTATCTATCTCAACACGGGCTTTGCTGAGCAATGCGAGTCAAGCACACCCCTCTGTGTCAGTGGACACCTGGATGCGACCCTAGGACTGATGGGGTTTCTAAGGCTTCCCTCTCCCAACACATAATCTAACCAGGGCATGGACTGGATATAGGATGCCTTTTGCTCACTCAGATAGCAGAGGGTAGTACTGAAATGGCAGCACTGTGCTTGTATCAACCTCAAAGGAGATGGCACCCTGGAAGGAAGGATCCCAGCATAAAGCCTTCTCCTTCACTGTGATGATGGAGAGGAATTTTTATACTTGTATTTTTAGCGAAGATGATCTATTTCCTCTCTCTACCCTCTTTCAAGTACTCACTCACTGAAGACAGATAGACAGACACATACACACACACGAGGCTGTCCCACACAGAGAGGGAAATGGGCAAAAGGGCAGGACAGAAGAAAAACCCACTTTGAGGAAGTGCAAAATTTTGCCATTTAGTAATTTAGAAGATGGGAAGTTGACTGGTATCGGTGTATCAGTGTATACGAGTTCAATTCCAAACACTCAAAATATCTCATTCCATTCAACAATGAGTTTTGAGTGTTTGGAGTTGAACTCATATAAACAAATACATTTTTTTTCCTTTCAAAATTGTACTAGTTTTTGCATGGAGTTAGTGGTAGATTTTTAACTGTCTTTAAGTAGCATAAACAAAATCCTGATACTTTTGGGTAGCAGTTTTAAATGTGAAACCATTCTAGGCATGTAAAAAAAAATAGAAATACAGCTATTTTATCACCCTCTAGAGCTAAGTATAACTTTCTTATTAAAACAAAAACATTTCCTAAAGACCTTAAAAAGCATATGAAAAAACTCATATATCTTATCACAAGGACCACCAAAATTCTATTCCCAAAACAGACCCTCCAATATTTTCACAGTATAAAAAGTTTCAGAATATGATAGGAAACAGATGAATGCTATAGATGCATACGTCGTTTTACTGTGCTTAGCTTTATTGTGCATTGCAGATAACTGGGGTTTTTTTTTTTGTTTTTTTGTTTTTGTTTTTTTTTTTACAAGTCGAAGGTTTGTGGCAACCCTGTGTTGAGCAAGTCTATTGATGCCATTTTTCTAACATGCTTACTGTGTGTCTGTGTGTCACGTTTTGGTAATTCTTGCAATATTTCAAACTTTTTCATTATTATTAGATCTGTTACGGTGATCTGTGACCAGTGATCTTTGATATTACTATTGTAATTGTTTTGGGGGTGCCACAAATCACACCCACATAAGATAGCAAATATAATTGATATATGTTGTGTGTGTTCTGACTGCTCCACTGACCAGCTGTTTCCCAGTTTCTCTCCCTCTTCTTGGGCTTCTCTATTCCCTGAGATACAACAATAATGAAATTAGGTCAATTAATAACCCTACAATAGCCTCTAAGGGTTCAAGCGAAAGGAAGAGTTGCATGTCTCTCACTTTAAATCAAAAGTTAGAAATGATTAAGCTTAGTGAGGAAGGCATGTCAAAAGCTAAGATAGGCCAAAAGCTAGGCCTCTTGTGCCAAACAGTTAACCGAGCTGTGACTGCAAAGGAAAAGTTCTTGAAGGAAATGAAAAGTGCTACTCCAGAACATACACAAATAAAAAAACAGCTTTATTGCTGATATGGAGAAAGTTTTAATGGTCTGGACAGAAAATCAAACCAGCCACAACATTCCCCTTAAGCCAAAGCCTAATCAAGGCCCTAACTCTCTTCAATTCTGTGAAAGCTGAGAGAGGTGAGGAAGCTATAGAAGAAGAGCTGGAAGCTAGCAGAGGTTGTTTCATGAGGTTGAAGGAAAGGAGCCATTTATATAACATAAAAGTGAAGCAGCAAATGCTGACGGAAAAGCTGCAGAAATTTATCTAGAGAATCTAGCTAGGTTAATTGATGAAGGTGGCTATACTCGACAACAGGTTTTCAATGTAGATGAAACGACCTTCTAGTGGAAGATGTCATCTAGGACTTTCAAAGCTACAAGAGGAGGAGTCAATGCCTGTCTTCAAAGCTTCAAAGGACAAATTGACTCTTGTTACAGCCAAAGTAGCTGGTGACTTTAAGTTGAAGCCAATGCTCTTTTACCATTCTGAAAATCCTGGAGTCCTTAAGAATTATGCTAAATAGAGTCTGCCTGTGCTCTGTAAATGGAACAACAAAGCCTGGATGACAGCATGTCAGCTTACAGCATGATTTACTGAATACTTTTAAGTCCACAGTTGAGATCTACTGCTCAGAAAAAAAAAGATTTCTTTCATTTACAGTGCACCTAGGCCAGGGGGCAGTGGCTCACACCTGTAATCCCAACACTTTGGGAGGCCAAGGCAGGCAGATCACCTGAGGTCAGGAGTTCGAGACCAGCCTGAACAACATAAAGAAACCCTGTCTCTACTAAAAATACAAAAAAATTAGCCAGGCGTGGTGGCACATGCCTATAATCCCAGCTATTCAGGAGGCTGAGGCAGGAGAATAGCTTGAACCCAGGAGGCGGAGGTTGCAGTGAGCTGAGATCGCGCCATTGCACTCCAGCCTGGGCAACAAGAGTGAAACTCTGTCTCAAAAAAAAAAAATACACAAATGTATATATATATATATATATATATACACACACACATATATATATATACACATATATATATACACATATATATATATACACATATATATATACACATATATATATATATACACACATATACACACACACACACACACACACACACACACACAAAAAAAAAAAAAAAAAATACAATGCACCTAGTCACCCCAGAGCTCTGATGAAGATGTACAAAGTTTTCATGCCTGTTAACACAACATTCATTCTGCAGCCCATGGCTTAAAGAGTAATTTTGACTTTCAAGTCTTAATTTTGTAATGCATTTTGTAAGGCCAAAGCTGCCACAGATAGTGATTCCTCTGATAGATCTGAGCAAAGTAAGTTGGAAACCTGAAAAGGATTCACTACTCTAGCACAGTAAGAACAATTTTAATTCATGGGAGAAGGTCAAAATATCAACATTAGTAAGAGTCTGGAAGAAACTGATTCCAGCTCTCGTAGATAACTTTTGAGAGGATCAAGACTGAAGTGAAGGAAGTGACTCCAGATGTGGTAGAAACAGCAAGGAACTAGAGTTAGAAGTGGAGCCTGAAGATGTGGCTGAATTGCTGCAATTTCATGATCAAACTTGAACAACGAGGCATTGCTTCTTACAGATGAGCAATGAAAATGCTTTCTTGAGATGGACTCTACTAGTGAAGATGCTGTGAACATTGTTAAAATGACAACAAAGGATTCAGAATATTATATGAACTTAGTTGATAAAGCAGCAGCAGGGTTTGAGAGATTGACTCAAATTTTTAAAGTAGTTCTACTGTCGGTAAAATGTTAATAAACAGTATTACGTGCTACAGAGAAATCTTTCAAGAAAGGAAGGATCTGTCAGTGTGGCAAATGTCACTGTTGTCTTATTTTAGGAAACTGCCACAGTCATTCCTACCTTCAGCAACCACCACCCTGATCAGTCAGCAGCCATCAAATTTGAGGTAAGACCCTTCACCAGCAAAAAGATGACAACTGTCTGTAGGCTCAGATGATCCTTTGTATTTTTTAGCAATCAGGTATTTTTACACTGTACATTTTTTTTTAACATAATGCTATTGCAAACTTAGTAGACCACAGCACAGTGTAAACATAACTTTTATAGGCACTGGAAACCAAAAAATTCGTGTGACTTGCTGTATTGCAATATTCACTTTATTGTAGTGGTCTGGAACTATAGCTGCAATAACCCTGAGGTATGTCTTTACAGATTAAAGGATGGAACAAACTACAAAAAGACAACTACAAACAAGTGTAGACCACTTAGGTGCTGCTCAAACTTGATGGGATTTATCTGATTTTAAGACATAATGTACAGAAATAATTATTTATACTTTTTCTTTTATTAATAATATTTTGAATTTCTAAAAAATATATGTAATTAAGGATGCTGAATATTTACAAGTTAGTTTATTTAAGGATTAGGCTATGAGTTTTTAAAAAGTCTTGTCAAGTAGATAGTTTCTTAGTATAAACTACCAAAAATTATTAATAAAGGGATTCCTTTAGATGAGGCCTTTTCTGCTTAGAGAATATGTATGGGGATAAGTTCAGTAGCCAAGTGTTATATATATATATCAACAAAATAATCCTATCTGATTCTAAAAGATGAAACCTCATAAGATGATGTTCAGATACATTTCTGTACAGATTTAAGATAAAAGAAAAAATTCAAAATGTCCAATTCACTGAAACGAAAGGCAACAAATTTTAGTTTATCAGATAAGTTTTGGAAATAAGCATTAAATATCATACCTTGATTTTAAAGTGTTATATATTGGCTAGTCTCCAGAGTCTATTATTTGTGGATTTTGAAATAAAAACTGCATATAATTAAGGATAATATAAATCCTTTCTAATTCATGGAAGTACCTCTCTGGTTAGATTTTTTTAAAAATCCAAAGCCGCTGGCAACTTGGGCAACATCTTTTGGACAGGGTGCATCTTTCCCAGTGAATGCCTTTCCTTTGGGACATCATTTTCTTTTTTGTCTAATTTGTTTGTTATACTTCCCTTGTGTGTCTTATATCTAGAAGAAGACTAATTTTAAAGAAAATATAAAGTGTCTATTTTTGATCATCATTACCTAGGTATGATTTGATAATCATTACCTAGATATACTACCTTGGTAGTTTAAGACTTCCAAACCAGAGTCCTTATAAGTGTAAAATACTGGGAAAAAAGGCAAGATCAACCAGAAGTCCTGAAAGGACAGAACAAATAAATATGTAATCCAATATTTTTGCTAAATAAAACTGTATACAAATGTTAACTCCTCATTCTATCCAGTAATCCTCCAACTAGCCTATCTATAAAACCACAGTCCTTGTCTAATTATCTTTTTTGTTTTAAAAAAACTAGCTCTTAGATACGGTTGTCTCAGTTGACCTCCAGTTCTAATCCAGGTCATGTCATCGACCGTAATGATATTGACTGTCTCGTGTCTGGCAACAGTCACAACCCAGATGATGCGGGGAAAGCTATTTTCTTCCCTCCAGCATTAGTGACGTTCCATGTCACATGTAAAAGAAATGAACGTGGATTCCAGAGATTTTAATCACTGATTTAAAAAATACTAAAATTACAAAAGATATGATTTATCTAGCTGGCCAGAACATTCTAGTAAGATCAAAGAAACAACTGAGTTATTGGCTTCCATACTGGTTGGTTCAGTAATAAAAGTGATAAAAATTTGTAACTCTCATTCTAGACATCATATTACATATGCATACAGACAATGCATATGGAATACTTATGTGTATGTGCATCTTTACTTGGGCCACACTATCCTTCTGATCTTACAAAGGGCCTAAATGCCTGTCTTTAAAGTCACTCCTTGAAGTCACATCTCCTAAAAAGACCAGTTAAAGTATAAATGTTGCTGGAATGCTTTAGGAAATTACTCCATTAACTATCTACTGAACATATGAGTACAGATTAGTTTCCGAATTAGTTAGCTGTCACTTCAAGAATGGAAAAAAGAGTCTGAAAGAATAAGGCATAAACTGAGAGGAGAGAGAGAAAGCACACATGTTTCCTTAAGGTAGGTTGAGGGAAGGTGCCTGGAGACCTCAGGTAGCCACAGAGGAACCAGGCCACTAATAGCAGCAGCATGTGGGGCACGAACCAAAGACAGACTTCACAATCCCACGGGAGCTGCTGCAGTCTTGCCTTTGTTTGTAATAAACCAATCCATGATAGAACAGGGCAAACACCTGTATACCATCTGGGTCACTGTGGCTGCCTGCGGCAAAGGCAGAGCATTGCTATTCTCACCTGACTATTGCTACAGCATGGAAGGCAGAGCATATATACTACAAAAGTGGATGGCAGTAAAGGAGAAAATGCCAGCTAAAGAAAAGTGAGTCTGTGCTCTCTAATACAAGGCATTCAATCAGGGATGTTTGGGAAAACAAACAGAGAAGCACAATGTCTGTAGCACCCAGAAGGTGACATACAACCTCAAGGTGCTATCACAGATATATCACTATTGCTGGTTACACTCATTTTGACTAAAAGACTAACTGCAAACTTTAGAAATAATGACTCTGAGTTTCTAGAGTGTAACTTTTGAGAGTAAATAAAAACATCAGGTGAAAGTAACTATTAGGAAATAAGTCCATAGGTTGGCCAAAGAGGAAAGGACACATTTCAAGACAGGTAGTATTAAGTTTCCTATAATAATGACCACAGTAGCTATTACGTTTATGGTAGTACCAGGTACTAACCAAGTACCAAGGGCCTCACATGCACAAATTGTCCTCAAACAACCCTAAGAGGTAGGTTCTATTAACATCACCAAGCCCGTTTGTTAAATGAGGAAGTAGACTCAGAGAGACGAAGTTAACTGAGGTCACCCAGAGAGCAAGTGGCAGAGTTAGGGTTCAACCAAGCGGGCTGGCACTGGAGTCCTTAGTCCTAACCCAGGAGCTATGCTATGGTGCCTCTGCAGACCTTCTGGTATTATGGGCCCTATTAGAAAACAGTGAGAGGAAGTTAATCTAGAAAGAGGAAAATGAAGGGATTATCCAAAGCATTTATAATGATAACCAGAAACAAAATGGGTAAGTAATTAAACAACCCTCTTCACCAGCCAAACACAGATTGAACAAAAAGAATTAAGGATAAAGAAGCTATGAAATTGTTTCACTGAAAGTAATAAAGGCACCATCCAACATAAATGACTATTTTCTATCTTATTGACATTTACCAATAATCCCAGACTGTTGTTTCTGATGACAAAATGCCACCAGTAGTGTCATTATAGTTATAGTGAAAGTCCATATTCATAATCTGACGTCCTAGAATGACTTCTGTTTCATGAAAACTTAAGATCTAAATGACAAGTAAATTTAATTGTGGGAATAGCCAATGTTCCATGTCACATAACAATGATGAGGTTAACTATGAATTCTATCATCCCAGTTAATCGTTTTCATGTAAGCTCTTCCTTCTCCTTGTACCTTCTCCCCAAAATTCAATCAACTCTCTCTCTCCATGGGATGTTAAGATTTGCACCTAATGCCTCATTCAGGAAGGAAGCTGGCCCGTTGGGGCACCAAACGGCTATCAGAATGTATCGATTTTATAAGCACCATGAATGAGGTTAGCGCAGTAAGGCCGAGCAGCAGTGAAGGGCAACAGAATACAGTTCTGATGAGCCATACCTAGCTCCTTCTGTATGTTGTCAGGGACTCCTGTAATAGTCTTTCTCCTTTTGACTTTCTTCGGTCGTCTTACCAGAGTGTCTGTGTAAATTAGAGACCGCCGAAGGCTGGCCTGGCGATCGAAATTCTCCCCTAATGTAGAGTAGTAGAACAAGCAAAGCAATGTTATTTTCAAGCAAGCTGACACCATGCACTTTCTTCCAGAAGCTTGTTGTAAAATGATAAGAAGGTATTAATAATGTTAGCCAGTCATATGATGATGAATGCTGAAGGGCAAAAAAGGAAGAAAAGCACATTATCACAGTAAGGCTGTTTTCCAAGTTCCACCTTCCAAAGGAAGCACCTTGATCTCATTTTCAAATGAGCTGGAGTAGCAAATGCAAGTTTAATAACACACTGGAAGAGTCACTCTGTGTTATTTAACAAAACAAAATTTTGGAAGTGTTTCAAATATATCCTCTGGTCACCAAAACCACTCTACATTAGCGTGTAGGTGGTGATGGTAATGAGTATGTTTCATTCATCTGGTCATCTTGCAGAGATCGAAATTAATGTCTTGCCTTGTGTGATGAAATAAGTAACTTAATAAAGATTTCTTGAATGAAAAGCTTTTTCTTCAATCAAGGAGGCTGACAATTTGGATAGACTGTGGTAATTGTTGTGGTGTGACATACAACTATAGTGAAAAATGAAACGCCTTATAATGATAAAGTACTTTTACCACAATGAGACCCAGTAGCGCTGCTGTTGTTAAAGATGAATTGCTTCTATTTCACAATTACTTTTTAAAGTTGATCTTAATTCAGACATTTCAAGTGATTTTGCAATCAAACCTGGAATGCCACATCATAGGACTTCTTTTTTTCCTTCTAGAGTGTAGGTGTGTTTGATTAACACATCATGAGAAACCATAAAATAATAAAGTATATAACAACATCTGTTATTGATTGATCTGTTTTAAATTACCTGCCAGTTTAAAGTCTTACAGCACTGACCTTTTTGAATGGTTATTCTCCTCAAAAAGTTATTTTCAAATATACATATATATATACACATATATATACATATATACACACACACATATATATATATACACACACACACATTAAAAACTTCTATCATTTTATGCATAAAAGTATAAAACATTCACTTTTAGCATTATTGACACATATTCAATGTAGGTATATTGTGGACAATGTAACTTCTATTTTGGTAAGAAAAAATTGGGAACCTTATCTAATCAAAACAGAGAATAAAACATCTGAATGATCAAAACACATTTCCCCTACTGAGGAACAAACTTAAATAAATGCTTGCAAACTTACAAATGCTTACAACCTTGTCGCTAATGGAGAAAAACAGAAATGACTGAGAGAAGACCCTTGAATACCAGAAGGTGCCAATGCTGTGAAAAACTGGGTCGCTAAGTGCAATGGCATAAATGGCACATGTGAGGGGCAAGTCACAACTGCAGTGCTTCATTAGTTCCCTGCAGCAGAAGAAAAAACTTCCTTGTATCAAGACATTAAGAACAGACAAAACATTAATAGAAAGTTACACTTAGGCCAGTGTGGTGGCTCATACCTATAATCCCAGCACATTGGAGAGTTGAGGTGGGTGGATCACTTGAACTCAGGCGTTCAAGACCAGTCTAAGCAACATGGTGAAATCCTGTCTCTACCAAAAATACAAAAAAAGGTATCTGGGTGTGGTGGCATGTGCCTGTAGTCCCACCTACTCAGGAGGCTGAGGTGGAAGGATCGCTTGAGCCTGGGAGGCGGAGGTTGCAGTGAGCCGAGATTGCGCCACTGCATGCCAGCATGGGCGACAGAGTGAGACCTCCATATCAAAAAATAAAATAAAATAAAATAAAGTTGCATTTAGTCTCCAGTTTTGCTTCCTAGACAAAAGATAAAATCACCCAAGCTCCCAGAAAATTAAGAAACAAACCATTTGAGGATGAACACCTAAGACACACGTCATTGAAGGCACCAAATGCTTGATCTTGCATCATGACCTAAAAGTCTCTTCTACTGGATTATACATTTTTTGAGGGTACAGACTGTGATGCATGTACTTTAGCATCCCCTATGGCACTCAGCTAATGCCTGGCACAAAGCAGTTATTCAATAAATATCTGTTGAATTACTCACTGCCTTTAATTGAAAAATGGCATTCATCAGTCATGGTTACTATTTAGAAATAAACTTGAAAGTCTGTGGGCATACTCTGGCTCTGGAGGCTGCCCAATTCATGAATTGTTCATTGCTCAATTAAACTCTTTTAAATTAAAAAAAAAAAAAGAAATAAACTTGGATAGCTCAAACACCAGCACAAAGCCAGTTTGTAAAAATTATTTAAGTATGTTTATCCTCTACACTTATCTTCCAGATGGAAGAGTTGTTGTCCCACATAGCAGATGATAGAAGATATTTATATGTACATATTAAGTATTTTTTCCTCCAGTTTTAGAACATGCCGAGTGCCCACAAGACTATAACTAAAGGGATTAAATCAATTTTCAAGCCAGCAGCTCATGGTGCTAACATTCTACCTCTATGCATGGTGGGCTGCACTCTGGATTTGAAATCGCCATTTTTTTTTTTTTTTTCCTGCTGAGCCTTACTAGGAAAATCAAACTAGAGGCTCAATGCTCACCCCAGCGAACGAGCACATGACAGTTCCCTAGAGGAATTTTCTTTTTTTAATCTCAAATATCTTCTAGGACTTTAGAAATACATAATTTAAAGAGCAGGAAGCTGTATAACCTATGTCAATTCAACCACTAAAAGTGAAAATTTTAAATTTATTGCTTCTTTATGACAGATTAGAAAAACTAATTCTTTAAGAAATATGTGTGTATATGTGAACACACAGATGTAGAAAATGGATCAATAAATACGTGATTAGGTATTATATTTACTTTTGGCATTTCTGCAAAATGTTAATCACTCGATTAAAAGTAAATTACATTTTGACATAACTCATACTGCTCTTTCTTTATTGTCATTCACCTTTCCTGAGTAGCATTTTAAAGGCCTCTCTTTAAAGTCTAATTCATCTCTACTTAGTCATCAGATAGGATAGAATTAAAGCTCAGAGACATGACACTGTCTTCTGTTGTGACAGTGTAATTCATTGCAAATAATTCTTCATTCCTGAAACTCTAATTACTCTATTTTAAATCTCTTAATCTCAAGATAATGCATTTCACCTTAATTCCATTAAGGATTGTCATATTTCATTGCACAATCTTCTTATCTTATAATATTATTTCATAGGCACTTAATTATATATAATGTAATTACATTTCTGCTGCATTTAATCAATCAAATAATGTAATTCATTTTCTTATAGAAAATAAGCAGCCTTGTATTTCATTGACCAGTACACATTATACTTTGTTCTAAAACATAGTTATACTTTTAAAAATAATCTTTAAAAAATATGATCTCGGTAAATAAGAAACATATTCAGAAAGATCAATAACACTGTTTGCTGAGAAAATGGCTTAAAATGCCCTGCTATTCTTTTAAGATTTAAGTAAAATAAATGTGGAAAAATATATACTGAATTGAAAATAATTCATGCACTTATTTATTAAATTTCTATGGAATTTAAAATATGAGTTCTAAATGTAATTTCTAAATATCTGGTAAGGTTTTAAAAAAAATCTTCGGTGACTATGAAAATGCTATTAGCCCCTTACAAGCTCACCAGTGCCATGGCAAAAAGCTTTCTAAAGCTTTCTAACAGCAGTAGCCTCAGAAGCACAGCAAGGATGCTATGGGTTTCCAGAGTAAATGTTCAGGAAAACTCATTCTTTTTGGTCACCTAGTTTTTTTGTTAGCTTCTGGCCTTAAGGGCCCTGCTTTGTATGACTTGATTATCAATGACCACTATTAGTCATCTGCTTCCATCAAACATACAATTCAATTAATAGTTGAAGCTATTAACTCTTCACATGTCTATTTTGCACTTTGTGCCCTCCCCAAACCACTAACCCATGCTCCTTGTGGGCTATGGAGGTGATAAGGCAGGAAAATTTTGATTTTTTTTTTTTTTTTTTGAGGTGAAGTTTTGCTCCTTTTTGCCCAGGCTGGAGTGCAATGGTGCGATCTCTCGGCTCACTGCAACCTCTGCCTCCCGGGTTGAAGCAATTCTCCTGCCTCAGACTCCAGAGTAGCTGGGATTACACGCACGTGCCACCACGCCCTGCTAATTTTGTATTTTTAGTACAGACAGGGTTTCACCACGTTGGCCAGGCTGGTCTCAAACTCCTGACCTCAGGTGATCTGCCCGCCTCAGCCTCCCAAAGTGCTGGGATTACAGGTGTGAGCCACCACGCCCAGCCAATTTTGCTATCTTTTTAGCAGCTCTCCTAAGTTCATGAAAGATCATCTTTGAATTTTATGTACCTTGTCACCTTAATTGTCACAAATGATTACAGGCTGAGTATAATATTCCATAAGAACTTGAATTTCAGGTTTGGCAATTAATATTTGTAGTCTAGCTTAATATAACATATTCTGAAAATTTTATATTCAGAAGAAATAAGTAATGTCTCCTTTTTTCTACTTTAGGAAATTTCTAGAAAATCTATCATTAGAAACATCACAAAATAATTATTTACTTCTGTAAATATTACTTAACCCTTTAGAAGGGAAATATATACTTTTTCTTCATACCTAGGACCACATTTACAAGATGTTTCCATATAACCAAAGGCTTACTAAAAAGCAATTTAATTAAAAGAGACACTCTTAAGATGAATGGTTGGACCACTGAGTTCTTTGACACCAGTGTTTGGCGACATAGTCTTCGAACCCAACAAGCAGTAGACATTTTATATGCACACACATATGTAGTTTTAATATTCCTCTCATTAAACAAAGAGCATGAAGTTGGACCACAGCTATTCACCTTTGATGTAGCAATGAAATGCTAACAGCATAAAACAAAAAGCTGTAGTCATTCTCCCAAGTACATTCTGAACCTGTCTGGCTAGCAAAGCGTACCAGTTATGTTAATAGGCACCACGTCAGCCTGGACTGTTTGGGCTTGCTGTCGCATCTTCTCTTCTGGTGTTGGCAGTGGAAGCGACTTGGTCCAGTTCGTCTGAGTATTAAGGTCGGAGAAGTCACTTGAGGCTGGTGTTTTAGGTCTCCTGATGGAAATAAATCTTTCTTCTTCTGATGAAGACAGAGAACACTGCAGAGAAAAAAGAAGCAGCAGCCACAGTGTATAAAGAGCTGGCAGAAACATTTTAAAATATATTTCTTATTTTTAAAAAAATTGGACTGGTTTAAAAGAAGCCAAAATAATTGATCGCTTTTAGGAACAGAAGCAATGGTTTGCTCAGCCTCTTGAGTCTGACCTATAATATGCATGATTCACACCAGCCTTAGTCTGTAAACTGTGAGGACTGCAAAAGGTTCTGCTGACCCACAAAATCTTTGAAGTCCTTTCTGCTTTCCCTCTATCTACTGTGGTCAGAAAGCTCATGGAATGGCCGGCGTGGTGGCTCATGCCTGTAATCCCAGCACTTTAGGAGGCTGAGGTGGGTGGATCACTTGAGGTCAGGAGTTCAAGACCAGCTGGCCAACATGGTGAAACCCCATCTCTACTAAAAATAAAAAATTTAGTCAGGCGTGGTGGTGGGCACCTGTAATCTCAGCTACTTGGGAGGCTGAGGCAGGAGGATTGCTTGAACCCGGGAGGCAGAGGTTGCAGTGAGCCAAGATTGTGCCACTGCACTCCAGCCTAGGCAAAAGAGTGAGACTGTCTAAAAAAAAAATTTTAAAAAGAAAGTTCGTGGGTTTAGTTTAACATTAGAAGCCTAGAGAAAAACATCATGGCTGTGGCCATCAGTTTCCATTTTTATTAAAATTTAGTTTTGCTCAAAGTAATTTCTAGCCTCAATCTTATTTCCTTTAGGCTCTGACTTCAAAGGACATTTCAAAAATGATAGAGCTATTGTTGTTCAACTATTTGTGCTCTTCCAAAGCCATTTATATGGGAAAAAATCAGTGTGAAATTGTTAACTTATACGGCACTGACTAAAGCTCTGCTCTGAGCCATATCAGAATTCTACGAAAACATTTCTAGCAGTGTCTGTTTTGATACAGATTAACATCCTCACTGAAGAGCCCTTCTTCAATACCTTTCTTTCCCATAACACCTTAAAAAGTGTAAGCAAGAAAGTTGTGTTGGCGAGCATTTTTTGATGGACTTCAGCCTGGCTCCACAGCAGCTGGTTCTGTGACTAAGATGCTCCAAGAAGGCCAAATGAGTGCAGGGTGCTTAGGAACACAACGAAAAAGGGTAATCGACTTTCGTGGGGGAAATGACAGCTTATAATATAAAATAAATGTGTAATAACTGCTCTTTAAGTCCGAAGCATTTAAACGGAACTACCAATTATGAAAATAAAGCTTTTAGAAAGAATTTCACTGGAGAATAAAAAGTCAGTGAACCTTCCCAAAGGGAATACCTGTACAACCAGCACCCAGTTCAATACACCCGCTACCCCAACCACATACCCCCAAACGAGGGTAAGTGCTATGTCAACTTCTAATACCACAGCTTTGTTTTGCCTATATTTGAACTTTCTGTAAAGGGAATCGCACTGTCTGTTCTCTTTTGTGACCTATTTATTTCACTTAACGTTATGTTTGTGAGGATTTATCTAACTTTACAAGGCATGTTTTAACCTTTCTGGATTTAAGGCAAGTCTCTAAGAGGACACAGATGAGAAATATAAAGAAATGCATTGATTAGAAATTTTAGGCCAGGCACGATGGCTCACGCCTGTAATCCCAGCACCCTGGGAGGCCGAGGTGGGCGGATCACCTGAGGACGGGAGCTTGAGACCAGCCTGAGCAACACAGAGAAAACCTGTCTCTCCTAAAAATACAAAATTAGCTGGGCGTGCTGGCGCATGCCTGTAATCCCAGCTATTGGGGAGGCTGAGGCAGGAGAATCGCTTGAACCCAGGAGGCAGAGGTTGCAGTGAGCCGAGATCGCACCATTGCGCCCCAGCCTGGGCAACAAGAGCAAAATTCTGTCTCAAAAAAAAAAAAAAAAAAAAAAATTCAAACACAAGAATACTGTCATCACTGTTTACTGCTACTGCATTCATCTTGCTGCAAAAATCTGTATTTATTCTACAACTACTAGGGCTCTATAAATCTGAAAAAGATTAGGCAAGAGCTAATGAAAATAGTTTGCTGTTGGCGATAGGGCCCTAGACTAAGAATCCAAAGACCTGAGTCTGTTCCTAAACTTTGATGTTTCCTTTGCTGTAAAATGGGGCTATACAGCCTACCTTTGTGCATCCACAGAGGTGTTCTTAGGACCCAATAAGATGATAAATGTTAAAGTGTCTATGACTGTTAAATATCATGGATATGGGCCAGGCGTGGTGGCTCATGCCTGTAATCCCAGCATTTTGGGAGGCTGAGGCGGGCAGATCACAAAGTCAGGACATCGAGACCATCCTGGCCAAAATGGTGAAATCCCGTCTCTACTAAAATAAAAATAAAATTAGCTGGGCGTGGTGGTGTGCACCCATAGTCTCAGCTACTCGGGAGGTTAAGGCAGGAGAATCGCTTGAACTCGGGAGGCTGAGGCTGCGGTGAGCTGAGGTTGCGCCACTGCACTCCAGCCTGGCAACAGATCGAGACTCTGTCTCAAAAAAAAAAAAAAATTTGTGGATATGGAGGTGGTGCTGATATAAATATGACTTTAGAAAAGCAAAGTCATGAATTGACATGTACTCACTTTTTTTTCTTTTACAAGGAGACTAACAATAATAAAGGCATGTGGAAAAGATAAATCATATAATTAGATATCTCAATACATTTACTTGATGTTCTTAATAAATAAAACACATAAAATGATCATCCAGTTTCTTTTCCACCTAAGGAAAATGTGAAATAATGTTTTAATTAAATTGACAAATATACTCAATTTATAAACTGAGCATGTTGTTGGTGTCTTGTAATACTAAATTGCACTATATCCATTGATACTTGATCTGATTCTGGTTAAAAGGGTTAAAACTCACACAGATCCTTAAAGACAATCAAAGGAATTTTTGGGTCAGCAGCAGCTAAGCCATACTGATGTAAATCAATTATTTCCAGCTGTTTTGCAGTTGTGACACTTAAGTTTGATTTATAATACATATTCTCTACCCTTGAGATGTGCACACACACACACACACACTTAAAATTAATGTCACTGAAGAATTTCATGGCAGTTTGTATAAGGGCCACATGTCTGAGTTTGAATTTCAAGCTAGTAAATTAGAGGATTACTCCAATTTCCTGATACATACACATAAATATAATTTTTCAGGCAACCTTGAATTACAGTATAAAGCTTGAAGGCAGTAAGAAGCAAATCCTAACCAGAAAGGTTTAAAAGAAAGAAAAGTAAAGCTTTCAGGCTACAGCTCTCTATGCCCTGGAGCAAGGGCTCCCTTTTCCACATGACGTCTGCTGTGGGAGCAGGATGAAGCACTGTCTACCATTTGTAAGCATCTCAATGGTGCTCATCAGCCCCACTAACCTACTTTTCTTCTAGTTGACTGACACTGTCAGAATCGATAACTCTCATAATGAAACAGCACTTCCCCGTAGGGACAATCACCACAGATCACTCCAGCATGACAACTGACAAAGAGAGTCCATTTTGTAAAGTGCTCCTTTCTCTTACAAGAAAATTTCCCAGACAAGCAGGGCACAGATAAAGTTATATGCAAATGTGACTGTTAGGTCTCACAATCTACTAGATGACAGTAAAACACCAGCATGGATGACTTCCACAATGATATGACTTTCATGCCTCCCAGTGTGTATAAACACAGCAGGGGCACAGAAAAACCTCCCTCATTTCAGTGGCAGAACACATGATTAGCCCATTAAGATGGACATAGTAATACCGGATTATTACACTGGCCTCTTAACTACCCCCACTTTTCTGCCCTTGTTGACCATCCTCCCCTGCTCCTCCTCTTCCAATAGTCTACTCTCAATACAGCAGGCGAAGGAATCCTTTTAGAAATGTAAGTCAGATCATGTTGCTCCTCTGTTCAAACCCTCCAAAGTCCTTACTATGACCTCCAAGACCCTACATGATCTACCAGCTGGCCACTGTTATCTCCCTGACTGCATTTCCTACTGTTCTTTCCCATATTTATTCTACTCCAGCCACACCATCCTCCATGCTGTACCTTGTACCTTCCATGCACACTCGCGCCTCAGGGCCTTTGCACTTGCTGTTCCCATGGCCTGAAATGCTCCTCCCGTAGACATCCACACAGGTAGCCCCTTCTTTTTCTTTAGGTCCCCTTAAGAGTCCTCTTTTGTTGAGGTCTTAACTGTTCATCCTATTCAATTTCAACCTCTTTCTAATATTTTGTATCCCCTTTCCCTGCTTTTTTTCTCTTTAGTACATATAACTAGTACACATATATTTTATTTATATATATTGTCTCTCCGACAAGAATATAAGTTCCATGAAGCTTTGAATCAGAATTGCATAGAAGGTTATTTCAGAATTTGAGCTTCAGAAGGGCCACGATTTAGTAACTGATAGCTATATGCCTTGCCCTTGGTGGGGACTTTATAGAACTTATCTCACTTAATCTTCACAGTGTTTGCCTTGTTTAATAATAAGGAAGTGGAGACTCAAAGGAGTAAAGTAACTTGACTTTTGGAAAGTTCACAAGTGGGCAGTTGAGATTAGAAGCCAGAACTGACCCCAAAGTCTCCCCTGTGAAACAGTGTAAAATAACAATGTGGCAATATTTACAATAAATTACTAGGTCTTCTGGTCTCAAAACAAAATCTCCCTTTATGTCTGTAAATAAGAATGAAACCTTTTGAAAAGCTATACAAGTAAAAAAACAGTGTGTACCAGCATCCTGGCACTGTCACTTACTAGGTGTATGTTTTGATCAACTCAATCTCCCCATACAGAGAACAGAATGACCCAAGTAGCATTCAAATGCTTCATGTTAATGAAATCCCTCAATATAGGGTGACTTTTTTAAAAACTGAGTTTAAAATTGCCTTGCTCTCAGAACTTAAATGCAGTTTTGGGATCTGTCAGTTGGTCAATAATGTTCACCAATACCCCATATCCTGGTCCTGGGAGGAATGGAGAGTCACAAATGAAACATAAGCCATGATTCCTTGTGTCAAATTGTTTCATTTAGAAAGGGAGAGAAACAGGCAACACTGACAGTTACTTTGTAAATTTTGGATGCTGGAAGACCTGCATTTTAGAGACTTCTAGGTTCTACCCGGAAATCAGACAAGCTCTCACCAGATGGACAGTGTGGGGCCTGAAATAGGGTCTCTTTCCCATATATTCTCATACGAAATATGCTCTCTTTCTCAGAAGAGCCAACTGATCCAAAAGTGGGATTAACTAAGAAACACAGATTAATTCAGTCTTTTTTGTTTTGATTTGTTAGTAAAAGTTAGAAAACTGAATTATAGCCAGAGCTAAACTTAGTATTCATTTAGAATTATTACATGAAAATAGAGAACAGATGAAACTATATAGAACATATCAACTATACAGAACTATATAGTTGATGTCTTTAAGAAGACAGCCACATACATTCCAGTCCTTTTTGGAAGACACTTAGTCTTTGATGCTCTTCCTCCCAGAATTAAACCTCTTGTGTTGACTCTTGGTTTTCAAGATCCTTAATAGTTTCATAGGGTGCCAAAACGTCTGCAGCCTTTTGGCTATATGTTTCTTCTGTCTTTAGTAGATTTAGACACAAGAGACCCTCACTGATTTCTGTTCTCTGTGCATTCTTTTTTTTTTCTCCTGGCGCCAACAACAACAGAAAAAGTGGGGGTAGTGGAAATGAATCCATGTAGAAGCACAGTTCATGGTTCATCCAGCAACTCCATGATGGCCAACAGGTGACTTCCACATCCATATTATTAAGTAACTTTAATTGTTCATTCTTTTTTTCTTTTGAGACGGAGTCTCACTCTGTCGCCCAGGCTAGAGTGCAGTGTAGTGGCGCAATCTTGGCTCACTGCATCTCCGCCTCCCAGGTTCAAGCAATTCTCCTGCCTCAGCCTCCCAAGTAGCTGGGATTACAGGCACGTGCCACCATGCCTGGCTAATTTTTGTATTTTTAGTAGAGATGGGGTTTCACCACATTGGCCAGGCTGGTCTCAAACTCTTGACCTCAGGTAATCCGCCCGCCTCAGCCTCCAAAGTGTTGGGATTACAAGCGTGAGCCACCATGCCCAGCCTAATTGTTCATTCTTTCATATGTATTATATTAGTCCCTTTACCTCAAATCTAATTGCTTTATCAAGAGCTTTAAACTTTCTTTTGTTGTTGTTGTTTTTGAGATGAGGTCTTGCCCTCTTGCCCAGGCTAGAGTGCAGCACAGTGATTACAGCTCATGGCAGCCTCAGATTCCTGGGCTCAAGCAATCCTCCTGCCTCAGTTTCCCAAGTAGCTGGGAGTATGGATGTGCATCAGCGTCCCTGGCTAATTTATTTATTTTTCATTTATTTTTATTGTATTATTATTTTTTTGAGACAGGGTCTCACTCTGTTACCCAGGCTAGAGTGCAGTGGCAGAATCACAACTCACTGCAGACTCAAACTCCTGGGTTCAAGCGATCCTCCCACCTCAGCCTCCCGAGTAACTAGGATGACCGGCACAAGCCACCATGCCCAGCTAATTTTTGAAAACTTTCTGTAGAGACAGGGTCCTGCACATTGCCCAGGCTGGTCTTGAACTCCTAGGCTCAAGCCATCCTCCTGCCTCAGCTGCCAAAGTGCTGGAATTACAGGCTTGAGCCACTGCACCAGGCCCTAAGAGCTCTAAACTTTCTTATCACACAGTGAATTAAAATATTTTGGATCTTAACTATCCCATATTAAGCGATCCTTTCCTCAAATGAAAGAAAATACTTAATTAGAACATATATGTTTAAACTGATACAGTAAGTTGTTTGTAATCATATTTTAGAATAACAAATTATGTATTAAAATCATATAACATAATGAATATTCAAGAACTCACTACTCAACCCATGACCTAAAATATTACTAAAAACCTGCATCTCCCTCCATGCCCCATCCCATCTCCCTACTTCCCCAGAGGTGACCACTAGCCTGAATTTTGTGTTCCTAATTACTCCTTGTTATATGTGTGCGTGTGTGTGTGTGCGTGCGTGCATAAACTTGCTTTGACTTTTACAAAAATAGTATTATTCTCTTTGTGTTTTTCTTACTATTATCTTTCTAAGACACATCCATGTAGTTGTGTGAAACTGTAATTCATTCATTTCACTGGGGTATACATTCCACTCCAGTACTAATTTATTCACATTTTTTATTGATGGACAATTGGGTTGTAAAAGATGCTCTTTGTATTATCTCAACAATGCAAAACTCCCCATAAGAGAATGAGAATGGTTAGGAGGAAAGGACTGTGGCAAAGGCTCTACTCCCCATACAGTCATTACTGGGGGAAAAACATGAGCTCTAGAGTCGTAAGTCTAGGTTTAAATCCTGGTTTTGCTTTTAGGGGTGATAGATGTGTTCACTCTCTTGATTATGGTAATGGTCTCCTGTGTGTATACATATGTCAAAATTTATTAAGTTGTATACTTTAAATATGTATAGATTATTTTATGTAAGTTATACTTCAATAAAAGGCGTTTTAATAAAGAAAGATCTTGTTTCAGTATTTAAAAACTATGTGATCTTAGGCAAGTGATCTAATCTCTCCAAGATACAGTTTTCTCATCCATGATATGGGCATAATCAAAGCTACTTTGCATGGTTGCAATAAATACTGAATATATTCACATACAGCACTGAGCACAGTCCCTGGCGCCTGAGCCTTTCCATGTGCCAAGTGCTTGGCATCATACTGGAAACACAGAGATCAACAAGATAGGGATGCTGTCCATTAATCTAGAAGAGAAGGCAGGTATAAACAGACCCTGATTATAGAGTAGTGGGATGGAAACAGCAAGAGAAACTGGAATGGGTCATTGGAGACATTCTCACTGGTTTGCAGGCAAAAAGGCGTGGGAATGACAGACCCCAATTTTCTCATTTTTGTCTGCAATGGCATGGAATAAGAAGGTGCCATAACTGCAGAGCAGTGAGCATTGACTCATTTGTGTTTCTACAGTTTCCTGAAATTACTCACAGAGACCCAGTAACACATGATTGGACATGGAGTAATCACTTCTCGACTGTAAGCTGCCCTAGGCCAAGAATGGGATCCATATACTGAGACCAAGTAGCACTTAAAAACTTTTTTGGGGGAAAAAAAAATTGAGTGAAGCATACCAGACAAGTCAAAGAGGAATAAGAGATGACAAAATTGGGCATAATGAGGAGGAATTGAGGTAACTGAGTAATCTTGCCCTTTTGCTTAACCAGCATGGTGCGATGAAAAGAAATGAGCTGCAAGGAGCCCCGCCTTCACATGCTCCCTGCAAGGAGCCCCGCCTTCACATGCTCCCTGCAAGGAGCCCCGCCTTCACATGCTCCCTGCAAGGAGCCCCGCCTTCGCATGCTTCCTGGTGCTTTCGAGCTATGTGATCTTGAGAAAGCCATTTCATATTTCTGAGTCTCCATTTCCAGATTAAAATAATAGTAATAGCTATTAAAATAATCTGTTTCATGGGGCTGTTTGTGGAAAATAAGATCTAATTTGTGAAAAAGTTCTATATCCTAACGTGTACCCCGATGAACAAGCTAGCAATAGCATAAACACTGGTAGTGCCACACCTAGATAACCTGTAAAGCCATGACAATCAGAAATTCGTCAGTAGCTGCTGAAACCTCTCAAATTTATTGCCTTGGGCAGGAAATTCTATGTGGGTGGAACAAAAGACGAGATGATTGGGAGAGTGGCCAAATTTTTATAAAAACAGACATTGTCTATTGAATCATTTTCTTTGAAGCGTGGTTTGAAATACCAATCAGCTTAACAATACTTATCATCATCATCTGAGCATCTAGTCTGTGCCAGGCACTGTGCTAAGGGTTTCACAAACATTAATTTACTTCAACCTCACACCAACTCTCCAAGGTAGGTTAGGGTAACTATGTAATTTTATCGAAACCAGAACACCTCTGAGAGTGAAAGGGGGTGCAATTAATAATTACACAGAATAACAGCTGTAAACCAGGGCTGTTCTAAGCAAACCGGAACATGTGGTTTTTATCTCTTTACAGTTGAGGAACCTGAACCTCACAGACGAAAGCAACTTATCCAAGGCCACTGAGCTCTGACAGGTGGAAAAGCTGCCCCAAACCTACGCTCTCAAGCATCATGTTAAATAAGCCTCCTGTGTTTACAGGTATGGCAGCAAGGTTACTGCCTTTTCTTCAAAGTCTTCCTTTGATTTAAATATTTCTTATCAACAAAGCCTAAAACAGAAGCTGACATGCCAGTTCAAAGAATAACAGGAAACAGGGAAATTTCGATTTCTGTCACGACTATTAAAGCCAACTGTTTACTGCCAAAAATCTAGATCTAATACATCTCTTTAGGGGTGAATTTTACACAAGAGATTGCATAACTCATGATTGATATCCTTTCTGCTAAGACAATGGGGATTCTGTGAAGGTTTCCCAGATTCAGTGAACGTATCATCAAATATAACTTCCGATAATGGCAGGTGGAAAAATTCCCTATCGACTCACAGTAAGTATTTTCGCACTGATAACTGACCTGCCTTCAAATGCAAGAACCTCTTTGGCAGTACTTGGCATATGCTGAAAACTGAAAAGAGAAAAAAGTCAAAAACAGTACACAAAGCAATGGTGTACTCTTTGATTTCAGAGTTGAATGAAAAGGTATTTTCTGGAATTTCTTTCTTTCTTTTTTTTTTTTTGGAGATGGAGTCTCACTTACTCTGCCGCCCAGGCTGGAGTGGAGTGGTGCGATCTCAGCTCACTGCAACCTCCACCTCCCAGATTCAAGCAATTCTCCTGCCTCAGCCTGAGTAGCTGGGACTACAGGTGCATGCCACCACGCCTGGCTAATTTTTATATTTTCAGTAGAGACAGGGTTTCACCATGTTGGCCAGGCTAGTCTGGAACTCCTGACTTCAAGGGATCCGCCTGCCTCAGCCTCCCAAAGTGCTGGGATTACAGGCACACACTACCATGCCTGGCTTATTTTCTGGAATTTCTAAATTGCTTTGCCAACAGTATTTTTTTCAATGCATCATGTTTATGTTTAGATGATATGCATAACATATACAATTGGAAATATTTTCAACAATTTTCTTCTTGCTACACTATATTCCCACTTTGAACATCAAAGATATGTGTGGATCTCGTTAGCAAAACATCTTTCTTCATAACATAACACATAGAGTCCTACTTGGTGTTTCACATTAGGATAATGAAGATAATTATTCTAGAACAATTAGCCAGAGTAAATAACCAGAATCGACGTCCTCTAGGTTCTCTTTTCTAATTTATATGTCCTTAACCTTTGCCATATTAGCAACTCATCTTAAGCACATAATGGATTTTTAATATTTGTTGAATGCAAATTAGATGATTTTTGTAAGAAATACCTCTTTTAAAGTCAATAATTTGTTAACTCATGCATCCCTTCTTCCATATAGTCACTGCTCTTTGTAACACACCCCTCCCCTCAACACCTACTAGGAAATACAAAATAAAAGGTTTTCCAGATCGAATTTCCCTTCCAAATTGACTCCTACACACTCTATATTTAAAATGATCCCCTTTGGGAGGCCGAGGTGGGCGGATCACGAGGTCAGGAGCCCAAGACCAGCCTGGTCAACATAGTGAAACCCCGTCTCTACTAAAAATACAAAAATTAGCTGGGCATGGTGGCACGTGCCTGTGGTCCCAGCTACTCGGGAGGCTGAGGCAGGAGAATCTCTTGAACCCAGGAGGTGGAGGTTGTGGTGAGTCAAGATTGTGCCACTGTACTCCAGACTAGGTAACAGAGTGAAACTCCAACTGAAAAAAAAAAAAAAAAAAATCCCAACTGTTAGGGTGATGTTAAGAACATGAACCACGGTTAGGAGTCTTAGTCTTAACACGGAAGACCATACTGCTGGCCTGGAGCCCCTTTCAACAGTTACTGGATTCCCACTTGATTTCAAATGATAGCTTGATGATCTACTAAATCCCATGAAGATTTAGGTCTATTTCTAGACTTCTATTCTGTTTTTAATATTCTGTTATACTGGTTTGCACATTCAGCTGCCACAATGGAGGAATCCCTAACTCTATGTTCTCATACCGGGTCAAGTCAGTTCTTCCTTACTGCTCTCTTGTTTTACAGCTTTCCTAGCTACACAAACTTTAGATTCAGCTTCCTTAGTCGTCTCTCTCCTCCTCTCATCCCCCAAAGTAGCCTCAGATCAAGACAAAACAGAACAGCCTATAATCCCAGCACTTTGGGAGGCCAAGGTAGGTGGATCACTTGAGGTCCGGGGGTTCGAGACCAGCCTGGCCAAAATGGTGAAACCCCATCTCTACTAAAAGTACAAAAATTAGGCTGGGCGTGGTGGCTCACACCTGTAATCCCAGCACTTTGGGAGGCCAAGGAGGGCAGATCACAAGGTCAGGAGATCGAGACCATCCTGGCCACATGGTGAAACCCAGTCTCTACTACAAATACAAAAATTAGCTGGGTGTGGTGGCATGTGCCTGTAGTCCCAGCTACTCGGGAGGCTGAGCCAGGAGAATCGCTTGAACCTGGGAGGTAGAGGTTGCAGTGAGCCAAGTTCACACCACTGCACTCCAGCCTGGCAACAGAGTACGTGAAAATCTGTCTCAAAAAAAAAAAAACAAAAAAAAAAACCCAGAAAAAATCTACTCACGTTTTTATTGGTATTGTGTTAATCTTATAAATTAACTTGGGCAGAATGGTGAGCTTTCTGATATTAACGCCTCTGAGGATGTGATATGTCTTTTCAGTTATTCAAATCTTATTTGTGTTCTATAGTTTGTTTTTGTTTTTGAGAAAAGAGTCTTGCTCTGTCACCCAGGCTGGAGTGCAGTGGCACACTCTCGGCTCACAGCAACCTCCACCTCCTGGGTTCTCCTTCCTCAGCCTGCCGAGTAGCTGGGATTACAGGCACACACCACCATGCCCAGCTGATTTTTGTATTTTTAGTAGAGATGGGGTTTCGCCATGTTGGCCAGGCTGGTCTTGAACTCCTGACCTCAGGTGATCCACCCAACTTTGCCTCCCAAAGTGCTGGTATTACAGGCATGAGTCCCACGCCTGACCATATAGTATTTTTTAAAGTTTCTTTCATATAGATCTTGTCCTTTTCTTATTAAATGTATCTGTACTTTGCAATAGCTATTTTAAATAGATTTTTCCTGTTGTATCTTCTAATTTGACTTTGTAGATATGAAAGTTATTGATTGCTGTATATTACTTGTATACCTTACTATATCATTGAACTGTTATTTATAGAAGTTTTGAAATATTACTTTCTTGGATTTACCCAAGAAAGACTTAACCATGAACAAAGAGTGATAATATAATCTCAATCTTTCTCACTTCTGCACTTTTTACACTACAGCTTTCCTGATTGTCTTGGCTACCTCTTTCCATACTATGCTAAGTGGTAATAATGATAGTGAATGTCCTTCTCTTATATCTCATTCTAGTGGGAACAGCCCATTAAAAATTGTTGGATTTGGAGGACAAGGCAGATAAATTTTGTTAAGTTCTGCTATATTTTTTTAAATCAAGAATGGCCATTAAATTCTACCAAATAACTTGTCAATATCTACAGTTTTGACTATATAAAATTTTTCTCTTCAGATCTATTAATATTATTAATATATAATTAGATTACCTAGTATCAAGCATCCTTGCATTGCTATCGGAATAAACCCAGGTTGATTTTGGAATATTTCTTTTAATGAGCTGTCAGATTACGTTTCCTAATGTGTTATTTATGATCTCTAATGCCAATATTCATGAGTGAGACTGGCCAGTTAATTTTCTGCTTTGTACAGTCTTTGCCAGGTTTTGGCATCAGTGTTAAACTAATTCATTAAAAAGAACCGCACTTTTTCCCTTTGCTCTGAAAAAGTTTTAAGCATTGGACTTACCTACTCTTTAAAATCTTTGGTAGAAGACCGCCCCCACCCAACATACACAAGACCATCTGGGCTTGGCATTTTTTTCAATTTGATGTAAACGTTTGATAAGATTTCTTTTTTTTTATGGTAATCACTCTGATAAAATATTTCCTCTTTTCTAGGGTCAGTTTTGATACAATGTATAAACTGGAAAATCAGTTTCAAAATTACCTATGTATCTCCCATCTATCAAAAGATGATATACATCAGCCCTCTATAACGTGGGGTTCTGTATCTGTGCATTAAACCAACCATGGATTAAAAGTATTTGAACAAAAAATAAAAGAATGGCTGTGTTTGTAACTGTATATATACAGACATTTTTTGTGTCATTATTCCCTAAACAATACAGTATAACAACTCTTTACATAGCATTTACATTATATTAGTTATTATAAGTAATCTAGAGGTGATCTAGTATATGAGAGGATATGTGTAGGTTATATGCAAATACTACATCATCTGATATAAGGGACTTGAGCATCCATAGATTTGGGTATTTGTGGGAAATCCTGGAACCAGTTGCCCATGGATACTGAGGGATTACTGTATATAATTTTTATTCCTAATCATAAAATTCTCTGCTTAAAAAATGTGTTAGAGATTTCCTGTTAGCTATGCAATAAAGGAATTCCTTCACTTAGCACTGCCCCTCTGTGAGCGCACCTCAGCCTCCCTCCACCAGCACTCCTGTTATCACTCCTGGTGAACTCAATATCCATAGCACGACCCATCCAACACCTACCTGAATCCTTCACAGCCTCGCTTCTAACCTGCCTTGGCTGCCTACTCTATGGACATACTCCCTGACCTACCCATTGCAGGATGCCTGAATTGAGGTTTCAAAGGTGTTTCAAAAATTGGTAATCCTACAGAAGTTGCCGAAGGTGCGAGAAAAAGAAAAGAATTGAGACCAGGCCCAATGTTTTTGACTTAAGTGACTGGTAGAATGGAGTTGTGGTTTACTGAGGTGGTTTTGAAAAACTATGAAAGAAGGAAGTTTTTTTTTTGGAAATGTGAGAATCACATATTTGGATTTGGACAAGTTTGAGATACCTGTAAGACATTTCAGTGGAGATGGACAGTAAGCAGATAACTGCATGAGTCTGGGCTAAAGATATACATTTAGGAAACATCAATGCATGGTACTTAAAGCCTTGGGACTCAGTGAAATCACCCAAGGAGTCAGACTGCTACAGAGTAGCGGGGGTACAAGGTTTGAGCCCCGAGTTAAACCAACTTTTACATATTTGGAAGAAAAGGACTATTCAACAAATGATTGAGAGGCAATGGCTAGAGAGGGAAGAGGAAAACCAGGAGTGTGTTGTGTCATGAGAGCCAAGTATTCTTAGAAGAAAAGAATCATAAACAATGTCAAATGCTGAGAGGTTGAGTAAGATGAGGCCTGAGAATTAACTATTAAATATTAGATTTGGCAACGTGGAGGTGACTGGTAGACTTAACAAGAGTAGTTTAAGTGTGCGCTGGGGATAAAAGTTTGTTTGGAGGGGCTTCAAAAGAGATTGTGAAGAAAGGAAGTGGAGATGGCAAGTCTAGACAGTTCTTTGGACATGTTTAATTATAAAGTTGAACTGAACAATGTGGTAGAAATTTGAGGGGGATGAAAGGTCAAAGTAGGGTTTCTTCAAGATGAAAGAAAATATAGCATGTTTGTATAATGATGGTTATGATGCAATCAAGACAGAAAATTGATTAGGGCTAAGAGAGAGGGATGAATTGCAAATATGAAGTCCTTGAGAGGTTGGCCTTATTCATCCCACTGGAAAAATACTGAGTGCCTACTGTGTGCCAGGCCCTGAGCTAGCCACTTGGGACACAGCAGGGCATTACAATGGCGGGAAAGGGTGAGTCCATTAAGGAGGAGATGTAAGAAGTTTGATGGGTTTGGTGATGAAAAGATATGACCCCTGATTGCTTTTGTTTTCCTAGTGCAGCAAATACCAAGGGAAGAGTCTGAGTCTGTTTTCTGTTGCTATAAAAGAATATCTGAGACTAGGTAGTTTATAAAGAGTAGAGGTTTATTTAGCTTATGGTTTCACAGGTTGGGAAGTTCAAGGGCATGGCCCTGGCTTCTGGCAATGGCTCTTATGCTGTGTCAAAACATGGTGGAGATGATCAAAAGGGAAGCAGGCATATGCAATGAGGGGAGGATCTGAGGGGCTCCTGGCTTTATAACAACTGACTCTCACTGGAACTAATCTATTCCCACAAGAACCAATCCCATCAAGAGAGAGAGGGCAGAAACTCACTACCAAGCCAGAGAACATCACCAAGCTATTCATGAGGGATGTTCCTCCACAGCCCAGACACTTCCTACTAGGCCCCAACTTCCAACACTACCACAGTGGGATCACATTTCAATGTGAGTTTTGGTGGGGACAAACTCCATCCATATCCAAACCACAGCAGGCAGGATCTGCAAGTGAAGCAGAAGAAGTTGTGTTTGGAGATTTGAGAAGGTGTGAAATATTACTTGGGAGAGTGGAAGAATGAACTGATGAGTTAATATAGTAGGACTGCTAGGCAGCACTTGAGGCTTGAGGTCATACATTTACAGTGAAATATACCTTGGCGTTCTTCTCTAGCCTCATTTAACTAACCAATCAGGCTTTAGTGCAAAGCAGGGAAAAGGTGGATCAAACTGGAGTTGGGTTCTTTGCCAGGAAAGTGGCAGAAGAAGAAAGGAGCCAGCAGAGTTGAAAATGTGGGCAAAGAAGTGAGTGCAATGGCAGGCCATGTAATATAAGCCAAGGAAGGATGAGTGTGTAGATGAAGAGGGCAGGGTTAATGGGTGAGAATTTCTCAGGGGGTGAAATAATTTTTGTAATGAGATTCTAGAGAGACCAAGCTAGAAAAATAGCAGATGGAGTTATCCTCAACTCTTCTTTGTCTCATAACTTAAGCGAATCCTGCAGGATTCACTTTCCAAATAAACCTAGAAACACCACCACTGCCACTCTGGTCCCAGCCACCCTTGGCTATCACTTGCCTGGATTATTGCAAGGGCCTATTGTCTTGTCTCTGTGCTTCTGTCTTCCACTCTCTATGGTCTAATTTTCCTACAGACCAATCCCGTTAAATAATCAATCAGATCATGTTACTTCCCTGCTCAACTCCTCCAGTGACTCCCCATCTCACCCAGGAGCAACTAATCCAAAATCTTTACTATGGCTAATTAGGTCCTATGTGATCTGGTCCTTGGTTATTTCCTCCAAAGTCATTATCGCCACTCTTCCCCTTGCTCAGTGCCCACTTGCTCTGGTGTGTGGCTATTCTTCTCGCAGGATAACTAAAATAAGGTTTCCAGGCCTTCCCATGTGCGATGTTCTTTTTTTTTTTTTTTTTTAAAGTTTTATTTTTTATTTTACTTTAAGTTCTGGGATACATGAGCTGAACGTGCAGGTTTGTTACATAGGTATACATGTGCCATGGTGGTTTGCTGCACCTATCAACCCGTCGTCTAGGTTTTAAGCCCCACATGCATTAGGTATTTGCCCTAATGCTCTCCCTCCCCTTTGTCCCCACCCCGCTGACAGGCCCCGGTGTGTGATGTTCCCCTCCCTGTGTCCATGTGTTCTCACTGCTCAACTCCCACTTGTGTGACGTTCTTATATGTCACTCGGTAGTCTGCTCTAATGATGACTCTCAGAGTCCTTCTTGGACACTCAATCTAAAATGGCAGTCCTGTTGCTCTAGAACTCCCCTTACCATTGTTTTATTTACCTTCATAACACGTATCACCACCTGGTGTTGTATGATGCTTGTTTGTTCACCATGATCTTTCCTTCAACAGAAGTGGCTTTGGTTCACTTGATGGCTTCTCAGGACTTAGAACAATGCTTGGCATATTGGCAAGACTGAATAAATATTTACTCAGTAAATGAATGAGGGGGTGAGCAAGATGGTGGCCGCGCACGAGGTCAGGTGTTCAGCTATCCTCACCGCTATCTGGTCCTCGATCTCACTCCGTTGTTTCTGATGGGAAGCAGTACAGTTATACCTGGGCACCAGGGGCAGCCTGACAGAGGCTGAGAGGCTGCTGGCCGCCAGCTTGGCCATCACGGCCGGCACCGTCCTCCTCTCTGCCCACTTCCTGCTTTGGCAGACCCTGGTGTCGTGGGCGGACTGGGCCCTCAGCGCCACACTCCTGGAGCTCCACGGCCTGGAGGCCATCTTGCAGGTGGTCGCCATCGCTGCCTTCGCCAGGCACTTCTGAAGACAGGTCAGGGCAGGAAGGCCGAGGATGGGAGCGCTGCAGAAGACAGCAGCCCTAGGCCGCTGGAGAACAGCTGCAGTGCTTAAATTCTGAGCCTCAGTCCACTAACATCTCAGCAGCATTTGCACTTAGCGCTAAACAAATTCTGTCTCTGTGATTTTTTTTTTCCATTTCTAGATTTACTATAAGTGATCCTTAAAAAGTATCTAATCTGTTATTTTATAGTAGCTTTCCTTCACTTGTTTTAATTGTGTGTTTTCGCTGTTTGGAATAATTACGTTCAAATAGCTAGATATTTTCTCTTCACTTTTTTTTTTCTTTTCTTTTTTTTTTTTTTTGAGACAGAGTCTGGCTCTGTCACCCAGGCTGGAGTGCAGTGGCATGATCTCGGCTCACTGCAACCTCTGCCTCGCAGGTTCAAGTGATTCTCCTGCCTCAGCCTCTCTAGTAGCTGAGATTACAGGTGCGTGCCACCACGCCTCGCTAATTTTTGTATTTTTAGTAGAGACAGGGTTTCACCATGTTGTCCAGGTTGGTCTCAAACTCCTGGCCTCAGGTGATCCACCCACCTCAGCCTCCCAAAGTGCTGGGATTACAGGCATGAGCCACCTTGCCTGGCTCTCTTCACTGTATGTTTTACATAAAGCAATATGTATGCCTTCAAAAAAAAAAAAAAAAAGAATGAATAAACTGCTTGTTCAAAAAGCTCACAGAGTACAATAATACCCTAGGCCTTCACATTCACTCACCACACTCACTGAGTCACCCAGAACAACTTCATACCCTAGGCCTTCACATTCATTCACCACACTCACTGACTCACCCAGAACAACTTCCAGTCCTGCAAGCTCACAGGGAACAATCTTACTCCACTCCCCACTTTCTACATAAGGAAATTAATGCCTTAAAGGGGTGTGATGCATCCAAAGAAACACAGCAAGTGGCAGAATTAAACTTGAAACTGATCTCCTAACTCTGAATGCCACCATCTCCTAACTAACTCCCTTCCTCATCATTCACACAACTACACTTTTGGTCTCAGTCCTCAGTGCCGTTTTGCCTGTTGCAACAGCCCCACAACTATTCTTCTTACATACTTTACCCTCTCTGGATCCCTCCCCCATTTCCTGACTATCCAAGTCAGAAGAATTTCTTTTTCACCTAGTACTGTATGCCAAACACTTATAACAGCAGGTTATATATAATGCTTTTTATTCTACTTAGTTCTCCCTACCCTGGAGAGCTATAAAATCCTTAAGGCATGTAGAGATATCTTATTAATCTTTGCATTTTGCAGCATCTGATATATCTCCTACACTTTTTTTTCTTTTCTTTTTTTTTTTTTTTTTGAGACAGAGTCTAGCTCTGTCGCCTAGGCTGGAGTGCAGGGGCATGATCTTGGCTCACTGCAACCTCTGCCTCCTGGGTTCAAGCAATTCTCCTGCCTCAGCCTCCCGAGTAGCTGGGATTACAGGTGCCTGCCACCATGCCCAGCTAATTTTTGTATTTTTAGTAGAGACGGGGTTTTACCATGTTGTCCAGGCTGGTCTCAAACTCCTGACCTTAGGTGATACACCCACCTCGGACTTCCAAAGTGCTGGGATTACAGGCGTGTGCCACTGCGCCTGGCCCCACATACACTCCTTTTTGGGGGGGGGGCAGGGGGGAACAGAGTCTTGCTTAGTTGCCCAGGCTGGAGTGCAGTGGTGCGATCTCAGCTCACTGCAAGCTCCGCCTCCCGGGTTCACGCCATCCTCCTGCCTCAGTCTCCCGAATAGCTGGGACTACAGGCACCCGCCACCATGCCCAGCCAATTTTTTTTGTATTTTTAGTACAGACAGGGTTTCACCATGTTAGCCAGGATGATCTCAATCTCCTGACCTTGTGATCCACCCGCCTCAGCCTCCCGAAGTGCTGGGATTACAGGCGTGAGCCACCACGCCTGGCCACTGGCCCCACATACACTCTTAAGAAACATTTATTGCACTGGCTGCTTTCTGTTTCTAAAACATTCTTCCAGAAATGAATGATTTTTCTGTTTCTAAAATGTTCTTCCAGAAATGCTCATTCTTTCAATCCCAATCACCTCTATGCTGAGTAAGGCCTATCCTTTTCATTTAACATTGCAACCGTCCCTCCAGTTTATTTTACTCGAGCATATGCCACTTTCTAACAGAGCAAAATTACTTACAGTCATGTGCAGCATAATGACATTTCAGTCAACAACAGGCCGCATATATGATGGTGGTCCCATAAGATCATAACGGAGCTGAGAAATTTCTATTGCCTAGTGATGTTGCAGCCATCATAACACAGCACAACGCATTACTCTTGCTTGTGGTGATGCTGGTGTAAACAAACCCACTGCCCTGAGAGTCATATAAAAATATGACACATATAAAAATATGAGGCCCGGCTCAGTGGCTCACACCTGTAATCTCAGCACTTTGGGAGGCTAAGGCGGGTGGATCACCTGAGATCAGGAGTTTGAGACCAGCCTGGACAACATGGTGAAACCCCGTCTCTACTAAAAATCTACTAAGTATTGCTGGAACCCAGGAGGCAGTGGTTGCAGTGAGCTGAGATCGTGCCACTGCACTCCAGCCTGCGTGACAAGAGTGAAACTCCATCTCAAAACCAACAAAAAAACAAAATATGACACAATTATGCATAATACATCATACTTGATAATGATAACAAGTGACTATGCTACTGGTTTATGTATTTACCATACTATATTTTTTGTTATTTTATTTTATTTTATATATATATATTTTTTTGAGACGGAATCTCGCTGTCGCCCAGGCTGGAGTGCAGTGGCGCGATCTCGGCTCACTGCCGGCTCCGCCCCCCGGGTTCACGCCATTCTCCTGCCTCAGCCTCCCGAGTAGCTGGGACCGCAGGTGCCCGCCACCTCGCCTGGCTAATTTTTTGTATTTTTAGTAGAGACGGGGTTTTGCCGTGTTAGCCAGGATGGTCTCGATCTCCTGACCTCATGATCCGCCCGCCTCGGCCTCCCAAAGTGCTGGGATTACAGGCGTAAGCCACCACGCCCGGCCAGTATTTTTTGTTATTTTAGAAGGTATTCCTACTTATGAAAAAAACTTAACTGTAAAACAGCCTCAGGCCGGTCCTTCAGAAAATATTCCAGAAGTGGGTATTGTTATCATAGGAGATAACAGCTTCATGGGTGTTATTGCCCCGAGGAACTTCCAGTAGGACAAGATGTGGAGGGGAAGACAGTGATATTGATGCTGCTGACCCTGTATCCTGTGTAGGCCAAGGCTAATATGTGTGCTTGTGTCTTAGTGTTTAATAAAAAAGTTTAAAAAGGAAAACATTTTAAATAGAAAAATGGTTACATAATAAGGATATAAAGAAAATATCTTTGTACAGCTATACAATGTATTTATGTTTTAAGCTGTGTTATTACAAAACAGTCAAAAAGTTTAAAAAATTTAAAAGCTTACAAAGTAAAAAAGTTACAATAAGCTAAGGCTAATTTACTATTGAAGAAAGAAACATATTTCTTTTTTGTAGAGATGGGTTCTCAGTTTGTTGCCCAGGCTAGTCTTGAATTCCTGGACTCATGCAATCCTCCCACCTTGGCCTCTCAGAGTGCTGGGATTACAGGTGTGAGCCACTGAAACTGGCTAGAAAAATTTTTCTTTGTAAATGTGGTGCAGCCTAAGTGTGCAGTATTTATAAAGCCTGCAATAGTGTACAATAATGCCCTAGGCCTTCACATTCACTCACCACACTCACTGACTCACCCAGAGCAACTTCCAGTCCTGCAAGCTCCATTCATGGTAAGTGCCCTATTGAGGTGTACCATTTTTCATCATTTCTGCTGCATTTTTATTGTGCCTTTCCTAGGTTCAGATACACAAATGCTCACCATTATGTTACAATTATCTAGAGTATTCAGTATAATAACATGCTGTAGCCTAGGAGCAACAGGCTATATACCGGGGGTCCCCAGCCCCAAGGCCGTGCACTTGTACCCATCTGTGGCCTGTTAGGAACTGGGCTGAACAGCAGGAGGTGAGCGGCAGTCAAGCAAGCATTACTGCCTGAGCTCCGCCTCCTGTCAGATCAGCGGCAGCATTAGATTCTCATAGGAGCGCAAACCCTATTGTGAACTGTGCATGTGAGGGATCTAGGTTGTGCGCTCCTTATGAGACTCTAACTAATGTCTGATGATCTGACATGGAACAGTTTCATCCCAAAACTGCCCCACCCACCCCAGTCTGGTCCATGAAAAAATAGTCTTCCATGAAACTGGTCCTTGGTGACAAAAAAGCTGGGGGCCACTGGGCTATCCCATCTAGCCTAGGTGTGTAGTAGGCTGTACCGTCTAGGTTTGTGTAAGTATACCCTATGATATTTGTACAATGACCAATCACCTAACAATGCATTTCTCAGCATGTATCCCTGTCATTACACAATGCATGACTGTATTTGCTCTTAGTGCCTCCCCGTGAAATCAAAGCTCCATCAAAGACAGAGATTTCTTGCATTTGCTTTACTGTTACATCTCCAACACCTAGAATAGTCTCTGGCACATAGAAGGTGATCAATAAGTCCTTATTTTGCAAAGGAATTATAATTTTGTGCTTGAAGGAGCTCTTTTTCAGAACACATTACAGAGGGGTGAGGAGTGTTTCTGGGTCCTAAATGACCACCACTGCTGGCTGTACAGCTTGGATGCATCCGTGCATCACAGTGACCTAGTGAATGGCAGGAAGGGCCATGAAGATTAATAAAGATTTGGACTCAGGGCAAATATTTACTTAGTAGCAATAACTCAAAGAATTACTGTTGAATAAATAAGCCAACTAAGCAGCCAATCACGTACTATGCGGATGCACACAAATGAAACCCTCACTTCAACCTGAAGACATTCGCACATGAGTTACGTAGAGGGACCTGCAGGAAGCGGTAGAGAAAACATAAGGCTTATGCGTTTAATTTCCACACCAATTTCAGGATCTTTGTCACTGACAGCAGCACTAAGACTTGTTAACTTTATATAGTTAAGAAGAACAAGGCTGAGCGCGATGACTCACGCCTGTAAGCCTAGAACTTTGGGAGGCCAAAGCAGGCAGACTGCTTGAGCCCAGGAGTTCCAGACCAGCCTGGGCAACATGGCAACACCCCATCTCTACAAAAAAATACAAGAATCAGCTGGGCGTGGTGATGTGTACCTGTAATCTCAGCTACTCGGGAGGCTGAGGCAGGAGGATCACTTGAACCCAGGAGGTTGAGGCTACAGTGAACCGTGACTGCGCCACTGCACTCCAGCCTGGGCAACAGACTCAACAGAGTGAGATCCTGTCTCAAAAACAAAAAACAAAACAACAACAACAACAAAAACACAAAAAACAGAGTGCTGCAATTAATCGAATCATGAGGAATAAGCAAAAGGATGGAAAACATGCCCTAAGGTCATCGAATTGGCTACGTTATAGTGGGTGGCAAGTGGCTTTTTTGATGCTCCACAGAATCAAGAAATGGTTAATACAACACTGAATGAGGTAGCTCAAAGAGAAGAATGTTAAGGAAAGAAGGGAGTGGGGGAGGCAGGAAGGGGAAGAAGGCAGTTAGCTATTATGATAGTATAATTTGTTAGCTGATATTTAATTAGTATATAATAATGTCTAATTAATATATATTTGATAAAATAATTTGATATTTATTTTATTCTGAAACCAATTTCTTAACAGAGATTGCCTTGAGATGACATTCAGATCTAATGATTTAACATTTTTCTAATATACTTCAACTTGGTTCTACTTATTTAAGAAAAGGAAAAATACAAGTTCCCCATAAATATCTCTAATGATATATTCCAAGGATTTCAAAATACTTTTACCCGAGAACAAGATTAACCTGAATTTTTATTTTTATTTTTTGAGAAAGGGTCTCACCCAGTTGCCCAGGCTGGAGTGCAGTGGTGCAAACACGTCTCACTGTAGCCTTGACTTCCCGGGCTTAAGCAATCCTCCCACCTTAGCCTCCCGAGTAGGTGGCACTACAGGTGCGCTACCACACCCAGCTAGTTTTTGTTCTATTTTCTGTAGAGACAAGGTCTTGCTACATTGCCCAGGCTGGTCTTGAATTCCTGAGTTCAAGTGATCTGGCCACCGTGGCCTCCCAAAGTGCTGGGATTACAGGTGTGAGCCACCACGCCCAATCAAACCTGGATTTTTAAAAATCACAAAAGTAACAAAAATTTTATAGCAGCAAAGAAAGTTAAGATTTGAAAGTGGCTGGTGCTTTTGTAAGAGACCAAATATAGGAAAGCCATGAGGGCAGACACTGTAACTTGGAGAGGGTTGGGAGGGACCCCAGAAAATAGCTCTCCTCCCACAAACACCAGGCAGGTCCTCCCCACTGTCTACCTCCTCCCTTTCACAAAAAGAAGGACGCTGTGGGTCCCAAGGAGACCTGTCAAGGGTCCCACAGTCAACTTCTCATTCCTGGTCTAGTGATGCCAGTGCCAGCAAATCACACTAAGGTAATTATTACGGAAACATTTGTGTTTACTGGGATGTCATGACATATCACATCATATAAAGGATGACTTTTATATATATTCCCTTATACACGACCATTTTCTTCGCACTCATTTTCAGCAGGATAGGAGCCTGTTTTCTAGGGGGTGATTTGTCGACCCTCTCACACACATCTGGGAGAGGGCTGCTTGGCCATCGGGGTCCGTGGCAATGGTACAGAGGAGTAGAAACTAATGCAGAGGCTAACTTCCCTCAGAGTTGAGTGTCATGGTAAGCAAAGAGCTATGTGAGAATTTAGAAATTATTTTTCCATTCTCCAGAAAAATCTTAGGATGCTGTCATGACAATGCCAATTTGCTAGTGGTCTCTACACACCCAGAAACCATCTGTCTCACTGGGCCCCACTATAAACTTCTCTTCCTTCTCTGAGCATCAGTATAAGGCTAAAGTGTATCTGAATAAACAGAAGTCCTACTCTGTAATTCACCTTCTGGTTTTCATTTTCCACTCATGCCAACAAGAGAAAAATAAAAATTTTCAAAATTAAGGTTCAGATTAATTTTGAAATGGCTGCTTTACTCATTATAGTAAGATACCGTCTTTGTATATTTTAAAGGCTCAAAGGAGTAATCCAATATGTGAAAATACCTTTCAAGAAATAGGAAAAACATTCTGTGATAAAAATCTGGGTGGGGAGGTAAGGAATAGGAAGTTGTTGACCAAAGGGGACAACATTTCAGACAGGAGGAATAAGTTTTTAGATCTATTGCACAGCAGGATGACTACAATCTCTAATAATAAATTGTATATTTCAAAATAACTAAGAGTGTAAATTTCAAATGTCTTGCCGTAAAAAAAAAGGTAAGCACAGTGACAGATACGTTAGTCTGATTTAATCATTCCATATTGTATCAAATCATCACACTGTGCTCCATAAATGTATATAATTATGACTTATCAATTTAAAATATTAATTACAAAATGTAGACCAGGCGCGGTGACTCATGCCTGTAATCCCAGCACTTTGGGAGGCTGAGGTGGGCAGATCACTTGAGGTCAGGAATTCAAGACCACCAGCCCAGCCAATATGGTGAAACCCCGTATCTACTGAAAATACAAAAATCTGCCAAGCGTGGTGGCGTGTGCCTGTAATTCCAGCTACTTGGGAGGCTGAGGTACGAGAATTGCTTGAACCTGGGAGATGGAGTTTGCAGTGAGCCAAGATTGCATCACTGCACTCCAGCCTGGGCGACAGAGCAAGCAAGATCTCACCAAAAAAAAAAAAAAAAAGAATCTAAAAAACAATCTGGGTGAAGATCATTTGAAGATCAAAAATTTAAGGTAGTAATTTCCCTTTTGCTTTTTGAGGCAGGGTCTTGTTTTATTGCCCAGGTTGGAGTACAATGGAGTGACCACAACTCAAATTCCTGGGCTCAAGGGATCCTCCTGTCTCATCCTTCCAAGTAGTTGATACAACAGATGCATGCCACAATGCCTGGCTTAATTTCCCATTTTTTGATCAACTATTATTTTATTCTCTGAAGTTACCTATTTGAGGAAAAGGACAATAAATTTTGAATAATGTTCTCCAATCAATAAGGCATTTATAAATTGGCCTAATTCCATTGAAAGTTTTTAATTAATTAAAAATGGTTGTGAAACAAAACACTATTCATCAAATCTTATTTTAAGTAATTCCAGTGTCAATCCACATTACTTAGTAAATGAAAATAAAACTACATAAATGAAAATCTTCATATATTTTTACTCTTTCATGTGTATTTAGTATTGAGAAAATTACTTATCTTAAGTGGTTTGTGCATATCACCAGAGATGGCAGAGGAAAAGGAACCCAAATGTAAAATAGCATCACTAAATGAATTGGCTAGTGCAATAATATTAAGTAAATGCACTTCTTCTATTCTGTCTCTATTAATAACACTGAGCACTGTAAACAGTGGGTTCTGCTATTATGATCAGAGTTCTTCTTTGTCATACAACTGAGTCCTTGGTCATATGAAAACTCAAACAAAAGAAATAAGCCCTTTATTTTTCTAACCAAAAAAGAATATTTGAGATGCACAAATACACTGATTTTACGTCTCCTTTATGAATTCCTTAGATTATAATCTTACCTTTTAAAAAATTAGGATAGTTTTATATTTTCTGAAAAGCTGCAAAGAGTATTGCAAGTTTCCTGTGTACCCTTTACCCAGTTTCCATTTATGTTACTCTTACATAATTATGGCGCATTTGTCAAAACCAAGAAATTCACTTGAGACAATACTATTGATTAAAATACAGGCTCAATTTTGATTTTACCAGTTTGTCCACATATATCCTTTCTCTGTTCTGGGACCCAACCCAGGACCCCGTGTTGAACTTTGAAGCTTACCTTTTGATCTGTTTCTTCATCTTCATCTTGGTAATCATCACAGAATGGGCTGGCGTTGGCCGCAAAGGTGGGTCCCTGAGAGTAGTACTGAGAACTGCGGTAGCCATCATGCCGCAACTTATCGCATTCTGCAGAGGGGCACGCAGGGAGGGGAAGGAGGCCATTAAAAAGCTGTACTCCTCTTTACTTACTTTACGTTTACTCCTCTTTTTTACTTTTTAAAGTTATATTTTTCTAGGCATTAATAGGATTTTAAAATAATGATAAAAACAGCTAAGAATTATTAAAGTACCTACTACACACTACATACCATATATCAATTAAATATTAATTAATATTAATACTTGATAAGATTGTATTCAGAGATCACAACCATCCTGTGAGGTAGACACCATCATTAATTCTACTTTACTCACAGGACATTGAAGTTTAGGGTAATTATATTATTTGCTCAATAATGTTATGCAAGTGAGCAGTGGACTCGGAATATTAATCCAGGGCCTTAGTTACCAGATTATGTGATGATATTATTCCACATAAAAAAAAAAAGTGATGCTAATGCTATGCTTGTTTCCTAGACTCATTAGCTGGAAGTGACACATGAGATCATGGATTATAATGCTCTCATTTTATATTAATTTTCTCAATTTAATTTTGATGTCAAACAGCCTGTAAATGCTGTGTGGAATTTAATAGGAAGGCAGGTGCCAGCCTGAGACATCTGCCAGTCCACAGAGGAATGCGTGGCACCACTATGGTGCCATGGATCTCGGGGTACTGGGGCCACTGGCTGTGTGGAAAGGAGGATCCCCTTCTAGGGGAAAGCACTGTGCTGGCGGCTCTCATGGGTGGGGGCCGGTGCTGTAAGAAAACTTCCAATGGCTCTTTAAAGCACCAAGATGCACAAAGGGGCATTTGCCTCAAAAAAGGATTTGCCACAGGGTTCCTTTAACTATCCAGCTTTCTAAAGGAGCACAAAACGTGTGTGGTTTTGGAAAAGTTTTCTCTTTGCATAGCTTTATAAAAACCATGCACCTACAGGCACAGAACTAAACTAGGGCATCTTCAGAGTTCCTTTCTGACATCAGGATCCATGATTCTTCCTCAAAGAGGAGACGGCAGTCACTTCAGTGGAGGGCTAAAAATATTAGACCAATTTTAAATAAGCCAGGGGATAAAAAAAAAAGTCCTGATTCTCCTTTGCTACCTCACAGAGGGAGTGGAAGGACAACGTTTACAATTCAGAACTGCAAATCAGACAAAAATGAGGATCTGTTAGAATGGCAAACTAATGAAAAAATGCATATGTTAATCATAAAATAGCTAACTAATACTACTTCAGTTACTTATAGGTCAAAAATGTTGTGGTCTGGGCTGGCAACTACTTGTAATATTGATTAAAATGGATATTTAAAGAAAATTTCTGAAAATTCCAGAACACAACATATTTTTAATGAGAATTTACTCATATTAATCTAACTCTTTATAAGAAATATTTTCACATTTTCTCCATTTGACAATTTTCCTGAAATAAAGAGTATGATTAGAAACTATATTCTCAGGCTGGGCGCGGTGGCTCATGCCTTTAATCCCAGTACTTTGGGAGGCCAAGGCAGGAGGATCATCTGAGGTCGGGAATTCAAGACCAGCCTGACCAACATAGAGAAACCCTGTCTCTACTAAAAATACAAAATTAGCCAGGTGTGGTGGCGCATGCCTGTAATCCCAGCTACTCGGGAAGGTTGAGGCAGGAGAATCGCTTGAACCCGGGAGGCAGAAGTTGCGGTGAGCCGAGATCGCACCACTACACTCCAGCCTGGGCAACAAGAGTGAAACTCGGTCTCAAAAAAAAAAAAAAAAGAAGTTTTATTCTCACTCTACAGAGATAATGTTATATAAAACATGATTAGTAGTTTTCTTCTTTTTTTTTTTGAGACAGGGTCTTACTCTGTCACGCAGGCTGGAGTGCAGTAGCATGATGATCACGGCTCACTTCAGCCTCAATCTCCTAGGCTCAAGTGATCCTGCCACCTCAGCTTCCTGAGTAGCTGGAACTATAGGTACATGCCATCACACCTGGCATTATTTTATTTTTTTTATTTTTTAGATACAGGGACTCACTATGTTACCTAGGCTGGTCTTAAACTCCTGGACTCAAGCGATCCTTCCACCTTGGCCTCCCAAAGTACTGGGATTATAGCCGTGAGCCACTGAACCCGGTCTGATTAGTAGTTTTCAAATGGTATTTTCTGCAGAGTTCAGGGATTCTGTAAATACTGGATTAGATTTTCTTTAAATAGCCACCTTAAAGCTAAGATTAAAAAATAACACTCAAGAATGGCTACAATTAAAAAGCAAGGCCGGGCATGGTGGCTCACACCTGTAATCCCAGCACTTTGGGAGGTTGAGGCCGGTGGATCACTTGGCGCTAGGAGTTTGAGACCAGCCTGGGCAACATGGCAAAACCCCGTCTCTACTAAAAATGCAAAACAAAAACAAAAACAAAAAAAAGCCAGGCATGGTGTCACACGCCTGTAATCCCAGCTACTCCATAGGCTGAGGCAGGAGAATTGCTTGAACCTGGGAGGCAGAGGTTGCAGTGAGCTGAGATTACACCACTGCACTCCAGCCTGGGCAACAGAGTGAGACTCTGTCTCAAAAAACAAAACAAAACAAAAGTCAAAAGCAACAGATGTTGGCATGGATGTAGACAAAAGGAAACATTTACACACCATTGGTGGGAATGTATATTAGTACAACTTCTATGGAAAACAGTATGGAGATTTCTCAAAGAACTAAAAATAGAATGACCATTCAACCCAGCAATCCCACTACTGAGCATCTATCCAAAGGAAAAGACATCATTATAGAAAAAAGATACCTGCACTCATATGTTTATCACAGCACTATTCACAACAGCAGAGCTATGGAATCAACCTAAGTATCCATCAACAGTTGACTGAATAAAGAAAATGTGGTAGATACACACCATGGAATACTATGCAGCCATAAAAAAAGAATTAAATCATATAATTTGCAGCAACCTGGACAGAGTTGGAGGCCATTATCCTGAGTGAAATAACTCAGAAACAGAAAATCAAATAGTGCATGTTCTCACCTTATTAGTGGGAACCAAACAATTGGTACACATGGACACACAGATGGAAATAAATAGACACTGGGGACTCCAAAGGGAGGGAGGATGGAAGGAGGGTGAGGGTTAAAAATTACCTACTGGGGGCCCGCGCCAGTAGCTCACGCCTGTAATCCAAGCACTATGGGAGGCCGAGGCAGGCGGATCACCTGGGGTCAGGAGTTAGAGACCAGCCTGGCCAACACAGAAAAACCCCCGTCTCTACTAAAAATACAAAAATTAGCCGGGTATAGTGGTGGGTACCTGTAACCCCAGCTACTTGGAAGGCTGAGGCAGGAGAATTGCTTGAACTTGGGAGGCAGACTGCAGTGAGCCCAAGATCATGCTATTGTACTCCAGTCTGGGCAACAAGAGCGAAACTCCATCTCAGAAAAAAGAAAAAAAATTATCTATTGGGTACAATGTTCATTGTTTAGGTGATGGGTACACTACAAGCCCAAAGCTCACCATTACACAATATACCCATGTAACAAACCTGCACATATACTCCCTGAATCTAAAAAAAAAAAAAAAAAAAAAAAAAGACTCAAGTTCAATAGTTTTACATACCAAATTTTAAGACAATGAGGGACTTAATTTATTAACTTATGCTGCTAAATTAACTTTCCTGTGGTCCTAGAAATAAAGCTATTCCTGCTATCTCTGTAAAACTAAAGTCTAAAGATCAGAGTGAAACTTGTAAAATAAACCAATATAAACTATTACCATTTGCAGCTACTTATCTATGTAATTCAGGGTTTTGAAATATTTCACAAATATAGAGAGAAGTCCAAAGCCCTTTTAAACTAAATTAATTTGTTGTTCAAAATTGTTTTATTTGTTTCATTAAATGAACCCTATAAGAAGTTTAAATTATAGGGTAGGGCATAGTGGGTCACACCTGTAATCCCAGTGCTTTGGGAGGCCAAGGTGGGAGGATTGCTTGAGGCCAGGAGTTCAAGACCAGCCTGAACAACATAATGAGACCGCATTTCTAGAAAAAAATTCTTTTTAATTAGCCGGGCATGGTGGCATGTGCCTGTAGTCCCAGCTACTCAGGAGGCTGAGGCAGGGGCATTGTTTGAGCCCAGGAGTTTGAAGCTGTGGTGAGCTATGATTGGGCTACTGCACTCCAGCCTGGGAGACAGAGCAAGACCATGCCTCTAAAATGTATAATAATAGTAAAATGACTAATAATAAATAATTATGTTTTAAAAATTTAAATTATAAAACTTAACACTACTCAAACATTACTTTTACAAATATATGTAAGGTATTGGATACCAAGGAAGACTGTGTTTCAAAAGGACGTTTCCCTGGGAAATAAGAAGAGACTGCTGGGCAAGATCATTTCTAAGGATGATTATTAGTTTTATATTCTTGGCAATAATATTGAAAATAGCCAAAATGACTTGACACGTGTTAGATTTTAAAAGACCAAATATTGCAAAATCATCATCCACAAGTTAAAAGCATGAAAGACCAGCAACTATTAGTACTTCCAGTGTGTGTCACCTTTTTGAGCCCAGTTTAGAAGACAATGCATCTTTTTTTCACCATGAAATTTATGTCACTTTTTTTTTTTTTTTTTTTTTTTTTTTTTGAGACTGAGTTTCGCTTTTTTTGCCCAGGCTGGAACAGAGTGCAATGGTGCAACCTCTGCCTCCCAGGTTCAAGCGATTCTCCTGCCTCAACCTTCTGAGTAGGTGGGAATACAGGCATACACCACCATGCCTGGCTAATTTTTGGTCAGGCTGGTCTCAAAGTCCTGACCTCAGGTGATCTGCCTGCCTTGGCCTCCCAAAGTGCTGGGATTACAAGTGTGAACCACCGCGCTGGCCATAAAAATGTTTTAATAGCAGTATAATAAATGGTAGTAGAACAAATGAAATATGATGCTGATCTAAGATAAGACTAGACAATATAAATTCATGGCAGCTGACCAATTTTTTTTTGCTCTTATCACATTTCTGAAATCTAGTAAACTCATAAAATTCCACTGTCATTTATTCCAACTCTAGAGGAAATTCAGAAAATTCTCCTCTTGTCAAGTTGCAACAGAGCTCAGGTTCTAAAACCATGGTTTTGTTCATTAGAATTGGAGTTTCTTGTCTGTGGGGTGAAACAAAAGTGAGAGCAAGCCATCACGAATAAGCAAAGACTTTTTAAACACTGAACTGAGAGAGTAACTGCAAAGCAGAGCATAATTTAAAGCCAGGTTATGCCTGCGACCACAGGCTAGAAACAAGATCCTAAATGTAAAAGAAGACCAATCGTTCACACATATTCTTCTTGCAACAGAAATTTACAGCAAAACTGTGTTATTGTTCTCACACTACTGCTTGGATAAAGGTATCACTGTTGGTTGTGTCCTCTAGTTTCCCAACCTTAAATTTCCTCCTCCTTCCTTTCGTGTCAATCCATTTTCCATAGCACAAGGACGAGGGACAAACATTTCTTGGTAGACCAAAGTTTCAAATACAGAAGAAAAAAATAATGTCATAGCGCTAGATGGTCATCTGACTCTCACATGAATTTATTACTGCTGTGGCCTCCAAATCTCTATGCATTAAGCTATTCTTTAGTCATTCAATTTTTAATATAGTAGTCCCTGACTTATACTCAGGGTATATGTTCCAAGACCCCTGGTGGATGCCTGAAACCACAGACAGTACCAAATCCTATCTATTGCTATGTTTTTTTCCTAGACATCTATACCTATGATAATGTTTGAGGTGTGACAGGAAAACTAGCAGGAGCTTCTTTTTCCTTTTTCACAATTTCTCAGATGGAAGATTCATTTTTACCATGGATCTTAGCAACGTCAGCATATGATTTTCTTTTGCTGTCCTTTTTAAGTCAAAAGCTTTCACCTTTTCACTTAAAGGAGACACTTGACAGCTTCTTTGGCATATCCAAATGGCCAGCATTACTCCTCTTGTCCTTTGGGGCCATTATTAAGTAAAATAAGGGTGACTTGAATACAAGCACTGAGATGCTGACAGGCAATCTGATAACCAAGCTGGCTACAAACTGACTGATGGACGGGCAGTGTCTGCAGCGTGGATCCGATGGACAAAGGGAGGTTTCATGTCTTAGGCAGGATGGAGGGGGCTGTTGTGAGATTTCATCACACTGCTCAGAATGGCAAAAACTTTAAACTTATAAATTGTTCACTTCTGGAATTTTCCATTTAAAATTTTCAGACCATGGTTGACTGCAGGTAGCTGAAACTATGGAAAGTGAAACCACAAATAAGAGAGGACTACTTTAAACATGCTATTATCTACATGAGGAAAATGCAAGGTGCTTTGTGATGCTGATAAAAGTACGTGGACATTTTTATCACTGACTTCTGTAATTTGTCATGATGGATTTCTTCATATGCATAATTCCACAAAAGGAAGCATACGATGCAGTGAAAATTTTCCCAAGTTTATTATAAAGATTCTGAAATATAATCTGAAGGGGTAAAGTCCTTAAATAGATGGTTACTAAGTATGACCTGCTTAAATGAGAGGGAGATGGAGAAATAGAAGAAACAGAAATTGAATGCGAAGTGGAATAAGATGGGATTGTTTTTCTATTTCCCAAGAAAATGATATGGGAAGATGAGGGGATGCTAAAAGAAAAAAAGTAAGAAGTTTGTTGACTTCTTAGATTGCGTGAGAAAGGCAAAGAACTGACGGAAGCAGCAGTCATTCCTCTGTATCAGAAGGGGATTGGTTCCAGAACCCCAGAATATCAAAATCCATGCATACTAAACTCCTGCAAATCGTAGACCCAGAAAGTCGGTTTTCTGTATAATGCAGGTTTCACACCCTGTGAATATTGTATTTTCCATTCTCATTTGGTTTCAGATGCAGAAAATACCTGAGTATTGTATTTTCCATTCGCATTTGGTTTCGGTTGCAGGACCCAGAATGTATGGAGGGCTGACTGTATTGAAAAAATCCATATAAGTGGACCCTCCAAGTTCAAATGTGTTGTGTTCAAGGGTCAACTGTATTTCAAACAAGCACTGCAGTGTGAAAAGCCAGAAGGACCAGTTCGGTAGGCCAGTTGTCATTTTTCCGGTCATGGGTAGTGTTGACGTGTATGAGTATGAGCTCCTAGGAAAGTTTTGAAACATTCAGGTCAAAGCATAATTTGTTATTTCTAGCATGGTATTCTACATATATCATATTTTAAAAACTGAATGTGGTTTATTTTTAATAGCATTGAATCTTTTGCAACCTTCCTACTGTAATTCAAGGTCATTAAGCATTGGGAGGACTCCAGTCCCAAAGTTAATTATAAAAATAGCAGTCATGATGTACTGCTTCAGTGAGAAAGTCCTATGATGATCTAGAGTCTAAAAAATCTTTTTTCGGATGACTGATTTTTAAAGCTAATACTACTGACACTTTTTAAAACTGAAAGCCTCTTGTTATCATTACCTGATTTGTGTTTACAATAATTCTCTGAGAATTGAAGGAAAGCAGTTATTGTATCAGTCTTACAGATTCTGAAGCCCAGGTATAAAGTTTCTGGTAGATCGAAGTTTTTAAACTTCTATCTCAGTTAATAATCTACCAGATTATTAATAACAGGGTAAAAGGCCAGTTCTATCACAAAACTTCATCTTAGTCCAGAAGGACTGAGAATACATAAGACTATAAACATTCATGTTTAGAAGAAAATGAATTCCAGCCCAATAGCTGAATGAAGTATTGTATAGCTAAATAATCTAGTTTGAGCTTTCAAATAAATACACAGGAAAAACTGACTGCACCTAAATATCATGTATTGTGAATATTAGAGAACTTATTTTCTTAATGAAAAACCAAACCAAAGTGCATTTAAAATAGAAGGGATTTATTTACCTACCCCTTCATAAATTTGTTGGGCTTGGCAATACTGGAAAAGAGAAAGAAATCATACTGATATAGTTAGGATTCTCCCTTGTCACTCATGCACGATGAATTTTCCAAAAATATGTTTAGATTTTCCATAAATTCTTCAAAGCAGTTGAACTTCAATTTATTTAAATTGTCTTCAACAATAAACAAACTAGAACATAATTAAAAGACAATAGATGTTCAAACATTTAAGTCACTCAGTTGTGTGTAGCATATCAAAGAGGTGAAAAGCTGTTTTAAATCTCAAAGACACTGTGTATTTAATACAGATCTTTTCAATGAATATTTTCCTTTATAATTTATAGTAGTTTTAAATAAGTTTCAAATAAATAGGCCCTTTTGGTTTATTATTAGACTAATGATTTATTCTTTTCTCCCTTCCCCTCTTTTTAGAGCAAGAGCTGTTTTATGTAGCTATACAGGAATATGTATAACAGCATAAAAGCATGCTTTTATATTTCAAGTATTAAACTCAAATTTGCCTCCTAATAAATGCAAATTTGAGCCCATAAGACCACTTCTTCACCAATTATCACTTCAGTGACACTTAGCATTCAAAGTAACATAAAACATAAAAAAGAGAAAATACATGTCTTTAACGAGTAAGCCCAAGACTTTCTAAAAGTTCTAAAAGTAAATATTTTATCTCTTAATGGAATCTATAAAGACAAAACATTCCAGGTAATAGAGTACAATGTGCTTAGCTGCAGGTGAAGCAAGAAAGAGAGGGCCAATATGAAAGTATGCCAACTATCACCCTGGTGTCAGGGAAAAGGGAAATTTCCTGAAGGGACTAAGTCTTACTTTGCCTTAAAAAAAGAAGATGAAGCCGGGCGTGGTGGCTCACGCCTGTAATCCCAACATTTGGGAGGCCAAGGCGGGCGGATCACAAGGTCAGGAGTTCAAGACCAGCCTGTTCAACATGGTGACACTCCATCTCTATTAAAAATACAAAAATTAGCTGGGCGTGGTGGCGGGTGCCTGTAGTCCCAGCTACTCAGGAGGCTGAGGCAGGAGAATTGCTTGAACCCGGGAGGCGGAGGTTGCAGTGAGCTGAGATGGCACCACTGCACTCCAGCCTGGGTGACAGAGCGAGACTCCGTCTCAAAAAAAAAAAAAAAAAAAAAGGAGGATGAAAGTTATCTAGACTTATACCACCAGAAAGTTGGAAAAGAGAAAGTCAAGCTGGTGACAATTATGTTTTCTTTCCAACCTCCAGGTTCAGTGATTCTCCTGACCTGTGCTTTGGCCAGCCATTTTTTTCTAAACCTCTGAATACTCTTCTTCCAGACAGTCAAGGCAGAGCTAGCTTGGAGAAAACACAGAATGAATACACAGAGGCATCAACACCAGTTTCTCAAGTCACCTTTGCCACCAACGAGAGAGAAGAGCAGCAGCAGTCAAGAGCACCAACTCTGAAACTGGGTAGCTGTGTCTTGGAATCCTAACTTGTAGCTTGTAAAGGGTAGTGGGACTAAAGGGTTACATTCCCGCCTTCAAGGTGCTTACAGTTTAGCTGCCTGATTAAACAAATTCACAGGCCAATGTACAGAGCAGTGGCATCCCAAATTAAGGTACATCAGAATCCCCTGGAGGGCTTGTTATAAAAATACTGCTGAGTCCACTCCCATATCTGATTCAGTAGGTCTGGGATGGAGCCTGACAACTTGGATTCCTAGCAAGTCCTCAATCAATGCTGATGCAGCTGTCCTGTGAGCCACACCGTGAGAAAACTGTTTCAGAGTAAGGCAAATACCTAAAGAGAAGTAGAAATAAAATTAAAGGGATCAACATGATATCCATTTAGGGTGGAGGTAAAAGTGAAAGAGGAGAAGTCTTCTCTACTCAGAGGAGGTGTTCGGTGGGGATCCCAAAGAGGGCAATAGAATTTTGCTTCCTACATATTCCACATGACAAATGATAAAATGCCCAAAGGAAAAGAGGGTTGGTCTGTTCTTTTTATTATGTCACAAATGATCCACACTCGCCAAGCGAATAACTTAAAAGGGAACATAGGATAAAGAATTTAGCTGATATGGTACAGATCAATGGTGGGGGAATGCTATATCTGGTATCTACTTTTAGTCCCTAAAGAATGCCATTTTGTTTCAGGAAAAGCTTTAGCTTTGCTACTGTAGAAATGTGTCTTACATGTCAAGATTTCCTTAAAATGCTTGGAGGGTTCTTACATTTATTTTAACATTCCACTCCAGCTGCAACTGCAGGGAAAACTTCCTGATCAGGCCTCCACCATCTCTCACCTGATGGTGACCTCCACCTGGTCTCCTACATTGACACCCCTGTCTCCTTTACTGTGAACTTTCAACACACAATCAGATGGATCCATTTCAAACTAATGAGTCAGATTATGTCACTTCTAAGTTCAAATCTCTCCACGCCCTGAATGTAAAAGCCAAAATCCTCCTAATGGTTTCTAAGCCCTACATGATATGGCTCAATGTGGGTGGCTGGCTGGTGCTCGGTGAGTTCCTTAAATGAATGAATGATCTGTATTTGTTGGACAGTAGCGTGCTTGAAGGGGTACTGTAACTATATGACAAAGGTGATGGCCCCATTGGTCACCCAGGTAGATTTTATCCTCAGCCACATTTTCCACCTTCATTAACCCAAGGCATATGACCTGACCTCCCATTAAATGGGCCTCTTCTCCCATCCACAACTCACATATTTGAGTAATAAGAGGATGAGAGGAGAGTAGGTGGAACAGAATGAATAAGGAAGATGATGTCTGGTGCACCATCATGGTTATCTATCCAAGGAAATTTTGTCTCAGTAGAATTTCAGGGAAACTGACCAATCTAGGATTAAAAAGCTAACTGCATCATGGGCAACTCCCCAAAGCTTTCTAGTCAGACAGAACAGATGCCACAGGAAAGCTGCATTTTCAGAAAAAGCTTGCAGGCAAGTGTAGGCGGGGAGTAAGATGTAAGAGAGGAGGTGGTGACAGAATGCTACCTTTGAAATGGACAGGTTTCTTTGCCAGGGGAGGGGGTAAAAAAAAGGAATGATAAGCAGACTGCCTAAAAATTATTTTATAATAACACAATTCCAAATGACTTCTCATTTACAATGTAAATATACAATTTACATTGTATATTTAGCAAAATAAAATGACCAGGTTGGGAAGAACCACAGAGGGAAAATACACTACTAATTGTGGTCATCGGCTCAACAGTCAAACTGGAAATGAATTTGTTAACAATGCATTAACACATTTTAGAAAGACTGGTTTTCCCCCATGTCTTGGGACCAATATCTCTGTCACTGACATTAAACACCATAGACAATCTCATTTTATGTAGAAGGGTTAAAAATAAACGGCCATTTTGATTAATATTCTTGCTCTGTGATTAATTCCTATTAGAGTGAAATTAAAACCTCCCAAAACAAAACAAAACAGACAAACAACAACAAAAAACCTTAAGGAGTTAAACATTAAAAGTTGAGCCACTGGATAAACTGTCTGTTAGCTTTGTTTTTCATTGCACACCATGGCAAGAATTATTATTAAAATGTCATTTGCCATTGCAGAAAACCAGCTTTTAACATTTCTTCTTGTCACATGCCCAGATTAATTTAAGAAGCCTTGAAGAACTAAATCTGATTTAAATTAAGGTGAGAGCTTTCTGATGCCATGATTAATGTGAGTGTGCTGAGAGTCTGCAAGTCCTAGTTGAGCACCACCAGAGAGAGCAGCCAAATTGGAGGCGATCTCATTTCACTTTAGAATTAAAAAGCCGTATCATTGGCAGCAGAGGAGCATCACCAAGGTTACTCAAGATCAAATCGCCTGCAAAGATTCTAAGCCAACACGGGAGACTTCGGTTGTATCGTGAATGATAACAAACCTTACCAACAGTACCTTCAATGTATCGTTTTTATGCTGCCCTGAGTGAAATATAGAGGCCACTCAAGTTACTTACTTTATCGGGAGTTAAAATAGAATTGCTGAAACAGCAGACTGGCTACAGACACAAAAACAAAACAAAAAGCCTTTTGTTTAAACAATCCGCAGTGCTTTGTTAAGACCTGGATCATTTAAATGACTGTCTTTGCCATTCTATCTTTTCTGTGTTGCTTACCGTTAAAAAAAAAAAAAAAAAAAAAGGTATGGGGGTGGGGGCAACACGTCTCTTTAACTATCTGAAAAAGCAATGATTGTTCATTTTTCCTTTGCTCTTGCATCCAACTTCCCTCTCCCGAGTTAAGGACACCAAGGAAAGCACTTCTTTTGGAGTTACTGTACCCAGAGTAGTACTTAGTATTATAGAAAATTCCGTGCCATCAAATTCAATAGGAGAAGTTAAATAGCCCCTTTTTGTATATAATTCCCATTCTGTTAATCCCATATTTTTGTCTGCTCTTTTCTTTTTCTCAATAGGGCATTTAATCCGTGGTTTCACCCGGCTGGGCAACTTTCCCTCAGGACAAAAATTCCAATAGAGCCAAATGAAATACCACACATATTTTTTTTAAGCCTTTAATAATATCATTTGTCTTTGAAAAGTCAACCTAATTAAATTCACAAGACCTGAGCGAGAGAGCACCAAATAAAGTCATCCTTTTCACCAAAGAACTAACAATATGGCGGGGGCCACATTGCAAGCAAGGCTCCCACACCATGTAATGAACAGCCTCGATCTCTGGCTCCGTCTCATAACACGCTTCCCCAATTCCCTCTAGGAGACAGAGGCCGCAACCTCCGACCCTCCGCTTTGCCCTGAGTTGACTGCCTCCTTCCTGCTTCTTCAGAGAACATCCTCCCATTCTCTTTCCATATCTGTAATCCTTTCCCCTCCTGCTGACTCCTTTTGTCTACGGCCCTGTTTTCATAAGCTCTAGTTTTTAAAACATGTAATAATATCAGCTGTACCGTGCCACCACCTCAAAATACTATCCCTTCCCTCTCTGTTCTGTTGGCATCATTCACTCACCTTTATTTCTTTAAAACAATTACTTTTATTGTTTTTCTGCTTATAAAAATCCTTCTTATCTCAGGAAATCTGGCTTCTTAATCTAAAGACTTCCTTGAAACTGCCCTTTCAAAGGTCACCAATCACCACCTAACAACCGATTCAATAGCCTTTTCTTACAATGACTCTCTCCCCACCTGTGAGCGCCATGATGACTGCCTCATCCTGGCTAAACTTTCTTCTTCCCCAGTTGTGCTCTTTTGCAGACTTCTCCCTCCCAGTGCCCTAAAGTAAAGCTTCCAAGCCTCAACCGCCCCCCTCCTCACCACTGGCCCTCTCCATCCCCAATCTCATCACTCCACATTCTCACTACTTGTTCCCCGGCTTTGACTCTGATCTCTCTCCTGTGTTTTAGGTGACTTTTCCAAACATTTTCAGGCCTTCTACAAACACAACAGTATTTGCAGTCCCAGTCACTGGACTGTGTGCTGGGGACACACAAGTGAAAAGACAAAGCCCTGTTCCCATGGATGTTACTGTCAAGTAGGGAGATAAACATGCAAACACAATTATATAGTGTATCATAAGCAGCAGAATGGTGGAGTGTAAGCTTCCATGACAAGGTAGAAAAGGACTTCCTGGGGCTACCCAGGGGAAATCCAGGAAAGGTTGTGGGGGACTCTAGCACCCAAGGATGACTCACAAAGGGGAAACAGGAGTTGGCCAGGTGTGAGAGGTTGTGGTTCAGAAGGGAAAAAGTATGGCTTGGGACATGCAGTAGACAGAAAGAAGAACAAGACAAGCTAGCATTCCAACTGAAGGACTTTATCATTACACGTGAAGGCACAAAGTAAAAAAAATTGGGTGGAGGAGTAGAGATGTCTGGGGAGCAAAGGTGATTCTGCAGATGAGATGAGACAAACAGGCTTGAGTTCAGGAAGGTTTCTAGATGCTAAGAGCTTAGGTTATATTCTGTTAGTAATGGGGAGCTGGTAAAGAATTTTTAACTAGGGCAGGCTGACCAAGTTCGTTTTAAAGATAACACCCAGTGTTGAGGCTTAATAATACCACCGCTATGAACCTTGCACATAAGCTAGTCATACATACATCTTATCTCTGGCTAGCTTTCAGCCTCTGGAGGAAAGCATTGACGACATTCATCTTTGATTGCACTATAATATCCAGCCCAGTGCTTCACTTGCAGTATGCACTTAGACAATTTTTCCGTCCATACAAACTTAAGATTACACATCCCAGTTTGTCAGGACTTAGGCTCAGCCATCGGTAATATCTTTGTGTCAGTTAACTTCACACATATTACCCTTAAACAGTTAAGTACTGAGAAGCCAATCAGAATTTTAGAGCTTAGAAGGGAACATAGAAATCATAAATTGTTTTTCAGAGGTGGAAGCCAAGTACGAAGATGGGACCTGACTTCCAATATCCTGCAGCTTACCACTGACAACACTGCAACCAGAATTCTGGTCTCCCATCTCATCTTCTGGAATCACTAATGACAACAAAACAAGATGTCAGTGCTACTGCGGTTTTGCGAAATATGAGACAATTATACTTCCTTCCTCTGTTCAGTTGCTTTTTCAGAATAACATAGCACTCCTCCTGCCCCCCAATTCTATGCCAATATTTGTTTCAACTAGAAAACGATTTAAAATTGTATAAATGAATATAAGTAATCGAAAGTTTCTTGCTTGAATCTTAAGTGGCTGGGCGTGGTGGCTCACGTCTATAATCCCAGCACTTTGGGAGGCTGAGGTAGGCAGATCACCTGAGGTCAGGAGTTAGTGACCAGCCTGGCCAACATGGCAAAATCCCGTCTGTCCTAAAAATACAAAAATTAGCTGGGCATGGTGGTGCACACCTGTAGTCCCAGCTACTTGGGATGCTGCGGCATGAGAATCACTTGAACCTAGGAGGCGGAGGTTGCAGTGAGCCGAGATCACACCACTGCACTCCAGCCTGGGCACCAGAGCAAGACTCTGTCTCAAAAAAAAAAAAATCAGAATACCTTAGCCAGAGACATCTGACCTTCACCTTTTGCATATCAATTTTACTGAAGTATTCTTTGGGAAGTAACAAACTAGGCAAATTGTAAACTCAGCTGCAAGTGCTAAATCATTAGTGTATTTATTAATTTCAAATGTTTATCTTTCCTTCCCTTGCAACCTGTGCCTATTTTTTAAGTCTATTGAGTTACTAATAACCAATTATAACCCTAAAAATAAGCACCAAAAGCCATTAAGATGAAAGAATGGTTATAGATATTAATCAAACATGTCATGTGATGCTTCCTTTATTTCTCTTAGACTTATTTGAATTTTAATGAAATCAGGGGTGAGTGAGGAGACTTCAGGAGTAACCATGAAGTCACCACCTTTAGGCAACGATGAGCCAATTTGCATTTCTAAATTAACTGGCTAAAGAAACCAAATCCATCTTTGGCCATGAGATTCCCAGGGTGAGCTTTGTCCCTGTGAACTTCCATAAAGTGGAGGGCAGCTGAAAGGGCATCAAAGGGACAGGTCTCTTCAGTGCTTGTGAGGTCTGAGATCAGAATAGGCCAGCATGCGTGAGCACCAGGAACCCTTAACTTCTCTGGGTCTTGCTTTGCTTATCTACAAAATGGAAAGGGGGACTGACCAGAGGACTGGGCAGCTCCTTTCAGCTCCAGCATTCTAGGGGTCTTTCAGAGGTTGATGGTGAGTGGCGAAAGGCATCTTGCTCATGTGGATGAAATGAACCTGAGTATTAAGCGTCTGTCACTGTCATCAGAAGGTGTTCCTTGTTCTGTTCCTTTATCCCTCCTCCCCACAGTATATCTCTGGAGCACAACAGGTAGGAAAGAAAGACCCAACTAAATCCTGAGGCCATTTGAGATTTGTAAAATTATATCTGTGTTCCATTGCACTTCAATTAAAATGCACCCCTCCCTCCACAGACACTTATAACTTCCACATTGAGGGGCAGGTACATTGAGATATTAATACTTTACATGAATATGTTCATTTCATTCCCATGTAAACAGATATTATGGCCTTTATAGATGAGAAAATAAGATCAAAATGTTGAAGAAACAAACAAAATTAAACTCAAGTAACCTATACCTAGTATGTAACAAAGTCAGGATTGGAATTTAGATGTGACTCAAAGTACTTCACATGACACCTGGACTTCTGTTAGAAAACAGGAAGATGGCTGGGTGTGGAGGCTCACGCCTGTAATGCCAGCACTTTGGGAGGCCGAGGCAGGTGGACAACTTGAGCCCAGGAGTAAGACCAGACAGGGCAACAAGGCAAGACCCTATCTCTACAAATACAAAAGCTAGCTGGGCACGGTGTTGTGTGCCTGTAGTCCCAGCTACTCAGGGTGCTGAGGTGGGAGGATGGATTGGGCCCGGGAAGTCAAGGCTGCAGTGAGCCGTGATCACATTGCTGCACTCTAGCCTGGGCAACAGAGCAAGACCCTGTCTCAAAAAAAAAAAAAAAAAGAGAGAAAGAAAGAAAGAAAGAAGAGAGAGGGAGAGAGGGAGAGAGGGAGAGAGAGAGAGAGAGAGGGAGAGAGGGAGAGAGAGAGAGAGAGAGGGAGAGAGGGAGAGAGGGAGAGAGGGAGAGAGCGAGAGGGGGAGAGGGGGAGGGGGAGACAGGGGGAGAGAGGGAGAGAAGGAGAGAGGGAGAGGGGGAGAGGGGGAGAGGGGGAGAGAGAGAGAGAGAGAGACAAAGAAAAAAGAAAGGCAAGCAAGCAGGAACAGGAAGCTTCTGAAGTTTAGGTCACATTTTGACCTAGGTAATGGTTATACAGGTGTTCACTCTATTTCTCAAGCCATACATGTTTTATGTACCTCTCTGTGTTATATGTCATATTTTTTTTTAAAGTTACAGAAAAAAAGATGAAGAATTCAACGTGGTTAGCACAAGGTGGGCAAAGCAGATGTCCATCTTGGGCCTGTCTGAGGTGGTGGGCAGATGCATCATGCCATCAGGGAGAGCTCTCAATCAATGTCCACAGGCCATTCCTACAAAGGCACCTCCTACACAGTTCTGGGAAAGTGCCACAGGACCTTCAAGTGGAGAACCGATGGCGAAAGACAAGGGGTATCTGCGATATCTCAGGGACCCACGTGCTCTAGGCAGATAAATAAGACAGACAAGCACCCTCATCAAATTCAGAAGGAGGCCCACAATCTCTCCCAAGACAAACATACTTGTCTACACCAAAAGGGAGCTAGGAGGCTTCATGACAACTAAGGGTGGATGCAGTCACCCTCAAAGTCTGCTGTCGGTAACTGTAGAGAAATCTGGCTGGAACAACTTGGAAATCTAGTCCATAATTTTAGGAAAGGTAAATCATTCTCCTTTTTTTTTTGAGACAGTCTCACTCTGTCACCAGGCTGGAGTGCAGTGGCACAATCTCAGCCCACTGCAGCCTCTGCCTCCCAGGTTCAAGTGATTCTCCTGCCTCAGCCTCCTGAGAAGGCTGGGACTACAGGCATGCGCCACCACACCCGGCTAATTTTTGTATTTTTAGTAGAGACGGGGTTTCACCATGTTGGCCAGGATGGTATCTATCTCCTGACCTCGTGATCCGCCCGCCTTGGCCTCCCAAAGTACTGGGATTATAGGCGTGAGCCACCGCGCCTGGATGGTAAATCATTCTTTAATGTTAAACAGGTCGATGTGTGCACCATTGTTTTTAATCACTTGCTGTAAGTAGTTATTTTTTCACATTGTGTAATAAATTCTCAACTCCTATCCTTTCAGGTATAATAAATATAACCCTCTGACTTTGAATGACATAGGCCAGATTCAACACTCCTCCTTGCGCTCACACTTTTTAAATTCTAGAGCCATGGAGCATGCTGACCTGCTAAAATGCATTTCTTCAGGAAAGAGCTGTGACTAGAGAACATTTCTGATGCCAACAACAGCTGCTCTGTGAACTAATTCAGGCAGGAATGTACACAGAGACAGTAACTAAAGTGCCTGTTAAACATACTGTGAGAAATTATGTTTATCTCTCTCTCAAGTTGGGCTTTTTGGGGATGGAGCCTTAAAAGTGACATGTCTTTATTTCAGCCTTTAATATGCTCATAGTTGTCAAATGAAGTCTACAGGTTACAAAAAAGCAAAATCTGAACCTCTCATTCAGCTTACTCCTATCTCTTGATTTCTTTTCCACTTAGTTGTAGCCCGTTCCATAAAGCCAAAAACTATGCAGATAAAAATTTAGCCAGATTTAGGTTACTTATCATCACAGCTATCTCCAATGAAGTTCATGAAGGATTCAAACAATGATGGATGTAAAAAGGGTAGACTTCTTCTGGAAACTCAGTAAGAAGCTGAGTGAATTCTTCACAGATAATGGGATCCATCTTCAAAAATTTATTTTTTGTTGCTAGCCAGATGTCTATTGAAGCAAATATTAAAATGCCATTTTTAAATCTGGGTAAATGTTGAGTATCTCTTATCCGAAATGCTTGAGACCAGAAATGTTTCCGATTTGGGTTTTTTTCTGATTTTGGAATATTTGCATTATAACTACTGAGTGAGAATCCCTAATCCCAAAACCCAAAATGCTCAAATGAGTACTTCCTTTGAGCATCATGTCAGTGCTCAAAAAGTTTTGGATTTTGGAGCATTTCAGATTTCTAATTTTCAGATTAGGGATGTTCAACCTGTACATGTTTGTATCTTCATTAGCAGTGAATCATTACCTAAATCTCCAGTAACAAATCAACAAACAAAATCAAGACATTTAATCTAAGCCTGTGACCATCAAATTTTATCAAAGTCTCCAGAGACTCTCCAGCTGTAAATACAAAAGATATCTGCTATATTCGGATCAGAGTAGAGCGAAATTATACATGGACAAGAGCCTGCTCCAAATGCCATTTTACACATCTTGAAAGACTATCTCCTCTCTCATGTGGGGATGGGAGCAGGAGGGAGTGGGGGAGTGAGGGGACCTCCCAGTGCTTTTCTTTGTTCTCTGACTGAGCCCTCTCTCCCTGTGTGTACAATGTACCTCATGCACACCTCCATCACACTACTGCCTGTTTACTACCGTAAGACAGTAAGCTTGCAGTAGCAAACCTCAAGACAAACTTTGCTACAAGCTGCTGCCAAGACAGCAGGCCTGGCTCTTTAAAATTGAGGACCCAGGAACTTTCATCCGTTCATTTAAACACTCCTGGCATAGAACAGAACAGATGCTCAATATTGATTAATTTATGTCTATTATCTGCTTTTATGTACTAAGTCAAACTCAGTTTTTTCACAAAACATTTTCCAGTAATTCTGTGGCTTCTTCAGTTAATCTGTTAACTACTAAGGATTTATGCATTGTTTTAAAATGTATATGTTTACATTTCATTATGCATTTATTGATACTCGCTGTGTCGTTTCCCTTCACACTTTATGGTTCCCAAGAGTAGACTAGCTCCCCATAAAAACTGACAGACTAATTCATACAATAAGCATTTAATGGCGATGAAAAAGGAATAACCTGTTTAATATTAAAGAATGGTATTCTTTTCTTAAAATTATGGACACAGTAAGAATAGAAGAAGAAACAAAATGATTACTCACTGTGAATACCTAGCTACCTTTCTATATTTTTAAGTAGAGAATGCTGAGGTTGAATGAACTTAGACTGATAATTTATATAACATCAAATCTTAATAGTGCCACATATTCAGAGACTGATTTTTTTTAATCTTCACTGATAATGAGGTAATAAATACCTTGCACTCATGTTGTGTTTATTTCAGGTTGCTGAGATGATATAGGGGAAGAGGTACGTGAAGTTCTGTACATGTGGTTAAAAGTAAATAACTGAGAACAAAAGAACTCAGATAATCTTTCTCATTTCATCCTTCCCAACCACAGTTCATAAGTCTATAATTTATCTAAAATCTCTTACGAAGTTTTTAAATCCAGACTTTAAAGGTTGCACTCCAGGAATTTTCCAAAGTTATTAATTTTATTAATAGTAAATCCCTTTGATGAACCATTTTAGAGCATTAAAGCAATTATGAAAGCATTTATCTTTTCAAAATAAAATTCAAGTTTAGGCAAAACCAGTGGGGATAGATGATATTTCATATAGATGTACTGCATATTCAAAAAGAAAAGCAGAAATGCCTATAAACAGATGTTCAGTTTTTCAAGGGGAGAAAAGTCAAGTCCTGATCTGGAACTTGAAAATACATGAAATGGGAGTGAAGCACAGTTTCCTGGAGAGTGATCAAAAACAGTCGAGCCTGACTATTCAAACTCACACATACCTTCACGAAAGCGTTTTCTACAAGCCAGACCATGTAGTGCTCTGTTGCTTAGGAGCTGGGCAGAGAAATGCTAATGAGGCACTGCCTCGGGGATTTGTCCTGGGAACGGTGCCATTTAACATTCTTATTAGCAATTTGGTGGAGGAAGGTGAACTATAAGTAGAGAAGTTCCTGGTCACAATTTACTAAAGATAAATCACAAGGAAGTAAAGGGATCTAGAAGAAACTTTGGTTGGATTTAGGTACATTAAGGGACCAATATTATGACAGCAACAAAGCTCAAAGCACAACTCCAAGGCCATTTACAAACGAACCAAACGAATGCCATTCTTCTTATTTAAGACTGAAGTCACTAAAGACAGAGGTTACTCAGGCTAAATAAAAAGGGAAACCAACAATGCCCTCACTTCTGGATAGTCCAATAGCAAAGCTATGAGATACAAGATACTGGAAGATACATTAGATAATCTAAGCATTACAAAAGATTAAAGGAACAAAAAATAGAACCATGATCTGAAATGTCTGCACAGTTCTGTTCAGAACACCAAATCTATGGTGAACCTATGGATAGCTATTCTTTCTCTCTCCAAGCAGAAGTTATCTGCCCTCTTTAATTCCCATACAGCAATTTTTAGTTTGTCTCCTCAGTATTTTCCACATTGTGTTTGAGAGCTAGGACCCTGCCTTTGTACTCTGCACTTCTGCCAGAATAACAGATTCCCAATAAATAAATCATTGTTAAAGGCAGTATAGTGTAGCAGTTAAGAATATGAGCTCCACAGCCTCAGACTGTCCAAGTTTAAATCCTGGTCCTACTGCTAATTAACTTGGAGATCTTGGGAAAGTTTCTAATCATTGTGCTTCCATTTTTCCATCTGCAACAGTAACAGTAAGCAGTAGGATCACTGGGAAAATTAGATGAGATAATACATTCAGTGGGCTTAGAACAGTATCTGGCATTAGAGTTAAGTGTTTAATAAATGTTATCAGTCATCATAGTGGTGGTACATTAAAGAATGAATCACTTCATAAGTGACTGACATACAAGATAAAATTATTTTTCTAGATTTTCCTTGAATCAATGACAGAATTTCTCCCAAAGTCAAGTCTTCCACAATTAGATAAAATACAGGAGCCCCAGTTAAATTACATTTCAGATAAATAACAAATACTTCTTTGGTATACTAAAGTCCCAAATACTGCATGGTAGGAGAAGTCTGGTAGGAGCAGCATCTGGTAGAATAAGAAGTTTGGTTTGTTGTACTAAGAAAAAGTCTCTGAATTTTACAAGTCACTCCTTCCTCTTTGAAGAACTACTTTCCTTCTTTATCACCTTTAGGCTGCCCTCCTTGCCACACATTTACTTTTTAACATCAACAATAAATTGGGCCGGGTGCAGTGGCTCATGCCTGTAATCCTAGCATGTTGGGAGGCTGAGGTGGGTGGATCACATGAGGTCAGGAGTTTGAGACTAGCCTGGGCAAAGTGGTGAAACCCCATCTCTACTAAAAATACAAAAATTAGCCAGGTGTGGTGATGCACTCCTGTAATCCCAGCTACTCAGAAGGCTGAGGCAGGAGAATGGCTCAAACCTGGGAGGTGGAGGTTGCAGTGAGCCGAGATCACACCACTGCACTCCAGCCTGGGTGACAGAGTGAGACTCCATCTCAATAAGAAAAACAAACCACAATGAACTGAAGTAAAAATGAGAATTTTAAACTAGATATAGGAATACATTCTTCCTATATTTTCTACTTGACCAAGTATACCTTGCTCATCTGCTGGCAGAACCTAGGCTCAGAGGAGCCCAGTTGGGTGATACCCCAGTTCTGATAAATCAAACCATTTAGCATGTCTTCAAAGTCTATACATAGGTCCTTTTTCCAGCCAGCTTGAACTAAACAGAACAAACAAGTGTGTTCAAAAAAACAAATTGGTTTTGAATACTTACAATGGTTTTAAAAAGACAGTGGCAAAACTGCCCATGTCAGCAGTGGTTTATTTGGATCAAATTAACACTGGCGGTTTAAACATGCTAAAGTGTTTCTAAGAAGGTGTGGGCTCCTGGAAACAGATTTGCATATCTGCAAATAGGCAAGTTTCTGCAGAGACCAGAACATCTTAGGCATGTGTATTATCCCATTTTCACACTGCTGAAAAAGATATACCCAAGACTGGGAAATTTATAAAGAAAAAGAGGTTTAATGGACTCATAGTTCCACATGGCTGGGGAGGCCGCACAATCATGGCAGAAGGTGAAAGGCACGTCTTATATGGCGGCAGACAAGAGAGAATTGACAGCCAAGCAAAAGGGGTGTCCCCTTATAAAACCATCAGATTTCATGAGACTCATTCACTATCATGAGAACAGTATGGGGGAAATTGGCCCCATGATTCAATTATCTCCCACTGGGTCCCTCCTACAACACAGGGGAATTATGGGAGCTACAATTCAAGATGAGATTTGGGTGGGGACACAGCCAAACCATATCAGCATGTATTAGGTTGTATTTATGATATCGTATAAAGACGTAGCATACTATACATTCAATAAAAGTAGAGCTGGTTTTATAAATAGATATCAAATTTATGCTCTCAGCAGCCAGTAACCCAAGAAAATAAGCTCACAGAGGATGCCATCTTACCCCTCAGTACTGATTTGAGGTTGAGCTTGGCTTGGCGGTGCAGGTCCTCAACACAGGGGGGTCTTGTGGTGGGAAGGAACACATTCTCCTGCTGGTGCCACGGGGCAGTGTAGTGGACTGTCCATCGGCTTTCCTCATCTAGGTTGGAAACCGCTATAGAAAAAAAGATAGAATACATTCAGGTGTCAACTTCATTGGCTACGAGTTCATTACATCATGATGTGTTTCCATGTCTAACACATCCACGGGTAAGGGCCAGCAAGGGAGCAATGGAGCAAATCCTAAATTAGTTTTAATCTTAGATTCCAGGGGTCTCGCCCACAGTGTTTTACTTATAAAAGAAAAGCTGAAAGTGTCCACCCTCCAAACAATGTTTTCATAGAATCATTTGCTCAGTTAACTGCTTCCCAGCATTTTAGGTCCTCCCTTTACTCCAATGTTTGAAAACATCTGACAGAATTGATAGAGACCTCCAATTCCTACTTAACCCCCCTCGCACACACACAACAAATAGCAGTTACTCAACTGTATAATGCCATCGCAACAGTAAATGTTAGACTGTCCTGATAGAAATGAATTTCCTACCAGGAGGTTTATAACAAATATTCTCCCTCTACAGCATTATTTAAAGAGCATCACTGTTATAAACTCAATTACATTTTTAAAAAATTAAGCGTAAACATTCAATTTACATGTAAATGACATAGCTAATACATGTGGAGACCCATTTGTGTTACAAAATTCTCTCTGCATTTCTTGCTTTCATGAAACCCTTTTATATTAAACATTTTTAAAATTACAATGCAATTGACTCTTCCCAACACAATCCAGTTCAACTAAATTTTCCCAGCACAGAAGAGACCAAGACATTAGAGGACAAAATAACAGGTAAAATCCTGAGAGTAAGATAAATCTCTACAATAATTTTTCTTTAAATCCTCGGAGGCTTGAGACCTCTCTAGTTCATTTTTCCTGACAACACGAGCTAAGTTGGGGCATCAGTGGAGCCCAAAATGAGGCCGACAGCACCAAAACAAATTCATCAACAATGTTTTAATACTTTCTATATACCTGCCATGTAACCCAGGCATAAGAGAGACTGGAAAGGTACTGGAGAAAGTCCTTGTGCTGAGGCATTTGCTTGAGGTAGCAAGTCTAACCCCTGTAAAGCCAGCAGATACTTGAATTGTGAGTGAGGAGCAAGTCTTCCTGACTCTGATCTATGCTATAGAGTTCACACTGGGCGTATCCATGTCCCCAACATAACATGTACCTGGAAACTAGACCATAAAATGAATTCTCAAAGTAACATGAGAACACACGCATAAACTATTAAATCCATTTGAGCACATCTAAAATTCACTAAACATACTCTATAGCACAGTTATTAGGGCTACTCTAAAGATCAAATGAACCAATATACATAAAGTACTTAGCTCAAGAAATAACTCAGGTAAAACATGGTTGTGGCAGGAACAGTAAAAATTATTCTAACGAGGCCCCAAACTTTGAACTGTCACTGTCTCTTGTAAACCTGGGCCACATGCTAGCGCTCATCTCACATACCATCTTTTCTGCAGCTACTAAATTTTACAATCTTATGAATCTGAACAGGATAACTCATTTTCAAAAGGACCCCACCTTCTCCGTAAGTTGCTAAATGAGAAAATAAACATTGAGAACTAGATATCAAGTTAAAAACAGAAATGTCCATTGTGCTTTCTGCTTAGTATTTGACAAAAGCAGTATGTGAATTTGGCACCTAGTATTTCATGTAAACTCTTGTTGAGCAAATGTTTTGCATGGTGCATACAACTATCAATCTTAATACACAAAATCCACAAAGACCTGACTTAACCCTCATTTGTGTTTCAGAAGAATCTAGCATTGGGCCAAACTCACCATATGTCCCCCCAAAGTGTAGCCAGAGTTCATCACAGTGTTTTGTGCTGATGTCCATTTATTTTAAAGACTGAGTTACCATACTTCAGAGTTAGAAACTATTGAAAATGGAAACTTTTCCTATTCGACAATTTCAAATCAAATCCAAGTAATGGCATTCGTGTCTGCACCATCAATCGCACCATCGGCCCCACTGCACAGCTACCAACTGGCTCCTATGAAAAAGTCTCTTCCCCTCGTGTTCCTCACTCTCGCCAGGGCCACTTTTAATCTGTTCATCCAAAGGCAGCCTTTAGCAAGGAGCTGCAGAAAATCAGCCCACCGTGCTGCTCTTTGTAGCTTTCTCCAAAGCTCCTCTTACCAATGCCCCTACCCATGTTCATTTATCCAGTATAAGTCACTGGTCCAAACACTAAACTAAACTAAAATAAAATAAACCACCGACTATGTAAAAACAAAGCCAAGTAGTTATAAAAATTATTATTTTCAAGAGAATGAAGAAGCACCTACATTAAAGAAATGTAAGTCAATGGTAAGTACACAATAAAGCCACATCACAAAAGTTCTGTACCTTACAACAATCACTGATCAGTCTAGACAGTTTGTGCTCGAGCTCTTAAATACACAACAAAGAGTGCCAGGGAGTTTCAGGGGATTATCTCCACCAGAAATATGTGATACATTACACAGAGGCTCCCTTACCTCAGCTGCATATTTATCCAAAGAATCAAAAAATCATACACTTGATATCAAGGGAAACATAAATTAAGTACAAGAATTTCCCCCCTCTTCAAAGGACTTCTTTTGAAAAGCACAGAAGAAGTGAATTCACTTAAAACCCCAATCATAAATAAATAAGACATGCTAAGATCACATAATACTGTCCTAGAGTTACAAAAGTCTGAGGTATTTAAACAACCTGGTATAGAGTAGAGTTTAACTCATGCCTATTACGCTGTTTCACACTCTAATTTCTTCACACAAAAGAACGAAGGACCTAAAACACACACATGGACACACACACACACACACACACACAGACACACAGGGACATATACACATATGGAAACATATGCACACAATAGGTAGTAGAGAGAAAAGGAACTACTTACTTTTCTTCTTAAAAAGTTTAATTAAAGACTTAATCTTTGCATTAATGAAGACCACCATTTCCAGGGCACCTACATAGAGCTTAGAAATGTAAATCACATTAAAAGCTCAGCCCAGTAGGCAGGTGGCAAGCTTCGTCCTTCTGCTACAGATTCTAACTTTTTCTTCCCCCGGTCTCATATCCTTAGACATCTGCCCAGGCTGATGTAACTGAGGTTGAGTTTATTGTCAGGCAGTTACAAACCATTAACAGTCCTTGAACCTGAAAAACTCCTACTGAAACCTAATCTTTAAGGCTGAGAGCAGCCAGTGACATCGTGCGCTGAAAGAAAGAGAAAGCCAATCACGGTTCTTATTTGCATGACAGCCACATCAGGCTTTCTGCCTCAGTGCCCATTCATTCAGTTTTCTCTCCAACAGATCAGAAGTTCCTCCTCTCTGAGCCCACAAAAATAGTGCAGACTTTCCTCTACGGAAGTCAAGATGAAACAAATGTGTTCCCCATTTCATTAGGCCCCTATGAACACCCAGATCTTTTACAGGAGCTGCCAAGTCTGACAGCAATTCCAGTTAATTCAGGGTATATGGGATTTGAACTGATTTAGGGGGGAAAAAAACCAAACTATTGTTTCCCAACCACGCCCCAGGCTCTGCCTCCGATACCAAAGGAACTTGTACAAGCAGTAAAACTTTAGAATAGAATCTCCAAGGAGCTGCAAATGATGACTTGGTTGCATTTTTGTGCAAATTAGGATGCTCTGTCTTCTCACCCTTCTTTGCCAGTGATTGAGAATCAGCATTGTGTGTTCCAAAGCATGATCTTATTTGCATCTAGCTGCCACAACAATCAAGAAAAAAAAAAATCCACCAAAAAAAATACAACTTCCCCACTCCAAATGATAAATTAGATAAAGTACCCTAATCATTTTAATCTTTATTTTATATGTAATTGTCACTTAGGCTCCTGGTTTTCAGAATTCCATAATCGCCCTTCCCTCAATGTTGTCTCAAACAAACATTATCTGAGTTACTCTTTAACTTGAATCTACCATCCAGAGTGCTGGTTCTTTTGCCCATTGGCAATTAACCACAGAGAACTAGGGAAGCACAAGTAGAGACAGAGAAATCAGAAACAGAGTATAAGAAGGCACTGAAAAAACATATTCCAGGGGTAAAGGGATAGGAAAAAAGAGGAGAATATAGATCCGGAAATACTATGACAACGGAAAAAGGAAAAGAATCTTCCTCACATCTCAGCCCAGTTCCACTTCATGGCCAAACACTTTTGAAACAATTTAGACAACCTCTTATTTCATAGCTTTGGGCCAGACTTATAACTCAATGGAAAAATGTAATAATCCACTAATTCAAAACATTTAGTTTATAACAAAGGCTCTTAGTCAAAGAATAAAATTTATATAAGGGGCTCTGTCTAGGGAAAGCTTTGAAATGATTCCTTCTCAGGTCTTTTTATGCCCTTTATTTTTTCAACAACAACAAAACAAAAGAACACATAGGGGAAAGCTTTGAAATGATTCCTTCTCAGGTCTTTTTATGCCCTTTATTTTTTCAACAACAACAAAACAAAAGAACACATAGAAACGTTACCATCTTATCATACATATTATCACAGATTTCCAATTTGTGTTATTTCATTTTATATATAGCTTTATTTTAAAGTAATTAAATTGCCAGATGGCAAATGAGAAACGACTGAGCCTGTAAGTCAGATTATGTGGCTGCCTTAAATTAGCGGGCAAAGTTCCCCTTTGGAAAACAAATTTATCTGCAAGAGTGACCTCGCTCTGCTCATTGCATTAGACACAAGGAGAGTTGTGGGCAAAAACACTCATATGCACAATCCACAAGTGTTTGAGGTTAAGTGTCACCATGCAAATGTCCAGTGAAAACAGAAATTGTTCTTTCAAGAAACTCTGATTATGCTCAACCCTCCATAGCATGTAGCTTTCCATGTGCTCAACAATGGCATCTGAATATAGATTCGTTCATCAGAAAGATAAATACCAGGCACCGATGCTAACTGCTACTCTTTCATTTCATTGGGATACATCATTGGACAAAATAGGTGAGATCCCTGCCCTCATGGAGCTTAAATTATTTGACACTGAACTACAATTTTGTGGTATATTAGAAGGAGTTGAGTGCAACAGACAAAATAAAAAAGTTAAGCAACATAAAAGGGGGTTTGAGGGTGGCCAGGCTGCAGCATCGTAGGAGTCAGGGTGGTCCTCGTGAAAAGTCGAGATTTGAGCAAAACCTTGAAGGAGGCAATGGCAAGAAAACAAAACTGTGTAATGAATCTCACTGGCTCTCATTTTAAAGAGAGAGAGAGAGATTCCTCAGGCTGTGAGACACATTTCCATCCCCCAGGACTAGAGAAGTGCTCTTTCCTCTCAGAAAATGAACTGTAGGAAGAATCTTGCATGGGGTAATTTCCTTTCTCACTCAATATTAAGTGTGATATAAAGTGGCCGCAGTTGTTCCTCTGTATCCATTCCAGGATGCCCCTTGGATACAAAAATCCTTGGATGCTCCAGTCCCTGATATAAAATACTGTAGTATTTGCATGCAACCTATGCACATCTTCCCATATACTTTAAATCATCTCTACATTACTTATAGTACCTAATACAATGTAAATGCTACGTAAGTAGTTGTTATACTGTATTGGTTTAAAAATATGTATTTTTTTTATTGCTGCATTACTTTTATTGTGGTTTTTTCCCCAAATATTTTTGTTCCATGGTTGCTTGAATCCACGGAAGTGGAACCTGTGGATATGGAGAGCCAACTGTACTTGGTTACACACGAGTAAGTGGTAAACCTGGGGGAGAATGCAGGCTTCCATCCCGGCATCCTAGGATGTCTCATCCTCTGTGCATTATTCCACACTGCCACATAACACCATAAAATCCAGATCTCCAGGAAATAAACCAAATAAACTATCACATTTCTTGCGTTCTATATTAAGTTGTATTTTGAAAGCACTTATTAATTAGAAAGTTTACCCAATCAATTGCCAGCTCTTACTTTACATCCTTGATATGAGCATGAGCACAGGGAAATGTTTTCATCATATAATCTGCATGCCTCAATGCTGTGGTTGATGGAAGAGCCGTATTCTTCTGGAACTGTATTTTTTAATTGTTCAATTTATACGTGCAACAGAAAAGATATAAATCCATGGTACTTCTGATGCCTACTTCAGCCATATATGACAGTGGCGGAAAAAAAAAAAAAGTTTTTATAAAGATAGGGTACTATGTTGCCCGGCTGTTCTCAAACTCCTGGCCTCCAGCAATCCTCCCACCTCAGCTTCCCAAAGTGTTTGGATTACAAGCAAGGCCCATTGCACAGGGCAAAAAAAGAAAAAGAAATGTTCTAATGAACTAGACATGAAAAACTTGACACTAATGCATAATAGCGAAAAGCAGTCCCCCTCTGGAACCATCCTACCCAGGTTACCAGCCACTGACCAGAGGAGTGACCCCTCCATGCCTTGGTTTGCTCATCTGTAAAACGGGATAACAACAGTGTTTATATCACCAGGTCATGATGAAAACTAAGAGTTATTATTGATAAACTCCTTAGAACAGTACCTGGTATGTAAACATACGTAAGTGTATGTTAAATCAATGAATAAAATCTCAAGAGATAGCTTAGCAGCCTTCTGCTTAATAAAGGGCCATGCTTTCATGCAAGGGAATCAGTGTAGCAGACCCCATGGCTGTCTTCCTACTTGTCTCTGACTTAAACTGCCAACACCTCGAGTAATTGCTCTATACCCCCTGCTTCCAATTTATATCCACATACTATCTTTTCTATTGTCTAAGATTTTATTTCAATTTTTAAAAAATTCTCAGTGGTCATCGGTGAATTTCTGACTCCTACTAATGGTGTTTTTCTTTCTCCTCACCTTCCTAATGATCTTCTTAATCATATACTTCCAACCACCCAGCTCTTGATCCTCTTCATTGACACTGCAACACACTAGTTCCTCTCCTGCATATGATGGCTCCTTCTCCGAATTCCAACAAAGTCTAACCAAGCTTCAAAGATCTAGTCCTTAAGCCTTTGTCCTATGCTATTTACTTATTTCCCCTTGAAACTTGAATGGTTTTGTTAGTATAGAGCAGAAGTCAGCAAATTATGACCCTCTGGCCAAATCCGGCCATTAAATGATTTTTTTTAAAGTAAAAGAAGAAGACTATTTCATAACGTGAAAAGTACATGAAATTCAAATGTCAATGTCCAATAATAAAGTTGTAATGGAACACCACCACACCCATTTGTTCAAATATTAGTTGAAATATTGTCTAAGGCTGCTCTTGGGTTGTAACAGCAGGGTTGAGCGGCTACGACTAAGACTGTATGGTCCTCAAAACTGAAAATATTTACTACCTGGACCTTTAAGAGAAAAAGACGGCTGGCTCATGGCTTAAGCTACTGCCTTTAAACATCCTGCTCAACCTTCATTTCTATTATCTTCCATTTGTCTGCCCTCAGTTCCATTTGCTAACCTCTACTCAGATTTCACATTATCTCAAGTTCAACATATCTAATTTGAGACAATCTGCTTTGCCCCCCAAACTGTTTCTCAGGAACTATTTTTACATCTATTAGGACTATCATCTTTTTTTTTTCCTCCATGAACCAGACAGGTAAATTTAATCCCCAGTTAAAAAAGTAAAAACTGAGGCTGGATGTAATGGCTCACACCTGTAATCCCAGAGCTTTGGGAGGCTGAGGCAGGAGGACTGCTTGAGGCCAGGTGTTCAATACCAACCTAGGCAACCCAGAGAGACCCTATCCCCCCAAAAATACAAAAAAAATATTAGCCCGGTGTGGTGGTTCATGCCTGTAGTCCTAGCTACTCAGGAAGCTGAGGCAGGAAGATTGCTTAAGCCCAGAAGTTTGAGGTTGCAGTGAGCTATGATCATACCACTGCAATCCAGCCTGGGTGACAGAATGAGACCTTGTCTCTTAAAAGAAAGAGAGAGAGAGAGAAAGAGAGAGAGAACGTATTCGCTGCCTTGTGTTAGGTGTCCAGGTTAAAAATTAATCAAACATGATCATTGACCTTTGGAAGTTCACAGTCTAGTGGAAAAGACACACCCACACAGATAAAAATGATGATATAAAGATTAAGTCTAGCGAGAGAGAGATGATGGTGAAGTTCCTAGGTAAAATGATAACACACATCCACCTCATTTAAAGGACCACCTGCTATTAGAGTACAGAGAAGAGACTCTTGGGTAAAGCCCAGACCTGGGATGTGGGGAGATATGCTGAAACTTCGGTGAAAGCTCATGGGACAGCCCTGTGGGGAAAGGTGGTGGGGAAGATGGAGAGAGGCAGGGCAGGCCCGCAGGGTCTTGCTTGCCACCGTGGGTGAGTGGTAGGTGGTGGCAAGGGGGTCCCTGATGGAGGATCAGAGGGGAACCTGTAGGGCCAGTGCTGCATTTTAACTAGAACTCTGGTGTCAAATGACAAGTAGGTTTGAATAGGATTGACCAGAGGCGGGGAGAGAAAATGGTGCCACAATCCACACAAAATGTGAAGAGGTCAGAATTCATTCTCAGCTCAGAATAACTTTCTTTCTCTAGAACAACTTGGTTTTATCAGCCTATGTTTCACCACCTGTAAAATGTTTCAGGAACCAAATAAACCTAAAGTATAAAGTTCAAAAAATTAAACCTTGGCCACTTAAATAAATGACTCTGTTACGACCCATGCTTTTATCTTTAGTATGATCTTAAAGTACACCCTCATTATTTTTATGAAGGCCAAAGATTATATGTCTAAACCTAAAAGCTTCTTAAGAGCAGAGCTGTCTACAGCTTCTAGAACTCAGACATAGCCTTGCCCATCCCCGCCCCCATCCCTATTTACACAAACCCACAGGCCCTCCTCAGTGTATCAAATGCAGTTAAGGTACTGAAAGTCTTTATTTGGAATCCAAAAACTTTTTCACAAATACTGTTAAACAATATTGACTAAAAAGGGTCATTTTCAAATATTGTACACAGGAGTTTATGCAGAAATGAGCCATGTTTATATCATATGTACGCATTTCGAATTAGATAAAATTTGAATCTTTGAGCAATTGAAAATGAAACAGGGGCTGGGCATGGTGACTCATGCCTGTAATCCCAGCACTTTGGGAGGCCAAGATAGGCGGATCACGAGGTCAGGAGATCGAGACCATCCTAGCTAAAATGGTGAAACCCCGTCTCTGCTAAAAATACAAAAAATTAGCCAGGTGTGGTGGCACGTGCCTGTAGTCTCAGCTACTCGGGAGGCTGAGGCAGGAGAATCACTTGAATCTGGGAGGCGGAGGTTGCAGTGAGCTGAGATTGCGCCACTGCACCAGCCTGGGCGACAGAGCTAGACTCCATTTCAAAAAAAAAAAAAAAAAAAAAGAATATGAAATATACAATCAATGAAGATCATTATTTTCTTCCAACCTGAAGAGGAGAAAGGGGAAATAAAAGTCAGACATAATAGAGTTCTGCTCAGGGCTGTGTATTAAATGACCGTTTGAAATGCTTCTCAAAGGAATTTAGCTCTTCAAACAGAAAATTTTTCAGGGCAACCTTATCTATAAATGGTGCTTTTACTGATTGTTAATTCATTTTAGGGTGTTTTTAAAAATCAAGTTTAACATCTAGCATAGAAGACTGTATATGACTAAGGTAATTTAGATGTCATCTTTATGCATGGTTAAAATACTTCAAATACGATTTTTAAATCTATAGACACACCCATTCATTCTTATGCTTTTCAGACTCATTGAAACATTGGAAAACATCACAGCAGAAAGCACAACCCATGCATTCTGGGCCAATAAAATAAAATGTACAGAGTAGTAAGGGATTTTAGACATTTCTAAAAATTTACATCATCTACTTAATAAACATTCATAATGTTTTACCAATAGATAAAGATAATTTAGGCCTATCCTGTTTATTAAGGAACAAAATCTTCCTATGTTAACTCTTGAAGGTAAGAATTATGTTTCCTGTTTTTATTAATAGTTTCACATTGAGAGCAATTATGTACAGTCTGTAATTCTTGTCTAGCAAAATAACAGTTTTGAATTATTATTCAAACAATTATTACTGAATTATTGAAGCTGCAAAGCAAACTAGTAACACAGGCAGGTAAATTAATACAGTCAATAAATGTGTAAATAAAATGGCAACTTTTAAAAATAGGGCTGCCAGATAAAACATATGATGTCCAAATAAAGTTGAATTCCAGATAGATAAAAAATAATCTTTAAATATACTATGTCCCAAATATTGAATGGGATACACTTATGCTAAAATATAATTCATTGTTTCTCTGACATTTAAATGTAAGTGGGCATCTTGTATTTGGTTAATCTGGAAATCTTAAAGTACAATTTTAAAAAATTATCTAAGGTCATAGAATAGTAAGAGTTTGATAGGAGTAGCTGGAAGAAGAACCATTGGTTAGTAATAAAGATTTATTCTTCAACAGTTGACATTATTAAAGGAATTTTCAAAAATCTACAGTAAAAGTTAATACAATTATAATTTATAATGTTAAAAATCACTTTATTTGATATGGCAGATTAAAAAAACTACTTAAGATTAATCAAGACAAATTGAGTGGACTTATAAAGTTCCTGCTGCTGGGCATTTATTTTGACTAGAAACAACCCAAAAGATGAATTGGTCACTTGTGCCTTAAGAATCAATCTCTAATTTTTTTGCATCCGGCATTTTTCTTACAGATTACTACTGTTCATTTCTTAGTAGTCTAAATCTTAGATATTTGAACCTTCTATCTTTCTTTGTCAGTTTTAACTCCCTACTGAAGAGCTGCCATGTAAGAGGAATATTAGAGCAGCCACACAGTGGAAGAACCGGCCAGGCATCTCCCTAATCCAGCAAACACTAATGGTGGGCAACTGATATGTTATGTCCACTGATGTGATGAAATACCAAGTACAAACATCACCTATGGTAAATCAAAGTTTTTTTTGACAGGTTAAATTATCCCAGGTTATAGGAAATAAAAGAGCTGGAAGAAAAAGCAAAAGCAATCAGTCTTAACTTAAAGTGGGACATTATGCTGATCTGGCCTCTCCAATAACTTATCAAATAATTAACACTACTACTACTAATAATAATGGGAATGTGCCAGATTAGAAGAGATTTAAAGAACATCACAACATGATTCTGGATGGGATGCTAGTTTTGGATAAACAAGCTATAAAGTCTTTTACAGATAAGTGGAAAAAATTGAATAGACACTGGGTGTGATCTTACACTTATGCTCTCAATTTTTACAGTTGCATAATGAGGTAAACAGAAACACATACACATTTAAAAGGTAATGCAGAGATACTGTCCACAGAATGAAAACAGGAATCTGATAACAGATACTCATGAAGAGTTATTTTAACTGTCCCACGAATGTTATTTCACAAAAGCATGTTAAAAATCACCAATATTCTAGAATCTCATGGGTACAATGACCTTTTCTTTCTTCTGTTTCTGAATTAATCTTTAATGATGAAACATATGACATACTGAAAAAAAGACAAATGGAAATCTCTCTCTTCATCAATTATGGGGTTGGGGGAGTGGTTGGGGACAGAAAGGGGAACCTTAGGAGATGATAATGTATCAATTCTTTAGAAGAAACTTGATCTGGCATCCACTTTGCCAGTTAATTTTGATGCTAGGAAACACCCTTTACTCTGCATGTGCTGAAGCTAAAGGCTTCTGCTGTAGATCCTAGTTAATAATTTAATCCAATATCATTGCTGCCATCGGCTTGGTCAATTTCTAAACATCTGCTATCACTGTGACTGGTTTAGCCAAGCCACAATATTCATGTGACAAATGTTGAACAAACGAAAGGCGAGGCAGACAGAAAACATGCTATGAAAAAAAGAAACCCAAATCAAAAGTCCAAAACACAAAGGGAGCCCTGCTGACACAGCATTCAAAGTTCAACCACGCCTGCAGGAATGGAAGGCTGCAAAGTCGCTCTAGTGCATGGCTGGGATCATCCAGAGACTGTCCTGAGATGTTAGAAATGAGGTCGGGCTAACATGGTAGAGCTTTGTGAAAGGGATGGGTGCTGATGTTGGAATTATTGGTGAGTATGGAAATAGCACAGGCAAATCAAAAAAGGGAGATTTCATAGGCCCCTAGAAAGTTAGAGCTGAAGAAAGTCATAAGGAACATTTAAGACAATTTTACAAATAAGTGACCTGCAGTGATCACAGGGCCACCCAGCATCTGTACTGATACCCCATCTTGTGGTCCAGTTTTCAATTCCATGTGCTACTTGCTGCCTTCAGTAAGGGCCAGTGAGGTGAGGGATCCCACTGTCCACACTCTTTCCACCTCTATGCCTTTGCACATGCTATTAATCTGCCTCGGATGCTTGATCCTCCGCTTACCCACTTGGCATACCTCTATTCATTTTTCAAGTTATAATTCAAATGTTAACCTTTCTTAAGAAGCATTCCTTGACAGACTGTCACTCTATTTCAAAAATATGTCACTTTATTTCAAGGATAACTTCCCCCAAAGTGAGCTATGCCTTTCTTGCAGAAAAAAAATAATTTCATTAACTGTAACCTCTTATACTTGAACCAATTATTCTTTGTGACATGTTATACAGCCCTAATCCATCTACCCAAGTAATACAAATTCATCGAATTCATTCTCAAAGGCTATACTAGGTATATAAAGGCTCATTTCAGGAGAGAAATAATGTATATAAGTAGAGCTACATATTGATGAACTCAACTGTAAAGTTAACTCACTTGGCCTTTCCCAATTCAGTCATTCAAAACACATTTTCTGAATGCCTATAAAGGATCTAGAACATCTTAGAGAATACTTTTCAATCACTTAGAAATTAAAATTTATTTCCTGTGCTATTTATACTTAACATAATCATACATTTACAATAACAATAATTCAAACAATGAATCGAAATTTTATAGAAAAAAATTGATGCAACCTTTCTTCTAAAATCTTCAGGGAAGAAAATCTCATTGTGGAATGAAAAGTCAAAGTATACTATGATGATCCTAGAGATCTAATTTAAAAGAATTGTGATTAGCTAAGTGCTTTATACTCTGAGCTCCCTCGTATTTTTAAAATTGGATAATATCAAGAACCTGTTTGATTGATGGTGTGGTAAAACCTACAAAGAATCTATACTCGAAAGGGATTTTTTAACGTAGAAAAAAATGAGAGCAAAGGAAGACTTCCTAATAAAGACTACCAGGAGAAACTGACAAAATAAAGTAGAAGGTCGCCACCTACAGGGGACACCATGACACTCAACGACACACTGGTGCATGAAAATGATTCCCTCAGCTGTCATTTACAGAAGACAACATGCTCTCATTCATGGTCAAGTCTCAAAAGAATATCCTTGTCTTCCTTCACCAGAGAAAGACATATTCTATGATCCCTGTGCCCTTTTGAGCCTCAATTCGGACAACATTGACATCACACCTTCAAAAAGATTTGTGAATATTCATAAACCACCTAGTGTCTGCAACCAAGCCCACATTAAGGAAGTACCCCTGAGTTATACAAAACATTTCTAAATCAATAAGGGGGCAGCTGTGTTTAACTGAATAACAGAGCTAAGAAAAAAATTTACATCAATTTATAACCAAAAGGTAAAGCCTTACACAAAGGAGTCCAAAAGTGTTTTCATTTGGACTGATGAAGATTCTGAAATCACTCTGTCCAAGAATACAAAATACAACCTAAAATGACTGAAGGCAAATCAGATTTATCACTGTCTAACTTCTTCCCAATTAATAATCAATAAGTATAAAGATTTAGAGAAAAAGGATAGAGTTAATTATTTAGTAAGCCATGAAACAATCGCTGTGAACTTGTGTTCTGAAGATTAACTGGCTGTTCAGTTTTTCTTTTCTCAGTTTCCTGTGATTTCTAATATTGTTTCACATATGGTTAAGATGAATGCTACAATTAATCGGCTGGTGTGCTCAACTGCTTTTGTTAAGAGGACAGCTGGTTCACATGCAAAATGCTAATGAGACAAATTAGACCATTTTGGTTTGCTGATGAACGAACAGCAAGACCTATAGTTAAGTCTCCAGCTGTACTTGGTTTTCTAGTAATGGTAAAGGTTAACCTAAATGAGGATAATATTTTATTTGATTAGTGTTGGATCTTTTCAAAACATTTTTTTCATTGTCCTAAACTACAGAATACACAGCAGCAAAATTCTCCAAACAGCAAAATCACAGGTTCTTATGAAGCATGAGTGCTACAAGGGTTTTAGAATTAATGGCAGAAGTGAGGCATAAGAGCAAAGAAGCTCAGCCTGACCTAAGATGATATTTGAATTCACCTAGAAAGTACAGAACTTCCATTAATGTCAGTTAGCCAAAGACTTTTTAAGTAAATAAAAACCTTCCTATAACCTCAATTTTTCATATTCGTTCACTGATTTTTCTTTCAATTCATATTGAAAAGACCATTTTTAATAAGTAAACATCAAATAAAGGCAAGGGACAAGAACAAAAACATCAATCATTGTATGGAGACATATTGTTTAGTATCTCTAAATTCTAGTACCCTGGTATTTCTAAAGCAAGAATGTCACAATGTAGATTTCTGACTTGATGCCACAGAAGTACCTCCAGGCTTCTGGGTATTCCCTGTTATTAGAGGGCAATACAATTGGGCACAGATGGAAGGGAAGGAAGGTGCATTGATTGCAGATCCCACATAATTTGGCCCACACAGAATCTGAGAAAAAAATCAACCAGGAAGCGAAACGATAATGCTAATTCTAGGTAATGGCACTGACTTTGTAAAAATGATACGCTTAGCTCTTCTTCATCAGCATCATGGAGGCTTGGAACAGAAAGCAGAAAAATAACAATGGCATTCTTCATATCTTAGCAAATAAAATCATATTTGGAAGGACTAAGTAAGATCAGCAGGCTTCCTCGTGTACCTAACAATATTTTTAACTTGCAGCCAAAACTGAAGCTTGGCATTGTAAAGGCAGGTATGGAGATTTCATAATTTGGCCCAAAGTTTGTTTTTTACTAAAGAAAAAAGGTGAGGTAGACAAAAAACCACTGAGAGAGAGAGAGAGAGTGTGTGTGTGTATGTGTGTGTGTGAGAGAGAGTGTGTATGTGTGTGTGAGTGTGTTTTGAAGAAAGTAGGTCTATGGGGTCTCCCAATGTTGCCCATGCTGGTCTCCAACCCCTGGGCTCAAGTGATCTGCCCACCACAGCCTCCCAAAGTGCTGGGATTACAGGCATGAGCCACCACGCCCAGCCACTATAAGAATTTGACCAACAATGAAGACATCGATGTCTTCCTGGAACTAGGAAAAGAAAAATAATAGGCCAGGCAAAGTGGCTGACGCCTGTAATAACAGCACTTTAGAAAGCCAAGATGGGCAGATCACTTGAGCCCAGTAGTTCAAGACCAGCCTGGGCAACATGGCAAAAACCCGTCTCTACAAAAAATACAAAAATTAGCAGAGCACAGTGGCACACGCCTGCCTGTAATCCTAGCTGCCTAGGAAGCCAAGGTTGCAGTGAGCCGAGATTGCTCCACCGCACTCCAGCCTGGGCAATAGAGCGAGATCCTGTCTTGAAAAGTAAGATATCTGAGGGAGAAAATAAACAGGGTCTTCCAATGCCAAGCAGTTTTTCCAAACTTCTCGAAAATTGCATAGCAGCTCTCAGAAGAGTCAGATGGATCCACTTGTATCACCTCATCTGAAACACCTATCTCTTTGTGTGCTGCAATGCATATAAATCATTATGTGATAAAACAAGTTTAAATAAAGCTGCCACAATCAATTCTCATTAGCAAACCATATTTAATTAAGTATACATTTAGGCTGCTGAGGGCAGTTTTAAAATACCTGCACTTTCCCATGCTTAATGTTTATGCACAATCATTTTTAATCAGACAAATTTAATTATCTTATTACAACTGCTTTCTGAAGAGAGATACTCACCAACTGCACCCCACGGGAAAGAGGAATCGGTCACAGACTCCAGACAATATATTACATTCATTATCAAAATAAATCCCAGAGCATCTATGGAGAACTCGTTCCGGCACGATGTCCCATGTTAAAATAGGATAAAATTCACTTCTTTGCTCAGTAACCTCCCTCTTCTTCTTCGTTAATACAATTCTAACTGCTCGTCAACAGGATAACTCTATATTCTGAACTTTCTAGCTTTACTTGAATTGTTTTTAACATCCCCCGACACCAAAAAAGAAAAAAAAAAAAAAACCCAGCCTCTTCTTTCTGCAGCTGCTGAATGCCACAAATAGCTTCTTGTATAATTCGACTTAGAATGCACCCCAAACTAGATGTGTTCAATGGCAACGTGAATGCTTCATTCAGAGAGAAACAAAATGTGTAGAATGTCCTAAAAACATCACAGTGGCAAAGGGGATCATTAAGAAGTCTTGGGGCAGACGACCGCTTTCAGCCCTTGCCTGCAAATTCTTCTCAGGTCTATGCACATGGCGAGAGAAAGGTTTCAGAAGATTCCCACAGTGATCAAAGGAGGAATCGCTAATTCCCCTCAGCCTGCCCTGTCTAGATGGGGTTTTCCCCGGTGTTACCTCCCTTCTCCACAACTAATGTGTTTCTTCCTCCTGGTTTCCTAATAAAATGCACCTACCCTCAATCTGTTCGTGCTCTGCCATCAGTTACCCAGACCTAAACTAACATGTTCATTTAAAATTCGTACTTGATGTGCTATGTGTTCTACACATGGCAGACACCCCCTCTGATATTTCTGGAAGCTCCTGGAGGGCCAGAGCCAACTCCATGCCCTTCACTTTGCACAGTGCCAACCTCGGTGCCATGCAAAACCAGCTGTTGTGAAAATGGATACAATGGGACAACAGGTAACATTCATAGAAATGGGTTGGGAAGGAAAAGAGCCTGGCGAACTTTAAAGCATTCTTGTCACATAGTGCCATAATTTTCTAACCTTTATGAAAATTTTCCTTAAGAAACGCCTTGCAAATACTAAACAAAAATGTCCACACATTTATGAATAAACCTAACATTTATTCATGAATGTAAGTAACTTTTTTTTTTCTTTTTCCAGAGACAGGGACTCACTCTGTCACCCAGGCTAGAGTGCAGATCCCAGTTCACCACAGTCTCCAACTCCTGTGCTCAAGCAATCCTCCCCTGCTTCGGCCTCCCAAGTAGCTGGGATGAGTAACTTTTTGAAAAGTTTCCCTGTGTGTTGAAATTGGATTTTATTTTCTTGAATACCAGATATTTTGGCAATCAAATGATTACAGGGGCTGGTGGGTAAAGGAAGAAGCAAGAGTTATCTTAGTTGCTGTGTAAAGAGACAGAGGGCCAGTGGATTGGCCTTTTACCCACTCTCTTCCCATCATCCTTCGGGTCTCAGATTAATTTGCCATTTCTTCAAGGTCTGAATTGGACTCTATTTAGACCTCCCATTGTTCACTTTCATCGAAACCTATACTTTTCTTCTATATCACTACTACTTGTAGTGATTTGTTCAATGACTAATTTGTTTAATCTCCCACTAAACACATGATCTGGACCATGATACAGAGGCCATGGCTCACTGAACCTACAGCAACAAGGTGCCCAGTGCCAGGTTTGATACACTGTGGGCATGCAATTCATATTATTTTATTAAATGAATGAATTTAATACAGCAGGAAAAGAAATAGTTTACATTACCAACTCTAAAGACTTTATTCTTGGCCAGGCGTGGTGGCTCACGCCTGTAATCTCAGCACTTTGGGAGGCCAAGGCGGGCGGATCACCTGAGGTCAGGAGTTCGAGACCAGCCTGACCGACATGGTGAAACCCTGTCTCTACTAAAAATAACAAAAATTAGCCGGGCGTGGTGGTGAGCACCTGTAGTGCCAGGTACTCAGGAGGCTGAGGCAGAAGAATTGCTTGAACCCGGGAGGAGGGGGTTGCAGTGAGCCGAGATCACGCCACTGCACTCCAGCCTGGGTGACAGAGCAAGACTCCATCTCAAAACAAACAAACAAACAAACAAACAAAACAAACTTTATTCTTAGGATGTTAAAAAAAATACAGTAGTTCTCCCTTATCCACAAGGAATACACTCTAAGACTTCCAGTGGATGCCTAAAACCACAGATGGTACCAAACCCTACATATGCTACATTTATTCCTACACATACATATCCACGATAAAGTTTCATTTATAAATTAGGCACAGTAAGAGATTAACAATAATAAAACAGAACAATGACAACAGTATACTATAGTAAAAGTTATGTGGATGTGGTCTCCCTCTCTCTTTTTCTCTCTCTCAAAATATCTTATTGTGGCCAGGCATGGTGGCTCACTCCTGCAATCTCAGCACTTTAGGAGGCCGAGGCAGGTGGATGGCTTGAGCCTAGGAGTTCAAGACCAGCCTGGGGAACATAGGGAGACTCTGTCTCTACAAAAAATAAAAAATACAAATCAGCCAGATGTAGTGGCTCACACCTGTGGTTCCAGCTACTCGGGAGGCTGAAGTGGGAGGATAGCTTGAGCCCAGAAGTTCGAGGCTGCAGTGAGCTGTGGTCACACCACGGCATTCCAGCCTGGGCGACAACACAAGACCCTGTCTCACACAGCAACAACAACAAAAATCTTATTGTACTGAATTCACCCTTCTTCTGAGGACGTAAGATTAAAAAAAAAAAGTGTCTACATGATGAGATACCACGACAGATCTGATAACTGTGACTGACGGGCAGGCAGTGTCTACAGTGTGGATCAGCTGACCACATCCTGGGCAGGATGGGGCAGGAGGGTGAGAGAGTTCACCACACTTCTCAGAACAGCACACAATTCAAAACTTATGTATTATTATTTCTAAAATTTTCTACTTAATATTTTCAGATCTCAGTTGACCATGGGTAACTGAAACCACGAGAAGCAAAAACTGAGGCTAACAGGAGACCGCTGTAAAATATCTGCAGCCACTAAGATTGGCAGGGAGCTTTTAACTGGAGACAAAAGTTCATTCACAGAAATCAGTTCATTCATCTTCAGCCTCATCTCATTCATTAAGGACTCAACACACCAAACAATACTCTAGGCACCAGAGACATCAAAACAAAGACAACTTTCTCTTATGAAGCCTTCTCTGACTTTTTAGTCTTTCGCATCCTCTCCCCAGGAGGGTGGATTTTTCACTTATTTATGGCTTATCCGCTCCATAATTGTGCTCATTTGTCTTCCCTGCTAGGAGCTGTGCTCCTGGAGGACAGGAACTGGGCCATATTGGCTTTGGAGATGCCAGTAAGTTAGTTGATCAAATGATGCAATAAAGAAATAAACTATCTATTTCTTGTCCATCAGGCATTCTATTGGACGGAAGAAGACAGAATTCAATAAAATGGGAATAAGGTACATTTTAAATTAGGAAGTGCATAACTCTAACGGCTGGAAGTTAATAGTATCGGGGAAAACTTGACGTAGCAGGTGACATGTGAGCTAGGCCTGGATGGGTAGGTAAACGTTTGCTAGAGGAAAACAGATATGAAACACATTCCAACTCAACAAGAGGGCATAAAGAAGACAGTGAATCGTCTGGAGTTGGGAATACTGAGTGTGTGTGTCATGAAGGCGCACGCCGTCTCTCACAGTCCCAGGCAAGTCACCTCCTTGTCCAGTGCACCACAATGAGAGGCTGGGAGTTGGAAACCACATTTCCCAGACTCTTTGACACAGGGGCCTCAGCAGCCGGCCTAGCATTTGCAAAGCAGATGCACATGACTGATGATACAAGTCCTCATTTCCATGCTCCTGCGGCTTCGGCTGTTTCTGCTGCTAAGTCTGACTGTTGAGGTAACTGAAGTCTCAGTGTGCCATCCCTACTTTCATGGAGGTGGGAAGCAAGGCATGTAGTGATCATTTTGCTGGTAAGGTACACAGCTGAGGGAGTGTGGGCGTGGAGTCAAAACCTGGGTGCCAGCTTTGACTGCGGCAGAGATAACAGCTCCTTTGGCCAGCTGAGAGAGCTATGCCTGGGTGTTCAGCTTGGGCCTATTCCTAAAGGTTTTTCCAATGATCATGTAGATACCATATACTCTATTTTAAATCCCCGTCTGCTTACAATGTTGTCTGCAACTGAACGTGCCTGAGACCATCTGCTGGCCTGCTGGGATGACAAAGTGGGGTTTGTGGCAATGGCTGTGGGAGATATGGCTAGAAAAGTTAAGTCATCACTGGTGTCAAGCCAAAGACCTTAGAACTCTCAGTTAGCAATGGTTGAACATCAAAGTTGTTTTGTTGTTGTTGTTGTTGTTGTTGTTAATTTGGGAAAATAGGCAATTCGTGTTTTTGTTTGTTTGAGACAAGGTCTAGCTCTCTTGACCAGGCTGGAGTGCAGTGGTGTGATCTTGGCTCATTGCAACCCCTACCTCCTGGGCTCAAGTCATCCTCCCACCTCAACCTCCCAAGTAGTTGGGACTACAAGTGCATGCCACCATGCCCGGTTAATCTTTGTATTTTTTTTAGAGACAGGGTTTCACCATGTTGCCCAGGGTGGTCTCAAACTCCTGAGCTCAAGCAATCCTCGTGCCTCAGCCTCCCAAAGTGCTGGGATTACAGGCGCGAGCCACTGCATCCAGGCAACATGAAAGTTTCCATGCAAAATAGTCTTCTGTGTTTTAGAAAAACGTTAGAGACATAGAAAACTAAATTTTAAAAATAGACAAAATGTTTAAATCCAAGGTGAACTATAATGTTGATGAGAAAGGGATGGAAGTAAACAGTCTATCTTCTGCACAATGATTTCCCCCATGCCTACTCTTTGGCTGTATCATAACACTTTCTGCCTCTCTTAAGTGTGTTACCTAGTCCAAGACGACACCAACAGTCCAGGAGGTAGGATACTGTCACATTCTGACTCTACTTAGCCTCTGTTCTCACCAGACTCTCTGATTTCATGTTGTTGGAGAATTCTGGATGAATATTTCAGTTCCTGATTATTGCCTGCATTGTCAGACTGATTTTTTTCTACAAGTAGGGTTTGCAGAAACTGGATGGTCATGATTAAAGCCCATGAATGGAAAGTAACAATGACATAAAAAGCTTTCTCTGTATTCATTTTTTAAATGCTGAGTTTTCCCCAATTTTAGTTATATACAGTTCTGAAGTATCACATACATTCTGATAAAGAACATGTAAGATCTAACCACTATCAGTATTTAGGGAAAGAACATCAGATTACTGAAACAAGACAGCCAGTGCCTTGTTAAAGCAGATATGAAAGCAATGTCTGAGCACTTAGAGGCAAACAATAGAATCCAGTTTCATCATATTAATTAAGCAAATCCTATTTATTAAGAGATATTAAGGAGTTCTCAGAATCTCCAGGAGGGCCAGAGGATAAGTTTACCTGCCAATCAGCCAGGACTGTAACAGTGAAACACTGCTGCTGTTGCCACCTGCTGGTCATCACAGAGCATGCGCAAGTGTGGATGCCTACACTTGTGGAGCCACTGAAGCAGCTCCCAGAGCAGGTCAGTGCTGCTGGGCTTGCCAGTAGATCCAGACAACCTACTCAGCTACTGCCTAACATCCCTCAGTTTGTCATCCACATCCAATGAGTGGGTCAGGGTGGCACAGCCTAGGTCACATACCTGTACTGTAGCTGCAAGGGAGTCTGGGAAGCGAACGTTGTTAGTTCTGTGGCTGGTTAGGGGAGGAAGTCAGGTCAGATGGTGGGGAGGGGCAGTAGGGAGTGGGACAGGACTGGAGTGAGAAACTGCTGCAAGATTTCTGGACAAGTTCTTCAGTAAGAACAATTACTAATATAGGTTCCAAAGTCACCTGAGATTTGTGGTCTCTTATTTCAGTTTTGCTTCAAATCCAGAAATACAGTTATTTATTAATACATCTGAACTTCCTGAATCAGAAACTGAAGAGTGTCAGAGAACTCTTTGACTCAAATTGTATCAGTGGCCCACAAGAATTCACCCAGTAGCATTTAACAGTGTCACCTGCTAAGTCTATCAACTCAACACAGTCCAGGTTTGGTTTCTTTCCATGGACTCTCTTTCTGGAGAGCTTTAAAAAATTACAGCAGGTTTTTTTTTTTTTCAAGAGATGCACAAATTCACATTATATAAGAAAAATAATAGAAGTGAGGGTAGAACGTCCACAGGAATGATTTTTTTTTTTTTTTTTTTAGAAAAACCCAGAGCATTTCATGGGTTGTTGCAATCTCACTTCAGAAATTAACAAGTTAAATTAACTCACTCTTCCAGCTAGCCTATATAATTAAAGTTGGAAAAAAACAAAAACAAAACTAGAAATGTTTATGTTTGGCTTTAATTCTTCACTACATACTACGTTCTAATGGGGAAGACAGTAAGAAATCCAAGCACTGACATAGTAACTTCAATAGAACATTCTAGAATGCCACTGAAGGCCAGGCGCAGTAGCTCACGCCTGTAATCCCAGCACTTTAGGAGGCCAAGGCCAGCAGATCGCCTGAGGTCAGGAGTTCAAGACCAGCCTGGCCAACGTGGTGAAACCCCGTCTCTACCAAAAACACAAAAATTAGCTGGGTGTGGTGGTGCATGCCTGTAATCCCAGCTACTCGGGAGGCTGAGGCAGGAGAATCACTTGAACCGGGGAGGCGGAGGATGCAGTGAGCCAAGATCGCACCACTGCGCTCCAGCCTGGGTGACAGAGCAAGACACTGTCTCAAAAATAAATGAATAAATAAATAAATAAATAAATACATACATACATACATAATAAAATGCCACTTTAGAATAAAACACTCCACAGCTAACCATCTAATGGGAAAATATAACTTTTCTGAGCACCACTGCGTAAATAAGCCTCCTCTGAATGACACAGAAAAAAAAAAGCCTTACCATGTGTATAGTAACAACTAACAACTTCAATAGTATTTTTTTCAAAGCATAATTTAGTAGTAGAAATTTAAAAGAAAGTGAATCTTCAAAAAAAAATCTGCTCTGTCACCCAATTTTCCTTTTGATAAAGCAATGACCTTAAAAAAATGTGTTATCAAAAACAAATGGAATTTTTATGTCTCTCATAACTCAAAAATATTTACTTCTTCATAAACACCCAAATATTGTAATAAAAGCATTAAATATTAACATTCTTGTCTTTTTTTTTAAACCAGAGAAATATCTTAGATGAAGAAAGTAATTTGCTACCATCACAATACATGAATAATTTAATATGCAAGGCTGGAATGACATTTGCACAAGATTTTTTTCCCATTGTCCATGATACATCAACCCTGTGAGAAAATCAACAGAGGAGTGGGAAAATCTTGTGAAAAATTTTTACAAACAAGCACAGTGTCTGCAGGTTGCTGTCTGGTGCTAGTTTCTTCTTGCACTTCAGAAAGGATACATCTTCACACATACTTAGGCATCTCTAGCAAGGTAGCTGGAGAAAGATCTAGAACACTTACATGGGCAGTATTTCCCATTCCCTCCATTTCAGTATTCAGATAGAGTTGATTGGCAACTGTTTGTTCCATATTTATATTACTGAAATACTCTTTGTTTTAAAAATACATATTTGAGAGCCATCCCTTAAAAAGTTGATAAAGATGAAGACTAGTTGATCAAAAATTTTCCTACTCCCTCTCAACCTTTTTCACGTTTTATACTTTCCCAGCTGCCTTCAATCCTTTCTGAAACAAGGGGAATACAGGGTTTTTCCCATAACCGTTGGCATTCAGTATACAATTCATTATTGCCCAAATCCAATTGTTATGTGTTCTTTAAGGTTAGTGACAAAGAATAATAACAATAATAACATAATAAGGCAAAACAGATTGTTTTAAAAGAATAAAATATAAATCTACACAGTCTTGGCATATAAAATCATACCAAAATAAATATCAATAACTAACCAATAAAATTTCAAAATTGGACACAGTTCTCCCAACACTGAGTGCTGGAATACGCTGCCTAGTTTAATTCTTTTTTTTTTTTTTTTTTTTTTTTTTTGAGATGGAGTCCCGCTCTGTCACCAGGCTGGAGTGCAGTGGTGCGATCTTGGCTCACTGCAACCTCTGCCTCCCGGGTTCAAGCAATTCTCCTGCCCTCCACCTTCCAAGTAGCTGGGACTACAGGCATGTGCCACCACACCCAGCTAATTTTTGTATTTTTAGTAGAGATGGGGTTTCACCATGTTGGCCAGGCTGGTCTTAAACTCCTGACCTCAGGCAATCTGCCCTCCTCGGCCTCCCAAAGTGCTGAGATTACAGACGTGAGCCACTGCGCCCAGCAGTTTAATTCTTTTTACACTTGTATATAACCTTGACCAAGTTAATCTCCCTCTGCTGGTAAAAATGAGAATATTTCTCAGAAATATTTTCCAAATATTTTACCACAGATACTGCCTATGACAGAGCCTGAAAGAACAACTGATTTCTACTTTTTGTGACAAACACATGGGCTTCAACCAGATCTCTTTGGCCACTGTGTGGAGAACAGATTGTGCATGGACAAGTAAAAGTAGGAAGCTACTGTGATCAACTAGGAAAGAAATATGGTGGCTTGAACCCCTGTTAGAAATGAGACAAATGGGTGGATTGGATATAATTTGGAGGTAGATCAGTGTGAAAGTTATCAGTATCAAAATGGAGCCACTAATGTCAAACCCAAAAAACTGAAGCCGAGAGACCATGAAGGTGGGGCCCTCATACAGGTATGCCTATAATGGGAGCTATGCAAGGGATTCCTCAAAACCACAGTATTCCAGATAAACTTTCTGCACAAGTGCACACCTATCAGGTGTGATTGTCTCCACCAATTAGCTAATGCCAACATCTACAACAAGTCCCTGTAACCAATAGTATTCGTTTCAAAACAGCTTAGGTGGACTTTTCCTTTTTGTCTTTAAAAGCCTCCCCCAGGCCAGGCGTGGTGGCTCACATCTGTAATCCCAGAAGTTCAAGACCAGCCTGGGCAACATAGTGAGACCCCCATCTCTACAAAAATAAAAATAAAAAAATTCACTGGGACTGATTGTGCACACCTGTGGTCTCAGCTACTTAAGAGGTTGAAGCGGGAAGACCCCTTGAGCCCAGAAGGTTGAGGCTGCAGTGAGCCATGATCACGCCACTGCCCTCCAGCCTGGGCAGCAAAGTGAGACCCTGCCTCAAACAAAACAAAACAGCTACCCCCTGCCTCACCCCCCTGGAATATGCCTATGGTTTGACATAGCATGAGTATTCTGGATTGCAATCCCCTGCTATTCCCAAATAAATTCTTTGCTTTGGAAGAGTTGGTCTCTGTCACACATTTTAGGTTGGCACTGGAAAGGATTAGATGTGGGACAGAAGAAAGAGGAATCAAAGAGGATTAGAGTTTTTTGCTGAAGGTGCCTAAGTGCAGGCTGGTGGTGCTATTTATTGGGGAGGAGAACCCGGAGGAAACAGTGGCTAGAAGATAATTAGATGGGCAAAGTGGAACACCTCATATGGGCATGGGGTCTGCATCATAACAGAGGTCAGGGCGGGAGATTTTAAAAACTTTAAAATTAGCCTATAAAAAGATACTTAAAGCCACTTAAAGAGAACATCAAGGGAAAGAGGGCAGGAAGAGAAAAGAGGAAGACTCTTGGTCAGAAAGAAGAGGAGGAGCCTTGGAGGAGGCCCAGAAGTGCAGCCAATGACTTCAGGAAATCCAACAGAGGAAACTGTTTCAGCTCCCTAGAATATGCTAGTAAGTACGGCAAAGTCAGAAAAGTGAGCATTGCGTCTGGCCACGTGGAAACCGTGAACACCCTGGAGAACAATCCTGTGATACTGTGGAGCCAGAAATCCAGAGTCAGATGCACTGAAGAGGAGGTGAGAAAGCAGATCAGATGCAGACTTTTTTATTATTAAATTTTGCTCTGAAGATAAATAGAAAAATGGATGGCCCCTGAAGGACATGTGAAGTCAAGAAAGTAACTTCAAAAATGGAAATCCATCACTGTAACTTCCTTGTTCAAAGAATGTTTGGAGCCTGGGCAACATAGCAAAACCCGTATCTACAAAAATATAAAATTTAGGCCAGTTGTGGTGGCTCACGCCTGTAATCCCAGCACTTTGGGAGGCCAAGGCGGATGGATCACCTAAGGTCAGCAGTTCAAGACCAGCCTGGTCAACATGGTGAAACCCCATCTCTACTAAAAATACAAAAATTACTGAGCCGTGGTGGCAAGCACCTGTAATCCCTGTAATCAGGAGGCTGAGGCAGGAGAATCACTTGAACCCGGGAGGCGGAGGTTGCAGTGAGCCGAGATCACGCCATTACACTCCAGCCTGAGTGACAAGAGTGAAACTCCATCTCAAATAAAATAAAATAAAATAATTTACTCAGGTGTGGTGGCGCACATGTGGTTTCAGCTACTCAGAAGGCTGAGCTAGGAAGATCACTTGGGCCCAGGCGGCTGAGGCTGCAGTGAGCCGTGATTGTGCCACTGCACTCCAGCCTGCTGACAGAGCAAGATCCTGTCTGAAAAAAAAAAAGTTTACTTTCTCTTTGAGCTCTCTTAATTTGTTTGAGTCTATGGTGCACTGAAAATGAAAAGCCTTTTTAGATTTACATAACAAAACAAGATTTAACAATCTGGGTTAATGAATGACAATAATCTTCAGGCGGAAAGGCTAGGAATTATTTCCTGAATGAATGAGTTTCATTAATAAAATAAAAGGAAGGGTCTCTGTCCCCCCACCCCCACCCTTTCATGATCTCTCTGTATAACATTCTGTAGTCTACCATCAACTAACTGGCTTGGTGCAGATTCCAGAACATTCCTGGAAGGAATCACTCATCTGGGCAGAATATACCCACTAAGGTCCTTAGGGAAAGTCAGGCCAATAAAGTTTTGCGGCACACCAAGTATTTTCTGTATTTATGAGAAAAAAAATTAATGGTGGGGCAGGGGAATGGTGGGGACAGAAGGGGAGCCAGAGAAGGCAGTGAATTAAAGAGAGTTTTTAAATTTTGTTTTTATTTTATTTTATTATGTTTTAGAAATAGGGTCTCACTCTGTCACCTAGGCTGCAGTGTAGTGGTGAGATCATAGCTCACTATAGCCTCGAACTCCTGGGCTCAAGTGATCCTCCTGCTTCAGCCTTCCAAGTAGCTGGGACTACAAGTGCGAGCCACCACCCAGCTAACTGTTTAAACTTTTTGTCGAGACAGGGTCTCGCTACGTTGCCCAGGCTGGTCTCAAACTCCTGGACTCAAGCCATCTTCCCGCTTTGGCGTCCCAAAGTGCTGGGATTACAGGCATGAGCCACCACACCCAGCCTAGAGATGTTTTAAAGAGGAAAAAAAAAAAAAAAAAAAAAAAAACAGAGCTAAAAGCTCCAGGAATAGAAGACAGGAGACTGACACAGGGGAATTCTTGGTTGGTTTTACTGACATGAAATGATTATGAATTTGAAGTACTGAAGAAGATGAGTCATTTGGGATGTGACATCTCCTTTGAATGGGAAAGCCCAAATCCTATGCCATAGGTCCATGCTGTAGGTCTAGCCTGCAGCCAAATGGCAAGATTGCTTGTGTCATAAAAACATAGAATAGTCTTTAGGGAAACAAAATAAAAATAATAGCAAAAAGTTAATTGTGCTTACTCCAGGCTGGGAATTTTATGTGAATGATCTCATTGAACTCACATTACAGACCTGAGATGTGTGAGCTGTGATTATGCCCATTTTTGGAGTTGAGGAAATGAAGACTGAGTAGGAAGCTAAGTAATTTCCAAAGGCCTTAAGCTTGCCAAGTGGTGGGGTGGGAATTCAAGCCAGGTCTGGGACCCTGAAGGTTCCCTCCTATTTACCTCTGAAGAATGAGCACTTACCTGAGTAAATCAAGAAGCAAGCCCCACACAGGCTCACACAAAACAGGGGTACTGAAAGCTAAAATTAAGCCTGGTGTTAAGCAGACTTTTCATTGGGTACAGAAAAGAGCACAAATTATGTATGCAGCTCAACGAATTGCCACAAAGTGAACGCCCATGTAACCAGCACCCAGATCAAGATAGAGATCATTACCAGCTCCCAAGACCTCCTGTTCATGCCCTCCTTGCAGCCACTAGCCCCATCCCCACACATAACCATTACCCTAATAAAATCACCATAGATTAGTTTTGCCTGCTTTTGAACTTTATATGGTTGGAATCACACTCTTCTGTGTTTGTGAGATTCATCTATGTGGTTGTGTGTAGCAGTAACATGTTTATTCTTATTGGTATGGTAAAAGATTACTTATCTGTTGTATTATTAATGGACATTTAGTGTTTTTTTTTCCAGTTTGGGGCTTTTAGGAATAGTGCACTATGAACATTCTCATGCATGTCATTTGGTAAACATTAAGTATCTCGTTATGGTGGGTATAATCCCAGAAGGGGAATTTGCTGGGTCAGAGTGTGTGCATAGTCAGCTTCAGGAGATATTGCCAAAAAGTTTCCCAAATAGGAAACACTAGTAGAGTGATTTAAAGGTTTTCTTCCCTAGCAAATGGGCACACAAAAAAATATTGAAGGATCTCATAAAACGTTACCAGAAGCCCATTCTTAAACATCAGAAATAAATTTAAAAGAATACTTAAAAATCATCTGAATGACGGGAGCCCTGCTTGCCAAAGGTTTGTGTAATAAAAGCTAAAGAAAAATTTGGCTGAAAGGATCTTGAAAGGATATGTGTAAGTGGCAAATGGGCGGCTACGAACCATGATGGAGACAGAGCAGCTTTGGCCCACCATGGACATTTCTAGTCCTCACCTTGCCAGGTGAGTCCTGGAAGCTTAATGTCTCTGGGCGTTGGATTTTTTACCTCTGTAATGATAGGGTCGCACTAGTTGAGCTCTAAGTTCGATTCTGGGTGCAATATTGTGTCATACAGACAAAAAAGATAATGTTTCAGCCCTATCAAAAACAAGAAGGGGCTGAGCACGGTGGCTTATGCCTATAATCCCAGCACTTTGGGAAGCCAAAGTGTACACACTTCTTGAGCCCGGGAGTTGGAGACCAGCCTGTGCAACATAGCAACTCTCTCTCTCTCTATAAAAAAATTAAAAAGTAGCCAGGTGTGGTGGTGCACACCTGTAGTCCCAGCCACTCAGGGTGGCTGAGTGGGAAGATCGCCAGAGCCCAGGAAGTCGAGGATGTAGTGAGCTGAAATCATTCCACTACATTCCAGCCTGAACAACGAAGTGAGACCTTGTCTCAAAATAAATAAATAAATAAATAAATAAATAAATAAATAAATAAATAAATAAAAAGGGAAAGATGCAGTCCTATATGCTCACTCTATAATGTACCCAAAGCTAGACTATATAAAATCAGGACGTACTTTGTTGCCAAATAAAAAACAAAATAAAAATGAAGGTTAGCTGGGTTGATACAATGAGGGTACATAGGGGAGTTTTAATGACAACTTAAGTGTTGGAGAAATACTTTGGGATCTGATAAGGAAGGCTTTTAGAAAAAAGAATTATTTGAAAATATTTGACCTGGCCAGGCGCAGTGGCTCACACCTGTAATCCCAGCACTTTGGGAGGCCAAGGTAGGCAGATCACCTGAGGTCAGGAGTTCGAGACCAGCCTGGCCAACATGGTGAAACCCCATCTCTACTAAAAATACAGAAATTAGCTGTGGTGGGAGGAGCCTGTAATCTCAGCTACTCTGGAGGCAGAGGCATGAGAATCGCTTGAACCTGGGAGGAGGAGGTTGCACTGAGCCGAGATCATGCCACTGCACTCTAACCTGAGCAACAGAGCGAGACTCTGTCTCCAAAAAAAAAAAAAAAGAAAATATTTGGGCAAAAATAAAATAGAAAGAATAGAATTTTAAACATGCCCTTGAGTTCCCAGATCATAATGTCAAAACATTCTATTTTGTAGCCAGGTGCAATGGCTCACACCTGTAATCCCAGCACTTTGGGAGGCTGAGGTGGATGGATCACTTGAGCTTAGGAGTTCGGAGCCAGCCTGGGCAACATGGCAAACCTCTGTCTCTAAAACATACAAAAATTAGCCAAGCCTGGTGGTGCTCACCTGTAGTCCCAACTACTGGGAAGGCTGAGGTGAGAGGATCACTTGAGCCTGGGAAGTCAAGGCTGCAGTGAGCCAAGATTGCACCACTGCACTCCAGCCTGGGTGATAGAGTGAGCCCTGTCTGGAAAAATAAACAAAACTTCCTATTTTACCACACACAGTGCCCACTCTTCTTCCTTTTTATATTGTACTTGCCACTTCCCTGCCCTCTCTACTTTTACCCAGAACACCTGTAAATATATGAAACAAACTCCAGTGGGTTTGCCATTTTTCTCCTATTTTTATGATAAGCTTTTTCAATGTTTCTTTATACTTTACCTCGAGTTGCGTGCTTAATTTTTATTCTTTTTTATTTTAAAAATATATGAGCTTACTAATTTCCCTCTGCATATAGTTTTGGCCACATCCCATGAGTTTTGAAATGTAACTTTATATCATTTATTTCTTTAAAAAGTCTGCTTTTAAAATTTAAATATCCTCTTTTCCTTGTGTTTTTAACCACTATACTAATGAATTTCAAAATCAGCTGATACATCGTCAGAAATTGAACAGAATCCATCTTGATAGTATCGATAAAGTTTGTCATTCGTGGTAGTTTTGGGAATTCCACCAGCATTTATCCCGCTTCTTTGGGCTTAAAGATACACTTCAGAACGGCACTCTACCCTGTCATGTGTCTAACATTAGCGTCTTTGTCTTTGCTTTGGGGCGTTTAAACAAGAAAGCAAACTGAGCCAGCTGTGTAGGCAGCACACAAATCCGAGCCGTCGCTCTTCAGTCTCCTCCTCTTTATCCTATTGACATATGAGGTCAAGACCAGCGCTGGGAGGCTGCATTGGATTTTGTGCAGATGAGGATTTCTTTCATGGTTACATATTTGGGAAACTAAGATTAAGTACAGAAGGGAAAAAAAAAACCACTATGAAACACCAAAAATCATACAGACATTTAGAGGATCGCTCTGAGTTTGCTCACAAACTGCAGTCTGGGAATCTAAAAGAAGGAGGGCAAAAGTGCCCCCTGCCCCAAAAAATTTAAAAAAAAGTTTCTCTTCTTTTTTTAATCTGAAGTGACAAAAGAGTAATAAGGCTTATGAGGCTTGCAGCACCATGAAAACAAATCCCCTCATTTGCATCCATGAATAGCGGCTGAATTTATAGCTCAAGATAAATGGCAAGTCAGAGAGCAGCCGGATTACCAGTGTCCAGGCATTTGTTGAAAGCATTTACATATGAACAGTGGAAAGAAGTGGGTACATACTACGCCCCTTACCAATCCACTTAGGAGACTGAAAACCCAAAGTGAAAAGATCCTCTTTGAGGCTCCAGCGTGACAAATACCAGTTAGATTTTCAGAGGCTGTGTAGCATTGAACACACACACATGACAGAAAGAAAAATAGTAGTTAACAGTTCCTGGGTCTAGCCAGGTTCCAGGCAAGCTATGCATGCATTGCCCCATTTAAAGTTCATGAAGCTCTTATGAGTTAGGGAATTACCATCTGTGTAGTTGAGATGAAAGAGCTGGGACCTCGGGAAGTTAAGTGACTTGCCACATACTTCTACTGGCTAAGCCAAAGTCATTAGTGATTAGAAAGCCTCACACAAGAGCCTGTGAACGAATGCCAGACTTTTCTTTTCATTTATGCTTCTTACATTCCTCCTCTGAGCTAAGCGGGCCATATTCCAATCCATATTTTGTAGTGTACTGGAAACTGGTAAATTATACGTATAAAACTCAGGGTGATTGTGGAGAGAAAGCAAGTTATTTGACATAATTATAAAGCTGTATAAGTAAATATAATTCCAGATGATTACATGATAAGCCTAAAATACCAAGATTTTATTTCTTGTATTACTTTTTAAGATATATTCCTAATACTCAGGGAATAGCCAGAGTAACAGAGAAGCAAAGGAGAGCTGCAGAACAGAGTGAAAGAGCCAGAGGTATTCATTCAGAAGGAAGGGATGAGGTCATCTTTAGAAGAAAAAAAAAATCAAGGCAGATATGAGTTGACAACTGTACCAAGTTCTGGAGTTCAGGAAGAAAGGAAGTGGAGAGTGACGATTTACCTGCCAACCTACCCTGCCTTTTAAATTTTCATTCTTTGACTAGTCATTCAAGAAGTTATCTATAATTCTTGTTATTTGATGTTTTGAGAGGGAAAAACATATAATTCATGATTTGTTCTCTAGACAAATGTAGGCAGTAATCACTTAATTTCTACAAAGGTGAGGGATTAAACAGGATTATCAACTGTTAATTTCTAACTGCTATTAATTATCACCCTATACAGACAAAATTGTTCTCTATTTTGATACCAAGTCAACTGTTTAAATATTTAATATGGATGGATTCACCACATTGGCAAAACACAGACCAGACTTAAGTCTTTGTCTATCCTGTACATGACAACTAAAATGAATGGTTTTTAGAATTGCAGTAAGAGAATACAGTATTTCCGGAATGAAGTCAAAATCAAATCCTCTCTTCTCATTAACAAGATTAGTATGTTTCCAGTGTTTGAGGTTCGAGGGAGCCTTTGACAAACAGCATGGCCCTCATAAAGGCGACATTAGAAAAACAGTGCTGAAAAGAAGTAAACATCTCAAATGTCCTATTTTTTACAAAACACTTGGAAAAATTGAGAATGAGCCTTTTATATTCTACTACCCAAAACAATCTTCATTCCTTGAATTTATTATTGTTAACCTCTCCTGCACAAAGTCAGCATATAATAGCATAAGATTCCCTTGATTGATGTCTCCGCTGGGGCCTTTAGAAGTCTGAGACACACTCCGGAGCTTGCACTGGGTCAACTATGATGTTCCAGGGGTCAGAGAAAGATCTCTTGCATCAGCCAGAAATAAAGACTCCCTTGCAGGTGTCAGAAAGGTCATTCAATTTTGGTGTTTATCAGACATTGTCCAATATTAAGTTCTACTGGAAATCAAATCTAATAGAAAGGTTCCCAAAGCAAGACACTCCTGTCCCTCAACTCCATTTTTTGTTTTGTTTTAATGACGTAGTAGTTTTCTACAGCCTTTCTAAAGGCTCATTCTCAATGTTGCCTCGGATGAGAGCCATGTTATGATGAGTGCTGTTATAACAACTTAACATGAATTTAGCACCTGCAGATAATACCCATTTATTATCTCACAGTTCTGCAGGTTAGCAGTCCAGCAGACTTGGCTGGGGGCCTTGCTTAGGGTCTCACAAGGCCTAAACTTAACTGTCGGCCAGCCTGGGCTTTTATCTGAAGGCTGTGCAGAAGAATCAGCTTCCAAGCTCATTGTTGGCAGAATTCAGTTCCTTCTCAGTCTCCTACTGCTCCCTCTATCTTCAAGCCAGCAACAGCGTACTGACTCCTCACCCACAGAATCTCTCAACTTCCGCTCTGCCATCAACCAGAGAGAGCTCTGCTTTTCAGTGCTCCTGTGATTACATTAGGCCCACTTGGATAATCCAGGCTAATCTCCCTTGGGTAAGGTCATTGATTAGTAACTTTAATGACATCTGAAAAGTCCCTTTTTGCCATGTAGTGTAACATACTGACAGACATGGCAGGAATAAAAGTCACAGGGGTAAAAATTTTTGCCTATCATATTTAGTAGACTGGAGTTGTTTTCCATTATTTGAATTCTTTAATTCCAGAAGACTCAAACAGACCATTTTGCCTTAATAATCAATTATAGATTACAATGGTCTGAATGTTTGTCTCCCCAAAATTCTTATGTTAAAATCTTAATCCCCAATGTGATGGTATTAGGAGGTGGGGCCTTTGGAAGGTGATTAGGTCATCAGAGTGGAGACCCCATGAATGGAATTAGTACACCTATAAAATTAGTGCACCTACAAAAGAGGCCCCAGAGAAATGCAAATTAAAACTGCAATGAGATACCACCTTACTCTTGCAAGAATGACCATGTTGGCAGGGATGTGGTGAAAAGGGAACACTTTCACACTGCTGGCAGAACTGTAAACTAGTACAACCACTATGGAAAACAGTATGGAGATTCCTTAAAGAACTCAAAGTAGAAGTACCATTCGATCCAGTAATACCACTATTGGATATCTACCCAAAGGAAAAGAGGTCATTATATGAAAAAGATACATGCACATGCATGTTTATAGCAGCACAATTTGCAATTGCAAAAATGTGGAACCAGCCTAAATGCCCAATAACTGAAGAGTGGATAAAGAAAATCTGATATATATACACACCATAGAATACTACTCAGCCATAAAGTGGAATGAAATAATGGTCTTTGCAGCAACTTGGATGGAGATGGAGACCATTATTCTAAGTGAAGCAACTCAGGGATGGAAAACCAAATATTGTATGTTCTCACTTATAAGTGGTAGCTACTAAGTGAGTTACCAAATATAGTGATATATAGCTATGAGGATGCAAAGGCATTAAAATGGTATAATGGACTTTGGGGACTTGGGGGAAAGGATGGGAGTGGGTGAGGGATAAAAGACCACATGTTGGGTAGGGTATACACTGCTCAGGTGGCAAGTGCACCAAAATCTCAGAAATCGTCACTAAAGAACTTATCCATGCAACCAAAAACCATCTGTTCAATAGTTTTTGACTATTGAAATAAAATTTAAAATATTTTTTTTTTAAAAAAAAGGCCACAGTTTTCTCCTCTCTTTTTCCATGTGAAAATACTATGAGGAGACAGCAGTCTGCAACCCGGAAGAGGAACCTCACCAGAATTCATGCTGATACCTTGATCTCAGACTTCCAGCCTACAGAACTGTGAGAAATAAAATTTGTGGCTTACAGGTCACCCAGTCTATGGTACTTTGTTATAGCAGTCTGAACTAAGATATAAATCAAAAATTAAACTGTTTGTCTGCATTTTCTTGAATGGGTTCATATTTTTAGTTTTCACCACCATTCCAGGTAATAAACAGCATCACTCCTAGTCTTGAATAACTGCCTTTGGTTGACAATGTCCATTCTAATTTACTCTTACAGAATACTGTGGTATTTCCTCTTAAATACAATCTTCCAGGGCAAGGCATGGTATTCCAGGTAAGAACAGTTAGTTTGTAACTTTTGTAACTTCAAATAAGGGGGCAGGGTAACGCTTTCCATTTTGTTTCTGTTTTTCTTAGATCTACTTCATTTGTCAACCATTTTGTTTCTCTCTCTTTTTTTTTTTTTCCTGAAACAGGGTCTTGCTCTGTTGCCCAGGCTGGAGTGCAGTGGCAACATCTTGGCTCAATGTAGCCTTGACCTCCCACTTCAGCCTCCACAGTAGCTGAGACTACAGGTATGTGCCACCACACCTGGCTAACTTTTTTGTCTTTTTGTTTTTTGTTTTTGTAGGGGCAGGGTTTTGCCATGTTGCTTAGGCGGGTCTTCAATTCCTGACCTCAAGTGATCTGCCTGCCTAGCCTTCTAAAGTGCTGGGATTACAAGTGTGAGCCACAATACCTGGCTAATTCTTTTTCTGATATTAAACCAGATGATACACCAGAATTTTCCTTTATATCTTAAATTTTTTTCAATTATTAACAAAGTAATATAGCCAACATTTATGTGCTTCTTGGTATCAATGGTAATGAACAATACACATTCCCTACCCTCTAGGTTCTTATTGCCTAGCACAAGAAAACAGACAGATGTATGACACTGTGATAGGTAACTCAGAGAAGGGGTTACTAACCAGCATTGGAATATTATAGAGAACTTCCAAGAGGAGGTAACATCTGAACTGAATCCTGTAAGTCTAATCTAAAGATCAGGTTGAAGCAATAGGGGAGAAGCAGATATTCCCTCAAGGCAGAGGGTCCTGGCACGTGCCAAGGAAGGTGAACACAGTGGGAAATATGGATGGGGGAAGAGGCTACTGAGAATTGAAGCTCAAGAAGAAAATAAGGAGGCATTCTGTCATGAAGGGCTCCTCTATGTCATGTTAGGGAATTTACACTTCATCCTGAAGGCAATGGAACAGTGGTGGTAGGGAACTGAAGACTTTTTAACCAGAGAAGAAACAGTTGCAATCTGTTTTTTCATTCTGGATAGAGTTTGGAGAAGGGATGCTAGGTAATTAGCCTAGGATCCGTGAGTCAGGAGCCTAATAAAGGCATGAGATGCTAACAGTCATCTCACTGAGGCAGTGGTGACCCAAGGGCTGGAGAGAAGGGATGGAATTGACAAGAAGTACAAGAGAATGGGAGAGGAGAGAGAAAGAGGGTTCCTAGTTTCTGGCTACATTCTGGGTATCTTATCTCATTTGATCCCCCACAAAATCACCCCATCAAGCAAGCAGGGCAATCACTTCTATTTATTAGATGGCAACAAATGGCTCAGAGTAGTTAGGTGGCTTATTCTGAGTCAATAAATGTGAGACTTGGGATCAGAAACTCTGATTCCTAGGTTAGGGGTCTTTCTGTTTTACATGCAGAAATTTTACTCACGGCTAATAGCATCATGGAAGATTCCAGGCTCATCCCGAATGTGTAATCTAATAAGATCTCAACTGGACATTAAAATGATGAGCCCACTTACAAGACAGAAGCTGAAAAGGCAGCCTATCAGAGGTCAAGGTTCCTATAACTTTTAATAACCATAACAGTTCACAGAAATAAAGGGGAAGGAATGAAGTCCTTACGGTAGCTAAGCACTTAATTACTCAACAGATTAACAGAGTACCTCTAGGTGCACTCTGACTTGGGGTCTTGAGTAATAATCAACTCGCTTAAATAGTACCTAATACAGACAAAAACACACAGTGACTTGATTGTGAACACATTTAGAGAAAATGAGGAACAAATGTAATGGCAATACAAAGAAATAGATACAGGGGAACCCTAGAAAATAATCAAATGGACCTAAAAATTTAGAACAAAGGGTAGAAAGACCAAATGAAATAAAATTTCAATGAATATTATTATTTTAAAAAATTACTGCCAGGATGGTGGCTCACGCCTGTAATCCCAGCACTTTGGGAGGCCGAGGTGGGCAAATCACTGAGGTCAGGAGTTCAAGACCAGCCTGACCAACATGGAGAAACCCCGTCTCTACTAAAAATATAAAATTAGCCAGGCCTGTAATCCCAGCTACTCGGGAGGCTGAGGCAGGGTAATTGCTTGAACCTGGGAGGTGGAGGTTGCGGTGAGCCGAGATCACGCCACTGCACTCCAGCCTGGGCAAGAAGAGCAAAACTCCGTCTCAAAAAAATAAAAAATAAATTTAAAAAATACACATTTAAATGATGATTTACTAAGAGAAATAATCTCATATTTCTGAAAATAATTTTTTTCTGTCTATGATCAATTGCCCATTCATGGGACTATGCATTGGAGTGTTTTTCTAAAACATTGAAAACCCAAGAGCCAGGAAAGTGCTTAGATAAAGGGTGTGTTTTTCCTTGGTGAGTAAATCCTTAATCCTTTTTAGTCAAGAGAAGTGTAGCCACTTCAGAGTGATGCTTGAGAAGGGCCAACAGGCAATGGGCCATTTTCCAGACGGTGACCTGCCACTTCTAAGACCAAGAAGCTACATGGGATGCTTATCTTCCTTCCAGTCACCACGAAGCTGAGACTCATTTGTTCTGAATGTTTAAATTTCTAGAAACACATTAACTTTTCTCCTCCTCTATGACCAGCTTCCACATGCTACAGGCCATTAATGATTGAAACTGTTTCATCAGATTTTTTGGTTGAGTTGCTACAAAAAATGAAACTCAGAATTAAAAATCTTTCTTGCTCTGCTAATTAATAGCCTGCGTATTTTCAGTCCCATTGAAAGTAGTACAATCTACTTTTATATTTTAAGCTATTCTCAAACAAGTCCATTTGTTTTCATAGAGAGTGATGGTTAAAGTCTTTTTACCCAAACTAGATTAAATATTAATATTTCATTCCTTTAATCAGCAATTATCTACTGGAATTCTTCTGGATCAAGTTAATGAACTTAGCCCTCAAGGAGCTTACAATCTAGTCGTCAAAGCAAAGGACCCTTGGTACATGACGACCCCACAAAAAAAGAGGGTTCAGGTCCCATAGAACGTGCAAATCCCACTCAGTGAGTTGGGTTGGATCCTACTCTCCATTTTAATAATGCTATGAAAGAAAAGGAGCCCTTTGAAAGGGTAAAATACCCTGTATTTACCAGCAGAGCCTTTTTCATAGAATTCATCACACATCAACCTCAGCACAACAGATATATGCATACAAATAAAAACTAACCTGCTCCAACATTTAAGTTAGTTCTCTAACTTCTACAGGCTCCCTGCTGTTTATTTCTAACTTAATCCCTATCAATAAAGCCATGGAAATCAGTTTTCCAAAATTCCAACAGAAACTCTATCAAACTTGGTCAATAAAGCCCAAAGGTAAATCTCTGTGGCTGCATTTAGTACACAGATTGCCACTTTTAATGATAAAATGAGATGGGGTGGAACGATCCTCACTTGCATTAAGGAAAAGATGGAGGGGTCTCATTAAAGACCATACCTTCTTGGAGCATCAAACAAGAACACGACTCAGCTGGGACTGTAGTTCGGCAGGGAAACCTTTTCCTTTTCTTCCAGACTAAAGGTTTGATGCAGCTGCAAGTTCTGTAGCTTAGAAAACAGACTTTCTCCTCCTAGGTTTATTTCAGGCCTGTGATTGATATTTCAAAAATAAAGAGAAATTGCCAAGACGAGCTTTTACTCCGAGTGAAATGAAGCTTTAAAGCAAAGGACTGGCACGATATCGCTGGTCTTAAAAGATCTACTCTGGCTACTGGGTTGAAAGTAGGCTATAAAGGGAAGCTATTATGATAATCCAGGTGAAATTCAGGCCAAGCAGGTAGCAGTTTAGATGGTAAGAGGTAGTCAGATAATGGGGAAAAAAATTAATATAGTCAATAGAATTTTCTGCCAAATTGAATGTAGGAATAAGAAAAAAAAGTAGTTGTTGGCTGGGCGCAGTGGCTCACACCTATAATTCCAGCACTATGGGAGATAAAGGCGGGAGGATTGCCTGAGCCCAGGAGTTCGAGACCAGTCTCGGCAACACAGTAAAACCCCACCTCGACAAAAATAAAAAAAATTAGCCAGGTATGATGGTGCATGTCTGTAGTCCCAGCTATTCAAGAAGCTGAGGTGAGAAGATTACTTGAGCCTAAGAGGTCAAGGCTGCAGTGAGCCATAATTGCACCACTGCACTCCAGACTGGGCAACAGAACAAGAAAACCCTGTCTCCCCTCCCCGACACCCCCTTACCAAAAAAAGAAGTCATAAATGACTTCAAGGTTTTTGGGATAAGCAACTGGAAGGGTGGATTTGCCACGAAATGGGGAAGTCTGCAGTGGGATAGATAGGGGTGGGGGACAGGAATTTTGATATGTTCATGAGGTCAGTTAGACATCCAGGTGAAAATGTGGCAGCTAGATATTCATATCTGCAGTTCAGTACACCAAATACCAGACTGCCTTACTGTAAAACAGCAAAAGACTCATGACATTGACTAGGAATTATCGTAAACTGAGAATTTTCATTGTGTGGTGAGGATCTGCTCTGGCAGAGAGAGCCTGTTCTCTCACTTCCCTACAGGGCATCCATACAGACTGATCTAATTTTAGACATGACACTGAGCTAGTTGCTGGGGGGCCAACGTCAAGCAAGAGACAAAGGAGGGTGGCTACTCACACACAGAGGTTGAAGGTAGCTTTCCAAAATTAAAAAGAGGGCAAGGGAAAATTAGAGTAAAGGAAATCTAGTCAAACATAGTCCAAAACAGCAGTCTGGGAGAAACCTGTGGTATGGCATGTGTTAAAGGAATCTCATTTATTTTGGGGGCTCCAGTTTTTCCCCAGCTCATAGACACTTTATCTTTTGCAGATAACACACCAACAATGGATCCATTCTATGGTTTCACAAAGGTGAGTGAGGACTGGGGAGCGACTAAGACAAACTCATTTTCAGCCAAGTGTGTTATCGTAAGTCAAATAACATACAAATAAGGATTTATGATATTTGCCATACCAACCAACATTGACTTTCTGTGGCAAGCAGAAACGACACTGGATGTTTTAGCATTAAAAGTTCTCACTGGACACGGAAAAGCAGCCATCTCTATAGGAGCAGTCTTGTAAACCCAAACCTAAAAGTGATGGCAAACATCAAACTAATGTTTTGTATTTAAATCATGCTTACAGACATCACAAATTTAATCATCTGCATTCAATCTTTTCAGCATTTATAGATTCCGTGGTTTTGGAGAGGGACATATGTCATCTTTTTTTTTTTTTTTTTTTTTTTTTTTTTCACTTTAAGCTCTGGGATACATGTGCAGAACGTGCAGGTTTGTTACGTAGGTATACATGTGCCATGGTGGGTTGCTGCACCTATCTACCCGTCATCTAGGTTTTAAGCCCTGCATGCATTAGGGATTTGTCCTAATGCTCTCCCTCCTCTTTCCCCCAACTCCAGACATATGTCATCTTCTGAGTATGCTACTTGTTTTAAACTTCCATCGTAATTTACTGACTGACAATTCAGGTGGACAGCTCTTACACTCCCTGGCCTCTTCTCTCTAAGATGAAAAATAGGCTGCCAATTACTGACAGAAGAAGAAATACAACGAGAAGAGAAATAACCCAATAATTAAGGGGAGCTCATTCCCAATTCCTCAGTACAGCAGTCAACCTAAAATAAGGACATTTCCACCTATATAAGGATAAAACCATCCACCCATAGATTTCTCTCTTCCTGATGTGGAAAGAGTTTGTAAAAATAAAACAATTTTATGAAAGGCACCATCTTGAGCAGTTCAAATCTTGTTTTAAATTTTTATCAAGTATTTGTTCTGCCAGGAAACATTTCCAAAAAGGAAAGGTTTTGTCTCAATTGCTGTGGCAGCAAACACTTCCGTTGGAGCTGTTAGAGCGGTATCAGGATACTCTCACTGGCTTACATAGCTTTCAAAATATTTGTGTTGCTACCACGCTCCTTTGCCAATATATGTGACTTGTAATACTTTTTTATTCATCTGGATGTATTTATACAACTGTGTAGGTCCAGAAAACTTTTTAAAAGTTGGCGTAAATATGCTGTGATGAAAACTGAGAAATACATCTGCCTTTCTCACTATGTAGAAATACTACATTTGCAAATTAGGGTACAAATCAGTCTTCACTTTCAAAGACCAAATTAAGCCCTTAGAGAGGTCAAATTTAAATAACATCACTATATATTACAGAGAAAATACCAGCATCTTATGTAAGCTTTACTTAATCCTCAATATTTTATTAGGCAGATCCATTCTCAGAGCTAAGGAGATCTTTACTCAAGGGATAAGATGATATGATTAACGGATAGAGTTGGGATTTCTTGAATATTCTTTACAAACCTGTGTTAATTATTTTTGTTATTTGGGTCATGATTAGCAGGGAAACCCTTTACAAAGTCTCTGGCTTTGCTTTGTTCCCAAAGTCAATCTTGGAGAAAGAACCGCCAAAAGCTGGCACAAGCAGTAGCACCTTTACAGTGGGCAGGAAAACAACCAGAAGTCTTGGGGCTGCAGAGATCCAGGCCGGCGAGAAGTCCAGAGCATCAGACAGGAAGAGTTTCCTGGGGGTAGGAACAGTGACTGGCACATGGTAAGTGCTCATCAACACGCAATGAAATAACACACCCCAAATTCTATCAAAATATTTTGGTCAGAGTTGATGAACTTCAGAGGTATTTCAAAATGTCGACAAATCTTGGATACCCTTTGACATATAAATTAGCCACCTTGGGACAATATTGATCTCTTTTGCATAAAATACTGGGTATTCTGTTACAGCAAAACTTTTCCAGGAAAAAAGAAGGGACTTGAGCTTCCTTTGTCCTCTTAAAATTAGGAAAGGGTCTAGATAAAGCAAAAGTGCAAATCTGTAGGAGATGGCTAAGGAAGGAGAGATAGAGTACCACCACTGGGGGCTAGGTGTGTTCATATACTTCATTTTCTTTTGCCATGCCATCCCACATAGCTAACACCAAGGCATTTTCTGAGGCCCCTTTCTCATTTGCTCTGTTTGGAATTAGAAAAGTTGCTACTCTCAGTGTCTGGTATAACCCAGTTTCCCCACGTGATCTTCTACCAAGTCAAGCATCCTCTGGGCATCTGCCAGGCTCGTCAGCCAGGCTCCTGTGGTCCTTTGCCTTCCCTTTCCTAAGAGACCACACATTAAGTCACTGTTCATCCTCCCCTGAACCTGCTCCCAATGTTCGCGCCCTCGAGAGAGCAGAGGCGTCTGTCCCAACTTTTATTCTGAAAGTTCCAGCAACAATGAACCTTGCACAGTTCACTCAGTGAAACAAAATAATGAAGAACATAGATGGCCTCTTGTGGTCAGCAAAGCCGAGATTTTCTCTTTTGCTCTCAAATGCTGTCTTGCAAAATTTCACAAGTACAAACATATGTTATCATCTGACCTTTTGAAAACTATTCTGTGTATATATAAATTCACTTAAAGTGTACTACAACTTGTGGCTCCTAAAGCTCACTTTATGCTATTTATATCTTTTTGTTATAAGAAGACATTCCAAAGAAAAAGTGGTGATGAGCACTCACATTTCTGTTATCATGCACCCCCTCCCCCAAGTTAAACCCACAGTCAAGTCACTCAGGCCTTTTGTTTCAATGGATCTCAGGGTTAACCACATTTTGACAGTAACAACAACAAAAAAAGTTCTAAATGTAATCTAAGTTAACAAAGACTGATAAATGTCACATAATCACCAGATAGAAGATGAACACTGCTGACATTAAATCAAATAGTTTGTCATTCTGTTGGCTGTCAAATTAGGATCTCTTAATTTTAAATGCAATTGCTACATACGATTTTATAAAATAATTAATGTTCCTAATTTAAGACTACCCATCTTCCACCCCGCATCCCCAATACCATATCCTGCCAAACTGTTTAATCATGCAAAATCTATTAATTGCTTAAAGACCCTCAGGTTGTTTTCAGCAGTATTTTCTTCTGATGTTTAACACAGAAAAATACATACCCCTGCATACATCTGTACCTGGTTAATGGTGGTGACATGATGTCCTGCCTTTATCACACGGGTCCATCTGCCTTGCCTATTAACTATCACCTTTTCTAATGCATGTGTAGACTACTGATCACATCCTTGTAACTAGAAGGAGTTCAATATGGCTTAGGTGTAATACTGCTCCCCCAATGAGCCATCACAGAGGAGGACAGCTAAGGTGAGGTAGGGGGCCTAAAAAAGACAAACATGAAAATCAGCAAATAAAGGAAACCAGAATAGGTAGAAATGGAACAGGAGATATTAAAATGAAGAGTTTAACTGAAATCTTAGCTAATGCTTTCAGTAATTCAAGTCATTTGATTCAGTTCCACAAAATTACCCAGAGCATGAATCCTTGCACAGAGCATGCTCCAGAAACAAGCAGACCCCAAGTTCTCCTCGTTTTAGGCGGCAAAACTCTGTTAACTGCTCTTTCAGTCCATAGGGTAGCATCTCAATTTATAGTATTACACAACCTATTTAGCATGGTAATCTGGCTTCTACTGCAACAGATTTAAGAAACAGATTTTGACTACTCATGGAAGGAAAAAAAGAGAACTAAAAAGCATGATAACGTTTTCAAGGGAAAGACAAAAGAAATAAAGGGCTAGCCAGCTTTGTTTCATTTATTAAATTCCAAGGGCTTTCCCCACCAGTTTGAAAAATGCATGTTATTACCACTGTGTTTATTAAAAGTGCTACTTTAAATTGCAGATTGAGCAAGTGGGAATTCCCTTTGGTAGCTGTAGATTACCCACTAACAATTATATGCAATTTTAAATGAAAGGAGGAGGAAAGAACCAGGAAGAATTGTAGAACAATGGTTCTAAAAGCCACTGATAATTTATATAAAACCAGACATCTAAATGTATGATAGTAAAATGTCCAGAGTCACACAGATGCAATATTCCCAGGGTTGCTTTGCATTTTGATTTTTAAAAGTCTTTCAAAATGGTGCTCAGAATCAACTAGCATAAACTTTGCTCACTGATTATCTGATAGCTTATTACCAGATTTAAGAAGGGGCTAGGGACCTTCCAGAGCAAATGGTTGCTTACTAGCTCACTTGAAAAATGCACTTGTTTCAGCACAGAAATAACAAATCTGTTTCTGATTCCTAACATTATTTTCCAAATGCTGCCAAGAAAAGAATCTAAGGAATTCTTTTACATACACAACATACAAAAGACAACTGGAAAGAGGCCTGTGATCTGTTCCAGGGTGCACGATGACGAAGGATAGAGTTAGTTTCTAATATGAACTGCCCTTGTGGGAGCAGAGGCACATGCCTGAGATTGTTCATAGCTGTAATCTCCAACATAACTCTTTGCTATTATTAGACAACTTAAAGGCCTTCCTAAATCAGTAACTTGTGAAGCAGAAGAGTATAGGACCCTATCGTTCGGGGCATGCAGGCAGCTGGGACACACCCAATTCCACAGAATTCACCACTTTTCTGCTCCATGAAACTAGATTTCTACCTCTTGGAAGACACATAAAGGCTGAGGAAGGGAAAGAACCTGTCTAACACAAACCAGGTTAAAAGTCCCTAGAGAGAATGCGAAACCAGGTAAAATCCATTAGTAAATTCAGGAACTTGAGGTCTGTGATGCTTATAAAATATAGTGAAATTATTCCTGGGGCACAGAAGGATATATGTATGCATCCTGTCCATATTAAAAGCAACATCAGGCCAGGCGTGGTGGCTCACGCCTGTGATCCCAACACTTTGGGAGGCTGAGGCGGCGAATTACTTGAGGTCAGGAGGTCGAGATCAGCCTGGCCAACATGGTGAAACCTCATCTCTAATAAAAATACAAAAATTAGCCGGACAAGGTGGTGTATGCCTGTAGTCCCAGCTACTCCGGAGGCTCAGGCAAGAGAATCACTTGAACCCAGGAGGCGGAGGTTGCAGTGAGCCAAGATCGCACTACTGCACTCCAGCCTGGGCAACAGAGCGAGACTCTGTCTCAAAAAAAATAAGAATAAAAGCAACATCATTTAAAAAATATTACCTCGTTTTTAAAACTCAACAGCAGAGAGTCTGCTTTAAAATTTTCAACATTGTGTAACAATCACACCAATGATTTCAAAAGTACATATTTTAGCATGGTTTACTTCTGTTATACTAATAAGGGGGACTTAGCAACAGAGTCCCCTTTGAAGAGAAGGAGGATAAGCAGGAGAATGTTGAAAGACTGAGTCATCCAACAGACTGAGCTATCTAATGCAACTGTTTAAATTTTTGGCTCACACTGAGTTGACTGCAGTGAACTAAGTTCAATTTTGTTTTTTGTTTTTCCCCTTCTCAGCGGGATAAAAGTTCATGAAAGAAGCCGAATCGATTAAAGGAAATAAAAAGGCAACATTTTCCTTTGCATGACTGATCATAATGGGTATGTACATTTTCAACTCTTCTACCTACACATACAAACTCATCTTAAATTTGCATTGCCATAGTTTCAAAGGCATCCTCAAAGCAGCTATGTTGGATATCATTCTTACAGTTTTCCATTAAACACACTTCCCATGCAGCTGCCCTCAGGCTATGTGATTTTACATGCGGTCCACTGAATTGGGTTGAATAGCGTCCTCCCAAAATCATGTCCGCTCACAACCCTGGAATATGACCTTATTTGGAAATATGGTCTTTGCAGATGTAATTAGTTAAGGTGAAGTGATATACTGGATTAAGGGTGGACCCTAAGTCCAATAAGTGGTGTCCTTTTAAGAAAAACATCTGACACAGAGACACAGAGAAACACACAGGAAGGAAGGCGGTAGGAAGAGGGGCAGAAACTCAAGTGATGCTACCGAAAGCCAAGAAATGCCTGGAGCCATCAGGAAGTGGAAGAGGCAAGGAAGAGTCTTTCCTGGAGCCTTCAGAGGGAGCACGGCCCTGCCAACTCCTTGATTTCAGACTTCTAGCCTCTAGAACTGTGAGAGAATACATTTCTGGATAAGCCACTCACTAAGCAGTAATTTGTTATGACAGCTCTGGGAAACTAATGCAGATTTGTCTACTAACCAGTGCCAGTAGGACAATACTTCACTACCAGTCCACAATTAGATTAGTACAGGAAATGAGATTAAATGTTTAAGAACTTTTATAGCTGTTTGACAATGTGGTGATATCACACAAGCACATGATTTTGTGTTTTACAAAACATCAGTCTGTAATGGTTTGGAAATTTCTTTTAAAAAGTCTTCACCGAAGTTAGAGAAGCACTGCAAAGATAATTAGTATTTATAAAGTTAAAGCTGATGTACCATAATTAAGAAATCTACATTCAGAACTATTTCAGAGAAGTGTAATTATGTTCCACGTAGCTTTAGTAGTAAAAACATTTTATTCTAATTTTTATTTATTCTTTAAACATTTTTTTCGAGACAGGGTCTCACTCTATTGCCCAGGCTAGAGTGCAGGGGCACAATCATGACTCACTGTAGCCTCGAACTCCTAGCCTCAAGCAATCCTCCTGCCTCAGCCTCCCAAGTAGCTGGGACTACAGTTCCATATCACCACATCTGGCTAACTTTTTAATTTTTTGTGGAGACAAGGTCTCCCTATGTTAGCCAGGCTGGTCCCGAACTCAGGGCCTCAAGTGATCCTCTCTCCGCGGCCTTCTAAAGCATTCGGATTATAGGCTTGAGACATGGCACCTGGCCTATTCTACGTCTTAGAATAATCTGTGAATGGTACACATGGTAGTTTGCTATTAATCATATTATTCGCTATTAATCATATTATTTGATTAGCCATAATTCACTTCCCAGACCATAATGGATCACTTGCTACACAGTGAAGGAACGTACCATGCCTTTGTTAGCCACAGAGACCTTAGCTGAACTTCGCAGAACATCTTCACAAAGACTGAGTGCTCAAATGTTGCACATACAAAATGCAGTTGGGAGAAGCTGATGTATCTGAGATACTTCAATAGCAAAGAGTGATTGTAACTATATAAGTTACGATAGTGACAATAATGAGAAAGATGGCATCCTTCTTCAAGGAAGGCCAAATTGACAAAAAGCTGAGCAGACCTGGCTTCAGAAAAGAAACAGTCTAAGTAGAGAAAAGGAAATCCTGCATCAATGTGGGAAGCGATCTGATTTAAATATTTTCTTTCAGCAATTACAAGAAACACACAGGAACATGATTTAAACCAAAGGAAGAGCAATCATGTTTCCTTTAAAATCAATGCTAATCACAACCACATATGCAATAGCCCCTAGGACCTTGGCTAGCCACAGACCAATGAATGAAAGCCACTTTTCCAAAGTAAGAACACAAAGCATCAACAAGTAGCTCTTACTATTCTTCTGCTTAATCTCACTCACCCTTATTTTATCATGGGCTTGCTTCATATGTAGGGCAAAGGACAACTTAAAAATCATTATTGTAAATCAACAAGCTATAAGTCACAGGAAGAAAGTAGAATGTCAACTGTTTGTCCTAGCTGCCGGGAGATCAGAGAGTAGGCTTTAAAAGGGTGCGATTGTGGATTCCTGATTAGAACACACACTTCAGCGTAAAAGCACTTAGTTGTCATCACATGCCATACGTTTGAGTTTTTAAAATTTTCTGAGTTACCACAGAAACTAAGAGTCCAAGAAAATGAGAGATTCTTTAATAAAATGAAATGGCTGTTATGGGAATAGGTGGAGAAAAATATGTTGAAGCTGCAGATGTCCTACCCAGTAACAATTCCACAACCGTATTCAATTAAAAATTGTAAACCTTAAGCTATCATTGGATTGTAATGATTTCAACTGCACTGTGGAAATTACACTAGGTAGCATGTACCTTCATCCAATAATACCACTGACTCTTCATACCTAAACATTTTGTAGAACAATTTTTGGAAGAAACAGTGTCATGAGAGCTCATAATGCCTTTCATCTAAAATTATTTTTCAGAAATACTTAAATTCATGTCAGCCCATGACTCCTTGGAAATCCACTGCAACTAGATACTCTCTGTAGTAAGAATTAATTGAATGCTTGAGGACAGAAAAATGTGATGTTCCTTTTTGTTCTTACCCCTTCAATTTCACCAAATTTGCACCTACTATATAAAGGAATATCCCAAACACCAAGTTCAATATTAAAGACTGGTAGGTTTTAAGATGTCAAAATAAGGTTAAAATTGCAAAGCCTGGGTCTACAGAATCCACGTCTATACCTCATGAACAGACTTTGAGGACAAAGGAGCAATCCACAAAGCAAATAAGCCAGGACCACTTTATTTCCAAAACTTGAAAAGATGTCAAGAATTTCCCATCAACAGAATGACATACACTGAAAGATATGAACAGAACAGTTCCAAGGAAATTCATCTCCCCCTCTACCCCCACCATTTCAACAATCACATAGACAAACACACTCTCACATGCCTACATTAATTACATTGTAATAAGAGTTGGAAGAAAAATAGAGTTGACGGAAAAAATAAATGCCTAAAGAGAGAAAATACTCCTTGACTAATCAGGGAATGACGACATATACTCATATAATCACCATCTTATAGTACTTAGGAAGTATTATAATCCATATGTGGCCAGAACAAGAAGTATGTTCTTTCTTTTCTTTTTTTTTTTTTTTTTTTTTTTTGAGACCGAGTTTCACTCTTGTTGCCCAGGCTGGAGTGCAGTGGCGCGATCTCGGCTCACTGCAACATCCAACTCCTGGGTTCAAGCAATTCTTCTGACTCAGCCTCCCAAGTCGCTGGGATTACAGGCACCCGCCACCACGCCCAGCCTAGAAGTATGTTCTATAGTCAAATTAATTTCACTCCTAAGTTCACAGAGTAAAGCTTAAAGCAATAGAATCCTTTACCCTTTCTACTCCTTCTAACCCTTACATGAACAACTCCTTACATGAAAATTTCTCTACTACTGCTGTAAACTATTCCTATATTTATTGAGTTGATTTTAAAAACCTTCTTTTAAACTTTTAGCTACTTTTGTCTATAACAAAACACACACAAAACACATTCAAACACAGAAATATCCTTTCTGTCTAGAAGAGAATTCCATCTCCCCAGCAGGAGGTCTTTCTTCCTGTTTGCAACAAAAAAGAACAATGACTTTTTCACTTTCATACTTACAAAACTCCCTCAAACTTTGATTTTTACTGGAATCAGCTCTGTGATTTAGACTCTGATGCTAAATGACAATCTTCCCCAAGTAGAACTTTGCCACCCAAATGGACACGAAGTCCCCTCACCTTTCAGACAGAACATTCTGCAGCAGTTCCATGGAGGGGCTGTGCTCTGTGGTCTGATGAAGCCTGCAGTGCTAGGCACAGCTGTCTCCCAGCCCACCTCCTCAGCGCTCACTGCCAGAGAGCGGGGCGGCCAGCCAGCGCCTGTTACTCCAGGAAGCCACTGCCCAATCCCCAGCCTGCTGGGCTGTGCTGCTGACACCTCCCTATCTCTCCTGGGTTATTTCACACCATGGAATCAGCCTGCAATCATCTTGAAAGGGGAAAGGAGCCAGGGGTTAGCAGTCACCGTTCATATAGTCCAGTGCAGATCAGCCCAAGGGCGAGCCCATTTGTTTGTGCTTCTCTCTCAGCATTTTCCACCACAGCGGATGCAGCTCTTCACGTGATCAACAACACAAAAAAGAAATCACTCAATTCAGTTTAACCTTTTGCTATTAATTATGACTTACTATTCACTGACTTCATTATTCCTTTTCTGTTCACATGCTCCCCTTTTTTTTCTAATATAGAACACACCATATACTGGTACATAATTAACACTGCACATTATAATAGGAAACTTTGCACTCTGTTGTCTGAGTCTACGTAAATGAGTGAATATATGTGAAATGCTCTTTCAGTCCCAGACAAATCATAAGCACAAAGTAAGTGCTATCATTACTACTACATACTGCTATTTAAAAACGGGGCGGACATGGTGGCTCACACCTATAATCCCAGAACTTTGGGAGACCAAGGTGGGAATATCACTTGAGCCCAGGAGTTTGAGACCAGCCTCGGCAACACAGTGAGACCCCATCTCTACAAAAAAAAAAAAAAAAAAAAAAAAAAAAAAAACTAGCTGGGCATGGTGGCATGCACCTGTGGTCCCAGCTACTTGGGAGGCTGAGGAGGGAGGATTGTTTGAGACCAAGAGGTCGAGACTGCATTGGGCCATGATCACACCACTGCACTCCAGCCCAGGCAACAGAGTGAGACCTTGTCTCAAAACAAAAAACAAACAAACAGAAAACAAGAAAACCACTTGAGTATTAGGATAAAAATGTGAAGCATGTTACACTTCTATGGCAATGTCATTTTTTCAAATGAGGAAACAAATGCAGCATTAGAGTACGAGAATTTCTAACTGTACTGTGGCTGTGATCAGATCAGTACATTTCTTCCCCTCCACTGGAAAGCTAAATTCACTCTGGCAAGTTCAAGGTTACTTGACTGTGGACTCTCAAACACAGGTGGAAAGTGGCAGAAGGAATCTTATGACAGACCTGATGAGAAACAGTCCACAAATACTGCCTCAGGAGCACCCTGCTTGAAAAGTACCATCTGAACCCTAAGTGGCCCCGTGGTCCTTCCCCACAGAGACGTGAGTCTCCTGGCTCAGGAAGTGGCCATTGTTCACAGGACCCGTTGCTGTTTGCAGGTCTTCCTTTTGACTCCACAGGATGCAGGAAACTGACTCACAGAACCAATCTATCTATCTGTCTGTGTCCTGGGGTGCTCACTGCCACACAGTAAGGATGCTCTATGTTCTTTTGGTTTTCAACATACGGTGCAGCATATCCCAGCTGGGTTTCTGCTCCCTGTCACCATGAATCACCAATAGCACCTGGGTAATAAATATGTTGTCTACCATAAGGAAGTCACTGTACTAGTTTCTATGATCACAAGAATATATAAGAGGTCTCTAGCCAGAAGCTAGTTAGGATTAAAAAAAAAAAAAACTGCATGGGGAATGATGAACAGTGATATTAACGCTTCTTCTTCTTTTTTTTTCCCCTGAGAGGGTCTCACTCTGTTGCCCAGGCTGGAGGGCAGTGGTGTGATCTCAGCTCACTGCAAGCTCCGTCTCCCAGGTTCTCGCCATTCTCCTGCCTCAGCCTTCCGAGTAGCTGGGATTACAGGCGCCCGCCGCCAGGCCCGGCTAATGTTTTTTTGTATTTTTAGCAGAGACAGGGTTTCACTATTTTAGCCAGGATGGTCTCGATCTCCTGACCTTGTGATCCACCCGCCTCGGCCTCCCAAAGTTCTGGGATTACAGGCGTGAGCCACCATCCCCGGCCTGATATTAACTCTTAGAACAGAATGGGAGGGAACCTCATAGCTCATTTCATTTGTGTAAACCATGAGGTGATTGATTCACCTAACAAACAAGATCAAAACCAGACCAGCTGATTAGCCTCTTCCATCTCACCACGGGACTCTCTCCATGGCTGATCTGAGTTATTCTCTGTCCTCTCCTGTTCTGAGTAGTCTCTCCCATGTAATTTACGAATTACAGAGGTATTCCTGAAAATATTTTCATGGGTTACATTTAACTTTTCAAATTGTACAGAGAGAGAAAGGAACTCCTACCTTAGAGACTTAAGACTTTTGAACACAGGCTAATGAGACCGAGTCTCACTCTGGCTGGAGTGCAGTGGCACGATCTTGGCTCACTGCAACCCCCACCTCCTGAGTTCAAGCAATTCGCTGCCTCAGCCTCCCAAGTAGCTGGGACTACAGGTGCCCGCCACCATGCCCGGCTAATTTTTTTTTGTATTTGTAGTACAGACAGGGTTTCACCATCTTGGCCAGGCTGGTCTTGAACTCCTGACCTCGTGATCCACCCACCTCAGCCTCCCAAAATGCTGGGATTACAGGCGTGAGCCACTGCACCTGGCAGTTTAAGCCTTTTTAAACAGAGATGACTTTATATGCTGGAAAGTATAGTGGACTGAAAAGTAAAGAGAATCTCATTCCAGTCATATCTATATGACTATCTAGTTCAAGTCTGTCCAACCTGTGGCCCACATGCAGCCCAGGACAGCTCTGAATGTGACCCAACACAAATTTGTAAACTTTCTGAAACATTATGAGATTGTTTTGCAATTTTTAAGTTCATCAGCTATCATTACGGTTGGTGTATTTTATGTGTGGCCCAAGACAATCCTTCTCCTTCCAATGTGGCCCCAGGGAAGCCAAAAGATTGGATGCCCTAATAGTTAGTCTCACAGCAGTTCATGGCCTGTAAATGTGAGGACTGAATAGAACAAGGGGACTAAATTAACTCTAAGGTTCCATCTTAACTCAATAATTTTTTATTTTTGGTATGAATACACACACATACTATTAGGTACATTATGTCAGGTCACAGGAAAAGAATCTTTGCCTTCTTGTGGTTTAGTGCAAGAGATGAGTGGAATAAATATAATTCAGTGTGGTAAGTCACATAACAGAAGAATACACAAAATTAATAATGATCAATGGTAGTTCTTGCCTACTGCCATCTCATTAAGCTACTCTCCTAAAGTTAAAGCATATATAATTTAATGTAGTGGGTTGAATAGTGTCCACCCCAAATTCATGTCCACCCTCAGAGTGTGAACTTATTTGGAAATAAAGTCTTCATAAGTTAAGGAAGGTAAGAATCAAGATGAGATGATACTGCATTAAGGTGGGCCCTAAATCCACTCACAGTGTCCTAATAAGAGAGAAAATGGAGTCGGGCATGGTGGCTCATGCCTGTAATCCCAGCGCTTTAGGAGGCCAAGGCGGGTGGATCACCTGAGGTCAGGAGTTCGAGACCAGCCTAACCAACATGGAGAAACCCTGTCTCTACTAAAAACACAAAATTAGCCAGGCGTAGTGGCGCATGCCTGTAATCCCAGCTACATGGGAGGCTGAGGCAGGAGAATTGCTTGAACCTGGGAGGCGGAGGTTGCAGTGAGCCAAGATTGCGCCATTGAACTCCAACCTGGGCAACAAGAGCAAACCTCTGTCTCAAAAAAAGAGAGAGAGACAGAAAAGGATACAGAGACACAGTGAAGGTCATAAAAGATGGAGGCACAGACTGGAGGGATGCTGTCACAGATAAGGAACACCTGGAACCAGCAGAAGCTGGAAGAGGCAGGACAGAATTCTCCCATACTGCCTCTGGTGGGAGCAGGACTCTGTTACCACCTTGATTTTAGAACTCGGGTTTCCTAAATAGGGAGAGAATAAACTGGTTATTTTAAGCCACCACGCTTGGGGTAATTTGTTACAGTGACTCTAGGGAACTTATACATTTAGCAAGGTAATAATTACGTGAGATGGGCATGATTTGTTTTTCTTTTAAATCGTCTTCAATTTATGTTTACATAGGCTTAAAACCTATTTTTTCCATACCCTTGTACTTACTGCAGCAAAATGTTATAGCACTTCTAAACAGCACACATACCAACCTCTATTAAATTGCTGAAATTATAGGTATCACTATCTGAAAACTTCACAGCATTAACCTCGAGCAATGACAACAAAAGGGGTTTTTCTTAATGTCAAATATAAAGTTATCATATTAAAAAAAAATCCCTTGTGGGCCGGGCACAGTGGCTCATGCCTATAATCCCAGCACTTTAGGAGGACAAGGCAGGCTGATCACCTGAGGTAAGGAGTTTAAGACCAGCCTGGCCAACATGGCGAAACCCCATCTCTACTAAAAATATAAAATGAGCCAGGTGTGGTGTCGTACACCTGTAATCCCAGCTACTCCGGAAGCTGAGGCAGGAGAATTGCTTGAACCTGGGAGGCGGAGGTTGCAGTGAGCTGGGATCGTGCCACTGTATTCCAGCCTGGGCAACAGAGTGAGACTCTATCTCCAAAAAAAAAATAATAAAATAATTTTAAAAAGCCCTTGTGTTTACAACTGTATGTCTGAGAATAAAACATGAAAAGGCACACTGTTCAAACTAGGAAAAAATAAGAACTATCCATTGAAATTATGATTGTCTGACACCATTGATCATTGCTACTGAGACTGAAAAATAAATACCTAGGAAGCTTTGTGAAAGGGAGTAGGTCCAAGATGATGCACACTCACAGGATTTGTAGTCCTCTGGACAGCACAAAGGTCTGGCCTTTGCCAACCATGACCTTAGGGCGGCAACCACTTCTCTCCCTTGTAGGATTACAACATCCAGCATCATGTTAAAGTTTAACATTATTATCTCTACAAGAGGGAGTGGTATCCACACATGCAGCCAAAAATATTTAGATAATTATGTCTTCAAAACCACTCCAGTGTGATTTCACTTGTGTGCTACCAGTTTAATTTTGATTTCCATAAAATAGTGGGGATGAGAATAAATTAGAAATTAGTTTGCATAATACACAGAATTAGTGCGTCTAGATCAGCTCAAAATTTGACTTCATTCCTGGCAAAACACAAAACAAAATTATACAAGCAAAACAGGCAAACCATATCTCCTCCCTATGTATCCTCTTACTCTTGCCAAAAAGCCCAGATAAAGATGGAAAAATCCTTCTCCATACCCATTCACAAGTCTGTTTCACCTCAGCTGCAAAGTACAGTACAGTAGTCCTCTCTTATCCGAGGTTTTGCTTTCAGTACTTTCAGTTACCCCTGGTCAACTGAGGTCCAAAAATATTAAAACAGAGAGAGATATCAAGACAGAGGGAAAGAGACCACATTTATATTAATTTTATTACAGCATACTGTTATAATTTTTCTATTTTGTTATAGTTATGTTGTTAATCTCTTACTGTGCCTAATTCATAAACTATCATAGGTATGGATGTATAAGAAAAATATAGTATATATAGGGTTTGGTACTATGTGTGGTTTAAGGCATCCACTGGGTGATCTTCGAACGTATCCCCCAAGGATAAGGTGGGGCTACTGTATTCAGACAGGCAATGCTTATTTTCATAGCCATATCTCTAGACATGCTTTTAAAGCATGAGAAGCTTGTGAAGTTGGAGGAGACTGAAGACATATTTCCCATCACAGTGCTTTCCATTTCCCCCTGGATGCAAGAGATTGGAGATGCTGAAACCCTCTGACACTTTTAAGATGACAATGACCAGGTTAAGCCAATTCCCTAGAGAAGAATCCACTCTGGTGGCACCTATGACCATGACTAACACATTTTACCCAAGTTTTAATCATTCTCCACTCCCCTACTATTCTACAATACTTCTAGTTTCACCAGTATTCTGAATCTCTCAGACAAGAGATTTAATCTGGGTTTTTCTATATATTTATTACTACCTCAGGCACAACAGAAAGAAGAAAAAAATTATAGCATTATAACTTTAAACTGGCTAATTTCACTGTCTCCCTGGCTCACCAGGGAAACTGATTTAAAACCAGTCTCCATTTTAGTGCCTTCAGTCCATCCAGCTCTGTAGGCAGGGGAATATGGAACGCGGGTTTTTGCTCTGGACACTGCCTCTCACCAACATCATCCGAGCCTGTATCCTGTTTGAGTTTACTCCACTCCAGAGCCAGGCCTGACCTACTGAGTCCCAAGGGCAACCTTCATCCTCTTTGCATTTTCTTTTAGGAAACAGCTGAATCCTGGGGTATTTTGTGCTGGACTCAAACTAACCATGGAGCAGTAAGGCAACTACACAAATGCTTCATGGAGGCTCTTCAATGGCCTCTGGCCTTGGGTAGACACATTCACATCACTGTATTTCCTCCCTGAATCATGGGAGCTCTGCTCTAATTCGCCATTTAAAAATATACCCTCCTGGGGCCGGGCATGGTGGCTCATGCCTGTAATCCCAGCACTTTGGGAGGCCGAGGCAGGCGGATCACGAGGTCAGGAGATCAAGACAATCCTGGCCAACATGGTGAAACCTCGTCTCTACTCAAAATACAAAAATTAGCTGGGCATAGTGGTGCACGCCTCTAAGTCTCAGCTACTCAAGAGGCTGAGGCAGGGGAATCGCTTGAACCCGGGAGGTGGAGGTTGCAGTGAGCTGAGATCATGCCACTGCACTCCAGCCTGGGGGACAAAGTGAGGCTCCATCCCCCAGGAGATATATAGATATCTATATACACCCTCCTGAGCCAGTTCTTGAGGTTATTTCAACTTTTTTTTCCTTCATAGCCAAGCCTAGGTCTCTTGACATCAGTCAAGAAAGTAGCCCTCATTTGGCTCCTTTTCATGAAATTTGTGCCTTCACTCATGGCACCCTAGCTGGCTCTCCTAACACTCAAAGTGTTAGATTTTTCTCTTTTTTTGTAAGAACCTTTAGGTCCTTCTGGTTTCATCTTCCCAGGGAAGGTAAAGATGAGTTTCCAAGTTGACCTGGGCTCTTGGCTTAGATAACCTTCCAGCCTCTTTCGGTTGCCCTTAGCTGTGGCAAGCTGCCTTGACTTCCACTGCTGTCCACTGAGCTCCAGTCTGTAACTCCACTCATTTCCTCAGAAGCACAGTGACACCTCATGAGCAACAGTGCAGAAAGGAGATTTTATTATGGAACCTTGTGCCATTTATCCAGCCCTGATGTCGCTTCAAAGCATAGTGCCTATGGCTGAGATGTTTCTTTGAGACAGAGTACTCCTTGGTACCTTTGTAGTTGATATTTTTTCTTTCGAAATCTGACCTTTTAATCCACCTTCACACCTATTACATCTTTCCAAAAGAACTCCAATTGCACCATCCTTTCCCTCCAGAGGAAAAAAAAAATCACGTTTCTACTTATGTAAAAAACACAAGATAAGGATAAATCCTAAATTCCTCATGTAGCAAATAAAGGCCTGTCTGGACTTGTACTCAGTATTTTTTTCCAAACTATTCTGGATGTATCCCATTAAGTGACCCCCTTGGTAAGCTCTGCGTCATATTCCATAGGGTCTTGTACCTCTATTGTCTTGAATCAGGCTATTGCCTCCTTTGTCTGGAATGCAGCCCTTACCCCCATACTCTGCTTTTTACTTCTCTAAAGCCTCATCTAACCATGCTCCTCTCCAGTAGCAGGATCAATCTCAAGCTTGCACCATGTCCCATGGCACTTCATTCACGTGGCTGGCATGGTATTACAATTCTGCCCACCCAACGTGAGTGATCCTTAAAGCAGCAACTTGCTCATTCACACTTAACTTCTGGTACTTTTCAGGGTGCTGGAACATGATAGGTGATCCATGTTTGTTGCACAGATATGTAAAGCAGAATTATTATTACTTTGCTATTTCATCCAAAAGCAAATCATTAGTGGAAAGTATATAAAACCTAGATAAGACACATAACCACCAGCATAGATTCCTATGAAAAGTCATATTTTCCTTACAATTAAATAGATGTATTTTCCCTACACATGACGGTATTAAAACTCATTATTAAATGAAAAGTCAGTGATCATTTATAGTTAAACTTTATGGTGAAATCTTTATAAACTATCATTTCCTTAAAGGATTAATAATCTGAAAGAGTCTCATTTACAAACACACAAACACAGATACCATTCTCTCTCCAGGCAACTTCACCACAACAAACTCAGAAAGCAGTTTTTCCTACTCTCATTCTGCCTGAATTAAATATTTGAAGGATGATGGAAGTGAAAAAGGAAGAAAAATATTTTCTGGAAATATCTCTTACAAAAGAATTAACACCAGTATGTCCAGATGGAGGGAGGATACCGAAAGATGTCATAATAATGTCCCCAAATTCCCTTTCTTAGTAAACTTATAAGGAACTGTATTATAGGAGAGAAAAACAAAACCACTGGAGTCTAAATTGTTTTCTCTTTGCCATTGCCACTATGCCTAACATATGTGTATTATATTTCAGAGGGTTTAGGTTAAAGCACATAAAAATAACCTCATAGGAAAGATACAACAGTAGGTCCTTTCACGTTGTGTATTTCTTCAACGTGCTCCCTGATAAACTGACTTGCAATGTATACAGATCAACGGGACCCTCCACCCACCAAAAAAAGTCATTTGTGTCATTTTCTCCTAAGCATCTGAGTAATCTGAGGAAGTAAAAACCATAACCAACCTTCAACTACAGAAACAGGTGCAACTTCTCCACCCACAAAATCAAGAATTATTCAAGTTCATGTACCAATCAACCAGGCGGACCACAGTTCTGCCACAATATATGTGTTAATAAAACATAACCAGAGAGCGTAACTGGACTATAATTACTTTTAATCATCAAACAAAAAGATAAAATTCCAGAAGACATACTAAGATATTAAGAGCAAGGTACGCCAAGGTAAATGTCCAGGCTTCTGGTAACTTCTGCATAGATAATTGAATACATTATTCTAATATTTAATTTCTTTAAGGCCTACTTGTTTAAAATATTGTGTTTTGAAACCAACTAAGTATTTGAAAAACTCAAAGCTCTGTAAAGAACTATGGAATTTCTATAAAAAGGTAGTTTACTTCTGAAATTCACCACATTCACCAACTTTTGTCCCCCTTTAACCTTAGTGACAACGTTTCAAGGAAGAAGCTAATAATTTCCCTTTCAACTGCCAAGGCTTCTGAGTCGTGAGGCAGTTTGAAACTTCAGGAATAGTGAGTTACTTCAGGACCCATAGGATTTACAACAATAATGGTTTGAGGAAACCACAGCATTTAGGCTCCTTCAGTCTTTTTCCCTGTCTTTAAGAGTTTAAAAATAAGCAAGAAAATGATTCTTCAAATCGGCAGACCATCTTCAGGGGTGGAGTCTTGCCACGGTGCATAATAATCCCAGAGTTACAAGATCCACAGAGCACGGTGCGGCCCACAAAAACAGCTCTTCTGACCCTCCTCTTGATCATGCCGAACATGATCTGAGCCTTTTCCTTTTTGATTTTTGTTTTACCTCTCTCTTTCTCTTTCTCTCTAGCTTAAAGTCAGTAAAGTTCTAGTAGAAGTAACTTACCATTTTGTTCATGGTAATGGCTGGGATTTCCTTTGCGTTCTATTTCTATTTAATGCATCTTTGTAAACTCAGCTATTAACTATAATAAGTCTACAGCCACTCAAGAGGGAAAAAGTTCCAAGTCAAAAATAGAATGCTAAGTTTAAAGTTTTAAAATGCTTCTATTGCTTTCGAGGCAGGTGTGCTTCTGACAGCTCTATTAAGTTACTCAACTGTCTCTAGGGACTTCAGTTCCTAACAAAGAAAGGCTGCAGCCTGGTGCCCTTGGGTTGGTTTTTTGTTTTTGTTTTCTTTTTCCTCTTTCATTCTTTGAAAACTGAATGAATTCTGTTCTTGTGCGGAATAAAAGTGACATGAGAAAGCCTGTTTTCAGGACTGGCGTTCTTCCTCTTTTGTCTTTGCTATGGTAAGTTGCTTATCTTCTGCATATCTGCTTAGAAAACTTTCTGTGTGATACAGAGTGACTCAGACGCTTCCAAAACCTGCTCTGTAAGGTCAGAAAAGGAATTTGTCACTTGACCCTCACAGGGCAGTCAGGAATGTCAAAATTAAAGAGACTAACAGAAAGGAACACACTCTCAATACCTTAAGAGGGGACAAAGGAATGTAAGGACATAGCCTCACTGGGCCCTGTTGGGTACAGGCCTTGAGCAAGCTAACTCACTTTTCTGCATCCTCCCTTCTTAGCTGCCAAACAAGGGATCAGACAGGGTATCTCGGAGGTTCCTTCCAGCCCTGACACGTTAGTTAGCCTTGTTGTTAAGCTAACTCTACTTGGATCCCTTCACATGTCCAATTTAAAGACTGTGTACATATATTTACTAAAATGCTTCAAATGGCACCGAGAGAAGAAAATGTGTGGTCATTGCTTCAATAAGAGCTCTCTCTAAATAATTACTAAAGTTGATTTCTCTCATTAGGTAAACACAAAAGTCAGAATTCTTTGAGTTTTCATTTCATTAGAAAAGAAAGACATCTTTAAAACTATCATCATCTCTGATATTTTACAACCAAAATAGAGAGTAACTATGTAAAGTACCAAAAGCTTTTCCTATCAGGAGTGAGACTCTTCTGTCAATTCTTCAATGTTTAGAGAATGACAGAAGGAATAACAATGCTTCTGTCATTGTTATTGTCATTGTCATTGTAGAAAAATAACTATTTTTCTTTTCTCTGAGCCCCATTTCTTGAGTCACAGAATTTTCTGTAATCTCTATTTTCAATTAATTCAGGTTGCATTTAAACATTTTTGTAGGTCTCCTATGTGCAAATCAAAATACTCATTGAGCAAACACTGTGGATCTAGGATGCAAAATGGGGATTATAGCATTTCAACACAAACTAGTAAAAAGTCATGTGAATTCTCTGCACTGGGATATTAGTGGTTCATTAACAAATTCATGGAAAACCAGAGGGTCAGATCAGCTTTTTCAGCCACATTTTATATCATTCCCATTCGCATTAATGAGGCTCAAATATCGTTTAAAGTATTTGGCCAAAAATGTTTAGTAGAGTAGAAGTGGTTTTAAATAATTGAAATACGTCTTACCTTCACTATTTCTTGACTTTTTAAATATAGAGGATACAAACAAGAACATGAAATAGAAATCTGGGGGATGCAATTTCAACCAAATGAAAAATGAGTAAATAAACTTGGTGTCTACATATCAGATGGAGAAAAGAGAGTGACAATCAACAAGTAATTAGAGAAAGTGGTTAATGGTGAAATCAAGGTTTAAAAGCATACTTGCTTAGTAAGTGAAACAAAGCAGTAGATGATAATCCTCCTTGAAAACTCGGAGTGATTTTTACAGGAGTGATTAAAATGTAATGTTTACAGAAAACACTGGGATGGCCAAATACAGTCACCGGTCCATGATGTTAACACAAACATGTACTTTATTCCACCGTACCAAAACGAAAAGCCAACAGAAGATAAACATGTAAAAAACATAGTTACATATTAGAGTAACATCCACTTATCAACGGATCATTTTGCTGACAAATTCAACCACTCAAAATATGGCAAAGAAGAAATCAAAATGGCCTCCCACCAGACAGCACTGCCCACAGGATTGTGGCTCGGGATCTCATGCATCTTCCAGTCAATACTGTTGCAATACACTGGGTTACCCAGACCCCCCCACACAAGGTAACACAGGAGCAACACCAAGCCAAAGAGTGGTGGGGACTACCAGAGACAGGTGCAAGTACACTGTCGAAAGAGAAAGGCTTCCAGCAAAAGTGAAATACAAAACAGTCACTGGAAGTTAAAGAACACTGCAGAGATCCATTTCATGCCAAAGCAAAGATCTCTACAATATTCAGCGGCCATCAGGGCATCACCAGGTCCAATGACTAGTCACAGTGACACCAGGGCATTAAAACGAGGTTAAATTGTACTCTTTGATTGAGCAGAGTTGTTGAAGTGTCATGAAGAGTGTGGGACTAAGTCACGAGAAGTGGATTCAAATCCAGTCTATACCAATTATCTCTATGGCTTCAGGCAAGTCTTAATATTGCAGGAACTGCTTGCTCACAACAAAAAGGGGCAATGCCACCTGTCCTGCCACTCCCACAGAACTATCCTTACGATGAAAAAAGACCATGCATGACTACTGCACAAACCATGACCTGTAAACAGGCTCTGGGTGTAGACTATACTTTAGAAAGATGTTCATTAAAAAATATTTTCAATTGTTTTAGAATTCTGAAAGATGAACGAGGCAAGCTTCTGTTATATGGAACTACAAATAAGTAAAAGGCATACTTCTCTAGTATTTTATACAAGTTAATATCTAGTCTATATGATCACAATTTAGAAAAGTATCTCTAACCAATTACCAGGGTTTTTTGGGGGGCTTTTTTTTTGAGATGGAGTCTTGTTCTGTTGCCCAGGCTGGAGTGCAGTGGTGCGGACTCGGCTGACTGCAACCTCCGCCTCCTGGATTCAAGCAATTCTCCTGCCTCAGCCTCCCGAGTAGCTGGGACTACAGGCACCCACCACCACGCCCGGCTAATTTTTTGTATTTTTAGTAGAGATGTGGTTTCACCGTGTTAGCCAGGATGGTTTCGATCTCCTGACCTCGTGATCCACCTGCGTCAGCCTCCCAAAGTGCTGGGATTACAGGGGTAAGCCACTGTGCCCACCCTTTTTTTTTTTTTTTTCCCTGAGACAGAGTCTCACTCTGTCGCCCAGGCTGGAGTGCAGTGGCACAATCTCAGCTCACTGTAGCCTCCGCCTCCTGGGCTCAAGCAATTCTCCTCCCTCAGCCTCCTGAGTAGCTGGGACTACAGGAGCACACCACCATGCCCAGCTAATTTTTGTATGTTTAGTAGAGACAGGGTTTCACCATGTTCAGGACGGTCTTGATCTCCTGACCTCGTGATCCACCTGCCTCGGCTTCCCAAAGTGCTGGGATTACAGGCACGAGCTACAGTGCCTGGCCCCAGTTACCAGTTTTTACAGTAACTGTTTCAAAAAAAACACTACAGCCAGGCAGTGGCTCACGCCTATATTCCCAGCACTTTGGGAGGCTGAAGTGGGAAAATCACTTGAGGCTAAGAGTGAAGACCAGCCTGGGCAACATAGCAAGACCCCTTCTCTACAAAAAAACAAAATAAAATAAATTAGCCAGGCATGGCGGCAGGCCCCTGTAGTCCCAGCTAACTTGGGAGGCTGAGGCAGGAGAATTCCTTAAGCCCTAGAGTTCAGGTTACAATAACCTATGAGTGCACCACTGCACTCCAGCCTGGACGACAGAGGGAGACTCTATCTCTTTAAAAAGAAAAAAAAAAAAAGAAAACCACCAAAACATTGCTTTTGTTTTCCAGTTCCAACATAGGATCTCTGCTACATACAGGCTAGAATCCAAAAATTGGAAGTTAAAGTTTTGGACTAAACTTCACAACTAATTTTCCCCTATGGGGGATGGACAGTAGGCTGGTAAATAAAGACAGAGAAATCTACAGGATCAGGGCAGAAACTGGCCAGACATTGCTATTCATGGGCTTTCCCTAGGGCCAGTGAGCAGGTGCAGGGAATCAGCCTGAGTGCATCAGCAGGCTCTTCCACACTGCCCTGCAGCAGGCAGCAAGGCTCCTGTTGGCAATCACTCGGTCCTGCTGCCAACTTTCAAGGCTTATACACCAACGGGGTCCTGGACTAGGGGCGCAGAGGGGAACTCAGAAAAGGACTTCCTATGGTGGATGAATGCGTAGGTGGCTCAGAGTCACAAGCTGGGTTTTGGACCAGATGGTTTTCTGAGAGGCACCACTACTCTACACTGTTTCTCAAAGTACTCCTGGTATACCAGGCCTTTCTCCAACACCAAGACAACAGTGGACTATCTACAGAAATTCCATCATAGCTTGTAACTTCTACATATTGAGAAAAAAAAGCTATGTGATACACATGCATAATAACACCCTACTGAAAAAAGTGAAGTCTACCGAAAGCACCATTTTTGAGGGTCATAAAATCAAGTAGTAAGTCAGGACTGACATTTTCTGTTTGATAACATAGAATAGAATAAACAGAGAAAACAGAGTACCATATGTAGACACGCAGTAAAGGTAAATCATTCCACAAAGCTATTCCATGTACGCATGCCATGCATATATGCCATGTGTGGCATGGGAACCAATGTAAAGTGTATTTATTACTTTGGACACAAACAAAACTTTTTAAACTCTCTGACTTAAAAAATAAACTATAATTAAACTTTTCAGGCCCTGAAAACCCCAAAACATTCACACCATAGTTCCTGTAGGAGATTATTTCCCCCATTTGAAACAAGCATGGATTCTAGAGAAAACTAGCTCAACTTTCTCAGAAACTAGAGAAGAATTTACTAATTGGATTTTTGTTCAAACCTTTATTATTAGTTGGAGTTGGAACATAACCTTCGAGATTTCTAAAGTCAGTGGCATAACCTTCCCCTGGTTACAGTGACATAAGAACACAGATCAACTGAATAAACCAACACATTCTCCAGAGTGGCGATGTAACCAAGGTCTGCTGATCCAAAGCAATGTCGAAAGACAGAAACCCCAACCTCGCCAGCTTCATAAAGCATCAATAGCACACAAATGAGACACGGTGGCTTAAAAGTGGCTTGCAAATGGAACAGAGCTAAGATCCTTATGACAGAACAACACTCAGGCATGCACACGTAAGGACAAAGAGTTGGACTTGGGAAGCTAGCAAGGAAAAAATATTTGAAACATCTTTTTATAATGGGAATAGAGTGTGTTGAAGAACTCAGCAATGAAATGACTTTACGGTAGAAATCAAAGTTCTTTTTCCAGGAAGTCAGAGCATTCTATGTACTTTCTACTGGTGAAAAACTTATGTAAATAAATAACTACCAGGCAAGATGATCACAGCAACCAAACTAAGCACCAGCCACAACCACCCACAAGGTAAATTCACAAATTGCCTTGTGTCTGCTTTGTAAAAGAATCCCCGACCAATCAAGACTAAAGCAATACCCACCCGTATTCAGGAAGGAATGCTGGTTTATCTCAGAAGGCAATCCAGAAACACCAGATACCCAGTTTCTGCTTTAGCTGAGGCGTTTCTAGTTACAAAGTTAAAGAGAAGCTTAGGGAATAGAGGCAAGGGAACTGTATCGACAATAAAATATACTTATTCTCATGTTCTCTAGTCAAGTTTATGGAAAAGACAAAACTCAAGTGATACTGTTTAAAGAAATCTCAACTGCTTGTGGCTTTTATTAATACTTGCGAGTTTTCCTTCGAGAAAGCCAAACATATATTAAGCCCAAGCCTGACAATTTACTGTACCACTAAAATTATTTTAACCAGTGAATAGATTAGCCTTTATTCTTGTTCTATACCTTTTTCAATAATGCACAAAAACTTATTAAGCTATGTCTTAAAACATAAAAACAAACCTACAATACTACAAGTGTACAATTAGCGATGCAAGCAGCATATTCAGAAATTTGACCAAGCTCCCACAAACCACAATTACTTAGGGGATGGGAATCCAAAAAGTCTTAGCTAAGCGGTGGCGGGTGCGGGGCATGGAACCGGATCAGTATGGGAGTGATGATCTCTTCTTTCCTTATAGCTTATTCCCTCCTCTTCCCTCCAGGTTACTGCCACCTTCTTCCATTCACTACCATTCCCAATACAGTCTTTTTCAAAAATAAGAGGGCATGAAAATGGAAAAGTAGAGTCCCTCTTCATTCCACTAATCCTAATGAGCTCCCACTCTAGGAAACGCCCTGTAGGCCAGGTTGCTCCCAGTAACTTCACAATTCAAGCCATTTTCACATTGACTTTGGGAAAGGGTCTCTCCTCAGTGTGAGTTACTCAGAAGGTTGCTTTATATCAAGTGTATGCAGCACTAGGGGCTCTCCAAACACAAGAACCCACGATGTGCCCGCCACATGAGGCACACGCCCAAGCATGCACTCAAACACTAGAAATTAGCCCAGCAAATGATGGTATTGGTAGGGGAAGCACTAGCTGGGAGACTTGGCCAACAAATCCTCCCCCTACAACCACTGGGGGAAGATGGTCTCAGACAACTGCTTGCCTAGGCAAGCATTCACCATTTCTCTTACAGCCTAAATATCCAAAGCAAGATGCAGCCAGCACAGTAACGAATTTTAGCAAAAACTAAGTAAATAAATGTTAGTTTAATGTCTATGATATCTACTAGTCAGTCATCAAATGTCAGCGATGAACTGATAGAGAATGCTCAGAGATGCTGAATTCAACGGAACAGAGAAGAGGTGTGGTACAGGCTGAAGAGGGGCAGACCACAGCTAGACCACTGCAACCAGCTTCAGGCATCCCCAGCCTCACACCACACACATTTGTGTATATGAACAGTGTGTATGTTGATTACACATAAATTTTCCAATCACATTTATTAAAACAGTGATTGCCATAAATATAATCTTTAATTAGGGAGATTAGAAATATAAGGTAAAGACTACCCATAGTTCACAACGCTAGAAAAAGTATAACTATACATTGGAAAAAATCACAGATGCCGTTGCTAAGGGAAAAAGTAATTATGAAAATCTGTGACTTCTCTTAATAAAGATACCCTAACATGGCCAGGTGTGATCGCTCATGCCTGTAATCCCAGCACTTTGGGAGGCTGAGGCGGGTGGATCACCTGAGGTCAGGAGTTTGAGACCAGCCTGGCCAACATGGTGAAACGCCATCTCTACTACAAATACAACAACCACCACAACAAAAACTAGCCAGGCGTGGTGGCACACACCTGTAATCCCAGCTACTGGGGAGGTGGAGGCACGAGAATCGTTTGAACCCTGGAGGTGGAGATTGCAGTGAGCCGAGATCACACCAGTCCACTCCAGTCTGGGGCACAGAGTAAGACTCTGTCTCACACACAAAAAAATATATAGCCTAACATGAAAATCTGTGGTTTCATTACTACTTTTCCTCATGTGCCTATATAATCCCTTCAACGAGAACTTTGTCTTTTCTCGGTTACGACAGCCCCTAGATGACCTGGTTCTAACCCCTAATGCTCCAATCCCTTCTGCACGCCATAACCAGAGCAGGTTCCTTCCAATACGGCTTCGACCGAGTATTCACAATAGATATTTACTTACTATCTGCAAAGTGCAAAGCACTTGAAAAAGGCTAGACTTCAAAGGGCTTCAAGTCTAGGAGAAGTATGAAGTGCATACTCAAATATTCTCAAAGCAGAGTATTTGCCCTTAAACCAAAAGTTATTAAGTCCTTGATGCCAAAACGCCCTAGGTGCTTTCAATGTCATTTCTCCATCTGAAGAATTATACTCAGTTCCCTGCTTCCCCACATCTGTTTCTCTGCCCAGTTTTCAGTTCTCTCTAATGATCTGACCCTTCCTTACCAAACCAACTATTGTTTTTATTGGTCACTTATGATATCCAGACTATGTTTATTAAATGAATGAACTCATGTAAAGTTTTAATAATAGTGTCTCGCCACGGTAAACATTCACTAAATATTAGCTATTGTTAAGCTTATGGATAGGTCGACTGATTCAGACATGACTTTCAATTTAGTATTTTAATCATTTCAGGATTTGACGTCAACACTGAGATACCAATTCCTTGAAGGATTACGTAAAGGAAGTGATAGGTTCCACTTGAGTTGCCTAGGTTATACAAGCACTCCAAAGACACTTCCACAACTGGAAATTCTAGATAATAGCATAGTCTACACTAGGATAAAGACATTTTTTGACTCAACTGACTATTGATAGTGAAGAGATTATCAATCCAATGGCCAGTATCATTAAATACAATAGATCGAATTTGTAGGCTTACAGCATATCTATAAAACAAACATTCATTTATTCAATAAATAAATTGTACCTGCTACTGGTATGCATGTATGATGAATAGGTATTATCCCATTTTACAGTGTGGAGGAGAGAGTGAGGAGGAAGCACAAGGAGGCAATGGGGTAAGGGAAGCAGCATGTATAGGGCTTAAGAGAGCATTGTTAAGGCTTAGCTATTCAACTCCCTGGAGAAGGAGAGCACCTGAGGGGTTTCAAGCAGTGAAGTTACACGTGACTCATGTTTGAGGTTTAACAGGATCACTGAGGCTGCTAGGTTAAGATCAGACCAATTGGTGGGGAGGGGAGCGGTGTGTACAAAGGTGAAAGCAGGGAAACCAGTTAAGAAAAGATTGCATTAGCACAATGGAGCTTCTCCTTATCAGGCTTGGCATCGTTAATTCCATATCTCTGTTCACTAAAGCCAACTTTACTAATTGGTCAAAACAGCCCTGATCAAATTTTTTTTTTATCCAAAGAGCTTGATACATGCATAGTTTGTGTGAAGCAACAGAAAACACCAAAAGTATGCCATCGAAATTATGTTTCCACAAACAGAACCCTCTCTTTTATTACACTCAAAAAAGTCCAGAGTTGAGAGCACTGGGAATAAGCATACAGTGCTACCTATAACTTGGACTTCTGAATGGTCTTCTGTCCTCTCTTGCTGTCTCCACTCTTGTTCCCCTTTGATCCATCCTTGTTCCCCTTTGATCCATCCTTGTTCCCCTTTGATCCATCACTGTTTTTAGAGTGATCTTCCCAAAACAGGGATTACAGGCAGTGGCTCAAGCCAAGCCTGTAATCCGAGCACTTTGGGAAGCCGAGGCAGGTGGATCACTTGAGGCCAGGAGTTCAAGACCAACCTGGCCAACATGGTGAAACCCGTCTCTACTAAAAATACAAAAACTGGCCAGACTAAGCCAAATTCAGAAAGTATTTGCTTAGCACATTAGCCTGTGCACAAAGCACCATTTAATCGAGTCCCAGATGTGTTAAGTTTACCCATTCAGCAACCATTTATTGAGCACTTAGCCTTGGGGATAAAAAAAAAAAAAATAAGATTGAGTCTCCATCCTAAAACAGGTCACGGCTAGTTCAAGACACAGACAAGTAAACAAGTAAGCATAAGCCAGTGTATGATAAACACGATTAGAGAGGAATGAAGAAGGCAGAGAAATAACATAGAGACAAGAGCCATCAGCTCTGCCTGAGGATGTTAGAGAAGACTTCACAGAGTTTTAAAGCGAGTCTAGAAGGATAAGTAGGAGGTCAACAGGCAGGGGAGGCGACTCGAGCACCCTGGCACAGGGAATAAGAGGGAACGGGAGGTGCCAGTTTCTGGAGTTGTGAAAAAGCAATGAGTCTGTATGCTAGTTCTGCAGGGGAGAGGACGGAGGCAGATCCCGTAAAGTTTCACGCCATGTAAAGTGATGTAAGCTCCATTCTGTAGGCAATGGGGAGCTACAGAAAGGTGATCCAGTTGTTTTTGTGGGTTTTTCTGTTTCTTGTTTTTCTGAGACAGAGTCTTGCTCTGTCACCCAGGCTGGAGTGAAGTGGTGAGATCTCGGCTCACTGCAACCTCCGCCTCCTGGGTTCAAGCGATTCTCCTGCCTCAGCCTCCCAAGTAGCTGGGATTACAGGTATGCCGCACTAAACCCGAGTAATTTTTGTATTTTTAGTAGAGACAGGGTTTCACCATGTTGGCCAGGCTGGTCATGAACCCCTGAGTTCAAATGTTCCTCCCACCTCGGCCTCCCCAGGTGCTGGGATTATAGGCTTGAGCCACTGGTCCCAGCTGGTTTTTGTATCTTAGGAAGATCACTCTGGAGACAGTGTAGACTCATGGATGGATCAAAGGGGAACAAGAGTGGAGAAAGCAAGAGAGGACAGAAGATCATTTAGAAGTCCAAGTAAGAGCTGATGAGGGCCTACGCTCTATGAGGACGGACATCTAGGTGCAAATACAGCAGACCTTTAGGAGATTAAACTGAAGTATTTGATAGAAAATACTGTAGTTTTCAAAAAAAACTCTAGGCTGGGCATGGTGGCTCAGGCTTATAATCCCAGCATTTTGGGAGGCCAAGGCAGGAGGATCACTTGAGGCCAGATGTTCAAGATCAGCCTGAGCAAAAGAGAGAGACCCCATCTCTACAAAAATAAAATAAAATAAAATAAAATAAAAAATTAGAAAGGCATGGTACCCTGTGCCTGTAGTCCTAGCTACTCAGGAGGCTGAGCGGGGAGGATCCCTTGAGCCTGGGAGTTCAAGGTTACAGGGAGCTATGATTGTGCCATTGCACTCCAGCCTGGGCAACAAAGCAAGACCCTGTTTCTAAAAAAAAAAAAAGCAAACAAACAAACCCCTCTAATTTGACAGAACATGTTATAGTTAAACCAAAACACCCTGAAATTACATGGAAATATATTTTATAATAATTGCATGAGACATAAAAATTAACCCTAGATAACATGCAGGATCTTTTAAAATTATTAAAAACAAACTGTTGGCCAGGCGTGGTGGCTCACGCTTGTAATCCCAACACTTTGGGAGGCTGAGGTGGGCGGATCACCTGAGGTCAGGAGTTCAAGACCAGCCTGGCCAACATGGTGAAACCCCGTCTCTACTAAAAATATAAAAATTAGCCGGGCGTGGTGGCGGGTGCCTGTAATCCCAGCTACCCAGGAGGCTGAGGCAGGAGAATAACTAGAACCCGGGAGGCAGAAGCTGCAGTGAGCCAAGATTGTGCCACTGCACTCCAGCCTGGGCGACAGAGCAAGACTCTGTCTCAAAATCAATCAATCAATCAATCAATCAATCAATAAAAAGTAAACTGTTCATAAAGATCAGTTTCAAAGAAGGTTTCCATAACTTAGCAAAGACATTTTAATGGAAAAGAACATAGGTTACTCACTTCCAAACTCAAGCCCTGACAATAAGTTGCTTCTTTTTATCACTCTTAAGATACTTTTCATAATTTAAAAAAAAACCATATTTTTCATAATTTAAATGCCTCTTCTCAAAACAAATGCACAAAGTTTTTAAACTAAAAAAGGAAGGATACTAGATAAAATATCATTTAAATCGAACTTCAACAATTTAATTTGCAAATAAAGACATATTAAAATGAACAAGGCAGTGAGACAACAGAGTCCCAACTTCAGAAGAAAAAATAATAATAATCAAAGGTCAATAAAGGGCAGTCTCAATGGACCAGAGAAAACATTAAGTGGCACTCACTGTGTGTCTCTTTCACAGAATGTCAACTTCAGTAGGAAGTAAGAGCAAAACCATGACATTCACTGATCTCTTTTGTTAAGACACGAAGGTAAACTTCCTTTGGCTATTTTTCCGATATATGTAGTAACCATCAGAATAAATAAAACTTACTGATCTTGTTTCACTCTTAAATTTGTGATGCTACTTGACAATATTTGTCAATATTTCTTAGGTTTTCTTAATGCCAGAAGGAAGCTATTTTTTTTTTTGGAGGATTTTTGTTTGGTTTGAGACCTAGTCTTTATGTTTGTTTGGTTTTGAGACCTAGTCTCGCTGTGTTACCCAGGCTGGAATGCAGTGGTGTGATCTCGGCTCACTGCAGACTCGACCTCCCAGGCTCAAGCGATCCTCCCACCTCAGCCTCCTGAGTAGCTGGAACTATAGGCACACACCACCACACTTGACTACTTTTTCTATTTTTTTGTAGAGACAAGGTTTCGTCGTGTTCCCCAGGCTGGTCTTGAACTCCTGGGCTCAAGTGTTATGCCCACTTCGGCCTCCGAAAATGTTGGGATAACAAGCATGAGCCACCACGCCTGGCCCAGGAAGCTATTCCTAAGTCCCACCAATTTAAGGATTTTATTATCAGAAATAGATCACAGCTATTTACATGGAAACAGGATCTTGACTTTTGACCTAGCTGCTTTTGGTTTTTCATGTCATTTTTCTCCACTGTAATATCTGGTCATTAGTAATCTAATTATGTGCAAGGATCCTGCTTTCTGCAACTATTTTATTAGGAGAAAAACTGGGATGAAATTACTTTAAATAGATCCAACTCCCACACTCAAAAATTGATTATCTAGTATATGGATTATTCATTACCCTTGATGCCTAGTATGGTCATTCTCTGGCCATTTTTGTAGTGGCTGAGAAGGGAGGACACTGACATTCAAATGATTCAAAGCTGGTAACATTACTAGTCTGTACGATAAAGTCCAGAAGGAAAGGATGAAACATTGTTCAAAGCAAGGCTTTGCATGTCAATTACCTTCTCTATCTGCTGACCTGCCAATACCAGGATCATCAATCACGCTTCTGCCCAGCTAAATGGAGAGCTGGGGATACAACAAAACAAGCTCTGCTCAATGAGAAGACGGACACCCCATATGATTCCACCTCTTTTAGTTTTATTTGAGTGAGCAAGAAAGGGAAAGCACAGAATAAATACTACTAGTCATTAGTTTTCCTCAAGGACCTTCCACAGTGCTGGAAAAGCAGCAGGCACTCATTAAATCTTGTTCAGTTAAATGCTAACAGTTAGAAGACCATGCAAAACATGAAAATGTTCCAGATAAAGTTCCTTTATGCGGACCTTCTCATCTAGGTCATCGTGTTGCACTTTTTCACAATTATCCTACATTTTCTCTTTAACCCCCCTGCTTTAGATGTCTTATTTGCTTCTCCATTTAAGCATGAACTCCATGACTTCAGGGCCTGAGTGCTATCTTTCTTTGTATCCTGCACATAGTATTCAGTAATGATTCCACCAATAAATGCTCTCACAACTTCACGTGAAAAGTTACATATTGTCTTATCTACCACTGCATTCCACTTTTTTACTATAAAGAAGACACTGATTCACACCCTTGATTTGTATGGCTAATTAAGTCAAAACATCATCTACTACTGTAGTGGGTCATATCATACTAGGAATATAAGAATTGATCATTGCTGTTACCCAGTTCATTCTTACCTCTCTGAGTATAAACGGGGATGGGATTCAAGAGAATTTTGAAACTTGTAGTGTGCTGTCAAACACACATACAAAAGAAAACATACAGATGCTTACTGGTGGCTGCTTTGGACCTATCAATATGTATCTTGTAATTACTTTTTAAGCTGAGGAACAGTAGTCTAATCAGAAAATGCATACTAGTAGCTTCTAATCGTATAAAAAGATTCTCAAAAGAAAAAGAAAATCAAGCACTATAATTTTATCCCTAGTTTCTTGACATTAAATCATAAAGCTATGGGTTTGTTGTACTGAAAGATACCCATAAGGGTAACCACTTAAAAACTTTATTTTGATGTTCCTGATAACAATCCAGCATAGAAATTCCCTATTAAAAGACCTTCTGTTTCAGAAATTGAATGTGTGTCATACAACACACTATCCACACTGATGGTAGGAGCTCAGCAGGCTAATGGTGCAAAGCATACCTGGAGACAGCGGGCAGGGAACAGGCAAGCAGTGTGGCCTGGCAGCAGCTGCTGGAGGGGAGGGAGAACGCCAGGAGCTGCAGAACCGGACCCCCGCCAACCAGAGATCCCACAGGGGGACAACTGATGCGAGGCTAGCTTGTTAAGCTACAGTTGCCCTACATCTAGCTGTCACTGCATGATGGTTGTGTGTATATGTGTGTGTGTGTGTGTGTGTGTGTGAGAGAGAGAGAGAGAAAGAGAGCGAGAGAGAAAAAGAGAGAGAGCGAGAGAGTGGGGAGGAGGGAGAGTTTTTGGCAATCTGTGTAAATCAAAAAATGTTAATGTAAGTTAGGGGGGTTGCGGAATAAACTGAAAGAAAGGTGGATTAGGCTGTGTGTGATTTGGGCAGAGAGATATAAAAGATGCTACACATTCCCATCAGACCAATGTGTCTCCCAGTGCATATTTATTTGCAACCAAATCCTAACGTGGCCATTGGGCATTCTTAGCATTGACTGATAATCCTTGCTAGAGTTTCAGCCTATTTGATGCTTCTAAGAAAAAACTTCATTTCTGCATATTTTTTCTTGAAGACTTTTCCTCTTTTGATCTGCTCACATAAACAAATGTCACTTCTGTATTTCTCCAAAGGAAGGAATTGTGTGGAATAAAGATCAACTGTTATAACATTCCCCTGAGACAAGATGTCAAAGTTGGAAGCCAATTTTCTTTTGTAAGTCAAATGCGAAAACAGAATATAATGCCATGAATTTTGATGTATAAGCAGCTTTTTAAGGATTCTTTCTGACACCGTATGTCAAAAATCATATTATTCATGCCCAATTATTTAAAAAAAAAAACACATAAACTTACACCCTGTATTATGCTTCCATTTATCTTCATGAAGCTACTGTATCCCCTATTCCGTTAAGGGATAAAGGGCACAATCTTTTGTATCGCTACGTAAGCAAGTCCTCCCTTCACAAGTTGCCCCTGTCCTTTACAATGACTTCTTTATTTTCCACAAGTCACATGTACAGTATTTGCTTTATTTCCCAACTAAAACTAATACACACAAATTCAGTCTCTGTTCCTTTAATGCTAATTCAGATGAAGCATCTACAGTAGAAATCCTACAGCCTCATGCTCACATGTATACAGTCGTTAACAGAGACTTGACAGTGGTTGACTTAAAGTCAAACAAGTCCTACAAAGCAACCTTTGGCAAAGCCCAAAGGAATCAAAACTATACCCTCCTGCGACCACAGCACTACTGAATCCACCCTCCAAACATTTTTGTTTCAAACATTACAACCCAATCATTTACCAAAACCACAGCTTATTCCTGATTTAGAAAAGTAAAGTTCACGGACTTACTAAACTATACAACTCCAGCCAGAAAGCACAAATGCCTTTTCTAAGCCTGGCAATCACACAGCATTTGAACTGAAAACCCACATTTTTAAGCTCAGAATCAGTGGCTCATTGTTGATCACCTTGTTGATACAATAAACAACTGATATCTTCAAAGATTATTAGCTAGTCCCTCTTGTGCCATAGTTTAACAGACAAGAACAAATAGTTTACACACACATTCACTCTGAAGAAGGGCTGCATTAATGCTCAGCCTGTGCGACATAATTACTATACTCATAAGCACATATTTAACTTAGTTGATTCTCTCACGTTTCAGTAGTTTTGCTTTCCAAAGCAGGGGGAAGCACAGGTCCCTGAAAGACTCCAGCAAGGTTTCTTTTGGCATGGGGAAGAATGTGATAAACATGGAAAACACAATCACGCGGAAGGTCTGGACTTGATTCCTTTGTGATACTTAAATAGCACTCCCCTACTGGGCTTTGCCCACTGCACCGAATGGAGAAACCATTTTAGAGCTTAACAATTCAGTCCCTACACACACTAAGAGGAAGAATTCAGAAAATCTAAATATAAAATAGGGGTGTGTTAAGAAATATCGAACTGTTTCCCTCTCTCCCAGCAGGACTGGTATTTTTTTTCATCTTGGAGGCAAAACATGTTAATCCTGAGAACAGAGCCAATGTCAGTCTGAAAAGAAACTTGATAGAAATCTAAAAACTCTGGTTAAAAGAAGGAAAGGAGAAAGAAAAAAAAAATCCAGAAACTCCTTGGGACCAACATATCAGTGTTAAGCCCCTTGCGTGTTCATTTTCCTTGATGTCACAGCCCAACACTGGTTTAATTCAAGCATTCATGTAATTCCTCAATCTTAGAAGAAGGATGCAAGAAGACTATGTACGATTCCCGAAGTTTTCTCAGTGCAGTTTCACAAGAGTTCCACGTTCTAGCCCCAGATTGCTATAAGGGCAGAAGATTCTCTCTAGCTAGGGTGGTGGGTGGTTTATCATTGAACTTTTCACAAGTCACATGAGCATGTGGCTCTGATGGAGGGAGGGAGGCTGCCGAGAACAAATAACAGCTACTTTATCTTTCTTTGAATGATACAAGATACAAGCTCAAGCTGAGGAAGAGCATTTTTATTTTAGACATGTAAACAAATGACGCCGAATTCCAATACAAAAACAAACATTTCAAAAGAAACTCCTAATGGGGGCAAAAATCATGAAGGGGGAGTGATAGAAACAAAGAATTCTACATAACAAACTTTTTCAAATGTTTAAATTTTTTAAAAATCGAGTCACCTTTTCTGGGCTGGGCTCTGTATATCCAGTTTTCGTCATCCACTTCCACCTGCTGCCCACAAACCGAGAGCTCTCCATCACTGCGAAACAGCCTCTTTGTCTGCCTGGACAAGGAGGAGAAATTTATCCAACTTACAGCACGTGAGAGAGAACCTGTATTCGGCTGGAGTCTGAAGGAACCTGAAGAGCCTTCCTTTTTCATCTTCTTTTCAAAATCAACTAGAGACAAAGAACAGCCCAGCAAACAAAACGCTGGGTTTTTTGCGTTGGCCCAGGTCCTCTCCACGAGCCTGCTGTTTCCCTCTTAGACAACGCTGACAGTCAGGCACCGCATTATCCAAAAAGACGGCTTCTGTGTCACCCAATTAAAAAGAAAGGGAAAAGGAGGGGTTAAGAAAGAAAAGAAAAATGTTTTACCCTAGCCACATTGTGGACTCCGTTTCTAGATCCGCGATATCCACGGCCAAAAAATAATAAACAAATAAAAGTATAATTTAAAAAATGAAGCAGCGTGTTCATTTCAGGAGTACTTGTCAGGACTTTGCAAAACACAAAGCCAAGGCACCCCGACTCTTTGGCGTGTCCCTAGCATCCCAAATTGTAATCCTACTCCTCTCCTGGGCATCTTTCCCCACCAGGGCAGAAAGCCAGCTGCCCTGGTGAAGTAACTCCTCACCCTAGAGAAAAAGAGTCAGGGTCAAGCCAGGCACCCAGTTTACAGTTCACCCACACGGTTACTTGGGAGAAATCAAAGAGCTCAGCTCACTCGCCCCAGCACAGGGCAGAATCATAAACCGCCCACTTGCTCTCCTTCCCGTCTGTGAAGCGCTCGTTCAGAGCCGCAGGACTCCGCAAACAATAAAACCGGCTGCGTGGCTATTGCCTGGATTACAGAGCAAGCACTCCTGCGAAAGACGATAGGCTTTCCCGACACCAAAGGCACCTCATTGGAGACAGAAAACCCCGCCTCTCCACAGTCAATACTTCAGTGGCAGCTCAAACTTCTGAACTTTAGCGCAGCTAGGGGTATGCAAGTCTGTGCAGAATACAGACTTCTGGGCATAAAGAAAAAGAACTTGATTATGAATTATCAAACCATACTTCTGAAACTACAATTTTGAGAAGGGGCTTAATACAGTAGATAGATAGATAGATAGATAGATAGATAGATAGATAGATACATCCAACATTCCTAGATGGATTTAGGAATGTCCATCATTTAAGGAAGTATATTTCCAAAGAGAATATAACGGACCCGGCTATTCACTCCCAGCTTCCAACAAAGGTGAAACGCAGCCATCATTGTACCTGTTACTGTCACTCCTGCCTGTCACCAGCAGCCAGAGTGTGGGGCTGGATCCTCCTCTGCCGTATCACTGGGAGCCCCTGGGGGTTATTCCTCTCCAACCTTGAATGATCATCCTATCACAAAGAGTCATCAGAGAGCTACGCTAGTGGCACTTAGCTGCAGGCTCTAGCCCTGAGCCTCCTCTGCAAACTATCTAGAGCCACAGCTTGCAATGCATTTGGGTGTAGCATTTCACCCAAGGCTAACTTACTACAATTCCACGGTCCTAGGGGTGTTAAAAGTCCCTGCAACTTTCCATCATAGAGACTTGGGTCGGCATCTCCTTCTCCCAAGCGTTATTTGGGGTAAGGCAAATAAGCAACGAGTAGAGAACTAGGTCTGTAGCACTTTGCTTTACTCAGCATCGATCAGATACATTAAAATTAACAAACTGCAATAGAAAATAAACTGATTAAAAATTTTAAAACCAGAATTTTGCATCATACATCTACTCCAATTCACTGAGATTTTAAGAAGAAGGCTCTACAAGCTTACTGGGACAGGAACACTTGTAGAAGATAGTCAGAAGTTCTACAAAGTGTTACTAAGATAGGCAGTTCATATTACACCATGTAAATAATGACAGAGAACAGGTATTACTAAGGCAGAAGCTACAAAGCAGCCTCAGTTTAAAAGCTAAAAGAGTCCTTGAGATCACGTAGTTTAAACTCCATGATTTTCAGATAGGAAAACTCAGGCCCAGAGAAAGTATGTTCATACCCAATGTCACACAGAGAAGTCAGTAATGAGGACCAGGCTGCAGCCGACACCACTTGGATCAGAGATTCACACACTTACCAGGGATGCTTGCTACATCACCAAGTGCTCTGGGCCTGTTTCAGTTATTAATTGCAATAATATCTCCACTTTGACTACCATTATTTTATTTTCTTTTTTTTGAGACAGAGTCTCACTCTGTCGCCCAGGCTGGAGTGCAGTGGCATGATGCAAGCTCTGCCTCCCGGGTTCACACCATTCTCCTGACTCAGCCTCCCGAGTAGCTGGGACCACAGGCGCCTGCCACCACGCCTGGCTAATTTTGTTTTTGTATTTTTAGTAGAGACAGGGTTTCACCGTGTTAGCCAGGATGGTCTCGATCCCCTGACTTTGTGATCCGCCTGCCTTGGCCTCCCAAGGTGCTGGGATTACAGGCGTGAGCCACCGCACCCAGATGACTACCATTATAAAGGCAAAGTTAAAATAGTTGTGCATAACACCAGTGGCTAACATCAAACATCCACTCTCTTCTTTCTGAGTAGAAAACACTTTTTGAGAGTCTCAAAATATAAAAGGAAAAGTAAAAAAAGACCATCTCACCAGAGAAATCCATTAATGCCCCAAATGCTGTTTGCCATTTCACTGGTTCACGAGACCCCCGCCACACATCTGTGCACACTCAAAGGAGCCATGGAACCCAAACAATGAACACAATTCTCTTCTCCCTACTCTCTACATCCTGCAGCTGCATTTTTAATTTAAAAATATCTGGCTGGGCACGGTGGCTTACGTCTGTAATCCCAGCACTTTGGGAGGCCAAGGTAGATGAATCGTTTGAGCTTAGGAGTTCAAGCTCGGCCTGGGAAACATGGCAAAACTCTGTGTCTACAAATAATGCAAAAAAAAAAAAAAAGAAAAGAAAAAAAGTTAAGTCAGGCATGGTGGTACTTGCCTGTGGTCCCAGCTACTCAGGAGGCTGAGGTGGGAGGATCGCTTGAGCCCAGGAAATCGAGGCTTCAGTGAGCTGTGGTTGCACCACTGCACTCCAGCCTGGGCAATAGAGTGAGACCCTATCTCAAAAGAAATAAATAAAAATAAAAAATTATATATATGCTTAAACCTTGTGTGTTCTTCTTTTTTTGGAGACGGAGTTTCCCTCTTGTTGCCCAGGCTGGAGTGCAATGGCGCAATCTCAGCTCATCACAACCTCTGCCTCTCGGGTTCAAGTGATTCTCCTCCCTCAGCCTCCCGAGTAGCTAGGATTACAGGCATATGCCACCACACCCAGCTAATTTTGTATTTTTAGTAGAGACGGGGTTTCTCCATGTTGGTCAGGCTGGTCTCGAACTCCCAACCTCAGGTGATCTGTCTGCCTCGGCCTCCCAAAGTGCTGGGATTACAGACATGAGCCACCGTGCCTGGTCCAAGTGCTATTTTTTATTTACCAGAAGTGCTGTTGAGCGCTTTCCTCAACTCCCCCTCCATGGAATGTGCATACACACAGCAGCAAAGGTGAATTGGTATCATTAGTAACTGGCGTGTTTTCCTCCAGGGCCCCCAACCCTGTACACTTCAAGGAAAGGGTTAACAGGAGAAGCTAAAGGAACATTTCCTGCCAAGCAGCCAAAATGATAACTAGTCCATTCAGGGACTAGACTCATGACTCTCCGTCAAAGTAAGTGCCCACGTCTGCCAGATTTCCAGAAACTGTGCACCCACAAATCATAAGACCTAGGGATACGTTTGTATAATAACCAATTCTCTGTCTACTGGCTAGTCCATATTTCTGTTATATTGGGCCTTGATTATTAAATCTTCATTTATCTAAGAAAGTCAAATAAATTAACTACTTTTACAACTGGATCAGAGTTCCTGTTGATCAAGAGAATATAATGGTTTAAATCAGCTTTGTAGGTAATAATTAGATCTTAACTATGCATATTAGATATATACTCTAATTAGCTTAGAACATCCTAAGTGGGCTTCTTAAGAAGCTACTATATTCACTCAAGCTATATTTGTTTAGCAACCACGATGAACCCCACATTTTAGTTATGTGGATTATCAACCCAAGAGCCATACAAATCAGCCCCTCCTGGCAGCAGGGCCAAGGCTACTTTGTGCCAAAAGCTTCCTGTATATTATTGCTAACCTTCACAATAACCCTGCCGTGGAAAAATCCCTACATTTATTTATTTATTTATTTATTTATTTATTTATTTATTTATTTATTTTGAGGCAGAGTCTCACTCTGTCACTCAGGCCAGAGCGCAGTGGCGCGATCTTGTCTCATTGCAACCTTCGCCTCCCGGGTTTAAGCGATTCTCTTTCCTCAGCCTCCCAAGTAGCTGGAACTACAGGCGCGCATCTCCACGCCTGGCTAATTTTTGTATTTTTAGCAGAGACAGGGTTTTGCCATGTTGGCCAGTCTGATCTCAAACTCCTGATGTCAGGTGATCTGCCCGCCTCAGCCTCCCAAAGTGCTGGGATTACAAGCATGACCCACCGCTCCCCGCCTGCAAATCCTACTTTTACAGTAATTGGTTTTTAAAAAAAATAACTTCAGCTATAATCTTCAAAGTAATGAAAACATCTTAACGTAGCTATTTTTCTCCAAGAAAACCTACATTAGACTGCCTTGTCCCCATGTGAGACAGACGTGCTGAACAGATTTTATCTGCCTTCCTTACCGTGCTGGGCTGCCCCCTCCCCTCTCACTGTCAGGCTGTCAAATTCGAACTTCTGCTGTCATCACATGTGCCAATAACTGCTCCCTTCCTACCACTTTGCCACTGCTGAGCTTCAGGCCTTAGGAATCACATAAACAGGCTTGTTTAAATTACATGTTTAATGGGAGTTAATGAGGGCTCACGGAATAAAAGGCAGAGCCTCTGTGGAAGGGCTTTGTCGCAGCTGCCTTTGGCCAGCACCCCCCTCCTTCACCAGCGGGACGGAAGCCCCAGGGTTGAAATGGCTGAAATGGCTGGAGGAGCAGACCCTGCATAATGACCCCCAGGTGGATCTTTACACCATGTTTATGATCAATTGCATCTTTTATACTTAGTTCTCCACATTTGAGGGTCACTTACCCATCACTGCTGACAAAGGGACAAGAAATTACTCTATATTACTCTATATATTTCAGAAATGATTTACATAATACATTAAGGAAAATTTAACTATAAAAACTGGAGGCACCAGAATAAATTACTAGAGGAAGTTCTAGAATCATCTCCTTTGGGAATTCCTAAGTCAAATGCCCATGAATTTGGAAAGATTTATCTATGCTTCTACCAAGAGTCAAAGGAATAGACTGAATATATTTGGAAGGTTCTTGCCATAAGACACAATATTTTATGTTTCAGCATATACTGGCATCCTGAAAAAGGAGTTTATCATAAATGAAAGTTGGAGACTTAATAAAAAGTGTTAAAGAGGACAGGATATAGGATTAGACAAACCTTTCAACGCAACCAGGCATGTAATTGCTCTACTCGCCATCTGTGTAAAATGCCAGCCAAAAATAGGAACTAATTTCAAGTGCCATCAGTTTTTTGGCCTCACAGGCCACAAATGAGCACTGTGACTTTTCATTTCCATGTGTAGCTTGCCTGCCCTGTCAAACCTAGCAAAGAGAACAAGAGAGGCAGCACCCTGAAGTTAGAAATCAATGGGAAAACACGGCTGGATTGCAAGCGCCGCTGGGGTTGGCTGGTTTGGCTGGGAGTGAGGTGCATAAACAGAAGGCATGTGAAAAGAGACAAAGGTGCAAAGAGAACCACATAGAGCACAGAAGAGGACTACTCTCAATGGTGTCACGTTCTGAAGTGGCCCTGCCTGGGCTGGGAGCAGTGAAGTGTGCCTCTCATCAGATTACCACATGAATCACCCAGACAACCCACAGGGACCTTTAGCTTAGGACAGCGTACAGTAGGTTTTCCAACTGTCATCTCCTGTGAATAATTTAAGAGTACACTTAAATGGAAATCTTTCTATGAGGTAATTTGTACACACGAATAATGAAAGCTTATCTCAATATCAAAAGTAAATACTTTGAGCCAGATATTTATAATTAAAAAAACAAAACAACCAAACGGTATTACCCCCAGGACCACAGCAAACACATTCCCCATAGTACATTAAATCCTTCTTCCTTTATCCACCTTTCCACCCACCAAGGAATGAAACAAGTGATTGTACTCTAGAAAGAAGTCATGGAAGGCAAAACGCAGCTAATTACCTAATCAGCGCCGGCCCCGTTTTCAGGTTGCCCTCAACTACCACTGCTTTAAAACTTAAAAGAAGGAAAAGCACTGACTTCTCATTAAACCCTGGCTTTAAAAGCCACAGTGCCTTCAACGGAATTAATAGTGTTGTTCCCCTCAAAGGGAAAGACTCAACACAAACATTTATGCATATGTATCACCACCAGCCCAACTCCCACCTTTCAAAGTCTTCATGCCTGAAAAGGGCGAACAGATCTGACATCCTAAGCCTTAGCTGCACTGTCCCCATGGGATCACTTGATACAGAAGCAATATGGCAGATTATTGCTCTCAGTCCCCTAAGGTGCAAGGGGACAAAGGATGTCGCTGGTAAAGAAGCCGCCACTGACACAGAACATGGACGTCAGAGGCTTGGTAAGCAGTACATAACCAAAAATGCAACATCTGTACCAACTTTCACCAAGAAAATGTCCCCAACCTAAGGAGTTCAGATTACAAGAAATCCTAAAACAGCATCAACTTTGAGATTCTTCTAATATAAGAAGACCAAGGGCAAACTTATTCTGAGATCAAAATAAAATTCCAAATAAATAACTTTTTTAAAAATCATGACTTCCTTTGTTCTTGATACCTTTCCTGTAGCCTCTCCAGTGATCACTGTGGTTATTATTTTTTTTAATCTACTCAACCAGTTTTTCTTTTTTTTTGTAAATTGTATTAAGCACTTAAAATCATAGGAGATCTTATTGAAATGCAGAGTGTGATTCAGGTCTGGGGAAGGGACTGCAATTCTGAACTCCTAGAAGCGCCCAAGTGATGCTAGTGCACAGACTGTATTTAAGTTAGCACAGTGCTAGACTATAATGCCCCTGAGGCCAGGAAGCTCATCTGTCATCTTCCTGTCCCTTACAGCAGTGGTCCCCAGCCTTTCTGGCACCAGGGACCAGTTTCATGGAGGACCATTTTTCCATGGACAGCAGGGTAGGGAGTGGTTTCAGGATGAAACTTCCACCTCAGCTCATCAGCAGCATGAGATTCTCATAAGCAGTGTGCAACCTAGATCCCTGGCATGCATGGCTCACAACAGGGTTCGCACTCCTATGAGAATCTAATGCCGCTGCCTGTCTGACAGGAGGTGAAGCTCAGGCAGCAATGCTCGCTTGCCCACAGCTCCCCTCCTGCTGAGCCGCCTGGTTCCTAATAGGCCACAGCCTGGGGTTTGGGGACCCCTGCCTTATAATGCCTTATACACAGCCAGCATTTAGCCAATGTTGGTTGACAGGGTGAAAAAAATGGAACCATCCATCATTTCCATGTTACCTTTTTATTTTGATCTTAACAAGTTTCAGCGTAAGGAGATAATTAGGCCTTTATAGCAATCATTCCTTTATCACTAAATCACAAAAAGCAAAAGTAAAATGTATAAACTGGCAAAAAGTATACAACCTGAATTAAAGGGTTAATAATAAAACCCCATTCATATGGCCATACTGTTTCACTTTGGGAAGAAAGAAGCTTATTAACTGATAGGCGTATGCTTTTCTTCATTTATTAGGACATCTTCACTGCTTCCATCCACGAGAACTTCAGAATCCAATGATCCAGACCAGCCCAGTGCAATCAACAGTGAGCCAAATCAAAAAGCAGCCTACATTCTACCTGATAATCCACACACAGGCTGGGATCTGCTGGGTTCTACTAGGTGAATTGAATTGCTCCATGCCAGTGGAAAATTTTTTCACATCAGTTTTTCCTAGTAGATGTTTAAAAAATTACAAAGAATTTTCCAATCGACCTTACGTGACCTTTTAAAGCATTTATTCTATTTAACTCTATCTTTAAAACTATACTCACTATGGCTCTATAGTGCTTACACCGAATATATCTGACTTTTAACGTTCTATCAATTCAGCCTACTTTTACTGTGCTACTCCTACATGCTAAATATATGTGACACATTGCTTGATACAAGCAGTGATTTCCAGTGAAGCAGATGAACCTTACTTTTAATAATCTATTAACAGAATTGAATATAAAGTAACAAAATTCTTTAATCAGGAGCATCCAGGAAGCAAAAATATCGAGTACGTTTCCAAACAAGGAAAGAGACAGAAATGCAAATACATATATTTAGAATTATTGCAGCTAGGCATCAGTATGTGCATCACCTCCAGAAACGGCAAAGAGCCCAGTTACAGGGATCAGTTCAAATATTTATTGATCTCTTGCTAGGAGATGGGCCAGGCAGACTGATTCTAAAGCACAAAAGATAGGGCCCTCCCCTAGAGGAGTATAAAATGTGTTGTAGGAGACAGATATGCACAGTTACTTTCAACATACTGCAAAAAAAGAAATACAAGAAACAAGTAGTAGGCCTGAGTCAAGCCTCTGGGCTTGAGTAATTTCTTCGGGATGAGATGTACTCTCTAGCTGAGTTTTCTAGCAGTCGGGAGATTTAGCCAACCAGTGGTGTGTTAGTAAACTGGCTCTCTGGGGCGGGGATGAGGGACGTGGGAAGCCATGACTTATAATACATATTTGCCAGTTTCCATGATATAAAGCCTCCCACCATGGCCACTTTCAAGCTACCAACAATTTAACAACCAGCCTGCTAAAATCTTGAAATTAAGAACTGGCTCCCATAGTCAGTACGTGCTGGCTCCAGTACACCACTGAATTTGGCCAACACAATCGTTTGGCAAACACAATAACTTGGTAGAAAATTAATAGCCCCACAATTACCAATTCTTTAAGTATTAGCATGGGTGGAGGGAGAGAAATCTATAAATGTTACCTGACATGGGAAAAAGATACATAGGTATGATTCAGTTAAGGATCTGGAGATGTAGACTATGGTGGATTAGCGCGGGCTAATATAGCCCTGGGCGGGCTATAAACGCAATCACATGTGTCCTTTCAAAGAGAGAAGCAGGGGGAGGTTTCAGCTGGAAGAGGAAAAGGCAATGTGACCACAGAGGCTGAGATCGAAGTGATTCAGCCACCAGAGCTGGAAGAAGCAAAGAACTGGATCTTCCCTAGAAACTCTGGAGGGAATGCAGCCCTGCCAACACTTTGATTTCAGATTTCTGGCCTCCAGAGCTATGAGGGAATAAATTTCCATTGTTTTAAGCCACCAAGTTTGTGGTGGTTTTTAGAGCAGCCGTAGGAAACTGATGCAGTGGAGTACCAATGGGAGTTTTGCAACCTGCTCTATCTTTAAGCATTTCTGTTCATTTTGTAAGAATTCTGAGATTTTTTGCACTCGTACTTTTCAAATTTTCTAATTCCTTACCAGTCCTTTTTTGGTGTTGTTCATAAAAGCAAAAGTTTGGAAGACTAGGCCTAACAGGGAATGAGTAGAGGCAGTTTAAGTTGCCAACAACTAGCAACTCAGAGAAATTTTTCACAGGCCTGAGCGCGGTGGCTCACACCTGTAATCCCAGCAGTTTGGGAGGCCGAGGTGAGAGGATCACCTGAGGTCAGAAGTTCGAGACCAGCCTGGCCAACATGGTGAAACCCCGTCTCTACTGAAAATACAAAAATTAGCCGGGCATGGTCGTGTGTGCCTGTAATCCCAGCTGCTTGGGAGGCAGAGGCAGGAGAATCGCTTGAACACAGGAGACTGAGATTGCTGTGAGCCGAGATCATGCCACCGTACTCTGGCCTGGGTGACAGAGTGAGACTCCGTCTCCAAAAAAAAAAAAAAAAAAAAAAAAATTTCAGGAAAAAAAGTCAAAGCAGGATCTGCAAGCATTTACACCAAGTGTTGAGAGGCAGTGACACTGGGTTGGTGTGGCCTCAGGCTCTTACTTTCTGAATCTTGTAGTCTACTCTGTTATATCAGAATGCTCTGAATGAGGAAAAAAAATTAGATTTTGAGGTTCTACTTTTTCTTTCTTTTTTTTTTTTTTTTTTGAGTCAGAGTCTTGCTCTGTTGCTTAGGCTGGAGTGCAGTGGCGCGATCTCGGCCACTGCAGCCTCTGCCTCCCAAGTTCAAGCGATTCTCGAGCCTCCACCTCCCAAGTAGTTGGGATTACAGGCGTACACCACCACACCTGGCTAATTTTTGTATTTTTAGTAGAGACGGGCTTTCACTATATTGGCCAGGCTGGTCTGGAACTCCTGACCTCAAGTGATTCGCCCGCCTCAGCCTCCCAAAGTGCTGGGATTATAGGCGTGAGCCACTGTGCCTGGCCCAAAGTGGCCTTAATTTAAAGAGCAGTTTTTAAATCACTGAGAATATGTAAATGGAATACTATAAATAATCTTCAACAATTTCAGGGCACTCCATTTCAATACCAAAAAATCCCTTTTCCCCTGAGGAATAACTGGATGACCATGAATGAGAATGTAAAACATTTTTAAAAGAACAGAAAAAAAAGAGATGGGACCAAAAAAAAAAGAGATGGGACCAAAAAAACTTCGAAAAATTTTGAAACCAGTAAGCAAATAGTCATAATGACCCATTTGCTTTCAGTCACCCTGTTCTAGACAGATCACTGCTGCCATTTTGGTAGTGTAGATGTATTTGATAGGTGAAGATACTGAGGAAGAATGTGATGAAGTATCTCACCTAAGGTTCTGAGCTGAGCATCCGCCCAACCCCAAGTCAGGAGCCTTCCCTTTAACTCTGCTGAGGGCCACTGCCTGTGGGTGTCTCCCCTGGGCTACTGCCATGCCCTGGGAACTGGGTGACCTGCTTTTGGCTGTGCACCTTCAATCTGTCCTCCCTACCACCAGGCACACCACGCTCCATGCCTCCAGGCCCTTGACTCTTTATCTCCTCCATCTCTGGAACATTTCTCATCTTTTCCACCGGCTTTACTTTTACTCACCCTTCAAAACTTCTGCCGGGAGCTGTCTCCATTCAAATAAGCAAATGTTTATTGGGTCCTGTATCACTTAACTACTGCTGCCTCCCAAACTCCTGCAAAACCCAATGGCTTAAAGCAGTCATCAGTTACAATTTCTCACAAGCTAGTGGGTCATCTGCAGGGCAGTGAATCTCGGCTGAACTCGGCTGAAGGTGGCTTTGCTCCAAGGTGGCTCTCCCCGTGTGCCTGAAAATGAGGAATTTCCTGGGACATGGAACTGCAGTTTTAAAATGGGGGCAGTCCTGGGTACAAAGGATGGCTGGTCACCTTGGCGGTGACCTCCAGGTGTCCCTTCCCCTCCTAGGACTAGCAGGCCAGTCCAAGCCTGTCTTTTCCATGGCAATGGCACCAGAGAGCACAAGCTCAGCTGCAGAAGCTTCCTAGGCAGGAGGGCTGCTCACTTTCCACTGGCCAAAGCAGGTCATGTGCCTAAGCCCAGCATCATGGGGAAGGGAAATAACTCCACTCGCCCAAGGAAGTGGGGGCAGGGGGTGAATATTTCTGAATCTCATCTACCACAGGCACCTACTTGGGCAAGTTACCAAGGGTTAAAGGCTCCAAAAACACCATTCCTGACCTCAGGGATTGGGCTATGTGAGGTACCCCTGCTATGTGTTCCCGTAACACCCCACGCAGAGAGATGCTGCGCTTCACCCGTCACATCTGAAATTATGCATTTGCCATTCCAGACTGTAAACCACCCAAGAGAAAGAACTGAGGCTTCTGTCACTGTGTGCCCAGGACCCGGCATACAGTAAGCACTAAACTGATGTTTGTTAAACTGCACTGGTCCATCATATGCTGTTCATCGTCATGTTCAACTCTCTCCTGACAGATGAACTCAAGTTTCTTTACTGGACCTCCTTTGATATTCCCCCACATAATCTAATCTGGCTTGATTAGATACAGAGCCAGAGAGCATATATTTTAAGGCTTTGTCAACTCTATAGTCCCCACTGCAACAACTCAATCTGCCATATGAGGGAGGCCAAGGTGGGAGGATCACTTGAGGCCAGGAGTAGGAGAGCAGCCTGGACAACAAAGTAAGACACTCCCCACACCCCACCTCCCACCTCGTCTCTACAAAAAATAAAATGAGCTGGATGCGGTGGTGCTCGCCTATAGTCCCAGCTACTCAGGAAGCTGAGGCAGGAAGATCATGTGAGCCTAGGAGTTTGAGGCTGCAGTGAGTTATGAATGCACCACTGCACTCCAGCCTGGGCAACAGAGCAAGATTTTATCTCAAGTAAATAAATAAATAAAATAATATTAAAAACCTTCCACTGACTCTGCAACTAAAGGAACCATAGACTTGGTATCTCTTATAAACTAATTCACCTGATCCTTTTCCTACAACCTTGTTTGTGTAATTAAATGAACACTTCACAGCTGGATATATCTAAAAATTGATCTCTATTGCAAATTTGATTAAGGGCATAGCTGTTTGTGTTTCTCTCACATACTGTGTATTAAAATTTCACTCTTTTAAAACTTAAAAAATTTAAGATGACTTTATCTTTGTATGTTTTTCTCTTCAGCTCTACACTTTTTTACAGCCATGTGCACGGCCAACTCTCCCGACAGTCATCAAAATCCATAAGTAGAAGGGCTATTTAGTGAAGGGGAATCCAATTTCATAATGACTACTTCAGTGGTCCCTGTGCAATTACTTTTGTTACAGTCTTAAAGTAATGAACTTATTCAATAAGGAGAAATGTAGAGAACAAAAGGCCTAAAGAACACTTAAGACACTCAGACACTCGGAAATTTGAGGTTGAAACACTTGTTCCCCAGGACCAAAACTGGGTGTGTTAAATCAAGACAACTTCTATTACCATGAAGATATGCCACCACGAAGAACTTCAAAGAAGGACGAAGTACCTCTACAAAGTAAACACCACGCCCTTTCCACTGATGGCAGACTGAAGTGGACTGATGGAGACTGGCGAGCACAGACGGAGACATTTGTTCCAGAGATTCTCCTTCCTAATCGTCCTCCTCCCAGCCCAGCCACGCAGGCATTTCCCTGAAACACAGGAAGAACTACAACAGAGCTGCCGCAAAATGCACCTGTGTGGGTAAGGACCACAGGGCCTTAACAGCTGTACTCACCCTTGGCTCTCATTTCTCTCCTTGAACCCCGGCATGCTACAGACACCCGGGCCTTTATTTCTTAGAGTTGTTATGAAAACTAAGTGAGAAACGCACATTATTAGCACTCAGTAACTGATAGGTTATTTTCAGCAACAGCAGGAGCAGTCCTTGAAATAGATGTGGCTGGTGGACCAGCACAGATGATTGGCTAGGCTGGAAGCAGATGATTAGTTACACCTGGTGTGTACAGGGAGCGAGAGGTGAGCTGGGATTGAGAGTCAGATTCCCATCAGGAAAATATTTCCCATCAGGGAGATATTTCACTCATGCCAGAATTATGAGGAAAAGAAGTGAGCACCCAAGTCTCACCTGTAATAATACGATTCTAAAAGTGACCAACTTGTGTCATTTCACCTACTTGTGAGGCATATTTTTCTTCACTAAAGGATGTGAGGCAAGGAATGGTTCAAAGAAGAGTGTGAAATTCCGACAAGTTAAAGGAAATTACTACAAAAATAGCACAAATATAGCTACCTTACCTCATAAGGAATGTCAGTTATTTTAAACGACTGAAAAATTTTAAAAAATTGAAAACTCCAAATTTGGTCAAACTTCTCTCTCTCTTATGTTCCATCCTAAAGTTTGTTTCACTGGTAATTTTTCTAAGGAAAAAAAAAAGTGAACACAGAAGAAAAATACCAGGCACTGAATCGCTCCATAAAATACACACCACTGGTTACAGTTGATAAGAAAATGCTTAGTTAAAAGTGAGTTACATTTCAAAATAGGGGGAAAAGGCAAGGAATGTTAGCTCACACCTATAATCCCAGCGCTTTGGGAGGCTGAGGTGGGAGGACTGCTTGAGGCCAGAAGCTCAAGACCAGGGAAACACGGCAAGTCCCAGTCTCTACAAAAAAAAAAAAAACTTAAAAATTAGCTGGGTGTGGTGGTGAATGCCTATAGTTCCAGCTACAAGGGAGCCAGAGACAGGAGGATCACTTGAGCCCAGGAGTTCAAGGTTGCAGTGGAGCTGTGATTGTGCCACTGCACTCTAGCCTGGGCAACAGAGCAAGACCCCAACTCTAAAAACAAAAACAAATAAATAAGAAGAAAAAGTTAATAGTGTCAAAACCTTTTTTTTTTTTTTAGATGGAGTCTTGCTCTTGCCCAGGCTGGAGTGCAGTGGTGCAATCTTGGCTCACTGCAACCTCCACTATCCAGGTTCAAGAGATTCTCCTGCCTCATCCTCCCAAATAGCTGGAATTACAGGCACCTACCACAACATCCAGCTAATTTTTGTATTTTTAGTAATGACAGGGTTTCACCATGTTGACCAGTCTGGTCTCGAACTCCTGATCTCAAGTGATCTGCCCACCTTGGCCTCCCAAAGAGCTGGGATTACAGGCATAAGCCATTGTGCCCAGCCCAAAATCTTTAATTTATAACATAGTCCAACATCAGTTATTCAGCACATAGGGAATTATAGCAGGGTATAGCCTACACTTGAGGTACAGTAAGTAACATCACTTAAGAAGTAACAAAGCCACTTAAGAATTAATATGTCAATATATGCTCAGCCACTTCCAGAAGACACACCCTTTACAAAATAAGATTACAATGAGGTCTGAGGAAAGATTAAAATCTAATTTACTTAACTAGGGTAAGCTTCATAATAAAGTCTACCTAGAGAAATCAATAGTCTCATCAAATGTTCTGCCACCAGCCTAATAAAGGTAGTGGGGAGAGTGTGAAAGAGGGGATGATCAGTAAGCATGTGCAGGTTTAGGATCCAGAGCCAAGCACAGGGCTTGGGACACTGTGAGTACCCTGTGTTTGACAGCCTGGTGCTGCTCAAAAACAAACCACACAGGATGGGCCAGGCCCAACTGAAACTGCATCAGTGCTTTCATTCTCACCCATGGCTGAACATCAGAGCCATCTTTCATAAAGGTTCTTATTCAATAGGTTATGGGTAGAGTGGGTTTGAGTTTTCTCGTTGGGCGCGTGTGTTTTTTTTGGGTGGGGATGGAGTCTCGCTCTGTCATCCATGTTGGAGTGCAGCGGTACAATCTCCGCTCACTGCAACCTCCGCCCCCTAGGTTCAAGCGATTCTCCTGTCTCAACCTCTCGAGTAACTGGGATTACAGGCGCATGCCACCATGCCCGGCTAATTTTTGTATTTTTAGTAGAGGTGGGTTTTTGCCATGTTGGCCAGGCTGGTCTCAAACTCCTGATCTCAGGCGATCCGCCCACCTCAGCCTCCCAAAGTGTTGGGATTACAGGCGTGAGCCACCACACCTGGAGGCACTTGTGTTTTTAAACAGCTTCATGCGCCTGGAGCAGTGGCTCACACCTGTAATCTCAGCACTTTGGGAAGCTGAAGTGGGTGGATCACCTGAGGTCAGGAGTTCGAGACCAGCCTGGCCAACATGGTGAAACCCCATCTCTACTAAAAATACAAAAAATTAGCCAGGTATGATGGTGGGCGCCTGCAATCCCAGCTACTCGGGAGGGCATCAAGAGCAAAACTCTGTCAAAAAAAAAAAAAAAAAAAAGCCTTCATGCTCTGTGTAAAGTAAGCCTCCTACCCTACCTTTAAGAACTACTGATCTTTAAGAAAGTTTACATTCTGTTTATAGATAGAGCTGCCAAGTTAAAAGCTGATTCTGTGTTTCAAAGAATAATATTTAAAAGACAAAGAAAATGAAGAAGCCTGACATTTTTTCGATTCTAATATTTTAAAATGTTTAAATGCACATCAGATGCAAAGCCTGAAATTCACTGCCTTGGAAGCTTCCCATGGAACATGCCAAGGTCAGTGGGTCTCTGAGTCTAAAAAGACACAACCTGGCTCCATCAGGAAGGACACAACAACAGACACTGCCTCCCACGGTCACCAGGAAAGTTAAGCCAAACACTTTATACTGTTTGTTTGTTTAAGTTACAGAACCTTGGGGCCCAAGAAGGGCTTAGAGATAATCCCATCATACACCTTCATGGTACAGATGAGGAAACAGAACCAGAAAGGTCATGTGCTAGTGGTGATGCTCGCCCCTTGGCGGCAGGAATCACATCTCAGCAGTCTACTGCTGTGCGGCCCAGCACCTAGCAGGTACTCCATAAAACCCTTAGAAATTAATTCTCAGGGCTTGGTCATCAGCAAAGTTGGGACCCAGAAACAGACACAGTTTAAAATAATAACAATAATAACTGGCTGGGCCTGGTGGCTTGCGCCTGTAATCTCAGCACTTTGGGAAGCCCAGGCGGGCAGATCACTTGAGGTCAAGAGTTCAAGACCAGCCTGGGCAACATGGTGAAACCCCGCCTCTACTAAAAATACAAAAATTGGCTGGGTGTGGTGGTGTGTGCCTGTAATCCAGCAACTGGGGAGGTTGAGGCAAGAGAATCGCTTGAACCCAGGAGGCAGAGGTTGCAGTGAGCCGAGATCACGCTATTGCTCTCCAGTCTGGGTGACAGAGCAAGACTTCGTCTCAAAAATAATAATAAATAAAAAATAAAATAACGACACTGCAACTACACTGAAAACAAACTGAGGCTAAGTAAAGCCATTTTCCAAGGTCATACCCCTCCAACAGCATGGAGCTTGAACCTATCTGTCTTCACCACTGACTTGAATCACCAGAATCATCTGTCCGTAGAACAGACACTTGGCATATTAAAAAACATTCCTTCTGAGATTAATACAGCAAGCTGATCTCTTAAAACGTGTTGTTGTTATTAAATTTTAACAGTTTGGGTGAAAAGAAAGCTCTAGAGAAGAGGAAATTAACTTTCTTATATTACAACATTAAGGGTAAATGGTTTGACTTAGAGCAGATGGCTCTATTAGAAATAAGACTTTTAACGGCTTCTTGTTAGTATCATGGTTAGTATCCCTGCCTGTTCGAAATAAGACTTTTTACCTCATCCACACACCCCACTGAAAATCATGTTTGAAATCCCGCCTTCCATATGGAGCCACCCTCAGAACACGACATGCAGTGCTTGTAGTTGACCAGCAGGTGGCAGAACAGAACAACCCATTCTCAAGAAAAACAGGCAGAGGAAGAGAACTGGTGGGTGGACCATCAGGGAGGGAGTATTTGTATCCTAACACCCGCCAAAATTGCAGTAGGAACCCGCAAAGGATCCTGCATCCAACTAACATCTGAGGGTGGCTCATAAAATGAAAGCAATCAAGTATCCATTAGCTTCAACAACCTGGAGATTAACACTCAGAAGTGTATCCTGTGCGTTCATGGGACAGTATGGGTGAGGCGTGAAGGAGAAAGCACAGAGGGCGTGCCAGCATCCCAGGGGCCATATCAAATGACCTGATCCCTAAATGATGCGGGGTGCTTATTAAAATACAGACCCGGGGCCCACCCTAGACAACCAGAGCATGTGAGGAGAGGACCAGAGAATCACCTGGGGGCCTCACGAGCCAAGCGGGGGCCTGGCTGGCTTGTGCACTACGGCACTGCCATAACCTGCCCACAGGTGAGGAGTCACCTTCCACCATGTGCTCAGGGTAGGCAGCAATGTAGAGGCTTGGCAGAGACTCGCCTGCCCCTCGCTGCTCAGCACACAGAGGGTTCAGTAGGGTCGCCTGTGACAGTCTCTCTACCTGTACCCTCCCCAGCCTCCTTTTACCCTAAACCCTCATCTATGCCTTCCCTGTCCTGTTCATTCCACCTCCTTCTCACAGTAGGAATGAATTGGTTTCCTCCTTTGCATCTTCAATCTCTTTTTCTAGATAATACGCTCCTTTCCCTCTGCTGACAACCTCTGATCCTCTACATCAGACAGCAAATCGCCTCTCCTCAGCTGGCTGCTCCTCTGAGTCGGCACAGCCCCAGCCTCTGCATCCCCAGCACTCCCTCTTCCTTGGCCCTTGCACCTTGGCATCCACACTGATCCTTCCATGGGTCCCCAGCCACCTCACAAATGAAGACACTGAATGTGCTGACCGGGCTGGCTCTGAGCCTGATTGCCAGCCTCTAGTGTTTTTCTACAATATTTCTACTCTTTTATTTTATTTTACTTTGAGACAGGGTCTCACTCTGTTGCCCAGTCTGAAGTCCAGCAGTGCGATCTCGGCTCACTGCAACCTCTGCCTCCTGGGTTCAAGCGATTCTCCTGCCTCAGCCTCCCAAGTAGCTGTGACTACAGGTGCCCATCACCATGCCTGGCTAATTTTTGTATTTTTAGTAGAGACAGGGTTTCACCTTGTTGGCCAGGCTGGTCTCAAACTCCTGACCTCAGGTGATCCGTTGGCCTTGGCCTCCAAAAGTGCTGGGATTCCAGGCGTAAGCCACTGCGCCCGGCCTACTCATACCTTTCATGTTGCTCTGGTTATTCCAAACCTTTAGGTTTTCCCTGAAGCCTACTTCCACCTTCCCTCCCAAACTCAAAGATAACCTCCCTTTGCATAAAACTACAAAGAGTCAAGCCCCTCCTTTCTCCCTTTCCCCTCACTCCCTGAGGAAAGCCCCTGCCCCTCTTCCCTCTGGTTCTTCCTTTTGGCCTACACATCCTGCCCAATCAACCACCAACTCCAGCCCTGATCTTGTCAAACTGCTATCCCGGGGCCTCTGCCTCATGAAACCCAAGCTCCTCTGCCTTCCATTTCATCCCCAACAACAGAGTCCAACCTGTCTGTATGGACTCCCCAGTTCTCCATACTCTTCAGCATCATCCCTGACCCTTGAAGCGGCTGTTTACCCTCTCCATTGGGAGAATCGGCATAGTACCAGGAAGCCTGGTCATATGGGATTTCCCTCCTTTGCACCGTGGGTTACTGATGTCAGACCACTGACACCTCACCTGTCCATCAGTGATAATCAGTTCCTTAAGAAAAAATTTAACTTTGTGGATGGTCAATAAAATTTTACTGGATAATGTAAGAAGCAAAGCTTTAGTCTTTTCCTTTCCCCTCTCAAAAATATGCTGGAACAACACAGAGAGAGGCAAATAGCACAAATATTTGAATCAGGCAGGGCTGGGTTCTAATCCTGATTTCAGCAGGCCTGTGTATTGACCATTGATCTCGGGCAATCCTCTGGGAATCGCCTCCTCTCAAGAAAAAGAACAGCAATACTGCCACCTAGTGACTGTATGGGGCAAGCATGGAGCACTCAGGAGGCACTCAGACCTATCTTTTTGAACTTGAGAATGTGCAGGATATAATCAGCAAAAGGAATAGGTAAGGGGCTATTGATACCAGTTATCAAGGGGGGAAACACTGGTGCTAAATATTACACTGTGGCTTAAGTTGCAGAAAAAAGGGATAAAATTATGAAAGTTTTCAAATATTATTTAAAGTAGTCCCTCCCCTTTATCTGTAGTTTTGCTTTCTGCAGTTGAATTCAGGTACCTGAGGTTAACTGTGGTCTAAAACATTAAATGAAAAATTCCAGAAATCAACAATTCATAAGTTTTCTCTTTTTTTCTTTTATTATTTGAGATGGAGTCTCACAATGTTGTCCAGGCTGGAGTGCAGTGGTGTGTTGATCACAGCTCACTGCAGCCTCCACCTCTAGAGCTCAAGCAATCCTCCCACCTCAGCCTCTTGAGTGGCTGAGACCACAAGTACACGCCCCCATGCCTGGCTGATTTTTTTGTTGTTGTTGTTTGTTTGTTTTCTGGTAGAGCTATCTCCCTGTGTTTCCCAGGCTGGTCTTAAACTCCTGGGCTCAAGTGATCTGCCTGCCTCAGCCTCCCAACATGCTGGGATTACAGGTGTGAGCCACCCTGCCCAGCTAATTCATAAGTTTTCAATTGAGCGCGGTTCTAAGTCGCGTGATGAAATCTCCCACCGTCCTGCTCTGTCCAGCCCTGCACGTGCACGTGGATCATCCTTCTGTGCAGCGGATCCATGCTGTGGACACACACTCTCCTGAGTTACTGAACAGACTACTCGGTTATCAGATTGGAAAAACATAATGTATCTAGGGTTCCATAGGATCCATGGTTTCAGGCATCCACCGAGGGTTTTGGAACCTATCCCTCATGGATAAAGGGAGACGACTGTAACTTTGAAAGTTCCCATTTGAAAATGTTTTTTGGGTTTTTTGCTCAATTATTCCATGACAATAAATGCATTCTCATAGCTATAATCAAACTAAAGAGAATTTAATTATCACCCTCAAGAAAACTACAGTTTCCTGCTCCCCAAAACACAATATTAAATACCCATATTATCACTTTTCAAGATTGCACAGGTAATTTCTAATAGGTCCCACACCCACATCTCAAGGTCAATTTAGCCTGCATGAAAGAAAACAACTGAATGAAAATAGAACACAAGATTCTTCATATGCAAAAATGACTGTGTAAAAACTATATAGGCCAGGCACGGTAGCTCACACCTATAATCCCAGCACTTTGGGAGGCTGAGGCGGGTGGATCACTTGAGGCCAGGAGTTTGAGACCAGCCTGGCCAGCATGGGGAAACCCCGTCTCTACTAAAAATACAAAAATTGGCTGGGGTGGTGGCAGGCGCCCGTAATCCCAGCTACTACAGTCTCAGGCTGAGGCATGAGAATCACTTGAACCCAGGAGGTGGAGGCTGCAGTGAGCCAAGATTGCTCCACTGCACTCCAGCTTGGGCGACAGAGCGAGACTGTCGCACAAAAAAACAAAAAACAACAAAAAACAAAAAACAACAACAAAAAAAACCCCTACATATCCAGAACTAAAGAGTGAAAACTGACAAGTATGCAGGTAATTGCCCTTAAGGAAAAAGGTGTGTGGATATATTTTAGTGGGCTGGTCTAAATATTTTCTAAATATCGTAAGACATATGAAACAGGGTGGCTAGGAGCTGCTATTTCAGCTTTTTAAAAGCAATTGTGATGGAGCAAAAATTTTGCCTGTAGACAATAATTAACCTTTCTCCAAAAGCATCACATATATATCATTCTATATACCAAATGCCACAGCCACAGGAAGTCAGTTGCCCACAGCCTTATAAATCAGTTTACTTGCTTCCTCATTTTCTGTTATGGACTTTCCTAGCCAAACTCTGTCATGGCAGTTCACTTCAAAATTAAAAATAAAGTTGATTTAATGGAGCCTGGATGAATCCCATCTGAAAGCCATTAAAACATACACACCCACTTCCACACAAACCAGAGAATCAGTAGAATTCAAAGACTTATTGAATCCTGAAACTGTAAAGGATCCGAGTGACAAATAATTCACATGTCCTATTAATCACAGGAGGTAGACGGGTTCTGTGATTCCAGCACTGACACGGAGGCAGTCAGGAGCACTGCTAGGACTAGAATCCCGTTGTCCTTGCCCCAGTCCAGGCTCTGCCCACTCTCCCATGCTTCAGGTCTGGCTCTGAAGTTCGTGATTCCCCGTTCATAGTCTTCAAGTACATCAGTGAGTCACGTTTCCGTTTCCTCTCACTGTTCCAAATGCTGGGCTTTGGTAGCACAGAGTTCATTCATTCACAATCATGCTAATTCACTCATACAGAGAGAGAGTGCTGACGCACTTAGGAATTATGACTTAACATGCAATTCTCAAATCAGTGAGGCCAACGGCTAACTAAACTTAAAAATAAAAGGAAATCTAGCCCTTAGCACTCAAAATACTTCCTTTCAACCTACTGTAAAACAACAAACTCACTTTCATTAGGAGATGAAAAGTGAGTCATTTCTTTCTTCCAGTAGACGGTCTCCCCAGGCACAAACTCATGCACATTATATTTCATGGGACCTTTTAAATATTTACTTGTTAGCAGTATTCTTCCTTTCGGGTCAAAGATTATAGTATTTAGCAACACAAAGAAAGCTGAGGGATAGAGTTATGAATTAGTAAACTGCTTTGCCAAGCCTTCCATTTGTTAATTCAGTCCAACTTCAAAGAGGATTTTAAAGAGAGGTTCAGCTGTCAGAAATTAACTCTAAGAAAACTGCTGAATCAAAAAGTGACTTGGGCAGTTTTTCCCAAACTGGTGTTAAGGAAAAACTGTTCAGTTGTAGGTATAGGAGCAAAAAGTATCTTCCTATGCAAATAAGCTTAGGGCAAACAAAGTTTTTAAAAGGTTTTTTGTCTTGTTCACTACAGGACTTTCCCAGCCTTTGACATGCTAATGTTGCTGTAAATTTCCAGGGATGTGGTGGGGGTCAGTTTATTTTGATCACATTAATTATGTGGTTGGGGGATGTGGATAAAATAGGAGAAATGCACTACACTGATTCAGCAGCTTCTAAGCAACAGAGAAAGGGTTTGGCTAAAGTACTAGTATTTTTGGTATTCAGTAGCAAAGAACAGTTAGACTCTCATTCACAACTATTTCAGGACAAGGTGGGAGTATCTATTCAGTCATTTGGGAGAATGAAGCTACGTAGAACTCAATCCTTGAGAGCTTAATTTACTGCCAATAGGACTGCCAATTTCGCGGGGCTTCTGCAACTCCTCCCCGGCTCTAAGCAAAAACAGCCCCTGTACCTGTTCTTGGGGACTGACGTGACATCGTTGAGTGTTTTCCCTCAACTCTTTGATCTTCATGCACTTGTCTATTTCAATGTTTTTTGACCATGGCTGTACATCAGAATCACCTAGGGAGCTTTTCACTCCACAGATGTATGGGCCCATTGCCAAATCTACAAAATACAATACGATCCCCAATAAGCAGCACCGAGAGCTGAAAACCACTCTTCTGCTTCCTAGGAAGAGCTAGACAACAGACAAATAATTGAGAGGGTGTGTACTTTAAATTGAGCACGTTGACACTGACAAGGAAAGGGCTACATAGCAAGATTTTAATGAGACCCCAAGTTTACAGATTTCTCTGTATCACTCACTCAAAAGTGGACTTTTTCTTTTCTAGATGATTTTCACAAAGAAAGAAAAATGTACTTTGAAAGGAGCAAAGTGCTTAAAACAAGGAGTGCACCACAAAATCGTTCAGGGGCCGCCTGCTGTGGTTAGCTGGCTGCTGGTTCACACGTGAGCCCAGACCCTGTTCCCCAGCACAAGCCCCATCCAGCACATGACCCTAATTTGCAACTCAACATTTCACTATATGTCTTGGACCTTTGCAAGTCACTTTAGAAATTCAAAACCAGAGATTCCCACTATGCTGAAGCCAAGCCTACTGTACAATATACATCACAGGGTGTAGGCCTCTGCAGGCCTTCTAAGTACGTCAATCACCTACAGAAGATAAAAAGTGATTTTTTGAAAACCATTTTCTTTCTAAATAATATTTACTTAAGCTATTTTATGCATACAGTCTCTAGGCAGTATATGTCAGGAAAAGGACCAGCCACTAAGAAGAGGAAGAGAGTTAAAAGTAAAGATATAGGCTGGGTACAGTGGCTCATGCCCGTAATCCTAGCACTTTGGGAGGCCAAGGCAGGAGGGTCACTTGAGGTCAGGAGTGTGAGACCAGCCTGGGCAACATAACGAGATCTTGTCTCTGCAAAAAATATTTAAAAATTAGTTGGCTGTGGTGGCAAGCACCAGTAGTCCCAGCTACTCAGGAGGCCAAGGTGGGAGGATCACTTGTGCCCCGGGAGTTCTAGGCTGCAGTAAGCTGTGATCCTGTCACTGTGCTCTAGCCTAGGCAACAGAGTGACACCCTATCTCTTTTTTTAAAACAGATATATTAAGTCTTTTTTACAAAAGTGAATTTCAATAACTTCAATATCATAGGGTAACCTGGAATCAATTATAAAAAGATTCTCTCCCTCTTTCCTTTCTTGAATTTTTTTAATCAGCAGAAAAGATATTTATGTACAATGAATGGGTAAGAATAGCACAGCATACAGGTGAAGTTGAAAGATTTCGGAAACAAAACGCTGAGTCCTATGGAGACAATGGGTAAGAGAAAGTGGAAAGTGAGGGGTCCAGAGGTTGCCATGCCACCCTTGCACCTATGTGCCACGATCTGTATAATTGGCAGAGGGACTCCAACATGGCCCGACTTTCTCCTCCTTATTATTAGCATGGTGGTGTTTCTGGGTCTCTTCCTCTCCAACACTGCCCTTCTTCCCAACCCCAAGAGAAAAAAAGGCCATAAACCCTACTTGGAAGCTAAAACCAAAAAATATCCAGGATGAAAGTATGTTTTCCTTTGCAGGTCTTATGCAAAGGAAAAGGCATAGAAAGGTAATGGTCTGAATGCCTTCCAGTAGTCAATGGTCGATCCAAGGAATGCAAAGGGGCAGAGGAGGCAGAATCTACCTCTGCCTGGCAATGGAGTAAACCTAGACACGCTGCTGAAACCCACTGGACATCAGGACTGAACAACGAAGAGGTTAAATTACCTCCCCAGGGCTCTCCCAGCATTCCATCCAGGGTTCCCATCCACCAGCACTGACGCTACTTGGCAGTTTTGAATAAACAATACAACATCTCAACTATTGTTAAACTACAATGGGAGGCCTCCAGCGTCATGTGGAAATTATTTTTAAAATGAAAGCTTTTTCATCAACTGCATGAAAAAGCACTTAATAAATCCAGAAACAGTCTAAAAGGATTATGTGGACAAGTCAAAATGTGATTTTGATGGACTAAGTGGATTGCTGAGACACATCATGACATTTAAAACCAAGTGCAGAAACTGAACTGTATTTCATTTGTTAAAACGCTTAAGATTATAAAGGAGTGATACATTTGGCAAGGTAGCCAAGGTTCTTGAAAGAATCAGCAGCGCCGCAAAAGGACATCGAGGAGCTCAATGCAGCTAATTTAAGCAGACCTGCTCCTGAGAGGTGAACCAAGCTTGGTAAGTTTTTTAAGTTCACGTCCGTTTCTCACCCACATTCAATTGGCGGGGGTGGGGGGGAAGTTCTGAAAGCTTCCATGAGATAATCCTTTAAAATAGTCTCTAGAGGCAGCGGCAGCAGCAAATTATTCATTCCTACCTTGCGTGAGTTAAGCGTGACAGAAAAACTCTCTCAAGCAGAGTTTGAAGTGCTCAGGGTTCCCGCCTTGCAATCAGAAGTTAAGACCTACCAGGAGATTGAGATCAGCCTGGCCCACGTGGCAAAACCCTGTCTCTACCAAAAAATATAAGAAATTAGCCAGGTGTGGTGGCGGATGTCTGTAATCCCAGATACTCAGGAGGCTGAGGCAGGAGAATCGCTTGAACCTGGGAGGCAGAGGCTGCAGTGAGCCAAGATCACATCACGGCACTCCAGCCTGGGCGACAGAGTGAGATTCTGTCTCAAAAAGAAAAACAAAAAGTTAAGACCTGCAAACAGCGAATAGAATACAAAAGCCTAATTCAGTGCTGGCATATGAAGCATCAATCCATAAAAATGGCTGGTTAGTTTCCGAAGTTTTGATCTGGTGTCATATAGCCTAAAGAACAAAGAATTTACAGGAAATGATTTTAGGAGCCTGGAAATTTTAATTCCATCTCAGATACTGTTATTTCCTTTTAATAGTAAAATCTACGTAACTATTGATTTGACAAGTTTTTCATTTGGCTGCCTGTGCTATTAATCATCACGGAACTTTAGTCCAAAATTCAAATCAAACATCACCATACACGCCTCACTTCCAGGTCCCGGGTACATGTTGTTCGTTTCTGGTTATTCTAGTGTAGACTCCTTGCTTACTTTGGAATTTTGGCAGGAATTGTTCACCATTTCTGAAAAATCATATCACTGACCACCTAACCGCTTGTAGTGTTTGAGTCACTAGCTTTTCATCATGGTAATTCCACACACATGTAAGCATCCAACGGTTTCATTCCATCTTCCAGTAAGTACAGTTTTGTGTGAGCAATGAATATGAAAAGGTAAAAATGGCCTTCTTTAATTTCTCCTTACATTGCAGGTAGGACATTATATTGACTTTTTAAGCATGCATGAATAGATGTATTATATTGGCTATGTGATACTCATTTCAGGGTAGAAAAAAGATAATAAAAATATTTCTTATGACTGAGAAGCACTGACCTACAGGTTATGCCAGCACTTCCCCAGTGACGATGATAATGTCATCAGTGACCTTGATGATGATTTCCAGCAGAGAAGGCGGTGCAGGTGAAACTGTCCCCCACCTTAAAAATCAGCTTTTGGCAGGGCACAGTGGCTCATGCTTATAATCCCAGCACTCTCGGAGGCCGAGGCAGGAGGATCATAGGAGCCAGGAGTTCAGGACCAGCTCAGGCAACATCTCTACAAATAATTGTAGAGATACCCCATCTCTACAAATAATAATTTTTTAAAAAATTAGGCCAGGCGTGGTGGCTCACGCCTGTAATCCCAACAATTTGGGAGGCCGAGGTAGATGGATCACTTGAGGCCAAGAGTTCAAGACCCGTCAGGCCAACATGGTGAAACCCTGTCTCTACAAAAATACAAAAATTGGCCGGGCATGGTGGTGGTCACCTGTAGTCCCAACTACTTGGAAGGCTAAGGCAGGAGAATCGCTTGAGCCTGGGAGGCGGCAGTTGCAGTGAGTCAAGATTGCGCCACTGCACTCCAGCCTGGGTGGCAGAGCAAGACTCCATCTTGGAAAAAAAAAAAAATAGCCAGATGTGGTGGTGCACACCTGTAGCCCCAGCTACTCTGGAGGCTGAGGTCAGAAGATGGCTTGAGCCCAGAAGTTTGAGGCTGCAGTGAGCCATGAACATGCCACTGCACTCTAGCAGCCTGGACAACAAAGCAAGACTTCATCTGGAAGAAAAAAAAAAAAAAAAAAAAGCAGCATTTTTCTTTCTTCTAAGAACTACTAAAAATATATGTGAACATAGACCCTTTCTCCACAATGCTCATAGATTTGGATTTGCTGACCAGACTAAAACAACGTCCAGCGTTTCCTCATCTCTTTGTGGTAGGGTGGGTGAAGCTAAACAATCCCACTAATACTGAATGCTGCCTTCATTCAAAGACGACTGCATCCTCACACTCTTAAGTACAATAATGAAAATGAAATTAAAGTAAATGGACTTACATGTATTTCTCTTTAATTCAGGTTCACCCATATGTTTCTAAACATTAGACTGCAAAAAGTGCAAGAGTCCAAGGTCAGAGCTTAGGGCCTGGAGATCCATCAGATTCCCTGTTTAATCATCAGCAAGTCACCTACTCTCTGTGTGTCCAAGTCATCTAGCTGTAAAATTTGGATCCTATTTGTCTGTTACCTCTTGACCCAGGCACAGAGTATAACCTAAGAAAACATTCTGAGCTACCTAATTGTTTTGGATTCTATTACATATTTTTTTCAAAACAAATTCTACATAATTTAGTGTTTTATGGTAACCAGTACAATATAAAAAAATGTAAGGCCAGGCGCAGTGGCTCATGCCTGTAATCCCAGCACTTTGGGAGGCCAAGGTGGGTGGATCACCTGAGGTCAAGAGTTCGAGACCAGCCTGGCCAATATGGTGAAAGCCCATCTCTACTAAAAGTACAGAAATTAGCTGGGTGTGGTGGCAGGTGCCTGTAATTCCAGCTACTTGGGAGGCTGAGGCAGGAGAATCACCTGAATGCAGGAGACTGAGGCTGCAGTGAGCCGAGACTGCACCATTGCACTCCAGCCTGGGGAACACAGCAAGTCTCCGTCTCAAAAAAAAACAGAAAGATTTAGAACTCTTTAAGGTCTTTTTCTCCTTATATAACATATGCAGAAATAATGGTGCTATTGAAATTAGAATGGACCAAGTGTATAACCCAGATACACAAGAAACTTCCAGTTTCTCATTCAGTGCTTGAGATACCTTAAGATGATCAAATCACAAATGCTCAGTTAAGTCCAATCAGATCTCAAGGCAAGATCTCAGGCAGGGTCAGCTTAGTACCTATAGAAGGCATCAGAAAGTAACTTTCCAATGTCACCTAAATGCCTTCCCTGTTGGTGCTGAGAGATTTCAGGATACAAGGAAGAATGAAGTACCTTTAAAATGAAGCAGGCCGGGCATGGTGGCTCATGACATGACTGTAATCCCAGCACTTTGAGAGGCCGAGGCGGGTGGATCACCTGAGGTCAGGAGTTCGAGACCAGCCTGGCCAACATGGTGAAACCCCATCTCTACTAAAAAAATACAAAAACTAGCTGGGCATGTTGGCATGCATCTGTAGCTCCAGCTACTAGGGAGGCTGAGGCAGAAGAATTGCTTGAATCCAGGAGGCAGAGGTTGCAGTGAACCAAGATTGCACCACTGCACGCCAGCCTGGGCAACAGAGCAAGACTCCATCTCAAAAAAAAAATATTAATTAATTAATTAAAATGAAGCAACACAGAGGTATTTTAAGGTCCACTCAGTGCTTTCTTTTCTGTTCTTTTATTTTCTTTTTCTTTTCTTTTCGAGACCAGTTCTCACTCTATTGCCCAGGCTGGAGTGCAGTAGCACAATGATGGCTCATGGCAGCCTTGAACTCCTGACCTCAAGGGATCCTCCTGCCTTAGCCTCCTAAGTAGTTGGGACTATAGGCATGAGCCTGGCAACCTTCCTTCAATTTGAACTAGCAATGCCTACTGCAAAAATTTAAGTGTTTATCAGCACTGTAAAGGGTCATTAAACTTTAGGTTACTGAGTGAAAAAACCAAAGAACATTCTTTCCAAATGCTTTTAAACTTTTATTTTACCTTTTACTTTGTAACCAAAAGAGAACATTGCTCAAAAAAATCAATTATAATCCTTGCTTCCCTGGGTTTAAGCCATTTGTTTTTCATGAAATTACTATCAATTTAAATGAAAAATAATATTAATACCTTTTAAATTCAGAGCTATACTTAAAATTTTCTTAATGTCGTTGCTAAACCAACACTTAGATCTTACTATCCCTATTAGAGCTTATAGTCTGGCAATTATAGGGATCAAACACTTTAATTTGTGAGAGAAGAAACTCATGTTTTAAAATAACCCTAACCTCCAATATTTCAACATGTTCTTTAGAAAATTCATCCCACAAAAATGGCCACTTCATTCTGTAACATGATATATCTACAAAAATCACTGTGTGTCAGAATACAATAACCACTTGGAAAGGGCTGCCTGCATTTCTAAATCATGTGTAAATCATTTGAAAGTATTTTCTCATAATGATTATGAAAGCATTAAATTCAATAGAAAACAAAGGATTCCATTCAAATGTATGTCCCTTCATTTACTTTTTAAGGTACTAAATGTATAAAATAGAATCTGGATTAACTGGAAAGAAATGAACATAAAATCTGGTTCCACTATAAATCTGAATCACTTATCCCAGAACTTTCTTCTAAAGTAAAACTCACCAGGATTGTTGGGAATCTTTTGATTATACTCCCTGGCCTGACTTTATTTAAATAACTCTTTAATTCTGACATAGCAACCATATTCATTGTTATTTTTTAAATCTGTTATGTTCTCCAGTCCCAAGCTAAACCAACACTTAGATCATTCAGGAAATGTAAAACACTGCTGGCAATCTGTTAGAAAACCCTTTAACCTTTTGTTACACATTCAGCACCATCCCTAGACACTTGTGTGGCTATTGCTCAATTGCACCTGTTATGCAGAAAACTCATACAAGAGGAGTACTATTTTAAAAAATTTACTCTTAGGTGAATCTAAAATGATTAATACTGATTATAAGAGTTTTTCTTGCCCGGGCACGGTGGCTCATGCCTGCAATCCCAGCACTCTCGGAGGCCGAGGCGGGCGGATCACAAGGTCAAGAGATCAAGACCATCCTGGCCAACATGGTGAAACCCTGTCTCTACTAAAAAAGCAAAAGTTGGCTGGGTGTAGTGGCACGCACATGTAGTCCCAGCTACTCGGGAGGCTGAGGCAGAAGAATCGCTTGAACCCGGGAGGTGGAGGTTGCAGTGAACCGAGATCACGCCACTGGATTCCAGCCTGGCGACAGAGCGAGACTCCATCTCAAAAAAGAAAAAAAAAGTTTTTCTTAAATCCAGCAACAGTATCACAAAAACTCAAGAATTTATTTAATAACAAAAACAAAAAACTAAGGCTAAAGAATAAGAAAATGTACACACTTTAACTTTTTCATTGAAAGATCTATCAGACTGCAAACCTATAAAGCCGATAAGTTTATCATTATTTCACAGGACTACAATGAGATAGCAGCATACAGAAAAATGGTAACTACTAATTAAGCTGGGATTTTTAAGATGTGAAGATGAAATATCAGGCTTATGTTTTTAAGCTTGTTATTTTGATATCACTATCAATTTACTAAAAGTTGTGTCAAATTTATAGAATAATTTGCAGGAGAATTGATATCTTTACTATGGTGTGTCTTCCAATCCATGAAATGATATGTCTCTCCATGTGTTCACGTCTTTGATTTTATCCATCAGCATTTTGTAATTTTCAGCATACAGATTTTGTATGTTTCATTAGATTTATACCTAAGTATTTCCTTTCTTATGTGCAAATACGGTTATTGTTTTCTGTTTTTGTTTTTGTTTTGAGACAGAGTCTCACTCTGTCTTCAGGCTGGAGTGTAGTGGTACTATCTCAGCTCACTGCAACCTCAATCTCCCAGGTTCAAGTTATTCTCCTGCCTCAGCCTCCGGAGTAGCTGGAATTACATGCTCCTGCCACCACGCCCAGCTAATTTTTGTATTTTTAGTAGAGAAGGGGTTTCACCATGTTGGCCAAGCTGCTCTCGAACTCCTGACCTCTGACGATCCTGCCCATCTCAACTTCCCAAAGTGCTGGGACTACAGGCATGAGCCACCATGCCCAGCCGGTTATTGTATTTTTAATTTCAGTTTCCATGGAAATGCAAATTTTGTTAGATTTACAAATGTTTGTTTCATCTAATTTTTTTTCCCAACAATATGGGGCATTTATCATTTCCCATGGATAAAGAGAATCCACTTGGAACTGAATATAGCATGCCTTTTGTTCTTTTCATCATTGGTAGGTGTAAGTGTTTAAAATTACATTCTCCTCATCAGATGCATTAAGAATCCATGCCTTCAAGGGACTGTGGTGTTGTGACAAATTAAAACAGAATTCCTTCCCGGACAGTTCATAAATCTAAAATGGAAATCATCATGGCTAAATCTATGAAGCACCCACAGAAAAAGCCCTCCAAACAAACAGAGAAATTACATTATAAACAAAAATTAATTCAGCTCACATTGTTGTTTGCTGGTTTTCTTTTATGGAAAGAAGATACCTTCCACTCCCAAAATTAGCTACTTAAGCAATGGCCAAAATATAACTATCAGTTTTAAGCTTTTAAAGCCAAAGAGTATATTGAGAGGGGATTATTTATACCATTTGAGGATTCTGAGGGGTTTTTTTAAATTTTACATTTTTTTTATTTTTTGTAGAGATGAGGTTTGTCATGTTGCCCAGGCTGGTCTTGAACTCCTGAGGTCAAGCGATCCACCCATCTCAGTCTCCCAAAGTGCTGGGATCACAGGGATGAGCCAACTGTGTCAGCCTGGATTCTGAGCATTTTAAAAACACCACCACACACAGTGCTCTAGCCAACAGGGATCTTTGATTAGTGTAAAGGTTTCCCATGCATTCCTGGGTGAGCACTATGAGGTTTGGTGGTACCTGTAAATAGTGTTTTGAAGGTCTTTTAACAGACAATTCCTGAACACCTACAGGCTGCTAGATCCCATACTAGGAGCCGAGGAATAAACAGACATAAATGAGCTCAGCCTTGCCCTCAAGGGGCTCAAAGTCTAATGACAGAAGACAAACTTGAAAATTACCACTATAAATTATTGTAGATATAGTCAGACTTATTTTAGTCCAAACTCCCCTTCTCGTACTTTAAGTCTCTTATTCTAAGAGCATCTCATCCCTTTAAAACAGAAGCATGTCAGGTACACTAAATGCTACCAAGGAAAATATGTATAGTTGCAGGGCAATGTAATTTGATGGAAGTTTAAGATTGGTTTTCATTTTTCTTTAAGAGAAAAATCACATACCTGTACCAACCACATATAAAAGAGAGAATGTGTAAAACATATCATGAATTTTAAGTCTTACCTGGAACTAATTTTAAACACCACACAGACTCTGAATAAAAGAGATGTGTCAGGCACATTGGCCCCTTGGAATGGATGGGGCAATAAAAATGTGTTCAGTACCAATACAGTGTTCAGTATGACACTTACACAAGAGCTCCTACGAAAACATTTTAGAAGCTTCATCATCAGCGTTAAGTTTTGCTAAGTGAGTTGACCACCCAGAGCTAACATGGATCAACTTAAGTAGCTCTAAATATTTTTGTTTCAGAAGTCAAACTGTTTCTAAGTATCCAACACCTTTCCCATCAGTCAACTAAAAAGAAAAATAAAGAAGTTTGATAGGAACCTTGCAAAGCTCAAGTTTCCCAAAGACAATTAATCAGAAGGTTAATGCATTCAGAATGCCAGAGGCTTCCCTGTATTCATGAAAAGCCATGTATGAGAAGTAATCATCTAAGGCAGCAGTCCTTAAACTTCAAAAATCTAACGAACACTAAGGATACTTTCTGCAGAAAACACAAATGCTATCCCTAAAATCCACAGCTTAGGGTTAAGAAGCCCTGCTCTACAACTAAGAAGCAAGGAGGGAAGGCTCTTTCTGGTTAACCTCTTACAATAAGGCACAGCTCTCTGATTCTGCAACTAAAATAATGCCTGGCAGAAAGTAAAGAACTCAACAATTATCTGGTGAATGAATGAATGAATGATGAGTATGTTATTTGCACTATGATTTATTTATTTAAAATAATTTTTTTTGAGACAGTCTCACACTGTCGCCCAGGCTGGAGTGCAGTGGCGTGATCTTGGCTCACTGCAACCTCTGCCTCCTGGGTTCAAGCGATTCTTATGCCTCGGCCACCTGAGTAGCTGGAACTACAGGCATGTGCCACCAAGCCTGGCTAATTTTTGTATTTTTAGTAGAGACGGGGTTTCACCATGTTGGCCAGGCTAGTCTCCAACTCCTGACCTCAAGTGATCCGCCCGCCTCAGACTCCAAAGTGCTAGGATTACAGCAAGAGCCACCACGCCCAGCCTGCACTACAATTTAGTCATGACAAATTGTTTCAAATTTAAGGAAAATATCTGACTTACTTGACTGACATATCCTAATTACTTTTCTTTTACCTTTTCTTCTGAAATAATTATAGACTCACAAGAAATTGCCAAAATAGTACAGAGATTGGTACACTCCTCACTCAGCTTCTCCCAACAGTAACATCTTACATAACCTGCACTGCATTATCAAAAGCAGAAAACTGACTGGCATGAAGCACAATTAACTAGACAACGGACCTGACTTGGATTTCACCATTTTTCGCATGTACTCATCTAACTACCTTTTTTGTTTGTTTTTGAGACAGGGTTTTGCTCTGTTGCCTAGGCTGGAGTGCAGTGGTATTATCACAGCTCACGACAGCCTCAACCTCCTGGGCTCAAGCAATCCTCCCACCTCAGCCTCCCGGGTGGCCAGGACAACAGGCGTGCGCCAACAGGCCTGGCTAATTTCTTTTTTGTATAATTACCTTTTCATATAAGCAAATAAAAATATAAACTCTCACATTCTCACCCCCCACAAAAAAAAGTTTACCAGAATTAAAATACTGTGGCAGTCAAAAATGGAACAGATTTTCATCAGCTCAAAGCATAAAAAGACAAAGGTGTCAGCTATCTTAAAACTGTTCTAGCTCCAGCTTCACTCATATTGTGTCTACCCACCACGACTTTGATTTGAAAGCTATTTCTAAGACATCAGGCACAAATATAAAGGCAACAATTCATCAAAGAGAAGCATCATATGATTAAAATAATTTTGCTTTCAGAGAACAGACTCAACACCATATTCATCTGATTAAGGTAAGTTTCTACACTGTTAAGAATCTGTTCACTCAATAGTGTCTCTGCTGAAGGGAACTACTTGTAGTTTTGAGAGGAAAATGGCCAGGTCTCTTGAATAGCTATCAAGCAAGGCAGAAGTGTGGTAATGTGGAAAGTGCGTGAGTACGAGAGTCATAAATTTGGGGTTTATGTAATATCCTTTGATTTCTAATTGCATATCCTTGAACAGCTCACTTAACTTCTCTGAACTTCAACTATAGGAATAACTGGAGAGGTTTGCTGTTCTGCTTTTTAAATATGGATTTTGTGAGCTCAGAATCAATAACATGGATGAAGGGGCTTCACAAAACTGCAAAGTGCTTTGTGTATACAAGTTGTTCCTGCATTCTCACAGCCCCCTGCTGTGCCTGCCACCCACAGAATGACAAGCCACCCACAAATCACAACCCACACAGGCTCCTCTGGCCTGAAGAGGCTGCAGAGGAAAGACCTGGCACCTTCCTCCTCTTCTTGCAACCAAAATACTTCATTCCCCACAGAGAAAGAACTTACCACTGTCTCATTTCCATCTGCGATAGAGTATGATTAATTAATTTCATCAACTATCATCACAACATTTCAAAATAACAAAATGATACTAAGCCCCACGGCATCCATGATGATGGACTTTTAAAATGTCTATTGATTTAGTAAGCTTACAGAATCAGCAGCAGCTTCGGCATATTGCCCTTGTCATTCTTGATCAATTAAATAGGCTGGGATTAAATCTCTTTTGTATGCTTTACAAAGCCGTCTACAACAAGGGCCCTTATCACAGATCCACTTCATAGGTCTCTTGACACCAGCCACCTAGCATTGTGTCCCCAGTGCCCATATTCCCCAGCAAAATCATGCCATTTATTGCCTCCGTGCTTTTTGTGACTGGCAGTGTCCCTACCCCACCTTCATCTGGCTACTTCTTTTTCTTTCTTTCTTTCTTTTTTTTTTTTTTTTTTGAGACAGAATCTCACTCTGTTGCCCAGGCTGGAGTGCAGTGGCGCAATCTCAGCTCACTGCAAGCTCCGCCTCCCAGGTTCACGCCATTCTCCTGCCTCAGCCTCTCGAATAGCTGGGACTACAGGTACCCGCCACCGCACCTGGCTAATTTTTTTGTATTTTTAGTAGAGACGGGGTTTCACCATGTTAGCCAGGATGGTCTCGATCTCCTGACCTCATGATCCGCCTGCCTCAGCCTCCTGAAAGTGCTGGGATTACCAGTGTGAGCCTCCACGCCCGGCCCCCATGCTACTTCTTTAATCAGCTAAGATAGGACATCCTCAAAGAGGAGGTGCCCCCAGGTGCTACCATCAAAACCTATGCATCTGTAGGTAATGCTCCACACTGTTTGGGAATTATTTCCTCTTCTTTATTTCCCTTTTCCAATTCACTCAACTTTGGATCTCTGGAAATTAGCATCACGCCTGACACTCTTAAGTGCTCAAGTAATAAATGCATCCATTCACTGAACACAAGCTATGGTGTTAATGCTGTCAACAGAAAGATGATTCAGTCAGTCTCCCTCTTACAAGTCTCTGACCTTATTGCTATGAACATTATTTCTAAATATACTATCATCGGACAAAACCAACCAAAAAAACAAAAACAAAAGTATTTACCCAGATTAGCCTTGAAACAAGTGAGAGGTCAAACTACTTCATCTGGTTCATAAACAAAAAAAGCAAACAAAGAATATTATAGCAATGTAATTTTCAATTTAGCACAACACACCTTAAAACTGTGCGTGTTTTTATGAAGTTGAGTTGGAAGTGAGATGGAATATGATCAGGATTAAAATTGTGATGGTTTGATTTTTTTCTTCAGCATACAAAAGCTTGGGGAATTCTAGAAAAACAAGTTGTGGTACATGGAACAAAAGCAAGAACAAAAGCTGTGGCCAATGCCTCATACATGCAAGGACCGCCAGGAGTCATAATCGGAGTGGGGTTTCTTGTCAGCTTCCTTCCTTCCCATGAGGCTTTGAAGTTAAATGCTTCTGTTTCAGAAGGACAACTACTCCAAGGAATTATATTCAAGAGACCAAATGGGTGCTTTGTAATGTCTTCAAATTCATACCTCCTAAGAAACAGAATCAAAAGTTTCATGACTGAGACTCCAAAGATAAGTGACAGAAGGAGGGAGCAGGATGCCTCTTTTGGACCTTAGAGGTCCTCCTACGAGACACTGTGGCATTCCCATGCACCCCAACAGAAGGGCTGAGCTCCCCCAAGTCCTAGGATGCTAACCTTCAACCCTGTCAGCTTCGCTCACTGTCTAGCTGCAGGACCAAGCGGAACTGCGCAGCAGGGAACACTCTTCTGCAACAGTGAGCCCCAACAAAAGAATTCTAGACCAAGAAAACACTTTCTCAAAGGACATATTTTAGCTCGCGAGAGGATAAATCTTACTAAATGAAGGCTTTAGTCTGTTTGAAAGGCACTAACATGTCTGCCTGTCAGAAAATCATGAAAATTACTTTGAATGACATGTTTCTCATACTGAGTAATTTCTGAGATAAAGGAAGTCAGTTTCCAACGAGATAGCCTCAAGATTCTAAATCTTAGCACCAATAATCCAAACACAAAAGCTGTAATTCATACATGAAGCAGAATTTTAACAGTTGGCCTTGGAAGAAATTAGGTCATTTTCAAGTTCTCTATGTCCAAGTCAGTTGAAACAGATAAAAAATGGAGTTGAAAATTTTAAAATGAGTTTCAACTCAATGTGAACTCAATAATTCCTGCTTTCTCTATAAAATAGGCATCATTATAATACAGTAGGATCTGTAGCACAAAAATCCTTTCTTGAGCCTATTAAGTTTGATAAAACTTGTTATCCATACTGAAAATTTTATTTCTACTTTGTCCAGTTAACTTCCCATAAAGAAAATTCCTGATCAATGACTACTAACTACGAACTGCAGTTACTTGTAATGAAAATAATTTGGCAAAAAACAAAGCAGAGCGGCCTCCTTCAACTGCCACTACAAACAAAGCTCCATAATTTATAAGACAAATAACTGTGCCAGTTATATCATAATATACAAATATATTCAAAGATTGAGACCATCCCTCCCTTTTAGGGGATTAGGAAGAAATCTTAAACACAGGAAAGACATTTACACGACAGGAACATTTCATTCAACCCCACTGTCTTGCCCATCTACTCTGTTGGTTACTAGAAGATGCTAGGCATGTAAAGAGAAACTGGTTTTCAGAGTATTTGTAACTCCATGAAATTGCATGCAAATTTACATGCATACACTATATACACTTTTTTTGTTAGGGAGAATAATGCCTATGTAAAGGGTCCACGATCCCCAAAGATTAAGAAATGCTGATACAGACAATATGTGCTGGAGAGTTCCCAATAAATATATTACTTACAAATAAAGTGGCTAAGAAAGGCAGACAAGCAAATGGATGTTGCTTAGGCCTCCAAGGGTGGGCAGAATGCATAGGTCAAAGCTCATAGAAATGGTGCTGGACATGGTGCAAGGGTGAGCTGGGACCAAAGCTATGGAGGAATGTGGATGTCAGGAAGAATGTGAGACGCAGAGTCGAGGCTGCTTGGGAAAGCTGGCAATGCACCGCTGGGGCTCACGCACAGCCCAAGAATTAGGCTGCTCAAGCCCCACCATTACAACTGACCATGTGGCCTTGACCAACTTTCCTAACTTCATTTTCCTCTAAAAAATAGTGCTATCCGGCCGGGCGCGGTGGCTCATGCCTGTAATCCCAGCACTTTGGGAGGCCGAGGTGGGCGGATCACGAGGTCAAGAGCTCGAGACCATCCTGGCTAACGTGGTGAAACCCCATCTCTACTAAAAATACAAAAAATTAGCCAGGCCTGGTGGCAGGCACCTGTAGTCCCAGCTATTCGGGAGGCTAAGGCAGGAGAATGGCGTGAACCCGGGAGGCAGAGCTTGCAGTGAGCCGAGATTGCACCACTGCACTCCAGCCTGGGAGACAGAGCAAGACTCTGTCTCAAAAAAAAAAAAAAAAATAGTGCTATCCATGTCATCTATCTCAGACCATTATTATAGAGATTAAGTGAGATCATAAATGTAAAGTGCTCAGCACAGCACCTGGCAGGCACCAATACTCAATAATTTTCATTGTTATTAATATTGCCAGTATGGCTGTAGTAGTAGATGGTGACTACCATCAATGCCATCCTTCCATGAAATGTCCATTTTAAGGCACAGATGTGTTCAGTTGCATGATGCATCTTAGGCCCCCTGCCAAGCCTGAGGGTTTACAGGAAATTCTCACTTTTCTTCCCCATAACACCCCCACCTGTTTCAACTTCCACAAGAAAGAGGCTGGCTGTTTGCTCCCACAGGGCCCCACCAATGCCTCATCCCAAAATGTCCCCTTCCGAGCCAACCAAAACGTGAGGAGCAAGAAAAGCTAGATTTGGAGGCAGTATGTTAGGCATTCAGTAGCAAATACTAAAACCACAACTTAGAAGACAAACAAAATGTGAAGAGTCCAGAGATCATCATTCTCAGCAAACTATCGCAACGACAAACAACCAAACACAGCATGTTCTCACTCATAGGTGGGAATTGAACAATGAGAACACTTGGACACAGGGTGGGGAACATCACACACCGGGGCCTGTAGTGGAGTGGGGGGAGCGGGGAGGGATAGCATTAGGAGATATACCTAATGTAAATGACGAGTTAATGGGTGCAGCACACCAACATGGCACATGTATACATATGTTACAAACCTGCACGTTGCGCACATGTACCCTAGAACTAAAAGTATAATAATAAAAAAATATATATATATTATATATATATATAAAAAGAAAAGAAAGCAAACAACAGGTGATCACAGAACTCCTTCTCAGCTCCATTTTCCTTTGTGTTAGTTTCATCCTATCCCGATAGTTCCACCCAAAGACTCATAGGTAACTATAGCTAGACCTGGGGCAATTGTCCACACTTACTCATCTATTCCAAAAGCCAGAGAAGCCAAGAATGAGACAGGTGGCCTCCCTGCATCTGAAAATAAAGGCATTATTGGCTGGGCGCAGTGGCTCATGCCTGTAATCCCAGCAATTTGGGAGGCTGAGATGAGTGGATCACCTGAGGTCGGGAGTTCAAGACCAGCCTGACGAACGTGGTGAAATCCCATCTCTAACAAAAATACAAAAATTAGCCGGGTGTGTTGGCGCATGCCTGTAATTCCAGCTACTCAGGAGGCTGAGGCAGAAGAATCACTTGAACTCAGAAGGTGGAGGTTGCAATAAGCTGAGATCGCACCACTGCATTCCAGTGAGTGACAGAGAGAGACTGTCTCCAAAAAAAAAAAAAGTGGCAAGGAGAATGGTATTTCAACAATTCATCTCTGAATTGGGGTCATTTTTCTGAAGAAAAAGGAGGCAGGGGCTTCTACTAATAAGAAAAGGGTTGGGAAGATGAATGCTTAGTAGGAAACCGTCAGTGTCAACTATAAATAGCAATCAACAGGCAGCATTTTAATAGTGTTTCACATATGCCTCACTAAAGGAGAAAGACTTAAAGGTGACACAATTTCTCAGTGTGCTGCTGCTGCTTCAGTGGTATAGGAATGATTTCGTATTTACCACTATTTCAAAGTAAAGCATTACTAAATAGGTATGTGCTAACTGTAGTCCTAGAACACACCATATAATAGAAATGTATGCAAAAGGTAAACATTAAAGGCTGCCATGCCACCACGGTGGCTCACGCCTGTAATCCCAGCACTTTGGGAGGCTGAGGAAGGTGGATCACGAGGTCAGGAGATCGAGACCATCCTGGCTAACACAGTGAAACTCTGTCTCTATTAAAAATACAAAAAATTAGCTGGGCGCAGTGAGGGGCTCCTGTAGTCCCAGCCACTCGGGAGGCTGAGGCAGGAGAATGGCGTGAACCCGGGAGGCGGAGCTTGCAGTGAGCTGAGATCACGCCACTGCACTCCAGCCTGGGCGAAAGAGCGAGACTCCAACACAAAATAAAAATAAAAATAAAAATAAAAAAATAAAGGCTGCCTAAAGACCTAGAAATAAATGCGACACTAAAAAATATGTTGAGGCCAAGCACAGTGTTTCATGCCTGTAATCCCAGCACTTTGCGAGGCCAAAGCAGGTGGGTCATCTGAGGTCAGGAGTTTGAGACCAGCCTGGTCAACATGGTGAAACTCCATCTCTACTAAAAATACAAAAATTAGCCAGGCGTGGTGATGGCCACCTGTAATCCCAGCTACTCAGGAGGCTGAGGGAGGAAAATTGCTTGAACCCAAGAGGCGGAGGTTGCAGTGAGCCAAGATCACGCCACTGCACTCCAGCCTGAGCAACAGAGCAAGACTCCATCTCAAAAAAAAAAAAAAAAAAAAAGTAAGTTGAAACTCTTGTATACATACTGCTGATGGGAGGGTATATTAGTATTGCCACTTTAGAAGGAAATTTGGAAGTATCTATTAAAATTTGAAATGCATATACCATTTGCCTCAAATATTTTACTTCTCAGTATCTATCCAGTAGAAACACTCACACATATGTACAGAAACACTAATACAAGAACTGCGTAATTTTAATACCCAAAAAACAAAGCCAGAAACAAAAGCATTAGCAACAACTAAGTGCCCGGGGAAGGATTAAAACCATGGTATATGCAGCAATGAAAAATAATAAGTATAAATGTACCAGTATGTAATAACCTTCAAGATATACTATTGTTAAAAGCTGAAAGTTGTATAATGCACAGCATAATACCATATACAGTTTTAAAGATAATTTCCATGGAAAAAATATAAATGCATAGAAAGTCTTAGAAGATACATGAGAGAGTGAAAATACTGGTCACCTCTGAGGAGGGGGTTGGTCAAGAAGAATTGTAATATTTGAATGTTTTTCTCTGAGAAAGCTTCTGTATACACACACACAAAAATTAATGACACACTGCCCTCTCAATCATCTTCCCTTTTAACTAACCTGACACAGTAGCACTTACCTTTTATTTGTGAACTTTAAAAATCTATCTTCCTTTTACAAAATGAGTGAGTTTGTGGAGTTTAAATATCACTAAATGATTTAGTTTTTTCAAAAATTAACTTCCCTTGCTGATACAAATCTCTTTGATGGAGGAACACTATCTCTTTTTTAAGGAAAGGGCATGGAGATACCACTTTTAGTCTTAGTCGGACCACAAAGCATTTATGCCTTCATCATGAGCCATCGTTTATTGAATTTGCAGTAGCTCTGTATTGAGAGCTAATGGAAGTAGAAAAAGATTTCAAGCAAACCCTAAGAAACCACCACACCAGGCCCATTTTCTTAATGGAAAGTTTGCTGATTCTGGAGTGGAAATAAAATGATGCAAACAGGTATGGAACGCTGCCTCAAGGTTGGCTGGTATTATGCTTTTAACTAACTGCAGGCCAAAATATTGGCCATTAGTGAACCAGCCTATAACAAAGCCCAAGCCAACATTTTAGGTAGTTGTGCCCATCTTGAGAAAGTTTTCACGGTTTCTGATCGAGGTGGAGTTTTAGATGATGGTATCTGGCCTTCTGCCCTTCCCCAAGCTTAGAACCCCTGACGGATGTGTATTAGAAGCACACTGCTCCAGTCAGTGATGGCCACCACAGATGGGAAACACCATGCCTGGGTCCGAGAGTGTGAGCCAAGTTTTCCCCTGCTGACAAATGCAGGCAAAGGCTCTTTTTCATTTCGTCAACATGCAGCATGGGAATGGAATGCCAGTAAAACTGAGGGAGTATGTGCACCTAAGTGTTCGATTAGAGGAGGAAAAAGTGCAGCAAGTGGAGAGCTGGAACTGAACAAATCCCCCATGGCCATGCCACCTGTCCAGTCCCACGTCTTGCGGATAAACGGACTGCCCTGCATCCTGCCTTCAGTGCTAGTGGGGCCACCAGACTGCCACTGCCTCCAGGTGTTCCCCCAAAGCACCCTGGAATTTGCAGGCAACAGAATAAGGACATTTGATAAGACATTTAAGTCCCTGGGCAGTAATAGGAGAGGGGAAGCGAATTAGGCTGAGAAAGCAGGAGAAAGATGTAGAATGGGTCAGTCGTCGGCCCACATTTAGTGCAGGATGGCCTGGAAGTGAATGCTGCTGCTTCTGCAAATTTCCATGATTCCTAATCAGAATCCTGAAACCTTCTTCCTGCAAGGTTCCTATCTCTAGGGACAGCCACATTCAAGGACAATTTCTATGGTAACAATATTGAGTGCTGCAGCAGACATGGCTGGTTTGCCTACCCAATATCCCTTTTCTAATTCTTCCTTACTACCAATAACAGCCTTGATGTTTGGGGGAATGATAACATGCTCAGTTAAAAACTATACTTCCTTTCTTTCCTTATAGATAAGATCATGTGATATAATTTTGGCCAATGTAATGTAAATAGAAATTGATGTGTGAGGCTCTCAGGAAATCTCTTTATAAAGAGAGGCAATTCAGCTGGTGCTCACCATTTGCTCTCTGACCTTCCTCTTCTTCCTGCTGGGATGTAAGGATGATGCTGGAGATGAGGCAGCCACTTGTGACTGTGAGATGACAAACGTACACTAAGGAAAGCTGAGTGGAAATACTGGAGTCTGGTGATGGCCTCGTGAAACCATCCTAGCCCTGGGCTGCCTACTTTTGAACTTCTCATTACATGAGAAAAATAAACATCCACAAGTGTTAATCACTGGTGTTTGGGATCTGTTACTTGCAGCTGCATAGTAACTCAAGGAAACAAGTGCTTACTATACAAGCAGGCCTTGTTCTAAGTAAGTTACCCACTGAATCCTTTCAATGACCCTACAAGGTAGCTACTACCCATATTCCCATTTCAACCGAGGAAACTGAGACACAGTGAATTTAAATAAAATACTCCATGTCAGGGGGTCCACAACCCGCAGGCCATGGACCAGTACCAGTCTGGTGTGTTACTTGTTAGGAACTGGGCCACACAGCAGGAGGTGAGTGGCAGGCAAGCAAGCATTACCGCCTGAGCTCCACCTCCTGTCGGATCAGCGGCGGCATCAGATTCTCATAGAAGCATGAACCCTATTGTGAACTGCGCATGGGAGGGATCTAGGTTGAATGCTTCTTATGAGAATCTAATGCCTGATGATCTGAGTTGAAATACTTTCATCCCGAAACAACCACCACCACCCACCCACCCTACCCCAGGTCTGTGGGAAAATTGTCTTCCAAGAAACTGGTCCCTGGTGCCAAAAAGGTTGAGGACCACTGCCCTAGATCACAAAGCTGGCAAATGGCAAAGCTGGAATTTGAGTTCAGACAAACACCAAGATGATGGGAAAGAATGAGAGAGCCCAGTCCTCCCCAGGTCTCGGCTTGCAAAATTATGGAAACCTCAGGCCCCACAGGCTGCAGCAGGGCGTGAGCCAGGTCAGTGCCATCCATCCGTATTGTCTCTCCAGCCAGGAGAGCCTTCCAGCCCACACCCTCCAGGAAGCAACTTGAGGAAAATTTTGTTGTTGCTTGTTCAAGGCACTCTTATCATATGTTTACAATGTTGCTTTCCAGCCCCTTGTTGTCAACATTGCTATTTTGCTGGTGGAAATTATGATTCTATTCATACACATACTCCCAATCTTCTTTGGCTACAAAAAGACATTCAGGTTATCTATGAATGGAGACACCAGTTTAGGAAACACCTTTTTTATATGGAAATAACCCAAGCATGCAAGCAAGTCAGGTTCTTTTTTTCTTTTTGAGACGGAGTCTCGCTCTGTCGCCCAGGGTGGAGTGCAGTGGCACAACCTCGGCTCACTGCAACCTCCGCCTCCCAGGTTCAAGCGATTCTCCTGCCTCAGCCTCCTGAGTAGCTAGGACTACAGGCGCATGCCACCATGCCTGGCTAATTTTTTGTATTCTTAGTAGAGACGGGGGTGTCCCCGTGTTAGCCAGGATGGTCTCAATCTCCTGACCTCATGATCCGCCTGCCTTGGCCTCCCAAAGTGTTGGGATTACAGGCGTGAGCCACAGCACCTGTCCCAAATCAGGTTCTTAAGAAGAGAAGCAGGAAAAGGAGGAAAATGCAAATCCAAACGGATACCAACTGAATGGAGGGGCAATGCCCAAGTTTACATCAATACCTGTGACTCCTGGTTATAACTGTACTGACTTAGATTACTACTCCCCAGGCGCTTATGTCTGTAGTCCCAGCATTTAGGGAGTCCAAGGCAGAAGGATCGCTTGAGCCCAGGAGTTTGAGCCCAGCCTGGGCAACATAGCAAGGCCCCATCTTTATTTTTTAAAACAGAAAAGAAAACAATTACTACTCTATTTCAAAACATTTGCTCTAATCAAATTTACCAATGTCCCAGAAATAATAAATCTATTCTGATTTGCTAGTCTTTTGAGATCAGAGCAAATAATGAACAAATTCATACACAAATTTTTTTATCAATATTATTTCTAAAATACATGCTGAAGAGACCACACGCAGACTATATACATTGCGGCACACCTAAATTGTTATTGCACAGCTACCTAAGGTTTAAATTTTCAAAGTGTGACTTCATAAATATTAGATACTTAGCCTACAACATTGTATTCCTTGAACACCAAGATATTAGTCAATGAACAACAGTTAATTCAAGGAGAATACTCACTGGGATGAGTAGCAACATTTGTAGCAGGGGCAGTACAAGCCAGTTTGTGGTATTACAAACTCTTGGGATGGTGGTAGGAACAAGTAAATAGAGAAAGGGGGAGGAAGAGAGGAAGAGGGAACAAGGGGGCAGGCAGAGACAGAGAGAGAGAGAGAGAGCAAGTGAGCAAGAGAGAGCACAAAGGAGAAAGCTGATTTGGGTGTACCTTCCCATCCCAAGTATTTGGGTCAGCATTTAGCACGTGTAGGGGTGCTCCACCAAGTCTGGATAAACCAGATCATAGAGCCCACCTGACAACACCTGAACCCAAGGGGAGAGGCCAGAACAGGTCTTGCTAGATCTTTAGAATTTTTGAAACAAGTCTATATCCCTACCTCCTCCTATCAAGACTGTAAGTAAACTGTCTAAGAAAAGAGCCTAATCTGCCAGAACCAGGTCAAAGAAACACAATGGACTCAAGTTATGTTGTTAGAGCTGAGCAGTCAAGGGTAGAGGTTACTCTGTCAACCACCCATTAAGACACTAGCTTAAAGGAAGTGCTCCCAGCAGCTCTCAGAAGGACCTGGAAGTACCGGCATGGCTCTCCTAGGTGCAATAGGAAATGCAGAAGTAGCCTAAAATGCAGTGCTATTCTTTAAAAGGTTACTGTCTATTTGGGAAGATAAATTATATGGTTCACATAAAGCAATAAGCAAATCATGAGCAACTATAATTAAGTGCAAAAGCTGGGTAGGGCAACTCAAGTACTATAGTAACTAGGGGGTGAGGAGGAAAAGGTGACCACATGGCAATGGTGAGACATATAGAATGGGACTTTTATATCATAATGACCAAGACTTACATATAAGGGAAAATGTTGGCTAATCAGAGACGGAAAGGGGATCTTTCAGGCGGTGGGAAGGGACACAGGTAACATGTACATGAAGTTGCCATTGCTCCTGTTTGCTACAAGAGAGACCTCACAGGGAAGAGGACAGACTGCATTCTCCACGCCCTAATGAAATCCACATTACTTCCTAGACTCACTGAAAAGGTCAGTTTCTTTGTCTCACACTGTCTCTCCCCTTTCACCCCCACTAATTCAAAGGCATCAAGTACACTTTCATTTGCTCATCTATTAATCTATTCCTCCCTCTGTCCAGTATTTGTATATAGAGCAAACACTGTTTTCTAGAACAACATGAATCCTTCATGTTGAGGACTGCTGAGAAGAGGAATGCATGCTTGTGGAACAAATAGACAATGAGAACAATGCGCACGCAGACACACATACACAAACACAATGAAGATACTAGACGACTATCAGCTAAGCTTGACAGAGCTTCTGAGAAGGTCAAGAATTCTACGGAACTGCAGGTACTGCGTTCTCATTACTCCTGGAGGACAGGCTGAGTCCCATGGAACGATGTGTGTCCCTCTCCCTGTCAGATCTCAACACAGTCCATCACTGTTCCAAATGACTTGTGCCCAGTGGGGTGCAGGGAACTGCAAGGTGATGGCAGCTTGATTCTCACATCTGCAGCCGTCACTGATGCACAAGGATGGGACCTCACCACCAAACATTTCTCATGAAGCACCGTGGAGATGCAGAGGGACAGCTAAGAAGAAGTGTCAAAAATAGAAAACCTCTGTTAGCAAATTCATGAAGAGTATATTGATATTTTCATATGGGTATAATTTTATATGCCACGATTTTATAAGCATTAATTTACAGAAACTTATAACAGAGACCTTCCTGCAGGGAAAAAGGATGCAAACATTCTTGGTAATGCTAAAGGAAGAATACCTGTTAAATCAGTTCTTCCTAATCAAGGCTATACATCAGCTACCCAAGGAGATTTTGCTAATAGCTACACGCCCAGGCCCCAACCCCTGGAGATTCTGATTAAGTAGGACAAGAATGATGCACAGATGTGTATATTTTCAAAAAGCTCCTCCAACTGGTTGTGACACACAATTAAAACCTGATTTAAAACCACTGTTTTGAATTCCCGAGAAGATTTCAGGCAATCTGTGGACACTCATCAGTAGTTGTGTTCAAGTCCCATCCAATCTAAAAGGGGAAGCACTTTTCAAACAAATATACTAAGCTGAGAGCAACGGTTTTTCTGACTAGCTGTTTAGGTCATTGCAGAAAAGCTACTCACCTGCTTAATATGACCAGACAGATGTATGATATCTTAGCAACAAGACACAAAATCAGTTTTTTTTTAAATGAACACATTTAACTATGATATTCAGAAGAGAAAGGTAGAAAAGGAAATAAACACCATTATGGAAGGGAAGAATATTTTCCCTTCTTCTTTCTTCTGCCTATCTAGAATCATCTGCTCTTTCAAAACACTTTTATATAAAAGAAATAATGACTTGTACCGAGTGATCTGCCTACTGGAGGCAGCACTTCAACACATCCAGACAGCTGAGCAATAATTGTTTACTAAATCTAATTTGTCACATTTGGCATTTAAAATATATATAATCACCTAAGAAGCTAAAGACCACATGTCATGACCCTCTCATTTCCAAGTCATTTGCCTCAGCCCCTGGGGCCTTGGGTGTCACTCTACCTGCTGCAGGAGTTCCTACCATTTCCTCTGAGTTTTTCTCTTATAGGAGAGCAAGAAAGAGGAGGACACAGGTAACTTAAAATAAAATGAAAAATGTTGGCCAGGTGCGGTGGCTCACGCTTATAATCCCAGCACTCTGGAAGGCCAAAGCAGGTGGATCACCTGAGGTCAGGAATTTGAGATCAGCCCGGCCAACATGGTGAAACCCCATCTCTACTAAAAACACAAAAATTATCCGGGCATGGTGGTGGAAGCCTGTAATCCAAGCTTCTCAGGAGGCTGAGGCAGGGGAATTGCTTGAACCCAGGAGGCAGATGTTGCAGTGAGCCGAGATCACGCCACTGCACTCCAGCCTGGATGACAAGAGCAAAACTCTGTCTCAAAAAAATAAAGTATAAGTAACAACTGGTCCATCAAGATTTCCCAAGACCAAGACCTATTTATAGGAGCAGCACATAATCCTTAATGTGCTAAGATTAAAGCTAATTAATTTAGAAGTAGAACAAAAATCATTAAATCCAGAAGTTATGGGAGAGATTGGTTGACTGTTACTTTTCGTACCTACTATTCCCACCTAATTAAAGAACCTGCTAAAGATACCCACAATATATGTTTAAGTGGAAAACCAAGTTTGAGGAGTGTACAAATAGTACATTCTCCGTGGTGTTTTTTAAAAAGGAGTGGTCAGGCATGGTGACTCACACCTGTAATCCCACCACTTCGGGAGGACAAGGCAGTAGGACTGCTTGAGGCCAGGAATTTGAGACAGATCACGAGGTCAAGAGATCGAGACCATCCTGGCCAACATGGTGAAACCCCATCTCTACTAAAAATACAAAAATTAGTCAGGCGTGGGGGCATATGCCTGTAGTCCCAGCTACTCTGGAGGCTGAGGCAGGAGAATTGCTTGAACCCGGGAAGCGGAGGTTGCAGTGAGCTGAGATCGTGCCACTGCACTCCAGCTTGGGCAACAGAGCGAAACTCTATCACAAAAAAAAAAAAAAAAAAAAATAGCAATCTCCAAGTTAAAACCACTCAAACAAAAGCAAAAACAAAACAACCATAACCTAATAATCAGTTTTTAAACTGTATTAATTTTTTTTTAAAGATACTCCTTAACACCTGCCAAGAAAGAAGATGAGATAACAAGATAACATTTAAGATGGAAACTAAAGAATCCTTCAGATTTAGGTAAAGAGAAAGAAGAGCTTGAAAGAAAATCTGCACAAGGCAAGTAGTCACCACCAGCCCAGCAGTGAGGCAAAGCCCTTTTTTTTGAAACAAGAAAAATATTTCATGACCTAAATGGTCTGAAACAATTTGTCAACAGATCAACATCTGAGAAAGGCACAACAAAAGCAATAAGGTAAAAAGTGTTTATGAATGAAACTCAGGCCTTCCCCAAAAGGAATTTACTGTGAGCAAAATGTTATTAATACAATTATTTATAACATTAGTTGTTTTTTTTGAGAAGGGTAAGGGGTAAGGACAGAACTTCACAAGGGATTATATTACTACAATGATGAAATATGACGAAGTCAAAAAGCTAAACTTTGTATCATTTCTAGAAAATAGGTCAATATGGTTGGTGGTTGCTAACATAAAATGAGAAGAATTAAACAATTTTACTAAAAATGTTAATGGAAAAAATGGAAATTGAAGCATTTCCTTTATCTGTATATAACAATCCAAAAGCATGTTGAAAAACATCTAACTTTAGAACAAATACACTTTTCCATTCTGCAAGGAGAGAATTCTAGAACTTAAAAAAAATATAATAATACTTCTAACTGTGCCAGTAAATATAACTTCCATCTGCCCCAGCAGCGTGTGGCAATGTTTACTGAGACTACAGTAGATGGATCTCCCAATTGCCCGACCCTCCCACATCCTCTGAGCCAGTCTTCGGTCTTCAAACATCATGCCACACACTGGGAATCTAGAGCAGGAGTAAAGAGAGAGCAATTCCACCTGGCTTCACACAGAAACTGCAGCTGGGGAGGACAGATGGGTTGAGTGAGGGGACATGCTGTAGGACTCCCAGGTGCTAGTGTGGGGGATAAGGGAGAAGTAAGAAGGAGGAGAAAGTTGGACACACCAGGCCCCAGTGGCACCACCATGCTTGCTTGGCTCCTGCCCCCCTGCCAGCATCCCCCAGACACTGCTGCTCTATTAACATTAGTTGAGAAACCTGAAGACGGAATCCTGAATAAAGAGATTGCTGAAAAGGGTTAGTTTTGCTACAAATGGTATGCAAGTCAAACATATGAAAGTTCAAAACTGTCTATAATAAGTATGCTTCATTCATTATCATCCAATTTAGTTCCATGGGAAGTCAAAGCTTTAAGTCCATCCCAGAAGGACCAAAGCAAGAAAAATGCAAACACTGAAAGAACAGTGGAGAACAACACAAAGATCTCCATTATATCTGGTCACTTTTGTTATGAAATCTTTCAAATGTAAAAAAGTTAAATTAAAATACAATGAACTTCCTATTTTTAGAAAGTATCATTGATTTTTTTTTTTTCCCCCCAAGATGTAGCCTTGCTCTGTTGCCCAGGCTGGAGTGCAGTGGCTCAACCTCAGTTCACTGCAACCTCCACCTCCCAGTTTCAAATGATTCTCCTGCCTCAGCCTCCTGAATAGCTGGGAATACAGGTGTGTGCCACCACGACCAGCTAATTTTTGAATTAGTAGAGATGGGGTTTCACCATGTTGGCCAGGCTGGTCTCCAACTCCTGACCTCATGATCTGTCCGCCTCAAATGTGATTGATTAGCTATCCAAAAAAAATATGCATGCAAACCAAAAGTAAGGGGGCAGTCCCAGATATACCCAGTCTGTACAAAACCCAGAGTAAAGGAACAATCCCACTGTCACTGTCACAGAAAGGCCACGCTTCAGGGCCAGCCCTAGCAAGGAGGCAGCACTAGGTCCAGATCCCTCTCCTGCCATGTATGTGACTTGGAGAAATGTGTCAGCTTGAGTGCCTCAGCTTCAGCCTCTGCACAATGAGAATAATGCCACCTAATTTGCAGGGATCCCATGAAGATTAAATGAGGTAAGGTGTGTGAAAGAGACCACCCTCCTATGTAGCGGGCATTCAAAAAAAGCTAGCTATAATGAAATCGAAGAACTTCAGAGTGTCTTAAAGCAAACAGGAAATTCAAGAAGAAATCATCAAGGAAGGATGGGGAAAGAAGAAGGTGAGGAGGGAATGATATGAAGAAGAAGTGCATAGGTAAAGATTAACAATAACCTTTTGGCCGGGCGTGGTGGCTCATGCCTGTAATCCCAGCACTTTAGGAGGCCGAGGTGGGTGGATCACGAGGTCAGGAGATCGAGACTATCCTGGCTAACACGGTGACACCCAGTCTCTACTAAAAATCCAAAAAAAAATAGCCGGGCGTGGCCGCATGCGCCTGTAGTCCCAGCTGCTGGGGAGGCTGAGGAAGGAGAATGGCATGAACCCAGAGCCAAGATCGTACCACTGCACTCCAGCCTGGGTGACAGAGCAAGACTCTGTCTCAAAAAAGAAAGAAAAAAACAATAACCTTTTGGTTCCCACGTGGGGGTGTTTCATGAGGGTACATTAATTTAATATTAAATAAAACAAAAGTGGGGGCAAGTATGGACCAAAGATAAAAATCTGCCATAAGCCAAGGACTACAATTAATCTAATTATGTGTACCTGAATTTCAGAAGGGGAAAAAAAATACTTAGCTATCTTTTAGTAATTCCAAGAAAGCAAATGAAATTTCCTAGTCAGTGTAACCAATGCAAGTTGACAAACATCTATTGATTACTCACTATAATTATCAGAGCCTACGCTTGGTACACCAGATATCAGAGATAAATATAAATGCAGTTCCTGCTCCCAAGGGGTTCACATTTTAGTGTGGGAGAGGCACAGCACACACTAAGCATTCCTTTGGGTGGCTGCTACAGAAGTAATGGAGCGCAGGGCAGAGGCGATAAAGTAGGTAACACTACAGTGAATTCTAAGCAAAGAAAAGGAAAGGAGAAAAGGGGATATGGGAAAGTAACATACGCATAATACAGGGCCCTGCAACAGCCAGGCATGTTCAGAAAGCCACTTAGAAAAAAGGGCAGCAAGTGATGAAGTCACCAAGGATGTTGAGCAGGTGTGCAATTTGGATTTGCAAAATCATTGCATTAATGACGTGGATCTGAGAACAATGCGATGGGAATGTGGGCAAAAGGCCAGTTTAGATGCCCTTACAGTCATTCAGAGCACAGAAAATGAAGGCCTGCACTGGCATAGTAAAGTGAGGGTGGACAGGGAGCTCTGCTCAGAAACTGAGAGGCAGGCAGGTAAATGACTGAAGGAGACGAAGAGACAACAGGGCCCGGAGTGCAACAGAGAGGTACAGGGAGCTTATCCCTCTACAGTGTCTGTCTGGTTTGTTTATTCATTTATTTATTTTAATTCATAAAAGTTATATATATTTATGGTGTACAACATGAAGTTTTGATATATGTATATATTATAGAATGCTAAATCAAACCAATTAACATATTACCTCACATACTTATTTTTTGTGGTGAGAATATTTAAAGGTCTACTCTCTCAGCAATTTTGAAGAATACAATACATTGTTATTAACTATAGACATCATGTTGTACAATAGCTCTCCTGAAATTATTACTCCTAACTGAAATTTTGTATCCTTTGACCTACATCTCCTCAGTCTCTCTCTTTGTTTTACAGTTTACAAGCCAAACTCACAATCCTGATTACAGAGGTGATATAGTTTGGCTGTGTCCCCACCCAAAATCATCTTGAATTGTAACCTCCATAATCCCAATAACCTCCATGTCTCAAGGGTAGGACCAGGTGGAGGTAACTGGATCATGGGGGTGGTTTTCCACATGCCGCTCTCGTGATAGTGAGTGAGTCTCAAGAGATCCGATGGTTTTATAAGCGTCTGGCATTTCCCCTGCTTGCATTCGCTCCATCCTGCTGTCCTGTGAAGAAGGTGCCTGCTGCTTCTTTGCCTTCCACCATGATTGTAAGTTTCCTGAGGCCTCCCCAGCCATGTGGAACTGTGAGTCAGTTAAGCCTCTTTCCTTTATAAATTACCTAGTCTCGGGTATTTCTTCATAACAGTGTGAGAACAACTAATACAAGAGGTCATCAAAGAGGTACAATCTTTGATGTTATTGATTGATTGGCTGAGAAGAGGTGGCAGCAATGGTGGACGCTAAGAGAGTGCATCTCCACCTTTAACATGCACAGGATCACCTAGACAGCTTGTTAAAATGCAGATCCTAATTCAGTAGGTCTAGGGTGGTGCCTGAGCCTCCGCATTTCTAACAAGCGTAGGTGACACTGATGTGTCATGGACCACATTTTGAAAAGCAAGGAATTTGAAAGCACCAAGAATCAGAGAAAAGAGAAGGGAAGGAGGGCAAATGTAAGCGTTCATTGTATGACACAGATGACTCTGGGTCACTGAGGCTGGATATATGAGTCTGGTACTCTACCTGGAGCTACATAGAGAATTGAGAATAATTCATTCACGTATACACACTATAAAAAAAAGGAAGAATGAAATTAGATTACCTAGGGAAATCATGTAATCTCAAGGCAGAACAATGGGTGTCCCATTTTTCCTGAATGGACAATTAAGATCTCTCAGAAACCTTTTGCTGAGTGACACTCAGATCACTGAGGCTCTGCCCTGCTCAGAAACAGCCTCCTTCTGACACTTCACCCACCTGAATTAAATAAAATCAAACCTCGTCTAACATGTCTTCCTCATGCAAGTGAACTGATGAACTTAATATTGCTGAGCATCCTAAACTGCAGCAGAGGAGGTGTTTGCAAAAGCTTTGGTAGACCCTTGGAAGGATTCTTCATCAGAACCAAATTTCTTATAATAGCTATACCTATCTCTACCGTTTTCAATTACAGGTTTTCCTGAAGTTCTTTGCAAGGTCATCATGGAATAAAAGGCCAGAATTGATGATTAAAGAACTCTTTTAGTTTATATATACAAAATATAGTGTGTGTGTGTGAGAGAGAGATATTCTGTCTTAATATAAAATCAACTGTATTAATAATTAAACTAAAATGTTAATACGGTGGATATTAATTTACAAAGATATAATTAATTTAAATAATTAAATCATCAATTAACACTTTTTTGTTGTTGTTGCTTTGTTTTGCTTTGCTTTTTTTGAGACAGGGTCTTGCTCTGTTACTCAGGCTGGAGTGCAGTGTGTGATCTCAGCTCACTGCAACCTCCGCCTCCCAGGTTCAAGCGGTTCTCGTGCCTCAGCCTCCTGAGTAGCTGGGACTACAGGTGTGCGCCACCACGCCTGACTAATTTTTGTATTTTTAGTAGAGACAGGGTTTCACCATGTTGACCAGGCTGGTCTCAAACTCCTGACCTCAAGTGATCCACCCGCCTTGGCCTCCCAAAGTGTGAACTGTTAATTTGCTATGTTTCTTGATTACAGCTGGACATTGCTTTTCCAGCGTTTAGGTCTTTTTCACACTTCTGGTCTAGAACTTATCACCACTCCTTACTGGGTAACTACTATCTCCCCTTCCTAGACAGTAGCAATTTTATTTTCTCTTTATATATTCTTGAAGAATAGTATAGTGCCATGAGTACAGTATGAGCTCTAAAGTACTTGTTTTTGTGCTTTTTTAATTAAAAAAAAAAAAAAAAAAATTAGAGACAAAGTCTTGCTGTCACCCAGACTTGAATGCAGTGCAGTGATCACACCTCACTGCCGCCTAAAACTCCGGGGCTCAAGATCCTCCCACCTCAGTCTTCCTAGCTGCTAAGACTATAGGCACACACCACCATGCCCAGCTAATTTTTATAAATGTTCTGTAGAGATAGGGTCTCACCTGTTCCCCAGGTGGGTCTCAAACTCTTGGCCTCAAGCAATCCTCCTGCTTAGGACTCTCGAAGTGCTGGGAATACAGGTGTGACCCACCACACCCAACCGAAAGTATTTGTTGAATGAAAGTTGTTTCCTTATCTTAGCTTTTCTCAATGGAAAACTACTGTTGAGTTTTTCTTCTGCCTTCAGTCCAGCTTCTTGTTCCTGCACTGAGGCATTACTGGCTATAAAAATCCACTGTTAGACTCAAGAACAGGCAGAAGGCTGTCTCTGGACAGCTTGGTTTTAATTGATCAAATGATCCCTGGCACTGAGGTGTCCAAATTATTCCACCTGTCTTCCTAGCCAACAAATCAGTGAAAGCACATATGGAAACAACCATCCAGTCCTGCCTGATCAGTCCACTTGCTTGAATTCTAAAACCTCACTTAGCTTTTGGAAACAAACTCTTTAGGTAGAATGTTAATACAGGAGTCTCTTCCCTCGCAAAGCAAAATCTTGAAAGAGCCACAGACATTTTCTCACTGTTAACAGTGGTAGATAGGTTGATTATGTAGTCCATAAATTTTACTAAATCATCAGACACACTTGACTTTTCTCTGTGACGGCATAGCTTTAAGTAAATATTAAGAAGGCATTTGCATCCATTAAAACACAGAATTTAAAAAGTAAAAACACCTCTTCGAGCCCATGGTAAGTTCTACATTTTCCAGATTCTCAGCATTAGCAAATATTGTTTATATAATCAAGAAACTTTCTTAAAAAAAATTGTAGGCCGGGCGCGGTGGCTCACGCCTGTAATCCCAGCACTTTGGGAGGCCGAGGCGGGCGGATCACGAGGTCAGGAGATCGAGACCATCCCGGCTAAAACGGTGAAACCCCGTCTCTACTAAAAATACAAAAAAATTAGCCGGGCGTAGTGGCGGGCGCCTGTCGTCCCAGCTACTTGGGAGGCTGAGGCAGGAGAATGGCGTGAACCCGGGAGGCGGAGCTTGCAGTGAGCCGAGATCCCGCCACTGCACTCCAGCCTGGGCGACAGAGCGAGACTCCGTCTCAAAAAAAAAAAAAAAAAAAAAAAAAAAAAAAAATTGTAACTACCACTATAAGCAATCAAGACTAAACAAAAACATTACTGTATATCATATACACCTTCTTATTGAAAGTCTAAAATTCTGCTGCACATAAAACACCTAAAACAATTTAGAACATTTGCCATTTCTTTCTATTCTAAGGGAAATAATAGGATTAATGAGATGTTGATGAGAAATTGTCTTCTCTATGCAACACTGCTCTCTGCAAAAATACCAAACTATGTCAAACCTGTTCCCAAAAGGAAGAGGATTAAATTCTACACCTAGAAAATTAAATTCTCAAGCTACCTACCACACAGTCTGTCAATTTATATAGGTTACTATAATCAAGAAACCACTGCTTTTGGTCTATGTTTTAAGGATGAATAATTAATACACAAAAAGTTTTTTTATATGTACCAACAATAGTACTTAATAGAATGTTCCTGAATGTATTCTTCTTTGTAAATAATTGTAATATCCACTGTATTAACATTATAGACTACTATTGTGGTAGTGGCTCAACTATTAATACATTGTTGAATTTATATTAGGACAAAACATCTGTCTCACGCACACATCATACATTTGGTATATATAAACTAAAGCTTCTTTAATCGTCAGAAAAAAAATCTAAATTTTCATAGTATTCAAATATATCAGTAGTATACCAGATATAAGAAATTCATTTATGGCCAGTCGCGGTGGCTCACGCCTGTAATCCCAGCACTTTGGGAGGCTGAGGCAGGTGGATCACGAGGTCAGGAGTTTGAGACCAGCCTGGCCAACATGGTGAAACCCTGTCTCTACCAAAAATAAAAAATTAGCTGGGCGTGGTGGCGGGCGCCTGTAATCCCAGCTACTCAGGAGGCTGAGGCAGGAGAATCGCTTGAACCTGGGAGGCAGATGTTGCAGTGAGCCAAGATTGTGCCACTGCACTCCAGCCTGGGCGACAGAACAAGACTCCGTCTAAAAATAAAAATAAAAAAAATTTAAAAAATTTATTTATATGAACTCTACAGCTTATTTAAAATATTCTTGTCAACATATTTTATCTGGAAAAGCTCAAAGTTACTTTTAAGTTTTCAAATACATACACACATATACGTAAAACGTATATCCAGCCGGGCGAGGTGGCTCATGCCTATAATCCCAGCACTTTGGGAGGCCGAGGTGGGTGGATCACCTGAAGTTGGGAGTTCGAGACCAGCCTGACCAATGTGGAGAAACCCCATCTCTACTAAAAATACAAAATTAGCCAGGCATGGTGGTACATGCCTGTAATCCCAGCTACTTGGGAGGCTGAGGCAGGAGAATTGCTTGAACCTGGGAAGCGGAGGTTGCGGTGAGCTGAGGTCTGCCATTGCACTCCAGCCTGGGCAACAAGAGTGAAACTCCATCTCAAAAAAAAAAAAAGAAAAAAAGTGGTATATCCATAGATCCATTATGATCCATATTCATGATTTCCTATATTCCATCTTTAATATGCATATTTTGGGAAGCATGTTAATGTTTGGCATTACAAACGGCAAGGCAATTTTGAGTTACTGTATGGAGCTGAAGACGATAGCTTTATCTTCACACTTTGTAATACTGCATCCTACCCTGGTTAAGCAAATTCCATTTCAGTATTTTACCCTGAGTACTCATGAGAATTATTCAATCATGTGACCAGAAATACTGGTTCTGGATTATTAATTTAAAAATGTTCCACCTGTAATCCCAGGTACCTGGAAGGTTGAGGCAGGAGAATCGCTTGAACCTGGAAGGTGGAGGTTGTAGTGAGCTGAGATTGCACCACTGCACTGCAACCTGGGTGACAGAGTAAGACCCTGTTTCAAAAAGAAAATTAAAAAGTTCCTCCATTTCTTTTCCGCAGTAACCACTAACCAAGACTAAAATTTATTTGAAACCACGCTTGTTAGCAGAAATGCTTACTACAGACTCAAATAACTCCAAGAAAATTTGGTCCCTTGCACATAACTGGGCATTTAGTAAATATCGATGGGATGAATAAATACTGAATAAACTCAACAATTTTTATCAGAACACTGACAAGACTGAGAAGAAAACATTAGACATGTCACTATGGTGCTCAACTACTTTCAGTCATTCCACGCCAGCCTCTGAGAGGCACAGGCAGAATTCCAATAAAGCACAGTTTTCTTCCATAGTTGCAACCTCAAAAAAAGTGCTGAAATTCAAATAATCTTAAGTTCTGCCGCCTGTACACATAGGAATATTCTCCTTATAATGTAACTGAATAAAGTTATCCTCCGAGAGGGAGACAATGGTATCTGCTGCTTTCCCATCAGCTCTTCCAGAAGCTACTATGTTGGACAACTGAGCTGTAAATGAGGAAGCAAGGAATCTTCACTACTAATTATTTCAATGACGGTCATATCCTATTATGTCCTGAAAGCACCAAATTTATTTGTTGCCCAATAATTTTACATCAGTATTTCTTTCTTTCTTTCTTTCTTTTTTTTTTGAGACGGAGTCTCGCTCTTGTTGCCCAGGCTGGAGTGCAGTGTCGCGATCTCGGCTCACTGCACCCTCCGCCTCCCAAGTTCAAGCAATTCTCCTGCCTCAGCCTCCCATGTAGCTGGGATTACAGGAGTGCACCACCACACCCAGTTAATTTTTGTATTTTTAATAGAGATGGGGTTTCACCATGTTGGCCAGGCTGGTCTTGAACTCCTGACCTCAGGTGATCCACCCACCTTGGCCTCCCAAAGTGTTGCGATTACAGGCGTGAGCCACCACGCCCGGCCTTACATCAGTATTTCTTAAAGAGAAGCAAATGCCTGAATTTAATGCACAGATTTAGTTGTTGTGGCAATTGTTACAGAAGGCATTTGTGGTAAGTGGATTTCTTTCTAACCATATGTGAAGCTTCAAACCTTAATAAGCAAACACATAGTAAGTAGAAATTGATTTCTACAAAACCAGGCTTCATAAAGTTGTATAGTCTACAGAAATAACACATTACATATTTTTCAGATTTTTTTAGTAGTACACAATTACTTCCCCCAAAGTAGACAAACCAAAGTTTTGATTAAAAGATTTACACTAACTGGCTGGGCTTGAGGCCAGAAGTTTGAGAACTGCCTGGGCAACACAGTGAGACCCTGTCTCTACAAAAAATCTTTTTAAATTACCCTGGCATGGTGGCACATGCCTGCAGTCTAAGCTACTTGGGAGGCTGAGGTGGGAGGATCGCTTGAGCTTGGGAGTTAGAGGCTGCGGTAAGCCATGCTGCAGCTCCAGCCTGAGCGACAGAGTAAGACCTTGTCTCCCCGCCCACTCCCACCAAAAAAAAAAAATCACACTGTGAAGCCTTGTAAACTACATACGTTGATTATTTTTTTCAAAACCACCTTTGAATGAAATAATTTACCCTTGGATGAATATCTAAATGTGGTTTTTTTCAATATGCTTTAAAGGAAAACTCTTCTGAAGTTTGAAGTTTCTCGTGTTTTTTTGTTTGTTTGTTTTACTGAGATGGAGTTTCGCTCTTATTGCCCAGTCTAGAGTGCCCAGCCGAGATCACCGCAACCTCCGCCTCCCTGATTCATGTGATTCTCCTGCCTCAGCCTCCCGAGTAGCTGGGATTAAAGGCGTGCGCCACCATGCCTGGCTAACTTTGTATTTTTTGTAGAGATGGGGTTTCTCCATGTTGGCCAAGCTGGTCTCGAACTCCCAACCTCAGGTGATCGGCCCGTGTTGGCCTCCCAAAATGCTGGGATTACAGGCGTGAGTAACGCACCCAGCCTTAAGTTTCCATTTTTATAATCAATTTCATTTTAGCTAAATTGCTGACAGCAATTCCTAAAACAACTTAGTATTTGTCACTCTCTAAATATGCTTGAGCTAAGAAATTTGCAATGGGAAGGGGGCAAGGCAAGATGGTGGAATAGAAGGCTCCACCCATCGTCCTGCAAAAACACCAATCTAACAACTATCTATACAAAACAAGCAACTTCATAAGAACCAAAAATTGGGTGAGCACCCACAGTACCTGGTTTTAACTTCATATCAGCAGAAAGAAACACTGAGGAGGTAGGAAAAAGTCTTGAATCACAGATGCCATCCCTCCACCATCCCCCAGTGGCAGCGTGGTATGGACAGTGTTCCTGTGCTCTGGGGAGAGGGAAAGTCAGCAATTGTGAGGCACTGAACTCAGTGCTGCTCTGCTATAGCAGAAAGAAAATCCGGACCAAACTCAGCTGACGCCCGCCCACGCAGGGAGCATTTAAACCAACTCTAGACAGAGGGGAATCACCGATTCCAGCGGTCAGATCTTGAGTTACTGCAAGCCTCACCACCACGAGCTAAAGTGCTCTGGGGCTCACCATAAACGTTAAGGCAGACTAGGCCACAAAGACTACAACTTCTAGGCAAGTCGTGCTGGACTAGGCCCAGAGCCAGAGGACTAGACAGGGCATGTGAACTACTGGGACACCAACTGGGGAAGCTAAGAGTGCTGGCATTACCCTTCCCCTAATGCCAGGCTGCACAGCTCATGGATCCAAAAGAGACCCCTTCCTTCCATTTGAGGTGAGGAGAGAGAACAGTGAGGAGGACATTGTCTTGCATCTTGAATACCAGGTCAGCCACAGCAGAATAGGGCAACGGTCAAAGTCATGAGGCCCCCTTCCCAGGCCCTAGCTCCAAGACAACATTTCTAGACACACCCTGGGCCAGAAGGAAACTTGTTGCCTTGAAAGGAAGGACCTACTCCTGGCAGAATTCATCACCTGCTAACTGAAGAGCCCTTGGGCCCTAAACAACCAGCAGCTATACCTAGGTACTACCTCAAGGGCCTTGGTGAGCCTCTGAGACTCGTAGGTTTCAGTTATGTATGACCTAGCACATTCTCAGCTGTGGTGGCTAAGGGGCAAGGCTCCTTCTGCTTGAGAAAAGCAGAGGGAAAAGTAAAGAGGGCTTAGACTTGCATCTCAGGTGCCATCTCAGCCACGGGGAGGTAGAGCACCAAGTGGGCTCTTGGGGTCCCCGATTCTAGAACTTGGCTCTTGGACAGCATCTCTGGACCTGCCTTGGGCCAGAGAGAAACCCACTGCCCTGAATGGCAAGTCCTAGGCCAGGCAGCATTCATCACTAGCTCACTGAAGAGCCTTTGGGCCTTAAGAGAACATTGGCAGTAGTCTGGCAGTACTGTCCGTGGGCCTGTGGTGGCAATGCCCATGGGAGGAAGCTCCTCTGCCTTGGGAAAGGGGAGGGAAAAGTGGGAAGGACTGCGTCTTGTGGTTTGAGTGCCAGTTGAGCCACAGTATATTAGAACACCAGGTAGACTTGTAAGGTTTTTGACTCCAGTCCCTGACTCCCAGACAGCACCTGGACCCATCCAGAGCCTGGGGAAACTTGCCACCCTGAAGGCAAGGACACAGGCCTGGCCCACATTGCCACCTACTGATTGTAGAACCCCAAGGCCTTGAGTGAACATAGGTGGTAGCCAGAGAGTAGTTACAGCAGGCCTTGGGTGAGACCCACTGCTAGGCTGACTTCAGTTCTGACCCAGCGCGGTCCTAGTAGATGGTAACCAAAGGGGTGCTGTGTCACTCCACCCCCAACCAGGTGGCTCAGAACAGAAAGAGGAACCTTTTTTGGGAGAAAGGGAAGAGAGCAAGAGTTTCTGCCTGGTAATGCAAAGAATTCTTCCAGATCTTGTCCAAAATCATCAAGGTGTTACCTCTACGAGTCTGAAAGAACCACAGTATTACTGGGCTTGGTATGCCCCCTAAAGCACTCACAGCTTACAGCACAACACCCAAGTCCTTTTGAATATCTGGAAAGCCTTCCCAAGAAGCATTGGTACATCAAGCCCAGACTGCAAAGACTACAATAAATATCTAACACTTCAATACCCAGACACAGACAAACATCTTTAAATATCAAGACATTCCAGGAAAACATGTCCTCACCAAATATACTAAATAAAGCACCAGGGACCAATCCTGGAGAAAGAGATATGTGACCTTTCAGACAGAAAATTCAAAATAGCTTTTTTAAGAAACCTCAAATTCAAGATAACACAGAAAAGGAATCAGAATTCTATCAAATTTAACAAAGAGATTGAAATAATTAAAAATAATCAAGCAGAAATTCTGGAGATAAAAAATGCAATTAGCCTACTGAAGAATGCATCAGAGTCTTTTAATAGCAGAACTGATCAAGCAGAAAAAGGAATTAGTTTGAAGACAGGCTATTTGAAAATACACAGAGGAGACAAAAGAATAAAGAACAATGAAGCATGCCTACAGGATTTACAAAAAATAGCCTCAAAGAGACAAATGTATATTGGCCTTAAAGAGGAGGTAGAGAAAGAGACAGGGGCAGAAAATTTATTCAAACGGATAATAACAGAGAATTTCCCAAACCTAGATGAAGATATCACTAGCCAAGTACAAGAAGGTTATATAGAACATCAAGTGGGTTTAACCCAAAAAGACCACCTCAAGGCAGTTAATAAACTCCCAAAGGATAAAGAAAAGATCCTAAAAGCAGCAAGGAAAAAGAAACAGCATACAATGGAGCTCCAATACATCTGGCAGTGGACTTTTCAGTGGAAACCTTGCAGACCAGGAGAGAGTGGCATGACATACTTAAAGTGCTGAAGGAAAAAACTTTTACCCTAGAATAGTATACCTGGTGAAATATTCTTCAAACATAAAGGAGAAAGAAATTTGTCGTCCCCAGACAAAAGCTGACGGATTTCAATACCAGAACTATTCTACAAGAAATGCTAAAGGGAAAACTTCAATCAGAAGGAAAAGGAAGTTAATGAGCAATAAGAAATCACCTAAAGGTACAAAACTCACTGGTAATAGTAAGCACACAGAAAAACACAGAATATTCTGACACTGTAACTGTGGTGTGTAAACTACTCTTATTCTAAGTAGCAAAACTAAACAATGAGCCAAACAAAAAATAACTACAACTATTCAAGACACAAAGTATAATAAGATATAAATAGAAACAACAAACAGTTAAAAAGCAGGGGGATAAAGTTAAGACATAGAGTTTTTATTAGTTTCATTTTTGCTTGTTTATGCAAAGTGTTAAGTTATCTGCTCAAAATAATGGGTTATAATATTTACATGCTTTATGGTAAACTCAAACCAAAAACATAAAAGATACACAAAAAATAAAAAGCAAGAAACTAATCATATCGCCAGAGAAAATCACCTTCACTGAAAGGAAGACAGGAAGGAAAGAAAGAAGGAGAAGACCATAAAACAACCAGAAAACAACAAAATGGCAAGAGTAAGTCCTTATTTATCAATAACTTTGAAATGTAAATGGACTAAACTCTCCAATCAAAAGACAGAGAGCAGTTGAATGGATAAAAAACAAGACTCAATAATCGGTTGCCTCCAAGAAACACAATTCACCTACAAAGACACACATAGACCAAAAATAAATGGATAGAAAAAGATATTCCATGCCAACAAAAACAAACAAAAAGAGCAGGAGTAGCTATACTTACATCAGACAAAACAGATTTCAAGACAAAAACTATAAGAGACAAAGAAGGTCACCATATAATGATAAAGGTGTCAATTCAGCAAGAGGATATAACAATTTTAAACATATACGCACCCAGCACTGAAGCACCCAGATATGTAAATATTATTTGAGCTAAAAAGGGAGAGATCCCAATACAATAATAGCTGGAGACTTCAACACCCCACTTTCAGCATTAGACAGTTTGTCCACACAGAAAAAGAAACACTGGACTTAATCTGCACTGTAGACCAAATAGACCTAAGAGATATTTACAGAACATTGCATCCAATGGCTGCAGAATACACATTCTTTTCCTTATCGCATGGATCATACTCAAGGATAGACCATATGTTAGGTCACAGAACAAGTCCTAAAACATTCAAAAAAAAAAAAAGTAATATCAAACATCTCTGACCACAATAAAAACTAGAGATCAATAAGAAGAGGAATTTTGGAAACTATATAAACACATGCAAATTAAACAACATGCTTCTGAATGGCCAGTGGGTCAATGAAGCAATTAAGAATGAAATTGAAGGATTTCTTAAATGATAATGGAAATACAACACACCAAAACCTATGGGATACAACAAAAGCAGTGCTAAGAGGAAAGTTTATAGCTACCTCAAGTACCTACATTAAAAAAAAAAAAACTTCAAATAAACAACCTAACAATACATCTTAATTAGAAAAGCAAGAGCAAACCAAACCCAAAATTCCTAGAAGAAAAGAAATAATAAAAGATCAGAGCAGAAATAAAATTGAAATCAAGAATACAAAATGTTGTATTTTTGGAATCATGAAAACATGAAACAAAACGTTGGTTTTTTGGAAAAGTGAAACAAAATTGGCAAACCTTTAGCCAGACTAAGAAAAGAAAAGATCCAAATGAATAAAATCAGATATGAAAAATGAGACATTACAACTGGTACTGCAGAAATTCAAAGGATCATTAGTGGCTACTATGGGCAATTATATGCCAATAAATTGGAAAATCTAGAAATGGACAAATTCCAAGAAATATACAATACCAAGATTGAACCATGAAGAAATCCAAAACCTGAACAGACCAATAGAAGTAATGAGATCAAAGAACTTTCCCAGTAAACAAAAGCCCAAGACCCAATGGTTTAACTGCTGAATTCTACCAAACATTTAAAGAAGAACTAATATTAATACCAATCCTACTCAAACTATTCTGAAAAATAGAGAATGAGGGATAGTTCCAAACTCATTCTACGAAGCCAGTATTATGCTGATACCAAAAACACAGACACATCAAAACAAAAACAAAAACATACAAACAAAAAACTACAGAACAATATCTCTGAAGAATATTGATGCAAAAATGCTAAATAAAATACTAGCAAACTGACCTCAACAATACATTAGAGGCCAGGCACAGTGGCTCACGCCAGTAATCCCAGCACTTTGGGAGGCTGAGGTGAGCAGATCACTTGAGATCAGGAGCTCGAGACTAGCCTGGTCAAATAGTGAAATGCCGTCTCTACTAAAAAAAAAAAAAAAAAAAAAAATTATCCAGGTGTGGTGGTGCAGGCCTGTAATTCCAGCTACTCAGGAGGCTGAGGCAGAACAATCACTTGAACCCAGGAGGCGAAGGTTGCAGTGAGCTGAGATAGTGCCACTATACTCCAGCCTGGGCGACATAGTGAGACTCTGTCTCAAAAAAAAAAAAAAAAATACATCAACAGAATGAAGGAAAAAAAACATATGGTCATTTCAATTGATGCTGAAAAAGTATTTGACAAAATTCAACATCCCTTCATGATAAACACCTTCAAAAAAACTCGGTATAAAAGGAACATACCTCAACATAATAAATGCCACATACAACAGACCCATAGCTAATATAATGAACAGGGAAAAAGTAAAAGGCTTTCCTCTAAGATCTGCAACATGACAAGGATACCCACTTTCACCACTGTTGTTCAACATAGTACTGGAAGTCCTAGCTAGAGAAATCAGACAAGAGAAAGAAAGAAAGGGCATCCAAACTGGAAAGGAAGAAGTCAAATTCTCCTTGTTTGCAGATTATAGAATCTTATATTCAGAAAAAACTGAAGACCATCAAAAAACTATTGGAACTGGTATGCAAATTCAGTAAAGTTGCAGGACACAAAATCAACATAAAAAAATCAGTAGCATTTCTATATGCCAACAGTGAACAATCTGAAAAAGAAATTTTAAAAGTAATCCCATTCACAATAGCCACACTGAAAATCAAATACATAAGAATTAACCAAAGAAGTTGAAGATCTCTATAATGAAAACAATAAAATACTGATGAAAGAAATTGAAGAGGACACCAAAAAAATGGAAAAATATTCCACGTTCATGGATTGGAAAAAATCAACATTGTTAAAATGTTCACACTATCCAAAGCAATGTACAGATTCAATGCAATCCCTATCAAAATATGAATGACATTCTTCACAGAGATAGAAGAAACAATCCTAAAATTTATATGGAACCATGAAAGACCCAGAATAGCAAAATCTATCCTAAGCAAAAAGAGCAAAACTAGAGGAAACGCATTTCCTGACTTCAAATGATACTACAGAGTAATCAAAACAGCACAGTTTTGAATAGACACACAGACCAATGGAACAGAATAGAGAAACCAGAAACAAATCCACACATCTACCGTTAATTCATTTTTTACAAAAGTGCCAAAAATATGTTAGGGAAAGGACAGTCTCTTCAATAAATGGCGCTGGGAAAACTGGATATCCATAGGCAGAATAATGAAACTAGATCCCGTATCTCTCACCACATACAAAAATCAAATCAAAGATTAAAGACTTCAATCTTAGACCTCAAACTATGAAACTACTACAAGAAAACATTGGGAAAACCTTCCAGAACATTGGTCTGAGCAAAAATTTCTCAAGCAATACCCCACAAGCATAGGCAACCAAAGCAAAAATGAACACATTGGATCACATCAAGTTAAAAAGCTTCTGCACAGTAAATGATACAATCAACAAAGTGAAGTGACAACCCACAGAATGGGAGAAAATATTTGCAAACTATCAATCTGACAAGTGATTAATAACCAGAATATGTAAGGAACCCACCTCTATCAGCAAAAAATCTAATCCGATTAAAAAATGGGCAAAAGATTTCTCAAAACAAGACATGCAAATGGCTAACAGGCATATGAAAAGGTGCTCAACATCACTGATCATCAGAGAACACCAATCAATACTACAATGAGATATCATCTCACCCCAGTTAAGATGGCTTATTTCCAAAAGACAGGCAATAACAAATGCTGCAGAGGATGGGGAGAAAAGGGAACCCTCGTACAGTTAGTAGGAATGTAAATTAGTACAACCACTATGAAGAGCAGTTTGGAGGTTCCTCAAAAATCTAAAAATAGAACTACAATATTATCCAGCAATCCTACTACTAGGTATATACCCAAAATAAAGGAAAATCTGTTTGTCAAAGAGATATCTGCCATATTTGTTGCAGCACTGTCCATAGTAGCCAAGATTTGGAAGCAACCACAAATGAATGGATTTTTAAAATGTAGTACTTATACACAATGGAGTACTATTCAGCCATTAAAAAGAATTAGATCCTGTCATTTACAACAACATGGATGGAACTAGAGGTCATTATGTTAAGTGAAATAAGCCAGGCACAGAAAGACAAACATAACATGTTCTCACTTATTTATGGGATCTAAAAATTAAAACAATTGAATTCACGAAGATAGAAGAGTAGGATGGTTACCAGAAGCTGGGAAGGGCAGTGGGGTGGGTGGGTGATGGTTAATAGGTATAAAAAAATAGAAAGAATAAGACATAGTATTTGACAGCACAACAGAGTGACTATAGTCAATAATTGTACATTTTAAACTAAAAGAGTATAATTGGATTGTTTGTAACACAAAGAATAAATGCTTGAGGAATGGATGGATAGCTCATTTTCTATGATGTGATTATTATGCATAGCATGCCTGTATCAAAACATCTCATGTACCTCATAAACATATACACTTACTATGCACCCACAAAAATTAAAAATTAAAAAGATACCTGCAATACTTAATTAATCATTTTATTGTCAACAAGAAAAGTATACTTACTGTCAAGGAGGTAGGAAAGTTAAGTCCTAATTGAATCTACATCAAAAGAAAAAGAAAAAAAGAAACTTTCTATTTAAATCTGTTGAAAGCTTCGATTATTCAACTGACCTGAGAAAATGAAACTTGGGTACACTATTCCTGGGTACATTTGCATCTTTCCTCAGAAAGCCCGCATAGGAGCTTTCATTGCACTAACTTCCAACCCTCTGCTGTCTTCCCAGCCACTATGGATCAAGCTGCATATTAATGAGTAGGAGCAGCCAGAATACAGGAAACTCGGCCAAGAATACTAGGACAGACAAGAAAAGAGCTCACTATTTTCAAGAAAACATCTTTTAAGAGTTCTGGGCTCCCAGAAGTCAGGCCAAACCAGAGAGAAACTGCCTTTGGATGGGGATAAATAAGTTTGAGCTTTGTGCCCAAAGGGGATGGTAAAATACTTTTCTTCTTTTTTTGTACCATCTGTTTTAATAAAGGTAAATCTGGGTTACAGCAGCTTCATACTTACATCAGAATTACTTGATTTGTTTGGAGATACAACAAAATCCATAGTATTAGGAATCAAGAACTTGAAGGAATGTATTATTTTTTTAAGAGCCATCTGGAAGCACTGTCAAATTACTTCTTTTCTCTATCTACTCCTGGGAGCAATTATAGATATTCCCTGAAAATATCTTAAAGATAAAACACATTATCTAAAAACTTGAGAATTTGGTATAAAGTATATTTCATTTGCCACAAAATAAATAATTCCCCTATAACAACTTTTATTCATTGATTTTTTTTTTTAAGTTGATGTATGGCTGGGCGCAATGGCTCACGCCTGTAATCCCAGCACTTTGGGCGGCCGAGGTAGGTGGATCACGAGGTCAGGAGATCGAGACCATCCTGGCTAGCACGGTGAAACCCCGTCTTCTACTAAAAATACAAGAAAAAAAATAGCTGGGCATGGTGGTGGGCGCCTGTAGCCCAGCTACTCAGGAGGCTGAGGCAGGAGAATGGCATGAACCTGGGAGGCAGAGCTTGCAGTAAGCCGAGATCGGGCCACTGCACTCCAGCCTGGGCAACAGAGTGAGACTCCGTCTCAAAAAAAAAAAAAAATTAGCTGGGCGTGGTGGCACGCACTTGTAGTCCCAGCTACTTGAGAGGCTGAAGCTGAAGAATCACTTGAACCTGGGAGGCAGAGGTTGCAGTGAGCCAAGGTCGCACCTCTAGCCAGGGGACAGAGTGAGACTCAGTCTCAAAAAAAAAAAAAAAAAAAAAAAAAAAAGTTGATGTATATGTATATAAATAACCTTCTCATTCTTACAAACCATTTTTCAAATTTTAGCTTTTTTTTTTTTTTTACAAAATGCAGCTTTTCTCCACAATGCTGTATTTTATCATAAATACCTGATAAAGTTCTATCAGTATTTCAAAATTCTCATCATCGTATTGCACAGACTATAATCTCATGGAGAGCTGCAAACAAGCCTATCTTGGAACTTTTTGTGTTACATGCGAATTGGTAAAGCGCTGCACATTTCTGCAGCATGTCCCCCTTCTGAATAATCTATAGGTCAATATTGTCTAGAAAAAGTATGGATTAGTTTTTCTCCATCTTATAGCATCTTGGTGCCCATCTAGTCTGCACCCTCTATTATACAGTTAGGGAAATCCCAAGGCAAAACTTCCCTTACATTACAAAGTGGTATAGCTAGAAAGTGAAAGGAACCTAACTATTCTGAGTTTTAGGCTAGGGCAAACAAACTTATTCTGTAATTTCTTAGTACTTCTCAGCATTTTCACAGCACCTATCAAAATCCCTAGCATGTAGTAGACATTTAAAAAATACAAATGACCCCTGAACAACACAAGTTTGAAGTACATGGGCCCACATACATGCAGATTTTCTTCGGCCTCTGCCACCCAAGACAGCAAGACCAATCCCTCCTCCTCCTCATCCTCCTCAGAATATGATAAAGATGAAAAGCTTTATGATGATCCACTTCCACTAATGAATAGTAAATATATTTTCTCTTCTTTATGATTTTCCTAATAACATTTTCCTTTATCTAGCTTTCCTTACTGTAAGAATACAGTATATATGTAACATGCAAATCCGTGTCAATTGACTATGTAATTGGTAAGGCTTCTGGTCAACAGAAGGTCATTAGTAGCTAAGTTTTCAGAAAGTCAAAGTTATACAAAGATTTTCAAATGTACAAGGTTGGTTCCCCTAACCCCCCACCCCCAGTTGTTCAAGGGTCAACTGTATTTACTGGTTGATAAAACTGAAGCCACCTTCAATCTTGAATCCATTCAAGCACATGGGCTGATCCATTACCAGACTGAATTCTCTCAACATACACAAATTGTCAGCTTTGCTGACATCAGTGGGCAATGGTTTTCTAACTGAAAAATAATGTTTCCAAAATATTGTAGACTTGGTCAAAAGCAGAATTTAAAAGCTAATGGGAAACAAAACAGTCCTCCCACCCCAAAGCCAATCTCAGCTGATGAAGATTCTTGCCCCCCTTAGTTGAGGCAGGCAGATCACGAGTTTAAGACCAGCCTGACCAACATGGTGAAACCCCATCTCTATTAAAAATACAAAAATTAGCCAGGCGTGGTGGCATGTGCCTGTAATCCCAGTTCAATGGGATCCCAGCTCAATGGGATTACTAAAACAAGCACTTAGTGCTGTATACATTCTCTAATTTACAATTTTATACACAGAGGAAAACACCAAAACCTGGATGAGTCGGGAAAAGACTTTGAAGAGAATGCAGAACGTGAATACACCCTTATAAAATGTTGACTTAAGGCAGAGAAGATGAAGAACCATGTAAGAGGAAAGAATGGCACGGGCAAAAAAGCTTCAAGGAATGCATGTGAAACGTACAGTGTTGGTTGGTGTGTGTCTCCACTAAATGGTTTAGAAATCATGGAAAGTCAAACTGAATAAAGAAAAAATATTCAGGAGGCTGATGCAGGAGAATCGCTTGAACCCGGAAGGCAGAGGTTGCAGTGAGCTGAGATCGTGCCACCGCACTCCAGCCTGGGTGACAGAGTGAGACTCCGTCTCAAAAAAAAAAAAAAAAAAAAAAAATCATGGCAGTGGGGAACTCCTCTGCTTTCAGTATGCCCTATCCAAAGCCATCACTACCTTCCCAGGAATACTGCACCCAACCTTTCTTCCTCCCTTAAATGATCAAGTGTCCCTCATTCTTTGCTGAATTCCTCTGGCCTGTGAAGACATGAAGCCCCTTTCTACTCCTGCCTGAAAAGATATTCCCTCACTCTCAGTCCCCACCTCCTGTCTCCTATATTTTCTTCGATTTCTATAAATATTTCAATGCTTCCCTCACATAAAAAGTTTTCTGAAGTAACAAATTTCCATGTTCTCTAACATATCATTTCAGACTATAAAAAGAAAAAATTTAAGGTATCATGTTACATTTATTACAAATGAATTCTTTTTAAAAATTCAGGTGACATCTCATTAAACTTTCTCTTATAACCCATATTATGTTCCCAAATTCATGCAAAAAAAATCAATTTTTAAAAATAAGAGTTTAGAGAATCAAATCACTTAAATTTTTGAGTTGTCAATACTTGGCCAGACTCTGTTATAGAATACCTAATTCTACAAGAATTTGTATTTCTCTACCCACAAAAATTAAAAATTAAAATTTTTAATTTATATTTCTCCTCAAGTGTTAGATTAAAATGAGCACTTCAGGCTGTATACATTCTCTAATTAATTTGCAATTTTATACACACATGCAAAAAAATACCAAAACCTGGATGAGTCAGGAAAAGACTTTGAAGAGAACATAGAACTTGAATACAGCCTTATAAAATGTTGACTTAAGGCAGAGAAGATGAAGAACCATCTAAGAGGAAAGAATGACATGGGCAAAAAAGCTTCAAGGAATGCATGTGAAATGTACAGTGTTGGTTGATGTGTGTCTCCACTAAATGGTTTAGAAATCATGGAAAGTCAAACTGAATAAAGAAAAAAATATGATTATTCCAGATTGTCGTGAACCATGAAGTTTAGGCAAAGGAGTTCAGACTTGGCTTTTTTGTTTGTTTCAGTTTTTTTTAAGCCAATGTAAATTTTAAGAAAATAAGAGTGGAAGGATGTTTTAGAGAATCAGGTCTGTCAACAATGTAAAGACTAGAACAGCAGTGAAGAGGGCGAGCAGCAGAGGGAGGTGGTAATTAGTAGGGAGAGCCAAAAGAAGGTTCAGACAGTGATGTAGGCACATGCAGATAAGGGCGGTGGGTCGCTGGGGGGAGAAAATCATACAAAGGAAGCTTGAGAGTTCAAAGAAAGACACCATAATTAAAGGGTAACCATTCCCAAAGTATTTCACTCTAAGATTCCTTTAAATATTGGATCTGCTTCATAAACGTCCTCATCAAACACAAGTGGTTATTTTCAAAAGGCTGGTGTTTTAAGCTTACCTATCCCTACCATGAGCTTAAAACAGCAGGTAGAAGACATCTTAAAGATGTTTTAAAGAAAACAGATCAAGCCAATACGATAGATAGTGAGATGATATTTTTTAGCAGCAGCTACCATTTACTGAGGGCTTACTATGTGTCAAACACTGTGCTAGGCCTTCTGCCAACATCATCTTTCCTCCTCACAATTCTGTAGGTATCGTTAGTTCCTTTTCTAAGACTTTATTTTTTTTAGAGCAGTTTTAGGTTCACAGTAAAATTGAGGGAGATACAGATCCCAACCTCCCTACTTCCACACCTGCACAGCCTCCTCCTTTATCCACATCCTCCATGGGGTGGTGCATTTGTTACAACTGATGAACCAACATTGACCCGTCATTATCACCCAGAGTCCATAGTTCACATTAGGGTTCACTCTTGGTGTTGACATTTTATGTGTCTGGACAAATACATAATAATGTGTATCCACTATTAAACTCAGTCTAACAAAAATGATCAACCTGAAGAAGGGTACACCTTTAAAACTAGCAGAGCCAATATTTATCCCATACTATATGTGTTGCATAAGATGGAAACATACCTGAATTAGCACTTAGAACCTCTGACAAATAGTATGCTTTTAATAAATATATCTCAGTCATCAAAATTAGGATATAATTAGGTACTATTTTAACAGAATTGGAGGATTTACACTTTCAATAAAAGTTAAGCAGCTTGGTGGCTCATGCCTGTAATCCCAGCACTTAGGCAGGCTGAGGCAGGTCCATCACTTGAGGTCAAGAGTTTGAGACCAGCCTAGCCAACATGGTGAAACCCATCTCTACTAAAAAGACAAAAGTTAGCTGGGCATGGTGACGGGTGCCTGTAATCCTAGCTACCCAGGAGGCTGAGGTAGGAGAATTGCTTGAACCCAGGAGGCGGAGGCTGCTGTGAGCCCAGACTGTGCCACTGCACTCCACCCGGGCAACAGAGCAAGATTCCATCTAAGATTAAAAAAAAAAAAAAAAGCTAAGCAGCTCAAGTGCCTCTATCTTGGGATTCAGAAAAGTGTTTCGGTTATTTGAGAATTGTATCTTTTTATTACAAACAAAACTTACTTCTCAAATTTATACAATTAGTCATTTAAAAAGGAAATCATTGAACAAGACTGCAAAACAATTCTCAAAAACACTTATTTTCAAATTATAATATTCAATAAGAAGCAATTTCTGGCCAGGTGCGGTGGCTCACACCTGTAATCCCAGCACTTTGGGAGGCTGAGGAAGGTCGGTCACGAGGTCAGGAGTTCGAGACCAGTCTGACCAACATGGTGAAACCTGGTGTCTACTAAAAATACAAAAATTAGCCAAGCGTGGTGGTGCATATGCCTATAATCCCAACTACTCAGGAGGCTGAGGCAGGAGAATCACTTGAACTCGAGAGGCAGAGGTTGCAGCGAGCCGAGACTGTGCCACTGCACTCTAGCCTGGGCAACAGAGCGAGATTCCATCTCAACAACAAAAAAAAGCAATTTCTTCTGAAGTATCACATAGTTGAAAAAGTCATCTGTATTGAAAAGTTTAAAAACATAAAACATACAAATAAAACCACCTTTTCAAAAAAGAGACACAGGCATTGCTGTGTTATTAATACTGTTATTACCTGAAAATCTGGTTTTTACTTAAAAGGAGCAGGGACTGAGAGATAAGGAAATAGGGTGATAAGAAACAAAATGAAGGAGACAAACGATAAATTATTATTTCTTAATAAAAGTTTCAACTTAGTTTATGTGTTTTTACACGGGTACATATTTTAAATGTATCTACTAACTTAAAATGTTTGTTCTAGAGTCAATTAATATTGGTAGAATACTTACTATCTATAGGCACAGATTTAAGGAATTTTACATACTTCAACTCCTTTATCCTACAGCTGATTTATATGGTCTCTGACCTTGAATACAGAGTCAATAATTTTGAAACCTAAACATCTAAAAGGCCTCTGGGGCCTGACCAGGAATTCTGGAACAAGAGTCATCTGTCACTGAGGCACAGCATGATGTGTGTAAACCTTTAAAACCATAAAAGACAAAATAAGTGTTTCCAGGTCACATCTTACTATGTGGTTCTGTTCTAATGATGTTTCTGTTTAGTGTTATTGTATGATTTGATGACAGGATAATAGAGTTATATATGATAATCATTTTCAATAAGGTCCATAAACACCAGCATGATCTGACAGCAATGTGGACCACACTGAAACGTCAATGCATTCCTCCAATGCAACAGGGCCCCGGGCACTCAGCACTCTGGCCTTTCCCTCAACCACAAAGGTTCTCCGGCTCCTCTCCCATCTTTGCTCAAAAGTCACCTTAATGAGGCCTACCCGGCCTACTGAAAATTGTAACCCTCTCTCTCTCTCCTGGATGTCCATTAGCCTGTTTTATTTGTTCTATAGCACTAATCACCTTATAACGTACTATAATATTGACTTTTTGTTATTGTAGTGTTTTTCTTTTTTCTTTTTTTTTTTTTTTGGGACAGAGTCTTGCTCTGTTGCCCAGGCTGGAGTGCAGCAGTGTGATCTCAGCTCATTGCAGCCCCCACCTCCTAGGTTCAAGCAATTCTCCTGCCTCAGCCTTCCGAGTAGCTGGGACTACAGGTGTGCACCACCATGCCCAGCTAATTTTTGTATTTTTAGTAGAGATGGGGTTTCACCATGTTGGCCACGATACTCTTGATTTCCTGACCTTGTGATCTACTCACCTCAGCCTCCCAAAGTGCTGGGATTACAGGCGTGAGCCACCCCACCTGGCCTGTAGTGTTTTTTCTCTGCCTCCACAAACATCACCAGAGCAGGAATTTTGGTCTTTTTGTTCACTGAAGAACCTGAAGAATTTAAAAGGTGTCTGGCAGAAAATAAGTGCTCAATGTATACTGTTAAAAATGTTTTAAATGAATGAGTGTATGATATAATCAGCAAAAAGATAAACCTAGAGCCAACATTTCTTTATACTCTTTCAGGTGGGAGAAAAACTTAAATACAAGCAGTTACCATAGAATCTTAGTACAAGTTCTCAAGAACCTACAATTTCCTCTTGTCATCTAATTATAGGAATACAATAGCCTTTCCAATGCATCTTTCTTACTCAAGCATCTTCCAACTCAGTAATTCCAGAAACATCTTAACATTCTCAACATACCACACAAATCCCTTGTTACATACCACATAAATCCCTTGTTATAGGTTTTCAATACGGAATTACAAGAAAATTAAATACACCAATATTTTTAACCCCTAACTCCAAAGAACCTGTTGTAAGGATTAGAAATAATATATTGAAAAGACTCAGCATATACAGGTAATTGAATTAAAAATTCTTATCAACCAGCCACTTGGGAGGCTGAGGTGGGAGGATCATATGAGCCTGGGAGGCAGAGGTTGCATAAGCCCCTGCAGATTGCACCACAGCACTCCTGCCTGAGCGGCAGAGCAAGACACTGTCTCGAGGAAAAAAAAAAAAATTCTTATCAATACTTCATGGAAATGTGGTAGAATAAATCAGTGACTATCCATGGAGGAAAAAGTAGGAATACACAACTCCCTCAATATAATCTGCCAATCTGGAATTGTTGAAGTTCTACCTAAATCAGCAACTCCTGAGGGTAAGGGGTGAGGGGTAAACTGATTAAAAAGCTAAATTCATTAATTCAAGAAAAAATTGAGTGTGTACTTACAAATGTGAGGGTCTGTCCTCCATTCTGGGTTTACAGTCATGAGCAAATGAAACGTGACTCTGCTCTCCTGCAGCTTACAACCTGGTAAGAAAACATTTCTCTACTTTTACACAATCACACAGTCCCAAGGAGGAAACACTGGTGTATTCAAATAAGAACTGTTTGAGCCCATTAAGAATTTTAATTAAAATGGCACACACTACTGCCTGAAATAAATGAATTATGAGACATGAGTACTTTAATGTGAATGTTGTTCTTCATGTGTCAAAATTGTGATTCCCAGTTTTACAAACATCCGTGATGGAGAGTAAAATCTTGGTCATCATTTGCATCCACTAGGACACAACATCCAACTCTCAGCTTCTCCTTTCTGTACTAATCTCCCAAAAACAGTGAATCACCAAAGGACCAGCATTGGTTACCAAAATGAATATATTTTGTTCTGTAGTTTCCTGTCCTGGGGGCGAAAATACAAAACAAAACAAAAAAATGGAGCAACGTACAGCACAAAATATTCAACTGGAGGCATCATGCCAAGAAAGCAACAGAAAGTTTTATACTTAAGCCAAGACTCCTGGGTTCCGTTCAAAATTTTAAATCGTGACAATTATCTTGATGTTTCTTGATGAATCAGATCTGTCTACAAAACAAAAGCTTGCTCGGGAGTTTTGTGTACTTTGAGGAATAATTATTTCCTAAGCTTATTCACTTTTTTAAGAAAGCAGCTTACAGACAGATTTAGAAGCCGGTGTGCTTGAGTGAAAACATTTGTAATCAGTCAACCTACAGAGGCATTTTGCTTGAAATGTCAATTGAAAACAATTTTGTGAGGAAAAAGAACTTAAAAAATTGATCCCATCAAAAAATATTTCTCACTTTTTTTTTTTTTTTTTTGAGATGGAGACTCGCTCTGTGCCCAGGCTGGAGTGCAGTGGCATAATCTCGCCTCACTGCAACCTCCACCTCAGGGTTCAAGTGATTCTCCTGCCTCCGCCTCCCGAGTAGCTGGGATTACAGATGCGCGCCATGCCCGGCTAATTTTAGTATTTTCACTAGAGACAGGGTTTCACCATGTTGGCAAGGCTGGTCTCAAACTCCTGACCTCAAGTGATCCACCTGCCTCGGCCTCCCAAAATGCTGGGATTACAAGGCGTGAGCCACTGCACCGGTGTCTAATTTTCTTACACACATTTCTCTTTCAACTTTGCAGTTTAAATTGTTGCCAAATTTTTCAAAGTCACCACTACTTTTAATGAGTTATGGTATGGAAGCTTGCATTTAATTATAACAGCGCTGCGTGACATTCAAATCTCTTCAATTTCATTGTTTCCTTCCCTCTTGGTGTAACTATATTAGTAAATAGCACATAATACACTGATGAACCTATTTTTATAGCTGATTAGCAAAATATATATTTTACTTTTCCAGACCGTACACACACACACAGTTGCTAAGCAGTTATTAAAATGCATCTATCAATAAACATCAATGTAGGAGTGTTTTCACTTATCTACTGCTGCATAACTAACCACTCTAAAACTTAATGGCTTAAAAAAATGAAAACAGCTATAGACAATCATAAATGAATGATCATGGCTATGTTTTAATAAAACTTTACGGACACTGAAAAAAAAAAAAAAACAATGGATTGTTTTGCTCAAGATTCTGCAATCTAGGCAAGGCTTAGCTGAACAGTTCTTCTGCTCACCTCCCCAGCCATCATATAAGGCTGCATTTAGCTGACCGAGACCAGGTAGGATACTTGGATGGCCAAGCCTCCGTCTCTCCCAGCATGTAGTCCTAGGGCCTCTCTCCATTCATGTGACCTCCCACTAAAATAACTGGACTTCTTAGATATAATTGCTGGGACTTCTCAAAGCTTAGGCCTGGAACTTGCACAGTATCGATTCTGCTGATTTTATCAGTTAAAGTCTCAGACTTATGCCACACACAGAAAGAAGGGCCTACCCAATGGTGTAAATACTGAAAGCAGTCGTTTTCTTGGAGCCCTCACTGTAACAGATCATAAGAGCAATTTATATTCCATCTTCAGAACTTATACTGTATTCCTGGGGGCTAAGAGCATAGAAGAGGCAAGAATTTTTTTTTTTAACTTCTGGGAAAATATTTGAAAGCAAGGCAATAGATGAGTAGTAGATTGGGGGTGAGGAATGAATATAGTCAACTATAAAATAGCATATCTGAACAGCATTAGTATAAAAATGTAGTCCTTCATATACCTTTTTAATGTAACTTGTTTATTGGTAAAATTAAGAAGGAGGTGTATATAGAGGCTTAGTTATTATGCAACACATAATCTTCAAGAAGCTGAACAAGGGAAATGATACACCAGGTTTATTACAGGAAAGTGTATACGCTACACTTCATCCACCATTAGGGTGAGTGTCAGGCTAACCAGCAGAATCAGTGGAAAGACAAGAACAAGCAATCTTTTAACCTTTCATCCAGAACCTCTCACAGTCCACTAGCCTGGGAGGGTGTCAGCTCTATACACTTCATCTAGTCAGTCGTCTCTCACTAGGAAAGGCAGAGAATACTCTCATTCCGTATACCCTTTGTATTTAATAGCTTTACTTCCTCAAGTCAATGAAGCCATTCTGAAACTTGATACTCTATGGATCTTCCTTAAATTGGACCTATATATAATATATATCCTTATTTCCTTCTATAAAGCCATCCAAAAAAAAAAACCAGGGAATTCTATTTTTTTTTTCTTTTTTCCACCATCAATACATTTATTTGCAGGAGATGGGGTCAAATCTTACTATGAACTGGACAGGACTAGAGACGCTGATCTGCCCAACCTCTGGGTATTCACAACTGCACAGGTAACCAGATCCTATATGTGAGGCATCGCCATTAAACAGATGAGCATTAGATGAGGAGGACACATTCTGAGTAGTCACATGATTTCCCATTCAGAGGAAGGTGCTGCCCTCATATAAAAAGAGTAGTGTTGAGAAAAACGCAGGCAGAGCCTAGCATTTGCCTACCAGCATAGGCCTAGACATGATGGTGGCCGTGTGCCAGGGGATCACGCCCTATTTACGAAGAAGGAGAATGATGCTCCCAGCTGACCTACAGGATGGGCTCTGGGCTGACTGGAGGGGTAGATAGGGTGGGTTCTGACCCCATTATCCTTTCCCCATCCAACCTGGGCCCCCACGAGCCATTCTCCAGCCCTCTGCACAAGACAGACTCAACAAATCCAGGAGGTATGGGGATTCTGCCAACTCCCCATTTCTCCCAACCTTTCCCAGGTCTGGCAGGTGACCCAATCCACTGGGTGCAGCCTCACCTCCACCCAACTCCACATCTGGATAGACACATGGCAAATATGGAAACTGAAGCCCGGCTGGGCGGGAGCACATCTGGTTGTTGTTGGGTTGGAGTCATCTTGCAGGTATCCCGAGATGGTCAGGCCTCACTCATGGTGGCCAGGTTAAGACTGTGTTTTTTAGATGATTCAGGTTACTCCAGGGTGAAAGATGATCCTGATGACACCCAGTGGAAAAGCAGGCTGGAGCCTTGGAAGAGCTGGCCCTACATACTCAGGTACTTCCAGCAGTGAATCCAGGATTTGAACACCGGGGAGTAACGGGGGAGCCCAGCCTGCAGCCCACAGTTGTTCACAGCCATGAGGTCGCCGACTAGCAGGAAGGGGTAGGTCAGCATGCTCACTGCAATCCCTGTCAAGCATTTGGTGTGGCTCCGGATGGCCAGGGCCTGGTGGAGGCTGTCATCCACCAGGTAGGCACTGATGAAGTAGGCCAGTAGGTTACAGCCTCACAAGAAAACCACATCACCCAGGAGGTGAGGGATTAATCCAACAAATTCCAGCAGCCCTTCCTCTTTGAAAAGCTTCCCAATGGAGCTCAGCACGCCACTATCCTTGGCTTCCCATCCCACAAACTGGACCATCCAGCACATTGAGATGACATGCAGGGGGTGGGTCAACATGCGGGACACGCACTGCATCATTATCCCATAGGAGGTCTCCTTCACAACTTTCTTCAGGGAAGTCTTCATATCACCCTTGTTGGAAACCTGCTAGATCTCATCTACAGGGAAAGCCTTCTTCATGCTACCCAGGTCACAGTGAAGAGGGCGTTGGACATCAGCTGGGGCCTCGGGCCTTGGAACAGCCCTATCTTACCATCCACTTGCACAATGTATTTGGCATAGGTGAAGAAGCTTGGCAGATAGAGGACCTTCCTCCCCAGCACATAAGGCTTTGTGTTTGGGTCTTCCTTAATTAAAGCAAGTTCGATCTCATCGTAACAAAGTTCTTCTAAATTACCTCGTATTTTGATAACATGCCATAAAACTCATCTGTTAAGCTTTAATAGCTACACATGCCAACCAACTTAATGTAATATCTAATATTTTTCAAAGAAAAAAAGCATATGTATTACAACTGACCTTTATTGGTATTTCTTCAGTTTAACCTAAATGTTGACAAGCTTTTTCCATTTATTATTTAAATTTGGAGAGGTCAAATCTTAGGAAAAGCAAAAACGTTAAGGAACACAAAGAATTCTATTCAAAGAAACTCACAAAATAAATTTTGGAGCACAAACTGTGGTATGACAGTTTTCCTTTGTATTTCTAAACATCTACTAATAAGACTTTCTTTTTGTAATATGCAAGCTTCTTTCATCAAGCCAATTGGTTTAATTAGCATTTACATCATTTTAAGTTATGACACACGTTAACAAAATAGAATAGTTGTAGAAACAACGAAACTTCAATGCTCACTCAGAAATCACCTAACCCTAACCTTGTCTCCTCTTTCCAGATGTAGCAGCAGCTTCTTTAGACGGAAGGTGAACGGAAAGGAATGTTTTCCAAGAGGAAGGGAATAAGGGTAATAACATGGATCCGGAGCATATATACTATCCATATACTCATGTGAAGGATCTCCTGTCTGACAACATTCCAGAAGCTACAGGACAGAAATGTCAGTCATCACACTCACCACCAGCAAAGAGCTCAAGGCGCTTACATGAGCAAAGTTACATTGACAGGAGGTGCCCACTGGAAATCACAATAGGTATCAGATTATGACCAAACATAAATGAGATCAATAGAAAATACCATCACAAAGATATGATTAGACTGAATATGTATAAAATTATTTCACACTTTTTTGGGGTTAAATAATTTTACCTAAATTTAAAGTAACACAATAAGTATACTCAATGTTAATACTGCTTCTATTTCTTATTAACAATATAGACCATGAAACTGTATCAGAACATTAGTATTCAATAATTTTATGTTCTGGTTGATAGTCCTTAAAGAACTTTCACTTCATCTTCTTTGCTAGATGAAATAATATTTATTATTTTGTGTTTACCTTTGCTAAAATGTATCAGTAATACCTTATAAAATTTAAATTAAGGTATGGCTGGCCAGGTGCAGTGGTTCATGCCTGTAATCCCAGCACTGTGGGAGGCTGAGGTGGGCAGATCACCTGAGGTCAGGAGTTCGAGACCAGCCTGACCAACATGGAGAAACCCCAACTCTACTAAAAATACAAAATTAGCCAGGCGTGGCGGCTCATGCCTGTAATCCCAGCTACTCGGGAGGTTGAAGCAGGAGAATCACTTGAACCCGGAGGCAGAGGTTGCGGTGAGCTGAGATCGCGCCATTACACTCCAGCCTGGGCAACAAGAGTGAAACTCTATCTCAAAAAAAAAAAAAAAAAATTAAGGTATGGCTATATCACAGAACTTTAAAAGCCCAATTTTTCTAAAATTACTTTAAAATCTAGAAAATCATGTTTCCATTCATATCATTTTTTATGAAGATGCAATTACTGAATAAGAGTAATTCAAGTAAGAAAAGTTAGAATCAGTTGAAGTAAAACAAGCAAAAAAATATATAACCACTTAGGAAACACACACTGCAAAACAAATTAGTTAGATCATCACTGTTATTCTCCAAGCAATTGAAAATACCTACCTCTAAAAGGGGAGAAACACAAAAGTGTGAACAGAATTTCTAACAGAAAGGCTATTGTTTATGCACAAGTTTCACACTGTAGAAATATGAACACCTGCCAGATAATTAAATACACCCACATGCAGAATGTTCCATCACTTTTTAAAATTTTAATTACCTCCATTTATTATAATCACCAACAGGTAATTTTCTAAGCAACATAAGATCGGCACTGGGATTGAGGTTAGCTAAATAGTCTAAATTAGTTTAAGCAACTACTTTTGGATAATCAGTTGCACTTGTGCCCACTCACAGGGAGAGGCTGTTGAAATTCAAGGATTTCCTCTGCATTCTCTTGCCTGCAGAGCTAAACAGCTACCACAGAGTCAAGTTCAGTAACTGCACTGGAGCAAGGAAAAATTAAATTGCTCAGTGAAATTAAATTTAGTAGGGTGTAAAACTTCATTTCTTCATTCTGCACTCAAGACAATTTGACTTTCCACACCTATTATATTTCCAGGTCTAACTAGGTGACATGTATTTCTAAGCATTTAAGTTCCTCTTAAAAAGCCTTAGTCTTGGCCAGGCACGGTGGCTCAAGCCTGTAATCTCAGCACTTTGGGAGGCCGAGGAGGGTGGATCACGAGGTCAAGGGATCAAGACCATCCTGGCCAACAAGGTGAAACCCCGTCTCTACTAAAAATACAAAAACTAGCCAGGCGTAGTGGCATGTGCCTGTAATCCCAGATATGCGGGAGGCTGAGGCAGGAGAATCACTTGAACCCAGGAGGCGGAGATTGCAGTGAGCTGAGATGCCAAGATCGCACCACCACACTCCAGCCTGGCAACAGAGCAAGACTCCGTCTCAAAAAAAAAAGCCTTAGTCTTTAACCTTTCACAAAGTATTGTTATGATTGGCAACTTATTTTGTGAAATGCCACAATCAAGTATGAAACTGTTGCCTCAGGCAGGGCAGAAATAAACTGTGCCTTGAATAAATGTTTAAAGCTGAGATTCTCCATACCAGCATTCCATAGCTCAGAGATATTTCACATCACCACGCAGTATACATATGATATATGCATATATATGTACACAGAAACCCATATTCAAAACACAAATACATATGAAATGTTTCACGAAACATGTCTTACCCTTACTGTATGATACGCTCCAATATTTTATATTCTATTTCTTTGTTTACATTGCTCATTGTCCCTAATTTGATTTCACCAACCCAGTGATGCAGTAGCAACCACAGTTTGGAAAATACAGCTCCCTCTATGCAAATACCAATTCATAGTTCTTCATAAAATTTACTCCTGCCAATGAGGATCAGTGTGACACCCTGTGCAGATGGGACTAAAAAGACACTCCAAAGAGGTGACTGATTTGTAAATGAGTCTGTTTTTGAAACATGAAATAGGCAGCAGAGAATCCAGAGCAGACGAGCACTAACTGCATATCTAAGAGTAAATTAGTCATTTATCATTAAACTGAAAGTACTCTGTTGCAGACTTTTTTTGGACAGGAAAATGGAAATTTAAACAAGACTTTATTTTTTCTTAATATGCTTGCAAAAAAAATTAACTGATACTATCAAGTGTTGAAAAGGATGTGGGAAAATGTGTATGCTGTTATTAGGACTGCAATTTTGTACAGCCTTTTTGGAGAGTGATTCGAGAGCATCATTAAATTTTGAACATGCATATCCTTTGACCCAGCAATTCTTCTAGTTTGTGCTATGTTCTTGTACATGCAAACCAATAGATGTGTAAAGACACTGGCCATTGATAAGAAAATACTTAAGGTACAATCATATTTTTTAAATTATTTTAATTTTTTTAAAGAAATACTAAGAACAGCAGGTATTTCCATATCATTCTTTTTTTTTATGTGACAAATTCAATTTCTTTTCAGTACACATATCATTGTTTCTCAATGAGATGCTATTAGTATTCTGGGCCAACGATTCCTCCATAAAATGCTCCCACATATTTTGTTTTTTAAATCCCCAGGTAAGGGTGGTACCAGCCTTGACTGAAAAACAAAACAAAACAAAACAAAAAAAACACTATTCCATGTATACTGAGGAGAAAAGAATTTTTAAAAGCTGTTACGAGGTGGGGAAAAGCCAGTTGCAGAACAATACATACAGTATGATTCTAATTATGTGAAAAGAAACCACCCACGCTCTAAGGGGTGTGCACATGAATGATATGAGTCAGAGGATGTGTGAAAAGAGGTTGACAGTGTCTGCTCTATAAGCTTTGATTTTTAAGAATTTATTTCCATACTGGTGGATAATTTGATTAGGTTACAATATTTTATTTGGGGAAACTAAAATCCATAACATATTCACCCACTGAAAGTGGCTATTTGAAGCACTGGGAGTTGGCAGAGCTCTAAAACAAGGAGGGAAAGAAACTAAGAGGAATTAACATGTTCTAATGACATCCTTGACTCATAAAGTCCCTTTTCCTTCCTCACTAAAGTGACAAGTTCTGTAATACACTAATTGAGTTTCATAAAAATACAATTAAAAATATGGAAATTAAACAATAACACTACCTCTGTTTTATGTCCTGTCACCCTCTTCCCGCAGGACTTGTAGAAATGTTTCCTTTAACCTCCATATCCAGCTTGTGTTTCATGCTTCCTTTCACTATAGTTACCAACCGCTCTCCCGCTTGACCCAGCAGATTAGAAGCTCTTTGAGGTCAGAGGATATTTCTTATCATTCCCATCCACTGATCTCTTGCTGTCCATTCTCCCTAGAAAAGTAGCTGCTTCATAAGAAGCTGTGGAATGATGTTTTAAAAATCCGTGAAATAGACACCTAACTTGGCATGACTTTTAACTAGTTTACAACACTAAGATGAGTCAGAGAAAAATGGATCACATTCAACAGCAATAGTTGAAAACAAAATTACAATTGTCCTTTACTTGCTAATACAATGAGTATTAAGTTTATTTTCATAACTTTGAAACTAAAAAAAAATTTCAGCAAAGCCACATGAAGTACTACCACTTTGATGGGAGCAATTATTTCAAAAGGATTATATCCAAATAAAATCAACAAAATAATAAAAGCATAACATGGCATATACTGTTGTGCCAATCCAGTACCCATTGCCCTCTCTTTTTGTATTAATACAACACCAATTACTCTCTAGGGCAGCCGTGTGCCCTGATAAAAACACAAGACCCCCACCAAGGCAGCTGGAAGTTGACATACACAGTTCCGATGTGATGAAAGCAGAAGTCACCAGAAAGAGCTTACCTCCCCCAAAAAACCTCAGTCAGAGAAAGCCCTCCCTCTTTCCTCTTCTTTCTGCCTTCAATGGGTCCTGGACATGCCGCAGGCAACTCGTGACTCTGAGGAGAAACCCATGTGACAAAGACACAAACTGTGGATCTAAAATGCTTAAGCACCGGTCCTCGATGAAAGGAATGACTTCTTCTGGTATCTTTACAAACATGAATCTTTGGCACTGTGTTTCTAATGTCACCCAAGACCTCTGATAATTTGCTTATAAAACTTTTCTGAAAACTTACGAGTTTCTTTTACAAAATTACAGAAAAGCTCAATAAAATAAGAATTAAAAATGCATTAACTCCAATTTTATAAAATCTGGTTTTTCAACAGAACAAAATCTGTGTTGATTTTTCAGGTGCCTCGGTATGGGAAACTTCCTAAGATGTTGTTTTGGCTGTAAATCATGCGGCCCTCTCAGAGCAATGCATTTGTGTGATTTGCCCAATTATGCATGAGTACAGTCAGCATGGAAATCCAGTTCAAACTGCAGAAGATCAGCACCTGTGAGCTGAAATGTGCATGTGTATTTTACAGGGTGGAGGATAGTGAAGACAGATTCAAGCGATAATACATCAGGTTTAAATCTTCTATAAATGAGATTGGATTACTGCAGCTGATAAACATGGAAATGAGTAATTAAAACATGGTGTGTAAGGAAACATAAGTTTTCTTTGTGGTTGTCCTCGTAGGATAATTTGTGGTGCTGAGAACCTGCCTCGGGTTTCTTAATAATGTTTTCCTAGCTGGCTAATTAGGATGTGCTATTGATGTGATCCAAAAAAGCGTTCAGCTTCAAAAGAAGCTGCCAAAAAAGGGAAGCCTAAGTATATCCAAGCCTGGAGATGGAATGTCAATTTTATTTAGGGGTCAACTGCAGATGCAAATCCTCAGTGTGCCTGTGTCTATCACCTCATTACACATACGCAACTTTGGTTTCTCCCTTCTCATTCATATGTGGATTTATTATCTAGATCAGAGCTTCCATTTCCCCATAATATTCTAGATGCCCTTCAAGTCTCAGTAACAAGATCAATGAAAAGTGTGGTGCTAATTTTTCCCCATAGATAACGTATCATTAGGAATGCTTTCACCTGCAACAAAAAAAAAACCCCTGCATTGGGGTAAACAGACATTTTTTTTCCTCATGTAACAGAACGTCCAGTCTGCAGTCAGTCCATCCATCCAGGATTAGTGCAGCTGCTCAACAATGTCATTCAGGACCTGGCTCCTCCTATTTTGGAAGATCCACAGATCCTGGCAGGCTGTCAGCCCTAAAGCCAATGCTTTTTCTTTTAAATAGTAAGAATGATCAAACATGAAAACATTTATATTTCATTTCTCATAGATTTACCTTTTATTACACTTGTTAACATAGTAAAGAGAGGGAAGCAACACTAGGGCTGATTCACCTTGTCTGTATGAAACATTTCTTCAATTTCTGTCTGGAAGTTGGGTGCTTCTACAATATCCCTGAACTATTTGAAAAATGAACTAAATATAGGTAAGAAAAAAGAGTCTAGGCTGGGCGCGGTGGCTCATGCCTGTAATCCCAGCACTTTGGGAGGCCGAGGCAGGCGGATCACGAGGTCAGGAGATCGAGACCATCCTGGCTAACACGGTGAAACCCCGTCTCTACTAAAAATACCAAAAAAATTAGCCGGGCTTGGTGGCGGGCGCCTGTGGTCCCAGCTACTCGGGAGGCAGAGGCAGGAGAATGGTGTGAACCCGGGAGGCAGAGCTTGCAGTGAGCCGAGATCGCGCCACTGCACTCCAGCCTGGGCGACAGAGCGAGACTCCATCTCAAAAAAAAAAAAAAAAAAAAAAGAAAGAAAAAAAGAGTCTATAAATAATTTCAATGAGAAAACAACTGCCAAAAAAAGTTTTAAGATATAATTAAATATAAGATTTAATATTTAAAAATATTAAAAGAAAAAACTGAACATATTTCTTAGTTTACGAAAGAATAAAATAATAAAACTAGTGATGAGGAAATTGTAAAACTATCTTGGCAGAAATCTTTTGCTATCTACAGCCATCTCCCGAAAATGAAGTCTCTAGCTGTTACTGAGTTCTATTATGGTCCATAAATGAGGCTATAGGAGTCTCTCTAACTCTCCACCTCCTCCTCTGCCCTCAGCTTTACTGAGGTATAATTGACAAATAAAAATTGTATATATTTAAGGTGTACAACACGATTTGATATACATTCTGAGATGATTCTCTTAACAAATTTCATACATTATCATATATAGTTACCAGGCTATATGTTAGATCCCCCAGAATGTATTCCTCCTGCATAACTGAAACTGTATACCCTTTGACCAACATCTCCTGTTTCTCCTACCTCCCACTCCAGCTCCTGGTAACACCATTGTACTCTGTAGAAGTTCAACTTTTTAAAAATTCCACTTATAAGTGATATCACGCAGTATTTGACTCTATGTCTAGCTGATTTCACTTTGCATAACATCCTCTCCAAGCTCATCCATATCGTAGCAAATAGTGAGCTTTCCTTATTTTTAAGGCTGGATAATATTCCATTGTAAATAAACACCACATTTTCTTTATCCGTGCATCCACTGAAAGACAAAGGTTGTTTCCATATCTTGGTATTGCAAATAATGCTGTAATGAACATGGGAGTGCAGGTATCTCTTTGATGTGGTGATTTTTTTCATTTCCTTTGGATATATACCCAGTAGTGGGATTGCTGGGTCCATAAATAAGACCATCGAAATCCTTCTAATTTTAAATTGAGATTAAAGGAATTGTAAATAAGTTAACAAAATCCACTCTGATGACCAAAGGAATTTCTTGGAGCTAGTAGGAAGGAGATGGACTTTTCTTACGTTTTGTTTCTTTTAAATGTATAGTTGTACCCGTTTCCCCCATACCTATTATGTCCACAGCCTGGTAAAGTGACCTGTACTCACACTAAGACAGGGCTGGACACCAACCAAACATTGACATATACTGACAAAGGGCAAGGGAATAAGGAAGTCACTATGTATAACATGCTTGAGATGTGGACTATCTTTTTTTTTTTTTTTTTTTTTGAGACAGAGTCTCGCTCTGTCACCCAGGCTGGAGTGTAGTGGCAAGATCTTGGCTCACTGCAACCTCCACTTTCCGAGTTCAAGTGATTCTCCTGCCTTAGCCTCCTGAGACGCTGGGATTACAGGCACCCACCACCACATCCGGCTAATTTTTGTATTTTTAGTAAAGACGGGGTTTCACCATGTTGGCCAGGCTGGTCTCGAACTCCTGACCTCAGGTGATCCGCCTGCCTCGGCCTCCCAAAGTGGTGGCATTACAGGTGTGAGCCATGGTGCCCAGCCTAGACTGTAATTCTTAATGTTTGTAAAAATCACCCTCACGCTCCTCTTGGCTACTACTGAACATATTTTGAAATTTAAGATATTTCTGAATGGCAGCTGTGAAGGAGAATTAATATTTCTCCCAAACCAAAGAATAGCCAAGAAAACGGTGGGCACCTCCTGCCAAGTTAGCATCTGGGGTTGAAAGAATGATGCTCTAACACCTAATAGTTGACTCTTTGGGGATGGAAGAGCACAGGAATTATAAAAATACCCAGTGGTAAAAATACTTCATGACGTTTTGCTTATTACATTAATTGAATATAATCTAAGTCTAGCAACTAACATAATGAGCTAATTAAGAGTTATTTTTCCTACCACGTTTTTTTTTTGTTTTTTTTTTTTTGAGATGGAGTCTCACTCTGTCATCCAGGCTGGAGTACAGTAGAGCGATCTCAGCTCACTGCAACCTCTGCCTCCCAGGTTCAAGCAAATCTCACTTCAGCCTCCTGAGTAATTGGGATTACAGGCATGCACCATCACAACTGACTAATTTTTGTATTTTTTGGTAGAGATGGGGTTTCACCCTGTTGGCCAGGCTGGTCTCAAACTCCTGACCTCAAATAATCCACCTGCCTTGGCCTCCCAACATACTGGGATTACAGGCGTGAGCCACCATGCCTGGCCATTCCTACAACATCTTTTCTAAAACACCTGTATGATGTCCTTTCTTCAAATAACACCTCACATTCCTCTTACTCCGTGGCTGATTCAAAACACTGCATCTCTGAAGACCCATGAGCTCCAGTGGCTTAACCTAGCAGTTTTAACTACAGCTAGCAGGAGGAAATACACCTACGTAGTTCCTTTTCTCAGTAGCATACCCAGTATCAGCACTGCTTTTAAATCCTTTATTCATTTTGTATACTTCCTCTACTTAACTGAGCTGTGTTGAAACATCTAAGGTGTGGGATCTATTACTTGAATCTAAGGTTGACATGTGTCTCAGTACTTCCACCTGAATATTTAAGGAATCAAACTCAGACCTGATTACATAGAACCATTTATATAATAAAAGTACTCCACCCTTGAAATCTCGGAGAGAAAAATATAGACCCTGACCAAAGACACAGAAAGCAATATTTATTCCATCCCCTATACCTCCTTAATTTAACAGCAGTAAAGAGAGATAAGAAATACCACCACCAAGGCTGAGGCAGGAGAATGGCATGAACCCGGGAGGTGGAGCTTGCAGTGAGCCGAGATCGCGCCACTGCACTCCAACCTGGGCAACAGAGCAAGACTCCGTCTCAAAAAAAAAAAGAAAAAAAAAATACCACCACCAGGCTGGGCATGGTGGCTCACACCTATAATCCCAGCATTTTGGGAGGCCCAGGCAGGTGGATCACTTGAGCCCAGGAGTTTGAGACCAGCCTGGGCAACATGGTGAAACCCTGTCTCTACAAAAAAAAAAAAAAAAATTGGCTGGGCACGATGGCTCATGCCTGTAATCCCAGCACTTTGGGAGGCTGAGGCTGGTGGACCATGAGGTCAGGAGTTCGAGATCAGCCTGGCCAACATGGTGAAACCTGGTCTCTACTAAAACTACAAAAATTAGCTGGGCGTGGTGGCGCACGCCTGTAGTCCCAGTTGGGACTGGGGCTAGTCCTTTGGTCTTATATACTATATTATGGCTTCTTTAAAGAAGATTCATACATGATTTGATATACATTCTGAGAAGATTATCACAATCAAGCTAATTAGCATATCCAACACCTCCCATAGTTACTTTTTTTATGTATGTGTATGGTGGAAACACTTCAGATGTATTCTCTTAACAAATTTCATACATTATCATGTATAGTTACCAGGCTGTATGTTAGATCCCCCAGAATGTATTCCTACTGCATAACTGAAACTGTATACCCTTTGACCAACATCTCCTATTTCTCCCACCTCCCACTCCAGCCCCTGGTAACACCACTGTACTCTCTGTAGAAGTTCAACTTTTAAAAAATTAGCCAGGCAAGGTGGTGGGTGCCTGTAATTCCAGCTACGTGGGAGGCTGAGGCAGGAGAATCACTTGAACCCGGGAAGCGGAGGTTGCAGTGAGCTGAGATCATAACATTCCACTCCAGCCTGGGTGACAGTGCAAGCCCCCCGTCTCAAAAAAAAAAAAAAAGATTAGCTGGGCTTGGTGGGCCACACATGTAGTCCCAAGTACTCAGGAGGCTGAGGTGAGAGGATCGTTGGAGCCCCGGAAGTCAAGGCTGCAGTAAGCCATGATTGTGCCACTGCCCTCCAGACTAAGCGACAGAATGAGACCTTGTCTCAAATAAAAAAAAAAAAGAAAGAAAGAAAGAAACACCACAACTAATTCTGTTAAAGCATGTCTTCATTAAATATAGAATGAAGTAAATCTAAGCAGGAAAAAGATTCTTTAATAATTTCAGCTTGGGACAGGCAGGTGGCTCATGCCTATTATCCCAGCACTTTGAGAGGCTGAGGTGGGAAGACTGCTTGATTGAGGCCAAGAATTCGAGACCAGTCTGGGTAACAAAATAAGACTCTGTCTCTACAAAAAATTAGAAAATAATTAGCCAGAAGTGGTGGCGTGCACCTGTAGCCTCAGCTACTTGAGAGGCTGAGGTAGAAGGATCACTTGAGCCCACAAGTTTGAGGCTGCAGTGAGATATGATTGTACCACTGCACTACAGCCTGGACAACAGACGGAGACCCATCTCTAAAAAATAGTAATAACAATAATAATAATTTCAGCTAGAAACAGATTTAATTCTAGAGTAAGCTTTTTTTCAGAAAAAAAAAAAAATCTTAGAATGATAATCCTTTGCCCTAAATAGTTATCTTTATAAACAAACAAACAAACAAAAAAAGAATAAGCACCATAGCTTTCACAGATTCCTTTCTGATCTAAAAGATTCCTGGATTGTCATTAAATAACATTACAAGTGTAGTTTAACCATAATCCATGAGAAAAATCCAATGAACCTATAATATTACTCTTTTAACATTTCTTCTTAGAGGCACATTAAGGTACAAACTGAAAGGTTAGGATCCTCGTCCTTGGAAAGCCATTATTTTTAACTGATAGTTGTATCCTTTGTTTTAGTTTGCAATTGTATGGCAATAAATAAAACATGATTGAATGTATATCCTCCAAAGCCTGGGACTGGGGCTAGTCCTTTGGTCTTACATATCGTATTATGGCTCCTTTAAAGAAGATTCATAGTCATTTGACTTGCCTCCTCCTGTGTTTTCTCATTTCAAACAAACAAGTGAGTCATTCACAAATGCTGCAAGACTGGCTACTCATATTTTGGATGCTTGAGTATTTTGTTCAAACAAGCATGGATATATGACGACTATTCATTTATCCTGGTAAAATCACTAATAGGCTTAACAGGTTGAACAAGATCTGATAAAGAATACTCAAGACTTAGGGGAAAAAAAACCTGTCTCAGAAGAAAAAAAAAATCAGTCATGTACCTATACCTGTTGTAAGAACACACTTCAACTTTCATACACTGCTGGAATTGATGTATATTGGTAAAAAGTTTCTGGAGGCCACTTAGGTAACAAATAGCAAAAACCCCCTTTAAAAAAAAAAATGGTTACCTGTGACCCAGGAACTCTACTTTTAACAATCCATTTTCAGGAAATAATAGCCAAGTACACAAAGCTACATGTGCAAATATGTTCACCGAACTCACGGCAAAAAAAAAAAGAAAAAGAAATATTAAATGTCTAACAATCAGATATTTGTCAAATAATACATATTTCCCTGTAGTGGAATACTATGCAGGTATTAAAAATAATGTATAGTTAGTAACAGCAAAAGATGTTACGACATTTACTTGAAAAAAGCAAGTAACAAAACAGCATATATGGTATGCTGTCATTGTATATGTCTGTGTATATTAAAAATTCTAGGCCAGGCGTGGTGGGTCACGCCTGTCATCCCAGCACTTTGGGAGGCCGAGGCAGGCAGATCACCTTAGATCGGGAGTTCGAGACCAGCCTGATCAACATGGAGAAACCCTGTCTCTACTAAAAACACAAATTAGCCAGGCATGGTGGTGCATGCCTGTAATCTCAGCTACGCGGGAGGCTAAAGGCAGGAGAATCACTCGAACCCGGGGGGCAGACGTTGTGTTGAACCGCAATCACGCCACTGCAGTCCAGCCTGGGCAACAAGAGCAAAACTCCATCTCAAAAAAAAAAAAAAAAAAAAATTTCTAGGCCGGGCACGGTGGCTCACGCCTGCAATCTCAGCACTTTGGAAGGCTGAGGCGGGTGGATCATCTGAGATCAGGAGTTCGAGACCAGCCTGGTCAACATGGTGAAACCCCATCTCTACTAAAAAATACAAAAAATAGCCAGGTGTGGTGGTGAATGCTTGTAGTCCCAGCTACTTGGGAGGTCAAAGCAGGAAAATTGCTTGAATCTGGGAGGCGGAGGTTGCAGTGAGCCGAGATTGTGCCACTGCACTCCAGCCTGGGTGACAGAGCAAGACTCTATCTCAAAGAAAAAAAATCATTCTAGGAAAATCTACACAAAACATGTTCATAGTTAACCACAGATAATGAGGTTACAAGCATTTATTTGTCCTTCTTGATACTTCTGTGTTTTCCTGAAATGTCTCTGAAATATTTTAAAGTCTGGCTTTATCTAGCCATCACTGGGCAAAGTCAAGTCTGGATAAAGATTGACAATTTGAAAAACAAACAAATGCGGATTAGATAATGGTCACTGTGGTGTTCCAGAGATCACCACAATAAATTTCACACCTGCGTTCCAGGGGAAGATCCAGAAGATATTCACCATGTGCTTGCCAACCTCTCCTGGCTTTTTGGTCACATTTACTTTACATTTTAATGTTTCTCCTTTTCATTTCTTTCCTAGTGTCATACTTAAGAGTTAGATCAGAGCTAATCTTTCACTCAACAAACACACAGTGACAAATTCTTACGCGCCAAGTAGGCTGGGTACCCAAGCCACACAAGCTAGTAGGAGCTTCTAGTGTGCAAGAAGTTCACAGATTAGTTTTAGGGAAAAAACACATATGCCAAGAATTACAATAACATAATGGCCTAAGAGAGGTACACACAGAGCACTACTGGGCAAAAGGAAAATCAGATAACTGCCTGGAAAGAGAGGAATTGTCTGTCAAAGGACTCAAGGAATCAAGGATGGAGCTAAATGCTAAAGAACAAGCTCAATAAATAGAAAACACAATGTTGACTCTAGCTATGTGAAAATCTGTATTAGTCAAGGTCTTCCGGAGAAACAGAACGAATATGACACAAATCAACAGAAAGATATAGGCAAACATACAGACCAATCTGTAGCTCTATCTTTATCTACTGATCAGCCTAGAAAAAGAAAGATTTATTTTTAAAATTGGCTCATGCAATTGTCGGAGCTGGCTAATCTGAAATCTGCAAAGCAGGCCAGCAGGCTGGAGCCCCAGCAAAGAGTTGATGTTGCAGCTCAAGTCAGAAGGCAGTCTGGAGACAGAATTTCTCCCTGGGGTCAGGGTGTGGGGAAACTTAGCTTTTTATCTTAAGACATTCAACTGATTGGATGAGGCCCACCCAGCTTTATTCAAATGAAAAAAAACTTGCTTCACAGCAACATCTAATCTGATGTTTGACCAAACATCTGGGCGCTATAGCCTAGCAAGTAGACACATCATATTAACCATCACTGAAGCCAAGTCAGAAAAGTGAAGAGACAGATGCAATAAAATTAGGAGTTATTTTGTCTATTTTCCATCTTCTCTTTTTTTACCCAAATTCAGCGTTAATTTCTCAGTTTTTATTTCTATTTCTAGTAACACTTGGCTTATGTGCTGTGTCATAATACAGATCAACTTAGCTTTCCAATAACTAATTCTTTGCCATTTTTCACTTCTGTGGCTTCAATCATCTTCAACCACACAGACTAAACTCAAAATCTATTTCAAAATATTCATATTGCCAACATCCTGCTGAATATCCCCTGGAAGCTTAACATCTGTGAGTCTAAAAGCTAACAAAATTGTCGGACAAAACCAGTTCCTTCTTCCCGACTTTACAACTTCTGTGGTCGGTCTCATCTTCATAGAGGCCACCTACTCTCCAAGGCCTGCTCAGCACCTTTGGTTCAGCCTGTCCTTTGCACTTTACCAGCAATGCCCAGCACACTGCCTGACTCACAGTGCTGCTCAGCAAGTTGGCTGGATGGATGGATAAATGAATGAATGAATGTTGAACACAATAACTTATCAATTATGGTAAATTATATTCCAAATTATTAATACTAATTCCCTTTTTTCCATTATTACTATACAAATATAAGCCAGACCACTTTCATCATATCCCAATTTGTTTTAACTTCTGTCTCAGTTTTCTATTGCATCCTAGACATTACTAACACTTAATTTTTCTAATTAGAGCTATAATCCTATCGCCCCTCTAATTAAAAAAAAAACTTTATTTTCCCACTGAATTAACCACAAGCTTTACTCCCGAGTGATTAAGTTTCTCCCCAGTTTAAGCCCCAGGCTCTCTCTGTAGTTAACCCCACTATTCAGTCATACACTGTGTCTATTGAGAATAAAATTATCCATAAGACAAATGCTAGCTCTTGAGGTGCTCAATCCATAAGGACACACACAGTAAAGAAAGAATTGGCCGGGTGCAGTGGCTCACGCCTGCAATCCCAGCACTTTGGGAGGCCAAGGCGGGCGGATCACCTGAAGTCAGGAGTTCGAGACCAGCCTGACCAACATGGAGAAACCCTATCTCTATTAAAAATACAAAATTAGCCAAGTGTGGTGGTGCACGCCTGTAATCCCATCTATTCGGGAGGCTGAGGCAGGAGAATCACTTCAACCCCAGAGGTGGAGGTTGCAGTGAGCCAAGATTGTGCCATTGTACTCCAGCCTGGACAACAAGGGCGAAACTCCGTCTCAAAAACAAAAACAAGGGCCAGGCGCGGTGGCTCCCGCCTGTAATCCCAGCACTTTGGGCAGGCAGATCATGAGGTCAAGAGATCAAGACCATCCTGGCTAACACGGTGAAACCCCGTCTCTACTAAAAATACAAAAAAATTAGCCAGGCATGGTGGTGGGCGCCTATAGTCCCAGCTACTAGGGAGGCTGGGGCAGGAGAATGACGTGAACCTGGGAGGTAGAGCTTGCAGTGAGCTGAGATTGCACCACTGCATTTCAGCCTAGACACAGAGCAAGCCTCCATCTCAAAAAAAAAAAAAAAAAAAAAGAAGATGTGACAAATCTGTATGAACAGACATGGAAAACTGTGAGACATATTGTTAAAAGAAAAAACACTCAAGTCACAATTTATATATAATATGATCCCAGTCATTTTTTTTAAAGAAAGGAATGTATATACGTATATTGATATACAGGAGGGGAACAATAACACAGAATGTGAGGATGGACACTCAAATGTTGACGATGACTCGCTCTGAAGAGAGGCATGCAGGGCATAAATTCTGTAACGCTGGAATCTCTTCCATGGGAATTTAATCATACCACCAATAAGAGTACAGACTAAAAATATAAATATATTCACGGATTCCAGATTCAATTTTTTTTTAAATCCAACAATGTTTTTAGCAACACCAACGATACTGAATTAAACACATACTCTCTCAAGTGACTATTATGAAAAGAATGCTTTCACTGAAATGTACAGAATTTTTGTCAGTTTCTTTTAATGTCCAATTGCATCTTTCCACTTGCAGCCATTAGCGTTTCAGAGCTGTGTTCCACCAGATAATTTGGGGCCCTCAATACCACCTGCTGTCAATATTTCTAAAATATGGCAATTCCTCAGCAAAGGCAAAGAACTAGAATTGCAACCCCAGCTACAGCTCTAAATGTAGAAAGAGGCAAGAGGAGTCCCATTTCTAATTTTAATTAATAGAACAAGCATAACAAGAAAAACCAAAGTAAATTTTTTAAATTATTAAAAGATAACCTGAAGTCACAGAAAATTTCAATACTAAGAACTGCTTTCTACTCTACACCAAAACCTTGGATTTTTATACATGATACCATAATCTGAGACAATGCAAAATTCATGTCAATGAAACTGCTGTTAAGCTGTATATAAAAAATTAAGGAGGATCGCATAACCATCACTCAGCATTACATAATTTCTCTAGAAAAGACTGACTGGAAATGCATATACTTGAGACATTATTCTAAAGAGGAAAAGAAAAGGAGGACAAAATGTCAATGTTTGTTCAACCACAATGTTTTCAGTTCTCTTCTAGAATTTCATTCACTCACCAAATTCCAAGTAAATCAAAATGCAAAACAGCTAACAAAAAGAATTTCAGACTCTTTAATTGCCTGCTCAGGGAATGTATATTTTGTTCATTATCTTCTCTTCTTTCATGTCCTTTCTATTTTCTCACTAACATTAATGTAGACAGGAGAATATCAAGTGAAGTGCTGATAATTAGAAAATATTCTTGATTTTCAAATGCTTCTGTTATGTACCAACTGCTAACGGTGATTATATCTGAGGGTTAGGACTACGAAAAAAGTTCACTACTTTCTTCATAGCTCTGTAATTTTATACAGTTCTATAATTTTAATAGTTAATATTTAACTTCCTTTGAAATCAAAAAAATATTCTAACATCTTTGTTTTTGACTGTGTGGTACACTTAGGACCACTCAGAAAGAATTCATTTTAGTGGACACACACCACAGGTTAAACCAGCATGGGCAGCCCCTCCAGGAACATGGGGACCTGGTGACTTATCAGACAGAGTGAGAGACCTTGTTAGAAAAGAAATTGTGGCTGGGCACAGTAGCTCACGCCTGCAATCCCAGCAGTTTGGGAGGCCGAGGTGGATGGATCACCTGAGGTCAGGGGTTAGTCTCTACTAAAAATACAAAATACCCCGTCTCTACTAAAAATATAAAATTAGCCAAGCATGGTGGCTCATGCCTGTAGTCGCAACTACTAGGGAGGATGAGGCAGAAGAATCGCTTGAACCTGGGAGGCGGAGGTTGCAGTGAGCCGAGATGGTGCCATTGCACTCCAACCTGGCCAACAAGAGCGAAACTCCATCTCAAAAAAAAGAAAAGAAATTGTTTTGCTAACTAGCCTGATTTCATCATTTCACCATATATACATTATCAAAACATCATGTTGCACCCCATAAACATATGCAATTATTATCTGTCAATTAAAAATGAAATAAACTTTTTTAAAAGGAAAGAAAAAAAGAATTTAAAAACAAGAAATTTTTTTTTCTTTTTTTTTTTTTTTTTGAGACAGAGTCTTGCTCTGTAGCCAGGCTGGAGTGCAGTGGCGCAGTCTCGGCTCACTGCAACCTCCGCCTCCCGGGTTAAGCGATTCTCCTGCCTCAGTCTCCCGCGTAGCTGGGACTACAGGCACGTGCCACCACATCCAGCTAATTTTTGTATTTTTAGCAGAGACAGGGTTTCACCATGTTGGCCAGGATGGTCTCAATCTCCTGACCTTGTGATCCACCCACCTCGGCCTCCCAAAGTGCTGGGATTACAGGTGTGAGCCACCGTACCCGGCCCTAGAAACAAGAAAAATTGTTCACTGGTTGGATACACGATGGAGGAAGCAAGGGAAATTGGCCTCATGACTAGTTGCATTTACTTAGCAAATGAAGTCACCATCTCAGAGTAAAACATTCCACACTTAAGCTGACCCTTAAGTTCTGGTCTGATGGCTAAAAGCATGGTGGTATCCTTCATAGAACAGGGGAGGCGAGGAAAGCACAGGGAAAGGTATTCTGCTTGAGAAGATAGGAAAACACACACATAGAAAGTGTCCTGGAGTTCTAGCAAAGGGGGCGAACTGAACACAGATGTCAAATCTAGACCCCTCTCAAAGCCCTACTGAAACTGCAGCAAAGAGATTGTTTTAAGAAGATGGAGAGAATGGGGGAAGAGGTGACAAAAAAATTTTCATAAAGTGGAGAATAAAGGTTGAGCCATAACAGACGGGTGACTTGATGAAGACAATCCTAAACCAACTCGGCGGGGAAGCTAAGAACCTATGCTATTTATACTGCCGAGTTCCCAAAGTGCAGGTATTGGCGGTAATAAGGACTTCTGGAAGTAGAGGTGAATTGATTTTCTTGGGGAAGAAGGAACAGTTAAAAGAAGAATTGGTTGAAAATTGTTAACCCTACATCTCCTGACCACATTCCTAGCCACGAGTGGCCACCCTTCCCATCCTGGCAGGAAACTGGATGTTAAAGGGTTAAAACAGAAGGTTTCTGGTCTGAGAATACAAAGCACAGTTGAGAACCTACCAAACATAGAGGAAGTAAGTAAAAAGATGCATTCTGAATGCTGAGACCCAGGCTTCTTTCCACACAGCTCCTGGAAAGCTGACAGTTGGGCCTTACCAGCCAGCTAAGAGAGTAGAGGGGTCTTCTTTGGAGAAACTGAGCAGCCTAAGATGACCTAAATAAAGTTACTGACAGGCCGGGTGCAGTGGCTCACACCTGTAATCCTAGCACTTTGGGAGGCCAAGGTGGGTGGATCACCCGAGGTCAGGAGTTTGAGACCAGCATGGCCAATATGGTCAAACCCTGTCTCTACTAAAAATACAAAATTTAGCCGGGCATGGTAACATGTGCCTGTAATCCCAGCTACTTGGGAGACTGAGGCAGGAGAACTGCTTGAACCCAGGAGGTGGAGGTTGCAGTGAGCCGAAATCACGCCACTGCACTCCAGCCTGGGTGACAGAGTGAGACTCCATCTCAAAAACTAAAATAAAAATAAAATCAATCAATCAATCAATAAAGTTACTGACAGGTCCTCTTCCCCACAACGCTCCCACCCAGCCAACAAGCCCCCTTCAAACACTCAGACCTTCCAAGCAGCCTTTGAGTCCCTCACCCTCTTACATGAATAGAGACAGCCAGAGACTACTAGACACCTTAGGAAAATCATTCAAATGGAAAAGAGATCTAAACAGAAAAAAACAACTTGCAGCAAACACCGTTGAAGGTAAAAAAAAAAAAAAGGCCGGGCGCGGTGGCTCACGCCTATAATCCCAGCACTTTGGGAGGCCGAGGCGGGCGGATCACGAGGTCAGGAGATCGAGACCATCCCGGCTAAAACGGTGAAACCCCGTCTCTACTAAAAATACAAAAAATTAGCCGGGCGTAGTGGCGGGCGCCTGTAGTCCCAGCTACTTGGGAGGCTGAGGCAGGAGAATGGCGTGAACCCGGGAGGCGGAGCTTGCAGTGAGCCGAGATCCCGCCACTGCACTCCAGCCTGGGCGACAAAGCGAGACTCCGTCTCAAAAAAAAAAAAAAAAAAAAACTTTAAAAACTCAGTCTCAGAGATAAGAAGAGACAGTACATCAATAAACTAAAAGCAGGATGTTATATAAAAGAATACCCAGAACAAGAACAACAAAACAAGCTCTTGCAAATGAAAAACCTGATAGCAAAAATGAAAAGCTCAGTAGAAGGACTGAAAAAGAAAGAATAAGAAATGGACCAGATAGGCCAAGCACAGTGGCTCAATGCCTGTAATCCCAGCACCCTGGGAGGCTGAGGAGGAAGGATTGCTGAGGCCAGGAGTTCAAGACGAGCAACACAGTGAGACTCCTACCTCTACAAAAAGTGTTTTAAAACTTAGCCAGGCATGGTGGTGCATGTCTGGAGTCCCAGATACTCCCAGGAGGCTGAGGCAGGAGGATCACTTGAAGCCAGGAGTTTGAGGCTGCAGTGCGCTATGAACACGCCACTACACTCCAGCCTGAGTGACAGAGCAAGATTCTATCTCTAAAAAATAAAATAAAAATAGGTCGGGCGTGGTGGCTCACGCCTGTAATCCCAACACTTTGGGAGGCCGAGGCGGGCAGATCACTTAAGGTCAGGAGTTCGAGACCAGCCTGGCCAACATGGTGAAACCCCGTCTCTACTAAAAAATTAGCCGGGCATGATGACGTGCGCCTGTAATCCCAGCTACTCGGGAGGCTGAGGCAGAAGAATTGCTTGAACCCAGGAGGCAGAGATTGCAGTGAGCCAAGATCGCGCCACTGCACTCCAGGCTGGGCAACAGAGCGAGAATCTGTCTCCAAAAAAAAAAAAAAAGATATCAGAGGCAGGGCTCCACCAAATGAAGAAGTAAACCAAGAAAGTGATTAGGGGAGACAGGCATCAGAAGAGAAAGGAAGTCTCTAGGATGACAGTGAAGGAGGTCACACAGATGGCTGAGAACCAGCCACGGAGGAACACTCATCTAGATTAGATTAAATCAGATTGGAAGGCTCTAGGAGTCATATCTCCAAGAAGACAAAACTCAGTGAATTCTTAAGGCAAAAAGAAGATACTGATAGGGTAGAGTTGAAAGTTGAAACAACAATAAACACATAGAAATATACACACCCCAAAAAGCCGTTATTTATGTCAGGAGAGACAAAAGTTGTAAAATAAAGGAAAAGCAATCGTGTTTGATGATGTGGCTCTGCTCGAATGGTGGACACTGCTTTAACGCTATACACACTGAATGCTGAACTAAACAAAGCAATGAAAGAGGATAGGGAAGATGTAGGATGGGAGGTATACCTATAGGGGGGTGGGTTGAGGAAGGAAAAAAGGGCTAAATCCTCATCTTGAGAGGTCAATAGATACCAATACTTAAAACTAAAAAACCACAAAAGAGCAAAAGGAGCGTAATGTTTGGAGATACAGAGGAAAATTTCTTTAAAATCAGCTAAAATTTCTGAATGACTACCCATGACCATTCACACTGGCTCATGCCCAGTGCTCGTGTCTGTGGCCATGCAGTCAGCTCATTCACCAAGAGAGACTGTATACAGCATGAAATGAAAACTTTTTCACCATAAATCCTCTACAACCATTGGGGAAAAAGTCAAAGAAGGCAGCTTAACAATCTCATAACAGTTACATCCTTGAATGCTAAGGAGAATACATTATTTTTTAAAGCGTGCAGTAACTATCAGTCAAGAAGGAATTTCATCGCTACCTCCTCCCTATGATTTTCTTTCCCCTTCATAGTTATTCCTCTGACCGCCCAGCACTCAACAATAAAACTAAAAATGGAATTAGGTAATTACTATCTATAACCCAGGAAAAAATTTTTTAAAAACCATAGTATACTAAAAGAACACTTCAGCTCAGTCTAGGTCTGTGAAGCCATCTGAGGGGCAATATGGTCTAATTCTAAAGTGGAATCAAGTACAAGCAGAATATCTGAGCAAAAGGAACATAATAGCTAATTCAGAACACTTTCCACTTCTTTTTGAAACAGACGTTCACCATATTTCAATTTCAAATACTACATTATGTCTCCTAAAACATGAGATATATTCCTTTTTGAGGACTTATAATAAAAATGTTTCAGCTGGGCGCAGTGGCTCACACCTGTAATCTCAGCACTTTGGGAGGCCGAGGTAGGCAGATCACGAGGTCAGGAAATCAAGACCAGCCTGGCCAACATGATGAAACCTTGTCTCTACTAAAATTACAAAAATTAGCTGGGCATGGTGGCACGCACTTGTAGTCCCAGCTACTCGGGCGGCTGAGGCAGGAAAATTGCTTGAACCAGGGAGGCAGAGGTTGCAGTGAGCCGAGATCGCACCACTGCACTCCAATCTGGGAGAGCAAGACTGTCTCATAGATAGCTAGATAGATAGGTAGATAGATAGATAGATAGATAGATAGATAGATAATGTTTCTAGATTATTTCTATTATCTCTCTTCTCCATTAGCTCAAATATCAAGAAAAAATGAATAACCAACTGGAATTCCTGTAACTTGGAATCCAGTAACTTGATTGGAATTTCACTGTAAAAACTGTATGATATTTTCTAATCATGCTAAATACTCACTTTTAGCTATTCATATATTTTCAATGAGAAAGTCTGAGGAATTTGCAAAGCAATACTTGGTGGGCGGGGGTGAGGGGGCAGTATTTAACCAGAAAAAAAAAAAAAAGACTCTTCTTATTTTGTCCTGCCCCATTAATATAAACACACATTTATGTAGCTAAGATTTAAGTGACTAGAACAGTTTCCCAGACTCAGCATTTTTTACTTCTTCTATTTCTTCATTTTTACAGCTACAAAAAAAAAAACAAAAAACACACAGTCAAGTTTCATTTCTGGCAACAGAGATAGGGAGGCCCAATTCCATATAACACAATCATTGCACAAGTCTAAAGGCTCTCACTGAATTTTTTTCAAGTTTAAGTTAAAAAACAGAAGTTAATTTTCACTTTGGAAATCGAACTTGAAAGAAAAATGTGACCTCTCATTACTTAATTCCTTCCAAGAAACTCCTTCTGGAACATAAATTGTTAAGACATGGCCACTTGGGGAAAACATTTTCAAGTCATGTTTGACATGTGAAGCTACATGGCACTTGACAGGAGTAATTTTTAACAAGCTCAAGTCTGTCTTTTCTTTACACGATTAACATGATTTAAAAACATGTACTTTACCAAAAGCTTGCAGGGTTCTATAAACATTCAGATCCTTTTACAAAGACTGCATAGTGCAAGTGGGAAGGGCTTTTAATGGTCAGCATGCTGTTTGTTAAAACACACATACACACCACAATCTTTAAACAGAAATTAAAGGTAAATGGATGCTCTCATAAAATTGAATGTTTTCTTGTATTTTATCAGTAGATAAATGGGATTACAGATACAAAGCTATAAACTAAGGTATGGTATTCAAAGCAAGGATAAAACTACATATACATGAAAATAATCATTTCCAGCAATAGAGCTAAGTAAAAAAAGCAACAAATTTTTTTTTTCAATTTTTAAAATATATCCTTTATTAGGTAAAAATTCTCCTTTTAATTTACTGAGAGTTTTTATGAGAAAAGGATGTTGAATTGTATTGAATGCTCTTTCTGCATCTGTTGATATAATTTTTTTAATTTTTTGAAGCGTGTAATTTGGTTATTTTATTGTGTGTTTTTTTTTAAGTTTCAGGGTACATGTGCAGGATGTGCAGGTTTGTTACGTAGGTAAGCATGTGCCATGGTGGTTTGCTGCACCTAACAACCCATCACCTAGGTATTAAGCCCAGCATGCATTAGCTGTTTTTCCTAATGCTTTCCCCTAGCCCTCCCTCGCACCACAGGCCCCAGTAAGTGTTGTTCCCCTCCCTGTGTCCATGTATTCTCATTGTTCAGCTCCCACTTATAAGTGAGAACATACAGCGTTTGGTTTTCCACTCCTGCATTAGTTTGCTGAGGATAATGGCTTCCCACTTCATCCGTGTCCCTGCAAAGAACATGATCTTGTTCCTTTTTATGGCTGCATAGTATTCCATGGTGTATACATGCCACATTTTCTTTATCCAGTCTATCACTGATGGGCATTTGGGTTGACTCCATGTCTTTGCTATTGTGAACAGTGCTACAATGAACATATGCGTGCATGTATATTTACAACAGAATGATTTATATTCCTTTGGCTACATACCCAGTAATAGGATTGCTGGGTAAAGACTGATAAAACTTCTGGCCATCATCCATTTAAAGTTCCCCAGCAGCTCAGCAAGGTGGCACGCATCTGTAGTCCCAGCTACTCCAGAGGCTTAGGTGAGAGGATGGCTTGAGCCCAGAAGTTCAAGGTTAAGTGAGCTATGAGAACTATGATCCTGTCATTGTCCTCCAACCTAGGCCACCAGTCTCCTAAAAAAAAAAAAAAATCCCCCAGGAAAAAATTAAAAGAGGCACTACAAACAGCCCCCTATTTACAAACACTCAGATAGAAATGTTCTGCTTACAGTCACCAATTGCCTGACAATGGATCTGCAGGCTGCTGGTGGCTCCCCTTCCCTCTTCTGGCTTGGTGCTCTCATCTACAATGAATCCCCACAGCTGAGACTCTAGAGCCTAAAGCTCTCAGTCCCACAAGCCAAAGCACCCTAGAAACTACCCTAAAGCTATCTGCTGCTTCCAAAGCTTCACAACCACATATCTTGCCACCATGATACCACAGGAACCCCCTTCACCCTCCAAAAGGCAAGTGGAGGCCTGACCCAAATCACTCATGTTGTAGACGAGGTCAGGGTCACACAGCTTAGGGAAGAGGGTGGGAGGAGTAGGAAAATGTCATCTTGGTATACTGGTTGTCACCTATAATTCATTTTCCCACAGAAAATTCTTACATTATTTATTTATTTATTTATTTATTTTTGAGACAGAGTCTCGCTCTGTCACCCAGACTGGAGTGCAGTGGTGTGATCTCAGCTCACTGGAACCTCCGTCTCCTCGGTTCAAGTGATTCTCCTGCCTCAGCCCCCCAAATAGCTGGGATTACAGGCGCATGTCCCCACACCAGCTGATTTTTGTATTTCTAGTAGGGATGGGGTTTCACCATGTTGGCCAGGCTGGTCTCGAACTCCTGACCTCAGGTGATTCACCTGCTTTGGCTTCCCAAAGTGCTGGGATTACAGGCATGAGCCACCGCACCTGGCCTAAAATTCTTACATGATTATATCTCACTGCACTGTAGGTCTACATATCTATATTTGAGGTTGAACAGGCTTTTGGGGGTTGCCCTATGCCTGGTCATGCTTTGGAAATATGGTTTTTAGGAAGAAATATATTACAAGTTCAAAATAACTTAAAAATTAACTTCTGTATCTCAACAGGTTTCTAAATTAGAGATTACCGGCATATAATTAAACTAATTGGAACCCAACTAAGCAAAACCCTACCTAACTTGATTTTACTGGATCTCGATTTGAAAAGAGGAAAATGACATCAAAATAAATTCACATCAGAGATGTACTCAAAACACCATTTTAGAGAACATGCTGAATAAATTTAATCCAATATTCTGTACTTTCAGAATGGAATATCGTGATATCAAAAAAAGATCCAAAAACCTCAAAATAACCCAATTAACAAATCTAACCATCAGCTATGGAGAAAACTCAACCAGAACATAAGGACACTCACTAGGAAACCTTACATTATTAAGGTCCAGTCCTTTATTCTAACATCTTGACTTTATTTACACTTAGGTTTTAAAATACACTCAGAAAAAAAAAATAAAACTAGTCTAAAAAATAGTAAGGTCCAATCCAAAATATCGGCTAATATTTATTGTTTATTATAGAACAGGCACTGTTCTATATCTCATTTTATCCACACAATTACCATCTCAAGTATTAGTACAATGCCCATTTTACAGAGGAAAGAACTTAAGCAGAAAGGGTAATATATTCAAGTTCACACCGCTAGTAAATTTTATCTCTTACATGCCATGTTCTAATGCCTCCACTTTTTGTTTGTTTGTTTGTTTGTTTTTTGAGACTGAGTCTAGCTCTGTCACCCAGGCTAGAGTGCAGCAGCACAATCTCAGCTCACTACAACCTCCACCTCCCGGGTTCAAGTGATTCTCCTGCCTCAGCCTCCTGAGTAGCTGGGACTCCAGGAACATGCCACTACACCTGGCTAATTTTTGTATTTTTAGTAGAGACGAGGTTTCACTATGTTGGACAGGCTGGCCTCAAACTCCTGACTTCAGGTGATCCACCCGCCTCAGCCCCCACAAAGTGCTGGGATTACAGGCGTGAGCCACTGCCCCAGGCCATCTGCTGCCTTTTATCAAACTGTTTCAATCATGTTTGACCTCTCCAAATTACAGTGGATTATACTGTACTAACAGCTAACTGATGGACAGGTTACAGAAGTAAGTAATAAATTATAAAGCTGAATTAGGTAAAGCAAAGCAGGATTCCACTAAAAGCAAAAGAACATCAACTACTCAGTAAGTTTTGTGCTTGTAAATTTTTCTCATGTTTATTCAAATGTTTTTATGTCCCATCCACAAGCAAAATTTCCTATGTCTGCCTCAAGTTTTCCTAGTTACATTTTTTAGGAGGCATTCTAAGATATCAAAATGAGGGTTTTATGCAATGAGTATTTAGAGAGCATAATCCTCTCTCCTCCAATTTTGTTTAAAAAGTATGTCCCTACCCTGTGATTGTGTCGAGTCACCTCTCAGCTCTCTGGATGCTGTTTAAAGTTCTAGGAAAAGGGAAATCAAGAGAGGTTGCCCTAAGCCCAAAGGCCCATGAACAAGCCAGTGGCCATGTTACTAATCTTGAAATAGTGAAGGCCTGCTACCAAGTGTACCTCAAAAGAACAAACGGGTGCTTAAAACAAGACTCACTGTTGCACGATAATGAAGCGTTAGTTCTTAAGCCTTTAAAGTACTGTCCTGACCAGAGGCAAAAGCTTTTTAAAGAACCCTCTGGAAATTTAGTGTTGGCAGCTCCAATCACTGCCCCAAGCAGAGCCCACATGCTAAGGTGTCTACGCAGATTCAGTCCTCTGGCCCTGGGCCAGTGGATACTGCAAATGGTATTCTCAAACTGCTGCTTCTCAAACTGCTGCGTGTGTTAGAATCACCTGGAGGACTCTTTAGGTCACGTCTGCTGGGCCCACCCCCAGTGATTCTGATTTAGTAGGTCTGTGGTAGGGCCAAGATTTTGCATTTCTAGCAAGTTCCCAGGAGATGCTTATGACGCTGCTTCTGAGGCCACATTTTGAGAACCACTGATGTAAGTTAAGGGGTATGGGTCACCATTCTCTAGGCTGGTGCCACCAACAAGCACCACAGAATTAAAGGTACTTTCTGTCAGTAAAGAGAGAGCAGAGTATTGCAGAGCAGAGTAACAACCAGCTAGTTCTCATTGCTGCTCTCATCCTCCACTTATTAGCAGGAAAATTCAGCAATTCCCTTGAAATGCAGGCTTGAGGTGGCATTTTATGGTGTCATACTATTTAAATATTGCAAGTTTAGGGAAAGGGGAAAAAAGAAGATTTTTTTCTCCTAACATATAATAAATAAAAATAAGCCAGAAATTTCATTTGTTCCTATATCACTTATCTTCTGACACTGATCATGAATGTCTGGCAAAAGAGGCCAGAATGATAGGCAACACTAACAAAAAGACTTTGTATTTAGAGACTAGATGACCTTTCATCAGTGCAGCTCAAAGAACCAGAGAAACTTTCTGAATTCTCTATAGATTCATAATAGCATTGTCACATGGGACATTAATTCACCTCCCTGAGTCATGCCATTGGACTAGTAGCACCATGATTTAAAATAATCAGGCTAAGACAGAAAATACCTGTAAACCCCTAGCCAAACTCAGAAATTTTTCAAAATTAAAATGAATTTAAAAGTTCACAAAAATTAAAACATAAAATTATGCAGATGAAGTATTTAAACACATTACAGAGGCAGTATGAACTCACCTATACCATACTTCATCATTTCATCTCTATCACTGACCAGCTGTGTGACCTGAGGCAAATTACTTTGCCTATCCTTGCCACTGTTTCCTCATCAGTAAAATGGAGGGTTGGTAATGTTCCTCTCTTACAATTTTTATGAGGATTAAATAAAATGGGCACATAGTAAGTATCCTATAAGTGTTAGCTACAAATGTTATCCTGTAAGTGTTACTATAAATTATTAATGATATTAATCAAAACTTGCAAATTTGCAAAACAATGTGTTTAGATTATGTGAAAAGTACTAACGGCACTCAAAGACATTTTTCCCACTTCATTTCACACCTTCATCGCCTCCCACCTCTATCATGAGTGAATTAGCCCAGAGTCCCCCAATTCTTTTATAAGCTAAGTTTTTCAATTAAACCGTCCAACATTTAGAATAAGAGGAGCAGCAGATCTAAGCTTAATCCTCATCTTTCCACAAGACAAGAACCAAATTTGCAGGAAGAGATGCAACAGACCTTTGTTTTAAAATCTTGTCGAACTAAATCTAAACAGACCCCATATGTTGCCAAAAGCAGGCAACCACCAAGGTGAGAAAAGTTGAGACAGATGTCAGACTGCCATTTTGGTGAAGGGGAAAGGGAAAACTCCACATGCTTTTTAAGAGGAAAAGAGAAACATCACTTCAAAGAAAAAAAAGCAACATGATAATTGATTAGACCAATAGGCATGCTGCTCAAGTAAAGAACCATAAGGAAGTGAGGAGACAACTAACTTTTTTGACTCAATCTGTTAGCTATGATGATACACAGAACTGTCCTCATAGGCAAATAATCTTAGACATAAAATATGTTTTTTGTTTAGAAGATAATGGTGGCCACTTCTAAGAGTTAGCAATATATTAATACTACAGTAATTGATAGAAAAACACATCTACTCCTAAATAACACATCATGAGTACAATTGAAAGGTTCACAAATAATTAAATCCTTGAAGAAGAGGCCCTAGGAAGCCCAGAAGAATAACAAACTTCTGTCCACTTGATAACTCTTGTGTGAACACGCAGACCCCTGAGGACATCAAAAGGGCTTTACTTGGGATCCAAAACAGATTGTCAGAGAGATGCACCCCAATGCCTCTCGTTTTTAAAACAGCCTCTAGATATCTACAACATGGGGGAATAGCTCATGATATAAGCTACACTTTCAAAATTCAGGACACAAATTTCTCTGTTCTCATGAACAGAGAAAGATGCACCCACTTCAGTTTAAAATGCTATTGATTACTATAATTAAATATAGATAGATCCAAACATATAAATATATTGGCCAAAAAAAGAGAGAAAATGAAGCAATACTCTCTAGGTTATGATTTTTTTCTTCATTATATTTTCTGCACTTTACAAGTTTGGAATTTAGGATGAATATACCTCAATTTTATCATCAGAAACATTTTACGGCATACTTTGTAAGACTGAAAACTTGTTGATGTATTTTTATTTACACAAAACTTACATAGTGGGTTACGTAATTCAATGATTATGTGTCTGAGTCTATACTTATGAATAATGCTCTTTTTAGTCATTTCTGTAGTAATTCAGCACAAATCTTTGGTCTTAAACTGGCTAACCACTAGAGAAAAATAACTCCACTGACCACGGCTGCTCTATTCAAATGTCTGTCAGTGTCACTCTGCACTGTCGCAGCACCACCTAGTACACCGCAGTCAGGTTGTTAAAACCAACCCAGTGAAATCAAATACACCAAACAGGACTCATGACCAATTGCATTTACTTAGCAAATGAAGTCACCATCTCAGAGTAAAACATTCCACACTAAAATTCAAACACAGTTCTAGATACAAACATACTCCTAAGTCAGAAAGCAATTCACATTTAGCATGTGGATATCTAGATTAAAAGGCAGAAAATGCCTACTTTTAAATAAACCCAACTATGTTGTTGCAGACATTTAACAGAAGCCTCTCCTCCCTTTTCCTCTTTTATTTTATTTTTTTTAAAGCAGGTTCTCACTCTGTCACCCAGGCTGGAGTGCAGTGGTGTGATCTTAGCTCACTGCAACCTCTGCTTCCCAGGTTCAAGCGACCCTCCAGCCTCAGCCTCCCAATCAGCTGGGACCACAGGCGCGAGCCACCACGCCTGGTTAATTTTTGTATTTAATGTAGAGACGGGCTTTCACCATGTTGCCCAGGCTGGTCTTGAACTCTTGAGTCACAGTGATCTGCCTGCCTCAGCCTCCCAAAGTGTTGGGATGGCAGGCATGAGCCACCGTGCCCAGCCCCCTTTACCTTTCTTAATATAGGAAAGGCTTAATCATCTCTTGGGAAGCTCATAAACTATTCCTAAAAATCAAGCAATAAAAAAATTAAGAGTTAACAATTTATTCCAATGTTAATTAATCTTTTTTCCCAAATCAAAAGACTTCCCTAACAACAACGAAATGTAACTGAGATCTCACAAAAAAGAAACCAGCTAAAAGACATACAGAACAATGAGGAAAATAATACTTTGGATTATATATATGAATGAAGAAGAGCAACAGGATAACCCAGAAATTGTGTGTATAAAAAAGAGGGGAAAATAACATAAATTAATATTTTCATATTTGTATACAGAAACCTCTGGAAGCATGTGAAGAAACTAGTAAACGTGGTTATCTGGAGTGGGGAGTTGATGCTGGACAGAAGGAGTGAGACTTTTCACTGCATGGCCTTTGTGTATGCATATTTTTTAACAATGTGAATTACTGTCTATTCAATAAATTACATGAAAATTTATGCTGAGGTTACTTGGGCTGCATCATGATTTTTCCACTGACCTTGGTCCTCATGTAATATAAAGGTAAGGAGCACAGGCTATGGAGTCAGGCTGCCTGGAGCTGAGGGCCCACCAACTAGCTAATGAGCACACCTGGAATATCCTGGGAGAAGCAGGCTAGTGCCCTTGCCTGGATGGTGGTCCCAGCAGCAAGACCATCAGCTGAGAAACCACAGTGCACCTCAACAGCAGTTCTCAGATGCCAACATAATCAGGTATAATTGGATTATGCATAACATACCCTCACTTAATTCTATTTCCTTTTTTTTTACACATCGTGGTCTCTGAGTCCTCAGAACATTTTATCAGATGTGTAATGCTGTCATGCAGAAAGCCCTCATATTTCACCATGTGTTATTGTAATTTAAATTAGCTAGTTACTACACAGCCCTCTGCATATTACTGATAACACCTTTAACAATTTTTAATCATAACAGGGAGTGCAGGGGAAGTAAAGTATAACAAAGGATTTCCCTACAGGAATAATCTAAAACCATTGTCTATCCTTCCAAAGTAAGATACCGCTTTTCTTTTTTTTTTTTTCTGAGACGGAGTTTTGATCTTGTCGCCCAGGCTAGAGTGCAGTGGCGTGATCTTGGCTCACTGCAACCTCCACCTCCCAGGTTCAAGCAATACTCCTGCCTCAACCTCCCGAGATTACAGGCACCTGCTACCAAGCCTAGTTAATTTTTGTATTTTTAGTAGATATGGGGTTTCACCATGTTGGCCAGGCTGGTAACTGCTTTTCTACATGGGTGGAAATGTCTTATGAAACCAATCAAAAGGGTAAGTGAAAATAAAACAGAAGAAAATTTCCACCATCCCAAAGGAAAAATAAAATTATTCCAGAAGGGTTTATATTTGTTTCTCAGAGTTTAATTTTTAGATAAAATATGCTGTAAACATTTGAAATCATTATTTTATATGTGTAGGAGTGCCATCATCCCAGAAACTTACATTCAGCTTTTCTAAGTTTGATGTAGTCTCAAAATGCAATTTAAATTGGCGATTTGGAATTCAGAACAGATTTTCTTCCAGAAACAATGTTATAAATGGTCATTCTATTCCTTATTATTTAGTTATATATCTAACCATCCACATGAAACTGTCAAGTACTTCAAGGAAGGACCCTGTGTAATCCTCACCACTTAGCACTAACAGAATAACTCAAAATACAGTTCAGGAATGGATGAATGGATGAATGTCCTGCCGCCCTGAATAAACAAGATGCCTCACACACGGCCTAGATGGGTGTTTCCCAAATTCGCCTCATTGGAATCACCTGGGGGTCCTTGCTAGGGAGGTCTGTTCCTGGCCTCACCCGGCTGCGCTGACTCAGAATCTCCAGGGGCGGGGCCACCTGGGGGTGTTTTTCACCAAGCTCCCAGTGACTCCGATGATTCAGAAAGTGTGGGTAACCCGGAGATGAACAGCTGCTGCACGTTCCAAGATGCCCGAGGAAAGCCGAGGTGCAGGCTGAGCCCGTCAAGTTCCGGGTGAAAACGTGACATTGGGGGCTTGGATAGCCAACCCCAGGCCAAGTGAGGCACAAGCGACAGCTCTCCCATAGCTAGGAAGCGAGGTGGGAGCTGAGCGGCCCTCCAGTTCCCACGGCAGGAGGAAATGGGGGCGAGAGGGCTCTGTGAAAGCAAGCCCATGTCCATGTCCATAAAAAGGCCCCGGAAACAGGCCTGGCTTCCCCGGCCCCAGTGAAGCAGACAGAAAGCAACAGCCCTCCACACACTGCTCTCGGGAGCCACATATACTTTCACATGCCTGTGCAGAACTCTCTGGTTTTCCAACCAGAGGTATTTTTGTGTTTATCTCTGACACCAGCTCTCATGTAGCCGTGGTCAGCTTTCATCTTCCAGGCTTCAGTGGCACGGCCTCCTGCAGACTGGGCCATCTGTGGCGATACAGGGACACAGACGCACACACATGCTAACTCAGCCTTCAATGTCACCAAAACAACAGCAGCAACTGTTAAATAAATGTTAGCTATGTGCCAGGCGCTGTGCTAAGTAAGTACTTTTGATGCGTGTCTCAAATTTCTTGGCCATCTGCTAGTAGTTTGAGAGGTTTCTAAACAAAGAGAAGGAAAAGGGAAAAGCCCAAAAGCCTTCTTGTTTTTTCCTCAGATATTTGACAGGTTTTCACTGTATCTTCCTGGCCTCATCTGAGTATGGGAAGGTCATAATTTGAAGTTAGATCAGGTAACTGAGAGACACTGCCACGCGATGTTTGGGCGGACTAATCCTGGAGACAGCCCTGGCCTGGTTCAAAGCCTAGCTCCATTGCTTACCAGCTGTGAATGTGGGCAAACAAGTTATTTGTGCCTTCACTGTATCACTGTCACACAGAAATAATAATAATATCCATCTCACAGAGCCATTGTACATATTAAGGTGTTTGGCGTATGGCCAATGTCCAGCATTCGTCGACAGCATCATCAGGCAATACAAAACCCCTGCAAAGCACTGGGCACAGTGGCTCATGCCTGTAATCCTAGCATTTTGGGAGGCCAAGGCGAGCAGATCACTTGAGGCCAGCAGTTTGAGACCAGCCTGGCCAACATGGTGAAACCCCATCTCTACTAAAAATACAAAAAATCAGCTGGGCATGGTGGTGCCCACCTGTAGTCCCAGCTACTCGGGAGGCTGAGGCAGGATAATTACTTGAACCCAGGAGGCAGAGGTTGCAGTGAGCCGAGATCTCACCACTGCACTCCAGCCTGGGAGACAGAGCAAGACTCCCTCTCAAAAAAAAAAAAAAAAATCCCTGCAAAGACAGTCTGACATCAGAAAGCAGAATTATGCTACTGCCTTGATATTGGTAACAGTAATGACATATTTTGTTTGAATAATGCCAAAGGCTTTCATAGACACATCATTTGTCCAAAAAAAGGGGGAGGCCTGTGGGCGCGGTGACTCAAGCCTGTAATCCCAGCACTTTGGGAGGCCAAGGCGGGCGGATCACAAGGTCAGGAGTTCAAGACCAGCCTGGCCAACATGGCAAAACCCCATCTCTACTAAAAATACAAAATTAGCTGGGCGTGGTGGCGTGCGCCTGTAATCCCAGCTACTCAGAAGGCTGAGGCAGAAGAATCACTTGAACCCGGGAGGCAGAGGTTGCAGTGAGCCAAGATCGCGCCACTGCATTCTAGCCTGGGCAACAGAGTGAGACTCCGTCTCAGAAAAACAAACAAACAAACAAACAAACATGGGGGGCCTGTAAGCTCCTTTTCTCAGAGAGTTCCTCAGTCAAACACAGAAGCTCCAGCTCTTCTACCTTTGCCCAAAGTGCAGCTGAAGTGCACACTGTGACAAGTGCAGACCACAAATGAAACCGGCATGTGGAACAAGATGGCGGTCAGTACCCTCCTGCTGCATCTGAACTTCAGTTCCTGCAGAAGTCATTCATTCCAGGATAGAAACCAATTTGAGGAGAAACAGAATTAAGTAAGTTACTAGGGGCCTAGTTAGGTGCAAGTCATTTTATTTTATACTTATAACGATTTTTTTTTTCTTTTTACACCTTCACTGCTGGAAAAACTTGGTTTTTTAAACATAATAAAATGACTGCCAGAGGCAAATATTGCATTAGTTTTGTTTCTGAATTTTCTCCCCAAAATATTAAGAAACTCAAATGTTTCTCTTTTGTTAAATTTTTTCATTTGCTATTCTCGATTTTAAAATATATACAGCTAAAATGTTAATATTAGGGTTTTCTTTAATATAGCAGAAAACTAGATTACGGCTAGATAAATAATTTCAACCTAAATGTAGGTAGCTTTTTAAGCAGGTTATCATTTTCCCAATACCCAAGAGTCAATGAGGAGACTGATGTTTTGATTTAAAGGATATACTCTCATAATTCAAAAAATAACTCTCCTAGAAATCTGAATATTTGGCAAATGCATTTAAACATAATTCTCTTTCCATAATGACATTGCACTTTTTAAAGCTGAGGAGGAAGCTATGAATGTATTGTGGGCAGAATATACACAAATTAGAAACAAGTACCTGCCTGATCTGCTTGGCAAGTGACTAATCCCTCAACATGTGACGATCCACGCACTCTATGTGAATAAAATATTAGCTAAAAGAGCCCATACAGGCTGGGTGTGCTGGCTTACCCCTATAATCCCAGTACTTTGAGAGGCCAAGGTGGGAGGATTGCTTGAGGCCAGAGTTTGAGATGAGCCTAAGCAACACAGTGAGACATCAATTTCTGAAAATAAATAAATAAATAATTTTTTAATGTAAAGAGTCCATAGAGTCATGAAGAGTTTATTTCAGACACAAAGTTTTTTTTTTAATCCCTCATCAAAAGAATCAAAGAGATTATTTATCAAAGTTGTACTTACAAATTCATCTGAACTTGAACCCTGTCTGGATTCAAAGCCCAGCTCCATTGCTTACCAGCTATCAACATGGGCAAACAAATTATTTGTGCCTTAGCTATATCATCTGTCACACAGAAATAAGGGTATCCACTTCATATAGTATTATCAAATAGTCAAAATGAAACTCATAGAAGCAGAGAGTACAATGATGGTTACCAAGGGCTGTAGGAAGAAGGTATTGGAGAGATATTGGTCAAAAGATACAAAATTTCTGTTAAGAGGAATAAGTTCAAGAGATCTATAATCAACATGGTGACCATAGCTAATAACATGTATTGCATACTTGTAAGTGTTCTTACCAAAAAAAAAAGAGTATGTGAGATAATGCCTATATGTTAATTAGCTTGATTAACCCATGCCACAATATATAAACATCATGTTGGTGGGGCACAGTGGCTCACACCTGGAATCCTAGCATTTTGGGAGGCCAAAACGGGCAGATGCTTGAGCCCAGGAGTTTGAAACCAGCCTGGGCAACACAGTAAAACCCTGTCTCTATTAAAAATGTAAAAATTAGCCTGGCATGGTGGCATGTGCCTATAGTCCAGGCTACTAGCGAGGCTGAGGTGGGAGGATCATTTGAGCCATTGAACTCCAGCCTGGGCAACAGCCAGATCCTGTCTAAAAAAATAATAATAAAATAAAATAGTTGTTTCCCATAAATACATGCAACTTTAATTTTCCTATTTATTTTGTCAAAATAAATTAAAACTTTTTAAATCCCTCAGTAGAATCACAAAACGCCAAAATTGGAAAGGCCAGTAGAGATTATTTTTGTCAAGGTCTCTGTTTACAGATATGAAAACTAAGGCCTTGAGGTGTTGAATAAATTGCTCAAAATCTGTGTTAGAAAATGGCAGAGGTGAAGCCAAGCTCAGGTCTCCCAATTCCTAATCCAATGAGCTTTCTAGACGATTGCAGTGCTTCTCAATTTGCCTGGCCAAAGGACAGCATGGCATTGTTAAACATACTGGAGACTCTGGCTCAACAGGGCTTTGGAAGGGTCTGGGAATCTCTAATTTTAACGAAAGTTCCAAGCAGTTCTTAAAGTTAGTCAAGTATAGGAATCACCTCGCCTCCTTAACCTGATGGTGCAATCTGACCACTCAGCTACTGTCAGTTTCTCTTAATAAATTGAGGGACTGGGATTAGAGGGGGGTGCGGGCCACACAGCCACCAACATCCTCTCTAGCATGTGGTATGTGTCAATGAAAGCAAATCTTATGCCAATTTCGCCAAACATTTATGAGTAGTCAGACACAAAAACAGCCATACAACCTATTCTTATGCAGTCAGTCAGACACGGTGGCTCACACCAGTAATCCCAGCTCTTTTGGGAGGCCAAGGAGGGAGGATCGCTTGAGCCCAGGAGTTCCAGACCAGCCTGCACAACGTATGGAAACCTCATCTCTTTTTAAATTAAAAAAAAAAAAAGAAGAAGAAGACGAAGTGCAGTGAACACTCTGTCTTTAGAACTCTGACAAGTGCCTTGCGTTCTGAGGAAGAAGCAAAGATATTCTGACATCAGGACCAGCCAACCCTCTGGTTAGGTGAGGGGACAGTCTGTTGTGAGGTATGAGAATGCATCTCAACACCTAAAATACTCCTCAGAACTATGAGCCTACTGTGTCTGCCAAATTCTCAGTCCTGTTTATGCAAAGACTGTATTTGCAAATGTACAATGTTAAATATGTACAATTATTATGTATCAATTAAAAAGTAATAAGTGTGTATAATATAACCTGGCCTTCCCTCCTATCTCACAAGGTTTTTCATCAAGTAATAAATATGAATGATACTTTTTCAATCATAAAAGTCTTAATTATAAAAAGAAACAAATTATGAACTTCGAAAAGTTCACTGTGCTAAGTAAAAAAAGCCAGGCACATGATTCCATCTGTATGAAATGTCCAGAAAAGTCAAATCTATAGAGGCAGAAAGTAGATCAGTGGTTGCCTAGGAATGGGAGGGTTGACAGGAAATGGGGAATAACTAGTTATGAGTATGGGGTTTCTTTTGGGGTGATAAAAATGTTCTAAAATTGTGGTAATGGTTGCACAACTCTGTGAATACACTAAAAACCCCTAAATTGTACACTTTTTTTTTTTGGGGACACAGAGTCTTGCTCTATCTCCCAGGCTGGGGTGCAGTGGCGCCATCTCGGGTCACTACAATATCCACCTCCTGGGTTCAAGTCATTCTCATGCCTCAGCCTCCCAAGTAGCTGAGATTACAGGCATGTGCCCCTATGCCCAGCTAATTTTTGTATTTTTAGTAGAGACAGAGTTTCGCCATGTTGGCCAGGCTGGTCTCGAACTCCTGGCCTCAAGTGATCGGCCCACCTTGGCCTCCCAAAGTACTGTAATTACAGGTGTGAGCCACTCCACCCGGCCAAACAGTATGCTTTAAGTGGGTGAATTGTATGGTGTGTAAATTTTATTTCAACAAAACTATTTTTAAAGAGAAAGAAAACCCAATCACACAGGGCTTAAAAATAAAAACAGGGGCCAGGCACAGTGGCTCACGCCTGTAATCTCAGCACTTTGGGAGGCCGAGGCGGGTGGATCACGAGGTCAGGAGTTCAAGACCAGCCTGGTCAAGATGGTGAAACCCCATCTCTACTAAAAATACAAAAATTAGCCAGGCATGGTGGTGGGCATCTGTAATCCCAGCTACTCAGGAGGATGAGGCAGGGAATTGCTTGAACCCGGGAGGCAGAGGTTGCAGTGAGCTGAGATCACGCCACTGCACTCCATCCTGGGCGACAGAGTAAGGCTCCATCTCAAAAAAATTAAAATAAAAATAAAAAAATAGAAACAGACTATTTGATCGAGTGTCTATTGATTTCTGCTTAGCAAAGTCTGTTTTGATATTTACAGAGCCAAGATGTAACTATTCACATTGCTGGCTGTTGTCACTATTTTCCATGAGAACTTACTGTGTCAGCAAAATTAATGAAGTCTGACTTTTACAGACAGGAGCAGAGATTGGTGGTTAAGCACTAAACATTAAAGGCAGAAAGTTTACATTTTTATTTTTGTAAAGTAATTGTCTCGATCACTTACATTGGTAGCAGTATTGTATTTTTAGTATTGTATTTTTGTACTTGTACTTAGTATTGTATTTAGTACTGTATTTTTAGTAGGGACGGGGTTTCAACATATTGGCCAGGCTAGTCTTGAGCTCCTGGCCTCAACTGATCCACCTGCCTCAAAAGATCCATCCTCCTTCCTCCCTAAGGTTTTTATAGTTATTCTTCCTGACAGTAAGCACTAAGTCACTAAGTATTAATTCAATTCAAACATCTATTGAGCTATCACATCCAGGCATTGTTCTAAGCTCTAGAAAAACAAAGACTCGGCCATCCTGGACCTCAAAGGTCCTGCTGTCTGGCAGAGGGGTGCAGAAGTCCCCTTGGTAAATGTGGTGATCGAGGTGAACCAATGCCATGGGAACAGCCCCTCAACCTGGGGGTGTCAGGGAAAGAAAGTAGGAGTCTTCAATGAACAGAATAATAACATGCATTCTCCCCAAGGCATGACAAAAAATTATTTTGGATAACTTTCTACCCATGAGATTTTGAGGAATGGCAAACTTGATGAAATACCTCTCAGGATCATTGAGGCCAGCAGGGCCAGCCCACAGGACTAAAATACTGTCTCTGTATTGCAAAGAGTGTTTATACATTTTTTTAAATTGTTCCACTGACATTCTCACATCCTTTCTTATGGTAGAAAGCTATTATTGGTCACTGAAATATGCTGTCCCCAACTGCTAGAGGCTTTTGGTAAACTGCTGGATTCTGTTAATTGCTCCTGGGGAGACTCATTAAATGGTTTATCTGACAAGAAGGGTGGAATTAACGGTCACAGTTATCCTTAGGACTGTTTAAGGAACATATCTAAACTTTGCTCCCCATTTCCACACCTTTTTTTTTTTTGAGACAGTCTCGCTAATTTTTGTATTTTTGGTAGAGACGGGGTTTCGCCATGTTGGCCAGGCTGATCTTGAACTCCTAGCCTCAAATGATCCGCCCACCTTGGTCTCCCAAAGTGCTGGGATTACAGGCATGAGCCACTGTGCCTGGCTCCACACTCTTCTAAAGGGAAGGAACACAGGCAGTGGGACGACAGGCGAGACAATCAGAAGGTTTGGGCTTCAGGCCCGGATGTGTCATTACCCACAGCCTAACCTGGGGTGAATTAACTGCAATGCTGTTGGACTGGATTTCCTCTCTGGGTAAGAATTCACGAAATGGATGGCCTTTACGGTCAATTCCAAGTCTAAAAGTCTAGCCATCCATACTAATGGAGTATGATATTCTGAAGACCTGCCTAAAATGGCAGAACAACTTCAAACTGTAGTTTTTACACAGAAACAAGGTTTGAGGCATTGTTTTAAAAGAATCCTAACAGATGGTAATGCATAGGCATTTCACTGCTTTTAAGCACATAAAAAAGCAAAGTGTGTGAAGGTGAAAGAAACCACAAAAATTAATGTCTTGATAGTCAGCTTTCTTCTCTACATGTACATTTATACTCAGGCATAATTATATTCAATAAAAAGCCTTCTTGCATGATTATTAAAAAAAAAAAAATGGGGCCACGTGTGGTAGCTCACACCTGTAATCCCAGCACTTTGGGAGGTCGAGGCAGGTGGATCGCCTGAGGTTGGGAGTTAAAGACCAGCCTGACAAACATGGCGAAACCCTGTCTCTACTAAAAATACAAAAATTAGCCGGGCGTGGTGGCGGGCGCCTGTAATCCCAGGTACTCTAGAGGCTGAGGCAGGAGGATTGCTTGAACCCAGGAGGCGGAGGGTGCAGTGAGCTGAGATTGCACCACAGCACTCCAGCCTGGAAGACAGGTATGAAATCACAACCACTTAAGATTCAAACAAACTTGTGAAAAGTTTTGAAAAGAGTTATTTCAGTTACTGTAATTAGAACAACCTTAGTTAATATGGAGAATTTGGGGGATTTCTGGCTATGGACAGTAGCCTATTGGGGCATATGTACTAAAGAACAGAGAAAAGTGATACATTTAAATGTAAAACCAAACTAGTAAAGGAAGGAGTTCTTGACCTTCAGGGAGTTTCCTCTTGTTTTTTAATTCCCACAATAGATCAGTTCACCTATCAATCAGATCTCCCTCATCACATTCTTTGTCAAGGGTAAAATTCTGGTTCTCCCACGTACCTACACCCTAGACAGAAAACGCATAGAAGCAACTCGTGATTGCCGCATAGACCATGACATCCTACTAGGACAGTGTATCCTACCATATGCATGAAGTCATCACTCACATTAAGTAGATATATTCTGATTATGTCAACAACCTTATGAGATCACTTTGATTCCTCCCCACTGATTTTTTTTTCTTGGAGGGGGACGCTCTCCCAGGTTGGGAACTGTCCACAATTCATATGAATGTGTTGACGGCACAATCAAAGAGATGAACGCAAAAATGTAAAACTGCCACGAATTAATTATACAACTTGGAGAAAGATGTATTATAGCAAGCAATCTCACTGAAATTAAATAATTGAAAATTTTGAACTCTTAGGCTGTAAGGTAGTTAAAATATAGCTAAGTTTTTCTAGCTAGCTGGAAAACGAGCTATTCGAGATTGCATATGAAGTGATTCTAGGAGAAAAAACTATTTCATCCAGAGCTGCTGAAATCTAGGCGTGTGTTACATCAACATCTCCCCTCCCACCCAGCAATCCATCAACCATCTCCAATTTATTCTTTACACTTAGGATTATGACCAAGTTCACGTACTTAAAAGGGAGAAACCACAGAGACATCACACTGAAAGTTTCTCTGCTTTGGGCCAGCAGGAAATTCCAGTTGCTTCATTCACCGGAGCCAGTTAAGCTGCTGAAATGAAATGGATCACCGGAGAGATCACTATATCAGGACATAGACTTGACTTTCAGGGTTGGAGGAAGCCGGACAAAGATGAATGGGATTCAGAGCCTGAACTCAAGGTCAACGTCTTCTGAATCACAAAGAGCTGGTGGGTCAGTCTGGGAGAAGAAAGAAAATTCTGCGCCAAATGGGAAAACCCTTAAAGTCTGCATAGTTTTGCTTGTCGGTAAGAACACAGGTAGGCGGCGGGAAGAGAGGTGGCAAGCAGCCCCAACGCTCGCCGAGATCCCCAGGGTTTTACAAACGGATCGTCCTGAAGTCTCCAAAACTGTAACTACTATATGCCCAAATTTATATTCTCCCCTGGCTTTTCCAACAGGCTACCTGCCTGTGACAGTTTTCCCACGAACTTGGCTCTCCTCTGTCTACAGCGCCCCGGGGTCTCCCAAACAGACAGACACAGACAGACAGAAGGAGCAGACAAGGGGACTGTCCAATTCCCACCCTCCGCGCCCACTCTCTCGAGGTAGCCAAGACCCTCCAGGAGTCCGAAAGTCACAGAGCGCTCTGCGCCCCTGCCACCTGCCCAGCCTCCCGCTGGGGTCCGGCAGTCCCCACTGGAGACCCCGACATCGCGGGGCTCCGCGGCCCCCGCGCCGACCCAGGGCCGCCAGGGGGCGGGCGGGAGCAGCTCTCCGGGTGCCTCCCCCGCCGGTTCCCCTCCCCCGGCCCGCCGGCCACTCACGGATTTTCACTCGGCGGTGGTCCAGGCGCGCAGCGGCGGCTTGCAGGGCGTCGAGGCGGCGGTGCAGCGCGGCGGTGCGGTGGCCCAGCGCGGCCGCCTGGCCCTCGAGCTCGCCGAAGATGTCCCCGGCGCAGCGCGACAGGTCGGCCAGCTGCGCCAGCAGGCAGCCCAGGGCATGCGAGCTGACCTGCTCCAGCGAGCGGAAGAGTGGCGCGCCCGCAGCCCCGGCCCCCGCCGCCTCGGGCCGGCGCAGCCGCGCGGGCTCCAGGGTCCTCTGGTGGAAGGGCATGGCGGGGGCGGGCCGGCGGCGCGGGATCCCTCAGTCTGCCTCCCGTCGGCGCGGGGCGCCAGCCTGCATCCAACACAAAGGAAGTCCCGGGCAGCGGCGGGGCGCCGAGGGAAGCCTGGCGGCCCCTGCCCGCAGGGGAGAGGCCGGGCGGGCAGGAAGGACGGACGGACGGACGGGCGCGCGGGCGAGCGGGCACCCGGGCGGCGCGGGGCAGGAATGGGGTCCGAGCCGTGGCTGCCTGGCGCCCGGCGGCGTTCCTCCACCCGCAGGGCTTCGCGGGCCGCGCGGCGAGAGGAAGTTCCAGGGGCAGCTCTGGGCGGCGGCGGCCGCGGCGGCGAGGGGAGCCGCGAGTCCCGCTGAAGTTTGCAGGCGGGCAGGAAAGCGCCGGCTGCTCCTTCCCTCCCTCCGGATTGGAGAGGGAGGAGGAAGCGAGGGAAGTGCCGCCGACACCGGGCGAGAGGGAGGGGAGGCGAAAGAAAGGAAAGGGGGAGGAGAAAAGGGCCGGCCCGGGAACCACCTGCGGCTCCCGCGGCTGCCGCGCCCAGCGCCCGCAGCCAGTGGCGGCCCCGGCGCCTCAGCGCACCCTGTCGGGGCGGGTGCGGGCGCACAGTCCCGGGACGCCCACGTCGCCGCCCCAACTCCCCTTGGCAGCCCCCGGGCGGTGGGGCAGAGCCCTCGCCCGCCCCCCGGGCCGGGGTGCAGCGCAGTGCGGGCGCCGGGAGGGCGGAGGCGCCAGGACGGCCGCGGCCAGCTCCGCTCGCTCTGCTCACCTGCGCCCCTGCCCACGGCGCTCCGCAGTCAGGAGCGCCCCGCCCCGCGGGGAACGCCCCGGGCCCCTCGGGGTCCCCCTGCTCTCTCCTACTTCCCTTCTGGAAGGTGGCCAACACTTCTGGGCCGCCCGGGTGGACCTCAAATAGAACGTCTTTAAATGTCCGGTGGCCAAGGGTTCTGTAGCCGACTAGGAGTCAGCGTCCGACTCGGAACAACTCAAGACCTCTTTTCAGGGGGCGTCCAGTGAGTTTTTTTCAGCAAGGTGACTCCCCCTGTGGCTGCCTGCTACTACAGCTGGAAAGGTCCAAGCTGAAATGTGACTAATCTGAGTTTCTTCCACCAAGCATGTTAGTTAGGGGTGGAGGACTAGAACCTAGAACCCTGAATTCGAGCCTGGAAGATATGTAAGCCACATGCTATTGAGATCGTGGTCATGGGACACCCGCTAACACAAACCTTCTGGTAGGAAGTTTTTGAGAAGACTGGGTCCAATATCCCCAAGCTAAAATCCCACTGGCCCATCGCTGTGTTTGCTCAGAAAAGGAATCTGGGTTCTTTGGTTTCTGCTTTCCAGTTGACCCTGGTTGCTCCTCTGTTTTACGGCATTTTGGGAGTCGGTCTCCCAGAGCAGCGCTGATTGTAATGAGAAGCGCGTTCCCTCTCTGGGGGACAGGAGCAGTGGGAGAAAAATGGGCCTGGGAAAGAGCTCCTCCAAATAAAACTTATTAGACAGATACGGGTTATGGTGTTGGTGGTGGTGGTGGTGGTGTTTTGGTCTTTATCCTGTTGTACAGCGCCTCATTTTTTACAATGTGGGCCAGTAACTATTTCGTATCACCTACTCTGACCACCTTCAGGGTTGTTATGAGGCTCAAAGGAACGGCTGCTGTGAAAAAACATGCTTTGCAATTTATGAAGCACTGGATAAACATCAGGAACGGTATAAAAGCATGCTGCTTACTCAAGAAATACTAGTTGAGTGCCTGTGTGTTGGGCACTGGCTAGAGATAAGGTAATGTGCAAAGCTGGCTCTGTCCCTGCCATCATGAGACTCTCGTGTAGTGGACCATGCATAACATTTTTAAATTATATACAATATGGCCGGGCGCCGTGGCTCACGCCTGTAATCCCAGCACTTTGGGAGGCCGAGGAGGGCGGATCGCCTGAGGTCAGGAGCTTGAGACCAGCCTGGCCAACATGGTGAAACCCCGTCTCTACTAAAAATACAACAATTGGCCGGGCGTGGTGGTGGGGGCCTGTAATCCCAGCTACTCTGGAGGCTGAGGCAGGAGAATCGCTTGAACCCGGGAGGCAGAGGTTGCAGTGAGCCGAGATCATGCCGTTGCACTCCAGCCTGGGCAACAGAGCCAGACTCTGTCTCAAAAAAAAAAAAAAATTACATACAATATAATTTGCCTATTTAAAGTGTATAACTCAATGCTTTTTAGTATATTTACAATGTTGTGCAAACATCACCATAATCACTTTTAGAACATTTTAATCACACCAGTCTCAAAAAAACAATTCTCTTTAGTACTCAGTTCCCTCCCTCCTAAACCATCACTAGCCAATTGCAACCACTCATGTGTCTATGGATTTGCCCATTGTAGAGGTTTCATATCAATGAAATCATACATGTGTGATTGTTTGTGACTGGCTTCTTTCACTTAGTGTGATGTTTTCAAAGTTTATCCATGGAGTAGCATGGATCAGTTTTGATTCTTTTTTTAAGGCTGCATAATATCCCATTGTTTGGATATGCCACATTTTGTTTATCCATTCATCAGTTAATGGACATTTGGGTGTCCACTTTTTGGCTATTATGATTAATGCTGCTGTGAACATGTGTGTACAAGTTTTTGTGTTAACGTGTGTTTTCATTTCTCTTGGGTACATACCGAGGAGTGGAATTGATGAGTCATGGTGCCAATCTGTTTTCCGAAGTGACTGCACCATTTTACCTCCCAGCCAGCAATGTATGAGGGTTCCAGTTTCTTCACATCCTCGGCAACACTAATTTTTATGTCTTTTTTATTACAGCCATTCTAGTGGGTATAATACCTCATTGTGGATTCGATTTGCATTTTCCTGATAGCTAGTGATAATGAGCATCTTTTCATGATTTTATCAGCTACCTGTTTATCTTCTTTGGAAAAAGATAACATTGTAGAAATGTCTGTTCAGATTCTTGGCCATTATTAAATCAAATTTTTGTCCATTTCTTATCAAGATGTAATAGATCCTTGAATATTCTAGATACAAGTCCCTTAGGTGTAACATTTACTTCCTGATTGCTTTAACAGTCTATTGTGGGTTTTTTGTTTTTTGTTTTTTGTTTTGAGATGGAGTCTCGCTCTGTCACCCAGGCTGGAGTGCAATGGCAGGATCTTGGCTCACTGCAACCTCCGCCTCCTGGGTTCAAGCGATTCTCCTGCCTCAGCCTCCCGTGTAGCTGGGATTACAGGTGCCTGCCACCACGCCCAGCTAATTTTGTATTTTTAGTAGAGATGGATTTCACCATGTTGGCCCGGCTGGTGTTGAACTCCTGACCTCAGGTGATCCACCCACCTCAGCTTCTCAAAGTGCTGGGATTACAAGCGTGAGCCACAGCACCCGGCCCAGCATTGTTCTTTAGTTTATTCCCTCTTCTATTCCCTTGAGACTTTCCCATTGGTTTGAAAAGAATTATGATTTAGCCACATAAACTAATAAAAAGAGAGCAAGAATATTTTTGTAAATTTGTAATCCTGGGGCAATATCAATAGAATTTTTTTTATAAAATGAATGATTTCACTACTCCAGAAGTGGAATGTAAACTCTATACATAACCAGAACATGGAATTAACAGGACTCATGGGTGTATCCATAAAAGCAACTGAATTTTTAGTCTTCTGCTGTTAATAATCTGTTCCATGAGGATAGTTCTTCCTCTTCCACAGAATGAAACTCAGGCAGTCCTATAACTTTTTTATTCTCTCAGGTAATAGAAAATCCTGTTACTTTAAGAGGAAAAACCCTGCTCTTAATTCAGTAATTCAAATCTTGTCCCCTTCCCCAACAGGGTCTCCTATGGACAGAAGTGCGGGCAAGGAGCTTTGTTCCTCCCCGATGTCACCCTCCCACAGCCCACTTGCTAGCAGGCAAGAGAGGGGTGGAGGCCGGCAGTAAGGCATGTACTGAACTGGACCTCTGGTGGAATGGGTCACCCACGCTGGGCTTGGTGGGTATTTGAAAGTGACTCTTTCGTGAACACTGTTGTGAGCCCTCACTGGGAATGTCTGGCCATGCTTCCTGACGCTGGCAATGAATTTTCTCTAGCTGCTTATTCTACCCCAACCTTGGTCTTCCTTCTGTCCCCTCCATGCAGACTCTTACCATCAGGGTCCTGCCAACCCTTCAGTGAGACTTTTTCCGAAGAATCCCTTTTAAAATGACCTCAAGCTGACCTTCCTGATGCAGATTCCACATATGGTATCTGAGACTCACACAGTGTGGTTGGAAGATAGCACAGTGACCTCCCAGGCACAGCCCTCTGCCAGCCCTCCACTGGCTGCCCTAGGATGCTGGCCTTCCTCCGATGGGAGTCGGGCCCAGTCTGCTGTGAGCCAGGAGAAGCCAGCAAGCTCCCTGCGAGGCCTGGAGGAGCCCTTCTCACTCAGCTTGGTGTTCGATGCCAGTGCCCCCGCCCATTGTGGGGTGAGGGTGGGACTCTCAGCACAGCCCTGTCCAAATAAATCCTCTAAAGCCCTCTTCCATCTGCAGTCACTTGAGTCTTTTGTAGCCTGTGTGATTGAGCATCTAAGCAGTCCTCAGCTATTTACTTTGAAATTTCGTAAGTGATTTTGGTATCTGTCATTTCTTGATGCATCAGTCACAACTCCCCATCTAACATCCCATTAAATAATATATAAAACAGAACAAAAACATTGTGCCAACTTCTTCTAAGAAGAATTTAATGTCACTTCCTAAGTTAAGCAGTTGGGCCCTGTCCCATGACTGTTCATCTCTGCTCAATAGTCATCAAGAGCTGAGAAAGAAGAAAGGAGCCCTGGGGGCCTAAGCTGTGTGTGTGTGTGTGTGTGTGTGTGTGTGTGTGTGATTATGAGAAACACTCTCCATTCTGTTTTTCATTAATATCTAAAGGGAAATTCTATTAAATCAATTCCAAGACCAAAAATTGTGGACATTTGTGTGTTTTTTAAAGACACTAAAAACAAGTGGAATGTACAGATAGACTATATTATTTCCCAACTTTTTGATATATAGTACAAATTGTTCCTGAATTAAAAGTCTAATGATTGATACATTTTTTGTATTATCTTACCTGCTAGGGAAAAAAAAATTGCCATGATGCGAAAAAGATGCAACAGGCACCGTGGGGTATAGCGTGTAGCAGTCTTCTGTCCATGAAATACTGTGGTTTATATGCAGGATTAGCCAAGTGGTAGAAACCTCGGTCCAGCCAGTCTGGAGACTAGTAAACCAAAAAGAGACTTTTCTGCTTCTAACGGACATAGGCAAGTGGTAATTTCTCACCAAATTAAAAATAACACTGGTCTTTGATTAGCTAGAGAGATCTTCTTAAAATGCTTATCTGATTGTGTCCCCCTCCCTCAGCTCAAAAATCTGTAAAGCTTTTCCATTACTTTTTGGATTAACAAAAATGAGGTCCACAAAGCCCAGAGAGTGTTGTCCCTACCTTTCTCTCTAGCCGATTTCCTGTCTCCCTCCTCCTGTACTGCCTCCCCCACCTTGTGATCCAGGCCATATGGATTCAATGCCTCCTCCATTCTCCCTTCTCTCTCTCCTTTGTTCAGTCAGCTTTTCAGATTTTGGTTCAGATGTCACTTCCTTGGCCCTCCCCTCCCAGGCCAGATCAAGTCTCCCTATTCTAGACTACTAAACTTTTTGAACATTTAAGTGTTTCTATTTATATATTTATATAATTTATTATTATCTATATTAGGGCCCTGAAAAGAAACAAATCAACTCAGAGGGTTCAACTAAGAGAACTTAATGAAGAAACAAAAACCAGAGGTGCTGCGGCACTCAGGAACTAGCAAGAGCAGGAAACCTTTATGAATCCTTGGTTCAAAGGGGTAGAAGGGAGCACCACCTCGATTCCCCACCCCAGGAATGGAGTACTCATCTACTAGCAGTTCGAAGTGCCAGGACCAACAGGTCTCAACTAAATTTTTCTCTGGGACCTGTCCTTGCCTAAGGGGAACTTCCTCACCCAAAAGCATGCCCCCTTTCCCTGGGGCAGCCTCATGCAATGACTGGTCTGTGCAGAGGTGTGAAGATCCAGTTCACATGCCCCAAATTGGGACAACTAACTACAGGGCCATCCTAGCCCACTCTGCCCAATCCTGATCCTCTCACTCCCCCACCCCAAGTGGTCATCCCATGAACACTCCCCAGCTAACTTCCTGTGGGCACAGTATCAGGGGCTGCTTCGCACAGAACCTACCTAGAGAAAGGCCAAGGTAAAGAAAGTGTCACCCAAGCCCTATAAGAGCTTCCACTTTGGGCAAGCAGTGAGTAGGGAAAACAGATCTCCGCCTCTCCCACTTCTCTATTTCCTGCCTGGACCTTCTATTGGTGGAAGCCATTGGGTGACATAACCCACAGGAATCAGCCTTCTGGGGTAAAACACAGCAGAAGATAGATAATAGTGGGGAGAAGAGGGCAGAGACAAAATTTCCCCTTAGTAATCTGGTAGTACATACAGTGGCAAAAGAAGCCCCAAATAACTAAGAGTCTTAGCTTCCAATTTAATAGAACTATGGCTATTGATATAGTTTGGATGTGTGTCCCTGCCCAAATCTCTTGTTGACATGTAATCCCCAATGTTGGAGGTTGGACTTGGTGGGAAGTGATTGGATCATGAGGGCAGATATCTCATGAATAGTTCAGTATCATTCCTTTGGTACTATCCTGACAACAGTGAGTGAATTCTCACAAGATCTGGTTGTTTAAACGTGTGTGGCACCTCGCGCCCTAACTCTTGCTCCTGCTCTGGCCTTGTGATGTGCCTGCTGCTCCCTTCACCTTCCACCATGATTGTAAGCTTCCTGGGGCCTCCCCAGGAGCTGAGCCCAGCATCATGCTTCCTATACAACTTGCAGAACCATGAGCCAGTTAAACCTCTTTCTTTATAAATTATCTAGCCTCAGGTATTTACAGCCATATGAGAACATCCTAACAGCTATGTTCTCTAGTAGAAGGCTCCTTCCTTCTTTGTTAACAAGGACTTCCAATCAAAAGCCAGCTGGCAAGGAAACCTGAGGAATGCTGCATAACTGAGCCTTTTCAGACATGAAGTATGGAGGAAGAGGAGGAAGACAGCATGTATTAGGTTGGTGCAAAGGTAGTTGCAGTTTTTGCATTGTTGAAATTTGCTATTTGATATTGGAATACATTCTTAAATGTGGTTATGTTATACATCATTTTAATGCACATTTCACACTTTGTGGGGTTTTTTTTTTTTGCTAATGACTTATTATTTGCTGTTTATTTTATATTTATTTGAGACTATGGAAATGATAGACAAAAAGCAAATTCAAGCGGTTTTCTTATTCAAGAAAGCAACAGAGACAACTCGCAACATCAACAATGCATTTGGCCCAGGAACTGCAAACGAACATTCAGTGCAGTCATGGTTCAAGACATTTTGCAAAGGAGATGAGAGCCTTGAAGATGAGGAGCATAGTGGCCGGCCATCAGAAGTTGACATTGACTAATTGAGAGCAATCATCCAAGCTGATCCTCTTACAACTTGCCAAAGAACTCAACATCGGCCATTCTACAGGTATTTGGCATTTGAAGCAAATTGGAAAGGTGAAAAAGCTAGATAAGTGGGTGCCTCATGAGCTAAGCAAAAATTTTTAAAAATCGTCATTTTGAAGTGTGATCTCCTGTTCTATGCACAATGAACCATTTCTTCATTGGATTGTGACGTGCGATGAAAAGTGGATTTTATAGACAACGGCGACAACCAGCTCAGTGGATGGACTGAGAAGCAGCTCCAAAGCACTTTGCAAAGCCAAACTTGAACCAACAAAAGGTCATGGTCCCTGTTTGGTGGTCTGCTGCCGGTCTGATCCACTACAGCTTTCTGAATCCTGGCGAAACCATTACATCTGAAAAGTATGCTCAGCAAATCGATGAGATGCACAAAAACCTGCAGCACCGGCAGCCAGCATTGGTCAACAGAAAGGGCCCAATTCTTCTCCACAACAACGCCCCACTGCACATCACACAACCAACGCTTCAAAAGTCGAACGAATTAGGCTACAGAGTTTTGCCTCATCCACCATATTCACCTGACCCTTCGCCAACCGACTACCACTTCTTCAAGCATCTTGACAACTTTTTGTGGGGAAAATGCTTCCACAACGAGCAGGATGCAGAAAATGCTTTCCAAGAGTTCATCAAATCCCGAAGCACACTTTTTTTTTTTTTTTTTTTTTTTTTTGGTGACAGAGTCTCACTCTGTCGTCAGGCTGGAGTGCAGTGGTGTGAGCTTGGCCCACTGCAATCTCCACCTCCCAGGTTCAAGCAATTCTCCTGCCTCAGCCTCCCGAGTAGCTGGGACTACAGGCGCATGCCACCACACCCAGCTAATTTTTTGTATTTTTAGTAGAGACGAGGTTTCACCATGTTGGACAGGATGGTCTTGATCTCTTGACCTTGTGATCCGCCCGCCTCAGCCTCCCAAAGTGCTGGGATTACAGGCGTGAGCCACTGTTCCCGGCCCCAAAGCAGATTTTTATTCTACAGGAATAAACAAACTTATTTCTTGTTGGCAAAAATGTGTTGACTGTAATGGTTCCTATTTTGATTAATAAAGATGTGTTTGAGCCTAGTAATAATGATTTAAAATTCAGTCTAAAACCGCAATTACTTTTGCACCAACCTAATAGAAAATAACCAGCACCCTACTGTGTTATTGTATTAGTCCATTCTCATGCTGCTATGAAGAAATACCCAAGACTGGGTGATTTATAAAGGAAAGGGCTGTGAGACTGACCGTACACCAATTCGTTAGCTTGTCTGGGCCTCCATTTCCTCCTGATGAAAAGCATAAAGTTTTCTCCTCTACCTATATATTAATTTCTGTTTTTTTTTCTTTTAGCTGTCAGAAGCATGGGCATTCTACCTATACATTTAGCTGTGCTCATACATTCATCATTACCTCCTTCCTCCATCCTAAAGCAGAACGCAATTCTATTCAAGATGTTCTCAGCACCTGGGCTTAGGAGTCCATCTGTTCCTGCACCCTCCACAACCTTTCACCAAGTATTACCCTCTTTATTTATTTTTTTTTTTTTTGCATCTTCACCTTTTCTTTCTCCATTTGCCACTCGATATTTAAAATACACTCAAGCCTCTCTCACTGAAAGATTAAAACCCTTCTCTTCATTTCAGTTCTCTAAGTAGCTAGCCACAACCCTTTCTCCCTCCCCTTCATGGTCAAGCTTCTAGAATACCCTGCATTGAAAGTTTTCAGGTGCACAACCATCCACTGCCATCTGCTTTCTCACCCATCCTTGCTTTGAAATGGTTCTGCTGCTGTCTCTGGCACCTTCCTGCTTGCTTTGGTCCTTGGATGTCAGCTGCATTCCCACTTTCTTGAAACTTCGTTCCCAGGTGTCTGCCATGCTCTTCTTATTACCCATTCTATATCACACTTTCCAAGCTTTGGGGACTGAAGGCTATGAACACAGTCTCCCAAAATGTGGCCTTTATTTTTTCTGTACCTCTAAAGTCAACACATGAGTCCTCTAGGAATTGATGTACCTCAGTTCATCCACACAACCTGAGCAACTCAGCCATGCCTATGACTTCAGCAATCACTTACTTACTGATAATGGCCAAAAATCCCTATCTTCAAGCAGGGTTCGTATCTCAGTTCTTACCACCTACCAGTTGTGTGGGCTTGGGAAAAGTAGTTCACCACTCATATTTCAGTTCATCTGTGAAATGCAGATTGTAATGAGATAACCCTGCCATGGTTGCCAGGGTCTCATTAGTTACAACATGTAAAGTGCTTAGATATCACTTGTTACATAATTGGTTTATAGTTAATAAATGTTTGTTATATCACTAGATACCTTCCTCTTCCCCTTTCTCTCCCCCTTCCCTCTTACCCCTTCTCTGTCTCTTTCTCTCTGTCCCCAAATCAATATATTCAACTAATAAAGGAAATTTCAACCTGAACCTCCAACATATATGCCCAAAATTGAGCTCTATCTACTCCACTACCCTTCCTTCTGCATTTCTTATACCTGAACTAATCCTCACAGCATGCCAGAGTCCTCCATGCAGAATGACGGCCTACAGCCTTGGGATAGAGTTATTGAGTTGGTTACAAATCAGCCGCCCAAATTATATTCCTCTATCTTATCTATAAAAGTATTGGGAGTCTATTAACCTTATTGAAACCATGTTGCCATTCTTCTGTTCTACAAGTTACCATCTCAAAAAGAAACTAAGGTTCTGTGATCCAAAGAGAGAAAATAGCTATAGAAAATGAAATGCAGACTGGGCATGGTGGCTTACGCTGTAATTCCAACACTTTGAGAGGCCAAAGTCAAAGTGGGAGAATCCCCTGAGCTCAGGAGTTCAAGACCAGCCTGGGCAACATGGCAAAACCCCATCTCTACAAAAAATGCAAAACATCAGCTGGGTGTGGTGGCACACGCCTGTGGTCCCAGCTACCCAGGAGGCTGAGGTGGGAGGATCACCTGAGCCCAGGAGGAGGTCAAGGCTGTAGTGAACCAAGGTAGTGCCACTGCACTCCAGCCTGGATGACAGAATGAGACCCTGTCTTAAAAAAATAAATAAAATGCAGCAAATAAATATCCTTTAAAATCTCAACAAGAGCAATTAGAAACAAATTTTCTACAGTTATTCAACTATAATACATAATGTTTATAAAGAACATGGACAAAAAGAAAAGAAAACCTGAATCAGAACCAGGGCAGAAGCGTTTCTCTTAGCCAATTTTACCAACACCATATTGAGAAGGAATCAGAAGTATCAGAATTATAGTAGGTGTTCTTTTTAGTTTGTTGTTTTCGTATGTATGCTTGGGTGAACTGTTTAGGAAACTGTATCTAGTTATGGATTACTCCCTGAAGAGCTGCTTTCACCCAGTAGCCTTTTGAAAACTCAGCTGGTCTTTGTCAACTAACAATACAAGAAACAGTTTATAAATCTATTATTTTGTTTGCTATGAATATTTACTTGAGAAATTCCTTTTAAAAGCAATAATAGGAATAGCATTTCTTCCTAGAAGAAATAAGTTTTTTTCTCTCTCTCATGATTAATCAAAGTTTTAAACTAACCCTAGTTCTCTTATCACTGGTTTTGATGACAAATTTGGTTTCTGAGTCAAATTCATTGTATTTTAGTGTCCGGGCAGGCCCTTCTGGATGGGATGTTTGTGTTCTATTTGCCCAGTACCCAATACCCCCACCACCATGATTACTAACCTACTATTCCATTTTCCATCGCCACACTCTTTAAAATTTTTATTTACTTTTTGACAAGTGTATCTGGTGAGCTGCCTCAAATTCTTGGTGAAGAAGATGAAGTGTGCATTACATTTAGTTTATTGGTGAATCAATTATTTAATATGGATACCATTATTCCCTATTAACCCCTCATACTGTTTTTGATGTTCTAAGGTTGCAAACATTGTTTATGCATTATCAACAGGAGGCAGCTGAACTGATTAAGCCCACCTGACGCACCCTACTGCCCAGACTGGACAGGCCAAGCAAGTCCCCGATTGATGCCTGACCATCTTATCCAAACAGTAGGCCTCTCTTCCAGAGTCCATACTCCAAAGATAGTTTGAGAAGATGATAGGGAGGGCAGATGTATTAGTTCTCTAGAAGGACGGGACTAATAGGATAAATGTATACATGAAAGGGAGTTATTAAGGAGCATTGACTCACACGATCACAAAGTGAAGTCCCACAATAGGCCATGTGCAAGCTGAGGAGCAGGGAAGCCATTCTGAGTCCCAAAACCTCAAAATAGGGAAGCCAACAGTGCAGTCTTGAGTCTGTGGCTGAAGGCCCGAGAGCCACTGGCAAACCACTGGTGTAAGTCCAAGAGTCCAAAAGCTGAAGAACTTGGAGTCTGATGTTCGAGGGCAGGAAGCATCCAGCACAGGAGAAAAATGAAAGCCAGAAGACTCAAGCAGTCTGTTCTTTCCATTCCTGCTTTTATGGTGGCAGCTGATTGGATGGTGCTCACCAGATTGAGGGTGGGTTGGCCTGTCCCAGTCTACTGACTCGAATGTTAATCTCCTTTGACAACACCCTCACAGACACACCCAGGAACAATACTTTGCATCCTTTAATCCAATCAAGTTGACACTCAGTATTAACCATCACACCAGACAAATTTATTATTCCACAAATTCATATTATCTTTATTTTCCAATTTCTCTTGAGAATCCTCATTCTGTACCTCTCCTCCATCCCTCTTTTGGCCATTTAATTATTTCATTCTTCATCCTCAGAAGGAAGTGAGGAAAATATGGCCAAATATTAGACTGTTAAAATGTGTACCTGAGACGGGAAAAAAATTAAAGACCAATGCTCTGTAGTAAGAGCAGAAAATTAAGGAAATTATTTTTTTGATTTGTGACGTCCTGAAAAAAAAGTTTCTTCTAGAATTATCTACAGAGACTGTTTGTATTTCCTACCTACAGTAATTATCTAAATTGTCCACTTCTTACCCACCATGGAGATCTAAGCAAGACATGAAAAATGGCTTTTTCCCAGTTTTGGAGAAGTTATTCTAATGAGTTTAGGCTCCTTGCTTTACTATTTTCTTTCCTCATTTTCAACCACCAATTAAATCTAATATTTGTATGTAATTTTCTTGGAGAAAGCATGCAAACACAAACAAGATACAATTTTCTTACTTATTAAGTCTCTAGGAGAAAATTTTATACTGAGAAAAACAATGCTTTTGGATAAGTATAATCCTTTGTTTCCATTTCTCACACCCCGTGAAAGTGGCTAATCATAATTTGGGCTCTTTTTTTTTTTTTTTGAATAATGCAAAATGCTGGAATTTTTAAATGATCATACTTCAACAAATAAAACTTGAAAAGGGAACACTGTCAGTAACAGAATAATCCATCATCTTGGGCAGGCAACTGATTATTTGTAATATTACCCATCTCCAAGTATCAAAACTGAAGAGCTTTTTCATTAATTCGAGAAACTGGAGCATTCTCAGAAAATTCCACAATAATGTATCTTGTCCAGAAGTGGGTTTACCGCGAAGATGATGAAGGTGAAGCCTCAGAGCCCTTCATTTTTTTTTTCTTAGGCCCTGGAGGCCCTATCAATGTAAGGGTCACATTTTTTTATATATACTTTAAGTTCTAGGGTACATGTGCATAACGTGCAGGTTTGTCACGTAAGTATACATGTGCCATGCTGGTTTGCTGCACCCATGAACTCATCATTTACATTACGTATTTCTCCTAATGCTATCCCTCTGCCAGCCCCCCACCCCATGACAGGCCCCCGTGTGTGATGTTCCCCGCCCTGTGTCCAAGTGTTCTCATTGTTCAATTCCCACCTATGAGTGAGAATATGTGGTGTTTGGTTTTCTGTCCTTGTGATAGTTTGCTGAGAATGATGGTTTCCAGATTCATCCATGTCCCTGCAAAGGACATTAACTCATCCTTTTTTATGGCTGCATACTATTCCATGGTATATATGTGCCACATTTTCTTAATCCAGTCTATCATTGATGGACATTTGGGTTGGTTCCAAGTCTTTGCTATTGTGAATAGTGCTGCAATAAACATATGTATCCATGTGTCTTTATGGTAGCATGATTTATAATCCTTTGGGTATATACCCAGTAATGAGATCACTGGGTCAAATGGTAATTCTAGTTCTAGATCCTTGAGGAATCACCACACTGTCTTCCACAATGGTTGAACTAATTTACACTCCCACCAACAGTGTAAAAGCATTCCTGTTTCTCCACATCCTCTCCAGCATCTGTTGTTTCCTGACTTTTTAATGATTGCCATTCTAACTGGTATGAGATGGTATCTCATTTTGGTTTTGACTTGCATTTCTCTGATGACCAGTGATGATGAGCATTTTTTCATGTGTCTGTTGACTGCATAGATGTCTTCTTTTGAGAAGTGTCTGCTCATATCTTTTGCCCACCTTTTGATGGGGTTGTTTTTTTTCTTGTAAATTTGTTTGAGTTCTTTGTAGATTCTAGATATTAGCCCTTTGTCAGATGGGTAGATAGCAGAAATTTTCTCCCATTCTGTAGTTTGCCCGTTCACTCTGATGGCAGTTTCTTTTGCCACGTGGAAGCTGTTTAGTTTAATTAGATCCCATTTGTCTATTTTGGCTTTTGTTGCCATTGCTTTTGGTGTTTTGGTCATGAAGTCCTTGCCCATGCCTATGTCCTGAATGGTATTGCCTAGGTTTTCTTCTAGGGTTTTTATGGTTTTAGGTCTAACATTTAAGTCTTTAATCCATCTTGAATTAATTTTTGTATAAGGTGTAAGGAAGGGATCCAGTTTCAGCTTTCTACATATGGCTAGCCAGTTTTCCCAGCACCATTTATTAAATAGGGAATCATTTCCCCATTTCTTGTTTTTGTCAGGTTTGTCAAAGATCAGATGGTTGTAGATGTGTGGTGTTATTTCTGAGGCCTCAGTTCTGTTCCATTGGTCTCTATATCTGTTTTGGTACCAGTACCATGCTGTTTTGGTAACTGTAGCCTTGTAGTATAGTTTGAAGTCAGGTAGCGTGATGCCTCCAGCTTTGTTCTTTTTGCTTAGGATTGTCTTGGCAACACGGGCTCTTTTTTGGTTCTATATGAACTTTAAAGTAGCTTTTTCCAATTCTGTGAAGAAAGTCATTGGTAGCTTGATGGGGATGGCATTGAATCTATAAATTACTTTGGGCAGTATGGCCATTTTCATGATATTGATTCTTCCTATCCATGAGCATGGAATATTCTTCCATTTGTTTGCATCCTCTTTTATTTTGTTGAGCAGTGGTTTGTAGTTCTCCTTGAAGAGGTCCTTCACATCCCTTGTAAGTTGGATTCCTAGGTATTGTATTCTCTTTGTAGCAATTGCGAATGGGAGTTCACTCATGATTTGGCTCTCTGTTTGTCTGTTAATGGTGTATAGGATTGCTTGTGATTTTTGCACATTGATTTTATATCCTGAGACTTTGCTGAAGTTGCTTATCAGCTTAAGAAGATTTTGTGCTGAGATGATGGGGTTTTCTAAATATACAATCATGTACCTGCAAACAGGGACAATTTGACTTCCTCTTTTCCTAACTGAATACCCTTTCTTTCTTTCTCCTGCCTGATTGCCCTGGCCAGAACTTCCAACACTATGTTGAATAGAAGTGGTGAGAGAGGGCATCTTGTGCCAGTTTTCAAAAGGAATGCTTCCAGTTTTTGCCCATTCAGTATGATACTGGCTATGGGTTTGTCATAAATAGCTCTTATTATTTTCAGATATGTTCCATCAATACCTAGTTTATTGAGAGTTTTTAGCATGAAGGGCTGTTGAATTTTGTCGAAGGCCTTTTCTGCATCTATTGAGATAATCATGTGGTTTTTGTCATTGGTTCTGTTTATGTGATGGATTACATGTACTGATTTGCGTATGTTGAACCAGCCTTGCATCCCAGGTATGAAGCCGACTTGATCGTGGTGAATAAACTTTTTGATGTGCTGCTGGATTCGGTTTGCCAGTATTTTATTGAGGATTTTTGCATCAATGTTCATCAGGGATATTGGTCTAAAATTCTCTTTTTTTGTTGTGTCTCTGCCAGTCTTTGGTATCACGATGATGTTGGCCTCATAAAATGAGTTAGGGAGGATTCCCTCCTTTTCTATTGATTGGAATAGTTTCAGAAGGAATCGTACCAGCTCCTCTTTGTACCTCTGCTAGAATTCGGCTGTGAATCCGTCTGGTCCTGGATGTTTTTGATTGGTAGACTATTAATTATTGCCTCAATTTCAGAGCCTGTTACTGGTCTAGTCAGGGATTCAACTTCTTCCTGGTTTAGTCTTCGGAGGGTGTATGTGTCCAGGAATTTATCCATTTCTTCTAGATTCTCTAGTTTATTTGCGTAGAGGTGTTTATAGTATTCTCTGATGGTAGTTTGTATTTCTGTGGAATTGGTGGTGATATCCCGTTTATTGTTTTTTATTACATCTATTTGATTCTCTCTTTTCTTCTTTATTAGTCTTGCTAGCAGTCTATCAATTTTGTTGATCTTTTCAAAAAACCAGCTCCTGGATTCATTGATTTTTTTGAAGGGTTTTTTGTGTCTCTATCTCTTTCAGTTCTGCTCTGATCTTAGTTATTTCTTGCCTTCTGCTAGCTTTTGAACTTGTTTGCTCTTGCTTCTCTAGTTCTTTTAATTGTGATGTTAGGGTGTCAATTTTAGATCTTTCCTGCTTTCTCTTGTGGGCATTTAGTGCTATAAATTTCCCTCTACACACTGCTTTAAATTTGTTCCAGAGATTCTGGTGCGTTGTGTCTTTGTTCTCATTGGTTTCAAAGAACATCTTTATTTCTGCCTTCATCTTGTTATTTACCCAGTAGTCTCAGGAGGAGGTTGTTCAGTTTCCATGTAGTTGTGTGTTTTTGAGTGAGTTTCTTAATCCTGAGTTCTAATTTGATTGCACTGTGGTCTGAGAGACAGTCTGTTGTGATTTCTGTTCTTTTACATTTGCTAAGGAGTGCTTTACTTCCACTTATGTGGTCAATTTTAGAATAAGTGCGATGTGGTGCTGAGAAGAATGTATATTCTGTTGATTTGGGGTGGAGAGTTCTGTCAATGTCTATTAGGTCTGCTTGCTGCAGAGCTGAGTTCGGGTCCTGGATATCCTTGTTAACCCTATGTCTCGTTGATCTGTCTAATATTGACAGTGGGGTGTTAAAGTCTCCCATTATTCTTGTGTGGAAGTCTAAGTCTCTTTGTAGGTCTCTAAGGACTTGCTTTATGAATCTGGGTGCTCCTGTATTGGGTGCATATATTTTTAGGATAGTTAGCTCTTCTTGTTGCATTGAGCCCTTTACCATTATGTAATGGCTTTCTTTGTCTCTTTTGATCTTTGTTGGTTTAAAGTCTGTTTTATCAGAGACTAGGATTGCAACCCCTGCTTTTTTTTGCTTTCCATTTGCTTAGTAGATCTTCCTCCATCCATTTATTTTGAGCCTATGTGTGTCTTTGAACGTGAGATGGGTCTCCTGAATACAGCACACTGATGGATCTTGACTCTTTATCCAATTTGCCAGTCTATGTCTTTTAATTGGGGCATTTAGCCTATTTACATTTAAGGTTAATATTGTTATGTGTGAATTTGATCCTGCCATTATGATGTTAGCTGGTTATTTTGCCCATTAATAGATTTCTTTATAGCATCAGTGGTTTTTACAATTTGGCATGTTTTTGCAGTGGCTGGTACCGGTTTTTTCATTCCATGGTTAGTGCTTCCTTCAGGAGCTCTTGTAAGGCAAGCCTGGTGGTGACAAAATCTCTCAGCATTTGCTTGTCTGTAAAGGATTTTATTTCTCCTTCACTTGTGAAGCTTAGTTTGGCTGGATATGAAAGGCTGGGTTGAAAGTTCTTTTCTTTAAGATTGTTGAATATTGGCCCACACTCTCTTCTGGCTTGTAGGGTTTCTGCCAAGAGATCTGCTGTTAGTCTGATGGGCTTCCCTTTGTGGGTAACTTGACCTTTCTCTCTGGCTGCCCTTAACACTTTTTCCTTCATTTCAACCTTGGTGAATCTGACAATTATGTGTCTTGGGGTTGCTCTTCTCGAGGAGTATCTTTGTGGTGTTCTCTGTATTTCCTGAATTTGAATGTTGGCCTGCCTTGCTAGGTTGGGGAAGTTCTCCTGGATAATATCCTGAAGAGTGTTTTCCAAATTGGTTCCATTCTCCCCATCACTTTCAGGTACACCAATCAAATGTAGATTTGGTCTTTTCACATAGTCCCATATTTCTTGGAGGCTTTGTGCATTCCTTTTTACTCTTTTTCCTCTAACCTTGTCTTCTCACTTTATTTCATTCAATTGATCTTCAATCACTGATACCCTTTCTTCCACTTGATCAAATCAGCTACTGAAGCTTGTGCATGTATCACAAAGTTCTCGTGCCATGGTTTTCAGCTCCATCAGGTCATTTAACGTTTTCTCTACACTGTTTAGTTAGCCATTCATCTAATCTTTTTTCAAGGTTTTTAGCTTCCTTGTGAAGGTTTGAACATCCTCCTTTAGCTCGTAGAAGTTTGTTATTACCAACCTTCTGAAGCCTACTTCTGTCAACTCGTCAAAGTCATTCTCCGTCCAGCTTTGTTCCCTTGCTGGTGAGGAGCTGTGATCCTTTGGAGGAGAAGAGGCACTGGATTTTTAGAATTTTCAGCTCTTCTGCTCCGGTTTCTCCCCATCTTTGTGATTTTATCTACCTTTGGTCTTTGATGTTGGTGACCTACAGATGGGATTTTGGTGTAGCTGAGCTTTTTGTTGATGTTGATGCTATTCCTTTCTGTTTGTTAGTTTTCCTTCTAACAGTCATGTCTCTCAGCTGCAGGTCTGTTGGAGTTTGCTGGAGTTCCACTCCAGACCCTGTTTGCCTGGGTATCACCAGTGGAGTCTGCAGAATAGCAAATATTACAGAACAGCAAATATTGCTGCCTGATCCTTCCTCTGGAAGCTTCGTCCCAGAGGGGCAGCCACTTATATGAGGTGTCTGTCGGCCCCTACTGGGAGATGTCTCCCAGTTAGGCTACACAGGGGTTGGGGACCCACTTGAGGAGGCAGTCTGTCCATTCTCAGAGCTCAAACGCCATGCAAAGAGAACCACTGCTCTCTTCAGAGCTGTCAGACAGGGACGTTTAAGTCTGCAGAAGTTGTCTATTGCCTTTTGTTTAGCTATGCCCTGCCCACAGAGGTGCAGTCTAGAGGCAGTAGGCCTTGTTGAGCTGCGGTGGGCACCCAGTTCAAGCTTCCTGGCTGCTTTGTTTACCTACTCAAGCCTCAGCAATGGCCAACACCCCTCCCCCAGCCAGGCTGCCACCTCGCAGATCGATCTCAGACTGCTGCGCTAGCAGTGAGCAAGGCTCCATGGGTGTGGGACCCACCAAGCCAGGCACAGGAGAGAATCACCTTGTCTGCCATTTGTGAAGACCTTGGGAAAAGCACAGTATTTGGGCGTGAGTGCCCCATTTTTCCAGGTAGTCTGTCATGGCTTCCCTTGACTAGGAAAGGGAAATCCCCTGACCCTTTGTGCTTCCCGGGTGAGGCAAGGCCCTGCCCTGCTTGAACTTGCCCTCCATGGGCTGCACCCACTGTCCAACCAGTCCCAATGAGATGAACCATGTACCTCAGTTGGAAATGTAGAAATCACCCGTCTTCTGCATCAATCATGCTGGGAACTGCAGACCAGAGCTGTTCCTATTCAGCCATCTTCAAAATTTCCCCTACTTTTCTCTTTTTTTTTAGAGACGGAGTCTCACTATTTTGGCCAGGTGGGTCTTGAACTCTTGGCCTCAAGCAATTCTCCCACCTCAGTGTGCTAGGATTACAGGTGTGAACCACCATGCCTGACTTTTTTCTTTTCTTTTTGTTTGTTTTTTTGGTGTTTTTTTTTTGGCATGTGTGACAAGGTCTTGCCATGTCACTCAGGCTGGAGTGCAGTGGCTCAAACACAGCTCACTGCAGCCTCCACTTCCTGGGCTCAAGCAATCCTCTCACATCAGCCTATCAAGTAGCTGGGACTACAGGCCTGTGCCACCACATCTGGCTAATTTTTGTATTTTTTGTAGAGATGGAGTTTTGCCATATTGCCTAGGCTGGTCTCCAACTCCTGAGCTCAAGTGATCTGCCTGCCTCGGCCTCTCAAAGTGCTGGGATTACAAGCGTGAGCCACTACACTTAGCCTGGTATTCTTTTTACTTGAAGAGGGACTCCAAAATTTCATACGTTTCAGGATACCTAAAACCTAGATTTATGCCTCATCTCAATGAAAAGCAATTCAGCGTGTATTTTGTCCAAAGTAAGATTGTAACTACAGCAAGCCAGCTCTCATCTATAAAATACCATTTTAATTGCTTACAACTGAAGAAAAATATGCATCTATTTGGTTCATCAAGCAATTCTCCTACTTCAGCCTCCCAAGTAGCTGGGACTACAGGTGCGCACCACCATGTCTGGCTAATTTTTTGCATTTTTAAATAGAGACAGGGTTTTGCCATGTTGCCCAGGCTGGTCTAAAACTCTTGAGCTCAAAGGGTCTGCCTGCCTCAGCCTCCCAAAGTGCTGGGATTATAGGTGTGAGCCACTATGCCCAGCCAGGATTTTTATTTTTTATTTTTATTTTTTTGAGATGGAGTCTCACCCTGTTGCCCAGGCTGGAATGCAGTGGCACAATCTCAGCTCACTGCAACCTCCGCCGCCCAGGTTCAAGCAATTCTCCTGTCTCAGCCTCCTGAGTAGTGATGACTACAGGTACCTGCCACCATGCCCAGCTAATTTTTGTATTTTTAGTAGAGACAGTGTTTCACCATGTTGGTCAGGCTGGTCTCGAACTCCTGACCTCAGGTGATCTGCCCGCCTCGACTTCCCAAAGTGCTGAGATTACAGGCATGAGCCACCATGCCCCAGCCAGGATTTTTAAATATTCAAATAAGCCCCATTGTAATTTCAATAATTATCTTTTAACTGGTATTAATAATTTATCCATAATTCACATTGCCTTGTAAACTAGGGGAACTTGGCTATAATTCAAATATACAACTGATCTGGTAATAGATATGATCGGACTTGTAAAAATTTGTGCCTCTAAAGATTTGAGAACAAGTATACTTTCAGAACAAAGTATACTTTAAAAATAACCAATGTAGTAAGAACATAAAAAGTTACATGTCCATTATGACCTGTTGGTAAGGACATTAAAGTTTTATCAAACTAGAACATTTATGAAATATGAGAATCTTTCATCAAAGAACAGTCTTTCTGTAGTTTAAATGCAGCAATTATAATCCCAACCATGCTTGCTAATCTTAGCTACCGGGAAGTTAGAAAGAGAGAAAGGTAATTCATAAGACAGCTTGGTACCCAAAACCACCTAGGTTTTTGTGGTCTATAGTCAACACCTCAAATTATATCGAGAAACAAACAGGCAGCCAAAGGGAAATGTAGACTACAATTCTAGCAACCTATAATTTTATTCCTTGTAGTTTGTGCCTCTCCACTGCAAAGTGGCTCTAGTCTGCCTGGTCCACAGCTTCCAGTTGGCCTCTTAGAGTGTGTTGCAGACATCCAGCCAAAAGCTCACTATGACCATCTAGAATAGTGCTCCCAGAAGCTGTCATGGAGTTTTACCCATAATGGGTGCTCACCCCTAAATATCTGTTAGTAATGATACCATGACAATTATGGCAAGCGAAGACTGACTCTGGATGATCTGGCTCACAATCCCACCCAGATCAACTTGCACAGTCACTTATACATGAGTCATGGTCCTGATTCTATTGTTGAAATAAAAGGTTTGGTGAAGTGCTTTTACACCTTGAGAGTGAAGAGATTAAGTCAAGGCCAAGTGTCTCAAACTTGAGGGTAAGAATGGAGAGTAGAAAGCTGACCATAACAGAAAGGGCCCATATTTTTGAGTTATGACACTGATTTCCTGCCTTAAAAATGACTGACATTTTCAAGGCACCTACCATTTACTGGGGATTATGCCAAGGGCTTTTTATGCCTCATCTCATTTTATATCTACAAACAGGCAATTTTATTAGTACTGTTATTTTGCAGGTAAGGAAACAGATTCAGAGGGGAAGCATAGCAGCAAACGGCTAGTACCTGAGGGAAAGACCCTAGATTTAAACGTAGCCTGCTGGCCTCAAGAACTTGGACTCAAGAGCTGGGAAACATCATGCCAATGTTTCCCAAAGTTTGAAACAGAATCTCTGGCAGTCTGTGACAGGATTTTATTTGGTGCACAGATGCTTCATTAAATTTTGAGAAAGTTATTTTCTTTGAAGTTCTTTCAATTTTTCTTTTAAATCTAAGTTTCCATTTCAGGTCATCTCTTTGCTCATGCATATGAGTATATACTGTTAGAAGCAACCAGGCCACATCTTGAATGCTTTGCTGCTTAGAAATTTCTTCTGCCAGATACTCTAAGTCATCTCTCTCAAGTTCAAAGTTCCAAAGATCCCTAGAGCTGCCAGTCTCTTTGCTAAAGCATAGCAAGAGCAACCTTTACTGCAGCTCCCAGTAAGTTCTACATCTCTGTATGAGACCACCTCAGCCTGGACTTCACTGTCTATATTACTATCAGCATTTGTTCACAACAATTTAACAAGTCTCTAGGAAGTTCCAAACTTCCCCTCATCTTCCTGTCTTCTTCTGAGCTCTCCAAATTGTTCCAACCTCTGCCCATTACCCAGTTGCAACGATGCTTCCACATTTTCAGGTATCTTTATAGCAATGCCCCACTTCCCGGTACCAATTTTCTGTATCAGTTCATTCTCTTATCGCTATAAAGAACTACCTGAGACTGGATAATTTATGAAGAAAAGAGGTTTAATTGACTCACAATTCTGCAGGCTGTACGGGAAGCACGGCTGGGGAGGCCTCAGGAAACTTACAATCATGGTGGAAGGTGAAGGGGAAGCAGGCACATCTTCACATGACAGAGCTTGTGAAGAAAGAGGGAAGGGGGAAATGCTACATACTTTTAAACAAGCAGATCTCGTGAGAACTCACTATCATGAGAACAGCAAGGGGGAAGTCCACCCCCATGATCCAATTACCTCCCACCAGGCCCCTCCTCCAACACTAGGGATTACAATTCAACATGAGATTTGGGCGGGGACACAGACCCAAACCATATCAAGACCTGAATGGCCAAAACAACTTTGAAAAAGCAAAACAAAGTTGGAGAGCTAACTCTACCTGATTTCAATGCTTCCTATAAAGATATAGTGTTCAAGACAGTGTGAGATAGAAGTAAAGGTAGACAAATAAATCAGTGAAACAGAAAAGAGAGTGGAGAAACATGCCCACACATAAATGGAAAACTGATTTTCAACAAAGGTGCAAAGGCAATTCAGTGGAGAAGGGATCATCTTTTCAAAAAATGGTGCTGGAATAATAAAACATCCATATGCAATAATAATAACCTTTTATCCATGCCATGTGCCATATACAAAAATTAGCCCCAAATTGATCATTGACCTAAATGTAAAACCTAAAGCTAAAAAACTTCTAGATGCTAACATAGGAGAAAATCTTTGTGGCCATGGGTTAGGCAGTGATTTCTTAGATACAACACCAAAATGATGATCCATTTTTTAAAAACTAATATATTGGACTTAATCAAAATTTAAAAATGCTCTTTGATGGATACTGTTAAGAGAAATAGAAGACAGACCATAGATTGGGAGAAAATACTTGCAAAGCACATATCTAATAAAGGACTTGTATTAGAATACAAAGAACTCTTAAAATAAAGAAGTTGCCCTGCAGTAAAAGAGTGAAATTGAGAAGCAAAATGAGTCCTGGCAGCATTGCCTAAATGTTGCTAGACTGGGGCTAGATGTAGCTAGACTGGGGCTTTCCCACAGTTTGATTACATGAGCCCATGAATTACCCTTTCTGTCTGGTTCACGTAAGGTTTCTATTACTTGTCACCAAAAATACATCCTCATTTAGAGGAATGGAAGTATGAGAGAGAGGATCCAAAAGATGGAACATAAAAATGATTTTTCTATAAGAGTAACTGTTGAGAAACAAAAGATTTAGTGTGATCACAAGGAACTGGTGGCTAACTTGATCATACACTTGGCTATGAGTTTAGTTTGTTTTGTTTGTTTGTTTGCTTGTTTGTTTGTTTTTGAGACAGACTCTCTATCACCCAGGCTGGAGTGCAGTGGCATGATCTTAGCTCACTGTAACCTCCACCTCCCAGGTTCAAGTGATTCTCCTGCCTCAGTCTCCTGAGTAGCTTGGATTACAGGCATGTGTCACCCACACCCGGCTAACTTTTGTTTTTTCAGTAGAGACGGGGTTTTGCCATGTTGACCAGGCTGGTCTCAAACTCCTGACCTCAAGTGATCCACCCACCTCGGCCTCCCAGAGTGCTGGGATTACAGGCATGAGCCACTGCGCCCGGCCAGGTTCATTTTTTTACTGAGTATGTATTATATTTTTAAAAAATAATTTCAACTTTTATTTTAGATTTGGGGGTACATGTGCAGGTCTGCCACATGGAAACGCTGTATGACGCTAAGGTTTGGGGTATGGATGATCCCATTACCCAGGCAGTGAGCACAACACCCAACAGGCAGTCCCTCAGCCCTCAGCCCCCTCCCTTCCTCCTCCCTAAAATTTTTAAAGCACACATATTTCAATCCAAAAAAAATTAACTGCTGGATATTTACCCTAGATAAACCTGTGCACCAAGAGAAATGTGTAAAGATATTTGCCACAGCTTCATTGTAATAATAACACAATTACAAACAACTGAGTTGTCCATCAAAAAAAGACTAGTTATGCAATCCATTGTAGATTCCTATCGTAGCTGGGCTAGGTGGCTCATGCCTGTAATCCCAGCACTTCCGGAGGCCAATGCAGGAGGATTGCTTGAGGCCAGGAGTTCAAGACCAGCCTGGACAACATAATACCCCTATCTCTACAAAAAAAAAAAAAAACTACACACACCAGTAGTCCCAGCTACTCAAGAAGCTGAGGTGGAGCTTGAGCGCAGGAGTTCGAGGCTGCAGTGAGCCATGATTGTGCCACTTGCACTCCAGCCTGGATGACAGAGCAGGACTCTGTCTCATAAATACATACATACATACATAAAGATTCATATTATGCAATGCCTGGCAATAGTTAAAAAGAATGAGATGGATCTGTTTGCACTGACATGGAAAGAACTACAAGACATTGCTATGTAAAATAAGCAAAGCAAATCAAATCATTAGCATATTTAGTGTTTAAAATAAAATACACCAAAAACCCTCTATATTTCTATATGGGAACATACACATGTAGGTAAATGTATACAAAAGAACTGGAAGTTTCCACCTCCAACTGTTAATTGGGTTTACCTCTGCGGGGATGGGGATTGGAAGCAGTTAAAAGGAGCCCTTCACTACATCTGTTTTGTTTGAATTGTTTGCACATAAATAAATTCACTAGAACTTGTTTAACTAAAACAAATGAAAGAGTATTAATAATCTTACTGAGTGTAAATGGTGTACTAGCTATTATGTAAAATAGATAAGGTCTCTGCCGAATGGAAATGGCTAATATATTATTAGGGACTTATGCTCATAACTTCCAATAATAAAGTGATCAAGTGTACTAAAAAAAGAGACTTTTTTTAGAAGGTCAATTAGGATAGGATATAAGGAACAGACAATGTTTTATATTTATGAATAGAATATCTGACTAACGAATGGTTTTTCAGAAGCTCATCTATAGGTTCCTTGTTGGAAACTCAATGCATTTTCCCACAGAAAGGATGTTTAGGTTTCCAAGTCACAAAATCTGTTGTATCAGTATTCTGTAATAGGACACATCAGAAACACTCCAGAAATTAAGGCAAAAATTTGTTGAATGCTACAGAGGAGCTCACAGAATCTAGGGATACATGAAATTTCAGCCCTTAGGAAGAACAAGGACCAACGTAACTCTCAGATATAGGCTGCTAATGGACAGATGGGTTATCAGTCTTTTCTGAAAATCAGAATCTTCAATCAAGTGATATAAGAAAAATATTGGTAAACCCTTGTATCTGTCTACTTCAGCTTCCTAGATTCTTGAAACTGGCAGGTCCTCAAAATGTTGAAGTTTTGAAGACTTTCTAAGTTCACATCCAGCTGTGCTACTTGCCATGTGACTTTGAACAAATTACTTAATTGTAACTATCTTCATCTGTAAATATGGGGACAAAACCATACCTAGCTCCTAGACTTTTTGAGAGGATTAAGTTAAATGTTAAATTATTGGCATAGAATATATATTCAATTAATAATAACTGATTATTTTCTTTTCATAAACAAAAATACATCAAAATGTTAAGTATTCATAATAGGGTATGTATAAAAGGATAGTCTCTCATCATTTACAATAAGATTCTCTAATAAGAGCATTTTATTCTAATTGTAAAGAGAAATATTTTTAAAGGTCTGAGTTGCAATAATCTGATGACTAGAATTACAGTATGATCTGCTACTCAAATTAGACATTTTTATGATCAGTCAACAATGTTCAGATGTCTTTAGTAGAGTTTAAGAACTATAACTAAGGAAATTTTACCCTTGTAAGTTAATACAATTTTTGCTTCCAAAGAAAAAGATAATAGAGTTCTTTAATTGGAACTGACTTAGTTCAACAGATCCAAGTGAGTTTCAAAAATGTATATTTCATGCCGTGGTTCTTTTTTTGTATATTCATTATTCATGATGGTTCTGTCTTGGTCTTGAACAAATAAACACCAGAATATTTCAAAATACTGAACTGTCTGTCCTGGCAAGAAATAGATCCCAAATGACTAAAACCAAAAAGGTCACAAGATGTTTCCCTTCATTTTGTCATTTGATCTTAGATAGGCTGCTCTCAAAACACAAGCTACAATAAGTAGCTATTTCAAGACAAGACAGCGCAAATCTATCATTTAAAAGAGGAAATAAGTGGTGAGGACATTGCATTCCTAAACTAGAACTTCTGAACTGAAAACTTTTTGTTTGTTTAAAGTAATTCCACATGACAAGAAATCAGTAAGAGAAGAATCCCACATTAGTGATGGCATATTAAGAGCTGGCTTTCTGACCACCCACTTCACTGCCTTTCAACCAGCCTCCTCTACACATATGCAGGTTGCAAAGTGAGACACTTGCTTTCCTACACTCCATGTGATGGAGGTAGAATAGCCATATGGCCCAGTTCTGCCCAATGAAGTATAAACAGAAGTCTCTGCTTGAGGCTTCTTAGCAATGCTATTTTAAAGGCTGGGCAGGCTGGGCCCCGTGGCTCACACGTGTAATCTCGGCACTTTGAGAGGCCGAGGCAGGAGGATCACATGAACACAGGAGTTTAAGACCAGCCTAGGCAACATAGGGAGAACCCGTCTCTACAAAAACATTTAAAAGTTAGCCAGGCATGGTGGTGCAAGCCTATGGTCCCAGCTACTTGAAAGGCTGAGGTGAGAGGATGGTGAGAGCCTGGGAGGTCAAGGCTGCAGTGAGCCGTGATAGCACCACTGCACTCCAGCCTGAGTGACAGAACAAGACCCTGTCTCCAAAACAAAACAAAACAAAACAAAAAATCAAATAAAGGTTGGGCTGGCAACTTCCACCACACTTTGCACCTTCTTCTTCCTCTTTCTTCCCACTTGGGACACTGACAAGATGCCTGAAGTGAAACTATTTTACACACAAATGAGAGCCACATGAAGACATGGTTGAGCCACCATCTCAGGCCTGGAAACTTGTCTCTAGATATCTTTGTCACTTGAGGCAAATAAACTCCTTACTTATTTAAACCTACCTTTCTGGCCAGGCGCAGTAGCTCAAGCCTGTAATTCCAGCACTTTGGGAGGCCGAGGCGGGTGGATCACCTGAGGTCAGGAGTTTGAGACCAGCCTGGCCAACATGATGAAACCCCATCTCTACTAAAAATACAAAAATTAGCTGGGCATGGTGGCAGGCACCCGTAATCCCAGCTACTCAGGAGGCTGAGGCAGGAGAATGACTTGAACCTGGGAGGCGGAGGTTGCAGTGAGCCGAGGTTGCAGCGAGCCAAGATCGCACCATTGCACTCCAGCCTGGGTGACAAGAGCAAGACTCCATCTCAGAAAATAAAATAAAATAAAATAAAAATAAATAAACCTACCTTTCTTGGGTCTTCAGTTGCTTGCAGGCAAACACACTTATAACTGATAAAAGTAGGCTGGGCACAGTGGCTCATACCTGTAAATCCCAGAGCTTTGGAAGGCCGAGGTTGGAGGATCACTTGAAGACAGGAGACTAAGCCTGGGCAACATAATGGCAACTTGTCTCTACAAAAAAAAATTAGTCGGTGTGGTGGCATGAGCCTAGCTACTCAGGAGGCCGAGGCAGTGGGATCACTTGAGCCCAGGAAGTCAAGACTGCAGTAAGCTATGATTGCACCACTGCACTCCCAGCCTGGGTGACAGAGCAATCACCTGTCACTAAAAAAAGTAGCAATTTATTTTTCCAGAGACTATAAAGCACCTTAAGGAAAGATGTTTTCATCAGATTGCACTAGGAATGCCTGAGAAACTTGATTTACATGGTGTGAAATGTGAATTTTTCTTTCCTGTACTTATTACCAAAATCAACTCTAATGAAAAAACAAAGCTAACAGTTTTGAAATTTTTTATTGACACGTAGAATGAATACAGTCATCCTTCAGTACCTGTGGAAGATTTGTCCTAGGACCCCCCCACTGATAGCTAAATTCAGAGATGCTCAAGACCCTAATATAAAATGGCATAGTATTATTTGCAAATAACCTACACACATCCTCCCCGTGTACTTTAAATCATCTTATAATACCATTACTTATAATACCTGATACAACGGAAATTCTATGTAAATAGTCATTATACTGAACTGTTTAGGGAATAATGACAAGGAAAAAAGTCTGTTACATGTTCAGTACAGAGGTAATTTTAGAAGTTTTTTTATCTGCAGTTGATTGAATCCACAGGTGTAGAACTCATGAATACAGAAGGCTGATGTATATAATTTTAAGAGAATATCAATGAAATTGTAATGTGGATACATCTTTCCAGTTTTCTTTTCCTAAAGAAGGTAAAAAACATTCTTCACTACTAAGTTGAAATATCACAGCATAACAATTACATAATGTTTTTCTTTTTGTTTGTTTTGTTTTTTTTGAGACAGTTTGACTCTGTTGCCCAGGCTGGAGTGCAATGACACGATCTTGGCTCACTGCAACCTCTGCCACCAGGGTCCAAGTGATTCTCCTGCCTCAGCCTCCCGAGTAGCTGGGATTACTGGTGTGCACCACCATGCCCAGCTAATATTTGTATTTTTTGTAGAGATGGGGTTTCACCATGTTGGCCAGGTTGGTCTTGAACTCCTAACCTCAAGTTATCCACCCGCCTCAGCCTCCCAAAGTGCTGGATTACAGGCGTGAGCCACCGTGCTTGACCCTACAATTACACAATGTTTTTCACACTGGGGGTGCGGTAGATGAAGTAAATAAATATGTGCATCTCTTAGAACCAAATATGGGGATTTTCCAAGCTCTACCACTCCCTGCCCCACCCCTTTCCTTCTGAATTTACGACGTACATTTTGGAGACAGTTCTAGATTATTTCTAATTTTTGTAATTAAAATTACTTAATGGTATTATAAACTACAGAAAAGCTACTACTATCTTTATTCAACTGATTTCCTCAAAATAGAAGAGACTTTTGAACTACAGGCAGGGTTTACCTGCTATGAAAGGGCCCAATATCCATCTGTGGGTATTTTAAGGCCTCTGTACACCTGCCAGATCAAAGTTCTCATGCCCCTGGGATTAAGTTAGTAGTTGGTCATCACACGTAGAATTGTATAATTTAGGGCATAGGGTGGGGTCACCCAGGGGCTAACTCAGGGAAAAAAAACCCCACAGATATGGAGGGAAAAAAGACCTCATAGAGCCATCATGCAGTTATATTTCAGGGACTTTGGAGTAAGATTTCACTGCAGCAAGTTTATGCTGATTTTCTTTTAAAAATTAATAACTGGATTAAGATACATCCTACTGCCAGTTATAAATGCAAATATATGACTTGGGAGGGGCAACACATTTATTCAGCAACATCCCCATACACTTTAAAGTTTACTTGGATTAGTAAATTAGAACAGTGGAGCAAACGAACTATTCATTTGACTTTCAGGTTGCTAATTCTTTAATTGCATTAATTAAAAACTAGTACAACCATGAACTTACATTCACTTCCCCAAAAGTATTTAGTCAATCAGTCACGTAATAGTTTCACAAATGTGGGCAAATTAACTCATCTAGTTTGTAAAAATAAAGTTACTACCTCACCAGGTGATTGTTCACATGAACATGTGTGAACCACGTAGCAACACAGAAAGTCTCAGATCCCAGGTATCCTGAGCACCAAGGTCTGCTAACTTATTCTAGGGCAGTAGAACAATAATCTGGAATTTTTCCAAATTCTGCTATTAGCTCTGTTGAAGGCCTCTGGGGCTCTCTCAACTCTCACAGCTATACTGACTGCAACCATCTCGGAGACATGTAACAGGTCTGCTGACTTCAAACCCCAAGCCCTTAGTCATTTACCATTGCTATACTGTCTTGGCATAGCATAAAAGTCTCTAGAGAGATATGACACAGAGCCCTTTCCAGGGAAAGGCACATTTATTAGTCCTAGGACCAAAGTTTCTGCCAGATATTCATCTACTCTGTGAGCTGGGCTAGACAAGGTAGAAACCACAAGTATGTCTTCCCTTTAGGCTCAGAGCAAAGTCAGGGCATCTTTTCTCATAAGCTTGGGGCTTAGACAGTAAAGTCACAGTCCAAAGAGAAAACAAACCCTCTTAAAGCTCTGCAGGGAACTTTATGAGAGGGAAGATGACTCAGCACAAGAGAAAGAGTGTGTTGATGCCTTTGTTCCTCCAGAATGATGGCCTCATTGTGTTCCTGTGTTCTTGACATCTTTGATGTGTCCTTTAATGCTGGCCAGTGCAAGATGTTAGATTATGGGGACACGGTGGTGGGGAGGGTGCTGTGGTCAACATATGCTTTCAAGGCTCCATCTACTTTCAACTTCCTCAGTACATGTTCATCCTTCCCTCCTATGAAGTCTTTTTTTTTTTTTTTTTTTTTTTTTTTGAGACAGAGTCTTGCTTTGTTGCTCAGGCTAGAATGCAGTGGCACGATCTCGGCTTATTGCAACCTCCACCTCCCGGGTTCAAGCGATTCTCCTGTCTCAGCCTTCCAAGTAGCTGGGATTACAGGTGCCCGCCACCATGCCCGGCTAATTTTTATATTTTTAGTGGAGATGGGGTTTCACCATGTTGGCCAGGCTGCTGTGACCTCAGGTGATCCAACTGCCTCAGCCTCCCAAAGTGTTGGAATTACAGGTGTGAGCCACCGCACCTGGCCCCTCCTGTGAAGTCTTGTAACACAACTTATTCTTATGTTCAGATCTCATTATTTTTATGGGAATAGCTTTTCTCCTTAGGTCGATTATAAATTATTTGAGGACAGGATGCACAGATTAGAAGTAGACTGTGAAGGCAACAAATACTTGCTAATGTTTGTCATTGATAAGATAAGGGAAAAGTGTATTTGATAAAAGAGGTAACTCCTACCTGGTGTAGGAGTTTGGAAGCATTCTTACAAATCAAGAAATGTTGAAGAAAAATGTCTAGAGGTGTCACTAGACTAGGAAAGTGGGTCAGGAAGCATGAGAAAAACAAGATATTCACTAGAAGAGGAAGTGGATTTTGAGGCCAGGAATAAGGTCAGTGCTGCAGACACTGCAGGAATAACCACAAGAGAAATTCCAGCCAGGAGGGGCCGCCCATGCCTGGGGAGCATTTAGCGGGTAGATCCACATTTGAACTGTTCCTCAGGGCCTCTTCTGTGGCATTGGAGAATATCACTGTAGGACTTTGGACTATTGTGATTTGTCTATTGCAAAACATATGCATAGAGTCGTTTGTTTATCTCTAAACAAAGCTTGATTTTACTATACTGCAATTATTGAACTTGCAAGGGGAGTTCATACCAGTTTACTACACTATCCCATGGACAGTTTTCTCAGGTTTTGGCTCATGCCAAAGCACATGATTTTGGAGTAAAAAAAGACTCTGTCATTTCAACTTTCTAAGCCTAGTTTCCGCTCTTCCGAAATGGGAATATTTCTCATCTCAACAAGGTGTTGCTTTTAACACCTTACCAGAGATACATAATAGACCCTTCATGAGTATTAGTTTCCTTCCTGTCTTTATGCCATAAGTATATCTGGCAAGATGATTATAACTTGAAACATTAGTGCATATTTAAGCCATAATAAATGTTTCCTAGAAGAAAGCAAAGGAAATAGCCTGAAACTTCAGAATCACTGAAGGAAGCCCAAGAAGGCATTTAGTTACTTTAGTATTGCTCTTCTAAACAGATGACCTATGACACAAAGCAAACTATCTTTCAATTAAGTTATTTTTGTTTTATGATGCATTCAGTTTTCATAAAATCAACTCTAGGAATTAGTTTATTTCCTCCCATGAAGAAAACAATTTTTTGATTTCTATAAAAAAATTATATCTTTTATATCTATATCATAAATAATTTTAATTTTAAATGCTGTTTAAAAGTAATTTTAACTGGCATTTTCATTGGCTGATACTTACAATCTTGACAATTTGATTTTGCTTATATTGACACATATTTCTAACTATCCGTTTAGATATTCTCCTAAGGTCTCTTACCACATCAAAAGGATATATAAACAAGTATTCTTTTAAAACAAAACTGAGAATATAGTAATCATGTTACTATCTATATGTATCTCATAACATGATGTTGATGTTGTAAAACTCAAATACACACAGTAAAATTTATTTTAAAAAAAACCAAAACTGAGAAAACAGCAACCAATAATTTTTTCTTGGTCCTAAAAAGAGCGAACACAAACATATCATTTTTCTATGCATGCATAATAAACACCTTTACTTTTTTCGACGTGGTTAACAGTCACTAATAAAGTCAGAGGATATTGATGATATATATATGCACATATATATAATTATATTAAAAAAGGAAATGTCTATTTCAGGCCCAAATTATTATCTGTTAATAATAATCATTAGTAAATAAGAAAAGGTACTTCAATCAACAAATACTAACTGAGCTTCTATTATATACCGAGCACATAGTGCTGGCTCCTATAAATCTGGGTGTGAATGAGACCCCTTATTTCTTACTAGTTATACTGTATATTTACAAATGATTGAATCATATATGCTTTATTTTTTACTGCATTAAAACACATGTACTTCTTAAAGCTTAATATTTAAAAAAATGAATTTTATCAGAAAAATAAATCAACAAAGAAGCCAGAGGGTTGGGTCAAAATGTTTCTCAGCTGTAAGAGCTCCTAGATTGATAGCCAATAAGCTATCTGGAAGTCATTCTCTTCCTTTAAAATTCAGCCTAGTTATAGAAAGTCCTCTCGCTCCCACAGGTCATATTAGCAATAGCAGTTGAGATCAGAAGGTTGGAGGAGTAGAGATAGGGTTCATACAAATTGAAGCCATATGTACTAGATGAGATTATTGTCCAAAATTCTTCCCTCCATCCCTCAGTCATGTAAACCTAAAGCTCACTGAAGTGGGTGGGGTGTATTTCTCCCCTCTATTCATGATCCACCCATGTAGCTGGCTCTGGACATGGAATGTCATTGAACATGACACACGCAAAAGACTTAAATGTGCTTGCGTCCTTCAGCTCCGCCTCTCGCACCCCTGTGATTGCCACGAAGACAGCATGCACCAGCTAGCTGCTATCCCTTCAGTCTGGGCCCCAGAATGAGACACACAGTCTTATGTTTAACCTAAAGTCTGCCAAGCCAAGATGACCCACAGTCTGAAGCAGAGTTATCCCAGCTGACCCACAGACCTGTAAGCAAAAAAAAAAAAAAAAAAGCTTCATGTTGTAAACTACTGAGTGTTTTTGAGATTTGGGAGATAAGGAGATAAATAGCTAACTAAAACACCACTGCTGGTTAAAATAAACAGCACATTTTTTCACTTGTTCACATTGGTAGGTCCAGATTGTAACATTCTAATAGTATGAAGACTATGTATTTTACATAAAGAGACTCTAACGAGTTGCACAATTAATTTAAGATCCCTATGAGAAGTAATAAACCATATCAATGTAGAGAATTATGAAACACAGGTGGGAGTCAGTAGAAAGTGAAGAAACAGCGCCACAAATGAGTAAAGCAGGTCTAGCAGGCTTGTCTGTTGAGTTACTGACTACTGGCATGTCCCAATGGCATTGACACAACCATCACACTTGAATTCTTTTCCTGTTAATAACACAAAGCTTCTCTTTTCCATTCATAATTGAAACATACTTTCATAGGTCAAAGACTTTGGCTTCAGAAACTTAATAAAATGAGACTTTAATTTGATATCAAATCTAATTTGAAAGGCAAGCACAGTGAGTGATGGTCTTCTTTGTTTAAGTTACTGAGGAAAGTACAGAGGCGACTATTATGTAAATTACACACTTGTACCAAGACAAGGTTGAATGCTGTCACAGTGAGCTCTGTGAATGGAGGTGAGGGAGGCAACCATGCAAGCTGAGAAAAATAATGAAGAAACGATTCATTACACAGTACACATCCTATATGTAGGACACAAAGGCAAGCAGAATCAACACGCAACATGTTGGCCAACACCATACTCACATTGGGAGGAGAAATGTAGTTTCAATAAAACATTATCCATAACTTGTTGATTTGAACTTTTCTGCTTGGTAGCTGTGTTGAAATCTAATTTTAGATGTTGTTTCTGTTTTATGGGTGTAATGTGTGTAAGAGGTAGGAAGTGTTGCCTCAGTTAGTATCCAGTTGTTGTGAGTGATAGAGAAGCCAGCACAAACCCACTTTAACGGGAAAGAAAAAGTACTTATTCATGTAGCGGAAAAGCCTCAGTGTCATGAACTGCTTGACCCAGGAACTCCAAAAATGTAATCAAAATTTGTTTTCTTTTAGTTCCTTGGCACTGCCTTTTGCTGCGTCAGCTTCATTTTTAACATTCATGTGGTAGCTTCTGTATCTCCAGGCTCACATCTTCCTTATCACCACAGGTTCCTGTGGAAAAAGAAAAATGAGGCAGGGTGTATGGTGGCTCAGCCTGTCATCTCAGCACTTTGGGAGGGCAAGGCAGTTGGATGCTTAAGCCCAGGAATTTGAGATGAGCCTGGGCAACCTAGAGAGACCTTATCTCTACCCAAAATTTTAAAAATTAGCCAGGTATGGTGGCATGTGTCTGTGGTCCCAGCTGCTCGGGAGGCTGAGGTGGGAGGATTGCTTGAGCTTTGGAGGTCGAGGCTACAGTGAGCTATGATCTCACCACTGCACTCCAGCCTGGGCGACAGAGAAAGACTCTGTCTCAAAAAAGAAAAAGTAGACCCCATGCAACTGTAATATTCACTCAGATGGATCCAATCACTGTAGCCAGGGCCTCATGCTTCTGTGGCGTTACTGGAAGTGTGCACGCTGATCATTTTCAATGACAGGTGGGGCTAGGAGAAAAGTTCCCAGAAGGAAATTAGGGTCCTCTCAGGAAAGTAAGATTTATTTTTGGTGAACAAGCAACAGCAACTCTCTTCTACAGCAGGAGTTGGCAAACTATGGCCCACGGGCCAAACTTATCCTACTGCCTGTTCTTATACAACCCACTATTTTCAGGCTCAAATTACTATCTGTTAATCAGTAATAATACTTACTAAAGAAGAAAATAATGTATGTCAATCAATAAATATTTATTGTAATAAATTAAATTATTTATTGTAAGGAAGCCAGTTGGTTAGCAGAAAGAGATGCAATAAAGATTGGGTTTTAGGCTGGGTGCAGTGGCTCACACCTATAATCCCAGCACACTGGGAGGCCGAAGCAGGAGGACTGCTTGAGCCCAGGAGTTCAAGACCAGCCTGGGCAACATAGTGAGATTCCATCTCTACAAAAAAATACAAAAATAAGCCGGGTGTCATGGCATGTGCCTATAGTCCCAGCTACTCGGGAGGCTGAGGTGGGAGGATTGCCTGAGCCCAGGAGGTCGAGGCTGCAGTGAGCCGTGATCTCGCCACTGCATTCCAGCCTGGGTGACAGAGTGAGACTGTCTCAAAACAAACAAACAAAACAAAACAAAAAATCCCCATATTATTTCAAATAAGGTCACATTCTGAGGTTCCCACTGGACATGAATATTGGAGGGAGAGACATTTAACCCACTAGAGCTGGGTTCAATAAAATCATACTCTCAGGAATTTGAAATGGGGTAACTAATAGTGGGAGTTGAAGTTTAAAAGATATCCTAGAAGAAGGGAAGGGGCAGGAGGAGCCTGGAGCAAACCAAACTTATGAGCAAGATAAAAGTACGAAAAATCATAAATGGTAGTTACAGCAGAAGCTTTGAGGAAGGGAAATGGTGTGGAATAAACCACAAGGAAGTCAGCTGGTAGCAGAAAGGGAAGCAAAAGGACACTAAGAGGAGCAGAGATCAAGAGTATCAGAGTCATGTTAATAATACCACAGCACTCAAATGACAAGGATAATGCACTGTCCCTTAGCTGCCGTGGAATCAATACAGATTCTGAAGATATCTGTTGGTCTTTAGTTTCTTTGAGATTCTGTGTCTCTTTTTGCCAAATATATATTTATAATAATCACCACTGCTAGATCTTGCTGAAGGATGTCTCTTTTACTTACAATCTGAAGAGCTTAACAGCTTGACTATATATATGGGTGTGTGTGTGTTTGAGATGGAGTTTCGCTCTCGTTGCCCAGGCTAGAGTGCAATGGTGTGATCTCAGCTCACTGCAACCTCCGTGTCCTGGGTTCAAACAGTTCTCCTGCCTCAGCCTCCTGCGTAGCTGGGATGCACCACCACACCTGGCTAATTTTGTATTTTTAGTAGAGATGGGGTTTCTCCATGTTGGTCAGGCTGATCTCAAATTCCAGACCTCAGATCTGCCTGCCTCGGCCTCCCAAAGTGCTGGGATTACAGGCGTGAGCCACCGCGCCTGGCCAGCTTGACTATATTTAAGATAACTGTTGAGTAAAATTTATGTGCTGTATGCCCATTGAGGTCTGTTATTCTAATTAATCTTTTTTTGCCATATTTATAAAAAGTATTGAGTTAAAGAACTGTGTTGGGTTATTATAAAAGATAGCTATGTCAGCCAGATTGAGCCAAATGATAATTGCAGTCAAAATGTGACTGTCAACAGTGAGCATGCCAGGTGTCCTCATCAGCGTTTACTAGGAAGGCTGCAGTAACAACCCCCAAATCACCACGGTTTAAAACAATGAAGGATTATATCTCATTCATGTTGCTCATTAGCCATGGGTTGATGGCAATTCTTCTGCTCCATGTGTCTTCTTCAATATCTGAGATGTGCCATTCTCAGGGCACAGGGAAAAGAGGATAGAGTTGGCAAAAACACACAAGAACGATCAACACTTTTACTTCAACATAATGTAAGTCACATCCACTCATCTGCCATTGGCCAAAACAAGCTGCATGTCGAAGACCAACATCAATGGAGCAGGAATGTGTACTTTTTCCATAGAAAGTTGTATTAGCCCGTTTTCACGCTGCTGATAAAGACCCCCCGACCATGATTCAAATTATCTCCCACCGGGTCCCTCCCACAACATGTGGGAATTATGGGAGTACAATTCAAGATGAGATTTGGGTGGGGACACAGCCAAACCATATCATTCCACCCCTGGCCCCTCCAAATCTCATGTTCTCACATTTCAAAACCAATCATACCTTCCCAACAGTCCGTGAAAGTCTTAACTCATTTCAGCATTAACCCAAAAGTCCACAGTCCAAAGTCTCATCTGAGACAAGGCAAGTCCCTTTCGCCTATGAGCCTGTAAAATCAAAAGCAAGCTAGTTACTTTCTAGATACAATGGGTGTACTGGTATTGGGTAAATACAGCCATTCCAAATGGTAGAAATTGGACAAAACAAAGGGGTTACAGGGCCCGTGCAAATCCGAAATCCAGTGGCAATCAAATTTTAAAGTTCCAAAATGATCTCCTTTGACTCCAGGTCTCACATCCAAATCACGCTGATGCAAGAGGTGGGTTCCCATGGTCTTGGGCAGCTCCACCCCTGTGGCTTTGCAGGGTACAACCTCCCTTCCTCCAGTTGCTTTCACAGGCTGGTGTTGAGTGTCTGTGGCTTTTCCAGGCGCACAGTGCAAGCTGTTGGTGGATCTACCATTCTGGGGTCTAGAGGACGGTGGCCCTCTTCTCAAGGCTCCACTAGGTGGTGCCCCAGTAGGGACTCTATGTGGGGGCTCTGACCCCACATTTCCCTTCTGCACTGTCCTAGCAGAGGTTCTCCATGAGGGCAACGCCCCTGCAGCAAACTTCTGCCTGGGCATCCAGGTGTTTCCATACATTTTCTGAAATCGACACGGAGGTTCCCAAACCCCAATTCTTGACTTGCAGACTCAACACCACATGGAAGCTGCCAAGGCTTGGGGCTTGCACCCTCTGAAGCCACGGCCCAAACTCTATGTTGGCCCCTTTCAGCCACAGCTGGAGCAGCTGGGACACAGGGCACCAAGTCCCTGGGCTACACACAGCACAGGGACCCGGGCCTGGTCAACAAAACCATTTTCTCCTAGGCCTCTAGGCCTGTGATAGAAGGGGATGCCATGAAGACCTCCAACATGCCCTGGAGACATTTTCTCCATTGTCTTGGGGCTTAACATTCAGTTCCTCCTTACTTGTGCAAATTTCTGCAGCCAGCTTGAATTTCTCCTCAGAAAATGGGTTTTTCTTTTCTATCACATTGTCAGGCTGCAAATTTTCCAAACGTTTGTGCTCTGCTTCCCTTATAAAACTGAATGCCTTTAACAGCACTCAAGTCACCTCTTGAATAATGCTTTGCTGCTTAGAAATTTCTTCCTCCACCAGTGCGGTGGCTCATGCCTGTAATACCAGCACTTTGGGAGGCTGAGGCAGGAGGATCACCTGATGTCAGGGGCTCGAGACCAGCCTGGCCAGCATGGTGAAACCCCATCTCTATTAAAAATACAAAAATTAGCTGGGTGTGATGGCACACACCCGTAAATCCCAGCTACTCTGGAGGCTGAGGTAGGAGAATTGCTTAAACCCGGCAGGCGGAGGTTGCAGTGAGCTGAGATCGCGCCACTGCACTCCAGCCTCAGTGACAGAGCAAGACTCCATCTCGGAAAAAAAAAAAAAAAAAGAAAGAAAGAAATTTCTTCCTCCAGATACCCTAAATCATCTCTCTCAAGTTTAAAGTTCCTCAAATCTCTAGGGCAGGGGCAAAATGCCACCAGTCTCTGCTAAAACATAACAAGAGTCATCTTTACTCCAGTTCCCAACAAATTCCTCATCTCCATCTGAGACCACCTCAGCCTGGACCTTATTGTCCACACTGCTTCAGGCTTTCAGTCAAAGCCATTCAACAAGTCTCTAGGAAGTTCCAAACTTTCCCACATTTTCCTGTCTTCTTCTGAGCCCTCCAAACTGTTCCAACCTCTGCCTGTTACCCAGTTCCAAAGTTGCTTCCACATTTTCAGGTATCTTTTCAGAAATGCCCCACTCTACTGGTACCAATTTACTGTATTAGTCCTTTTTCATGCTGCTGATAAAGACATGCCTGAGATTGGGAAGAAAAAGAGGTTTAATTGGACTTACAGTTTGGCTGGGGAGGCCTCAGAGTCACGGCGGAAGGTGAAAGGCACTTCTTACATGGCGATGGCAAGAGAAAATGAGGAAGATGCAAAAGCATCAGAAACCCCTGATAAAACCATCAGATCTCATGAGACTTATTCACTACCACGAGAACAGCATGGGGGAAGCCACCCCCATGATTCAAATTATCTCCCACCTGGTTCCTCCCACAACACATGGGAATTATGGGAGTACAATTCAAGATGAGATTTGGGTGGGGACACAGCCAGACCATATCAAAGGCACTGTGAGTTATTATGGGCAGAGATATGTGTAATCCTCTCTCAGGAAGGGAAATTACTTAAAACAATAATAAAAGATAAATGGTTACCATGGAAACTATCACACAGAAACATGTATCAATATATTGATATAATCTTTTCCTGATGATATGTAATTTATGAAAGCTATAAAGTAATATATATCTTAAATTTAATCATGTGTATATATTCTTATATATAAACTGTAATTGTTATCATTATCTAGTATGCAAGAAACTGCTAGATTATATGTATGTGTGTGTGTGTGTGTGTGTGTGTGTGTGTAATCAGTTGTTCCTCTAAAGGAATTTTTTTTATTTTTTTAAGACAGGGTCTTGCTTTGTCACCCAGGCTGGAGTGCAGTGGCATGATCATAGCTCACTGCAGCCTTGACTTCCCAGGCTCAAGCAAGTAGCTGGGACTACAGGTGTGCCACCACGCCCAACTAAGTTTTGTATTTTTTGTAAAGACAAGGTTTCGCCATGTTGCCCAGGCTGGTCTCGAACTCCTGAGCTCAAGGGATCCTCCTGCCTCAATTTCCCAAAGTGCTGGGATTACAGGTGTGAGCCTCAGTGTCCGGCCCTCTAAAGAAATTTAAAACCAGTGTGAGTTATTTGTTTTCAAGCTAGTTATGAAGCATTACATATACATTTAAAACAGTAATGAACCAAGCAAGGAAAAGATCAGAAGCAGTACTACACACATACTGCCATGTGCATGCATGTGTGTATACGTATATATATATATAAGAATTTGGTATATTAAAAAATTTGGGATTTTAAATCAGTGGGAAGAGAATGAATTATTAAATAATTGGTGGTGAGATAACTAATCATATTTTCAAAAGCTGGGTCCTTATTGCATAATTTGTACCTAAATAGATTCCAGGTGGATTAAATATTTAAATTTTAAAAATCATAAAAATATTAGAAGGCTGGGCACAGTGGCTCATGCCTGTAATCCTAACACTTTGGGAGGCTGATGCATGAGAATGACTTGAGACTAGCCTGGGCAACATAGCAAGACCCTGTCTCTACAAAAAACGATTTTAAAAAATAGCCTGGTGTGGTGGTGGGTGCCTGAAATCCTAGCTACTCAGGAGGCAGAAGCAGGAAGATCACTTGAGCCTAGGAGCTTGAGGTTGCAGTGAGCCATGATCATCCCACTGCACTCCAGCCTGGGCGACAGAGCAAGATGCTGTCTCAAAAAAATTAATTAATTAATTAATTAAACATATATATGAAGAAAATGTAAAAGGAATGTTTATACAATCATGGGGCAGTGTAAGACTTTCTCAGCATTACACCAAAGATAGAAATAATAAGATTTTGATGAGCTTGGTTAATGTAGTGGATACCTTAAAAGGCAATCCCCTCCAAAAGGGAGTTAGCTCAGGAGACAAAAACTCTGCCCTATACCCAATCCATAGAACTGGATTCTTAGCAACTGTGTTAGAACGACATGATTCTGCTCCACTAGCCCTTGATACCGGACCCAACCTGAAGCAATCAGATTTCCTTTAAAGGGTATTTGGACTTGGAACAAAGAGCTCTGGTTCAGTCCAGCTGCTCTATTCAGTAGGAAACAGGTAAACACAAAAGAGATGAAATGGTCGTTTTCCACCCATCTTGTACCTGTGAAGCAAAAAAAGCTGTATTGTCAAGAGATAAAAGTAAAGCAGATGCACAGAGAAATGCAGATGTGGAGAGAGCACATTATGGCATTTCGGGTACTTGACTTCAGTACCTGGCTGCATTGTTGCCCTTGGGTGTAAGGAGCTGCATGTATCAATACATGCATTGGAAAGCTTTTGCGCGCCTCTCCTTTCTCACATCTGGTTGTGATGCAAATGATTCCACATAGACTTTTACTCTTTTTCTATCTCGGTATCTCACCTGAGGAGTGGGCAGGCCGGGCGCGTTGGCTCATGCCTGTAATCCCTGCACTTTGGGAGACCGAGGCGGGCAGATCACCTGGGGTCAGGAGTTCCACACCAGCCTGGTCAACATGGCGAAACCCCATCTCTACTAAAAACACAAAAACTAGCCAGGCTTGGTGGTGGGTGCCTGTAGTCTCAGTTACTCAGGAGACCGAGGCACGAGAATCGCCTGAATCCAGGAATCCAGAGTCAGAGACTGCAGTGAACCAAGATTGCACCATTGCACTCCAAACTGGGTGACACAGCACGACTGAATCTCAAAAAAAAAAAAAAAAAAAAAAAAAGAGAGAGAGAGAGAGTGGGTCACACTCTCTTGATTCCTGCCCATGGTCTTTAGTGGTGCCTTGGTGTAGGACAATGCAGGAGCCCACTGGGACTGACTGAGGCACCCAGAAGTGTTCACCACCAGTGGGGAGACTGCTTTCTCTTTTGTCCCTCAGATAGAGATCTGCAGGTGTCAGCAGAAATAAACACCAATCTCCTGCAACAGGGCCAACCCAATAATGCAGTCTAGCATTGCCTTTTTCTCCTTCCTGACTTCACTTTCCTTGGCCCCTCACTCCTGCTCCCTGGAATCGCATACCAAATCAAGCACCTGCATGCAGCCCTAGGCCCAGGCTCTGCTTTGGGGGAAACCCAGAAGAAGCAAGTGTGGCCACAGAAGTGGCCATAGAAAGAATGCTCTCGAGACAGGATTCTAAACCTGGATTACCCACTGGTCAGGCAGCAAAAAGAAATCCATCACTGGTAACAGGTGAGAGGGCTATACTCTCTGGTAGCTTCACAAAATGGCTTCCCTGATTGCCACTGTCTACATTTGATTGGAACGTGGTGGAGGCAGAAGACAAAGAATATGTGGTATTCTAGCACTGGAAGAGGTTGCAACAGTCATCATAAAAATTATTTTTAAAATGAATTATAGAATGGCTTCGCTTTGGTTAGCTGCTTTTAAACTCTTGATAAAAGAAATCAGCATACTCGGCCGGGCGCGGTGGCTCACGCCTGTAATCCCAGCACTTTGGGAGGCCGAGGCAGGTGGATCACGAAGTCAGGAAATCAAGACTAGCCTGGCCAACATGGTGAAACCCCATCTCTACTAAAAATACAAAAATTAGCTGGAGACGGTGGTGCACACCCGTAGTCCCAGCTACTCAGGAGGCTAAGGCAGGAGAATAGCTTGAACCTGGGAGGCAGAGGTTGCAGTGAGCCAAGATTGTGCCACTGCTGCACTCCAGCCTGGGGACAGAGTAAGACACTGTCTCAAAAAAAAAAAGAAATCAACATACTCATGTTATGTAGCTGCCCACTATAAAAATAAGAGTCCTCCATGGCAGTGGATACTCCGAGGCCTGTCATAGTGGTTCACACAGCACTTTGGGAGGCCGAGGCAGGCAGATCACCTGAGGTAAGGAGTTCGAGACCATCCTGGCCAACATGGCAAAACCCCATCTCTACTGAAAATACAAAAATTAGCCGTGCATGGTGGTGCTTGCCTGTAATCACAGCTACTCGGGAGGTTGAGGCAGGAAAATCGCTTGAACCTGGGAGGCAGAGGTTGCAGTGAGCCGAGATCATGCCACTGTACTCCAGTCTGGGTGACAGAGCGAGACTCTATCTCAAATAATAATAATAATAATAATAATAATAATAATAATAATAATAAAAGACACTTCCAAATAAAAGACAGTCTTTTCGATAATTGGTGCTGGATAGCCATGTGAAAAAAACAAGCTTTGACCTCTACTTCACACTACACCCCCAAATTAATTCTAGATGGATCATGGACATAAATGTAGAGGGTAAAAAAATTAAGCTTCTAGGAGAAAACACAGATCCTATTTATGACCTTGGGATTAAATGGAACAGAGGGCACTAGCTATAAGAGAATGTTAAGTTGGACTTCATTAGGAACTTCTGTTCCTCAAAAGACACTACTGGGAGAGTTAAAAAGCAAGCCAAAAACTTGGAACATAGTTCAACACAATACTTAGATCTACAGTATAAAAAAATTCCTACAAATCACTAAGAAAAAAACCCCACATAGCCCAATTTTAAGAAACTGTACCCAAAACTCTTTTCACAATGAAGATAAACGAAGGGCAAAATGCATACGAAAAGGCAATTAAGTCATTATTCATCAAGGAAACGCACAAACTATAATCTGATGCTATTACACTCCCATGAGAATGACTTAAATTCAAAGGACTGGGTGGGGTGGGGGGAGTGGGGAGGGATAGCATTGGGAGATATACCTAATGCTAGATGACGAGTTAGTAAGTGCAGCGCACCAGCATGGCACATGTATACATATGTAACTAACCTGCACAATGTGCACATGTACCCTAAAACTTAAAGTATAATAAAAAAAAAAAAAAGTAAAAAAAAAAAAAAAAATTCAAAGGACTGTCAACACAAAGTAAGTACTCGATGATGTGGAGCATCTGGAACATTTTATGTTGTGGTGGGGGAGTTTAAGTCAGTACAACCACTTTGGAAAACTGGCAGTTTTTATCTAAAATTATATGCACATGACTCAGCAAATTCTACTCCTGAAAAATTCTACTCCCAGAACAAATGAGCATTTATATACACCAGAAGTTGTATATAAGAATTTTCACCAACCTGGGCAACACGGTGAAACCCTGTCTCTACTAAAAAGTACAAAAAGTAGCCGAGTGTGGTGGCGAGCACCTGTAGTCCCGGTTACTCAGGAGGCTGAAGTGAGATAATTGCTTGAACCTGGGAGGCAGACGTTGTGATGAGCCGAGATCACGCCACTACACTCTAGCCTGGTCGATAGAGTGAGACCCTGTCTCAGAAAAAGAAAAAAGAAGAATTTTCATAGTCGTTTTATCATAATAGCACAAACTGAAAATAGCCCAAATACCCATCGATAGGAGAATAAATAAATAAGTCGTAATATACTGTGTAATGCTAAACAGCAACTAACGAGCACTGCTGCTTTGGGCCAGGCATAGTGGCTCATGCCTGTAATCCCAGCTCTTTGGGAGGCCGAGGCAAGTGTATCACTTGAGATCAGGAGTTCGAGACTAGCCTGGTCAACATGGTGAAACCCTGTCTCTACTAAAAATACAAAAATTAGCCGGGTATGGTGGCGCATGCCTGTCGTCCCAGCTACTCAGGAGCCTGATGCAGGAGAATCACTTGAACCCAGGAGGCGAAGGTTGCAGTGGGCCGAGATCGCACCACTGCACTCCAGCCTGAGTGACAACGTGAGACTCTCAGAAAAAAAAAAAAGAACTACTGCTTTGCACAACATGCACGTATCTCCCAGACATCATGATCACAAGCCATGAATCCATTTAGGTAAGGTTAAATAGGGAAAATGAATTTCTGGTGAAAGAAGTAAAATAGTGATACCATTGTGGGGGAAATGCTGATTGTGGGAAGGCATGAAGAAGCCTTCTGAAATGCTAGAAATGGTCTGCAACTTGATTGAGCAGTAGTTACAAGGGTGTAGAAGTATGTCATAAACATATATCAAGCTCTACGTTTAGATGTGTTTACTTTGCTGCATGTGAGTTATACTTTGGGGGAAAAACTAAATAAACAAAAAAAGCGGGGGAAATGAAAAGAAAACGATCCTCATTTCCTGTAGCTGTAGAGAAATATATGCTGAAAAATCAGGCCCAGGATTCAACGGTAAGAGCAGCAAAACTGCAAAGGAGACTGAATGCACAGCCTCAAAAAGTCTATGCCGGGCTGGGCACGGTGGCTCATGCCTGTAATCTCAGCACTTTGGGAAGCCACGGCAGGCGGATCATGAGGTCAGGAGATCAAGACTATCTTGGCTAACACGGTGAAACCCCATCTCTAGTAAAAATACAAAAAAATTAGCCAGGTGTGGTGGCACGCACCTGTAGCCCCAGCTACTCAGGAGGCTGAGGCAGGAGAATTGCTTGAACTCGGGAGGCAGAGGTTGCAGTGAGCCAAGATCGTGCCACTGCACTCCAGCCTGGGCAAAAGAGTGAGACTCCATCTAAAAAAAAAAAAAAAAATTCTATGCCAAAGCTGAGGACTTGATAGGAAAAGTGATTTCCTGAAAGCTGACATAGTGACATTTGGGTAGATAACCTCAGCATCTGGAACCCACAAATTCCCCCGAATCTTCTGCCAGAAGAAGCCGTACTCTCCTTCTTGCTAGAGAGGAAAATTCCACAATCCCTGGAAGCTTTGCAGAAACCTCACCTGAGTCAGGTGTCTTGGAGGACAATGCTTTTTTTCTGTCCAAGATCTGCCACCACATCCTTCACTGCCTTAGGAATAGCAAGGGTCTAGAGGGAAAATGCATTTCCTACTCTAGAAGGAAATGGCTTACACAATCAAAACAATTACAGGACCAAAATAAGAAGTACTAGCAAGAATGGATGAACATGTATGAGAGTGAATCTCAAGGGTATTGAACCAGGAGAGTGATGAGGGGATAAAATATAAATCTGTGCAGTGGCCAGGTGTGGTGGCTCACACCTGTAATCCAGCACTTTGGGAGGCTGAGGCAGGAGGATCATTTGATGTGAGGAGTTCGAGACTGGTCTGGTCAACATGGTGAAATTCTGTCTCTACTAAAAATACAAAAAAAAAAAAAAAAATGAGCTGGGTGTGGTGGTGGGCACCTGTAATCCCAGCTCCTCAGGATGCTGAGGCATGAGAATCACTTGAACCTGGGAGGCAGAGGTTGTAGTGAGCTGAGATTGTGTTACTGCACTCCAGCCTAGCGACAGAGTGAGACTCCATCTCAAAAAAAAAAAAAAAAAACGGTGAAAAGCTTGTTGACACTGGAGCACTCTCCTATGACTTGGGGTTTAGCCTCCTGGAAAAAAAAATATGGAGTCATACTTTTTTATTTTTCTTTTTATTTTTTTGAGACAGGGTCTCACCCTGTCACCCAGGCTGGAGTGCAGAGGCGTGATCATGGCTCACTTCAACCTCCATCTCCTGGGCTCAAGCCACCCTCCTGCCTCAGCCCCCCAAGTAGCTGGGACCACAGGAGTGTACCACCATACCCAGCTAAACATTTTCTTATTTTTTGTGGAGACGGGATCTTGCCATGTTGCACAAGCTGGTCTTGAACTCCTGGACTCAAGCAATCCTCCTGGAATTATAGGTGTGAGCCACTGCATCCCACCAGAGTTACTCTAATATGCTGCTCTTGACTCTTGGCCATGTTGATGTCCTATGTAAATGAGGTGGAGAAGCCAGAACTACTTTGGCAGAATATTGAGGAGGGAGTAATAAGGCACATGGCAGTGAAAATGTTAAAACAAAAAAATATGTATTACACTTATTAAATATGATCAGAAAACCCACTATCTGATTATATTTCCCAGGAATCCCTGAAAGATATTTGCTTCACTAAAGCAGTAAGAAATGCACCAAGGAAGTTTGTACTGGGATCTTTCAGAAACTCAATGACACATTTCTTCTATACGTTGAAGAGATGCAGTCTTGAAACTGGCCTTCTAGTATCAATGGACGTAATAAGATTCTGGAATGGCAGAGGCCAGGGAGTGGCACCTAACAGAGGCAATACGGACATCACTGCTATAATAGATAGCAAGGCTGGAATGGCGATCAGAGTGGCTTGACCTACAGACATCTGTGGTGATGGTTAATAGATCATGCTGTTCCTAGGAGCAAGACAGATGGATACCCAATCAATCAGGATGTTACTTATTTACCTTATAAAATAAAACACAAAACAATTGAAGAGAAGACTGACATCGGCTGCAAAGTGGAAAAATATTGTGGTCTCTCACCCAGTTTTTAGCCAGTTCATAGGTGACAGCCTGTGATCAAAGAGGAGTATATGTCTCCTTGAGGAAGGACCATCTAAAACCTGCTCAAGTATGTACGATAAACATTCCCCCAATTATTCCCCAAAAGCTCTTGCAGCCATTTACTAAAAAAACCGTACACTGGGGAAAGGCATTTTCCAGGCATTTTGAGGACTATTACATAACAGGGTCTGAACTGCCACCAAAACAAGCAAACATAAAATGCCATCATAGACCACTGGGTAGAGAAAGGACGTATGGAGGCCAGGTAATAAATGCAGTTCTGGCCCTAGTCCTCGTTACTATGCGTATTAGTCCGTTTTCACGCTGCTGCTGAAGATGTACCCAAGACTGGGCAATTTACAAAAGAAAGAGATTTAATGACTTACAGTTCCACATGGCTGGGGAAGCCTCACAATCATGGCGGAAGGCACGAAGGAGCAAGTCACATTCCACATGGATGGCGGCAGGCAGAGAGAGAGACTGGGCAGGGAAACTCCCCCTTATAATACCGAAGAATCTCATGAGACTTATTCGCTATCACGAGAACAGCATGGGAAAGACCTGCCCCCATGATTCAATTACCTCCCACCGAGTCCCTCCCACAACACGTGGGAATTCAAGATGAGATTTGGGTGGGGACACAGAGAAGCCATATCACTGTGAGTCCAAAAATTCTACAAAATAGAATCCTGAAGAATAGGAAATAACCTATTCTGTGGCTATATCCCCAGTTCTCATATGTGAAGTTTGAATGGACACACTTAACAGCTGGCCAAATTTTTACAGCCCCTGACCTATTGTCAAAAGTTATTGACCTATTACCAAAAGTTATTATGGTAAGAGTAGCTAGAAAATAACCCTGAAAAACGCCTCCTGCCACCAAAGTGCCAAGATAGCAAATCAGAAACACATCCCAAGAGGAATTCTGGGAATAAGCACAACTCAGATATTTAAAGGATGCAGACGTGTTGGTTTCCATCACATCCCTGTTTAATTTACCTATATGACTCCTGCAAATACCAGATAGATCATGATGGCTAATAGTGACATATTTTTTTCATTTTCATTTTAGCCACCCTCAGTCCCCCAACCAGGGTCCCCATCTTCCCTCCCCATCCCTGCTTAACCTCACTCAGAGCAGCCAAGCCCTCAGTCCCCAGCCCCAACTCTCAGCTTTCCTCCCTCATGACTTTGGGATCTGCATGGCTGTCCTTTCACACATCCCAGCAGCTTTTGATGCCAAGAACTCCATCACTGCTCCTTGATGCTTCTCCCTTTTCCACCGCTAGGACACCACCCTTACCTGGTTCACCTCCTACTTGGGCATCCAGAGTATTTGTCACTTTCTTGTGTTCTCTGCCATCTTTGAGATGTTAGGAGCCCCAGGGCTCAGTCTCAGGCCTTGTTCTCCACTGTGTTCTGGGGAGACGTCATCCTCTCTCCCAGCTTCAGTGCCTCCATCCCCCACCACACATTGATGCTTCCTGGACCATCTTTGTCTTTAGCCCATAAGATGCTTCTAGGTCCCTGCCCCCAGGGTCCAGCCCCCTCAGAGTGAACATGTCCCAAACCTGCCTTTGTACCTTCCCTGTGTATCTGCTCCTCCTAGTTGCCTAGACTTGAGCCCCATTCTCTACGGCCTGGACCATGCCCATCCTCCTTCGAGGCCTCCCCACCCTCAGTCTTCCCCTCTGGTCCAGACCTCTCGCCAGCCCCTAAGGAATATTCCAGATACACAGATCTGTCTGACACCCTCCTTACTGGCACTTGGAGGTCTTCACAGTCCCACATTTTCCTTTCCCAAATCTCACCCATGCATGGGAGGCTTCGTGGGTCAGAGCACAGTTTTGCAAGGTTCAGCTCTAAGACCATCTCCTCCAAGGAGCCTTCCCTTTCTCCTCCCACGTGAGTGCCCCTCCCCAGTTCCTCATTCCACCAGGTCCTGACCATACCCTGCTGGCAGTGTCTATACCCCGCTCTGTCACTCCCACACCTCCTCTGATGCTGGGCCAGCCATGTGGAACAGGTGGTAGGGACAGATGAATGAATGAATGAATGAATGAATGAATGAATGGAGTGAATGACGGAAAGTGGTCCGGAGGCAGGGGCTCAGAGCAAGGAGAGGGATAGACCAGTCTTCAGAGGAGCTCCCCTAGCCCTTGAAGTCCCTGCCGCCACCTGAAGTAATGGTGATATATTAAATTTAACCACCTGGTTAAATTTAACCACCTGAATGTAGCATCTTGAATAAAAAAAATCAACACAAGCTCTAGCACATGGTGTATAGCTCTTGATCTTACAAACATGTTCTTTTCAATATCTCACTATAAAGATCAAAAAACTTTACTTTTACATGAGAAAGTCAGAAGTACATTTTACTATCTTGACCCAGGGTCAATAAACTCTTCTGCTTTCTTCATAATACGGTCCACAAAATTCTTGATGATCTCAATATTTTCTAGGAAATCAAGTGGGTCCACTATGATATCATACTACATTGACTTGGTGAATAAAAAGGGACAAGTTAGCCGGGCATGGTTGTGTGCACCTGTAATCTCAGCTACTTGGGAGGCTGAGGTGAGAGGTCACTTGAGCCTGGGAGACTGAGGCTGCAGTGAGCCATGATCGTGCTACAGCACTGCAGCCTGGGAGACAGAGCAAGACCCTGTCTCAAAAAAAAAAAAAAAAAAAGAAAGTGACACGTACTCTGGATGCCCAAGTAGGACCCATGTATGCCAGAGGATGGCAGATAAATACTATAAAGGTTTTGGAGGTCCAATATTCTGAGAAGTCATGGATAGTCCTAAGGAACAGGAAAACTTGTTGCACCTTACACATCTACCACTAAGAAAGAGGCACAGAGCTTGGTGGGCCTGTTTAGATTTCGGCATATACTGAATTTGGGAATATTGTTCCAACCCATTTATTAAGTGATTCAAAGGCTGCCAGCTTTGAGTGGGTCCAAAAGGAAGAGAAGACACATCAGCAGTTTTAGGCCACTTGGGTCATATGCTAACTATGAATCAATGATGTTAGAGGCATCCTTGATATTTAATAATTTAAGGATATTGTAGGTTGCTGGCAAACTTTAATAGAAGAGTTACAATCCAGATTCTGACAGAATGTGATCCTTCTGGGGGCAGAGAAGGTGATGTTTGTCATTTGGAAAGCAACTTCAGGTGTGCTACTAGGCCCTAAGAGAGACTGAGCTTCTGACATGGGACACCAAATGACTGTGTGACCAGAGCTACCCATCATGGATATAACAGCCATTAAACTATATATTCAGATGAGTGAAGCAGCAATTCCTTATAAAATGTAAATGGTGCACACAAAATAAAGTCCAGCATGTCCATGGACCACAAGCAAATTACATAAGCAGGTGACCCAAGCTCCATTGTCTCTTATTTCTTTTTCTTTTCTTTTTTTTTTTTTTAAACTGAGTTTCACTCTGTTGCCCAGGCCAGATCATGCAATGGTGCAATCTCGGCTCACTGCAACCTCTGCCTCCTGGGTTCAGGCGATTCTTCTGCCTCAGCCTCCTAAGTAGCTGGGATTACGGGAGCCCACCACCATGCCCAGCTAATTTTTGTATTTTTATTAGAGACAGGGTTTCACCATGTTGGCCAGGCTGGTCTCGAACTCCTGACCTCAGGTGATCCACCTGCCCCAGCCTCCCAAAGTGCTAGGATTACAGGCATGAGCCACCGCGCCCAGGCCCATGTCTCTATTTCTATTGCAACAATGCCTCACTTTGCACCTATGACCAACTGATGGGGGAAGATATGACTTAGGCTTGGTTGTCAGATGGGTCACTCAGGATGTTGTTGTGAGCCACGAACGGACTGCTGGAACACACAACTCTACCCAAGAATGGTGCAAAAGGAGAGCAGTAAGGGAAAAATCCGTCCAGAGGCACAGCTATGTGTGCTAATGAAATTTAGCATTTTCTTTAATTATATAGGTAGACAATAAACCACAGTAATACTGACATTGTGATGAATAGAAATCATAAATATTTTCATTTTACATTATTACTTATGGCTATCACTATTTTGAAACTGTCATAGTGATGATATCTTGTTATTTAATTCATTAAGGTAAACATTTACTGTATATTAATATAAGTTGTTTCTTTTGTAATTCTATATATTTTATCTTATGCCTTTAAGAATGTTATTTTGAGAGAGTTTTATTAAATGGTCATATTTAACAGAAAAGATCAATACAAGCTCTGGCACACAATGTATAACTTGATCTTCCAAACATGTTCTTTTCGGCCGGGCGTGGTGGCTCATGCCTGTTATCCCAGCACTTTGGGAGGCCGAGGCAGGTGGATCACCTGAGGTCGGGAGTTCAAGACCAGCCTGACCAACACGGTGAAACCCCTTCTCTACTAAAAAGAAAATACAAAGTTAGCCAGGAGTGGTGGTGCATGCCTGTAATCCCAGCTACTCAGGAGGCTAAGGCAGGAGAATCACTTGAACCTGGGAGGCGGAGGTTACAGTGAGCCAAGATCAAGCCACTGCACTCCAGCCTGAGCAACAAGAGTGAAACTGCATCTCAAAAAAACAAAAAACAAAAACAAAAACCATGTTCTTTTTGATATCAATTATAAAGAGGGTTCACTAAGTGGTTAAGTTTAATATATCACCATTAGCCATCAAGATCCATCTGGTTTTTGCAGACTGCTAAAGGAGTCATAGCACAAACATAGTTGAGAACCCTGTCCCAAAGAAACTCACACAGAGGTGCCTAGGCATATGCAGGGATGTTTAGGCCAATGTTGTCTATCACTGACGGGAGTTGGTGGTAAACTATGTGTTGTTCATCATTAGAATGAATAAGTTAAATGCTGAAGTTTATCCCACATTATGAAATACTATACATGTACATCTAAAACATGAATTCATCTTAAAATGATACCATCGACTAAAAACAAAAAGAATACAGCAAGATCTATAGCACGGTGTAATTCATGAGTATGTAAAACTTGCACATATAAAACACTATCTACATATATTTTATATGTATATATTTAAAAAATATATACATGTTCAAGGATATGTTATTAATGGCATCGCATTCTAGAGCAGCAGCCCAAGACTGGGAGTAGGTATAGGACAATAGAACTGGAAGAGGATATTGGAAAACACACACACAAAAAAATTATAACATATCAGCAGCACCTTAAATGAAACAGTGATAATTGTGTGTCATTAACCAAGAAGTATGTGTAGTCCATCTCTCTGATCCAAGGCCAAACAAATAAACCAAAAAACTCTACCATGAACAGAATGCAAAGGCAATTCTTTTTTTTTTTTTCTTTTTGAGATGGGGTCTCACTCCATTGCCCAGGCTAGAGTGCAGTGGCGAGATCACAGCTCACTGCAGCCTCAACCTTCTGGGGTTCAAGCAATCCTCCTGCCTCAGCCTCCCTCCCAAATAGCTGGGATCACAGGTGCACACCACCACCTCCAGCTATTTTTTTTGTTTTTATTTTTAGTAGAGATGAGGACGCATTATGTTGCCCAGACTAATCTCAAACTCCTGGACTCAAGTGATCCTCCTGCCTCAGCCTCCCAAACTGCTTGGATTACAGGCATGAGCCACCACACCTGGCCACAAAGGCAAATTTAAAACTATGGAAAATATTTAAAAAACAAAAACAAAACAAACAGGCCAGGCACGGTGGCTCAGACCTATAATTCCAGCACTTTGGGAAGCCGAGGAAGACAGATGGCTTGAGTTCACAAGTTTGAGACAAGCCTGGATGACGTAGGGAAACCTTGTCTCTACTAAAAATACAAAAATTAGCCAGGCGTGGTGGCACACACCTTTAGTCCCAGCTACTTGGGAGGCTGAAGCAGGAAGATCATTTGAGCCCAGGAGATGGAGGTTGCGGTAAGCTGAGATCACACCACTGCACTCCAGCCTGGGCGACAGAGAGAAACCCTGTCTCAAAAAAAAAAAGTGTGTGGGGGGACTATTATCTTTAATATACAAGATTTTATCAATTAATAAGAAAAATAAATATTTTAAAGTAAAAAACTCAAAGCAGGTAATTAATAAGACATGAATACCTGACAAGAAAATGTTTAGATGCACAAGTAAAAATAAAATATCAGGTATTATCAAGGGAGAGGAAAATCTAACCTCTTAAACACTGCTCGTGGGAAAAAAATGTGGTACAAACTTTCTGGAGGAGAATTTAGCATACATTAAAAATGCCATAAAAATCTGCTCTAAAAACCTACAAATCTTTGGCATAGCATTTTCAGGTCTAGAAATAGATCTTAAGGAAATTTTAAAAGTACACAGATATTTAGTTACAAGGATGTTATGGTGAAATTGTTTCTCACTACTTAAATGTGGGGCAAAAGTGATTAGATATTGGCAAAGGAAATTGTGACATATTCATATAAAACAGGATAGTATCACTGAAGTAGTATAATAAGATGGGAATGTGTTTGAAATATAGCAAAGTGGGCTGGGCGTGGTGGCTCACGCCTGTAATCCTAGCACTTTGGGAGGCCGAGGCAGGCAGATCACAAGGTCAGGAGATTGAGACCATCCTGGCTAACATGGTGAAACCCCGTCTCTACTAAAAATACAAAAAATTAGCCGGGTGTGGTGGCGGGCACCTGTAGTCCCAGCTACTTGGGAGGCTGAGGCAGGAGAATGGCATGAACCCAGGAGGCGGAGCTTGCAGTGAGCTGAGATAGCACCACTGCACTCCAGCCTGGGCGACAGGGCGAGACTCTGCCTCAAAAAATAAATAAATAAATAAATAATAAAAAATAAAATATAGCAAAGTGAAAAACAAAATTTACAAAGTATGACTCATTTTGTGATTTAACACTTTAATAGCATTTTTCTTTTCTTTTCTTTTTCTTTTTTGAGGCAGAGCCTCGCTTTGTTGCCTAGGCTGGAGTCCAGTGATGCGATCACAGCTAACTGCAGCCTCCACCTCCCGGGTTCAAGCAATCCTACCACTTCAGCTTCCTGAGTAGCTGGGACTACAGGTGCGTACCACCACACCCGGATAATTTTTGTATTTTTTGTAGAGAAGAGGTTTCCTTATGTTGCCCAGGCTGGTCTCAAATTCCTGGGCTCAAGCGATCCATCCACCTTGGTCTCCCAAAGTACTGGGATTACAGGTGTGAGCCAGTGAGCCACCATTCCCAGCCCTTTCCTAGCATTTTTAATCATAAAAGTTTCACATTCACTTAAAAAATCTGGATAATAAAGGTCAAAGAACACAAAAGTCACCCACAATTTCACCAACCAGATATATAATGTATTTTATATAAATGAGAATCTAATGTTAACAAATGGAATAAAACATACTCTTTGGGAACCCAAATGTCAAATTTAATTTCTAATCCAAATGTTCACAAAGGAGTAGTTTTTGAAAAGAGCAAATTATGCAGAAAAGCATAGAGATGTAAGTTGGGTAAATTTTCCAAATTCTGATCAGGAAACAAATCTGACTAGAAAGAGGTGGGAACAAGAGCCACCTATACCGAACATCTGTTGACCTTTTACTAAACACTACAAGGCCTGAGGCATAAAATTTTGATAAAATTTATGATAAACTGCTAGGAGAGCACAAGTTAAAATTCAAAGCTGGGGTTCTGAAGACAGGCTGCCTGGGGTTGAATCACTGCTCCACTACTCACAAGCTCTATGTGACTGGGCAATTTAATCTCTCTCAGGTTCCTCAGAATGGGGATGATACAACCCTACCTTTTGGGATGTAATACACGTCAAGCACTCTGAACCATACTTGGTTCTTAATAAGCATGCAGTAAATGTTAGATATGGGTCTTGCAAACATCAGTGCAGCAATGGCACCACATCCTTAAAGAGCAATCTGAAGCCCTGCACATCAATGTGGATTGAATAAAGGACAGGATGAAGCTGCACACATGCCACATGCCTTTCCTTCAGCTTTGGTTCAGCAGTCTTGTGTAATACAAGTACAAATCCTTATGGCTACTATTAGAACCATTAGAACTGAGAATGACTGCCCTCCTGGGTAGCTTGTATGTGCAGACATAACATTTAAAAATCAGTATACAATCAAACTCTTATGGGGTTAACACTCACCTCTCCTTCCGGATTCTTAGAATCAGATTGCAACATTTGTTATACTCAGTACACTGTTAGAATATTGGCCTATAAAGATATGTAAGGCTTGGTATCCATCTTCTCAGAATTTAAAATCACTTAAGAGGATGATGTCAAAATACCTAAGATAACTAGGTGATTCTAGTATATTAGTTTTCTATTGCTTCTGTTAACAAAATAACCACAAATTTAGTGGCTTAAACAAAATACACTTATTATCTTACAGTTTGGGAGGTTAGGAGTCTGAAATGAAACTCATTGGGTTAAAATCAAGGAAGCAGCAGGGCTGCATATGTTCTGGAGGCTTGGAAGGTATCTGTTTCCTTGCCTCTTTTTTTTTTTTTTTTTTTTTTGAGATGGAGTTTCACTCTTGGCACCCAGGCTGGAGTGCAATGGCACGATCTCAGCTCACTGCAACCCCTGCCTCCCAGGTTCAAGTGATTCTCCTGCCTCAGCCTCCAAAGTAGCTGAGATTACAGGCACATGCCACCATGCCCAGTGAATTTTTGTATTTTTAGTAGAGATGGGGTTTCACCACATTGTTCAGGCTGGTCTTGAACTCCTGACCTCAGGCGATCCTGCCCGCCTCTGCCTCCCAAAGTGCTGGGATTACAGGCGTGAGCCACCGCGCCCAGCCTTTCCTTGCCTTTTGCAGCTTCTACAGGCCACCCACATTCCTTGGCTTGTGGCCCCCTTCAAAGCCAGCAATGTTGTGCTCAGTGCCCCCCATGCTGCATCTTTCTGATTCTGTCTTCTGCCTCCCTCTTAAGTTTTAAGAACTCTTGTGACTACATTAGGGAGCTTGGATAATTCAGGATAATCTCCCTACCTTAAGATCAGCTGATTAGCAACTCTGGCTTGATCTGCAACCTTAATTTCTCTTTACCATGTAAGCTAACATATGCACAGGTTCTGGGAAACAGGAGGTGGACATCTTTGGGGACTGCTATAGACTGAATGTTTCTATCCCCCAAAATCCATATATTTATCAAAACCTAACCCCCCAATGTGATGGTATTAGGAGGTGGAGCCTTTGGGAGGTGATTAGGTCATGAGGGCAAAGCTCTCATGAATGGGATAAAAAGGGAGCCAGAGAGCTCCCTTGTTCCTTCTGTCATATGAGGACACAGTAAGAAGATGCCTATGAAACAGAAGGTGTGCAGTCATCACTGGCTGAATCTGCCAGTGCCTTAATGTTGGACTTCCCAGCTTCCAGAACCGCAAGAAAGAAATTTCTGTTTACAATCCACTCAGTCTATACTATTTTTGTTATGACAGCCCAAATAAACTATGATCAGCCATCACTCTGCATAGTTCACCTAGTAAATTACAAAGACCAAGTAAGATAAATAAACGGTACATGAAGATTCCGTGGAGTTTAATGTCACTGCAGCTGAGGATGGTCAGGAAAGGCTGAAAGAAAAAGGTAGATTTACTCTGGCCGTTAAAGGAGAGATTCAGTTTTAAAAGCTGAACACGGGGGGAGAAGGAGTATTCAGGTGAGAGAAGGTGTAAGGACAACGCCTGGAAAATGTAAGGCGTGCAGTGGGGACAAAGAGTAGAATATTTTGGCTGAAGAATAGGTTCACAAAAGAAGGAAGAAGTGTGAACGGGAGCCAGAATAAGAAGGGCTGGGGAGTTTGATCTCTATTCTTTTTCAAAACTAACTGACCCCAGAATGGTTTGAAACTTTATAATGTATTTATTGGAGGACCATTAGAAATTAAAAGCTTTGGCCGGGTGTGGTGGCTCACGCCTGTAATCCCAGCACTTTGAGAGGCTGAGGCGGGTGGATCACGAGGTCAGGAGATTGAGATCATCCTGGCTAACACAGTGAAACCCCATCTCTACTAAAAATACAAAAATTACCTGGGCATGGTGGTGCGCGCCTGTCGTCCCAGCTACTCGGGAGGTTGAAGCAGGAGAATCGCTTAAATCAGGGAGGCAGAGGTTGCAGTGAGCTGAGATTGCGCCACTGCACTCCAGCCTGGGTGACAGAGTGAGATTCCATCTCAGAAAAAAAAAAAAAAAAAAAGGAAATTAAAAGCTTTTGAGTATAACATCTTGATGAAACACCATCAGAAGATCAATAGATACGGTGCCTGCCTGGATTAAAGCAAGCAGCCAAAAATGTCCCCTCAGATAAATGATCAAAATTTGTTTTTTCTCCAGTTTTAACACACCTAACCCACAGAAAAATCAAAACACTTACTTTAGTAAGAACAAATTAAAGATAATGCTAAATCTCACCCATTTCACACTTTTATTATACAAAACAACATGCAAAAACATTTTTACATGAGGAGGGGATCTCTTTCCCCATAATGTGACCACCTGATATTAACAGTAATGTTGCAGGTCAGGTTCTTATATCAGGCACTACCTCAGGTCTACTCCTTCATTTTGCTTTCACTGCTGTATAGTATAAAAATTGCATTTCACAAGGTTCATTGTAGCAAAGGGAAAAAGCAAAAAGCATATTTTGCAATATTTAAGTACTTTTGAAATAGGCTGTTCCAAAAATTACTGTAATATTTTCAATAGCTCATTTCCAGAATGTTAATTTGAGTTTATATTACTTTTTTTTGAAAAATGTATTGTGTATAATAGTAAACAAAACAAACAAAAAACCCTAAATGTCTAATTGTACAAAAAGGAAAAGCGTAAACAGCAAGTTTCCCTTTCTCCTACCCCTGAGCTATAATATCTTAGTTCACCTCCCCAGAGACCCGCTGCTCTCTGTGTCTCAGGTGTCCTTGCAGAGAGACTATCTTTACACTCAAATGGGAGCACACACCATAAACACCACTCTGGGCCTTGTTTCTGTCACTTTCTTCCCAGCTCTTTATAAACTACTGGTGCCATTGTTCAGCTTCACTTTAAAGTATTCAGAGCTCTGCATTTGGATTCAGGCACAATGTAAGAAACCCAAGAAGGATTTTCTTTGAAAATTGGCTTCTTTCAGCCACAAATTCATGGGGAATGAGTGTGGCTACAAAAGTTTAATTTATAATAGAAATAGAATAACATCATAAACGTGTGGTAGAAGGAAGAGGAAAACACTACTGCCACCAAATCAGGAAAAAAGAACTAGTGAGTTAAAACAATCTAATCAAGTTTGAAGCTTATGCCCAGATAATAGATTCCACAGAAGGAGGTGCTTAAAAGGAGGGGTACAAACAAGCCATCTTAACATTCTTCTATGAAGAACAGTGAAAGTATTCAGTAGGGACTCTCTTTCTGTAACGGCCTAAGTCTTTTTTTTCTTTTTTTTTTTTTTTCTGAGATGGAGTCTCACTCTGTCACCCAGGCTGGAGTGCAGTGGCGTGATCTCGGCTCATTGCAGCCTCCGCCTCCCAGGTTCAAGCAATTCTCCCGCCTCAGCCTCCTGAGTAGCTGGGATTACAGGTGCCTGCCACCACACCTGGCTAATTTTTGTATTTTTAGTAGAGATGGAGTTTGACCATGTTGGCCAGGATGGTCTTGATCTCCTGACCTCATGATCTGCCCGCTTCAGCCTCCCAAAGTGCTGGGATTACAGGCGTGAGCCACTGTGCCCGGCCAACGGCCTAAGTTAATTTGCCTTCTCTTTTGACGCTCAAGAGAAAGTCTGATGTGGTGAAATTCCTTTGTGAAATTGCTCCAGCTCTTCATCAAGGAAATTTGCATAGGGCTGTACAGCCTGCTGGGCTAGTGTTGGAGAGATGGAAAAGATAAGGAGGCCAGGGAAAAGAAGGACTGTCCCCCCTCATCTATTCCAAGATTCCCAAGAAGAAGGTGCTATGGTTTGACTGTCTCCTGTAAAACTCTTGTTGACGTTTCACCGCCATTGTGATGGTGTCAAGAAGTGATTAGGGGATGAATGGATTCGTGCTGTCATCACCAGAGTGGGTTCCTAATAAAAAGCTAGTTCATCCCCCTCTGCTCTTGCTCTGTTGCGCACTCTTGCTCTTCTACTTCCCACCATAGGGGGAGACAGCACAAAGGCTTTCACCAGATGCTGGCACCAGGCTGCTAGATTTCCCAGCCTCCAGAACTATGAGCCAGATAAATTTCTGTACATCATAAATTACCAAGACTGTGGTAATGTGTTGTAGCAACATAAGACAGACTAAGACAGAAGGGTACCCAAACAGTGGAGAGGGCCAGTAGGTGACCCCAGGCATAGCCTGGAATGGTAGGAAAGACAAACGGCATAGGGGGAACACTCCAGAGAGAACAAATGCAAGAGGCAGCTCCCCAGTAACTAACAGATTTGCCTATGGAGTCAGTTGCATTTGAATCAGCACACCACGGTATACTGATCTGGAATGAGTTACTCTCTCTGTGACTCAGTTTCCTCATCTATGATATGAGGCTAAATACTGCCTCCCTAAGAAGACTATAAGCATTAAATGAAAAAATATGGGCCAGGTGCAGTGGCTCATGGCTGTAATCCCAGTACTTTGGGAGGCTGAGGCGAGCAGATCACCTGAGGTCACAAGTTCAAGACCAGCCTAGCCAACCTGGTGAAACCCCATCTCTACTAAAAACACAAAAATCAGCTGGGCATGGTGACACATGCCTGTAGTCCCAGCTACTTGGGAGGCTGAAGCAGGAGAATCGCTTGAATCTGGGAGGCAAAGGCTGCAGTGAAAAAAAAAAAAAAGAAAAGAAAAAATATGTATTAAGAAAAAGCTTAGAATGATGCCTGGCATATTGTGAGTACTCAATAAATGTTTGCCCCATGGATTACAGCAGCGGTCTTCAAAATGGGCTAAGGCCTACCTGGCTTTAGGCACCTGCCCCCTTGCTTTTTCTCAACCATGCCAGGAATCCTCCTGCCTCAAATTCTTTGTATGTGCAGCTTCCTAGGTCCCAAATGCTCTTCCCGTTATCTGCATGACTGGCTCCCTCACCACTCCAGGTCCTGCTCAGATGTCACCTTCATAGTGGGATCTTCCATTACCACCGAGAAGTACTCTCTCTTCCTCCTTCTGTTTTTTCTTTCTCCATACCACGTCACCATCTTATAAGTCATATTTTTCTATTTTTGAGACAGGGTCTGGCTCTGTCACCCAGGCTGGAGTGCAGTGGCAAGATCTCAACACACTGTGGCCTTAACCTCCCAGGTTCCAGTGATTCTCCTACCTCAGCCTCCCAAATAGCTGGGACTACAGGTGCATACCACCACACCTGGCTAATTTTTGTATGTTTTTGGTAGAGATGGGGTCTTGCCATATTGCCCAGGCTGGTCTCCAACTCCTGAGCTCAAGCAATCTACCTGCCTTGGCCTCCCAAAGTGCTAGGATTACAGGCATGAGCCACCGTGGCCAGCCTTAAATTGTCTACCCACCCATCACTCCCTCTTCCCTATCAATAACACATAAGCTCTGTGAGGGCAGGTATTTTGTTTACTGATATATTTCTAATACTCAGAGAGCACTAGCATACTGCAGGTGCTCAATAAATATTCACTGAATCAACAAATGACTATTTCACAATATAGCCATTCTCCTGTTTAGGTACATTTAGACACATATATTGCTTCCAATTTTGGCTGTTACAAACAATGATGTGATGGACATTTTTGTATATATGTCCTTGTGCACATGTGCGTTTATCTAGAAGTGGAACTACTGTATGATGGATTAGGCACATCTTTAATTTACTAGTTATTACCAATCCACTCTCCAAAGTGGTACTTATTTGTATTCCCACCTGCAAGGTATGTGACTCCTGTTTCACCTTGACATTACTTAACATTATCAGATTTAATTTTTTGCCAGTGTAAGACATGGTATTTCATTTTAGTTTTAATTGGCATTGACCTAGTTACTAGTGAGTTTGAACATCTTTTGTGTGTTTATTGGTCATTTTGACTTCTTCCCTGTGAATTGCCTGCTCATATTTTTTTGCCAGCATTTTTAATATATTCTGGATATCAATATTTTATCAGTTTTATGTGCAGCACGTATCTTCTACAGTGTTTATCATTGTCTCTTATAACTTTTTTTTTTTTGAGATGGAGTCTCACTCTGTCGCCCAGGCTGGAGTGCAGTGGCATGATCTCGGCTCACTGCAACCTCTGCCTCCCGGGCTCAAGTGATTCTCCTGCCTCAGCCTCCCGAGTAGCTGGGATTACAGGCACGTGCCACTACGCTCAGCTAATTTTTGTATTTTTAGTAGAGACAAGGTTTCACCACGTTGGCCAGGCTGGTCTCAAACTCCTGACCTCAGGTGATCCACCTCCCTTGGCCTCCCAAAGTGTTGGGATTACAGGCGTGAGCCACCACGCCTGGCCAATTGTCTCTTATAACTTTTTAAAAGTGGTTTTTTGATGCACAGAAGTTAGTTTCATTTCTTAAAGACAAATTATCCCATGTTAATTACATCTTAAAGGTGCTTAGAATTTTTCTTACATATATAGATTTAAAAATATATTTTGGAAAAACTACTCAGGCATTTATTTTTCAGCAAGATCTTTTACTATCTTATAGAATACATGTCTTCCATGCACAGATTTGGGGACATCCTTCTCTAAAAAAGAGGGATGGACAGGAGAGTTTTTAGGGTGTTTTTTTGTTTGCTTAAAGTTTATTTTTAGAGACAAGGTCTCACTATATTACCCAGGCTGGCCTCGAACTCCTGACTCAGGCAATTCTCCCACCTCATCCTCCCAGGTAGGTGGGAGTCCAGGCATATGGCACCACACTGTGGCTCAGGATAGGAGGTTTCTGAGCAGAGTACAGACATGATGGAAGCAGAGTATAGGAGCAGAGAATACTTCTTATTGTTCTCTTAATGTTTTATGTGGGGGATTTTGCCTCCACCATCTTGAGCTTATATAGTTGTTTAAAAAATCTTGACTGATTTACACAACAGTGGAACTTATTCCATTTGAAGGTTTCGTTTTATCCAAACATTAGAGGAGGCTGAAGTCATTCTGCATACTACTCCACCAAGAGCCTAGGAAATCCCTCTACTGAAATACATTACTTCATATATGAAAGGCTTAATGTTGTTGTAATGTTCTGGTTATTACAAAAGATTTAAGATCTGAAATGAAGTAATGGGATCCAGGCAGATATGTTCATTTTTGTTTACCTAAATGCCTGATGATTGTCAATGGATTATTAAACGCCTAAACTTTAGCATGACATAGTAGGCCATGAGCCCATAGTTCCTTCCCTCAGATTGTCAAGGAAACACTCTAGACTCCTTATCAAGTTTGATCCTTTAAAGATAGGAAAGTTAAGAGGCTGCTTCTTGAAACTCAATTCTGATCCTCTTTTTTCCTTCTCAATTACAGTCTCAGGTGGACATGTTGATAATTTAAATGATGTTTAATTTCTTCACTGATTCCAACCTTTTATTTCTTTTGACTTCTACTTATCTCAACACAATTCTACATCCTAGATTGCTAGAGTTAATAGTAAGGTTGTCTGGGCATTGTTAGCCAAGTAACATAACTTATTCAGATCAACAAAAAATGTGCTATGAGAACATAAACTAATTTAACTTCAATAAAGAATATTACCTTTTCAAATATCATATTATTAATAATGTTTTAATGAAAGAAAGTACTGAATAATTTATAAGTAATCAAACTAAGACAACATGAGAAATTACTCTAATTACTCATATTACTCTAATTACTCTAAATTACTACAAACTAAGGCAATATGAGAGAAAACTAAAGACAATTTTAAAGCATTCAACATAAATGTCTATAACTCCACATGTGTATAAAGGAAAAATAATTTTATGATAAATTACCTGATGAACAATCAGGAACAATGGTTTGTTTCACTAAGAAATGCTTGCTTTAATTTTATCACCGTCCTATAAATGCTCTATTTTATGTAATAAGGTAGCATCAATTATTTCCGTCTGCTAATAGATTTAGCTATTAAGAGAGTCATTATAGCCTGGACGCAGTAATTCCAGCACTTTGGAAGGCCAAAGCAGGAGCATTGCTTGAGGCCGGGAGTTCGAGACCAGCCTGTGCAACATAGTGAGACCCTGTCTCTATAAAGAATTAAAAAATTAGCCAGGCATGGTGGCAGCACCTATGGTCCCAGCTACTCAGGAGGCTGAAGTGACAGGATCACTTGAGCCTAGGAGGTTGCAGCTGCACTGAGCCGTGATCATGCCACTGCACTCCAGCCTGAACCACTGAGCGAGACCTGTCTCTTAAAATAAAAAAAAAGAAAACAAACCAAAGAGTAAGAGTGATGGCCCTAGTGAATAATACTGTGTCTTTTTTCACCATATCTAATAACACATCTTTCTAAAACTTGATTGAGACTATTCACCAGAAATTATAAATTGTAAACTTCACTACTGACAGTTGGCAAAGGATACACGGAAGAATTCAATTCTTCTAGCTGCAAAACAAAGAAACAAATTTATTTTTAATTTGTATAAAATAAATATAAATCGACGGTGATCTCGCCACTGCACTACAGCCTGGGAGACAGAGTGTGACCCCATCTCAAAAAATAAATAAATAGGCCAGGCACGGTGGCTCATGCCTGTAATCCCAGCACTTTCGGAGGCCAAGGCAGGTGGATCATGAGGTTAGGAGTTCGAGACCAGCCTGGCTAAGATGGTGAAACCCATCTCTACTAAAAAATACAAAAATTAGCTGGGCATGGTGGTGGGTGCCTGTAATCCCAGCTACTCGGGAGGCTGAGGCAGGAGAATCACTTGAACCCGGGAGGCAGAGGTTGCAGTGAGCCGAGATCACACCACTGCACTCTAGCCTGGACGACAGAGCAAGACTCTGTCTCAAAAAAAATAAATAAATAAAAATAAACAAAAAATAAATAGAGAGATTCATTATAGACCATAAAAAGATGGTAAATTAATTTTAACACTGTAGAACTTCTTACTCCAAAAACATGTCTGGTTCTTCGAATTTCTCTTTATCGTTTGCTAGTGTGTAATATGCTCTCTTTTTTTTAATCATTTTGCTAATTTGTGAAAAAATGTTGTTTTATTTAGCAGGAAACAAATTCTGTCTCACAAGTTGGGGCCTAGTCTCTGTTAGGTCAGACTGGAAGAACAGTAAGGGCACTCCCACATTCCAGGGAGAGAGTAAATGATAACTGGCAGGGACGTGGAATCTCTGTAAAGCACATATGGGAATTCTTAGATAGGAAGTGTACTCTAAACAGAGTCCTCTTGAGAAAATCTCCGATGGAAAATTGAAAAATTTAACAATTACTGAATTACCATCAGCATTCCAAGAACATTTTTCTTTTTTCAGACCCTACTAAATGAATCAACCTTGCAAAACTGGAAAATAAAACTAAAATATTTAATATAAAAATACATATTCCTTTCTTTTCTTTTCTTCTTCTTCTTTTTTTTTTTTTTAAGACGGAGTTTCACTCTTGTTGCCCAGGCTGGAGTGCAATGGCGTGATCTCAGCCCACTGCAACCTTCACCCCCTGGGTTCATGCGATTCTCCTGCCTCAGCCTCCCAAGTAGCTGGAATTACAGGCACCCACCACCACACCCAGCTAATTTTTTGTATTTTTAGTAGAGATGGGGTTTCACTGTGTTGGCCAGGCTGGTCTCAAACTTCTGACCTCAGGTGATCTGTCCACCTTGGCCTCCCAAAGTGCTGGGATTACAGGTGTGAGCCACCACACCTGGCCAAAAACACATATTCCTTTTCTATACTGTTTCAATTTATCATTCTTCCAGTGATAAATTGAAAAAGTAACATTTATCACTTTGTTGGTATAGTAAATTTATAAGTGACATCAAGATTTAGGAAGAGCTTCAAAGCATGTAGAAGAAGAGAAAGTCAAGGTTTTATAAGAAAATGTATAAATAAAATATTGGGGAAGTGTGCAGGGAGAAAACAATAAAATTTTTGGCAGCCGTGACTGAAAATACGCAAGGTGACATACATAAGATGGTACTGACAGGAAGAAGGAAAATAGGAAAAGATCTGAAAATCACAAATGTACCTAATTGTTTCAAAAGGCTGTACTAGAGAATACATGAATGACATTACAGCTTAAAGGGAATGTAGGGTGATCCTCCCTTTCAGAATTGGCCAAACAAATCCCTAGTTATTGTTCTTGCTATATGAGGAAAACACTAAGATCCTGTTTACCTTCTTTTGGTCTAGTGTAGATTTCTCTCCTACCTGGTCTGAAGCTCACACTAGTAGTGCCACCCCTTCAGATTACATAATACATATGGGCCATTGGCCCAGAAGGATACAATTGCACCCAGTGATGGTGAAAACCCTTCCTCTCCTTAGCATGAATTATCTTGTCAGATCACACAATCGCTCTTGGATTCAGGCCCTCCCTCTCTCCCTGCTCCCTCTCTCCCTTCTGCTGAGTGCCTATTTCTTTTAGGCAGTAACTTAGACTCCGTGTATCTAAAAATGAATAGAATATAGTCTTTTTCCTTTAGGAGCTCACTATCTGGAAGAAAATACCAATAGGGAAACAATTAAATACAATGCAACACAATACATTTTTCTACTACAATTGGCAAAGGTTGAAATGAAAAATAATATCCAGTATTAGCTAGAATTTGAGGAAACAGAGCACTGAATAGGTAACAATTTTTCTGGAGGAAAATTTAGTACTATGTACCAAAAGCCCTTTAAAAAATAAAGTGAATGCAGTTTGCTTCAGACACTCTACATCACTAAGAATTATCTAATAAAACAATCAGACAATTGTGACCATCATGGGCAATATAGGAAGACCCCATCTCTAAGAAACATATTTTGAAAAGTAGCCAGGCATGGTGGGGTGTACCTGTAGGCCCAACTACTTGGGAGGCTGAGGAGGGAGGATTACTTGAGCCCAGCAGTTCAAGGCCACAGTGGGCTTTGATCACACTAGTGCACTCCAGCCAGGGCGACAAAGTGAGAACCAGTGTCTAAACATAATAATAATTATTGGACAAATTTGCAAAGATGTTCGCACAAATATATCTATTGTAGCATTGGTTGTAATAGTGAAAATGCCACAGTGAATCCCTGAGTGTCCAGTAATAGGTGATTATATGCTACATCCATACAACAGAATACAATTATCACCATCAAGAAGGCTACAGATTTATACGTATCAAGTAAAAAATATGCCTTTGACACATATATGAGCAAAAAAAGGTTACAAAACATAAAATAGATGCGATGAAAATGGTACTTTTCCTCTGTGGTCTTTCTCCCCAAAACCTATCACCCCAGTCTAACTATGGGAAAAACATCAGAAAAGTAAATTCCAATAAAGGGGCATCCTACAATATCCCTGACCAGTACTCTTCAAAATTTCCAAGTTCTCTGTAATTAGTCTGTTTTCACACTGCTATAAAGAAATACCTGAGACTGGGTAATTTATAAAGGAAAGAGGTTTAATGGATTCACAATTCCACATGGCTGGGGAGGCCTCAGGAAACTTACAATCACGGCCAAAGGGGAAGCAAGGCACCTTCACAAGGCAGCAGGATGGAGTGAGTGTGAGAGTCCAGGAAAAGCTACCATTTATAAAACTATCAGATCTCCTGAGAATTCACTCATTATCATGAGAACAGCATGGGGGAAACTGACCCCATAATCCAATCACTTCCCTCCCTCAACACACGGGGATTACAATTCGAGATGAGATTTGGAGGGGGACACGGAGCCAAATCATATCAGTCATCAACACAGGAAACCCTAGAAACTGTCACAACCAAGAGGTCTCTAAGGAGATATGACAACAAAAAGTAATGTGGTATCCTGGATGGGATTCTAAAACAGAAAAATAACATGAGGTAAACACTAAGGAAATCACAATAATCTACAGATTTCAGCTAACAATGCATCAATATTGGCTCATTAATCGTAACAAATGTATCACACTAATGTAACACGTTAATAATGTGGTGGAATGAATATGGGACCCCCGTACTGTCTTTGCAATTTTCCTATAAGTCTAGAAGTGCTTTAAAAACTAAAGTATATTTAATGAAAAACAATATAGTGTAAACTATTTTTAGAAGATATATATTTACTGGCCGAGTGCAGCGGCTCACGCCTGTAATCCCAGCACTTTGGGAGGCCAAGATGGGCTGAGGTCAGGAGTTCAAGAACAGTCTGGCTAACATGGTAAAACCCCATCTCTACTAAAAATACAAAAATCAGCCAGGTGTGGTGGTGAGTGCCTGTAATCCCAGCTGCTCGGGAGGCTGAGGTGTGAGAATCTCTTGAACCCAGGAGGCAGAGGTTGGAGTGAGCTGAGATCACACCACTGCACTCCAGTCTGGGTGACAGAGTGAGACTCCGTCTCTACAAAATAAAAAGATATATATGCATAGGAAAAAGTGTGGAAGTGGAAAGATATATGGCAAGGTGTTAATGTTTTTCAGTCAGGTTTATTGAGTTATAATTTATAAATAATAAAATGTACTATTTTTAGTGTACAGTTCTATTAATTTTAATAAAACATATACTCATGTAACTACCACCACAATCAACATATAGGACATTCCCATTAGCCCTGATGCTTTTTGTAGCCCAGATCCTGGCAACCACTGTTTCTTTCCCTATAGTTTCGGCCTTTTCTAGGATATCATATAAATGAAATCATACAGGATGTACCCTATTGATTAAAATTGGGGTTTTCCCCTTTAGAATGTGAAATTTTGGATAATAATTTCCTTACTCTTGTTATATTGGTTATTTACATTTTCTAACTCTATAATAAACTTTACTTTTGCAATTTAGAAAAATAAAAGTAAAAAAATTATGATGGGTATTGTAATAAGAGAGGCAATAAAACTAACAGATTACATATGAGGACAATTTTTGTTTTTGATATTTAAGTTGCAGAATTACTTTACTAAGGAGTTAAATTTTATTTTTATTTTTATTTTTTTGAGATGGAATTTTGCTCTTGTTGCCCAGGCTGGAGTGCAATGGCACAATCTCAGCTCACCGCAACCTCTGCCTCCTGGGTTCAAATGATTCTCCTGCCTCAGTCTCCTGAGTAGCTGGGATTACAGGCATGCGCCACCACGCCCTCCTAATTTTGTATTTTTAGTAGAGACGGGGTTTTTCCATGTTGGTCAGCCTGGTCTCAAACTCCTGACCTCAGGTGATCTGCCCACCTTGGCCTCCCAAAGTGCTGGAATTACAGGCGTGAGCCACTGCGCCCGGCCTTTTTTTTAGACAGAGTCTCGCCCTGTCACCCAGGCTGGAGTGCAGTGGTACAATCTCAGCTCACTGCAACCTCCACCTCCCAGGCTCAAGTGATTCTCCTGCCTCAGCCTCCTGAGTAGCAGGGACTATAGGCATGTACCGCCACGCCTGGCTAATTTTTGTATTTTCAGTAGAGACAGGGTTTTGCCATGTTGGCCAGGCTGGTCTCAAACTCTTGACCTCATGTGGTCTGCCTGCCTCAGCCTACCAAAGTGCTGGGATTACAGGCATGCACCACCATGCTCAGCCCAAGGAATTAATTTTGAGAGACAACAGAAGTTAAGAGGTGAGCTCTAGGATTAGCCAGAGCTAGGTAAAAATCCTAGCTGTACTACTGGCTGGTTGTGTGACTTACAAAAGGCTAGTTAGTATATTTTACCTTCAATAATCCTCACTTTCAAATTGGGTTAAATACAGTACTTGTCTTCTAAGGTTTTGAAAAGGCTTAGATGGTAGCCGGGCATTGTGGCAGCACCTGCAATCCCAGCTACTCAGGAGGCTGAGGCAGAAGAATCGCTTGAACCCGGGATGTGGAGGTTGCGGTGAGCTGAGATCGCGCCACTGCACTCCAGCCTGGGCAACAAAGGGAAACTCCGTATCAAAAAAAAAAAAAAAGAAGAAAAACCAAAAAGGCATAGATGAGACTGTGCATGTAAATCACGGGTATTTATTAACTTTAAACTGCTGAAATTATTTGTATTGTTTATTTGGCTATTCTTGCACTCTTGATATTTTTGTTATCTCTGTTGAGCTCTGGAGGTGTTTAGATATGGAAGAGCATTCTACGTCAGGGAACAGAATGTGCAAAAACAGAGTCATGGAAGTGCCTCCAAAGACAGAGAATAGCAAGTGGCGGCAGAGTAAGGGGGTGTGGAGATCACAGAGCCCAGGCATAAAGGACCTGGTGAGCCAGTTTAGCTTCATCCTTAGGCCTGAAGACAGGAACGGTTTTGTTTGCCCAAAAAGGTGTATGTGTCTATATATACATATGAACACACACACACACACACACACACACACACACATCTCATGTCTCTCATTGAACCTTTATGCCAGGTTAGTCCCCCCTTCCTCCCCTCCCCATGCTACCAAAGCATTTTATTCCTGTCTCCATGACTGCACTTTACCACATGGTGCATTGTGATTGCTTGTTTACAAACCTGACTCTCCCAATAGACTGTGAACTCCTACAGACTGTCTCCCACCTCACAGCTAACCTCTGAGGAAGGTCTCATTATGACTCCAACTTCACAGGAAAGAAACGGGGTTCTGAGAGTTCAAATTATTTGCCCAAAATTACACAGCTAGAACTAGGATTTGAACCCAGGCAGCCCATCTCTGAACCCAGTTTCCTGGCTAACACTAACATTCTATAGCATACATAGTAGATGGTAAATAAATATCTAGATCCTTCCCTTGTTCAACAGTTACTGGTGGTTAAGGGAGAGAGGCCCCTATCGTGGCCACAGATGAGTATGGATCACAGGAAGGGTCACCCTTGCCCCTCCTGACCCCCCAGTCATGCTTTCTATTCAATGCTCTCACATACAGCACCTCACCTAATGCTTACAACAAAACCATGAAGTGGGTAAAATCATCCGTTTTCGCAGCTTAGGAAAGAGGGGCTCAAAGACTTTAACTCACAAAAGGAGAACTAGTTAGGTAGCAGAGTTGGAACTCTGTTCCCCCAACAATAAGTCCAGGACTCTTTCCCCTTCACTCTCATGACCTCATATCTAATGCTCTGGGAGAGGAAAGAGGGTAGAAGGGGTGTCCAAAGACAACTACTTTGAGGTCGAAATTGGACTCTTTCTTAAGGACATAAGACCATCATCTGGAGTAGGGGCCCCTGGTAAGTCCACTATTGCCATGGCTGTGGTACATGAACCACAGTGGGTTGTCATACATCTGAACAAGTTAGAACAAACCATAATACAGGGCAATATCCCTTCCATTTTCCCCTCCCTTTTCATGTAAATAATTATGTAAAGTCAAATTCTTCCCTGTTTTTTCTTTCCAGGTCTCAGCTCAGTTATTTCCACCCCAGCAATCTCTTTCTCACACCCCACAAGCATGTACTTGTTAATCCTCTTCCACCTTTTATTAACCATTATCCAGTTACTCAAGTAAATCTTTCTCTTTCTGACAGCGTTTGTTCCATTTATAAACTCCAAAACAACTCCATTACAGTTGACAAGCACAAAAGTACTATTCATCATATACCTAAATTAAGGGAAAGACCAGCCATTTACCTTGAACCGTTCTAGACTCAGAGACCACCATGTACCATCCTAGATGGTCATCAGATGTCCCCTTCACAATCTTCTCAGATGGTTCAGGTCCTTCTTTATCCTAAGCTAATGAAACTGTAGTGTACAGTGGTTAATGTGCTTGTGGTTGGTCCAAATCCCATTTCCACTATTCAGTAGCTGTATAATTTGGAGCAGCTGTTTAACCTTTGCCCCAATTTCCTTATCTGTAAAGAGGGATCATAAAGGAATCTGCCTCTTAGGGTTACACGAACTAAAAGGGTTAATTCATATAAGCACTTAAGAATGGTCAGGAACAAGGCAAGAGCAAAATAAACATAGGTTATATTTTTTCAAACATGAGCATTCAATATTTAAAGAGCTTTTCAATGGGCGGACATGGTGGCTCACACCTGCAATCCCAGCACTTTCGGAGGCTGAGGCAGGTGGATCACTTGAGGTCAGGAGTTCGAGACCAGCCTGGCCAGCATGGTGAAACCCTGTCTCTACTAAAAATACAAAAATTAGTCAGGCATGGTGGTGCGCACCTGTAGTCCCAGCTACTTGGGAGGCTGTGGCATGAGAATTGCTTGAATCCAGGAAGCGGAGGTTGCAATGAGCCCAGATGACACCACTGCACTCTAGCTTGGGCGACACAGCAAGACTCTGTCTGAAAGAAAAAAAAAAGCTTTTTAAATTTTTACTCTTAAAAAATACAACCTTTTTTTTTTAAAAAAAAAACATACTTTTAACTGCAAATACAGTGTTTCACTCATATAATCAATTAATTATATACCTTTACTAGGTAACCAAAAGACCTGACTGCCACTCATAATATTGTTTCTATGGAAAATTTATTTGAGTTCAGGAATTTATTTACAAATGAAATTTTGAAGCACAGTTTACCTGGAAGACAGAATGTTTATATTAAATATCCAAATGTGTATAAATCTATATCTCATTTGATTTACCAGAAAGTCCTTTACATTTTGAAAGAGAATTTACTTCCTAAGCAATTCATCTGTTTCTGTTATCATAGCTGCTATGGATCAGGTACTCCTGGAAAATATAAATTAGAGGGTGAAGGGGCCTGGGATCTTTTCCATTGTTCACAGGGTCTGGCTTTTGCAACCAGACTCACAGGTGCTGTAAAACACTGCATGTATATAAAATAATTAGGCTTTACCATCTGCACTTGCTAGAGAGCTCAGTTTCCCGAAGATAAGTTACTCAGCTGAGGGGCTTGACTCCAAACTGGTAGAGCACAAAAAGCAATCAAGTTAGACTTACAAGAAAGCTGCCCCTGCCTGCTAATTCCTTTTTATCTCTCCAAATAAGGAAACACCATTTTTTGCCTTGCAGACTTGAAGTTCTGTTTTGTTTTATTTATTTGTTTATTTATTTAGAGATAGAGTCTCACTCTTATCACCTAGGCTGGAGTGCAATGGCACCATCATGGTGCACTACCACTTCGAACGCCTGGGCTCAAGCAATCCTCCTGCCTCAGCCTCCCAAATCGCTGTTAACTACAGGTGCACACCACTGTGTCAGGCTAAATTTTTTATTTTTGGTAGAAGTGGGGCCTCCCTTAACGTTCTGTTATTTTGGAATTAACAGTAACAACAGAATATTTGTTGGTAAGGTTGCCAGATTTAGCTAAGGAAATTACAGATCTCTCAGTTAAATCTGAATTTCAGAAAAACAAGGAAGACTTTTTTAGTGTATGCACTACATATTGCATGAGACATATGAATAAAGTATTCCTTGTTTATCTGAAACTTAGATTTGACTGGCCATTCTACTTAATCTGGTTACCCTGTTTGTTGAAAGTTAATTACTTCTTTATGAAAAAAAATAGGGTCTCACTGTGTTGCCCAGGTTGGTCTTGAACTCCTGGGCTCAAGCGATGCTTCCATCTCAGCCTCCCAAAATGCTAGGATTACAGGAATGAGCCACCGTGCTTGGCCTGGAAGTGAATTACTTCTAAACATATTACTGCTCTCTGTCTCTTTCTGTCCCTGTGTCTCTCTCTCTCCTCTCTCTCACTCTTTCTCACTCTCTCTCTCACAAACACACACACACACAGATTTTCATACTTTGAAGAAATCCATACATTTTGTAAACAAAGCACACCAATTTGTATTTACCTTCAAGGTTTAGGAAACTGGTTGAATTCAGGAACTACCAATAATTCTCATTTATATTGAAATTGGGGAATAAATCTATAATCTCATGTAATCATATTCTATCACTTACTTAGTTCTGTACAATTATAGAAATGAGCTACAGAATTGAATTTTTATTTTAAATACATTTCTGTTCTCCTTTCTCAAAAAGTAAATGGAATCTGTGGTCTCAAAACAATTTAATATGATAAAATACTGCCACCTGGAGATCAGAGGCAGGTATGACTAAGATGAACCTGATTTCCAATTCTGGAATAAGAAATGTGAGTTATGTTGACACTTGATTTAATAATGCCATTCTGCCACTTGGTATCATATGAATCTAATTTTTCCTCATTTATTCATTCATTTAATGAACATTTGTTAAGTTTCTGTTACATGCCAGACACTATACTAAGCTTTGAGAATATAAAGATGTATACGACCTACTTCCTTCGAGCGGTTTGTCATTTTCCCATTCAACTTGGACTTAGTCTAAGCTCCTGCTTCATCTGACACAGTTCAGTTTTTGGACTTCCTTATTGTTACACACATTTCATCTTCAATCTCCATGAAATCTCCCAAAGATGTGGAACACAACCCCTTTTCTTTGATTATCATAATGATTCATTCATGACAAGCTGTGAGCTTATAGAGGACTTATGTTGCTGTCTGGGAGCATGGGGGATGTGTGTGCCTGTGTGTGTGTCAGTGTGTGCATTTACAGTAACATTAACAGTTGCAAATTGAATAACAGACTTTCTCTTTTTAAAGTCTTCCTCCTTCCTACCACTTTGACAGGCCTTTCTCCCTCTGCCTCTGACCTCTTTTTTTTTTTGGCTATCTCTTAGCAATAATCCCAACCCCCAAACTCACCCCAGTGAACAATTCTTCCAACTTTATTATACAGAATAATTCAATGTTCTCAATCTCATATCCTTAAACTCAGCCTCCTGCCCACCTGTGCACATCCAACTCTCAGACAACACAATGGGTCTTCTACCTAGAGTCTCATCCCTTCTCTTGCCCCTATATTTAATATTTCCCCACTGACAGGAATTATGCCAATTTCTTAAAATTCAGAGTGGTAGCAGTTTGGGTTTTAAACAAATACTTTAAAATAGAGATATAAACGAAGTGTTATGGAAGCTTTTTCTTTGCTTCCCTTCCTCCTTCCCTCTCTTTCTTCTCCTTCTTTCCTTTCTTCTTTCTCGCCTCCCTTCCTTCCTCTTCCTCTGCTATATTGTAAGCTATCTCTACACATATTTCTTAGCAGCCTTGTGGTTCTCCATGATAATACTGCTGAATTTGGACTAAAATTCAAGAAAAAGAGAGAAAACTGAAGGAAGGGTTGTAATGCACTACTGCCAGTCTGCTTACCCATGATATCCTTTGCTGTCTGGTTAAGTCTGTAACACAAACCTTCTTCTAAAGCTGGAGTGTTCATGTGGCAAGAACCAAGAACCTGGATACAGGATACTGGGAGAACGAATCATCTTCCTATCTTGCTGATAACCATCCCCTAATCCTGTTTACTCTTGGCCTTAAAAAGGAAGTCTGAACTTGAAGTTGGATTAAAAGTAAATTTTGTAGAATCATAACCTGAAACCATCCCAAATATTACGTTTTTTTTTGTTTTGTTTTGTTTTTTAAAGAACCAATCAGTCAATGATTCCCCTAAGCTTTAGGATGGTTTCCTTCTTCAAACCACTTGGCAGAAAGGCCGGTGTAGCCAGAATTGCTCTGCTAAGAAAAAAAGAGCACTTGCCTGGGCAGTAGTGATGCCATCTGATTAGCATTATGACTGGGCCTACTTTGGTTTAAAGAGGGGTTGCTGGAATCACTTTACTTTCGGAAATAAAATCAGGAAGTTTCATTCATTCCTACCTCATTTATTGAGCACCTACTTTATGTTATGTTCTTTGCAATGTGCTTAGGATACAAAAATCAAATAAAACATATTTGCCCTCAAGGAAGTTATAGCCTAGTGATGAAGGCAGTTTATAAAAAACCATATATGTAGGAATGTTGTAAATGTCTATCCATATAACTTATTATTTTTTTTTTTTTTTTGAGATGGAGTCTTGCACTGTCACCAGGCTGGAGTGCAGTGGCACAATCTCGGCTCACTGCAACCTCCGCCTCCCATGTTCAAGCGATTCTCCTGCCTCAGCCTCCCGAGTAGCTGGGACTACAGGCATGTGCCACCACACCCAGCTAATTTTTGTATTTTTAGTAGAGACACGGTTTCACCATGTTGGCCAGGATGGTCTCCATCTCTTGACCTTGTGATCCGCCTGCCTCAGCCTCCCAAAGTGCTGGGATTACAGGCATGAGCCACCGCACCTGGCCCATATAACTTTTAAAGTCTGATTTTGCCCCTTGTTTTTCCAAAGCCATTAACAACAACAACAACAACAAAATACTTAAATTGGTAAGGGCCTCTGTGTTCATTTTTGGGCCTCTCACTAATACTTAAGATGTACAGCCTAGAGGCTGGGCACAGTGGCTCATGCCTGTAATCCCAGCACTTTGGGAGGCTGAGGCGGGGGGATCACGAGGTCAGGAGATGGAGACCTTCCTGGCCAACATGGTAAAATCCCGTCTTTACTAAAAATACAAAAATTAGCTGGGTGTGGTGGCACCTGCCTGTAATCCCAGATATTCAGAAGGCTGAGGCACGAGAATCGCTTGAACTTGGGAGGCGGAGGTTGCAGTGAGCCAAGATTCTGCCACTGCACTCCAGCCTGGTGACAGAGTGAGACTCTGTCTCAAAAAAAAAAAAGTGTACAGCCTGGAGTAGACAAGAGATGGGGTTTCCCCCAACTCCCGGTCTGGTGCACTTTCCATGACACCATACCATGCTCCTCCATAAATGGTGGCTCCCAGCTCTTCACCACGTGGTTCTTCCTTTCACTATTAACAGTTCCCAAAAGGCTTGCTCATCTACAATAGCACAGCTCTGAAGGCCTTCAGTGCTGGATAGTTCAGATCCAGTCTCTTGGCACCCTTTTTAGAGGGTGTCTCAAGGAATCTTACCAAGTTTTATAATAGTAGTCATAGTACAGTATGGCTTTTGAAATAACTTATTTTTTCAGGTCTGAGCTGTAAAGCAAGCCTATATAACACCTCACTATGGCCCATTTCTCTTAACTGGCCTTCCTGTTTCCATTCTTCTATAGAATAATCTTTTAAAAATGTAACTTAGACCATGTCATGCCTTAAAACTCTCCAATGCCTATTGCTGTGCTTAGGGGAAAAAATACAGATTTCTTATATTGGTTTAAAAAACCCTTCCTGACCTGACCCTCTGGCAACCTTGGGGACTTCATCTCATACTACTTCTTGTCCCCCTGCACTCCAGACCACTACGCTGGCATTCTTTCAGTTCCGTGAACATGCCGAGCTCATTTCTGCTTTATGACTTCTTATCTTTTTTCTTAGCTGTTTCCTGAGCCAGACACGCAAAGAAGCATTAAGCAGTTACTATCTTGGCCAAGGCATTCCGGCATCAGGGGAAATGGAAGTGGAAGCACACTTAGAAAATGATGGATAGGCTTCTGGGTAAAAACAAACAAAAACAAGAAACAAACAAAAAACATCTCTTCCCTATAAGAACCACAAAGGACAATACAGGAATGACTGTGCTTCAGGCACTGAGAGTATCCATTTGCTTTGAGATACCTGCCTTCCCCTTTAGAGCAACAGTCCCCAATCTTTTTGGCACCAGGGACCAGTTTAGTGGAAAACAATCTTTCCATGGATGGGGCGGGGTGGGGGTTGGGGATGAAACTGAAACTGTTCCACCTGAGATCATCAGGCTTTCGTTAGATTCTCATAAGGACCACCGCCCACCTAGATCCCTTGCATGCGCAGTTCACATTAGGGCTCAGGCTCCTATGAGAATCTCATGCCACTGCTGATCTGACAGTAGGTGGGAGCTCAGGTGGTAATGCTCCCTCACTGGCTGCTCACCTCCTGCTGTGTGGCCCAGTTCCTAACAGGCCACGGACTAGTTCCAGTCTACAGCTGGAGGCTGGGGACTCCTGCTTTCATAGCGCCCTAACTTTCTGAAGGGAAAGGACAATGCATGTTTGTAGCTCAACTAATGAGGCTGTACAAGAGAGGCTTCCAAACCCATTCATCACCTGAGGACCTTACAGAAAGAGAGGTTCCTGACTCAAGTAAAATGTGAAAAAAGTTATGACACTTCTGATTCGAATGGAAACTTGAATACTTACTGAATATTTAATAACATTAATCATTCATTGCTGCTTAGGAATCATAAAGGCATTGTGGTGAAGTCTTTAAAAGTTTTAATCTTTTAGCAATCTATATTAAAATATTAGGGATTAAATTATATCTGAGATTTACTTCAACATAATACTAGAGACTGAAAAATGTCAGAAGAGGGGCTTTTTTTTTTTACAGGTTTCATCTGAATACATATTTATCAGATCAATATTACAGGTTATCACATTATCTACTACATACAGCTTTGCAAGACAGAAATCACAGTTTTCTGGCCAAGGTATGAAATGATTGCATTGTATATACAATGTACAAGGACAATGACAGTTTCTGGGTGATTTACTTCTAGCTGCACTTGTGGGTGTGTTTACGCGTGTCCATGTGAATCACCTGAGATTATGATATCAAAAATTTATAAGTATAAATTCGGTTATAATTTTCTTCTCAAATGCCTGTTTCTTTTCTTATCCTCATAGCACCCTAAAAAATAACATAACAAAAATTCCATTCCATAAAGGATCAGGGTCAACGTCACTGGTAACAGCTATAATCGACATCATTGGCCAGGGGTTAATGGCTGGATGAGGGATTCATTATAGTCTTCTGTCTTCCTCAGTATATGTTTGAAATTTTCCATAAGACAAATTTTTTTTAAATAGAGATTTCTGGGCCCCCAGCAGATTTTTCTCTCAATGGCTCTCCACTGCCACTACTAGGAAATTCGCCAGCAGTATTCCTCCTTACCTACCTATGCTATACAATGTATGAGTACTGGGAGGCAGGGGAAGGGTCTTGTTAATCAAAGCTCCCATCCTCTAAATATAATCCTCAGGAAGAAAGTATATGATTGGAGTAATTTATACAAGGTCTGCATTTAACAGTTAATCCAAAGAATGGATGCTTACAGTTTAAAGGAATTAAAGGAAAATCTAGAAAATCTGAAAGATCATTTCTCTCAGGGAGGAACTCTAGATTTTAGATTAAAGAAATCACACTTGAAACTGTACCTCTACAACAACTCTATCTTGCGTCACTCTGTCCCTAGCCCAGTACAATTCACCTCACTAACCCTCTGCTTCCTCAAACATGTTAAAGTTCATTTTGCCTAATGGCCTGCATTTTAGCCGTATGTTCTATTCAAGAATGCTTCTTTTCTTCTCCTTCTCCTTCTTATTTTTTTTTTATTTTTTTGAGACAGGGTCTCATTTTGTAACCCAGGCTGGAGCACAGTGACATGATCATGGCTAACTGCAGCCTTGACCTCCTGGGTTCAGGTGATCCTCCCACTTCAGCCACTCAAGCAGCTGGGACTACAGGCCTGCATCACCATGCCCAGCTAATTTTTGTATTTCTTGTAAAGACAGGGTTTTGCTATGTTGCCTAGGCTGGTCTCCAGCTCTTAGGTTCAAGCTATTTGTCTGCCTCAGCCTCCCAAAGTGCTGGATTACAGGCAAAAGCCACCGTGCCTGGCACTCAAGGACTCATTTTCCTCAGATCATTCCATGGCTGGCTCATGCACTTTATTCATATCTCTACCTCAAAGCTGCATTTTCGGGAAGGCCTTCCCTGATACTTCTCCTTCAGTACAAACTACTTTTGACCTTAAGCTGTTATTTCAGGACTCTCATCTGACTAAATGAAACTATTTTATTTGCATACTAATTTATTGTCAGTCTCTTATATCGGGAATATAAGATCTCTGACTATAAAGCTCTTGTACCTTTTGTTGATAGATGCATCCTGACCTCCTATCACAGGGTGTGGCTAAAATAGGGACTTAAAATAGGTATTCAAAACCTGAATACCTATTTCTGAATACCTGAAACATGTCCATTTAGAAGGGTACTTTCCTGTGTCCCTACATCATGTTGGAGGTTGTAAACACAAATGCTACAGGGCTCAGATGGGTACTAAAGACAAAGAAAAACTAGATATTACTTGAACTGAGGTAAAGGAGGCAGATGCTTTCCAGCTTGAACCATTGTTGCCAGGCTACAATGCACATCTAACGTAGTCAGATCTTCCCGTTAATTCATGGGATGCCACATTGTTTTTATTCTTTCAATTTTAGCTGTTAGCAACCAATTTGAAAAAAAAAAAAGTAGCATGTGAATCACCAGTTGCAAGCTCTGTTCATACAAATAAGACAATTCGACATTAATTAAAAGGAGAAACTGGGAAAAGATATTGAGCAGACTGTACAGTAGTGTTTGTAATGGTGAAAAATGGGAAACAACCTAAACATCCATCACTATGGGAATTCCCAAATAATTTGTGACAAATCTATTTGATAAAGTCTAGCTATATTTATCAATGTGGATAGCTCTCAAAAACACAGAATTTGGTGAAAAAATCAAGTTGCAGATCAATACACAAAATATAATAGCATTCATGTAAAACTTCAAATGCCCCAAACCATTCTACATATTGTTTATAATACATAGTAATAGTTTAAATATAGAAACCTAGATTGGCAAGATACATATCAAATTCATGATCCTGGTTGCCTCTCTGAGGGTGGTAGTAGAATGGGACTGAGAATAGGGAACACCTTCTTTATCTGTAATGCTCCATTTCTTTCATTCATAAATCTGTTCGTTCTGGATAGTGGGTGCGTTGTTTATTCTGTGCTTTTTTTTTTTAACATTTCAATAGTTTTGTTTTTTTTTTTTAAATGGCGGGTGGCGGAAGAACATCCTATCCTAGAAGCCAAGAGACTGGGGTTGTCTTTGCTCTGCCTTTTCTGGCATGGATACAATCTCTAGATATGGTTTCCCCATTAGCTAATGCGGGGGGTGCTATGTGGTGTTCCTCCAGAGTCCCTTCAATCTAAGGACCTGTGAATCTAAAACCTTCCCACCTCCCACTCCAACACCGGGAAGGCTACCCAGACCAGGCAATGAAACGTGCATTTCTTCCCTCATTTAAGATAGATCTCTTTCTCTCAGCCTGCAATTCCTTCTCCAGAGGCTTTAAGTATAGTGGAAGTAGAACTATCTTTGACGACAGAGAGACACCTGCATCAATTAGCCTTTCTGAGCCTCAAATTCCCCATTTGTAAAACAGAGAGTATAACACCTACCCATAAAATTGTAGAGAGGTTTAGATACACCGTTATGTGTAGGGCCCGAACAGAGTAGCTATTAATAGTGGTAACAGACTCTCAATTAGGGGCTCAACATCATGGTCGCTGAACAGAATCACGGTCGCTGAACAGAATCACACTCTTCACGCCGCCTTGGAGCCAAAATTAGTTTAGCCGCGAGAAGTCCGGGCAACCAATCGGAAACAACCAAGGAACAGTTGCATGGCGACACTCTGGTTCCGCCTTCGGGCATGCTCGAACAGCATTCTGGGAATTGTAGTTCGGGGGGGGAATCTAACACTCACCGAGGGGCGGAGTAGCTTCCGGAAAGGGTACTGCATTTCCCGTTTCTACCTCCACTGCACCCGCTTATTGCGTCTTGCTCCTGGGTCACAGAGCCTAAAACGACACACCCAACACGCCCGCCGGAGTTACAGCTAAAGGAAGGACAGGGGAAGCAATGAAATGCCGAGGGCGGAGCCAAGAGCGACACTGGGGGAGCAGGAAAAGGCGGGGCTTCCGCTTGGGGCATGGAGGCTGTACCTCTTACGTCACTTCCGTAAACAAACGGAGCTGCGGAGGAGCGGGTCCCGGGATGTGACCGGGGCTCTGCTTGTGGCTGCGGCGGTGGCTTCTGAGGCTGTCGGGTCTTTGCGGGTTGCGGAAGGGGGCCCCAATACCCTTCTTCTTCAGGTATGTAGTGGAAGCAAAGGAACCTCCGCAACCTGCCCCTTTAGGCCCTTCCCACCACTCTGGTCACTGCTGGGTACTGGGCGGTGAAGGGTCATCGCTTCGGTAGATTGGGGAAGGGGAATGAGGTGATGTCAAGAGGGATGCCCAGTGGTACTGCTTGGAGGCAAGACCTGGCACTTAAAACCACTGTGTGAATAAGTAACTATGAGCAGTTTACTTATTATGCCTTCTCTAAAACATTCTTTGCTGTTTGATATACAGGAAGGGTTTCAGTGCTCTTGTGACAGATGTAATTTTCCAAAAACGAGGAAATCGCGAGTGCTGGCTCCGCAGAATATTGTGGTTTAGACCACCACTGGTTTATTTGCATTGCTTTACTTCCTAGATTTTTTTTTCTTGTACCACCAAGTGTGTATTAGCATCGTTAAATTTCAGGCCAGCGTGTTTATGCGTATCATACATTTTTACAGATCCTTGCCTCTTCAGAGAACTAATCGTCTCTATTCAGTCATCTTTCAAACTCTCATTTAATTTGTGTTGCATGTTGAAACAACACCAGAATTATTGTTCTGTTACAAAAAATGCTTCTTAAAAGAAAAATTGTTAGCCAAGGTTTAAGTGGATTGACACCCAGTGGTATCTGGGATTAGAGACTGGGCATTGGAGCCTTTCCCAGAAAGCCTCTTCTTTGGCAGTATTGTAGCTCCAGTTGTAATTGTCTAGCGTCAGCCAATTTAAGCTCAGTGGTTTAAATTCCAGTGCCAGTGGCACTAAGTCCAGGCAAAAGGAAAAAGAAAAATTTATTGAATTCATCAAATAATTATTTTAAGCGACAGCAATGGGTTTGAATCTTTTTGAATGGTCATGGCATGCCTAAATTAAACACAGCATGCCAAAAACGGCCTAATGTTTCTAGAAGGCAATTTACAACCTGATGAGGTAGAGATAGCCATATAAATTCATCTTATGATATATGAAATAATGAAGTTAAGAAAAATTTAACACTATGCACAAATAAAGTATGGAAGGGGTTTTTTTGTTTTGTTTTGTTTTGTTTTGTTTTGTTTTTGAGACGGAGTCTCGCTCTGTCGCAGTGGCACCATCTCGGCTCAGGGCAAGCTCCGCCTCCCGGGTTCATGCCATTGTCCTGCCTCAGCCTCCTGAGTAGCTGGGACTACAGGCGCCCGCCACCACTCCCGGCTAATTTTTTGTATTTTTAGTAGAGACGGGGTTTCACCGTGTTAGCCAGGATGGTCTCGATCTCCTGACCTCGTGATCCGCCCGCCTTGGCCTTCCAAAGTGCTGGGATTACAGGCGTGAGCCCGGCCGGAAGGGTATTTTTTAAATAGATGGATGTTAGAAAATAGAGCGGATTAATAGATAAAGTAAGGGGATTGTGTAGGGATAACTAGGAGGCCTTACACGTATTCCGCATGGAAGGGCCATCTGTAACTTCACATTGTTAACTTTTTTGATATGGGCAAAACTAAATATATATCATAAAATTCACGTTTGTTTGGAAATGGTTAGAGAAAGTATATTCAAAATAGGCAACGAACAAGTTTGATTTTCTAGAACTTCACTTATCACCAAGCTAGAATCATTATTAGCCCTAGCTAGAAACTGAGTTTCTGTTTAGTAGTTGAAGTAAGGCTTCTAGTTGATTTTTAAAATGCTAGTAAAATCCCTATGACAATTATACATCTGTTTGAATCTACTTGGTTCTTCTTAAGCATACATTTTGGAAGAAAGACCTAAAGGCCACCTGAAGCTTGAATCAGGCTGGGAATATTATGTGGATCATTTGTTTATTGTTTATATGTTGTTCCCCTTGTAAAATGTAGGCTTCTTGAGGTCAAACACCTTGTTCAGTGCCGTCTCTCCAGTACCCACAATAGTGTCTGGCTTGTGGAAGAGAATCAGTAAATATTTGTAGGATGAAGAAATAAAGAAAATGGTAAAACAAAACAAAACAAAAACTGTCTACCAGACAATTTTGCTAGGGGCTTATGGGTACATAGTAGAGTACATTAAACTTAAGAGACCCATTTTCTAACTTTCTCTTATGCCCTCTGGAATTCTTGATCCTCTTTTGACCCTGTGAAATGGGTCTTTGAATTTCTTTCATGTTTGCATATTATAGCATACATATATAATTGCTGTATTCCTTATTTAGGTCTTAAGAAGCTGGCCGTGGTGCAATAAGGAACTTAAAACAATGGAAGAGCGGAAAGTGAAGAGGAGGAGTCCTAAGTCTTTTAGTGCCCACTGTACTCAGGTTGTCAATGCCAAAAAAAATGCCATTCCAGTGAGTAAAAGCACAGGGTTTTCAAATCCTGCATCACAGTCAACTTCACAGCGACCAAAGTTAAAAAGGTGAATTCTTTTATTTTACATGTTCACAGTAAAATGCCATTAAAGTAAATCCTGACTCAACTTCTTCTTAAACACTTTTTTAGTCTTGGCTTGACTTTTAAAACAGTTGAGGCACCCATTATGCGTGATTTAGAAGAAAAATTTATGAAAGTTACGGTGTATAGATATTAGAAAATGCAAAATGAATTATTGGTTTGAAGGCCCTTACTTTGTCTTATATTAAAATATACAAAACAAGAAAACTTTTTGACTGTGTTGATGAGCTAGTCAGAAATGGGAAAAGTGAAAAAGTGAAAGAAAGTCAGCAGGGTTTTTTGTTCTCTTTCTTTCTTTCTCTCTTTTTTCTCTAAGCTGAGTGTTTGTGCCTTGGTAGTTTTCTTAATTTATTTTATTTTACACACACACATATATATATATATTTTTAAATATGGGGTCTCACTGTGTTGCCCAGGCCGGCCTTGAACCTCTGGGCTCAAGGGATCCTCCTGCCTCAGTCTTCTGAGGGGCTGTGACTGTGTGGTGTGACACCACACCCAGCTTGCAGTTTTTATTTCTAAAAAATAATGGTGTCATTGTTTTTGTATAAACTGTGTTTTTTATAAATATTCAAACACAGGAAAAATTCAAAGAAGAAATTCAAAATGCAAAAATTCTACCACCTAGAAATAATCATTATTAATATTTGGTGAACATCATTTGCATTCAGGATATTTAAAGGAAACAGAAGTGACAAGTTTAACTATGTTATATGTTACTGTTACATATATGTGAGTATTTTATAGTATTAGATATTTGGAAGGGAAGATTATAGCTTTAGAGGAAAAAAAGTGTTGTATAATGTCAATCTTCTTTCTAATTATTAAATAAATTTACTCTCACATCCAATCTCACCCTGGCAAGTTAGCTAAGGAAATGCCTGTTGCATTCTGTAGCCGCTGGGTTTACACCTAATAAAAGATGAGATTACTGCCTTGATGATGATCTCTCTTTGTCGAAACAGAAGGGACATAACCAAAGACAAGAGAAGATTTGGAAGAAGTATTCCAATGAGTACCAAATGATAAACAGCAGTTTTGAGGATTTCCTTCGAATAAATTATCAGAATGGGGTTTTTGTCATGGAAGAGTTTAATTAGGGTCAGATTTTGAATAAGTTTACAGTTGGTGGAAAAAGAAAACGAAGAGATTTTAAAAGTAATCACTCCTTTCTCTATATTTTTAAAAGCAGTTTATTTGTATCATTGTCATTTTTATTGGTGGTTTTATTTCCATACCCTCTTGTAGATGTAGGCTTCTGAGGGCCAGGACTCTCTGGATCATCATTGTGTGCCTGACAGAACTTACAGTGGGGCTTTGCACATAGTATTATTTCACTGTGTGCTTGCTTTATTGTTGAATTATGTTAACATAAAGTGAGAGTGTGACATAACATTGAAGCAGGAATAAACAGGTTTTTGTTTTATCTTTTGTGTTTGTTTTCTGAGAGGGTTATTAAATGATGAACTGATGTGAAAGTTTACTTGGAGAAAACTTCCAAATTTGAGAGGAAAAAAATACATTTGTCATGCTGAAACCTTATACTCTGTAATAGTTTATCTCAGATTTTAAATGTGAATATGGATCTCTCGGGGATTTTTTTAGAATACAAATTCCACAGCAGTGTGGGATGGGGGGCTTCAGATGAGCATTTCTAAGAAGCTCACAAGTGAGATTGATTCTATGGGTCATGGGCAGCACTTTGAGTAACAAGGTATTACATAATGTATGTAATACATAAAATGCAGCCCTTGCTTTGGGAAGAACTGTTATTGACCTACTGTCAACAATGTATGTATTCTAAACTTCTTTCATATTATAGTCTCTTTCTTGTATCCCCCCCTCACCTACTTTCCCTGGGCATATATATACCCTATTTATCTTATTGTGGTGAGGACAGCTGTGTTGAAGATGTCTTCATTCAACATTATGTTAAAATTGAGTACTGAATATACTTCCGTGTCGGGATTTGTAGTGTGCATTGGGTTATAAAGATAAATTACTCTTTCTCCCATTTTGCCAATTTAGCCCCTACTTGTTCTTTAAGTCTTTGCTCACTTATCACTTTTAGGAAGCCTTCTCTGGTTGGTCCCACGCTGAACGAACTGCTTCTCTCTCTTCCTATATCGCAGTGCGCATAACATCATCACTCAACTATTTGAGAGCCTGGTATATGCCAGACATGTGTAATAAGGACTAGTTTAGGCTAGGGGTTCCAAAAAGGCCTTCCTGAGGAAATAGCATTTAAACTGAGACTTGAAGATGTGTGGGAGGTAGCATGCCAAAGATGGCAGTAAGTGGAAGGATGCTAATGTAGGCAGAGGATTAGCACGTAAGAAGATAAGATAATGGATTTCTAGGAAACGAAAGAGATTCAGTGGCTAGAGCATAGATGAGGATAGGGTTTCTTAGGGATATTAGATTATATTCAGCAGGCAATGCAAAGCTACTAAAGCTTTTTTTTTTTTTTTTGACACGGAGTCTCGCTCTGTCACCCAGGCTGGAGTGCAGTGGTACAATCTCAACTCACTGCAACCTCCACCTCCTGGGTTCAAAGGATTCTCCTGCCTCAGCCTCCCAAGTAGCTGGGACTACAGGTGTGCACCACCACACCAGGCTAATTTTTGTATTTTTAGTAGAGACAGGGTTTTGCCATGTTGGCCAGGTTGGTCTTGAACTCTTGATCTCAGGTGATCCTCCTGCCTGGGCCTCCCAAAGTGTTGGAATTATAGGCACGAGCCACTGTGCCCGGCCTACTGAAGCATTTTTAATTAAGCAAATTGTATGATCTGATTTTACTTTTTGGAAATGGACTTGGCTGCCCGGTGGGGAGAGAAGGGAGATCAGGGATCACAGAGATAGGGAGACTGGTTGGGAAGCTATTTGGTTAAGAGATGGGATGGTGGCATGGGAGAAAGAGAACTGGAGAGATTAGATATTTTGTGGGTATAATTGATAGGACTTCATGACTGCATGTAGGAGCCTTAGGAAGTTAGAGGAGTCAAGGATGATAACAAGTTTTTAGTATTCCATTACATGGTGATTATGAATTTAAATATCTTCCCTTCTCTTTAGACGGGGCATTTGTGGATAATGTTGGCTACAGAGTAGGGACTCCAAAACCATATGTAGAACTACTGAGAGTTCAAGGAACAAATAAAGTTTAGAAGGGAAAGGTGTAATATGTTTTACTGAGAAATGAAATGTAAAGCATAGGATAATACAGACTTACAAGTTTTCTTTTCTGCAGTCCAAAGAATTAGCATATTATATAAATGTATTAATCAAACTTTTTATATGCCTTTGTAGTTATATTTTATACATTTGTTTGAGGTTTTTCACAACCTTTTTTTTCTTTTGGTTTCTGGCTTGGAGTTTCTGGTTTTGTTTAGTATTGACTCTATTTGATTTCTTGCTTTTAAGGGAAATTCCATTTACTTCACTAAAAAATTAAGCAAAAGCTTAATCTAGAATAGCCTAAAAAGCCTAAATTTCATCGTCTTTACAGAGTGATGAAAGAAAAGACCAAACCTCAGGGTGGAGAGGGCAAAGGCGCTCAGTCAACTCCGATCCAGCACTCCTTCCTCACTGATGTCTCAGATGTTCAGGAGATGGAGAGAGGGCTGCTCAGTCTTTTGAATGATTTCCACTCTGGAAAACTTCAAGCATTTGGTAAGCAATAGATGTTTCTGTATTATTTTTTTCTCTAAGATGTTTGCATCCTGTTTTCTGTGTGTATTTTACTCTTCTTTTCAAAGTGCCAGTTTCTTTTAAGAAAAAAAGAGCCCACAGGCATAAAGGCAATCATCCTAGATTTTGTCTTAGAATATAATTTGCCTTCTAAAACTTCTGGGAAAAAGTTTTTTTTTAAGAGGGAGGGTTAGTTGAAATGTTGAAGTAGGATTGCCATTATGGAATAAGTATCTTGCAAGTTTAACAAATAAGAGGGACAGTCTTGGTCAGTTAAAATATTTTAGACTTAGTGTCTTCGTTTTGAAAGTATCAAGATCATTTTCCCTTACCCTCTTAAGCTTAAACTTGTTTCTTGCCTGGGATTCCTGATTTAAAGTTAGGAATTAAAAGAATCCAGTTTTCTTGTTTTTTCATGAGGATATAAGAATAGTTAACTGATTGTCCCATTAAAAATTCTGAATAGGTATTTTTTCGTAGTCACAGAGTTCACAAAAGATAGTCAGATTTTTCATGTGCAGTCTGGAACTTATTTGTAAGCTTTTTCTAATGATAAGATTATTTCCCAATTTTTTTTTTTTTTTTTTTTGAGACAGAGTCTGGCTCTGTCGCCCAGGCTAGAGTTCCATGGCACGATCTCGGCTCACTGCAACCTCCACCTCTCGGGTTCAAGTGATTCTCCTGCCTCAACCTCCCCAGTAGCTGAGACTACAGCCATGTGCCACGGCCAGCTAATTTTTTGTATTTTTACTAGAGACGGAGTTTCACCGTGTTAGCCAGGATGGGTCTCCATCTCCTGACCTTGTGATCTGCCCGCCTCGGCCTCCCAAGGTGCTGGGATCGCAGGCGTGAGCCACCGCGCCTGGCCTATTTCTCAATATTTTAAAAAGCAATTTCAATAATATGCATAATCTTTTTAAAAAATTTTAACTTCCCCAGTTTTTTAGAAGATGCATAATCTTATACAAATGCATAAATGTCCACATACATATTGATTTTTTAAAGTATTCTTTCCCTCCCCAATGTTTTTGTTACTTAACTTCCCCATTCCCTCTTATCCCTTCTGCTACTTCCACTTCCCCTCATCCCAGCCATTTGTTAACAGTCCAGGTGTATATCCTTTCATATTTTTATTTTCATTATTTAATACAAATGGTATACAAGATATTCTGTGTCTTGCTTTCCTGCACTAAAGAATATCTGATGGAAATCTCTCTAATGCACCTAGGATTGCTCTAGTTCATTCTTTTTTAATGGCAACATAATATTCCAAGTTGTGAATATACTCTAGTTTATTCAACTATGTCCCTATTGAGAGGCATTACTTTGTTTCTCATTTTGAGCCACCAAACACAATGGCATAGTCAACATCTTTTTACACAGATCTTTAGGCTGGTGCCTCTATTCTTTTGGGATTGATTCTCATGAGTGGGATTGCTGGGTCAAAGCATATATGTAATTTTAACTTTAATAGAAGTATGCAGATTGCTTTGCAAAAAGAACAATACCGCACTTCTAGGTTCCATAAATAATTTATGAAAAAATGCTTTTCCTTGAATTCCCGCCAAGCAGTAGGTATTATTCGTCTTTTAATTTTTGCCAGTCTCTTGGTGTAAAGTGAGATGTCTTTTATTACAATTGAGTTTGAAGATCCGTGTGTGTTTGGTAGATTGTTTGATAGGTCCTTTTCAGGACCTTTTGTCAGTTTTCTACTTGGTTATTTATCCTTTTGTTGTTGTCACTTGTAAAGAGCCCTTTGTGTTTTAGATACTAACCCTCTGACCTCTATTATGTATTTATTTTTGTCTACCAAATTTGTTGTGTCTGTGCACTTTGTTTATGGTATATTTAACCTTGTAAAAGTTTTTACTTTTTGCATTCTCAAACATGTCTGTATCTTTTCTTTCAATAGTTGCTGGGTTTCCAGTCTTGGTTATGCTAATATTTGAAAAGAAGATATTAAAAGCAGATTATTTATTTCACAAAAATACTTTATTGTACCCCTACCTCCTTGCTTTAGCCCATCCCAGTAAGGTGGTATCTTCAGAGTATTTTCACTTCCCCTCTCTTCCCTTCTTCCCTCCTACCCTTGAGATGTAATCTTTGGACCACTTCCACGTCTTTGCTTTTTCCCAGCACCTTTCCTCCCCTACTCTATGTTGCCTTTGTGTTTTTGGATTGAAGTCCTTTCTTGTCTTTGTCTGTTATCCTACTGATTACTCTTCATAATAAGTGTTGCAGATGAGAATTCCATTGCCAGTCAGAGTCTTTCTTAGCAGGTAATTTATATTTTTCTGTCTCGATGATTAAAAGATGTTTTTCTTTTATCTTTAAAGGTTAGGCATTTTCCAGGATATGCTTAGGACTGTGTCTTTTCTCATCAATCTGCCTGGGAATCAGTGAGCCCTTCATATCTGCTGACTCATCTTTCATCTCACGTAACATATTTTCTATTGTTTATTATTTTTCTTCCATCTCTTCCTTTTTAGCCTCTGAAGCTTCTATTGTTCTCATGGTAGGTCACCTAGATCCGTCCTCTGACTCTCATCTTTTCCCATATGATTTCTACCTCTTTATATTTTTACTGTACATTTACATACATAAACACAAACATACATACATACACACAAACACGTATCTTGAGATATTTCTGTTTCTTCCACTTGACCTTCCAGGTTACTAATGTTGAAAAACATGACTAAAATAGAGGAAATATGACATATTTTACTGTGAAGAAAGGACGATTTTGAGAGAGCCATAACTAGCTTCAACATTAGTAGTCCTTAACATAATGTCGTATAGTCCATTTATGAAGATGTTATAAAGCTGGCTAGAGGAAACTAGCATAATTTACATTAATTCATATTTATTTAGGATATGTACTTCAACTTTAGCTGAGGTATATTTTACCTGTATAGTACCTTTAGGAAAAACAGAAAGGTTTTTTTTTTAAAAAATTCTACTATCAAGGGATTGCAGAGTCTGTACTTAAACTGAATGAAAAGATAATACGTTATGTGTATAAATTAGTTGCTCTGGGCAGATAATGTCACTTCAGAGGACTCTTGGTCAATATGTAATGTAAGACCTATTCTTTAGCAATTAAGTTGTCTTGACAACTGTGTGTACAATTAAAAATATTACATAGTGTTGCTCATGCTTCATGCCATTTTTCATGCTTCATAAATATTTTTATTTATATTTCTTAAAGGAAGAATACATAATTGGTTGAAAAAATGATTCACATTTGAAGTCGTTATTGAACTTTTTTTTTTTTTTTTTTTTTGAGATAGAGTCTCTGTCACCCAGGCTGGAGTGCAGTGGTATGATCACAGCTCACTGCAGCCTCGGCCTCCTTGAGCTCAAGCCATCCTCCCACCTCAGCCTCCCAAGTAGCTGGTACTGCAGGCACACACCACCACACCCAGCTAATTTTTTTTTTTTTTTTTTTTGAGATGGAGTCTCGCTCTTTCGCCCAGGCTGGAGTGCAGTGGCGCGATCTCTGCTCACTGCAAGCTTCGCCTCCCAGATTCACGCCATTCTCCTGCCTCAGCCTCCCGAGTAGCTGGGACTACAGGCGCCCACCACCACGCCCGGCTAATTTTTTGTATTTTTTAGTGGAGACGGGGTTTCACCATGTTAGCCAGGATGGTCTCGATCTCCTGACCTCATGATCCACCCGCCTCGGCCTCCCAAAGTGCTGGGATTACAGGCGTGAGCCACCGCGCCTGGCCTTGTATTTTTTATAGAGATGAGGTTTCACCATGTTTCACAGATTGGTCTTGAACTCCTGGACTCAAGCAGTTCTCACACCTTGGCCTCTCAAAGTGTGTTAAGATTACAGGCGTGAGCCACCATGCCCAGCCAGAACTCTTTTTTTTTTTTTTTTTTGAGACAGGGTCTCGCTCTGTTACTCAGGGTGGAGTGCAGTGGTGTGATCATGGTTCACTGCAGCCTCAACCTCCCCAGGCTTATATGATCCTCCCACCTCAACCTCCCAAGTAGCTGGGATTACAGGCACATGCCACCACGCCTGGCTAATTGGCTGATTTTTTGTATTTTTAGTAGAGACAAGGTTTCACCATGTTGCCCAGGCTGATGTAGAACTCCTGGGTTCAAGGGATCCGTCAGCCTTGGCCTCCCCAAGTGCTAGGATTACAGGCATGAGCCACTTGGGCCTAGAACTCTGAATTTCACTCAAATTATTACAAAATGTTGGGTCACTCAGTTAAAATGGTAGTTGTCAAACTGGACATGATGAGATGGTGCTGTTTTGCTTCTACATATTATATTACTGTTGAAGAAAATACATTTTCTCTACTTAAGGGACGATTTTCTTTTCTCTTTTTCTTTTTTTTTTTTTTTGAGACAAGGTCTCACTCTGTCACCTAGTCTTGAGTACAGTGGCTTGAACACAGCTCACTGCAACCTTCACCTGCTGGGCTCAAGCAATCCTCCTGCCTCAGTATCCTGAGTAGCTGGGACCAGAGGCATGCAGCACCATGCCTAGTTAATGCGTGTTTTTTAAAAAATTTTTTTGTAGGGGTAGGGTCTTGCCATGTTGCCAGGCTGGTCTTGAACTCCTGGGCTCAAGCAGTCCTACTGCCTCAACCTCCCAAAGTGTGGGGATTATAGGCATGAGCCACCATGCCCAGCCTGATTTTGCTTTTTAAAAAGAAACGTTTCCTATATGCTCTTTTTTTTTTTTTGAGACAGAGTCTCGCTCTATTGCCAGGGTGGAGTGCAGTGGCACGATCTTGGCTCACTGCAACCTCTGTCTCCCGGGTTCAAGCGATTCTCCTGTCTCAGCCTCCCAAATAGCTGGGACTACAGGCACGCACCACCATGCCCAGCTAATTTTTGTATTTTTAGTAGAGACTAGGTTTCACCATGTTGGCCAGGATGGTGTTGATCTCCTGACCTCATGATCCACCAGCTTCAGCCTCCCAAAGTACTGGGATTACAGGCGTGAGCCACCACGCCTGGCCTGAAATATTTCCCATATGATTTTCTTTAGTACCCAAGGTCATTTCTTAAGTGGGTCATTGTTTTCCTGGTCAGAAATTTGATTTGTTATTAAACACAGAAAATATTAATGATTATCTAATTTACAGAAGAAAGAAAACCTGTTTCTTTTAGAGCACCTAGAGTTTAAGTGTTTTTACTCAATGCTGTTAGTTTGAACTGTCCTAATCATTATTAATGTTCTGGAATGTTCCCAAGGAAATGAATGTTCCATTGAACAGATGGAACATGTTCGGGGAATGCAGGAGAAATTAGCTCGCTTGAATTTGGAGCTCTATGGGGAGTTAGAGGAACTTCCTGAGGATAAGAGAAAAACAGCCAGTGACTCCAATCTGGATAGGCTTCTGTCAGATGTAAGTGTAATTCTTTTTCTTTGTTCTTTAAAAAAAAATTTTTGTTGCGAAAAAATGTACCTTTTGAACTATTTTAATGTATACAATCACGTGGTTGCTAGCGTATTCACAGTGTTGTGCCGATCGCTGTTGAATTGCGGAACACGTTCACCACCCCAGAAAGAAACCCTGGACCTCTCAATTCTCTCCTCATCCCCTAGCAACCCCTAATCTACTTTCTGCCTTTATGGATTTGCCTATTGTGGACATTTCATATCAGTGGAATTATGCAGTATGTGGACTAAATGGATTATTTTACTTAATGTTCAAGTTTCATCCATGTTGTAAAAACTTTACTCTTTTTTTTCAAGAAATGTATTCCAACAAAGTTATCGTATTTACATCTAAGCATGTATTCTCAGAATACAGATGCTGGCAAATCTGAAAGCAAAATATTTGCTTCTGTACAGATATAATAAAATCTTAAGATATAGAAGATAGTGGTGAAAAAGACCTTTCCTGATATGATTAATACATTTTGTGTTATTTACTCAGGTGGCGGTTACTTGTTTTTAAAGGCAGAACGACATTTGCTATTTCTGCTAATTGAGTACATTGCCATATGTATTACTTTGCCAGGGCTGCCAAAACAAAGTACCACAGACTGGGTGGCTTTAACAACAGAAATTTATTTTCCCACAATTCCGGAGGCTAAAGTTGGAGCTCAGGGTGGCAGGGTTGCTTTTTTCTGAGGCCTCTCAGTTTGTAGTAGCCGTCGTGTTCACATGGCTTCTTCCTCTATGCCAAGTGTCCAACTTTGCTTTTCCTGCCAGTCACATTGGATGAGAGCCCACCCTGATGACCTCATTGTGACTTAATTACCTCTTTAAAACCCCTGTCTTCAAATCTACTCACATTCTGAGATACTGGGGGTGAGGACTAAGACATGAATTTTGGAGGGTACACTGTTTAGCACATAACACAAAGTATGATTGTTACACTGAGAAATGTTAATTAAATTTGCCTCTTTAAATCCTTTTTGGAACAAAAATAAATAAAAATTGAATTCAACACACGTTAGTTTTAGATTCCCTATTAACTATTGACAAAAAAGGGTTAATTTCTACTGTTTTTCTCTCTTTTGAATAAGTAAATGTGAGGGAACTTGTATGCCAATACTTTCACTATTTCGAGTCTATAATCTTTTTATTTCATGTCTGTCTTACTCAGTCTTGCAAGTATTTCCATTTACAGTTCATGGTTTGTTTTTTTGAGACAGGGACTCACTTTGTCACCCAGGCTGGAGTGCAGTGGCGCCATCTGGGCTCACTGCAGCCTCAACTTCCTGAACTCATACGATCCTCCTGCCTCAGCACCCCCAAGTAGCTGGGACTATGGGCACATGCCACCACGCCCAGCTAATTTTTTTATTTTTAGTAGAGATAGGGTTTCACCATGTTGTACAGGCTGGTCTTGAACTCCTGGACTCAAGTGATCCGCCCACCCTGGCCTCCCCAAGTGCTGGGATCACAAGTGTGAGCCACGGTGTCTGGCTTTACCAGTTCATGTTTTACATTTTTTTCCTCTTAACAGATAATAAGTATAACTTGCTATACATTTAGGAGAATAACAGTGGTATAGTGAAAAGAACGCCGAATTTGAAACCAGAAAGGCTTCGTTTAGTTCAGCATTTGCATTTGGGTTATAACTGAACAACACTGAGCCATTTAGTTAACATTTTTGTAATTCACATGTTTCCTTCTGTAAGATAAAAATGCTGTAGTCTAAATGTTTATGTCCTCCCCAGAAAGCATATATTGAAATCTTAACTTAGAAGGTGATGGTAGGAGGAGATGGGGCCTTTGGGAGGTGATTCAGGCAAGAATGTGATTAATGTCCTTATAAAAGAGGCCCAAGAGAAACCTCCTACCCCTTCTACCATGTGAGGACATGGGGAGAAAGCCCTCCTGTTTCATGAACAGGAAGTGGTTCATGCCCTCCCCAGACACCAGATCTGCTGACTCCTTAATTTTGAACTTTCCTACCTGTAGAACTATAAGAGGTAAATTTCTATTGTTTATAAGCCACCAGTTTATGGTGTTTGTTATAGCAGCCCAAACAGACTAAGACAAGGGGTGATGAATTCTACCTCATATAGAAAATTGAGTGACGTGAAATCTTTTTGTAATCTATGATGGTTTTAAAGATTTTGATCATTAAAATGGCAATTTTTTTTCTTTTAAAAACTTATTAGAGATGATTGTTATTATGCCTGGTTTTAGGAATACTTATAAAACTCCAGTTTTTATAATCTGGTTTCATTCTGTCCTCATATTCTTTTGATTTTTTTGTAGAGACAGGGTTTTGTTATGTTGCTCAGGCTGGTCTTAAACTCCTGGGCTCAAGCAGTCCTCTCCCCTCAGCCTTCCAAAGTGCTGGGATTACAGGCAAGAGCATGCCTGGCCTCTCTCCTCATATTCTTGTTTCACACATGTTAATGCTACTTAATAATTATTTTTGCAAAAAGGAATTTTTTAGCCTGAAATTTTTTTGAAAGTTTTTTTCTTTAGTACTTTGCTTTTTCATTTACAGAAAGCTTTTTTTTTTTTTTTTTTTTTCGACACAGCATCTCATTCTGTCACCCAGGCTGGAGTGCAGTGGCACTAACAGAGCTCACTGCAGCCTTAAACTCCTGGGCCCAAACAATCCTCCCACCTCAGCCTCCTAAGTAGCTGGACCTCACGTGTGCGTCACCACGCCTGTCTAATTTTTTTATTTTTTGTAGAGAGGAGGTCTTACCATGTTGTCCAGGCTAGTCTGGAGCTCCTGGGCTCAAGCAGTTCTCCCGCCTTGGCATCCCAAAGTGCCAGGATTATAAGCACGGGTCACTGTGACCAGCACAAGAAAGCTTAAATGAAAAATAATTTATTTAAAAAGAAATAGTTAACAACTATTTATATTGATCTTATAAAAATTAAAAATAAATTTGTTTCTTTGTTTTACAGTTAGAAGAATTGAATTCTTCCATGTATCCTTTGTCTGCTATCAACAGTGAAAAGTTTACAACTTACAATTTCTGGTGAATAATCTCGATCAAGTTTTAGAAAGATGTGTTATTTAGATATGGTGGAAAAAAGACACGTAGTATTATTCACTAGGGCCGTCACTCTTCCTCTTTGGTTTTCTTTTCTTTCTCTTTTTTCTTTTCTTTTTTTTTTTTTTTTTTTTTTTCAGAGACAGGGTCTTGCTCAGTGGCCCAGGCTGGAGTGCAGTGCCACGATCATGGTTCACCACAGTCTCAAACCTCCCAGGCTCAAGCGATCTTCCCACTTCAGCCTCCCAAAGTGCTGGGATTACAGGCGTGAGACACCATTCCCTGCCCCCTTTGGGTTCCAAATGGAATTTTCTTGTTGTTTTCTATGCTGAAATTTTGTTTCTGGTTTGTTCTGCTTTGCTTTGTACTGTTCTTGAATTTTTAAGACAAATTATTTTTTATCATGATAACTGAGGGTTAGGTTAGTTGCTATGTAAATTATTTTGAAGCTTAGATTCTGAGGCTAACTGGCAGTGAGATATTCAGAGATAATATACTATACTTAATATCATCACATAGGATATTTTAGGTGCATAAAATTGAAAACTAGACATTAAAATGCAGGCTTCGAGGGATGCTTACATAGCTTGTGAAATGACATTTCACAATTAAATGTACTTAGTGTATTATAGGATTAGCTTAAAGGACATCACCAAGACACATGTAGAATATTCAGGTTTTGACATTTCAATTTAGAGCAATTATTTTAAGAACTTTTCAAAATGTATTTTTGAACATAACAGGCACAATGGTAAGGTACAAAAGAACAATGAGAAATGATCCTGCCTATAAAATAATTTAATTTGAGAAGTAAGACATCCCCTTTGAACCAGTTATTGACATAGAAAGGATGCTGCTTGTAGAGATTTGATTTTTGAAGTTTGGTTCTACATTTTGATCATGTAACCTTGGGCAAATTGTTTAACGTCTCAGAGTGTTCTCTGTAATACAGGGTAATTGCTACATGTGATGATGCGTATGTGAAAATTTCCAAACTATATATATAAAAATTACTATTATTGCTATAAGATTATATTCATACTGTTATTAACTGCTGAATTGTGCAGTAACAACAATTAAGAAATTGGGGCCTGGCACGGTGGCTCATGCCTGTAATCCCAGCACTGTGGGAGGCTGAGGCGGGTGGATCACTTGAGGTCAGGAGTTCAAGACCAGCCTGGCCAACATTGTGAACACCTCTCTTTACTAAAAATACAAAAATTAGCCAGGTGTGGTGGAGGGCGCCTGTAATCCCAGCTACTTGGGAGGCTGAGGCAGGAGAATTGCTTGAACCTGGGAGGTGGAGGTTGCAGTAAGTAGGGATCCTGCCATTTCCATCCTGGGCAAAAGAAATCAGGAAGTATATCCAAGTCCTGTAATGGCGATTAATAGCTAATCTTCATGAATACTTACTATTTTCCCAGTACTATATAAAGGGGTATGTGCATTATCTTATTTGGCCCTACTTGGAAGTGGGTGGTGTTATGCCCCCCATTTTGCAGATGAAGAAAATAAGGTGCTACATAAACTGTTGGGAGAGATTAAGATATTATTGTCAAGAAAGAGTTAAAGAAGGGGGTAAGACTTGAGTTAATCAAGGGGCTTTTCCTGCAAGAAGTTCTCTTTCTTCCTTCAATGCTTTATATTCTTTCTCTGCCATGACACTTAAGTATTTCCTATCCTTTTGTGTGGTTTTGTTTGTTTGTTTGTTTGTTTTGAGACGGGTCTCGCCCTGTCGCCCAGGCTGAAGCAGTAGCGTGATCTCCACTCACTGCAACCTGCTTCTCTGGGGTTCAAGCAATTCTCCTGCCTTAGCCTCCTGAGTAGCTGGGATTACAGGTACCTGTCACCACGTCCAGCTAATTTTTGTATTTTTAGTAGAGACGGGGTTTCACCATGTTGGCCAGGCTGGTCTTGAACTCCCGACTCAGGTGGTCTGCCCGCCTTGGCCTCCCAAAGTGTTGGGATTACAGGCATTAGCCACCACGCCCGGCCCTTTTTTGTGAGTTTTTGTTAAACATTTAGAGTTTTTGTTTTGTTTTGTTTTACCACTTTCTGTGACTTAACCTGTGGTGGAATTTACCCACCACAAACATAGCAGCATAATACCCTATATAATACAAGAGTGTAGGCTTTGGAATGCTTGGTAGGCAGCCGTATAACCTTGAACAAAATCTGGCAACCATAGTTTCCTCACCTGTAATAGGTGTTCTCTCAGTACTTAAACTTTCCCCTCCTAATTTCCCTCTTTGTCGGCTGTCTCTGTTAATTCAGTCTCCAAGAATATTTTTAAATGCCTTCAAGGACCATGGCAGACATTGCTAATCAGACATGGCATTCTCTGCCATTGAGCCTGGATCTGGATATGAAGTCTGTTTGCCATCTCTTTATTACAGTTGTCAGGCATCATCAGTATCATCAGTTCTGCTTTTATTCTTCCTTCACTCTCTACATGATAATCCAGGACCTTGTCACCTGATTCCATACCTTTTCAATTTTCTGTTCCAGATCTAGAGTTGCACTGTTCAATATAGTAGCCACTAAGCCATTTCAAAGACTTAATATCCTTAAAAGAACATAAAATATCTCAATTTTTATAATGATTACATGTTGAAATAATTCTTAAAATGTTATATATATATATTTCTGAGACAGGGCCTTGCTCTGTCACCCAGGCTGGAGTGCAGTGACATGATCATGGCTCACTGCAGCCTCAACTTCCTGGGCTCAGTTGATCTCCCACCTCAGCCTCCTGAGTAGCTGGGACTACAGGTGTACGTTATGCCCAGCTATTTTTTTTTTTGTTTTTAGATAACGGGGTCTTGCTATGTTGCCCAGATTGGTCTCAAACTCCTGGGCTCAAGCAGTCCTCCTGCCTCAGCCTCCCAAAGTGCTGGGATTCCAGGCGTGAGTCACCACGCCCAGCCTGCGTTGTATTTCTATTGAACAGTGTTGCTCTAAACTTTAGGTATTGCTACAAAATTAATATTCTTGAAACATCACTTTCTTCCTGCCATTTCTATTTTTTACCATTTTTTTTAAACCATGTCAACTATTTTAAAGGTTCTTAATAATTTGGTCACAACCTGTATGCACATGCTGTTGTATTTTTCATTCTTTTTCATTCCCCTCAGGCTGGTTTTCTGGATGCCCAAGAAACACATCATGTTCATTCTCATCATAATGCGTTTGTTCAGGTTGTACCTCCTACCTAGAGTTACTCTCACCTCCTTGTTCTCCTTATCACGTTACATTCAAGCTGACCACTTCCATAAAGGATTTCATTTGTACCTTAACCTAGCATTCTGCCTTATATTATTATCTGTTGATTTTTACATGTGTTAAATCTCAGCCTTCCAATTGGACAAGAATGTCTTTGATGGCAGTGCTTATGTCTGTACATTTTTGCAACCTCTGCCATACATGTACTGCAAGCATTTAGTTGCCTTCAGTGTATTCATATCATTGAATTGGGTCTTGAAAAATAAGTAACAGGTGGATAAATACAGGTCAGTGAGAAAAATGAAAGACAGTGATTATAATAAGGGATGAGTAATTCATGCAAGATTCCCGTCCTATTTCCAGTCTTCTTGAGGAACAATTAAGAGAATTATAGAAAAGATTTTAGAGCTGTAATGATTTTATTTTTGGACTTTTAAACAGAATTGTTTTCCCAAAGATGATAAAGTGGTGTCTTCTCAAAAGATTTTTTTAATCTAGTGTCTTGTCATGTTTGTCTCTAATCAGCTCCTTACTATGAAAATGATTATTGACACATTAAAAATAACTCTGGGCCAGGTGTGGTGGCTCGCACCTGTAATCCCAGCACTTTGGGAGGCCGAGGCAGGAAGGTTGCTTGAGGCCAGGAGTTCAAGACCAGCCTGGGCAACATAGCCAGACTCCTCCCCCATCTCTAACAAAGAATAGAAAAATTAGCCAGGTATGTTGGCACATGCCTTTGGGAGGCTGAGGTGGGAGGATTGCTTGAGCCCAGGAGTTCAAGGCTACAGTGAAGTATGATCGTATTACTGCATTCCAGCCAGGGAAACAAAGTGAGTCCTTATCTCTAAAATTTAAAAAAAAAAAAGTCTTCAAATTCTAGACAAGAGTATAATTTACTACATTTAAAAGTTGTCTTACCACATCTGAGTGTCTCAGTAGCAACACAAGAGCTTTTCCTTTGAACATATCTCTTTTTTAAATACCGCTTTCTCTTTGCTCCTGAATGTAATTTTCAGAAATGTAAAAGAAGTACCCCTTATAGAATGAAAATCTTCTTAACTGATTAATTCAGACAAAAACTCCATTTGGCAGATGCACAAGATGTTCCAAATACTTCTGCTAGCTAAAATGAAATGTAGTTTGCTTTCTTGTGATTTGAAGAGAAGCAGCAGTCTTTACTTTTCCAGCCAAATCCAGTAGCAGAATCATCTTCCACAACAAGGAATTAAAGTAATTAAAGTGCAAGTTCAATGATCGTTTTCACTTACTGCTTTTAGTAAATGTGACTCGCTGTAATTCACCATAACTGGAGGCCTAGGCCTTGTTGAAGGCTTCATCAGGAAATGTGACGCAGAGATTGTGCTGCTGTGCTTCATATTGTTGCCTTATGGGATTATACTTGAAATGCATTGTGCTGATGTTCTTGACAGGGCGGAGGGATTTCTCTTTCCTGAGCTCACCAAACTTATTCCAGTGTTGATCGCAAGCTGTTGATGCACAGGCGTCTTGTGGCAAGCCCAGCTTCAGTTTATGTTAGACAATCAGTACACATGCTGGTGTGTTTTCCAATGGCCAGTGATAAGAAATTAAATAAGTATTTGTGAGATTTGCTATTTTTTAATAAAGTAATTGTTTTAAATTAATCTCTGTTGTCTGTTTTGAAGAAACCCATATAGTCTTCAATCTGGGAAATACAAGGGTTCAATCCTTAAAAGTAAACTGTGTTTATAAAATTTGAGGTTCTTGAACTCCTTGCAAATTCTGTACCTTGTGTACATTTAAATACTGGTGTGATGAAAGAATGTGAGCTTTAAAGTTACTTACACCTTAATTTGAATCGCCGTTCTGCCCCCTTAACTTTGTGTTCATGCACGTTTACTCAGGTTGGATTTTTTTCTTTTTTCTTTTTTTTTTTTTTAAATCTAGAAAATGAGGTCAGTAACCAAGTTGGTAGTTGTTGTATGGGGAGTAAGTGAAAAAGCGCGTATAGGATGCTTAGCACAAGCCGGGCACGGTAGCTCACGCCTATAATCCCAGCACTTTGGGAGGCTGAGGCAGGTGGATCACTTGAGGTCAGGGGTTCAATACCCAGACCGGCCAACATGGTGAAACCCCATCTCCACTAAAAACACATACACACAAATTAGCCGGACGTGGTGGCGGGCTCCTGTAATCCCAACTATCAGGGAGGCTGAGACACAGGAATTGCTTGAACTCAGGAGGCAGAGAGGTTGCAGTGAGCCGAAATTGTGCCACTGCACTCTAGCCTAGGCGACAGAGCAAGACTCTGTCTCAAAAAAAAAAAAAAAAAGAGAGATGCCTAGCACAATAGCTGATACCAGTAATGCTCAGTAAACATTAATTTCATCACCCTTTAAAAACAGCTTTATTGAAACAATAATTTATGTCATAAAATGTACCCCTTTAAAGTGTACAATTCAGTGATTGTTAGTAGATTCATAGAGTTATATACCCATCACCGTGATCTAATTCTAGAACATTTTCATCACACTAAAAAGAATCCCATTAACAGTCACTCCTTGTCCCCTAATCCCCTCAGCCTTTGGCAGCCACTAACCTCCTTTCCAGCTCTCTGGATTTTCTATTCTAGACATTTTATATAAATGGAATCATACAATACGTGGCCTTTTGTGACTGGTTTCGTTTACTTAGCATGATGTTTTCAAGGATTGAAGCTTCATCCATGTTATTGCATGTACTTCATTTCTTGTTTTGGCTGATCATATGCCATGGTATGGATAGAACACATTTTGCTTATTTATAACTCAGTTACCTTTGTGTTGCAGAAGATGCTCATGCTTCTGTCTCCTTGTTTCCAGGCCACAGAAATAAGCACCTAATTGGGGGAGGGGAGGAGAGGGACTTACTGAATATTTTTCAAATCTTGATTTTAATAATTTTTGGCTTTCTGAATTCAAAGTATTTTGATCAGTAAATTGGTCTTTTTAATACCCCTTTTAAAAATTACAGCATCATGGAGGAAACTTCATTTGGGTTGTGAGAATAGGGATTTAAGGGGGAAAAAGTCGTACTCTAGGGTCTGACAGGGCGAAAGGACACTTTGTCATGTGACATGTTTTTCTTGGATTGGTCCTGAGATAGAGTAAAGCAAAAAGCTGGTTCCTGCGGGTTGTGACAGAGCAGTGGATTGACCTTGTTTATTCACTTGGTTCATTCGCCCTTTGTGTCACAGGGCCCTAAATGGGTCCCAGGTAGCGAAATATTAGCTTATCTAATTTGTATCCTTTCACACTCCTTAAACACATGTTCAAGGAAACAGGAAAAAATGCAGTGCCTGGATTAGAATAAAATTTAAGGCCTGGTTTGGTGACAGGCACCAGTACTTTTAGCTACTCTGGAGGCTGAGGCGGGAGGATTGCTTGAGCCCAGGAGTTCTAGGCTATAGTGTACAATGATGATTTTACTGGCATACAGATGAAAAAGAAAAAGATATTTGAAATAAAAATAAAAATATAGTGCACAATGACCAGGCCTGTGAATAGCCACTGCACTCCAGCCTAGGCAGCATAGCAAGATCACATTTCTCATATGAAACTTTACTAGAATGAAACTTATGGTTTATTACATAGATGTTGCTTATTCGTTGTAGGAAAAATTGAATTACAGATGATTTTTAAAACTACCAGAGCAAACCATTTAACCTATTTGTGTACATACTCCCAGATTTCTTACACACGTTGCAAAAAAAATAGATCGTACCATTCTGCTGGTTTTCTAAGCTGCTTTTTGTAAGTAATGTACTGTGAGCATCTTTTCATGGCCATAACTATTACATACAAAAGAAAAAAACAGGCTTCACAATAAATAGTTAAAAGACATTTTGACCTGAAACTAATGAAGAAGGGTTTTTTGGTTTTGTTTTTGTACCTCCTGTATAATGCTGAAATTGGTAATTCTGCAGTAAATATTAACATTTTCTGAGGATCTGCTGAAGATGAATGTGACAAAAAATAAGAAACTCCACTTTCCTCATCACACAGCCTTAATTAACATCGCTGGCTTTGTTTGAGATCAAGCAAACGTTGGCTTCAGTGTCCAAGTCTCTTCTTGGGGTCCCACGGCCTTGGGTCTGGCACCTCTGCTGGGCACCTCGCAGGGCTTCCGAGACGTGCCGCGACCCACGGGACCCCACGGAAGCTTTCTCCCACCGCAAGCTCCCTGGAGGCAGGGAAAGGAGCCGGGACCCGAGCCTAGCTGGCCTCAAGAGAAGGGCGGTGGCTCGCACGGCGCGGGCGGCTTTGCTCACTGCAGCTGGGGAGATGCAGGTTGGCCGTCCGGGCGCGGCGGCGGGAGGGGCTGCGGGCCTGTGGGGCGGGGTGGTGGCTCCGTGTTGTTGGATCCCTATGGAGATGACCCTGTCCCTGCCCCACCCCTCTCCGGAGCTGCGGCCCGAGTTGGCGCACTCGATTTTCACTGCGCGGTTCCAAGAGGAGACAGCCGCCACTGTACCGGGCCTCATAGCCACTTCCTAGAGGTAAAGCCCGTGGCTTCTGAGCCGCTAGTCTTTTTCTTGGGGCCGCCCGGGGCACATCGCCTGGGCCGGCTTAGTTTCCCAGTGCAGTCGCCCAGGAAGACCCTAAGCAGCGCTGAGGGGCGCAGGGCCCTCCCTCCGCGACCCTGGAGTCCCTTAGCAGCTCTGGAATTAACCAAGATTCTGAAGAGGCTCTGGGGAGAAACAAAATCCACGCGTAGGGTAGGGTTTGCATCGGGCCATGCCAAGTAAACTCTTACCTCCTCCAGAGAACTGATTTGGGATCGAAGTAAAGTTCTTGAACACTTTGGAAAACGCTGATTTTCATAGGTTCACACCAACTGCCTTCTTCCTTCTGACAGTTCTCTCCCTCTTTCCTCCTATGGGGTCCAAAAATGTAGGGAGTAGGGTGGGGGCTGGGTTGGGGGAATGAGGGAGGAATACAAAAAATCTACTGTGAATATAGGTCTTGGTTATAAGGATAGCTCTAAGAGTTAATATGCTAAGATTTGATGAGCAGGACAAATAAAACAGTGGTACTTTAAAATATCGATTTAAAAATACCGATGCTGTGCTTATTAATAAACTTTGCATATGTATCAGAACACAATATCCTGACATCATTGGTGTTAAAGTTCACTGCAACCCATGCAATTGTATCCAAGCCTGTTAAAGTCTGTTCTGCAGGAACTGACATTTGTGCTCCACAGAAACCTCAAAAATCATGCTCTACAAACACTTATTTCAGTGGGAGGAAGAAGGGTTAAGGACTTGGAAGTTTTATAGCAACAGTTGCATCTTGTTTGTTACAGCTTTAGTTTTATAGCTTTAAACTTATAAATCAGTGAGCACATCCACCATTTGAAAATACCAGCACAAGTATGGTATTTTCTATCACCGCCTGTAAGATCAATAGCCCAGGTTTCCTCAAAACACGCCATTATTTTCATTATCCATTGCTTAGTGTGTACTTAATAAAAATTATATACTGGCATGTAGTTTTACATGCCCTAAATGTGGGACATTTAACTCAACTGGAATTGTCTTTCATTTCTGTTTTTTCACCAATCACACTTACTTTTCTTCTACTCCCGTTCTTTTGTGCGATCTTTAGAACCAGATACCTTTTTGGAGGCATATTTAAGGAAGTAAATTTTTGATAAATAAAGGAATCATTGCACAATTTGCATGTGTGAATTGCAGAAGTACGCGCATGTAGGTACATACCTCTGCCGAGGAGCAGTGTTTTAATTTCTAAGCCACTCTGTCTACTGTAGTGGAGAAGGACCAGACTAACTTGCATTTCTCCAGCTGTATAACAGATAACCTGTGGAAACACAGTTAATTGACATCATTGCTCTTCTGTGTGATCCCAGTGAGGATTTAGCTCTCTATATGGGCTGGCAATTGTTCAGCCATTTCATCTTTTAATCTGGCTTTGGTTGTTCTGAGAGGAAAAAAAAAACAAAAAACTTTTTTCTCTTTACTCTCACACACTCAGTACAGCCCTTCACCTCTTGTCACCAAAATGTATGGGAATTTCTTCCCACCGACAACCAATTCTCCAGTGGCCACCAACTCTACGTCCTATAATTTAACCCAGTTCTGACACTGTGTACCTGGAGTTAGTGTCAGATCCCATACGTTCAGGGCTCAGTCCCAAAAGACTGCCCCCCACTTCAAATGCCAATCACAAGTCCCAGGTTGTGACTATATGTTGTTTATGATTAACCAACCAGTTACAAATCTGGATTCCCACAAGCCCCTCCTCCGGTTTGATTAATTTGCTAGAGTGACTCACGGAATTCAAGGAAACACTTTACTTATGTTTGCCCATTTATTATAAAGGATATTACAAAGGACAGATGAATAGCCAGATAGAAGAGAGGCCCAGAGAAAGGTATGTGGGCAAGGGTGTGGAACTTCCATGCCTTCTCAGCCCCTCCACATGTTCAGCTATCCCAAAGATCCCTGAATCTTGTCCTTTGGGATTTTAATGGAGGATTCATTCATAGGCACAATTGATGACATCATTGGCCATTGGTGATCACTCAACTTGAGCCCTTCTCTCTTCCCCAGAGGTCAGAGGATGGAGCTGAAAGTTCCAGCTGCATAATCACATGGTTGGTTTCCCTGGTAACCAGCCCCCATCCTGAAGCTATCTAGGGGTCCACCAAGATTCACTTCATCTGAACAAAAGATGCTCCTATCACCCAGGAAATTCCAAGGGATTTCGGAGCTCTGTGTCAGGAACTGGGGTCAAAAACCAAATATTAGAACAAAAGATTCTCCTAGCATCCCTATCTACAAGAGTTTTAGGAGCTGTATGTCAGGAACCAGGGACAAAGATCAAATATATATATTTCTTATTATTCTACCATATCACAGGTTGTCACACAACAGGCCCCATCCTTCTTTTGACTAAGCATGGAAGTGCCAATGTCAATTTCCGAGTTCCTCATCAATATACCAGTTGTAAAGGATAGTCAGCCACGACATAGAAGTGTATTTCCAAATACATCCGTAGCAGTTGTTAAAGCAAACTAAATATGGCCTAAGATGGACTCTGTACTTTTATATTTGAATGCTTGTGGGTGAATTGCAACCTAATTTAATAGGTAGACAAGAATGAAAACCTAACTTAGGAGTATGTGCCTGTAATAATCGCTGAGTCTTGGCCAATCCCAGGAGCCGTACTTCAACCACTCATACACTGCTGAGTGTTCAAACTGTGTTCAAATAAGGCAAATGCTGAGCTGTAACCAATCCAGCTGTTTCTGTACCTAATTTCTGATTTCTGTACATCACTTCATTTTTTTGTGTATAAATTTGTTCTGACCACAAGCCACTCCGGGAGTCTCTCTGAATCTGCTGTGATTCTGGGAGCTGCCTGATTCACGAATCGTCCATTGCTCAATTAAACTCCTGTAAATTTAATTCGGCTGAAGTTTTTCTTTTAATATCCTTTTATATCCAATTCAAATTAAACTTACCCTTCAGGAAAAATCTAGTATAATTTTGAAACTTGATAGGCAATTACTACCTGTGTAACCTTGGATGATTTTCTGATTTTTTTTTTTTTGAGACGGAGTCTCGCTCTGTCACCCAGGCTGGAGTGCAGTGGCACGATCTCGGCTCACTGCAAGCTCCGCCTCCCGGGTTCATGCCATTCTCCTGCCTCAGCCTCCGGAGTAGCTGGGACTACAGGCACCCGCCACCACGCCCGGCTTATTTTTTTTGCATTTTTAGTAGAGACGGGGTTTCACTGTGTTAGCCAGGATGGTCTCGATCTCCTGACCTCATGATCCGCCCGCCTTGGCCTCCCAAAGTGCTGGGATTGCAGGCGTGAGCCACCGCGCCCGGCCTCTTTTCTTTTTTTTTGAGTCAGGGTCTCACTGTATCGCCCAGGCTGGAGAGCAGTGGCACAATCTTGGACCTTGGTTCACTGTAACCTCCGCCTCCTGGGCTCAAGGAGTCCTCCCATTCCAGCCTCCCAACTAGCTAGGACTACAGGTGAATGCCGCCACACCTGGCTAATTTTTGTACAGATGGGGCTTTGCCATATTGGCCAGGCTGATCTGGAACTCCTGAGCTCAAACAATCCACCCACTCTGGCCTCCCAAAATGCCTGGATTACAAGTGTGAGCCACTGCATGCCGACTGGATGATTTTCTCTGCCATGTTCTTCTCTTGTATAATCTAACTCCCAGGGTGAATCTGAAGATTCAATGAGCCAGTGTATGGGGGAAGAGATTTTCTAGTGCCGTGTCAGTCAGTGTAGACACTCAAACAAAAATTAAGATGTTAAATACAACATTTATTACACGCCCCCCTCCCCATTTTGATCTTGTTACTTAGCATGTTTGTTGGATCCAGTTGCAAATGAGGAGAGACACAGATTGGGGTCTTCTATTTTATTCCTTTCTTGCAACAGACTTTAGAAGCATTTAGGCCCCTGCTTTTCAGAGCGAGATAACAAAGGGGCCTCCAGTTTACATCACCCACACTGGAGTTTCAATTCAAAGTAAAAAGCTGGGCTGTGAGATGGCAGCCACAATGTTTTTTCCAGTAGAGACATGCCACTTTGTAGAAGAACAAGATCATTCTTAAATGATCAAGGAAAAACTTCATGGCACAGTATTTTAGCTTCTGTAGAAAAGACACACAGAAAGGATGGAAAATGGTTGAGAGTTTGGTTTTATACACTAAGGTTTTGAGCCTCTCTTGGTATATAGAAGATACTGGTGACTGCTGTATTGTAACCAGAATGCACAATAAATATTCTTGCCCCAGAATGAATTCTTATCTCAAATGAATCCCTTAAAATGCTTCCATTTTTTCTAATTTGCTGATGTCATGAAAGAATAATCTGTCAAATCTACATTTAATTCAATTCTAAGCTTATTTTACCATATGACTCATTTAACATAATGATGGAAATTGCTAGTAAGAAGATCACAGAGTTGATAAGTTGTCACAGTTGTGACACAGTTGTCAAATCCTAATAGTGAAGGAATTTGTTTTTTTCTTACTAATAACTTGCTTTTTTAGCCCCTGAATTTGGAAAATTGGCAGATGCATGTCTCTGTTTGTGCTGCTATAATAAAATACCTGAGACTGGGTAATTTATAAAGAATAGGAATGTATTTCTCACAGTTCTGGAGGTTGGTAAATCCAAGGTCAAGGTGCTGACAGGTCTGGTTGGTTGGTGAGGGCTGCTCTCTGCTTCCAAGACGATGCCTTGTTGTTGCATTCTCCGCAGGGGAGGAATGCTCTGCCCTCACATGGCAGAAGGTGGAAGGGTAAATGAGGTGAATGCTGTGTGAAGCCTTGTAAGGGTCTGAATTCCAGTTCACAAGGGAAGGAGCCCTCATGACCTATCTCTTAAAGGCCCAACCTCTTACTATCATTACATTGGCCATTAAGGTTCAAAACCTGATATTTGGAGGTGACACATTCAAACCATAGCAATTATGGTTTAAACTGCAATTATACAACAATTATCCATTTACTCATTCAGCAAATACTTGCCAAATACCTATCCTATGGCAGACACTATTGTGGGAGGAAGCTTCTAAAATGGCTCCCAATGACCTCAGCTTCCTGGTCTATATGCCTTATGTGAATCCACTCCCCTTAGATGTGGGTAGACACCTATAATGCAGGAGTTGACAAACTTTTTCAGTAAAGGCCCAGATAATAAATATTTTTTGCTTTCTGAGCCATATGGTCTTCCTCCCAATTACTTAATTTTGTTGTAGCCAAAAAATCAACCACAGAGGCCAGGTGCGGTGGCCCACACCTGTAATCCCAGCACTTTGGGAGGCTGAAGTGGGCAGATTGCCTGAGGTCAGGAGTCCGAGACCAGTCTGGCCAACATGGTGAAACCCCGTCTCTACTGAAAATACAAAAAACATTAGCCAGGCATGGTGGCATGCACCTGTAATCCCAGCTACTCAGGAGGCTGAGGCAGGGGAATTGCTTGAACCAGGGAGGTGGAAGTTGCAGTGAGCCAAGATCATGCCACTGCACTCCAGTCTGGGTGACAGAGCGAGACTCTGTCTCAAAAAAGAAAAAAGAAAAAAAATTCTCCAGTAAGTAGATGAAGAAAAATACTGAGTAAATATGGAAACAGTAGGAAAACAGGAGACTCATAAATGAAATTTATTAAAGAAAAGCAACCACAGATAATACATAAATGAGATTGTCTGTATCCCAATTACTTTATAAAATCTGGTGGTGGGCCAGATGTGGCCTGCTGACTGTGTTTGCTAAACCCCGGTTCTGATGAATCAAAAAGTGATGGTGTGTCACTTGTCACTTCTGAGGTTACGCCACACAAGGGCTCCGGCTTCCATCTTGCCTGCCCGCTCTTGCTCTCTTGCTCACTCACTTGGGTGGAAGTGAGTTGCCATTTTGTGAGCTAAACTATAGAGAGGCCCACATGGGAGGGGAGCCTGTGGCCAACAACCAGCGAAGAACTGAGTCTCTCATTCCAACAGTTTAGGAGGAACTGTATCCCTCCAACAATCAGTTATGTGAGCTTGGAAGTTAATTCTTCCCCAGTCCAGCTGTGGCATCCTCAGCTGACAGTTGAATGGTGAGAGACCCTAAGCTGGGGGACCCAGCTAAGCTATGTCTACACTTGTCACTCATAGAAACTGTGAGATAATAAGTGTTTGTTATTTTAAGCCACTGAGTTTTGGGACAATTTGTTACACAGCATTAAATAAACAGTATGATAACCCCATTAGATAATCAATACACACTGTGATAGTCTCCATATAACAATGAACAAGGGAAAATGCTGGATATTATTTTCCCCTTTTGAAGATTCGTTGTGAACATTAAGCATATTAAAACATCCAAAACATCCTACAAAAAAGAAATAAGTTTAATATCTCAATCATTTAATCACAGATCCTGTTTTCTGGGGAAATACTCATTAATATCTTATGGAACTACTATTTGGAGGAATGTAAAAAGCTAGAATAGGAAAAGAAATTATTCCATTAAAGAAGTAGTAATTGCCAGGCTGCCATTTCTCCCTGGGTTGAATAGTCAACGAAATTAATATCTTCACATAATCAAAATAATATGAGGCAGGCAGTGCAAGGTGGCTCATGCCTGTAATCCCAGCACTTTGGGAGGCCGAGGTGGGTGGATCACTTGAGGCCAGGAGTTCGAGACAGCCTGGCCAACATGGTGAAACCCCATCTCTACTGAAAATACAAAAATTAGCCAGGCATGGTGGTGTGCACCTGTAATCCCAGCTACTCAGGAAGCTGAGGCAGGAAAATCGCTTGAACCCAGAAGGCAGACATTGCAGTGAGCCGAGATTGCACCACTTGCACTCCAACCTGGGCGACACAGAGAGAGACTGTCTCAAAAAAAAAAAAATAATAATGATAATAACCCTGAGCCAGGAGCAGTTGGTTATGCCTGTAGCCCCAGCTACCCGGGAGGCTGAGGCCAGAGAATCACTTGAGGCAGAAATTTGAGGCTGCAGTAACCATGATTGTGCCAAAGCACTCCAGTCTGAACAACACAGTGAAATCCCAACTCTAAAAAAAAAAAGGAAAGAGAAAAAGAAAATAATCCTGTTCAAATTTGTACATATATGCATGTACACACACACACACACACACACACACAATATACTATACTATGCTCACATATTTAAGCCCACCAGCAGAGACAGCGACTATTCTTTCTGTAATGTTCAGCTCATTATATAACTCAGTAATCCCTTAACACAGAGTATAATAACAATTTTGCGAACTTGCTAAATAAAAATCCCATATGTTGGCTCTTGGATTTCACATAACAACAGCTGGGCATCTTAAGAAACTAAGAATTTGTTTTCATTTAGTGTTGATTCAGAAGGAGGTATTTAATTTCCCATATTGCCAAGAGGTTTTTATCTGAACAACACATTATTATAATATAGTTTGCCAAGACACATTACTGTCTGGCTTTACACATGAGGAAACTGAGGCCCAAATACTAAATCACTTGTAAAGCCTCAATTTTGGGGAGTCAAAGCAGAGATCCAAATCTGGTGCTCACTATGCCATGCTGCTCGTCTGTAACATTTCTAAAATTGTTCCTAATATGATACATGCCTTTCTAATATATTCATTGAAAAAATGTGCTTCTTCTCTTGAAGTGTAATAAGAGCAGAGGCACTGCAAATGTCTGTCTTATTCTAGAATTATTCTGACTCTTTAATAAAGTTTCTTCAGCTACACCAAGCCACGTTGTACTCTCTCTTCTTGGAATTTATAGCAACAGAGGGTTGCTTAGAAACTTAAATGTTTGTGATGCTTGTATCCCAGCTAGAAAATCACTGACAAGTGGTTGTCCACCTTGAGTTTTACCAACTCCAGTAATGGACATAATCTCTGGAGACAGCGAGAGCTGTGGAGTGATTTTTTTCCCACTTAGATTGAGCCAAAATCTTCCTCTCTGACATCATCCACTGTTCCTAATTTTGTCTTCTGGGGATTCACAGACCATGCGTAATTGATTTTATACATATGAAAAAATTTTAGATAGTTGATGCGTGTGTATATAGTGTGAGAAAGGGGTCCAATTTCTTTTCTTTTATAAAACAGATATTCCGTTTTCTATAAATGAAACAATCCACCCTTCCCTTTCTGATTTGTCATCTAACAAGTGTCCCTGTATACCTGGGTCTATTTTGGAGTTTCTCTTCTGTTCCACAGGTTTTGTTGTCTGTCCCCAAACTAATACCTTTATTATCTTATTACTACAGCTTTATAGTAAGTCTTGGTATCTAGAAACACAGCTCCCTTCCTTGTTTATCAAGACTACTGGTTTTGGCACTTTAAAGTTCCATAAATATTTTAGAATCAGCTTTGAAGTTTTAAACACACACACACACACACACACACACACAATATTTCTTGGAATTTGTTACTGAGATTGCATTGAATCTGTAGATCAAGTTGAGGGAGTTAATCTCTTCACTCTACTGAGTCCCCTAATCCATGAATAAGACATATCTCTCCATTTATTTAGGACTTTAAAAGTATTTTTCAATAAAGTTTTATAATTTTCTTCATAAAGTTGGCACTCTTAATTTTTTCCAGGTACTTAGTGGTACTTGATGTTATTGTAAATATCATTTTATAAACTTCTTGATTGAAATACAGGACATAGAAAAACACGCAGATCATGAGTGTAACGTTCAATGAATCACAGCACGCAGGGAAGTCTAGGGCTCCCTCTCTACGTCAGCACCAGCATGCAGAATAACCTCTTGTGTCCCCTCCCAATCATTACCCTCTCTTTCCTCCCCACAGGTAAACCTTATCTTGACGTCTAACACTACAGGGTAGAACTTTGGTAAATGAACCCGTGCCACATGTATTATTTTATTCGCAGCTTCCTCTGTGTAATATATTGTGTGATTCATCCTTACTGTTTTGTGTAGCAGCAGGCTGTTCGTTTCATTGACGTATAGTATTCTATTGCGTGAATGCATGACAGTAGATTTATCCACTGGACTACTGGTGGATGCTTGGGTTGTCTCCAGTTTGGAGCTATCCAGTGCAGCTGTGCATCTTCTTGGTGATATATTTTAGTCCACATGTATATTTTTTCCAGTTGGGTCAAGTTTGGCATTATTCTAGAAATAACGCCAAATAGTTTTTCAAAGTACATATACCAATTTGCACTTTCACCAGCTGTGTGAGAGCTCTGGATGCTCACCAACACATGGCTTTGTCAGTCTGTTCTGGATAACAAACCATTCCAAAGTTTAGTAGCTTGAAATAGGAAACGTGTTATTTTTCACAATTCTATGGGTTGGCTGGCCTCAGCTGGGCAGTTCTTCTCTTTGTATGTAGGGGGCTGGGGTGATTCATGTGGTTGCACATGGGAGCTTAGTTGCAACTGAAATATCCAAGATGACTTCATTTGCACATCTGGTGCTTTGACGGGGGTGGCTGAAACAGCTGGGGGCTGGCTCAAACTCTCTCCATATGGTCTCTTGTCATCCAGTATCCCAGCCCAGGCTTATTTACATGGCAGCTGGATTCCAAGAGTTCAAAAACAGAAGGTATAAGTCTTCTTAAGGTCCATGCCCAGAAGTCACACATCATCACTTCCACAACATCATTGGTTAAAACAAGACAGTGGTAGTGCAGATTGATTCAAGGAGAGGGAGAAGAATAGACTCCACCTCTTGATGGAGAACTGGTATGTGGGTACAGGGATGGGAGCAATTGTTCCTGGCCATGTGCACAGACAATATACTGTGTCCCTCCCTCTGGCCACAAGTCACAGTTGCAGCACACAGAATACCTTTATTTCATACCAAGACACCACCAAAGGGTCTTCCAATTATGGTATGAGGCTTGAAGCCCAGTCTCTTGTGATCTCCGTCAGGTCCAGTTGCAAATGAGGCTCCTTGTTCATAACTCCTCTCAATCTGGAGACCTGTGAGCTCAAAAGACACATTATCTGTTTCCCCAGACACCCAGCTTAAAATGGTAGCTCAGAGACTTTTTATTTCAAAATTTCTTGGTCCTTCTTACTTCAAGCTGGCCATGCTTTCATGAGAACAAGCCTCTTAACAATTTTGTGGGCTTTGTATATATGTAATTGTAATTTATTCTATTAGACAAAAGCTATATCCACAAGTCTCTTTGAGACAGGTCCTTCTCTGCTTTGGGCTATGGATTGGGGTGCTATGGGACAAGGACTTTAAGATTCTTTGAAACTCTTTTACAGTTGACCCTTGACCAATGTGGGAGTTAGGGGCACAAATCCCCTGTGCAGCTGAAAATTCACGCTTTTTTTTTTTTTTTTTTTGAGATGGAGTCACGCTCTGTCCCCCAGGCTGGAGTGCAGTGGTGAAATCTCAACTCACTGCCACCTCCACCTCCCAGGTTCAAGCGATTCTCCTGTCTCAGTCTCTCGAGTAGCTAGGATTACAGGTGCCCACCACCACGCCCAGCTAATTTTTATATTTTTAGTAGAGACGGGGTTTTGCCATGTTGGCCAAGCTGGTCTCAAACTCCTGACCTCAGGTGATCCACCCACCTCGGCCTCCCAAAGTGCTGGGATTACAGTCGTGAGCCACTGCACCTGGCCACGCATAGCTTTTGACCTCCCCAAAACTTAACTACTGATAGCCTATTGTTGACTGGAAGCCTTAATGATAACACAGCCGATTAACATTTAATGTATGTTATGTGTATTATATACTGTATTCTCTCAAGAAAGTAAACTAGAGAAAAAAATGTTATTAAGAAAATCATAAGGAAGAGAAAATATATTCACTGTTCATTAAGTGGAAGTGGATCATGACAAAGGTCTTTATCCTCATCATCTTCATGTTGAGTAGGCTGAGGAGGAAGAGAAAGAGGAAGGGTTGGTTTTGCTGTCCCAGGGGTATTTTTTTTTTTTTAACTCCACTAATGGTTGTATTTTTTTGTGGAGACAGGGTTTTGCCATGTTGTCCAAGCTTGTCTCAAACTCCTGAGCTCAAGCAATTCACCTGTCTGAGCTTCCCAAAGTGCTAGGATTACAGGCATGAGCCACTGCACCCAGCCTAGATATTCTTTATCACTAAAATTTGCCCCAAAACTAAACAGATCTTTTAGGTTAATTCATATCTCTCACCTTGTACAGCTAAAGGAGCCAATCAGCACTTTCTACATCCTACTCAGAATTTCTTTAGCCAGGTCTATAGATTCATTGACACATTTTCTATCCTCCACATTAGTGCAGGTAACAGTGTTACTAACTTTCCACTGCTACATAATGCCGGTCATCTTCTCACTAGCCTTTCTCTAGACTCCACTACACCGTCTCCTCCACACCCTTTTAATTTCCACTTGCTTCCCAGTCCCAAAGCCAGTATCATAGGTTTTCAGTTAAATTATGGCAATAATCTACTTCCAGATACCAATTTTTTTTGTTATTGCTGGATAACAAACCATCCCAAAATTTAATGGCTTTAAATAATAATCATTTATTATTTCTCATGGTTCTGAGGGTGAGCTGGGTCCAGCTGGGCAGTTGTTCTACCCCATGTGTTACTGACTGGAGCCATCCTATCCCACTGCTCTGCAGTGCCACCCTTGTCATAGGTAGAGTGTCCATATGTATGTGGGTCTGTTTCTGAATAACTGCTGTGTTCCACTGGTTTATTTGTTTGTTCATGTGCCAATACCTCATGCTGTTATTTACACTAGCTTTATAATAAGTAAGTCCTGATATCAAGTAGAGTAAGTCCAACCACTTTGTTCTTTTTAAAGTTGTCTTTGCTAGTCTTGACCCTTTGCATTTTCATACACATTTTATAATCAGTTTGTCAAACACACACACAGCCATGCACACACACACACACCCCATACTTGCTGGGTTTTCATGAGACTGTATTGAGTAATAGATTAGAAGAATCAATATCTTCACAGATGTATACTCTTCTTTAGGTCTTTAAAATTTTTATCTGGATAAAATTTTTAGTATTCTATGTGGAATACTTGTCCCACCTTGATTTATATTGGATTTTATTTTTGTTTTTGTTTTTGTTTTGGAGACAGGATCTCATTTGGTTGCCCAGGCTGGAGTGCAGGGACAAGATAACAGCTCAGTGCAACTTCAACCTCCAGGACTCAAGTGATCCTCCTACCTCAGCCTCCAGAGTAGGTGGGACTACAGGCATGCACCACCATTCCTGGCTAATTTTCTTTAAAAAATTTTGTAGACACATGGTCTTGCTATGTTGCACGGGCTAGTCTCAAACTCTCAGACTCAAGTAATCCTCCTGCCTCTGCCCATATTGGATTTTTAAATGCTGTTATAAATGATATATTGTTGCTTATTAAATGTTATTAGTATACAGAAAAACAATTGATTTCTGTACGTAAGCCTAGTGTGCAGCAAACTTGCCAAGCTTGTGTATTAAATCTGTCAATTTCTCTGTAGATTCTTTAATATTTTTCTACATACAATTATGTTAATAATACATAATGACAATTTAATTTTTTCCTTTCTCTTTTCTTTTTTTTTTTTTTTGAGACAGTGTCTCACCTTGTCACTCAGGCTGGAGTTCAGTGGCGCAATCTCGACTCGCTGCAACCTCCGCCTCCCCAATTCAAGCAATTCTCTTGCCTCAGCTTCCCGACTAGCTGGGACTACAGGCATGCACCACCATGCCCAGCTACTTTTTCTATTTTTAGTACAGATGGAGTTTTGCTATGTTGGCCAGGCTGGTCTCAAACTCCTGGCCTCAAGTGATCCACCTGCCTTGGCCTCCCAAAGTGTTGGGATTACAGGCGTGAGCCACCATGCCTGGCCTATTTTTTCCTTTTAAATTATTATACATTTTATTTTATTGGTTTATCACGTTGGAAAGACCCTCCAGAACAATGTTAAACAAAGATAGTGGTAGTGAACAGAGAGAAAGTTTTATCATTTTACCATTAGTGTCATGTCTGCTATAGGTTATTGTATTTGCACCTTATTCAGATTAGGAAATTCCCTTCTAGTCCTGGTTTGCTGAGATCTTTTTGTCATGAACGGGTATTGAGGTTTATCAAAAACACTTGTTGGGCCAGCTGCGGGGCTCATACCTGTAATCCCAGCACTTTGGGAGGCCGAGGCACAGTGGTGCATGCCTACGGTCCCAGCTGAGGCTGAGGTGGGAGGCTTGCATGAGTCTGGGAGGTTGAGGCTGCAATGAGCTAAGATCAAGCCACTGCACTCCAGCCTGGGCAACAGAGCAAGACCCTGTCTAAACAAACAAAAAGGAAACTTTTTGTATATACTGAGATTATCATATAATTTTCTCTTTTTTTTTGTTCATAATGAGAAGTACATTGATTTTGTAATGTCAAAATTTACATAAATCCAACTTGCTGGTGATATATGATCTTTTTTATATATTACTGAGTTTGGTGTTCTCATATTTGGTAGGATTTATGCATCTATATTTATGGTAATATGCTTGTAATATTTCTTTCTTGTAAAGTCCTTGGGTTTTGGTGTTAAGATTATATAAAGGTTATACCAACTTTATAAAAGAACTTGGGAATCATTCTCACTTTTTCTATTCTCTGGAAGATTTTGTGTAAGTGTAGTGTTATTTCTTCCTTGAACGTTTAGTAGATACAGAAATCGGTTCCAGGAGTAGGATGTTTCCATAACAACAGCAACACATTCTATATTATGTGGCATTACCATCCAGTCTGACAGCATGAAATTGTTGTGGAAGACCTGAAAAGATGGCAATCTATGTGATGCAGTGGGAAAGGTTGTAAAACTATAGCCTGGAATAGATTAAAGGGCATATTATATACCTAATGAGCTCGTACTTTATGCAAAGAGGTAGAAAATGAATGTTATGTTATTAGAATAAGTTTATTACTACAGGCCACGTTTGCCAAAGTACTAGAAGAAATAGAGGAGCTCAGAAGATATTTGGCTGGTTTGTAAGCAGGAATATAAAAGAATTCAGAGAGAGTCTCAAAACTCAGGGATTTGCACAGTTGGAAGGAATAACTGACTCACATCTTCAACTAGTAAAGAAAAAACTGAGAAAGACTTTGAGCAATAAATGATGCTGAAAACTATGTCTACTGGCAAGGACCAGTCAAAAGTATGGTTGTCACACCATTGTTAGGATCTCCGAATGGAACAAGGTGGTACCCAGCAAATACTTTGAGTTGGAAAAACATCTCAGGGAAGAAAGACGTAGGGTTTGGCTTTTTCTAAGGAAGCCTGATACGCTCAAAATATCTGCAGTTAACTTTAGAGAGAGAGAAAAAAATGTCTCTAAACAATTGTGGCAAATAGCACTGCTTAGAATCAAATATATAATTTGGGATATATTTTGAGAAGTTGACATTGTCAAGGGAATCCCTGGCATGGTCTAAAAGAGAATGTGATTGTTGGAGACAAAATGATCACTGCGCCCCAGCCTTCTGAAACTGCATTTCAGGATTGCTATGAATCCTTTATATGTCATCCTTCTTTAAGAATGGGACTATCTATTGCAGTTATCCTTTCCTTGTTCCACCATGATATATATTATTTACACAGGCAAGGACCAGATAACTTGTCTTTTTAGTTCAAAGGTATTTGGATCAAAGGGAGCTATACCTGTATCTATAGAGAGACCCTTGTGAATCGTTTTTAGCTCATGAGCTCTGTGCTAAAAATATTGATGAGATGGAACTTTGGGGTTGTTTTCCTTAAAAATGTGTGAGTGAGTGTGTTCTGCATATGGGAAAGGAAAGGAACTGTCCCAAAGGGTAAACTATGATAGGTTGTATTACTATGCATGCTGTCATCTAATCCTCTCCCCTTGAGTGTGGCATGGACCTGGTGACTTGCTTTTAACCAGCAGTATATAGCAAAAGTGATAGGATGTCCCTTCTGAGGTTAGGCTACAAAGAGACTGTGGCTTCCCTCTGGTGTGCCCTCTCTTGCTTTCTCATTTGCTCACTGTGATGGAAGCCTGCTGCCATGGGAGCTGCCCTATGGAGAGAACCATGTAGCAAGGAAGGCAAGGGAGGCCTCCAGCCAACAGCTGGTGAGCACTGCAGTCTTCAGTCCAACAGAGCATGAGGAATGGAATCCTGTCAACAACCACATGAATGAGCTGCAGGGCCTTCAGTGAGACTGCAGTCCCCGCAAACACCTTGACTGTAGCCTTATAAGAGCCTTGACACAGAGGTACTGGTTATGAACTGAGATGTATCCCCTTTCCCCACAAATTATATGTTGAAGCCTTCACCCCCATTATTATTGTATTTGCAGATAGTGCCTATAAGGAATAAAGGTTAAACAAGGTCATGGGGCTTTAATCTGAGAGGACTAGTGTCCTTATAAGAAGAGACCAGGTGCAGCTCGCATCTGTAATCCCAGTGTTTAGGGAAGCTGAGATGGGAAGAACCCTGGAGCCCAAAAGTTTAAAGTTACAGCAAGCTATGATTTTTATTTTATTTATTTATTTTTTTGAGATGGACTCTCGCTGTCAGTGATGGATGTCAGTGATGGAGTGCAGTGGCGCGATCATGGCTCACTACAACCGCTGCCTCCCGGTTCAAGCGATTCTCCTGCCTCAGCCTCCGAAGTAGCTGGGATTAGCTGGGATTACAGGTGTGTGCCACTATGCCCGGCCAATTTTTGTATTTTTAGTAGAGACGGGGTTTCATCATGTTGGCCAGGCTGGTCTCAAACTCCTGGCCTCAAGTGATCCACCCACCTCAGCCTCCCAAAGTGCTGGGATTACAGGCATGAACCACTGCACCCGGCTCAGTGAGCTATGATTGCACCACTGCACTCCAGGCTGAACAACAGAAGCAAGACACTGTCTCAAAAGAAGGAAAAGGAGAAGCAGAAAGAAGAAGAAACACCAGAGATCTCTGTTTCTGCATGCACATGGAAGAAAGTCCACGTGAGGACACAGTGAGAAGGCAGCTGCCTACAAGCTAGGAAGAGAAGCCTCCTCAAACCAATGCTACTGACATCTTAATCTTGGAATTATAGCCCCTAGAACTGTGAGAAAATAAGTTTCTGTTGTGCAAGTCACCCAGTCTGTGGTAGTTTGTTATGGCAGCCCAGTTAGACTAAGACAGTACCCCCCTAAACTCTGCCTGGATTCTTGAACCACAGAAGCTTTGAAATAAGTGTTTGTTGTTTTAAGCTGAAAAATGCTGGAGTAATTTGCTTTGCAGCAATAAATAATACATTAGCCTATTTTATTTTTCTTTATATTCTCTTTGACCTCTGTCCTGAAAAGATGGGCAGGTGGAATGTCACCTTCTAGTACTTCAAATTCTTACTTTCAGACAGATGCAGTGGCTCATGCCTGTAATCCCAGCACTTTGAGAGGCTGAGGCGGGCAGATCATTTGAGGTCTGTGAGTTCGAGACCAGCCTGGCCAACATGGTGAAACCTTGTCTCTATTAAAAATACAAAAATTAGCCAGGCATGGTGGTGCGCACCTGTAATCCCAGCTACTCCAGAGACTGAGGCAGGAGAATGGATTGAACCCGGGAGGCGGAGGTTGTAGTGAGCCAAGATCGCTCCACTGCACTCCAGCCTGGACAACAGAGCGAGACTCCATCTTAAAAAAACAAAATAACAAATTCTTATTTTCCAGGTAAAGAAAAAGTCAACCTCCTTGGCTGATGAATCACGGCAGTTTCTAAGTAGCATTTCCTGGAACGTTCTTAATGCTTCCCATTTTCCCAGCAAAGTAAAAAACAACTTTTGTTTAAATTCAGATTTGGGTGAAAGCAGGTAAGAATAGAATAATTGCAATGATTTGAAGTTAATGGGATTTTTGTGTATATTTGTATGGCTTATCATATACACAGATGAATTTTATATATACACACGTACACACATGAATTATAATTCTATCTATATGTTATATGTGAATTTCTATAATTATATAATTCCTATAAGGACATTAACATATTGGTTATTTCTAGGTGATCTTAATTGCACACCTATTGAAATAAACCTGTAGTTTCTAGAAGTGGAAGAAAATTTGCTGAGACGTCAGCTGGGGATTCTTCCTGGAGAACTCCAGAAATGGAGAGCTTCCACACCAGATTTAGTGCCTGGACACCTTTTAGCAACAAGTCATTAAATAGACAGGTAAGTTACATACTTTAAAACAGAACAAGTTTAATTCGTAAGGTTAATTTTCCTGTGATATATTGGGTCTCATGTTGCCACATTTTTAAAGAAAAACTCTCTAAAGAATTTAGCTTTTCAGTTTAAACAAAAATAAACTTAGCTTTGTCCCAAAGACAGTCTCTTCTCACCCCAGTTCTCATCTCCTACCTTAAGGGAGGCTCCAGATGGCCTCCCCTTCCACTCAGTACCTCCAGGAACAAAATAGAGACCTCTAGGACACACAGTTGCTGTAGATAGGGAAGGAGGTGAGAAGGTGATTTTGGTGGTGGGGGCTGGGAGTATTCATGCTTGTGTTCCTCTGTATTTGTAATCCTCTCTTCCCTCCTGTGCCAACTGGATGGTTCCATGTGGCCTGGGGATGCCTCTCCTATTTTAAGGTAATTCAGGAAGTCGTCATTTAATGGCCTATGGTGGCTCTGGCAATAGAGAAGGCAAACTGGGTGCTCTTGTGAGTTCAGCCTCATTCACCAGAGAAGGAGACTAGACCAGGCTGGGACTAAAGCCTGACCTATGATAATAACAGTGAGTTTGTTATCTCTATCTGAGCAAAGCTGGACCGAAACGCAGGTTTGGGGGACTCTGGTCCTTAATGTATGTCTTCCCTAGAGACATGTCTCTGTTGGCTATTTAGCGATACTTACTTTCATCTTGGTGGGTGCTATAAAGATCCAGGGTTGTGAGTTAGTGAAGTTATACCTACCTCAAATGGTTCTGTTTTCACAATTAAATGAGTGTAGCCCGTATATGTTTTCAAAATGAAATGTGTGGACTCTGTTTCCCTAGGCCACATTAGCCTAGGTAGAAACAAGATCCAGGAATCATTACCTCTTTGTTTTCCAGAGGCCCTTCTTGGGCCCCTCTATAATTACATCACTGCCAGTCTTTCCCATCAACCCACCCAACAAGCCTGGGCCTGTCAGTATCCCTGGGTAAAAAGTTTAACCTGAAAGGAGAGACCTTTCTCTCTATATGTGAAAGCGCTCTGTGAACTGTAATGCACTCTGCAAATATTAGCTGTGAGGTTGCTGGTAGATTGTCTAAAGATTGCTTAGCAATTAAAAACAATGAACTGTACAGCAAATGTCACTTCCTCCCCTCCCCCTTATAGCTCTTTCAGGAAAGAGTGGCTCTTATAAGTCATTGGTTTGACCTCTGGACTAACAAGCAACGTCAAGAATTCTTATTCGCAATTTTTTTAAGATGCACTAAATCACAATTAAGGTAAATGTAGCCTAATGATGTAATTAACATTGATTCTTAAAGAAAACCGTATATAAATGTTTATATAACCTTTAAGAGATTTTTTGTTCCTAGGGAGAAAAAAAAACAAGGTAATTGATATTTTAAGGTTTATAAACAGACTTTTCCAGTGCCTGCTTTTGCCTTGAGGCTGAAGTGAAGCCGTGGGGAGGATTTAATGCTTTCATACTATGGTGGGACTGTTTCATGTTGGCAAAAACACAATGGCTTCAGTCAGTGAATTTTTAACATTCTCTTAGCATATTAAATTTTCCTTGGAACCATCAGACAGACAATATATTGCAAATGGATGTCTGGGACATAGGTAGGCATAATCATTAAATGAATGGATGGATCTACAAAATATATGACAAGTGACAGTGGTTGAAACATTTAGGAATATGGGCAAGACTTATACAGCCCTAGTCAAGGATTACGAAGAGGGTTCTCTTTCTCTTTCTTCCCCTTCCCTCATGTTATGTCTGTAATTTACTTTAAAACACTCAGCACAGATGGTGTGACATCTGTGAGTTGAAGTTATGCCCAGGGTCAGCTCCTGTTCTGGTCAGGAATGAATACCCTAGGGGTCATTAGCCAGCTCTAGATTGGAAGGTCACAATACCTGAGTTATTAGATACTTTACTAATTAGCATAGCAAATATCAGACATTATTCTCAAAACAACCCGTGGCTTGTTAACCAGCCAGATGAATGTTAGAAACGGATTCTCTTTCGTGAAATTCAAGATATGTGTGGACTGACCGAAATATTCTAGAGAGCCCTCCAGCTTGCCTGGGTGTGGTTGAAGAATCCAGCCAGGCTGGTAGCAGGTACGTGGCAGGATGGTTTTCCAGCCCTCAATGCCAGATAAAAAGCCTTATGTTAGTCTGGAGGATTTCTGGTAGCCCGAGGCCAACAATGAGGGTAAAAATAATAGAATACTATTTCTGAAACATTGTCCTTTTGAATGAATCTTTTGCCCAGAGGAGAAAGAGCTGGGACTTCATCAGTCCTACAGAGGAGACTGTGTGAAGTTGTTTGGGCTTATTTACTAATGTTTGTTTAGAAAAACTCTAGGTATGGCATCATTTGATGTTAGGTACTTTCACTAGAACTTGGTGGTGAGGTTGCAGGAGAGGGTAACCTTCGGATGTCTTAGATACCCAGCAAAAATATCTGAGAGTGGTGCATGATCAAATTGGCATATTTTAGGTGGAGTACTTGCTTCCTGTTCTTTCTTACATGTTTTCCTGCCAGTCTCTTTTGATCAGCCATTTTTTCTCTCCTCCTCACCTGTCAGCTACTCCTGCATCTGTGGGTGCAAAGCAGATTGTTAACGGACTCTCCCCATGGAGTCACTGGAAGGAGACAGGCATCTTCCTGGCTCTGTTGAAAGAGGCTGCAAAGACAGGGCACAGATAAACAGGCCCTTCAGTCAATGTTGAAAAATCAGGGGGAAGACATTTTATGATAGTCATTGGCTATGTTTCTTTTTACTCCAACTTTGCAGCTTTCAAGATAAGAAAATAACAGACCAGACCTCACATTTATAACCACTTTGTGCATCATGTTCTAGGCTCACGTATCATAAACCAGGCAATTTTAGTTGTGACCACTGGAGGTCATTAGAGATCTTATGGTATATTTTGAAGCAGCTTAACTCAGGCCTGACTTTTTGTCACTGGAAATTGCATCCTTTGTCCGGTAACTGAATTCTTTTTTCTGTGAGACAAGAATATAAAACTAACCTGTTCAGTGAAAGTACTTTTTTTTTTTGTTTGTTTGTTTGTTTTTGGATAGCAGCAGCATTTCTTCAGAGAGCAGACTGTATTTCATAGTTTCATGAATGTTAGTATAAATTTCCTTTAAACATTTTTTTTTTGAGATGGAGTCTTGCTCTGTCGCCCAGGCTGGAGTGCAGTGGCGCGATCTCAGCTCACTGCAAGCTCTGCCCCCGGGGTTCATGCCATTCTCCTGCCTCAGCCTCCTGAGTAGCTGGGACTACAGGCGCCCACCACCACGCCCAGCTACTTTTTTTGTATTTTTAGTAGAGATGGGGTTTCACCGTGTTAGCCAGGATGGTCTCGATCTCCTGATCTCATGATCTGCCTGCCTCGGCCTCCCAAAGTGCTGGGATTACAGGCATGAGCCGCCGCGCCCGGCCTAAACATCTTTATTGAGATATAATTCACATACAATAAAAATCACCCATTTACGGGTACAATTCAGTGGTTCCGGTACATTCACAGAGTTGTGTGATCATCATCACATGTTAAGTTTAGACCATTTCATCATCCCACAAAGAACCCCCCTACCCATTAACAGTAACTTCTCATCTCCATCCCTCTAGATCTGGGCAAACACAAATCTGCTTTCTGTCTCTATAAATTTGCCTATTCTGGACTTTTCGTATAAATGGAATTAGACAGTATGTGGTCTTTTGTGACTGGCTTCTTTCACATATTATAACGTTCTCAAGGTTCATCCATTTTGTTACACATGTCAGTACTTCTTTCCTTTATTGCCAAATATTATCCCATTGTATGGATGTGCCATATTTTATTTATCCACTCCTCAGTTGATTATTGTAAATAATTATTATAAATAGTGCTGCTATGAACATCTGTGTCCAAGTTTTGCATAGAGATGTTTTATTTCTCTTAGCTATACATATAGGAGTGGAATTGCTGGGTCCAATGGTAGTGCAATCAATTTTTAATTATTAAGCATTTCTTTTGGATCATTTATTCCTGTAGTCTTGCTTACCCAATAACTGTAAATAAATTAATAAATGAAAGAAATTAGTATTATTTGAATACTTGAAATGTTTATATGTAAGCTAGGCTATATTTGTGCAATACCTTTCTTTCAAGGTAGAGAGGCCATTGTTTTAGATGGTTTTATAATTTCCAAATAATTTTGTTTTAATTCAGTCAGTTATAAACAGGGTATTGCAATATTGGTGGAAACTGTCAACACAATTTTCTTTTAAAAAATTATTCATAATCTCTATGAGATATATTCAAATATCTTAGAGTTTTCTTTCCTGGCCTAATAAGTATTCCCTAGTAAGTTTTAAGATGATTTCCTAAGTGGAATTTTATGATATTTAAGACATTTTTTAAAGGTTTAGCTTCTTAAACCATCCCTCTGGCAAACTAAAATGTCCCTTCTCCTGGGAAGACTTCTCTGCTGGTCTTTCATGCCTAGCAACTTTATACCTCAATTGTGGCTTTTCTTGGTATGTTATGGCCCCGTGTCGTCCACATGACTAATGGTTTCCAGTGATGTCTTTCCCCTACCACTTGACTAGGTTGACCTTTCCTGTGACTCCTTAAAGGAAACTGGGCTGCTTGTGTCTGTTACACTCAGAGAAACCCGTGAGGAGTTTGAATCAGTCCCCTTGCCACACTGGTGGAACCGGTTTTGAATTGCCTCTGCTTAGTGCCTGGTAATTCCTCAAACAAAGGCCTTTGGTTCCAGAGCCAGAGCTGCTCAAACTTGCAGCTTTCCTGGATGGGTGGGGCAGCATTCATGCAACTGCATTCCCTAGAGGGGGAATGCATTGACCCAGGTGTGTATGTGCGTGTGCGTGTGAGATCATAAACAGCCCATGAAGGATTCACTCTCGTCACTTGTCTCCATCAGAGCAGACTTGAAATGGGGTTGGAGGGCAGAAAAATATCCACCAAGGTGTATTAAGAGAGAACAGCCCCCTCTCCCACTTCATTACCCCCTCTTCCATTCTTCCCACGCAGCCTGTGAGGGCTCACTTGAGGACGTCTGTCTCAGCTGTGATCTGTGAGGCAATCTGGTGTGCAGTTTTTCAGAGACAACATACTCCTAGGTTAATTTTAAATATAGAGCAGCCATGTCACTCTCAGTTACTGAATGTCCATTTAAAAGGAGAGTATTTCTGTGTGGAGATGGTAAAGAGGTTAAAGAAGAAAACATCGAATGAAACTTGCTGAAGACAGTAAGGCGGACGTTACTGAGAACCTTGGAGATAGCTACAGGGACTGCTGCATGGGGTCACGGGAGAGAGATTGGGCTCAACTTCAAATGCAGCATGGGCGGATAGCCAAGGAGCAGGATGGGGCTCAATGGATGGAAAATTACTCGAGGAAACATCAGGGGTAAGCGGGGATCTGAATACACTGACCCAACAGGACTCTCGCTGATGACAGGCCAGGGTGCTCAGACAACACCTGGGGGAGGGTGGAGGATGAGGAACCTGACAAGATATCCGGGGGTGGGGGGTTCTTCCTAAACTGACTTAACAGGGCTCTTTACTAAAGCAGAATTTTATAAGGAAGTGCACAGGTGGGCCAAGGGGAAGTTTCAGAAGCTTGACTAAAGTTTGGTCAAGCAGAGAATCTTTGTCAGAGAGGAGAGGGGAGTATTCAAAGTGAAAGTGTACACTTGTATCTAAAACGACTGTTTTCTAAATATCCAAGGCAAGTCTGGAAATTTGAGTCATCTTCACTTCCTTCCCCTTTGCCCAGTATTCTGCACATGTTCCTGCCCTTCTACCTGCATGGGCTGGTTAAGGATAACTGTATGAAATATTAGCATTTGCAATTGGGATGGTTTTTAGAGGTGGATGATGCTTAAAAAAAAAAAAAAAAAAAGGAAATCATTGCGTTTTAAAAGGAAGGGAGAAAGCAGAAAGCCAAAGCTCTTTTTTTTTGTGTGGATGGAGGGAAGGTTATTGGCCTATATTAGGCAACATCCACTGGCTTGAAGTTCTCACTCCCATTTTGTGAGTGTGTGGAGCTGCTCTCCCCTCCTTTCTCATGTTGAGCTTCTCTGTCTACCGCTTGACACCACCTGACACTATGTGACATGCAGGACTTGTTTATTTGCTGTCTGCCTACCCCATTAGAATGATGGCTCCATGATAGCAAAGACTTTGGTGACTCTTTTCATCTCTAGCACTTAGAGCCATACCAGGCACATAGCAGCCACTCAATAAATGCTTGTTGAATGAATTCAGATATCTAAAGCACTCCTAATTCCAAAAATGACAAAAAGATAATCAGAAAAAAATTTTCATTTGGTAGCTCTCTAGGAGGAAGGAGTTTTTCAAAATATTCCAAGTTTTAATTAAAAAAAAATTAGCCGGGCGTGGTGGCGGGCACCTCTAATCCCAGCTATTCGGGAGGCTGAGGCAGGAGAATCGCTTGAACCTGGGAGGTGGAGGTTGCAGTGAACTGAGATCGCACCATTGCACTCCAGCCTGGGCTACAGAGCAAGACTTCATGTACCAAAAAAAAAACAAAAAACAAAAAACCAAGTGTTAGAATATAGGAGATTACTAATACTTTGCATAATTCAAGTTTTCATTACTTAATTCAAGGTGGCTGGAGAAATCTTTCCCCTTGTCTTTCTTCAATTCCTGCTTACCGGGTTAGACACTGTTGATTACTGGCCCAGCCAAGCCATTCCACATTCCTCTCCTTCTTCCTGACAGAAACCCTGATTTCCACCCCCTACAAGGCATTCTATGCTTCAGGAGTGGCTGGTAAGTAACCCCCACCCTACCAAGGGTGGGTCAGGGTTGGACTAAATTCATCATGATCACTGCCTCCCCTGGATGGTGTCTGCTTTAGGAAAGGGCGTGTAGATATTAATTCTGCCCAGGGAGACATAAGGGTGGAGAGTCTTCTTCTTGCTGAAAGAAACTTAAACAAGATTTGAGGATGAACGTCTTTTCTTCCATCCTGCTAGCTGTGGTGACTGTTGTGTGAAGACCAATGCTCACTGCAGTTAGTCATTTGAGAACTATTTTGGGACAAGCCCGAGGACCAAAGTAAATGGTTGAGGATGGCAAAGTGAAAATATAAAAAATCCTTGGCCCTTGATAACATCATTGATTCCTTGAATTTGCTAAATCTGAAGCTGCCGTTAATTGTTTACAGTGAAAGGAAGAAAAATAGGTTGAAAATGGTCCATAACAGTCCATTTATCTAGTAGTCACTTCTCTGGTCATCTCAACTCTCCAAATTTTATCTGAGAAACAGGAAGGAAAAAACAAAAAGCAATTAGCAGTGAAACAGATTCCTTTTACACACAGGAGAAAGGCCTTCAGACTCTCATGCATAGTCTAAGTATTTAATTAATTTGGGTCTTCAATAAAGTGATTCAGAAATGAGTTATACATACTTCTA